>NC_000022.11:41209564-42459564 GCF_000001405.40 Homo sapiens | reverse complement strand
GCTCCGGCCCTCTGGATCTCTCCCCGCCATGAATGAATAAACGGGTTTGGGGGCAGGGTGGTGAAATCAAACTCCAGTGTTATCTGACATACAAGTTCTTTCTTGAGTGCCACATAGGTAATTTGTTATAAATCAGAGCTTAAACACCAGATCGGATTTCACAGAACTCAATTCCATCGCTTTAAGATGAGAAGACGTGCAGAGAAGGATGGGAGAAACACCCCCATTCGGCCTGGCAGAAAAGATATTTAGCGTTTTAAAATGTAACCATTGATCTTCTGCTTGAAATACAAATGCATTTTGCTAAAAAAGAAGACGTCAGTGAGATTGAGACAGGAAGTGATGGAGAGAAACCAAAGGCTCGAGCAGGTTGTTTAATTGGAAACAGCGAGAGGCTGTTTTCGGTCACATTTTGTGTACAGTTCCAGGCCACGCTCCCTCTCTCATATACGATCATGAAACATAAAGACACGGGAACAAGTTCAGTGCCTGAGAGCATCGACGCCTCCCTTGAGGTGTGTGTGTGCCCATCACCAGGATGTAGGGAAAAGGAATAGTCTCAGCCTGTGTACAGACTGGGATTTCTGCAGACGCTAGTCTTCAGCAGACACCAATGGGGGAATGCAGAGAGGTCCAGGCCCCGCATCTTCAGAGACTATAGCTCCGGGGCTGTGGTTTTCTGAATCACTCCCAAATGCTTTTGAACTGGGTTTTTTTTTTTTTTTTTTAATTAGGTTTCTTGTCTAAAATGCTCTACATTTTTAGTGTTCTTAGTACAGGAGGTATAACAAGGCAGTTAAGCATTTAATACTCAAGAATTGGGCTGGGCGCAGAGGCTCCAACCTGTCATCCCAGCACTTTGGGAGGCCAAGGCAGGTGGATCACCTGAGGTCAGGAGTTCGAGACCAGCCTGGCCAACATGGCGAACCTCTGTCTCTACTAAAAATACAAAAATTAGCTGGGCGTGGTGATGGGCACCTGTAATACCAGCTACTCTGGACGCTGAGGCAGGAGAATTGCTTGAACCTGGCCAGCAGAGGTTGCAGTGAGCCAAGATTGCATCACTGCACTCCAGCTTGGGCAACAGAGCGAGACTCCATCTCAATTAAAAAGAGAAGAAGAAGAAGAATGTGTCTTTCGAGATACACTGATGATTTTTGAGGTTAACAGCAAGGAAACGCTAGCTGTTGTAATAAATAAATCCCCTAATATAAATCCCCAAATATTAACGTCTTAACCCAAAAGACATGTGTTTCTCACTCACATGACTGACCAGTGTGAGTGTTTGTGGTTGATGAGGGGGTTTTCCCCCATACAGTGATTCCGGAGCACATCACCTTCCATCTCCTCTGCCTAAGGCTTCATCATCATTGCCTGCCTCAGTCAGTGGGAAGGGAGAGGGGGTAGAGAAAGAATAACTACTACTTTTTTTTTTTTGAGACAGAGTCTTGCTCTGTTGCCCAGGCTGGAGTGCAGTGGCGTGATCTTGGCTCACTGCAACCTCCCGCCTCCCGGGTTCAAGCCATTCTTCTGCCTCAGCCTCCTGAGTAGCAGACACACGCCACAATGCCTGATTAGTTTTTTGTATTTTTAGTAGAGACGGGGTTTCACCATGTTGGCCAGGCTGGTTTTGAACTCCTGACCTCCAGTGATCCACCTTCCTCGGCCTCCCAAAGTCCTGGGATTACAGGTGTGAGCCACCATGCCCAGCCTAAGAATAACTACATCTTGATTGCATTGGCAGTGTGCAAAGCTGACTCAATATTCAAAAATTAATTAGGCAGGGCACAGTGGCTCACACCTGTAATCTCAGCATTTTGGGAGGCCGAGGCAGGTGGATGGCCTGAGATCAGGAGTTCGAGACCACTCTGGGCAACATGGTGAAACCCCATCTCTACTAAAATACAAACAATTAGCTGGGCATGGTGGCATGTGACATGCGCCTGTAGTCCCAGCTTCTCGGGAGGCTGAGGCACGAGAATAGCTTAAGCCCGAGCCCCGGAGGCGGAGGTCGCAGTGAGCTGACCACTGCATGCCACTGCACTTCAGCTTGGACTACAGAGTGAGACTCAGTCTCATAAAACAAAAACACAAAAAAATTAATGCAATTTAGCATACCAACAGGATAAAGAAGAAAATCATAGGATCATATCAATTGATGCAAGAAAAGCTTTTGACAAAAATCCAACACCCATTCATAATTAAAAAAAAAAAAAATGGCCGGGCGTGGTGGCTCATGCCTGTAATCCCAGCACTTTGGGAGGCCGAGGCGGGCAGATCACGAGGTCAGGAAATCGAGACAATCCTGGCTAACACAGTGAAACCCCGTCTCTACTAAAAATACAAAAAATTAGCCGGGCGTGGTGGCGGGCGCCTGTAGTCCCAGCTATTCGGGAGGCTGAGGCAGGAGAATGGTGTGAACCCAGGAGGCAGAGCTTGCAGTGAGCCGAGATCACGCCACTGCACTCCAGCCTGAGTGACAGAGCCAGAATCAGTTTCAAAAAACAAAAAACAAAAAAAAAAATTCCCAGCAAACTGAGAATAGAGAACTTCTTCAACCTGATAAATAGCATCTACAAAGAAACGTACAGCTAATAATACCACACAACTTGATATGTTGGGTTTTCCTTTTCAGTCAGTTCAAAATACTTTCTGACTTCTCTTTTGACTTCTTTTTTGACCCGTGGATTATTTAGAAGTGTGTTATTTCGTTTTCAAGTTATTTGGGCATTTTCAGAGCTCTTTCTGTTACCAATTTCTAATTTAATTCCATTGTAAGAGAGCATACTTTGAATGACTTGAGTCCCTTTAAATGTACTGAGACTTGTTTAATGTCTCAGAATATTGTCTATGTTGGTAAATATTCTGTGTGAACTTGAGAGGAATGTGTATTCTGCTGTTGTTGGGTAAAGTGTTTTATAAATGTCCATTGGATCGAGTTGGTTGATAATGTTGTTCAAATCTTCTATATATTTGCTGGTTTTCTGTCTATTCATTCTATCAATTTCTATGTATTTATTCAGAGGTGGGATCTCACTATGTTGTCCAGACTAGACTCAAGTCCTGGGCTAAAGTGCTTCTCCTGCCACAGCCTCCTGAGTAGCTGGGACTACAGGTGATACACGGCTATACCCAGCTATTCTATCAATTCTATCAATTATTGAAAGCAGGGTATTGACATCTTCAACTATGATTGTCAACTTTTCCATTTCTCTTTGCTGTTCTATAAGTTTTTGCTTCAAGTGTTTTGAAGCTCTGTTATTAGGTACATAAACGTTTAGAATTGTTATGTCCTCTGGAATAACTGACCCCTTAATCATTATTGAATTAACCTCTTTATCCCTGGTAATGTCTTCTGCTATACAATCTACTTGGTCTGATATTGATAAGCCACGCTAGCTTTTTTTGGATTTGTGATAGCATGGTAGGTATGTCTTTTTCCATCCTTCTACTTTTAACCTATTTGTGTCTTTATATTTGAAGTGTGTTTCTTATAAATAGGATACTGAATCTTTTTTTAATCCAATCTGACAATCTCTGCCTTTAAATTTGGACATTTTCTTTTCTTTCCTTTTTTTTTTTTTTTTAGAAAGGGTCTCACTCTGTCACCCAGGCTGGAGTGTAGTGGTGCGCAATTGTGGCTCACTGCAGCCTTCACTTCCTGGGCTCAAGTGATCCTCCTGCCTCAGCCTCCGCAGTAGCTGGGACTACAGGTGCACACCACCACACCCGGCTAAATATTGTATTTTTTGTAGAGATAGGGTTTCACCATGTTGGCCAGGCCTAGACCATTTACTTTTTATTTTATTATTCATTTATTTATTTTGAGACAGAGTCTCGCTCTGTCACCCAGGCTGGAGTACAGTGGAGCGATCCACCAACCTCTGCCTCCCAAGGTGCTGGGATTACAGTCATGAGCCACCGCATCCAGCCTGAACTCATTGTATTTATTGTAGTTTCTTAAATAGATGGAGTGTGTATGTGGAGAATCAGAAATACACTACTTTTAGGTTCTTTTTTTTGGGAGGGTGGGGAGTGGGGATAGGGTCTTGCTCTGTTGCCCAGGTTGGAGTGCAGTGGCACAATCATGGCTCACTGCAGCCTTGACTTCCTGGGCTCAAGCGATCCCAAGTAGCTGAGACTACAGGCATGTACTACCATACCCAGCTAATTTTTTACATTTTTTTGTAGAGATGGGGTGTCACTGGTCTCAAACTTGTGGGCTCAAGCAATCTACCCTCCTCAGCCTCCCAAAGTGCTGGGATTACAGGCATAAGCCACCGCACCTGGCCAATGTTCTTATGCTTTATATTAAGTAGTATATTGGCTGGGCATGGTGGCTCATGCCTGTAATTCCAGCACTTTGGGAGGCTGAGGCAGGCGGATCACAAGGTCAGGAGATAGAGACCATCCTGGCGAACACGGTGAAACCCTGTCTCTACTAAAAATACAAAAAATTAGCCGGGCATGGTGGCAGGCACCTGTAGTCCCAGCTACTTGGGAGACTGAGACAGGAGAATGGCGTGAACCCGGGAGGCAGAGCTTGCAGTGAGCCAAGATTGCGCCACTGCACTCCAGCCTGAGGGACAGAGCGAGACTGTCTAAAAAAAAAAAAAAAAAGGTAGCATATTATCACTTAAAGGTAGATTGTGATTGGCAGGGCACGGTGGCTCACGCCTGTAATCCCAGCATTTTGGGAGCCCGAAGTGGGTGGATCATGAGGTCAGGAGTTTGAGACCAGCCTGACCAACATGGTGAAACTCCATCTCTACTAAAAGTACAAAATTTAGCCAGGTGTGGTGGTGGACACCTGTAATCCCAACTACTCAAGAGGCTGAGGCAGGTGAATTGCTTGAACCCAGGAGACAGAGGTTGCAGTTCACACCATTGCACTCCATCCTGGGCAACAGAGCGAGACTCTTGTCTCAAAAACAAAAAAAAGAAGGTAGATTATGATTAATTGAAGTTGAACAAAAATCAACTAGGAAATACTTTTTTTTTTTTCTTTTTTGAGACAGGGCCTCACTCTGTCACCCAGGCTGGAGTGCAGTGGTGCAATCTCGACTCACTGCAAACTCCACCTCTCAGGCCCAGGTCATCCTCCCACCTCAGCCTCCCAAGCAGCCTCCAAGCACCTGCACCACCACATCTGGCTAATTTTGTATTTTTTGTAGAGATGGGGTTTTGTCATATTGCCCAGGCTGGTCTCAAATTCTTGGGCTTAGTTGACCTGCCCACCTCAGCCTCCCAAAGTGCTGGGATCGCAGGCATGAGCCGCCGCCCTGGCCTGGGAATTTTTTTTTTTCAATTTAAATTTGATTTAGAACTAAATAAAGCATTTACATGATGGCAAAGTCAAAACTGAAGAACAAGGTGTATTAAAGAGGTCTGCTTCCATCCCCTCTATACTGTTACTGATTTTTTTCCTTGGCGTGGTCTTATTTTTTAGATTTTAGGTTCAAGAGATTCTCCTGCCTCAGCCTCCAGAGTAGCTGGGATTACAGGTGCATGCCACTATGCCTGGCTAATTTTTTGTATTTTTTAGTAAACACAAAGTTTCACCATGTTGGCCAGGCTGGTCTCGAACTCCTGACCTCAGGTGATCCACCTGCCTCGGCCTCCCAAAGTGCTGGGATTACAGGTGTGAGCCACAGCATCTAGTCCCTCCTCCAGACTCTTAACATTGATGCTGCTCTTCTTCTATGACATCATGAGGTGGCAAAAGACACAGGTTCATTGTTAAGGGTCATGTCGACAGCCTGGTGACTAGGCTTATATGCTTAGATTTCCTGAGTATTTTGAGTTCCCCTGGTGTACACAGAAGGGTCACCGTGGTCAGTAACTGATGCTTGCCATGCGCCGGCACCGTGTTGAGTATTTTATAGATGTCTATGACTGTGTAACAGGCCGGGCACAGTGGCTCATGCCTGTAATCCCAGCACTTTGGGAGGCCAAGGTGGGCAGATCTCTTGAGCTCAGGAGTTTGAGACCAGCTGGCCAACATGGTGAAACCCTGTCTCTCCTAAAGATACAAAAAAATTAGCCGGGCATGGTGGCAGATGCCTGTAATCCCAGCTACTTGGGAGGCTGAGGCACGAGAATCGCTTGAACCTGGGAGGTGGATGTTGCAGTGAGCTGAGATTGTGCCACTGCACTCCAGCCTGGGCGACAGAGTGAGACTCCATCTCAAAAAACAACAACAACAAAAAACGATGTCTATGACTGTGTAACAAATTAGCCCGAATCTCAGCTTAAGCAGTACATGTTTATCATCTCACAGTTTCCATGGGTCAGGAGCCTGGGTGCAGCTTAGCAGGGTCCTCGGGCTGCTGTCTCTCACCAGGCTGCAAGCAAGGTGTCAGCCAGGGCTGCGGTCACCGCGAGGCTGGAATGGGGAAAGAGCCACTTCCACCCTCACTCGTGTTGCTGGGTGCCTTTGGTTCTTTGCCACGGGGCCTCTTTCTAGGGCAGCTCTTGATATAGTATTAGGGTGAGCAAGTGAGCAGGAGAGAGCAGAGGAAAGAGTCAGAGACAGAGGGACCCAGCAAGCCCCAGTCTTGATCACCTAGTCTCAGAAGTAACCCCCATCAGCTGTGCCCTGTTCTCTTGGGTGGAAGCAGGCAGTGAGTCCAGCCCACACACAGGGCCAGGGGTTCCACAAGGCTATGAAGGCCAGGAGGCAGGGGATCTTGGAGAGCCGTTTTGGAAGCTGCCTAACACCGAGACGTTACCTCATTTCACAGCCATAGCCACCCCATGAGGGAGGTGCTACCATCCCCACCTCACAGGTGAAGAAATTAAAGCACAGAGAGGGTGGACATCTCCCCAGGGCCCCAGAGCTAGCCAACTGTGGAGCTGGGAGTCCACCCAGCAGGCTGGCTCCAGGCCCTGCTCTCAGCCGAAGCCTGGGAGGAGGAGGAGGAGTGGCAGGCGGCGCTGGGGCCCGGGCGGGTGCAGCTGAGCCCTGCCACCTGCTGAAGCATCACCGGATTCCCTAGGCCGTGCATCAGTTGAGACAGAGGTGGCCATGTCAGAACCATAGTTGACTTCCATGAAAACCAAAATCCAAACTTGAGCAGCGTCAAGATGGCATTCGGAAAAGCAGTCTGAGAGCAGGGGCTCCATCTGCCTCGCTCAGCCCTGTGCACCCTGGCCAGGCAGGGCCTGGCCACAGAAAGCAAACATTCGCTGGCAGCTAGTCAGGAGAGTCCCCAACCCTGTCCTAGGCAGCTCCAGAGCTGTATTTCTTCTTTCTTTTTCTTTTACTTTTTTTTTTTTTTTCTTGAGACAGGGTCTCGCTCTGTTGCCCAGGCTGGAGTGCAATGGCACGATCATGGCTCACTGCAGCCTCGACCTCCCGAGCTAGAGTTATCCTTCCACTTGGGATCCTCAGCTTTCTGAGTAGCTGCGGCTACAGACATGTGGCATCACACTCGGCTAATTTTTTAAGTTTTTTGTGGAGACGAGGTCTCATTATATTGCCTAGGCTAGACACCTAGATTTCTAAAGCCCAGATCTGACCACATCGTCCTTGCTCTACAATGGTGACTTCTCCCTGCCTAGGACCCAGTCTGAGCTCTGCCTGTCTGCCCTACCTCGTCACCCACGTCTCCATCCTTGCCCGTTTTGTGCCTCCAGTGCACCCCAGCTCACCTTTACGTCGGCCCCACTCTGTTTACTCTGCTTCCATGGCCAACAGTGGCCCCTTCAGCCCAGGGACTCTGTCTTATTCAGCTTTATGTTTCAGGGACTGGGGACCTGAGTGTGGAGCCTGAAGCTCCCATAGCATCTGTACAGAATGGGGAATGAAGGGAAGAGGGGCCTCTGCTTCAGGGGATGGTGTGGGGAGCCACTGCTCATCCTCTGTACCTAGAAGAGGGAGGAGGGAGGAGGAGGAGGAGGAGGAGGAGGGGGAGGAGGGGGAGGCTTTGCTAAAGTTACCAGGCCATGAGGGCGCTACAGTGAGGGGATCTAAATCTTGCGTTTTGTTTGTTTGTTTGTTTGTTTTTTTGAGATGGAGTTTTGCTCTTGTTGCCCAGGCTGGAGTGCAATGGCACGATCTAGGCTCACTGCAACCTCTGCCTCCCAGGTTCAAGTGATTCTCCTGCCTCAGCCTCCTGAGTAGCTGGGATTACAGGTGCATGCCACCACACCCGGCTAATTTTTTTGTATTTTTAGTAGAGACAGGGTTTCATCATGTTGGCCAGGCTGGTCTCAAACTCCTGACCTCAAGTGATCCACCTGCCTCGGCCTCCCAAAATGCTGGGATTACAGGCGTGAGCCACCGTGCCAGCCCTAAATCCTGGGTTTTTCTCGAAATCTGGAAATCACCTCTGGGGTAAGACGCCTGGAACCCTGGAAAGAGACACTGCAGATTATGAGTAATGACCCTAGAAATGCCCTCAGCACAGGTTCTGCTGTGTGCAAAAGCCACTGAATGCAAATATCTTGGAATCTCTCTGCTCCCCACTCAGATTATAGATCTCAAAATACCTGAGTCAGCTTAGCTCCAACTCAAGTCTGCATTTTTCTGCGACTTATGTTCAGGTCTACATTTCCATCAGGAAGCCGCAGTCGCCACCGGCAGCATCAAGGGTGCAGAGAATCAGAGCTGATGTTGTTTTCTGAAGGTCTAATTTCTGAGTTAATCCAAAAAGACAAAGCCCTGCACTTCCAGAGGTAACCTACAGAGATGCAAGTATTGAAAAATTTCTAGTTATTTATATTAAATTATATTTATTTATTTATTTAATTTATTTATCTAGAGACAGAGTCTCACTCTGCCGCCCAGGCTGGAGTGCAATAGCGTAATCTCAGCTCACTGAAACCTCCAACTCTTGTGTTCAAGCAAGGGGTGACTCTGGCTTTCCCCATGGCAAAGAAACTTCCCATGGGTACCTGCACACACCCCAGGCCTCCTCCCTGCCAAGGCAGGGATTCCTGTGCCACCTGCTGGGGAGGGCAGCCCAGCAAATGAGCCAGCTGCATGGGTGGGAGTTGGTGACTGTTCTTCGTTTTCTGCAATGGTTCATTTTTTGTGTCAACCTGTTGGAGCCATGAGGTGCCCAGTATTTGGTTCAACTATATTCTGGGTCTGTCTGTGAAGGTGTTTCCAGAAGAGATAAGCATTTGCATCAGTAGACTGAATAAAATGATGGCCCTCCCCAGGGTGGACGCGCCTCGTCCAATCCATCGAAAGCCTGAAGAGAACAAAAGACAGAGTAAGCCGAGTGTGGTGACGCATGCCAGTAGTCCCGACTACGCAGGAGGCAGGAGGATCGCTTAAACCCAGAAGTTCGAGACCAGCCTGGGCAACGTGGCGAGACCTCATCTCTACAAAAAAATTTTTAAAAAATTAGCCAGGTGTGGCACACTTGTAGTCCCCGCTACTCAGAAGGCTGAGGCAAGAGGATCATTTGAGCCCAGGAAATCGAGGCTACAGTGAGCCACGTTCACACCGCTGCACCCTAGCCTGGACAACAGGGCAAGAGCCTGTCTCAAAAAAAAAAAAAAAATAATGCCGGGTGCGGTGGCTCACTCCTGTAATCCCAGCACTTTGGGAGGCTAAGGCAGGTGGATCACCTGAGGTCAGGAGTTCAAGACCAGCCTGGCCAACATGGTGAAACCCCGTCTCTACTAAAAATACAAAAATTAGCTGGGCGTGGTGGCGTGCGCCTGTAATCCCAGCTACTCAGGAGGTTGAGGCAGGGAGAATTGCTTGAACCTGGGAGGTGGAGGTTGCAGTGAGATTGTACCACTGCACTCCAGCCTGGGTGACAGAGTGAGACTCCATCTCAAAAAAAAAAAAAAACGGTGAGATAGAATTCGCTCTGTCTGCCTGACTGTGAGCTGAGCTGGGACACTGGTCTTCTCCTCTCTTTGAACTTGGACTTAGCCTGCAATGACACTGTTGGCTCTTCTGGTTTTCTTCTGCTTGGTGACTGCAGATCCTGGGACTTCTCAGCCTGAGCTGGGCCAGGGCTGCATTTAGGTAGAAGGGCTCAGGGTAATTAGATGGGGCAGCTGGGACTCCCCAGCAGCAATTCTGGGGCAAGTCAAGCTAAGACACCTCCTTGAGAATTGCTCTGCAGAGAATTGCCTGACCCCAGGCAGTAAGAGGTGAAGCTGCCATGCCTTCGCCTAATTCAGGAACAGTCTTTGCCTTTAGAAATTCCCTCTGCTGGGCTGGGCGCGGTGGCTCACACCTGTAATCCCAGCATGTTGGGAGGCCAAGGCGGGCGAATCACGGAGGTCAGGAGATCAAGACCATCCTGGCTAACATGGTGAAACCCCGTCTCTACTAAAAATACAAAAAAATTAGCCAGGCATGGTGGCGCATGCCTGTAGTCCCAGCTACTCGGGAGGCTGAGGCAGGAGAATGGTGTGAACCCAGGAGGTGGAGCTTGCAGTGAGCCAAGATCGCGCCACTGCACTCCAGCCTGGGTGACAGAGCAAGACTCCATCTCAAAAAAAAAAAAAAAAAAAAGAAAGAAAGAAATTCCCTCTGCTGTTATGTTCAGGGTGGGATGGAAGTAAATAAAATGTTTCATGCAAAGCAAAAAAATAGGATATAATAGGGATTTTGGGCTGGGTTGAGTGGCTCACACCTGTAATCTCAGCACTTTAGGAGGCCAAGGTAGGAGGACTGGGCGAGCCTGGAAGTTTGAGACTAGCCTGGGCAACGTAGTGAGACCCCATCTCTTCAAAAAAAAAAAAAAGAGGACTTTTTAGAAGTCTTACTTTGGCCTTTACTGTTGATTCCCAATTATTCGGGATTCGATCATCCAGTTTGAGGATCATTGAAGCCTTTTCTAGGCTGTTTTGACTCTTTTCATTCTTTCACTAATCTTGGCATTTCCTAATATTAATGAAAATAAAAGGAAATGAGAGTGAAACAACAGGTTTACTTTCCTCTATTAGCTTCTGAGGGAAAAGGAATGGACAAGAGCAGGTTGGGCGACCAGCTGGCATTTGCCCCTCTGTCAGGTGACCTCGACATCCCCGCATTGCAGAAAGGACCCTGAGAGCTGACCTTGCCTGTGTGCGTCTCCCCAACGAAAACTCTTAGCAAGTCTGACTTACAGACCACTAGAAACCCGATCGGGACCCAGAAACCCCACTCCCAGGTATTCACCCAAGAGAAGTGAAAACTTCCATTCATACAAACACCTGTGCGTGAATGTTACAGCAGCTTATTCATAATCGTCGAAACCTGGAAATCGCCCACATCCTTTACTTGGTGAATAGATAAATAGACCACAGTCCATCCAGACAGTGGAACACTTCTCAGCAATGAAAAGGAACCATACAACAATGTGGGTGAACCTCAAATCACGATGCTCAGCGAAAGAACCTGGACTCGCACGATTCCACTTTCAGGACTCCCGTTGCTGGAAAAGCAACGGGAGAACAGAGCAGTGGTTGCCAGCGGCAGCACAGGAGTTCTGGGAGTGACGGGATGTTCCCTATCTTGACTGCGGTCATGGTGATAGGACTCTATGCATTTGAACTATATACCAAAAGAAGTGAATTTTACTGTGTGTACATTTGAAGGTATTTTTTAACCATTAAAAAAGAAAAATCAAGGCCGGGCACAGTGGCTTATGCCTGTAATACCAGCACTTTGGGAGGCTGAGGCAGGTGGATCACCTGAGGTCAGGAGTTCGAGACCAGCCTGGCCAAGACGGTGAAACCCCATCTCTACTAAAAATACAAAAATTAGCTGGGTGCCGTCGTGGGCGCCTGTAATCCCAGCTACTCAGGAGGCTGAGGCAGGAGAATCGCTTGAACCTCAGAGGTGGTGGCTGCAGTGAGCCGAGATTGCGCCAGTGCACGCCAGCCTGTGCGACAAGAGTGAGACTATGTCTCAAAAAAAAAAAAGTGACTTCAATTTTTCCTCCTTCTCCTCTTGGCTTGTAAAAGGCTTGTCCCTGTGTGGCTTCAGAGTGTTTAAAATCACTTACCTCCTCTTGAGGAGGTTCAACATTCTTTTTTTTTGAGACAGAGTCTTGCTCTGTCGCCCAGGCTGGAGTGCAATGGCATGATCTCGGCTCACTGCCACCTCCACCTCCCAGGTTCAAGGGATTCTCTTGCCTCAGCCTCCCGAGTAGCTGGGATTACAGGTGTGCATCACCACACCCGGCCAATTTTTGTATTTTTGTTGCCCAGGCTGGTCTCGAACTCCTGGACTGAGACAATCCACCCGCCTCAGCCTCCCAAAGTGCTGAGATTACAGATGTGAGCCACTGCGCCAGGCCTCAATATTCTTTCTAATAAGCTCACTTGGGTTCTTATTCAGTATATTCCTTTTCCCAGGCTGCTGTAACAAAATAACATAAACTGGGTGGCTTAAGGCAACAGAAATTGATTTCCTCCCAGTTCTGGAGGCGAGAAGTCCAACACCAAGGTGTTGGCAGGGCTGTGCTCCCTCTGAAGGTTCTAGGGAAGAATCCTCCCTCTCTTCTTCCGGCGTCCAGTGGCCACAGGCATCCCTTGGCTTGTAGCCTCACCACTGCCATCTCTGCCTCCATCTTCCTATGGCCCTCTTTCCTCTGTGTCTCCTCTGCTTCTTCTTCTTCTTCTTTTTTTTTTTTTTTTCTTTTTTTTTTGAGACAGAGTCTCGCTCTGTCACCCAGGCTGGAGTGTAGTGGCACGATCTCAGCTCACTGCAAGCTCCGCCTCCCAGGTTCACATCATTTTCCTGCCTCAGCCTCCCGACTAGCTGGGACTACAGGCGCCTGCCACCATGCCGGGCTAATTTTTTTGTATTTTTAGTAGAGACGGGTTTTCACCGTGTTAGCCAGGATGGTCTCGATCTCCTGACCTCATGATCTGCCCACCTCAGCCTCCCAGAGTGCTGGGATTACAGGCGTGAGCCACCGCGCCTAGCCGTCTCCTCTCCTTCTTATAAGGACACCAGCTGTTGGACATAGGGCCCAGCCTAAATCCAAGATTATTTTATCGTGAGTTGAAAGGACCTGATTACATCTGAAAAGACCCTGTTTCCAAATTCAGCTCACAGTCACAGGAATGGAAGAGTCGGGGGGAGGGAGAGGTTAATACATGAACATATCTCTTGGGGAGCACAATTCAACCCCTACATTCAGTAAGACTCTCTTAGAGAGGGCAGGGCAAGCTGGCCCTGCACTCCTTGGCCATCCCCTGCTGTCACCCCCAGACCTCAGGCACGGCGGCCCCTCGCTCTCCCCCGTCTCCTCTGTCCGGGCCTCTGAAGTCACCAGTTCTCCATGCCCAGCCGTGGCCTGTGGGAGGGAGCTGGGGGGGTGAGCTGGAGCTGCCACTTAGCGGCAGAGTCACAAACTCACCGTTCCTAATGAAGCCCGTCGCTTCTCCCTCCTCTTCCTCCCAGCAATGTCCGCAGTGGTGCCTGCGATGAAAGAAGCTGACCCAAGACATAGGAGGGAGGTGATTATGGGTTTAGAAAAGTCTTGACAAAAACATATCCTTTTATGACTGGGGTGGCTCTGTCAGGCTCTGCTGGCCCAGCATCCTCCCCACAGCCCACCCCAGCCAGAGGAACAGTCTCCTGATTTTCCTGTGGGGACTCCTGTCCTCTCAAGGTCACTTAGTTGAGCAGGGTTGTCCCTACCCCCAGTTCCCTGTCCCTCTGTCTTCTTTCCACTGCAGGCCAGCCAGCAGAACCCTGCTTTTCTGAAGACCCTGACCAGGAGCTGCAGCCCCTCCTGGCCCTGTAGCCGCAACTGGCCCCATCTCTTGATTCCGCTTACCTGTCCGGCCCAGGCTGGAGCTACCCCACAGCTGCCAGGGCTGGGTCCTCCAGGCCACCTGCCCATGAACCAGCCAGGTGAGCACAAAGCACGTCTCCCCCACCCCGTCTTGGGTCTGTAGGGACAATAAAATGCCTGCCAGTGAAAAGGGCACAGTGAGGCTGGGTGCTGTGGCTTGTGCCTGTAATCCCAGCACTTTGGGAGGCCGAGGCAGGCAGATCATTTGAGGTCAGGAGTTCGAGACCAGCCTGGCCAACATAGTGAAACACTGTCTCTACTAAAAATAACAAAAATTAGCCAGGCGTGGTGTCTTGCACCTGCAGTCCCAGCTCCTCAGGAGGCTGAGGCAGGAGAGTTGCTTGAACCCAGGAGGCAGAGGTTGCAGTGAGCCAAGATCATGACATTGCACTCCAGCCTGGGCAACAGAGCGAGACTCCGTCTCAAAAAAAAAAAAAAAAAGAAAAGAAAAGAAAAAAAAGGGCGCAGTGCTGAGCCACGGATTATTTAAGATATCCTATTTCAGGAAAAACGAACAAGTCCAGATTCTCTTGGCTGTGGCTCCGTGGTTTATATGTTTGCAGAATCAGAAGAGTGAGTGACAAAGGTTACAGGTAAGCCTGCAGGAGTAGACACCTTTGGGGGAGAGATTGGAGAAAATGATTAGCTTTTTCTGTATAGATTTTTGGATTATTTCACCTTGTGAACTCTGATATTTGCTCTGACGCCAGCCACCCTCACTGGGTCCTTGGTTCTGCCCTGTTCTGTTCTGCATCCTTCTTTGCCTGTGGGGTTTCCGGGTTTCTATCCTGAGCTCCAAGCCAGGGTCCAACCCAGCAACCTGCGGCCCTGAGGCCCGTAGGTCCCCATGTGGGCACTCTTGACCTCCTAGGCTTTGCTGACCTACAGGCCTCCTCGCCAGTGACTCATGAACTTGGCTGAGGCACAGCTTTTCAGATCCTGGGGGGCCCCCCTCTCTCCTCTCCCACGGGGTTCTTATCAAGCTCAAGGGAGGAAATGGTTGACAAACGGTTTTGCTAAACTAGGATCGGTTACCCAATGGAGAAGCTTATTACTGAAGACGCTGATGAAGAACATTCGAGCAGCGCCCCATCAATCTCCTCTGCTGTCAGGAAGGCTGGGGGAGGGGCGGTGGGACCCAGGCCATCAGGAGCGGGATGCCACCGAGTTCTCAAAGACCTTGTCCGCCCTGGCCCTTCCTGTCCGGCCTCCAGGGGGCACCAGATCTCCACCCAGTGCGTGACCACCCCCTCCCCACCAATCCCTCAGCGAGATTCTAGCAGAGGGGAGAGAGCCAGGGGCCGTGGGGACCCAGGGGTGAGAAAGGGGCTGGCAGAGAGCAGGGAGTCCACCCAGGGTCAGGTTCAGGCCTGCATTGATGTGTGGCCAGGGTGCGACACAGAATTCTGCAAGATTCAGAACATCTCTCAATCACTACATTTTCAGAAAATGGATGAAAAGCTGATCAAAAAGACGTTTGATGCCAGGCTGAAGAGAAGCTGGATCTTGCACCATCGGGCTGGAGGCAAAGTGCGGGCTGGAGTTCCCCACAGCTGGAGCAGGAGTCCTCTGTAATCCATCAAGTCTGAAGCAGGAAATGCAAGAAGGCTCATGGCGCCTCCTCCCACGAGCCGCCCGGCTGCCGAGAGCCCGGGGTGTGGAGCGGCGGGTTCAGGCCAGGGCAGCGGGACTCTGGGAGCTGGGCTTGCTGGTCCAAGAAACTTGGAGCACAGTCAGGTTTGCAGTTCAGCTCAGAATCCTGATTCAGAAACACCACCCCTTCTCCATGCCTGGGGAGATAGGTGAACTCCCAAACGACTCCCGGGGCCACCCCAGCAAAACCCTAAATGACAGAATTGCCCAGACAGAAGCTGGCTGATCTGTTAGCGAGACTAACCCCATACTTGCCCATGCTCTCTTCTAGTTCACAGGGCACTTCCGTGGCAGGGGAACATGAACTATTCTTGCTAATGAGGCTGGTGAAGCTCACAGGACCTGCACTTGCCAAGGCCCCACAGTTAGGAAACGGCAGAGCTGGGCCTTTAACCCAGATCCCCTGCCTCCAAGTCCTGGAATGGTTGTTTCAGAGGCTGAGCCTTCTGAGTGAGATGAGAAAACTAACAGGAGTCTGGCTGCTGAATCCTCTTTGGGGCACTTTCTCTAGAACAGCCAAAAAGTGGTCCCCAGACTCCACTTGCTTGTATGTACCTGGTAAGTCAGTGCCATTCAGTAAAAAGAAAGTCTTTCTTTTTTTTTTTTCTGCTGAATTGCAATATGTAATTGCAATGTGTTCCTATGTCATATGTTTCTGTAAAGTTTGCAAAGGTGAGACATCAGTTAGTCACACCAAGCCAGCTTGGTGGCACAGCACATGCTTGTAGTCCCAGCTACTCAGGAGGCTGAGGTGGGAGGATGGCTTGAGCCCTGGAGTTCAAGGCTGTGATGAGCAAAGATTGCACCACTGTACTCCAGACCTGTCTCTAAAAAAAGAATCAAACCTGGGCAACGTAGTGATAGACTCTGTCTCTAAATATACACATATGTCTATGAATAAGGCTTTTAAAAATAATAAAAATAACTCAGCTAAGTCTCTTTCCACTCTGATTCCCCGCCTTCCCTGCTCCCATCCAGTTGGATGGTGTTGGACTGGCTGTGGGTATTTTGGGAGAAGTTGATATGGAAATAGTTCAGAATTCAGGGGTATTTCTTGTGGTTCATGGTTCTATCCATGTGTAGCTCAGTCGTTGCTGGCTGTCCGAGGGTACAGATGGCTTCCAGGAACAGGCTCACCAATGAATGAAGGAGAATGAATACAATGATCATGATGAAAAAAGATTTAAATTTCTTGCTGATTTGGCATAAAATGTTGAAACCAACAAAGACAACATAAAACTCAGAACAGGTCCCTGTGATGAGAGCATCAAAGCCTCGCGTGGTCACCAGTGTGGCCCATCCAAGGAGCATGTAAGGTCAGGTCCCACATGAGAAAACTTGACACAGCCATGCCCTGAACTCTTCCTGCTACCATATCAAAGAAATTTGATTGAAGTTTGTTTTCTCTATAGAATATGGCATTGCAAAATCCTTGTTGTACAAGGAAGCGATCAGGATATAGAAAAACATAGGGAAGCCAGGTGTGGTGGCTCAAGCCTGTGATACCAGCCCTTTGGGAAGCCGAGGCAGGCAGATCACCTGAGGTCAGGAGTTCGAGACCAGTCTGGCCAATGTGGTGAAACCCTGTCTCTACTAAAAATACAAAAGTTAGCCGGGCATGGTGTGGGCACCTGTAATCCCAGTTACTCGGGAGGCTGAGGCAGGAGAATGGCCTGAACCCAGGAGGCGGAGCTTGCAGTGAGCCGAGATGGCGCCACTGCATTCCAGCCCGGGTGACAGAGCGAGACTCCGCCTCAAAAAAAAAAATTAAAAATAAAATAAATAAATAAATAAAATTCACTGTTATGCCTAATTTTGGTTTTGTAATTGTGTTTGTTTTTTTTTTTAAATGAGAGTCCTCTTGAAATTGTGTAAGCTTCAGATACCATAAACCCAGCTCGGCCCCAATGACCAGCTCCCTCTGTGCTGTAAACAGGTGGTTTATAGAAAAGAGGAGGCTTGAGAGCCAGAGATATCTGGGTCCAAATCCTGGTTCAGCCTCCTCCTCGCCCTGAGAATCCTGGGTGACTTGCTTCTTGCAGACTCAAGTTCTTTCCCTATAAAATGGGGATAACCTGCCTGACTAACATGGAGAAACCCTGTCTCTACTAAAAATACGAAATTAGCTGGGCGTGGTGGCACATGCCTGTAATCCCAGCTACTCGGGAGGCTGAGGCAGGAGAATAGCTTGAACCTGGGAGGCAGAGGTTGTGGTGAGCGGAGATTGCACTTTTGCACTCCAGCCTGGGCAACAAGAGGGAAACTCCATCTCAAAAAAAAAAAAAAAAAGAAAAATAAGGGAATAATCTGAGCTCCACAGGGGGCTGTGAGGTCTGGTGTGTGTGCAGCACCTGGAGTACTCTGGATTCCTTCACCTCTGCCATTCTTTGCCCCTTCCCTCGATCTTTCCTGCTCTGTGGCCCACCCTGTGGTCTCCATGCCTTCTGCTCAGTGCAGGGCTATTACCCTGGCCAGACATCCTTAGGGAGAATAGATCCCAGAACCTGATCATGTCTTTTTCTAAATCAAAATGACGAGTATACAATCTCAGCCACTGAGCAAGGTCCTGGAATGAGGATGAGACAGAGGAGAAGGGCAGTCAAGGGGTCTTCCAAAACAGCTCCCTTCCTAAGGGCCACCCCGAATGGGTCCCTGCGAGGAAGGAAGGGCCTCGCCATGAGGGAGGCCCAGGTGGTTCAGCATCACCAGGCACCCACAAGACAAGCATGTAGGGACGGCGCCCTCATCCCAAGAGGAAGGAAGGGCCTCCTGGGGCCCAGAAGGGGCACAGCAGAGGGTATCCTGCAGCTGGCTGGCCCTGACCCCAGCTGGAAGGAAATGGGGGACCCGAAAGGAGCCAGGGGTCTCCCAGGAGCCATGTGTCCATGGTGAGGGGACCACAGTTCCAACCTCCATCCTGGTCAGACCCTATCTGAACCGGAAATGCAGGCTGGGGTCCCCCACGGAGAAGGGTCTGGAAGCCATGTTGGGAGGACAAACAGGACCAGGGATGTCTTGGCCTGGAGAAGGGGAGGCTGGGTGGCCACAAACCCCCATCCACACCTGCCGGAGATGCTGGGGAGAAATTCCCAGGGAAAGGGCTGTTTACCAGGCCAGGCTGTGGGCAGTGGGGAAACAGAGTAGAGGGGGCGGGCAGGGGACCGAGCCTCGAGGCCTCCTGCGAACCAGGGACCCGGTGGGGAGGGGCTGGTGACCCAGGAAACCCCTCCTTCCCCTAGCCCGCCTCCTGGGCTTCTGGGCCTGCGTCCAGGTGGCTGGGCCTCGCCTGTGCAACTGGAAGTGAGGGGAGAGGAGGGTCCAGCGGGGTGTTCTCTTTCCAGGTGCTCTCAGCGCTTGCCCAGGCCGCCATGGGGCTCCCTTAACACCCACGGAGTTGAACGAAAGAGAGACCCCGGATCCGAAGCCACCTGCCCTCTTTCCTCTGCCCCCTAGCCAGCTCCTTCCCACCTAGTGCCAAACGCAGCCTCTCAGATTCTGACCTCCACTTTCCACAAGCCGGTGTGACCCAGGTCCTACTTACCTTCTATTAAATTTAGTAGAATCCACCGAGGTGCCCTTTTCACCTGCGCATTAAGGGAAAGGGCTCCACCTTCATGCATTCATTCAAGAGATTCCTGATTTTCGGCCTAAGCACCTGCAGAGAGGAAGTGGGGCCTGAAGCAGGACCGGGGAAAAAGTGAGGGGCTGCAGCGAGCTCCGGTCTAGCTGGGAAGCACAGACACCTCTAGAGGTTATCCCCAGGCAGTGTGCCTGATCCTAGGATTCGAACCCTAGCCCCACCTCCACTGGCCACTTCACCTTAAAACAGTGACTTCCCTTCTCTGAGCCACAGTTTCCTCATCCGCAAAATGCAGACACAATAGCACCTGCCTCGCAGCATGGCTTAGAGAACAGACTCAGCCAAGCGTCTGGCAAGTAATCCTTTCCCACCTTACGCCACCTCTTCCTCATCTTGCCCTCACCCTCACTCACTGGCCATGCCCAGCAGCTGGTGGCCCAGTGCCCAGAAGGGGGTCAGAAAGCTGTGGCCACCTGAAGCCAGGCCCTGGGGTGGGTGACCAAGGGCCTCCCGCCCACTCCTAGGCCAGCCGCTCCTGGCAAGTGCCCAAGTCCCCGTCCCACGGGCAGCTCAGAGATGGCCTGGCCCCATGCTCCTTGTTTGACACAAAATCAGCAGACACCGGGAGGAAAGAAAAGAAAAGGGAAGCTCAAGAGAAACAGTGACTCAGGCACAGGCTCCCTGCCAGGCAGACAAAAACGCCCAAAACACTTTCGTTTTGCCCCAGGGGAGTTTCCTGGGGAGGGGGCTTCTGCAAGTGAAGCCTTTGGTCACCTGTGACCTGCTGGAAAGATCATGGTCCAGAGATCCAAAGGCGGATTTTCCCTCCCTCTGATTCTATTCCGACGATGGAGGGCAGACTGGGATTACTGTTGATCTGCACACCCCTGGGAGATTTCTGGTCCTAAAACAGCATCTTGCCTGTAGTCCCAGCTACTCAGAAGGCTGAGGCAGGAGAATCACTTGAACCCGGGAGGCGGAGGTTGCAGTGAGCCAAGATCGCACCATTGCACTCCAGTCTGGGCAACAGGAGTAAAACTCCGTCTCGAAAAAACAAACAAACAAACAAAAACAAAACAGCATCTCCTCAGTGTTGCGGGGCATTTTGTACAGAATGGATGTTCGAGTCCAATAAGTGCAGGAAGTCTCTAACTTCCCAAGGAGCTGTCTCCCAGAGAAAGCCGTTCCCACTCAGAAACCGGATTATAAATGACGTCGGGCTTCCAGGAACCGCCCGAAAGCTGCTGAACTCTGAATGCAGCTGAAAATCTGTACATGTGAAATGAAAACAGTAAAAATCAATACTAGTTGCAATACCAGTAATTTCTGAACAGAAAAAATAAATGGTTTTATGCATCTGACTGTGGATGCTGGAGAGAGAAGGTAGTTTTCATCAGAGGAGGCCTAGGGGAGGAGGGAGGCCTTCTCATTCCACTTCCCCTGCGTCTCTCTCCAGCCTCAGCCTCTCAGCCTGGAAGGAACACCCCAGTCCCTCCTGCGAGCCCTCCTGTCTACTCCTGGAAGCTTCTTTTTTTTTTTTTTTTTTTTTGTGAGACAGAGTTTTGCTCTTGCTGCCCAGTCTGGAGTGCAATGGCGCAATCTCGGCTCACTGCAACCTCCACCTCCCGGGTTCAAGCGATTCTCCTGCCTCAGCCTCCCGAGTAGCTAGGATTACAGGCGTGCGCCACCATGCCCGGCTAATTTTGTATTTTTAGTGGAGACGGTGTTTCTCCATGTTGGTCAGGCTGGTCTCAAACTCCTGACCTCAGGTGATCCACCCGCCACAGCCTCCCAAAGTGCTGGGATTACAGGCGTGAGCCACCTCGCCTGGCCTAAAACTACTTTTCTATCAACATCTCACTGTTTGCAGAGTGCTCTCACTTCGTTTACTTCCATTGTTCTTCACTAAACCCTGACAAAGTGGGTATTTCATCCCCATTTTGTGGATGCAGAAACTGCCCCCCACTTCAACGCCTGAGGAGACAAGGCTGGGATGCAAACTGAGCTCACGCCAGAGCCCCTGCCCTTCCCAGGACGCGGCGCTGTCCCTACAAGGAGGAGGGAGAGGGGAGGGAGTGGGGAAGGGAGAAAGGTTGCCGGGAGGAGGAGGAAGGATGGAAGGGAGGGAGGGAGGGCAGGTGGGGGGCAGAAGGGGCGGGGAGGAGGGAGGAAGTGGGAAGGAGGGCGAAGAAGGGAGAAGCGGGGGAACGGAGAGGGGGAGGGAGTATCAAACCTGTCCCATATTTGAGAGGTGCTTCGGGCAGTTTCCGAAGTGTGAGAGCCAGGGTCTGTTTAAATGCAGATTTCCTGGCCCTGCAACTCTCTGGGGTGGAGCCAGCGTGTCTGCAGAATAGTGGCAGCCACACACACACCCTCTGCTCACGGGAGACTGAGGCTCTGGTCTCACAGAACCTGAGAACTGTGGGTGAGGAAGCATGAATAGCCTCAGGGGAGGCTAATTGCTTCCTTAATTAGCTGAACCCGCGCTGGGGAGCCCTGCCCGGAAAGTCCCAGTTGCTGGGAAGGATGGGACTGGCTTGCCTGGCGGCCAATAACCGTTTCCGCTGGCGGCTGCCCCCGAGGAGACTGTGCGGCGTTTCCAGCAGAAACAGCACGAGGGGAAAGGGCCGGGCCACCGCGGTGCCCAGGAAGGGATTTAAAGAGGCAAGCTGAGGTCCTGCAGCCGCCACGCCCTGCACCCTGTACCGACAGCCCTCCGCCGGCACACTCTTGGTTCTGCCTGCACCGGACCCCCCCGGAACCCCCACTGCCCTATCCCACTGCCGCTCAAGCCCTATCTTGATCTTGCTAGGCGGTGGCCTCAGGGCAGCCCAGGACCCCTAGAGGGGGAAGAAGGGTCACGGAGAGGAAATCTCAGGTGAGGGCGTTCCCATGTCTACCACCAGGTGGCACCATCAGCACAGGCCAACCCTGGGGCCGTCCTGCGTGGCCAGGAGGGGAAGTGGGTGGCACCGTTAGTGGGGGACTTGGTGGCTCTGGCGTCTGTTGTCTGAGGGCCTCCTGGTTCTGTGCTCGTCTCTTTCAGGGACATGGTTGTGTCAAGGGCCCGAGCCTCCCAGAACCTTGGCACATGGTGGACGTGGAATAAATGTTGAAAATTGTGGCCGGGTATGGTAGGTCACACCTGTAATCCCAGCACTTTGGGAGACCGAGGCGGGCAGATCACTTGAGGCCAGGAGTTCGAGACCAGCCTGGCCAACATGGTAAAACCCCGTCTCTACTAAAAAATACAAACATAGCCGGGTGTGGTGGTGGGTGCCTTTAATCCCAGCTGCTTGGGAGGCTGAGACAGGAGAATCACTTGAACCTGGGAGGAGGAGGTTGCAGTGAGCCAAGATCGCACCACTGCACTCCAGCCTGGGTGACGGAGCGAGACTCCATCTCAGAAAAAAAAAAAAAAAAAGACAAAAAGAAAAAATCATGCCACCTTTGTTTTTTGTTTCTTCCAGATCTTGAAGATTCCTTTTGGTGTGGCGGGGTTGGGGAGTTGGCACTAGCTCCTTGCTGCCTCCCAGAAACTGAGCATAGCAGGGGGACCATGGTATGTGTCCAGTAGAAAAGCCCGGGTCCCCTCTGTGACCTCAAGCAGGTGAGTCACTGTTTTTCTCCCTCACTAAATATGTCAGCTGAGGCGTATAATATCTGCCCTGATTAAAGGACCAGGTGAATTGCAGGAGAGCGCAGTGGTTAAAGCCAGGTCCCGGGAGCTGGAGCCCTTGTTCCACTGCGTCTTCGCTGTGTGGCCTTGGGCAAGTGGCTTGTGTTCTCTGAACTCCAGTTTCCTCATCTGCGAAGCAGGAGCAGTCATAACACCTCCCATACAAGGTTTCTATGAGGGCTGAAGTACAAGAAAAGCCTTTAGAACTGTGTCTGGCATCAAACAAATGCTTAAGAGCCAAAAATACAAGCAGCTGGAACTGAGAGGGGATTCTGGAGACAAGCCAGGCCAGGCTTCCAGCCCGGGCAGCCTGCGGGCAGATGGCCTCCAGGTGGGTCTGCCTGCCTCTGGTGGGGTCAGCACCACCCAGCTGCAGGGCCACTGCGAGGCACAAGACGGCCCCAGAGGTAAACCCGGCTGCTCCTAGGATGGAGGCTGCCCTTTTTGATAGTGAGGGTGTTTGAGAGAGAGGGTGGATCGGCCCCTGAGTACCCTGGAACCCTTTTTGCCTCAGTGAAGCCAGCTCAGAGGGTCATTCTGAGGGGTCCCTCCTGCTGGTCGGCTCAGCTCCTCTTGGTGCTGGAGTCTTTGGGGAGGAAGGAAGTGATTTTCGCAGCCGCAGCGGGGAGCAGAGGGATCTCCTTCCCACGGCACTTCTGCTTCCTGTGCAGAAAGGAACCATGAAGAGCTCAGGACCTCACTGTGTCCCGGCTGGAGGCCTCTCAGCTGCCACTTGCTGGCTGGGGCATTTGAAAATCCTGGATTGAGGCCGGGTGCGGTGGCTCACGCCTGTAGTCCCAGCACTTCGGGAGGCCAAGGCGGGCAGATCACCTGAGGTCAGGAGTTCGAGACCAGCCTGGCCAACATGGTAAAACCCTATCTCTACTAAAAATACAAAAATTAGCCAGGTGTGGTGGCAGGCGCCTGTAATCCCAACTACTCGGAAGGCTGAGGCGGGAGAATCACTTGAACCCGCAAGGCAGAGATTTCAGTGAGCTGAGATCATGCCACTGCACTCCAGCCTAGTGGAGTCTTTTTTGAGCCTGTCTCAAAAAAAAAAAAAAAAAAAAAGAAGAAGAAAAGGAAATCTTGGAGGTGGTCGTGGGTAGGGGATCTGTTTTTCTCCCTGGACAGGGAGCGCCTTGAGGGCAAAACCATGACTTATGTTTTGTCTGCCCAATGCCTGGCACGCAGTAGGCACATAATAAGTGTTTGTGGAACTAAACTGAAAACAGAGACCAGCTGGGCAAAGTGGCTCACACCTATAATCGCAGCACTTTGGGAGGCTGAGGTGGGCGGATCACCTGAGGTTGGGAGTTCGAGACCAGCCTGACCAACATGAAGAAATGCCATCTCTACTAAAAATACAAAATTAGCCGGGCGTGGTGGCACATGCCTGTAATCCCAGCTACTCGGGAGGCTGAGGCAGGAGAATCACTTGAACCCGGGAGGCAGAGTTTACGGTGAGCCGAGATCGCGCCATTGCACTCCAGCCTGGGCAACAAGAGAAAAATTCTGTCTCAAAAAAAAAAAAAAAAGAAAGAAAAGAAAAAGAAAACAGAGGCCAGTAATTGTGGTCTCATTTGGAAAGCCTTAGTCTTGGTGTCGAGGAGGCCCCTGGGGACTGCAGGGGACACCTGGGCTCCCCCATTTCCCCACCCAGCTTCCACCTCCTTCAGGGCTGCCACTCAGAAATTACTTTAACCTCCCTGTTCCTCAGTTTCCTCATCTGTACAATGGAGGTGATTAGAGTGCCTGCCCCATAGGGCTGCAGTGAGGATTAAACTGGCAAGGAGAGCAGGTCCCCTGGAGCAGTGTCAGGCGCTTGGAAGCTTCCCGGAACTGCTCTATTATTGCTTCACTCTGCTGAGGTTGCCGTGCCCCTAGGCTTCCCAGGGAGGCTAGGCTCTTTCACTTCTACAGCCTCCGTGAGGCCAGGGCCCAGGGCAGGGCAGGTGTTCAGTATACTGTGAGGCATAGATGCACGGATAAACGGGGAATGGACGGAGGTCTGGGCAAAAGCCAGTGGCTGAGACGTGTGGTCCCCAGGGACCTCACCTGCAAATTCAGCTGCCAAGGCCTAGCTCGAAGGCTGTGCCACTGAAGCTGCCCCTGGGACACCCACAGAGCCTCCTCATTCCTCTGCTCCGCCTTCAGCCTTTGGGGCCTTTACTGTTTATTCACAGCTCTGGCTGAGGGCACAGGAGAGGAAGCACATGAGAGGTGCTAGAAAGTTTTGGTAGAAATGAGGCTCCTGGATGCGCTGCGGTTTTATTTCTATCCCCCTGGCTCCCGAGGAGGATCAGGGCCAGACACGAGGCCCCGACAGCGCAGCCAGGGCTGCTGGGCTCCTTGCCAAGGTGCGTCCCTGCCTCTCCCCAGGAGGCTGCGTGGCTGCAGAGCGTCTCAGAAACTGGGCAATGAGCTGGGACCCTCAGCTGCTTCTTGTCCAGTCATGTCTGCGCTCCACAGCCCAGGGCCTGCCTGGGGAGTATGCACGCCTCCTCCCACCCTGCCTCCCAGAGGCTACCCCTTCCCTTGAGGCCTCTTGTGCACCAGCGTGGTGTTGGGCACCTGCCTTCATATCAAGCCTGGAGGAAGGCTTCTCCCTGCCTTATGCTCACCCATCCGTCCATTCCTGCACCCCCTGGGCCAGGCTCAAGAAGGAGAGGGGAGGAAGACAGGCAGCTCAGGCAGGCAAGCGTGGAAACCAGGTGTGCAGCAGGCTAGACCCAGACTCAGAGGCGGCAGAACTCCCGGGAGTCCGAGGTACAGAGTTGGGGTGTGGGGGGCACCGTGACAGGCTGAGAGGTAGGGTCAGTGAGCTGGCACAGGGGCAGGAGCGGAGGCGGCACCAGGGCTGGAAGAGCAGGCTCCCTTGTTCCGAGGCAGTTTGGCATTCAGCTGCCTCCCAGTGCCAAGTCGTAATGAGACTTGTAGAGGCACAGACCGATGCTTTTCCAATGCTCCCCGTGTACCCTGAGGCATTGACACGAGGTCTATCACCATGGCATCAAGGTGCTTAGACAACCTGCTACTCCCAGGAGCCAGGAATAGCGTGAAGCAGCGGGTCTGCATCTCACTGTGACATATGTGAGCATGTATCACTGTGATGGATCAACAGTCAATAACACTGGGGTCCCCGCCTGCCCCCTGCGCGGTAGGAAACTTCTCCTGTTCATATGTCTTCCTCCCCTGGTGGGCGGCCCCTGCTCTTGCCAGCCTCCCAGTGCTCGTGGCATTGGTGGAAACGTCTTTAGGCTTTCACTGTTCATGTTTGGAGCAGCCCAGGGAAAAGCATGTGTGCAAAGAACTGAAATGGATCTCATGATGCCGTCACCGGGGGCTGCAGCTGGACACACCTGAGCAGGCAGTAGCAGGGTGGGAGAAGGCTCGGACATCATACCACTGGCAGTTCAAATGCCCGCCCCACAGACCTGCCCTGATCCTAGGCATGTTGTTTTGCCTCCTGGGGCCGAGGTCTTCTCTTTTGTACAACTGGGATCATCACATTTATCTGGTGAGTGAAGGGACACCTGCAGAGAAGGGAGGTAAGCGCTCAGCATGCGCTGAAACTCAGCCACCTTCCCGCCTGCGTCTTCCATGTACCAGGTGCCTCCAGCTCCACCAGCCATCACCACACCCCAGCCCCTTTCCTCTGCCACTCCAGACACGCAGGCAGATGTGTGGGTGCCAAGGGTGAGGGGCTCCCAGTCTGCTGGGGAAGGGGGTCCCGGCAGCAAACAATTCCTGTCCCCGGCTGATGCTGCTAGAAGTGAGAGCAGGGGCTGTGACCTGCAGCCAATGGGGAAGCAGTTCGAGGGTCTCACAGTTGGGAGGCCGAGTGAGCTAAGCTTTAGGGCAGCCACAGGGAGGAGCTGACGTTAGAGATGGACCAGAGAGGAGGCGTCTCCTGGGCCTCTGCAGGGGACCCACAGAGGTTCTCGCTGGGTGAATGATGGGCAGCCTGCCTTTCACCTGCCCTGGGTGTTTGGCCCTCTCTAGGGCTGGGAACATGAGGCTCCTGCCCTTCACCCCAGCCTCCCTACCACCCCTCACCAAAAAACCTACCTTTGGTAAACACATTATTAAGGGATTCTCAGAATATTTTAGAGAAGTTTGTGTGAACATGCTTGTGGTCGTTTTAAAAGTGTTTCAGAAGTGAGAGGCTAAACCAAGGCCCGAAGTCACTCATGGAAATCCCATGATCCCTCTGCACAGTTACCAGTGTCTCCTGGACGGGGCCCCTGCTGGAAAGGGGCCGAGACAGGGTGAAGCCCACCAGGGGTTGGAGTGGGGAGGCTTGGGTCCCGTCTCCAGCTCTTCTTCTGGTTGTGTGGCCTGGACCAGTCTCAGTGCCAGGTTCCTCATCTGGCGGCCACCCTGCTGGGCTGTTCCAGCTTTGCTTCTGAGCGGAAGGTCAGGGGCTGCCAGGGAGGAGCTTCGTGGGGAAAGCAAAGGGGAAGCTGTCAGCGCCGGCCGTCCCCTCCTGTGAACTAAAGAGTCGCCGCAGACAAGCAGGCCCCCAGATGGAGAACCAGCCTGTGAGGTGGCGGGCCCTGCCAGGCCTCCCACGCCCTCCTGGGCTCCCCGCAGCCCCCTGGCTCCTCCTTGGCGTGCTGCTGCTGCCCGGGACCCTGCGACTGGCAGGTAGTGTCTGTCTTCCTCCTTCTCTCTACTCTCTCGCTCCAGAACATCAGAGCGGCTTTCATCCCGCCCGGCGCAGCTAATTCCCAGGGACCTGTCTCTGGGGATTTGCTGGTTGTCGTTTGAACGCTGCAGACTTCACAGGGGAAGCCTTCTGGGACCGAGAAGATGTTTAGCTAATGCCTTGCCAAGGTGGCTTTTGAAGGGGAGGGGGACAGCGCTCTCTCCCTCGCTGCTGTGACAGCTTTGCCCCAGCAGTCTGGCCTCCTGGCCCTTAAACAAGGAGGGTGGGCGCTGTGTGGCTGGGGCCAGGGGCGGGGCAGGGGGGAGGGACAGCTCCCCATCCGAGGAACCTCACGTGGCTGCTGCGGGGGACACTGCGTTGAACCTGGCAAGTGGTGGGGCTACCCTCTGGGTTGTTGCTGGCATTGGCCAGGGAGAGCGGGGAGAGGGGGGAGGGGGGGATACCAGGGCCAGCCACAGGGCTCTGCGCCCAGAGGCACAAAACTGTCAGTCACCAGAAAGGGTCTCACCTCCCAGTTCCTGAAACACAACCAGAGGCCAAGTGTTTTAGGATGCAAGTGTGTCTTTCCACGCCAGCGGCGCTCCTTTCCTGGTTCCAGGCTTTCTTGGAAGCTGGGTGGCCGGGATCCGAGCCAAGCTGTGGGGTAGGTAGCCTCAGGGCCAGTTCATCAGGCCAGGGACGGCCCAGGAGGGTCCCATTCCAGGGCTGCCAGCACGAGGGCTCAGTGAATTCTGCCAGATTCTCTCTGCCCCTCCTTGGCCGGGCAGCAGCCAACCCTCCCTCTGGCCAAAGGGGTGGCCTCCACTGTGGAGACAGGGTGCCTTCCTTTCTATTCTCTTAGTTTATGGGGCTTTCAAGAGCTGCCCCCACCCTGTCCTGCTGCACCCCCTCTCATGACCACAAATTAGGCTTTATGGAGCCCTTAGCAGGGCACGTACTGGCCACCCTCACAGCACCCCTTGGGGCTCCTATTGTCCTCACCTGCACCATTTTAAGGACAGGGAAAAGGAGGCCCAGGGAAGCCAGTTCGTTTGCTCAAGACCTAGCCGGTAAGTAGAGGCCAGCCTCAGCCCCAGGCCAGCCTCAGCCCCAAGCTGGGCCCCTCGGCCAGTAGGCTCAGAGGATCCTCTTACTTGTAAAGAATGTTCTTCACCGGAAACTTACCCTGGGGAGGCAAAGGCTGACCTGTGTGTACCTCCCCAGGCTGCAGCCCAGAGCCCTAGGACACCATCTCCTTTAATCCTGTGCACGCCTCGCCCCACACCCCAGACAGTTGGTGCAAACACGGCCAGACCCCGGAAATGCAGCCTGTTAGTGTCAATGTGTCTCAACTACAGTCATTTTTAATTTAATTTCCCCCCAATTCCCATCCTTTCCCTTTGTGTGGTTCCTCCTCCCCAAAAGACACCCAGCACACCCTGGTAACCGAGCAGTAAGAGGTTTTATGGGGTGCTACTGGGGAAAAGCTCTTTTGTAACAGTCTCAACTATAACAAAACATTCCCAGTGCCACCCCCTCCCACCCGGTATTGCAACAAACATTACATAAAAGAGAAACTGTTCTTTCACAAGAGGTGAAAACACCCTTACGGTGTCCTAGAGTCCCTTGGAGCAGCAGACAAACCCCCACCCATGATTTTTTTTTTTTTTTTTTTTTTTGAGAGTTTCACTCTTGTCACTCAGGCTGAAGTGCAATGGCGCCATCTTGGTTCACGGCAACCTCTGCCTCCTGGGTTCAAGTGATTCTCCTGCCTCAGCCTCACGAGTAGCTGGCACTACAGGTGCCCACCACCATGCCCAGCTAATTTTTGTATTTTTAGTAGAGACAGAGTTTTGCCATGTTGGCCAGGCTGGTCTTGAACTCCTGACCGCAGGTGATCTGCCCGCCTCAGCCTCCCAAAGTGCTGGGATTACAGGCGTGAGCCACTGTGCCCGTCCTGTTTTTATTTTTTTGAGACAGGGTCTCGCTCCGTCCACCAGGCTGGAGTGCAGTGGTGCAATCTCAGCTCACTACAACCTCTGCCTCCCTCACTCAAATGATCCTCCCACCTCAGCCTCCCGAATAACTGGAACCACAGCGTGTGCCACCACACCCAGCTATTTTTTAAATTTTTTCGTAGAGATAGAGACTCACAGTGTTGCCCAGGCTGGTCTCGAACTCCTGACCTCAGGTGATCCACCCGCCTTGGCCTCCCAAAGTGCTGGGATTACAGGCGTGAGCCACTGTGCCCAACCCCCAACCCGCTCTTTGTCCTACCCCTGTGCATCCCCCTTCATCTATCTGTCACTCCATGTCACACCCCTGCCTTCTCGTCTCAGAGCTTTGAGGGTTTGCTGGAAGGAATCTTGCCCCTCCCACATCTTCCAAACCTCCCCTGACCGTAACCATCAGCCTTAACCATCAGCCTGGTGCAACCAGCTCTGCCACCTGTCAGTACCAACCCAGCTTGCATCCCTCAGCTGTGTCCACAGGGGTGTCACTGAAGGCCAGCGTCCCTGATTCTGCATCGTATCCCTGAACTTGCGAGAGGATGCTGGCTTAGGAGTACAGGCCAGGGGCATTCATCTTCAGTTTGATTTTTTATTTATTTATTTATTTTGAGACGGAGTCTCGCTCTGTTGCCCAGGCTGGAGTGCAGTGGCACCATCTCGGCTTACTGCAACCTCCGCCTCCCAGGTTCAAGCGATTCTCCTGCCTCAGCCTCCTGAGTAGCTGGGATTGCAGGCACCCACCACCATGCCTGGCTAATTTCTGTATTTTTAGTAGAGTCAGGTTTTCACCGTGTTGGCCAGGCTGGTCTCGAACTCCTGACCTCAGGTGATCCCCCCACCTTGGCCTCCCAAAGTGCTGGGATTACAGGCGTGAGCCACCGCACCCGGCCCAGTTTGAATTTGAGCTCTGCTACTTGCCCAGGCACCCTGGGCAGATTACTTCTATCGCTATGCCTCAATTGTCTCCTCTGTTAAATGGATGTGATAACACTGCCTGCCTAAACACATCCTGAGGACTGAGTGCCCAGTATGTCATTAGTCCTCAGTGAGTGTCAGCCACCTGCCAGCCTCGCCAGAGCCATGGAAACTTGAGGTGCAGTTGGTGAGCCCACGGCCTCCAGCTCATCCTGGGTACCTGCTCCTGCTCCCAGCCATCCTCCTCCTCCCACTTGAGCCGGGACTTGGGCCTGTCCTCTGGCTTCTTGACCCCTCTGCAAAGCCTGCTTTTCTCAAAGGCAGCCACTGGTGGTCTCCCCAAGACAGGAATTGCTGGGGGCTTGGCTTTTCCAGGAGCAGCTGCAACTCAGCTTCCATGGGCCTCAGTCCTCCCCAAGGACTTTGGGGCTGGACAGACCTGAGTTCCAGGCCTGCCTTCTTCTGGTGACAGCTGTGTGACCTCAGGCAATTACTTAACCTCTCTGCACCTTAGTGTCCTCTGCAAATGTCAGTCCCCTCTCTGTGGCCTTTCCAGAACTCTGGGCTGTATTTATTTCTCACATATCCATTGAAAAGGACCGGTTCTAGGCACCAGAGGGACCCAGACGTGAACAAGCCATAGGCCCCACTCTCAGCCTGGTGGGACCGTGAGCCTTGGCCGGAGTTACCAGACAAGTTTGTTCTGGATCCAGGTGGTGTGCGCCTGTAATCCCAGCTACTCAGGAGGCTGAGGCAGGAGAATTGCTTGAACCTGGGAGGCAGAGGCTGCACTGAGCTGAGATCGTGCCACTGAACTCCAGCCTGGGTGACAGAGCAGGACTCTGTCTCAAAAAAGTAATAATAATAAAAAAAGATGTTCAGGAGCCCCTGCCTGCTCCCGGCTGAGACCTCCTGCCTCCCTTCCCGCCGCTCCGGACCTCTGTCAGGAGTAGCCTCTGTTTTTCATCTTTGTCTAAATCCCAATAAAGGACTTTCGAGGCACAGGCAGAGGTGGGCGGGGAGAGGCAGGGGAGTGCTGGAAAGGCTGCCCGCGGAGTGGGGACAGAGCGGGAGGTGGCTGAGGGAATGAGGGCTGAGAGCCCAAAAGGCAGGGCCAGGAGGGCCGGGAGAGGCTCAGCTTGACGGCAGGGGAAGTCTGACACAGGAGTGGGATGCAGATTGTGGTTGGGTGGATCACAAATGCCCCTCAGGTAGGGGTCCGGGCACACTCCCAGCGGGTCCTGTCTCACTGCTGTCTCCTCTGTCATGGTGAACTATCGCACAAAAACCGCAGTGCTGCGTGGTAAGCACTAGAAAACAAAGTCCTGTGTGACTCTCACCAGGTCAAGAATGAGAACATCCCAGTGCCTCAGAGCCCCTTCTACTCCCCTCGCCCCACAGACACTGCCCCGCTCCGTGCCCCACCAAAGGTACCCCCATCCCAGCTTGTGGGGGGATCACTTACTGGCATTTCTTTGTAGTTTTATCATTAGTACACATCCCGAAACCATATGGACTAGCTTTGCCTGTTTGTGAACTTTGTGTAATTGAAGGATACTGTGTGTATTCTCCGGTGACCCGCTTCTTTCACTGAGCATTATGTTTTTTAAGATAGATCCAGTCCACGATATGGCTGAAGTTCGTTTTGTTGCTATAGATAGAGCAAGAGTTGAAACCACGGCCGGTGGGCTAAACCCAGCCCACTGCCTCTTGTATGGCTTGTGAGTTATGAATGGTTTTTATATTTTTAAGTGGTTGAAAAAATCAAAAGGTACTGTGCGGACTCATGTGGCTTCTAATCCTTGACTCCCAGCACGGGACCAGCACCCAGCAGATGCTCAGGAAATGGTGACAATCAAGGATGAATTAAGCTCTGAGCAGGGTGGAGACGCGATGCCACAGGAGGGGCGCCTGGGGGAGGAGATGGAAGGGCTGGGTAGTCGTCCTCTGCCCTTCCTCTGCCCTCCCTGAGCCCTGGCTCCTCTCCAGCGTTGGTAGGGTAATGAGACCCCCTGTGTAGTGAATGGGAGGGAGGACACAGGCATCCTGGGGAAATGTGGACCCGGAGGCAGGATCTGACCCTCTGCTTGCTCCTTGTGGATCTAAGCAAGGCCATACCCTAGTGGGGACGTGGGCAACAGGACCCAGATGGGGCTGAAACCAGAGAAAGGGACGGGGTGAGCCTGGTGAGAGGGAGGGGAGGGGTATGGACATGAGATTGGCAAGTGGGGCGCCTGGGCTCCTGGTAAGGTCTGAGCAGGCTGGATTTGGGTCCTGGGAGCCTTTGGCCAAGTCTCTGGAGTACGCTGAACCTCCACGAGCCCCCCCGCCTGGGTGCTCAGCATCCTCCCAGACAGCAATAGGAAGGTACATCCAGTACCATGATGGCCTCAGGGCGTGGCACCTGGGACCCCTCAGGGAGGGTCTGTGAGGCTTTGGCCCTAGGGACAGGGCTCGAGGGCACAGTGAGGGAGGGGACTCAGTGCTCATCTTCGGTCGTGAGTCATGGGTCGTGGATCGTGGGGGTCCTGCCCACCAGGCTTCTCTGGGCCCAGCCACTGGCCCCACCTATTCCTCTGCACCCTGAGACTCAGGTCCTTGCAGGCCAAGGGGCTCACCATGGCCTCCCCAGTCCCCCTGTAGGCAGGGGTGATTCACTGTCCCAGGGTGCACTCAGGCCAGAGCCCTGATGGCGCCTTTGCCAAAACAGAGGGCCTGGAGGGCCAGGCCCCACCTGAGCCGGTTCTCTGAGGCCGAGTCCAGCACCAGGCCAAGCACAGAGGAGGGGCTGCAGAGTCTTGGCTGGGACTTGGATGTGCTTGGCTGCTGAGGGTCTATTTGATGAGTGGCTGCACCTGGGGGCTTCATTCTAGGGCTTGGAGGCTGTGCAGGGTGCCGAGAAGAGCCAGAGGAGGTGGAATGCTGACCCTGGCTGTTTCTGCTCCCCACGCACCCCATTGCAGGTGCTGAGGTGGAGGAGGGGCAGGGCCTGGGCCAGATCTTTGCTTGCTGCTGGTGGGCCAGGGGCCAGAGGTCCACAGAGCATAACCGCAAACAGCCTCACTGCCCTCAGCAGGCCCCTAACCCTGGTGTATTCAGATAAGACCCTCCCCATCCCTCGGCCACCCCTTCTTCCTGGGTGCCTGCTCCTTATGGCCACTCCCACCTTTGAGGTTGGCCGGAGGCAGAGGACTCCCATCCCCTGAAGAAGCCAGCCACACCCACTCCCCTGAACCTTTGCTTCTTTCTACACTGCTCCCTGGGTCTGGAGGGTATCCTCTCACTTGCCCACCTGGTGACATCCAAACTCTCTGTCAAGGTCAAACTCATAGGCTCTTCTGTAGTACCCCCTCTGGCCCCTTCCCCACCCTGAACAAACCCAGTTCCCCTCCCTCTCCCCCAAGGTGTTCATCTGTGATCCCGAGCACACAGGCGCTCAGAGGCATGTGGGGCATGACTGAGCTCGCCTGAGGCACGTGAGGCTGTGGGCAGAGCCAAGGAACAAGCATCCAACTTTAAGAGGCAGGCTGTGTGAGAAAAGCCAGGGACAGTGCAGAGAGAGTACGCGGGCTCAGGAAGGCTGGGCGTGGAGGGGAAGAGGAGGGAAGGTCAAAGAGAGAGGGTCTGCAGGGTCATGGTCAAGGCCAGAAGCCTCAGGACCCACCAGCATCTTTGCTGACCTCCTTGGTGGCAGCGGAGCCAGCCAGCTGAAAGCATCCTGTGGCGGGCAGGAGGCGGCAGACAGGGAGGGAAGGAGGGAGCTGGCAGGGTGGAGGAAGTGGAAGGGTAAGGAGGGGAGGACAGAGGGAAGGATGGAGGCCTGGAGAGGTTGTGTGCCTGGAGGGCGAGGGATCTTGTGGGAGGTAGAGATTTAAGAGAAGTCAGGATAAAAGTGAGCTAGCCAAGTTGTCCAGGGGAAGGAGTTAGTGTGTTAACAGCCAGAAGCATATATATTTTAAAAGGAGGCCGAGAGCAAGAGTGCAACAGATCCCACAGAAGGAATCACTAATGCGAGGCAGGGTTTCAAAGGCTGAGGGAGACTGGAATTCTAGTATTTCTCTTGTCCTTGTTCTAAAATGCAAATATGGGCCAGGCACAGTGGCTCACACCTGTAATCCCGCACTTTGGGGGGCCGAGGTTTGTGGATCACCTGAGGTCAGGAGTTCGAGACCAGCCTGGCCAACATGGTGAAACCCCTTCTTCACCAAAAATACAAAAAATTAGCCAGGCATGGTGGCATGCACCTGTAATTCCAGCTACTGGGGAGGCTGAGTCAGGAGAATTGTTTGAACCTGGGAGGTAGAGTTTGCTGTGAGACGGGATTGCACCACTGCACTCCAGCCTGGGCGACAGAGCAAGACTCCATCTCAGAAAATAAATAAATAAATAAATAAATACGAAAAGAAAGAAAGAAAGGAAAGAAAGAGAGAGGGAGGGAAGGAGGGAGGAAGGAAGGAAGATGATCATGTCACTTTCCAATTTAAAAGCCCTCACAGGCTCCACTAGGTTTCCAGGGCAGTGTTCAAGCTGCTCCCCACCTCTGAGGCATCCCCTTGTACCCCCCTCCCAGACACAAATCATTCCTTCCAACTCCACCAAGGCACAGTGCCCATTTCAAGAATTTGAGAAGCTTTACCCGAGAACTTTCTTGCGTTTGAAACCTCTCTCCACACCCCTCCCCCAACTGTCTGCCTCCTGCTCTTCTCTTCCTTCCAAGTTCAGCTTCGTAAAGGGATGGGAAGAAAGATAGCAAGATACTCAGCTGTGAGGTCGGGTGGCAGAACTGTTCAGCTGAACAAGTTCGGCTTGCTTCTTGAGATTTTGTTGTCATTTCTAGAATTTCTTTTTCTTGTTGTTTGTATGTTTTTTGTGTTTCTTTTTTTGTTTCTTTTTTGAGACGGAGTCTCGCTCTATCCCCTAGGCTGGAGTGCAGTGGCACAATCTCGGTTCATCGCAAGCTCTGCCTCCCTGGTTCACGCCATTCTCCTGCCTCAGCCTCCCGAGTAGCTGGGACTACAGGCGCCTGCCACCATGCTCGTCTAATTTTTTGTATTTTTAGTAAAGGTGGGGTTTCACCGTGTTAGCCAGGATGGTCTCAATCTCCTGACGTTGTGATCCGCCCGCCTTGGCCTCCCAAAGTGCTGGGATTACAGGCATGAGCCACCGCGCCCAGCCATGTGTTTGTTTTTTTTTAAAGAGATGGGGTCTCAGCCAGTGTGATGGCTCACATCTGTAATCCCAGCACTTTGGGAGGCCGAGTCAGGCAGATCACTGCCTCAGTGAACAGGAGTTTGAGACCAGCATGGTGAGGTCATGAGGTCAGGAGTTTGAGACTGGCCAACATGGTGAGGTCATGAGGTCAGGAGTTCAAGACCAGCCTGGCCAACCTGGTGAAACCCTCCCTCTACTAAAATACAAAAACTAGCTGGGTGTGGTGGCACATGCCTGTAATCCCAGCAACTCAGGAGGCTGAGGCAGGAGAATCTCTTGAACCTGGGAGGCAGAGATTGCAGTGAGCTGAGATCATGCCACTGCACTCCAGCCTGGGCAACAAGGTGAGACTCCATCTCAAAAAAAAAAAAAGAAAAGAGGGATGGGGTTTCATACTGTCACCCAGGCTGGACTGAGGTGATACAGTCATGGCTCACTGCAGCCTCAAACTCCTGGACTCAAGTGGTCCTCCCACCTCAGCTTCCAGAGTAGCTGGAACTGCAGGCACTGCTACCTTGCCCAGCTAATTTTATTTATTTATTTATTTCAGAAATGGGGTCTTGCTATGTTGCCCAGACTGGCCTTGAATTCCTGAGGTCAAGTAATCCTCCCACCTTGGCCTCCGAAAATGCTGGGCATTTTTAGAATTTCTACAGTGAACATGTTTCACTCTGTTACTGGGAGGTGGTAGGGGTACCTAAAGAATTCTAATTTAAAAACCAAATAATGACCCACACTCCAAGAGTTGCCTTCCCAGGAACCCCTTGCCCCTCCCAGGCTGAGATGGGCCCCCCTGTCTGGACTCCTGCAGCCCACAGTCTTTCCTTTCTCCCACCTCTTTCTGTCTCCATCTGTCAGCTCCCTTCCTGGTGGCAGGGCCTGGCCCTCCTTGGTGAGACTTTGGGTGAACAAACACTCCCTGCTGAAGGAGGCACTCTCTGGGGGGTCTGTTCCCCTCACTTCATTTCCTTTTTTTTTTTTTTTTGAGATGGAGTCTTGCTCTGTCGCCTAGCCTGGAGTGCAGTGGCGAGATCTTGGCTCACTGCAATCTCTGCCTCGCAGGTTCAAGTGATTCTCATGCCTCAGCCTCCCAAGTAGCTGGGATTACAGGCGCCCGCCACCACGCACAGCTAATGTTTGTATTTTTAGTAGAGACAGGGTTTCACCATCTTGACCACGCTGGTCTCAAACTCTTGACCTCGTGATCCACCCGCCTCGGCCTCCCAAAGTGCTAGGATTACAGGCGTGAGCCACCACGCCCAGCCTGTTCCCCTCACTTCATTTTGCCCACTCCAATTCAGAGACAAGAAGCAGACCCAACCTCACCCTTTTGGCCCTATTGCCACCTTCCACACCATCCTGATGCCCCTTTGAGGGTACAGGGGTGGCTATAAAAGGAGAGGCTGAGTCCCCTGATGACCCAGACCACACTCTCAAATGAGCTCCAAAGTTGGAGCGACTTGACCTTTTTTTGACCTTCTTTTTTTGTTTTTGTTTTGAGACAGAGTCTCACTCTGTCACCCAGGCTGGAGTGTAGTGGCGCGGTCTCGGCTCACCCTCCACCTCCCGGGTTCAAGCGATTCTCCTGCCCAGCCTCCTGAGTAGCTGGGGCTACAGGTGCGTGCCACCATGCCCAGCTAAATTTTGTATTTTTAGTAGAGATGGGGTTTCACCATGTTGGCCAGTCTGGTCTCGAACTACTGACCTCAGATGATCCGCCCGCCTCAGCTTCCCAAAGTGCTGGGATTACAGGCGTGAGCACCTGCGCCCGGCCTTGACTTTCAAAACAGGCAAAAAGGAGGCAACTGCTGTAAAGACACTGATTGACCCTTGTGAGGCTTATTCCCGATTCAAACCTTGGACGTTCTGCACTTGGTTTGTGTCCCCGAGCGGCCACCGTACACCCTGGTTCGGGGGTCTAGAGGCATGAAAATGAGCCATGGATGGGCTGTGGAAATGGCCACGTCTTGAGGCATCTTTGTAATTTGGAGGTGTTGAAAGATGTGACAACCTGTCCGATGGCGCCATTCCAAAGGCAACGGTGCTAAAAGCTCCGAAATAGTCTCTGTTCAAAGGTTGTCTTCCAAGTCCTGCAAAATGCCCCTCCCTCACCAGCCACTTGGCCACACGCTTTTGCATTTGATGCCTGTGTCCTGCCCGCTTGCTCATCTGTGGCATCCTGGGATTTGTGCTCAGGCACATGGCTGGGGCTCTGAGAGCCCCGATCGCAGCCTTTCAGATGGGCCTTTAAAAAGGCACAGCTCTGAGAGATGCCAGAATTAAATTGGAGGGCAAACCCCATGCCTAAAATAAAGACTGTGGGAACTGCTTTCTTCTGTACCTGGGGAATCAAAGTGTTTTCCTTTAAAATCGACCTAACTTGGGATGGATACCTTTGATCAGCGTTGTCTGGGTCCTCACGCCCTTGACTGACAACGCGCGCTTGATGCCATAGAAGGGATTGAGTTCCATGCAGTGGGGAGCCGGGACCAAAGCCCTGGCCCATGACTTGGTGGTGGGAGGAGCCTCAGCAGCTGGAGCAGAGTGTGAGGGACGGGGGAGATTGTGGGTGGCAGATTCTGGGGGTGAGAGGAAGCCACAGAAGCATTTTCTTCTTTTCTTCTCTTTTTCTTTTCTTTTTTTTTTTTTTTTGAGACAGAGTTTCACTCTTACTGCCCAGGCTGGAGTGCAATGATGCGATCTCGGCTCACCGCAACCTCTGCCTCCCAGGTTCCTGCCTCAGCCTCCCGAGTAGCTGGGATTACAGGTGCCCACCACCCCACCACACCTGGCTAATTTTTGTATTTTTAACAGAGACGGGGTTTCACCATGTTGGCCAGGCTGGTCTCAAACTCCTGACCTCAGGAGATCCACCCACCTCACGCTCCCAGAGTGCTGGGATTACAGGCGTGAGCCACTGCGCCTAGCCCATGGGAGCATTTTCAATAAGAGCATACCAAGTTTTCCACGGTGCATTCCTTTCCCAAAATGTCCGCCCCTGCTGCAGAACAGGGATGCCATCTGGCCCTCTGCAGCACTGGCTTTGTCACAGGGCCAGCCTGTAGAGGGCTCGGGGGTCACTCCTGTTTTGGGAGCCACAGGCTGTGCTTGAGCTGAGGTGACAATAACAGTCCCCCAGTGCTGCAGGGCCATTTCTGACTACCATTGTCCCCAGGCCCCTACCTATTGCTGGCCCTGTCTACCTATTAGATGACCCAAGTTTAAGGAAACAGCCTCTGAATTTTTGACTCCCTTTAAAGAAGTATATTTCTTTCCTTTGAGAATGTTTTCTTTTCTTGCTTTGAGGAGTTTGTTTGTTTGTTTGTTTGTGACAGAGTCTCGCTCTGTCACACAGGCTGGAGTGCAGTGGCGTGCGTGATCTCGGCTCACTGCAACCTCTGCCTTCTGGGTTCAAGCGATTCTCTTGCCTCAGCCTCCCGAGTAGCTGGGATCACAGGCGCCTGCCACCATACCCGGCTAATTTTTGTATTTTTAGTAGAGACAGTGTTTCACCGTGTTGGCCAGGCTGGTCTTGAACTCCTGACCTCTAGTGATCCACCTGCCTTGGCCTCCCAAAGTGCTGGGATTACAGGCGTGACCCACTGCACCCAGCCTGTTTGTTTTTTGAGAGAGGGTCTCTCTTTGTCACCCAGGCTGGAGTGCAGTGGCATGATCATAATTCATTGCAGCTTCGAACTCCCAGGCTCAGGTGATCCTCCTGCCTCAGCCTCCTGAGTAGCTAGGACTACAGGCATGCCATCATGCCTGGCTAATTTATTTATTTATTGAGTAGAGATGGGGTCTCACTATATTCTGCAGGCTGATCTTAAAGTCCTGAGCTCAAGAAATCACCCAAGTTCAGGAGTTCGAGACTAGCCTGGCCAACATGGTGAAACCCCACCTCTACTAAAAATACAAAATTAGCCAGGCGAGGTGGCGCATGCCTGTAATCCTAGCAACTTGGGAAGCTGAGGCAGGAGAATTGCTTGAACCGGGGAGGTGGAGGTTGTAGTGAGCCGAGATCGTGCCATTTCACTCGAGCCTGGGTACAAGAGCAAAATTCTGCCTCAGAAAAAAAAAAAAAAAAAAAAAAAAAAAAAAAAAAAACCAAGAGTGGGATTACAGACTCAAAGGGACCCAGCTTAAAATCCCATGTCTACCACTGCAATTTGGGCAAACCTCTTGCCTTCTCTGAGCCTCAGTTTTGTCATCTGCAAAAGGTGAAACCAAACCCAGGGGACATTGGCTCTTCTGATCACATGGCTTAACAGTGACGCCTGAGAGTCTGTGCTGTGCGGGGCAGCCAGACACCCAGGAGTGGCTCAGGGAGGAAGTGAGCATGTCCTGGAGACAGAGGGGGACCCCAAAGCCCAGGAGAGGAAGGAATGGGTAGGACATTCCGCACAGCCGGAACAGCACGGGCGAAGGCGCCGGAGTGTGGCAGGCTGACGTCTACGCAGGAGTGGGCGAGTGAGGGCCAGAGAGCAGCTGAGCGGGGCTGTGCAGGTCCTGGGAGGCAAGAACTGGATCCTCCAAGCCAGGGACTTTCCATTTTTCTTAGCAGTGGCCCAAAGTTAAGAGATGCATGTTTTAGCGTGACCCTGTCTGAACCCAATTGTATGAATATAACTGAAACTAGAAGGTCGCAAACAGTGCCCTTACTACGCATGAAATGCTTCATGTTCTATTTTTTTTAATTGCTTGTCTTGACCCCGTAAATTGATTTCAGACTCCTTCCTGGGTCTCCTCCAGCAGGGAGCCCCTGCCGGTTCAGGCAGGGCAGGAGCAGGATGAGTTTGTGGATCGCTGGGGACTCAGAGCCACAGAGACAGCCCTGGTTGGGCAGGAGAGGGGACTGGATGGGAGCTGTTGAGTTGGAGGGATGGGGGCGTTGTGCAGGTGGTGGGCAGGTCTGATCCTGAACATCAGTGATCCACAGGAAAGCTGCCAGGTGGGCACACAAACACGTGGGGGCACACCCCGCCAGGGACTCACTCGGCATGTGGTCCCCGCGCCAGGTGTGGGAGGATAGCAACTCCGCCCAGCTCTCAAACTCCAAGTTCAAGCAGCCACAGATTCATAAGAAGAACCGGAAAAGGAAGGACTCAGGCACCCGTGGGCGGTTGACAAACTCTTTCCCAACAAGGGTGGGAGAAGAGCAGCTGGAGGCTGAAGGCAGAGGGCTGTTCATGCCCCCAGCCCTGCACACACCACACCCCTGAGGGGCCTTCAGCCAGGCCAGGCCAGCGCCCGGGACAGGGACAGTGCCCAAGTCTGGGTCAGGGAAAGACCCCTGGGGGTCCTTCTGTGCCTGGACCATCAGGGCCTATGTGCCCTGCACTGAGGGCATGTCATTTAACCCGGCAGAAGGGTATAGGGCTGGCATTTGCCTTTTAAAAAAAAAAAAAACAGAGATAGCTCTTGTCACCCAGGCTGGAGTGTAGCAGTGCGATCTCGGCTCACTGCAATCTCCGCCTCCTGGGTTCAAGCGATTCTCTTGCCTTACCCTCCCAAGTATCTGAGACTATAGGCTTGTGCCACTACACCCAGATACTTTTTTGTATTTTTAGTATAGAAGGGGTTTCACCATGTTGGCCAGGCTGGTCTTGAACTTCTGACCTCATGTGATCTGCCTGCCTCGGCCTCCCAAAGTGCTGGGGTTAATAGGCATGAGCCACCACACCCAGCTGGGATTTGCCTTTGTAGATCCCCAAGGAGGACTCCCTGTCTCATTCTTGTCCCTGGGGAAAGGCAGCCTGGCCCGTGGCAAGTAGCTGGGTTCCAGGTCCCAATTAATCCCACCACAACCCCTTAAGGCTGGCATTGTTGCTCCCCCTGTGTTGTGGGGAGACACTGAGGTCAGAGAAGTAAAGCCAGCTGCCCAAGTTGCACAGCCTTGAAGTGGCAGAGCCAGGAGCCGCATCCAGGCCTGTTGCCTCCAGAACCTGGGCTTTTCCCAAACGCCCCCGCTCATCGCCCCTATTTCTGGCCAGGCCCAAGGCTTCCTCACAGTGTGGGAGGGACTTCCCTGGAGCTGCAGAGAAGTGAGGGATGGAGGGTGTGTCACCCCCCAAAACACAGTCTCCTGTAAAGCAGGGTGGGCAGACTAAGCAGGGATCCACGGCGCTGCCCAGATGAGATGTCTGCGCTTGCAGTTCTGTGGGGGTGGGGAGGCACAGGAGAGGAGTTGAAGACTCAAAACAAACAGCCAAGCCCGGGGACGGGGCGGGGGCCCTCCCAGACACCGTGTGGCAACCCTGCCTCTGATGGCCCTGCTGCCCTCCTGCTCCACCCCTCCTCCCCCATGGTCCTCACTATGGGTGCCCTCTCCCCTCTCCCTGCACCATCCTATCCACATTCAGCAGGTTCAAGAAGCTCCTGTTCAGAAAACTCCCCCTGGGCCAAACTCCCTGCCCCTGCAGCAGGGCAGGCCAGGCAGGAGAGTTCAGGTCCTCACCAGCCCCTCCTCACTCTCTGCCCCAACTCTGCCCTCCCTGAGCCTCAGGGGTGCTCCTTGCAGCCACCTCCAGGCCCCGCTCTCCACAGGGCAAATCTCAAATCCTCCTAAACTCTCTAAGTGGAAGGGAAGTTCTCAAATCCGTTCCCTGCACAGAAAACACCTGGGGCTCCTTGAGACGTTTCCTCCCTGCGCCCCAGGACCTGTTCCAGCTCTGCCTGCCCCAGATCCCATGGGACCTGGAGAATAACCAGAAAAGCAGCTGGGAGCAGCTCCTGGGCCCTCTAGGCCCCTTGGTGCTGGGGGATTTCTCCTGGCAAAACTCAGCTCCTCTGGTCACTCTAAGTCAAAGTTCTATGGTCACCGAAAGTCACAAATGCGTCCCAGTTCTTCACATCTCTAACCCTGTGTAACAGACAAAACTTCAAACTCTAAAGCTGAAGTGGTTCCCCAGGCCACCTGAAGCCTGTGTGAGGGTGAGGGGCGAGGTGCCTCTTCTCTTTCCCACCCAGACCCCTTCCTTGTCCGTCCCCACCGGTCAACCTGGGTGGAGGCAGAAAAGACCTGCCTTGTCAGGTGCGGGGGAGGCTGGCCCTGGGCTCTGCGTGCTTGCGGTGTTGCGTGGAGTCCGTTGGGGCCCCCACGGAAGTGGGGGATTGCTAACTGGAATTCTGTGGCTCTCACTCCCTCCTCAGCCCCCGGCGTCTGGTATCCACCCTGGTCTTCCTCTCCAGGCCGTGGGCCCCTCTAGGCAGCTGCATGAGCCAGTCTAGAAGGACACTCAGCCAGCTCACTGCCCCGGACCACGTTATCCCATGGGGACATACTGCCTTTGCCAGAAAAGGGACAAAGCATGATGCAGCCACACCACGCCCTGGCATGAGATAGATAGCGGCCGAGTGCCCTCACTCAGGGAATACTGCTCAAGTTCAGCCAGGGTCCCGCTAAAGCCCCTCTCAGCCTGGGGTGAGAAGCAGGCACCCCCGGGGCAGGCCGGATGCCCTGCAGCTCTCCCCAGCCCCCTCTACACCCACCTTCTGTGACCCCGTGGTCTCCATGTGATCCTGGAGCCAAGTAGCCACTTGTTGGCCATCTGGTGGTGAAAATTTGTGAGGCCCACCAGGGTTCTGACAAACCTCTTATTAGCATCTGATGGCTACTGTGCCCAGTGCCAATGTGAGCACCCCCTGCCATATCTGATGACAGCTTCCCAGCCTGGGTGCTGGCTCTTCTTCCTCAACACAGCCAGACCAACTGGGGTCCGAAGCCTGGCCCCACCACTCATGATCTCTGTGGTTTTGGGCCTTTAAGATCCTCTGCTTTTTGGTTTTGGTTTTGAGATGGGATTTCACTATGTGCTCAGGCTGGTCTCAAACTCCTGGGCTCAAGCGATCCTCCTGCTTCGACTTCCTGAGTAGCTGGAACTACAGGCGTGTGCCACCACTCCTAGCTAGACCCGCTCCAGAACGCGGTTGCAATAGTTGCCGCCTAGGATCGTCGTGGTGTTTAATTGACATAGGACCTGTGTCACACCAAGCCAGGATACAATTCCTGTAATTTTTCTTTTCCTTCTGTCTGTGGGTTCCTACTTCTGGGTCATGGACACCCTCTAGACCCCCGGGCCACAAACCCTGCACCCCAACCTCATCCCAGGCAAACTCAATGCTCCCCATACCAGCCCTTCTGCCTCAGGCTCTTTCTGCTCCTTCCCTTTTGGACTGGGGATGTTGCCACGGCAGGGAGCCCCTCCTGGTCTGGGACAGGGCCTGTGACCTAACTGGTACCCCTTCAATGTTTGTGGGAGGCACAAACAAATGACAGCTGAAAAGAATTTGTGGACTTGGAAATGACCGTGAAACCTATCAGCACTGTGCCTTCACGGGGGACCGCTTCTAGTTGGCAGCCAACTAGGGCCTAGACCTCTACAGCCTACACCCCTGAAGGGGCCTCTGGGAGGCACGGGTCCAGGAGATGGGGTGGGAGCTGGGCAGTTGCAGGATTCCAGCTCTGGGGTGCTGATGCCCCATTGAAAGGAAGGTGCAGGCCGGGCGCGGTGGCTCACGCCTGTAATCCCAGCACTTTGGGAGGCCGAGGTGGGCAGATCACGAGGTCAGGAGATTGAGACCATTCTGGCTAACACGGTGAAACCCCGTCTCTACTAAAAATACAAAAAATTAGCCAGGCATGGTGGCGGGTGCCTGTGGTCCCAGCTGCTCGGAAGGCTGAGGCAGGAGAATGGCGTGAACCCAGGAGGTAGAGTTTGCAGTGAGCTGAGATCGCGCCATCGCACTCCAGCCTGGGCGACAGAGCGAGACTCCATCTCAAAAAAAAAAAAAAAAAAAAAAAGAAAGAAAGAAAGAAAGGAAGGTGTAGGTGCAGGGGAGGTGGTGAGCTACATTCGCAGGCCAGAACCCAGAGGTCTTGGCTGTAACTGCGGACCTCCTCTCCTCCCCCGGGTTTTTTGGCCTGACGTCTCCAGACTGGACGTTGTTATTGACTGAGCTCGTCAGAGACGGCTTCCTCTCTTTACTTTTTGGACACAGCAGTTTCATCAGAGGTCTGAGGTTCTCGTTTCGAAGCCTCTCCTCGCTGTGGCTGATCTAAGCCAGAGCAGTGCATTGTCATGAGCCTAACTCGGTGACCTTAAAGAAATGAATCCCAAAAGAATATAGAACAACGGACGTCTGTTTTTATAGATTTCCCTGGAATTGTAAAGATCGGCTTAATTGCAGTAGCAGAGTTCATCATTTTCTAGAAGGATACCTCAGACAGGGAGAATTTTTAAAGAAATTGGTCTGAAGTCTTCCTGCCCAGGACAAGCAGGAAGGTTTCATGGTGCTGACAGTGTATCTGCCCTCCCCCTGGAGTGGCCTCTTAGATACACTGTGAGGAGGAGCAGGAGGCCCCGGGTGAGGATATGGAGGTCACAGGTCGAGGGGGCCACAGGGTAGGTACACAGAGGGGGCAGTGGCCTGTGAGTGCTGTGCAGGGCTGCTGGGCAGGGTCGGTGGTGATGTCATTTGTGGTTCACTCTACCCCTCTTGTCTCTAAAAAAAAATTTTTTTAATTTAAAAAAAAAAAAATTTGATGCCCAGGCTGGCCTTGAACTCCTGGCTTCAAGAGGTCCTTCTGCTTTGGCTCCTGAGTAGCTGGGATTACAGACACGCGCCACCATCCCAGCCCACCTGGGTCCCTGGGGGACAATATAACAGCCCCCATCTCTATATGCCTACCCTGCCCCTGTCCCATCTCGGATAAGTCCGTGCCCTGAAGCAAGGCTCTTAGTTTTATGACAAAATGAATGTAATGTTATCATTAAACAGCAGCAATCCTGCAGTAGAGTCCGGAGATACAAAGTCCAGGGTAAAATCCCCCCTGCTCCGTCCACCAGAGGGGAGCCCTGGAGGGGGCCCGGGTGCCAGCTCCCTGGAATGACATTTCACAAGCGAGTGTCGTTATGTCAATTACAAGTCGAACCCACTGTGACTGCCGACATGTGAGTCGATTCCCTGGAACTGTGAGTGCCTTTAGTTCTTTGAGGGAGGGTGTGTCTCTCTTTTTCTTTCTTTCTTCTTTTTGTTTTTTTTGAGACGAAGTCTTGCTCTGTCATTCAGGCTGGAGTGCAGTGGCGCGATCTTGGCTCACTGCAACCTCCACCTCCCAGATTCAAGCGATTTTCCTGCCTCAGCCTCCTGAGTAGCTGGGATTACAGGTGCCCACCACCACACCTGGCTAATATTTTTATTTTTAGTAGAGACGGGGTTTTGCCATGTTGGCCAAACTGATCTTGAACTCCTGACCTCAAGAGATCTGCCCACCTTGGCTTCCCAAAGTGCTGGGATTACGGGCATGAGCCAACAGCCCTGGCCAAATTTTTGTTGTTGTTGTTATTATTGTTGTTATATAGATGAGGGCTTTCTGTGTTGTCCAGGCTGGTCTCAAATGCCTGGCCTTGCCTTCTTATGTGACAGGACAACAGGCCTGAGCCACCGCGGCTCCTGATTTTTTTTTCTTTTTTTGTATTTTTAGTAGAGGCGGGGTTTCACCATGTTAGCCAGGCTGGTCTCGAACTCCAGGCCTCAAGCAATCCACCCGCCTCGGCCTCCCAAAGTGCTAGGATTACAGGCATGAGCCACCCTGCCCAGCCTGGGGGTGTCTCTTTAGTGGCTCAACAGGAAGCTCAAAATATCAGCATTGCCAGAATTTTGAGGGATTAACTGACGCACAGGGCCAACTCCATCTCTGTTCCCGCATCTTCCAGAAGGCTGGCCTCCCTTTGGGACCCCCTTCCCAGAGCTCTGGCTCAGAGCTGAACTGAAGAGACCTGGGAAGAGATGAGCCTGGCCTCCCTCCAGCCCCACACCACAGGCAGGGCCCACACCTCTCTTTCCCCAATAAAATAAATCTTGCGGCTCCTCTGAGCATCTCAAAGACACGATCTTCTCCCGATTAACAATCCGGCCTGCATGTTCTTGGCTGCTGGCTGCCGACCTCAATTTAGAACTGTCTGCTGCTCAGCTGCTGGAGAAGGAGGGGCCTGGAGAACCCAGGAGCGCTAAAGCCGAGGGGCCTGTGCAGCTGAAGTCTGGGGCAGGGGGCGGCTGCTGCCCCCAGCCCAGGATCCAAACAGCATCTCAGAGGCCTGCAGCAGGGGTTAGAGCCCCCCAGGCAGGGCTGCTGCTTTGGGAATTTTCAAACTGTTTTCTGAGGTGCCTCTGATGAGTGGGGGGAGGGGTGGCTCCTACAAAACTGGCTTTGTCATGGTCATTGACATCATGATCACAGCCGAAATGGCCCCACGTGGAGCACCTCTGCGTTGTTGGAAAAACTGCTCTCAGGATGTTGCCTGTTATACTGTAAAAAACCTGACAAATCCTCTCCGAGCCCAGAGTCCGGGAGAGGTTTGTGTCTCCCGCTGCCTGAATGCCTCCTTACTTTGGCACGGGGAGAACTGTGGGCAGACCTGCCTCCCTCTCTGTCTACCGCCAGGAAACGCTTGGGTTTCTTTATTTTGTTTTCCTGCCTCCTTCTTTATTTCTCATCCATCACCAGCTTTCTCTCTTCTCAGGCCTGTGCTTTGATCCCAGGTGGCCTCTTGGCCTTTGGGAAGAAGAGGGGTTGGGAGCGCAGGCTCTGGTGTTCCCCAGCCCTGGATGGGGTTGTAGCTCCACTCTCTACCTGCTGAGGAATCTGGAGCTAAGTGCTTCAACTCCCTGACCCTCAGACTCTTCTTCTTCATAAAACAGGGGCTCTCACTTTGCCTTGGGGTATATTAGGAGAGGTAGAGTGGTGTGCGTAATATGCTTGGCACAACTCCGGCACACAGCAAGTGCAGGAGAGGTAGGGGCTGCACCTGCAGAGGTAAGCTCACACGATGCACGAGACTTGTCTTTCTTTTTTTTTTTTCTGAGACGGACTCTTGCTCTTGTCGCCCAGGCTAGAGTGCAGTGGCATGATCTCTGCTCACTGCAACCTCAGCCTCCCAGGTTCAAGCGATTCTCCTGCGTCAGTCTCCCGAGTAGCTGGGATTACAGGCATACACTACCACACCTGGCTAATCTTTGTATTTTTAATAGAGACAGGTTTTGCCATGTTGGCCAGGCTGGTCTCAAACTCCTGACCTCAGGTGATCGGCCCACCTTAGCCTCCCAAAGTGCTGGGGTTATGGGCATAAAAAAGTTAGCCTGGCTAATTTTTGTATTTTTAGTAGAGACGGGGTTTCACCATGTTGGCCAGGCTAGTCTTGAACTCCTGACCTCCAGTGATCCGCCTGCCTCGGCCTCCCAAAGTGTTGGAATTACAGGTGTGAGCCACCGCACCCGGTCGTGAGCCTTAACAGGCAAGTGGGTGGGACTGAGGCAGCCTCAAGTGACCTGTTGCTCTCTCCCTTTGCTTCCCCTCCAGGAGGACAGTCAGTGACCCACACCGGCCTGCCCATCATGGCCTCCCTGGCCAACACAGCTATCTCCTTCAGCTGCAGGATCACCTATCCATACACTCCCCAATTCAAGGTTTTCACAGTCAGCTACTTTCATGAAGATCTCCAGGGACAGAGGAGCCCTAAGAAGCCAACAAACTGCCACCCTGGACTGGGCACAGAGAACCAGAGCCACACCCTGGACTGCCAGGTCACCCTTGTGCTGCCGGGAGCATCGGCCACTGGCACCTACTACTGCTCTGTCCACTGGCCACACTCCACGGTGAGAGGCAGCGGCACCTTCATCCTGGTCAGAGGTAAGGCTTCCTCTGTGGCTCTTCCAGGGCAAAGGACACAGAGGTTTCAAATGGCAGTTTGGGACTTTGGATCGGAAATAGAGAATGGGGCCAGGCGCAGTGGCTCACACATCCCAGCACTTTGGGAGGCTGAGGCGGGTGGATCACCTGAGGTCAGGGATTCGAGACCAGCCTGGCCAACATGGTGAAACCCCGTCTCTACTAAAAACACAAAAATTAGCTGGGCATGGTGGCAGGTGCCTGTAATCCCAGCTACTCAGGAGGCTGAGGCATAAGAATTTCTTGAACCCAGGATGGGAAGTTGCAGTGAGCCTAGATCGCACCATTGCACTCCAGCCTGGGTGACAAGAGCAAAACTCCATCTCAAAAAAAAAAAAAAAAAAAAAAGAAAAGAAAAGAAATAGAGAATGGTTTGCCTTGTCTACCAGCATTGGCAAAGCAGGCAGACCCACTTCAGGGAGCCCCGGCCTACGGCTGTGCCAGGGCTCCATCTGGGTGTGGAAAGGGCAGGGCCGGGCATGCAGATCTGCTCCTGAACGCCGCTGGCAGGTGACCTAAAAGAGCTCCCTTGGGCCCTTGGTCTCAGTGTGCCATGGGCATCATGGTGGGGGAACTTCTGCAGAACTAGGTATGTGCATGTATGTATTTGTGGGGGCCTCGTGTATGTGAGCACTTGGCTCATGTATAATACACCTTTCCAGAGACAGATCTTTAGTTTTCATCATGCTCTCTCTTTTTTTTTTTTTTTGAGACAGAGTCTCGCTCTGTCACCCAGGCTGAAGTGCACTGGCCCAATCTTGGCTCACTGCAATCTCTGCCTCCTGGGTTCAAGCGATTCTCATGCCTCAGCCTCCCAAGTACCTGGGATTACAGATGTCCACCACCACACCTGGCTACTTTTTGTATTTTTAATAGAGACAAGATTTCGCCATGTTGGCCAGGCTGGTCTCGAATCCTGACCTCAAGTGATCCGCCCACCTCAGCCTCCAAGAGTGTTGGGATTACAGGCATGAGCCAGCACACCCAGCCAGTTTTCATCACATTCTCAAAGGAGTGATGATCCCAAAAGTTATGAGTGAGCCCATCACCAAAGCCCTGATTCTCTGACCTACCTCTGCGATCCCCTGGAAGGAGCTGGGGGCTTCGGAATCCCATAGACCTGGGTTTGAACCTCTGTCCTGCTGCTTGCCCGATGTGATCTTGGGCCTGGTCTTCATGGCGATCCTCTGCCTTCCAAGGACTTGGATGAGGTTGAAGGAGATGGTGCCCATATGGGCTGGTGGCTGACAATAGGCAGTGCTGGGGAAATCATGCTCATGTGCCTGGCATGTGGTTGGCACTCCGTGTGTTTTTGCCAGTCGGATGGATGGATGGGGTGAGGGGAAGGAGGACTGGATGCCAGCAGGAGGGACTGGGGATGGCATGGGGTAGGAGGGCTGGGCCTCACCTAGCCTGGGTGCAGCCCCCTGTCAGTCCCAGGATAAATCCGCCTCCTTCAGCCCTAGCCACATCCACCCGTATTATCACCACCTCACACAGGGAAAAGAAGAGGCCCCGAGAGGGGAGACATCTCGCTCAGGGCCCTACAAGCAGCCCACAGGGGAGCCAGGTCACGGGGGCAGGGGCACCGGAAGAGCAAATGGCCCCTGTCCTTACAGAGAAGCAAGGCAGTGAGCATGAAAAGGAGTGAGGGGACAATGAAGGCCCGAACCCTGGCTCCCAGGGGGCCTAGTGGGGTGTGGAGCGTGTTGGCGGGGTAGCATTGAAAACAGGGTCCTGAGTGAGGGAGAACATCAGGTGTGTGTGCCCCGCTTTCTCCTGGGTCACTGACCCCTCTGCTCCCCTGCGCTTCCTCCTAGACGCAGGGTACCGAGAGCCCCCGCAGAGTCCACAGAAGCTCCTGCTCTTTGGCTTCACCGGCCTCCTGAGTGTCCTGAGTGTAGTGGGCACGGCCCTGCTGCTCTGGAACAAGGTACGGGATCAGTGCTCACAGCCATGCAGCCCCTCCACCCGACACGCCACCGGCTGCCCGCCTGCCCTCTGCAGGGCGTTTGGTGGGCCCTGGTGAGGGCACATCCACATCTGTAACAGGTGGCCCTCGTGGCCCCTTGCACCAGGGCTGGGGGCATCCCTCCTGTGCCACTCCCTGTGCTGCCATGGGGTGCCTTTTGATCTTGTTGCAAGAAACCAGGGCTCTGCAGGCTTTCCCAGGTCCCATGTCCCTCTGAGAACCTGGGAGAGGCTGCAGGCCCTCCTGCCTACCATTTCTAGCTCCCCAGATTAGGGAATCCCTGCTCAGGTTTTCTTGATCCCAGCAGGCTGGAAGGGATGAAGGGGCTACCAGCCACTCACACAGGTGCTCTCCCACACACCCTCCCACTCGCCCTCTCGCACGCCCTCCAGCAACCCTCCCACACACCCTCCCACACACCCTCCCAAACACCCTCCAGCATAGCTCCATGACGAGGTTTTTTCCCATTTCACAGCTCTGGAAGGTCAGGCTCAGAGACGTTGTGATTTGCCCAGGGTCGCATAGTAAGTGTACTGCAGTCAGGGCTAGAGTGCAGGATGGGGTGGCTTGGTCCATTTCCTCACCTGGACGGCTCCTGCTCACACTGTGGGTGGCACCTGCCTGGGGAGGGAACCTCTCTGCTGGGGCTCCCCTCATGCTCATCATCACCCAGCCCTATGGATTCCTGTTCGATGCTGGCCCACCCTCCCTGCCTGGCAGCAAGTGCCAGGAGGCCAGAGGCCGAGGCAGTCTTGTTCAGGGGCTCCTTGCCCAGCACATGGTGGTGCTCAGACAGCATGCTGAGTGAAAGGATGCAGTGCCCAGCGGGTACCAGGTTCTCCCAGGCTCAGGGGTGCAAAGCTGATGGGTCAGGGCTCGTCAGAGGCTGCTGTTAGCAGCTCAGGCTACTGCTCCACCCTCCGGGGACCTTCGGGGCCAAGCCTGGGGGCAGCTGAGTCAGCAACAGCCCTGGGTGTGAGGCGTGAACACTGGCACCATCATTGGGGTCTCCCTGGGTCAAAAAAGGCTCAGCCCCTGCATCTGAAGGCCAAGACCCTACCCACACCCAGAGAAGAGCTCTCTTCCACGGGAATTTATGTGTTCATTCATTCAACAAACACTGAAAACCTACATTCCAGGCCCTGTTCTAGGCACCAGGGATACAGCAATGACCAAACTGAAATCAAGAAATCTCTATCTGAGGCTGAGCACGGTGGCTCATGCCTGTAATACCAGCACTTTGGGAGGCCGAGGTGGGTGGATCACTTGAGGTCAGGAGTTCGAGACCAGCCTGGCCAACATGGCAAAATCCCATCTCTACTAAAAATACAAAAATTAGCTGGGTGCATTGGCAGGTGCCTGTAATCCCAGAGGCTGAGGCAGGAGAATTGCTTGAACCTGCGAGGCGGAGGTTGTAGTGAGATTACACTACTGCACTTCAGCCTGGGTGACAAAGCAAGACTAAGTCTCAAAAAAAAAAAAAAAAAAAAAAGAGAAATCTGTCTGCCAGGTATGGTGGCTCACACCTGTAATTCCAGCACTTTAGAAGACTGAGGCAGGAGGATTTCCTGAGCTTAGGAGTTCAATATCAGCGTGGGTAACAGAGAGAGACCCCATCTCTACAAAACATTTTAAAAAATTAGCCAGTCATGGTAGCATGCACCTGTGGTCCTGGGCTACTTGGAAGGCTGAGGTGGAAGGATCGCTTGAGCCCAGGAGGTCAAAGCTGCAGTGAGCTGTGATCACACCACTGCACTCCAGCCTGAGCGACAGAGGGAGACCATCTCAAAAAAGAAAGAAAGTTTGAGACCAGCCTGACCCCCGTGGTGAAACCCCATCTCTACTAAAAATACAAAAACATTAGCCAGGTGTGGTGGTAGGCGCCTGTAATCCCAGCTACTTGGGAGGCTGAAGTGGGAGAATTGCTTGAACCCGGGAGGTGGAGGTTGCAGTGAGCTGAGATCACACCAGTGCACTCCAGCCTGGGCGACAGTCTCAAGAAAAATAAATAAAAGGCTGGGTGCGGTGGCTTATGCTTGTAATCCTGGCACTTTGGGAGGCCGAGACAGGCGGATCACTTGAGGCCAGGAGTTCAAGACTAGCTTGGCCAACATAGCAAAACCCCATCTCTACTAAAAATACAAAAACTAGCTGGGTATTGTGGCACATGCTTGTCATCCCAGCTACTCAGGAGGCTGAGGCAGGAGAATAGCTTGAACCCAGGAGGCAGAGATTTTAGTGAGTTGAGATGGCGCCACTGCACTCCAGCCCCTGGGCAACACAGCGAGACTCCATCTAAAAAAAAAAAAAAAAAGAGGAAGGTCCGGGTGCGGTGGCTCATGCCTGTAATCCCAGCACTTTGGGAGGCCGAGGCAGGCAGATCACAAGGTCAGGAGACCGAGACCATCCTGGCTAACACAGTGAAACCCTGTCTCTACTAAAGATACAAAAAATTAGCCGGGTGTGGTGGTCACACGCCTGTAGTCCCAGTTACTTAGAAGCCTGAGGCAAGAGAATCACCTAAACCTGGGAGGTGGAGGTTGCAGTGAGCCGAGATGGCACCACTGCACTCCAGCCTGGGCGACAGAGTGAGACTCTGTCTCAAAAAAAAAGGAAAAAGAAAAGAAAGGAAATCTGTTTTCATTAAATTGGCATTCCTGTTGAGGCGAGACCGACGATGCACCACCCAGTGAGTAGGTCGTATATATCAGATGGGATAATTATTGGGGGAAACTCAGCAATGTGAAGGGAGGTCGGCATGGGAATGGAGAAGCACCTGGAATGAGGGAGGCAGGTGCACATCAGGGCTGGGCGTGCCAGTGGGAGAATAGTGGATGCAGGTGCTCTGAGGCAGAAGCGGGCATGGGGTGTCCCAGGAGCTGCATGGGGGCCCATGTGGCTGGTGTAGCCTGAGCTCACAGAGAGTAGACGGATGGGAAGTGGAAGGAGATGCAGCCAGGTAGGGGGCATTGAAAGGACTTTAGCCCTTACTCTATGTGATACAAGGAAGGGGGTGAGATCAGACCTAGATTCTGATGGACCCTCTGTCTGAGTGAGGGACACCCAGTGAGGAGCTACTGCAAAGTCCAGGCAGAGATGACAGGAGCCGGGATCAGGGTGGCCTCAGGGAAGTGGTGAGCAAAGCAGATGAAAGGCTGGAAGCGGACCCAAAGGGACTCGCGCAAGTGGTTTGCTCTGCTCCCTCGGGGGGTGAGGCGCGAGCCGGGGGGTATTTGGATCTGCGCCTGCCCCGCAGGTGTCAGGTGAGCTGTGGACTGGAAGAGCAGGCGAGGAAGCTGAAGGTCAGAGCGTGCCTGAGCCAGAGCAAGTGGCAGGCCTGGGTCTGGAGCCCGTGCCTTAGTTTCCCATCCTTGTCTTGAGGCTGGGGATGTCATCGCTTTTCCAAGAAGGCTCTGAGGTACGAAAAAAGCATGAGCTTGGCGCCTTTCACCCCCGGGAGCCCCAGGGGCTGCATTTCCTGCCTTCTGTGAGCCAACGTCTGGGTCAGGGCCTCAGCCACGATGCTGGCTCCCCTCCTTCCCATGGGTCTGACACTGGCGCGAATGGTCCTACTTTGACCTTGCCCTGTTAATGAGCTTCAGGGTGAAGTGAGTCGCAGGCCTTGGGTACCACTGTGAAGTCCAGGAGGGCTCTGTGCTCCGCCTTGACTCCAGCCCAGCCAGAGGGATGAGCTGAGCCAAGAAGACCCGAGATGGGTGGGAAACACTTCCTTCAGCTTTCATGAGCCCAGGGTTAGGATGGAGACCCACTGGCTTCAGGCTGCCTCCCTCCCCAAGCCAGCACGAGTATGCACCTGCCATGTGCCCGGCCTGGGCCTTTCTTGCACGCCCCCGACTCTCGCCCTCAATATATGCCCTCCCTCCCTGCTTCGGCTTTTCCCATGATGATAGCAAGTAGGGTATCTCTCGATTTGTTCACTACCGAGCAGTCCCCAGGCACTCGAAATGAGGCCAGGGGAGGAGCTGGGGCGTGGACACAGAAACTGGGCTTCAGGCACAGGTGACAAGGGACTCCCCCCGCCTGCGGACCCCCACCCAGGCTTACAGGAGTGACCCACACAAGTGCCCTCTGTGTACACGAAACACAGTAGGCAAGGAACAGAACGGGGCCAGGCGAGATCTTAACCTTGAGCCCCCCATTTGCTGAGCAACGTCAGCTCCTGCCCTACAAAGATGGGACCGGACCGTAGAAACTGGATCACAGTATTAGTAAAGGAGGGGACAAAGCTCAGAGCCCTGGGCTTGAGTTCTGGTCCCTGCTCCCTCCCCTCCAGGATGGCCTCAGTGACTCCTGCCTTCCTCTTCCTCCTCTCACCACCCTGCCTGTGCTTCCAGGAATGTCTGCAAAGTGTCTCGTGTGTGCCATCACTAGGCTAAGTGCCAACAGGGTGAAAGCAAGCCCTCTTGTCAGGTTTGGATCCTCTCTGAGCCTCAGTTTCCTCCTCTGGAAATGGGATAAGGAGGGTAGACCCTGCCCACTAAGTGAACATGGAAGGAGAGCACTTTTTTTTTTTTTTTTTTTTGAGATGGAGTTTTACTCTTTGCCTAGGCTGGAGTACAATGGTGCGACCTTGACTCACTGCACCTCCGCCTCTCAGATTCAAGTGATTCTCCTGCCTCAGCCTCCCAAGTAGCTGGGATTACAGACGTGCGATACCACGCCTGGCTAATTTTGTATTTTTAGTAGAGACTGGGTTTCACCATGTTGGCCAGGCTGGTCTCAAACTCCTGACATCAGGAGATCTGCAGGAGAGCACTTCTGAAGCACCAGTTGGGTGCCTGACACACAGCAGAAGCTTTCTGCTGCCCACACACCCTCTGTACCTGGGGAGAACGGCTGATGTGAGAGCCTGGGCTGGAAGGGAAAGAGAACCCGGAGGCCAGAGCAGCTGCTGCGTTTGCATTGCTAAAGCAGCCCTGGGAGCCCCTGGTTCGCTGTGGATGCCCCTGATGGCAGCGGCAGGATGGGGTAAGGAGAGAGTCCAGGAGAAAGAGGCTCCCTCCAGGCACAGAGGACCCGGGAGCACCTGCAGTGGTGGATAAATGAATTGAAGCTGGAAACTACCAACCAGAAGTGGCAGAGGGTGGACCCGAACCGCGGTTGGCAGCTTTGGGGACAGTGAGGACAAAGAGCAGAGTGTGCGACTCCACTGGGGCAAGTCTGGAAGAATGGCATTGCCTCCCGGGGCAATGCCTGCACCTGACTTCTGCAAAGGCCAGCAGGGAGGGCACGGAGCTCACACCCCCGGGAAGATGGGAGCTGGAGGGTGGTAAGAACTGGTGATGCATGAAGTCTGCCCGGAGGGGCTGGGGCAGGAGGGATGGGGGTAGAGCCCAGGAATGGATGACCCACAGGTGGCACAGTCAGCCCTGCCCGCAGGCCCTTCAACAGCAGAGGCTTCCCAGGCCCTCCTTGTTCTCTGTATTTCGGCACCTGGGATCCCTCCCAGAGATCTCCTTCTTTGCTTTCTGGATCCAGCTCCCATGTACCCAGCTCAGAGAGGCCCTCTCTGACACCATGGCTTTCTTCCCTGACACCTCTTTTGCCTCTGCCCTCGTCATCTGTAGGTCCCCTGAGCTTACTCCATCTCTTCGTCAAGGCCAGCTGTGTGAGGCCGGGTGCCTCTCGGCCTGTTCCCTGCCCAAGCCCCAGCCTCTAGCACAGGTCCCCTGACATAGTAGGCCCTCAATAAACATTTGCTGAAGGGCTTACCATTTATAGGGCCCTTTCACACCTGTCATTAAATTCATTCATTCAGGCTGGGTACAGTGGCTCACGCCTATAATCCCAGCACTTTGGGAGGCTCAGGTTGGCTGATCACCTGAGGTCGGGAGTTCAAGACCAGCCTGGCCAACATGGCAAACCCCCACCTGTACTAAAAATACAAATTAGCCGAGAGGCGGAGGTTGCAATGAGCCGAGATTGCACCACTGCACTCCAGCCTGGGCGACAGAGCTGAGCACCTACTATGTGTCAGGCCCTGTACAGAGGCTGGGAACACAGCAAGCTAAACTCTTAGCTGGGGAGATCAGCTGTTATGCTGTCATGACCTGTTCAGGAAGAAAGGAAGTAGAAATCAGCAGGGGGCTTAAAAGCACAGAGTTGGGCCTTCGTTCAGTTCCAGCTCTGCCACTTACCAACCTCTGCGAGCTTGAGCTGGGTGCTCCAGGCTTCGGTTTCCCCAGTGGGGATGCCAAACAGAGGAGCTGTGTCATGGGGTTGTAGAAGGCACAGAGGGGGCCGGGCGTGGTGGCTCACGACTATAATCCCAACACTTTGGGAGTCCGAGGTGGGTGGTCACAAGGTCAGGAGTTCAAGATCAGCCTGGCCAAGATGGTGAAACCCTGTCTCTACTAAAAATACAAAAAAAAAATTAGCCGGGCATGGTGGTAGGCTCCTGTAATCCCAGTTACTCGGGAGGCTGAGGCAGAGAATTGCTTAAACCTGGGAGGCGGAGGATGCAGTGAGCCTGGATTGCGCTACTGCACTCCAGCCTGGGTGACAGAGCAAAACTCCATCTCAAAAAAAAAAAAAAAAAAAAAAGAAGGCACAGAGGGACCGGTGTGGGTCTGAGGCGCTTTGAGTACCAGGAGAGGTCTCTCTCTTGAGAAGGCAGCAATCGCCATGATTCCTGCCATGAGAGTAGGTTTGGGGGCTCCTGCCTGACTTGAGGGGTCAAAGTGGTGTTCCCAGAGCAGGCGCTCCCTGCGGCTGGCCCGTCCTCATCCTCATCCTCTCATGGCATTGGGCACAGCAGGCCTCCCGCCTCACAGCACACTCCGCCTCTTGGTACCAGGACAACATGCCCTCCTTGTTCTGTCCCACCCCATAGGCAGCTTTGCTGGGTCACCCCCCTCTTGGTGACCTCTAAATTCTGGCACATCCCGGGCCCCTTCCTCCGAGCCCTTCCGCGCTCTGTGTGTGCTCCTGCAGCAAAGTTTCTGCTCTGCGGGTGGCATTCCCTGTCCACAGATGCTGCTGCTCAGACCCCTCCCCAAGCTCCAGACCATGGTCCACAGCCCCACGTGGGGGCCTGAGGGTGCCGCCACCTCATGCGTCCAGAGCAGTGCTCAGTCCCCGAGTCCTCTGCGTCCCAGCACACGTGCTCCAGATGCTCAGGCCCAAGCCTTGGAGTTGTGCTCGGCTCTTCTCTCTCCCCACATCCATCCCTCAGCAAGCCCTGCACTCAGTCTGTCCCGGATCCAGCCCCTTCCCCGGGGCTTCCTAGGCGTCCCAGGCTGGGCTCCATCACCCTCTCCTGGAATATAGGTCTCTGCTGCCACACCCTGGCTTCTGTCACAACCTGGCGTCTGTCTTTATGCTGTCTGTCCTGCCATAGCATAGCCCCTGTAGGCGGGGGACTTAGTGTCCCCAGCACCTGGGGGAGCCTGGCACGCAGTGCATGCTTGTGGAAGGAATGACAGGATAAATGCATGCGAGGACCTGGAAGATAAGGCAGAAGTGGCCAGGATGTGAGGTGGGCAAGGCCACATTATTGCTCCCATTTTACAGAGCAGGAAGCTGAGGCCCAACAGGCTTCCTGAGCTGCTGATGGCAGCACCCCTGGTGTGCACAGCTGGATCTCAGCCCAGGCCTGGTGACTCCCTGTCCCACCACCATCTACTAGGGAGGGGAGACTTGGACCACAGAGAGCTGGGCGTGTTGGGAGAAGCCACACTCGTGATTCATCTGAAAATCACAGTTGAAAGGCAAATGTTGGCCCCGAGGACAGAGCGCTCAGTGGGCAGGGATGGGCAGGGAGCAAAGCAGCCCCACCCCCATAATGTAATGTGAGTTTTCAAGAAGGCTCCCTCCCTCCTCCACGGGACCCCTTGCCCCGGCCCAGCCTCCCCAGCACCCCCAGGAGGCCTCTCTCCTGGAGATCCTGCCTCCTCCCCTTGCCAGCCCCAACCTACAGTCCACCCCGCATCTGTGGCAGCAGAGGGAGGTTTATACAATGCAACTGCAGCCACTTCCCTGGTGGCCCCCACTGCCCTTCGGGTAGACACCATGGCATTTGGCCTTTCGTGGCCCCACCCGTGCCAGCCTGTGGCTCATCTCCTCCTTTCTGTCTAACTGTCCATTCTTCTGTGCATCCATGACACTCCTGCCCCCGAGCTGTTCGCAATGTCTAAGATACCTTCTTAGACTGGGAGAGCTTTGAAGTTCCTCCCGTGTCTTCAGAAGACAGCGCAAGATGGCCCTGAGACGTCTGCTTCAGTCCCCTGCAGACTTGGGGCCCCTTCTTGGGATCCCCAGTGGCACTCACTTCTCTGGCAACCCCATCAGTCTCACTGACAGAGCCTCGAGGCCAGGCGTGGGTCTTGTTCACCACAGGGTCTTCCATGCCCAGCCCAGGCCCAGCGCGTAGGAGGGCCAGGGAGGGACACCAAGAGCTAACTGAGCTCCAGGGACCTTGCTTTCCAGCCCCGGCAGGTCCAAAGAGCTGAGCCCAGGTCAGCCTCGCGGGAGACCCACTGCCCATGAGCTCACATCCTCAGCCCTGGTGGTGTCCAGGTCGGCCAGCTCAGCGAAGAGACAGACACTAGGTCCCCAGCTGCCTTGACAAGAGGAGGCACTGAGGTGCACTGGGGCAGACCACTACCTCTGACTGTGACGGTGCCCTCAAGAAGCAGGTGGTGCAGGGGAGGCAGCCCTGGATTTGAGGACACACATCTGGGTTTGATCCAAGGACAGCCTTTTACCAGCTGGACAAGCCTCAGCTTCCCCCTCCTGTTTTTGTTTTGTTTTGTTTTTGAGATAGAGTCTCACTCTTTTTGCCCAGGCTGGAGTGCAATGGTGCAATCTCAGCTCACTGCAACCTCCACCTCCCAGGTTCAAGCAATTCTCTGCCTCAGCCTCCCGAGTAGCTGGGACTACAGGTGCTCACCACCACACATGGCTAATTTTTGTATTTTTAGTAGAGATGGGGTTTCACTATGTTGGCCAGGCTGGTCTCGAACTCCCGACCTCAAGTGATCCACCCACCTTGGCTTCCCAAAGTGCTAGTATTACAGACATGAACCACTGCACCTGGCCCCCTGTCTGTTAAACGGGCAATTCCATGCCCACCTCCTCTGGCTGTTATGAGAATTAAATGAAAATAAGGACAAGTCCCAGCAGACTTCGTAAACTGTCAAGTGCTACACAGACGCCAGCACTGCTCTGTGTCTGTGAGGCTCACACGTTCTAACTAAGCAGAGGAGTCAAAACTCCAGCTCCTGTCTCGTCAATATCTTGGTGAAACACAGACCTGGATTCAAATCTTGCCTCTGCCACTTCCTGGCTGCGTGGCCTCGGCAAGTCACCTGCCTTCTCTGAGCCTTCACTCCCTCATGTACAGAACAGAGAGGATGGAAAGATTCACCTGCGGTTTGTGGAGGGCGCGTGAGAGAAGGCAGGTCAGGTGTTGAGAACCCTACCTGGCTCCATGCTCTGAGCCATTATGTGCTGTGACTGGGGGTGGCGCCGGCTTCTGCCTGCGAGTTAAGTAGCTCTCAGCAGCTAATCCCGCAGTAAATGGGCTGGGGTTTGGCAGGAGGCCAGGGTTTTTAATTAGCTTCTGCCCTGAGATGAGGCAGTTGTGGCTCCACTGTCAGCAGTGGCCGTGTGGTGCCTGCAATGAGGGGGGATGTCCAGGCCACCTCCCTCTGCCTCCAGAGGGCTGCCTGTACCGCCTCGTGACTCCCCAGCCTTCACCTTCCCAGCAGGCCCGGCCCAGCCTCCACTGTGACCAGCGGGAGCTTTCTCCAGCACAGCTCTGACCCTGGCGCTCCCACTTCGAGCCCTCAGATGTTTCCTATGCTCTTCATGCAGCCAGCACGGCCACGCCACGCCTGCCCCTCCCAGGCAGGCTCCTCTCTCGGGCCACACACTGACCTTCTCTCTCTCTCTCTTTTTTTCTTTCTTTCTTTTTTTTTTTTTTTTTGAGATGGGATCTCGCTCTGTCTCCCAGGCTGGAGTGCAATGGTGTGATCTCGATTTACTGCAACCTCCGCCCCCTGGGTTCAAGCGATTCTCCTGCCTCACCCTCCCGAGTAGCTGGGATTACAGGCGCCCACAACCATGCCCAGCTAGTTTTTATATTTTTAGTAGAGATGGGGTGTTGCCATGTTGGCCAGGCTGGTCTCAAACTCCTGATCTCAGGTGATCCACCCGACTCGGCCTCCGAGTCCCAAAGTGCTGGGATTACAGGCATGAGCCACCGTGCCTGGCCTATGCTGACCTTCTCCACGTGCCTCCAGACCTCCAGGCCTTGGCACCTGCTGTTCCCTCTACCTGAGGCTCCCTCCTCCCTCTTTTGCTAAATGAACTTCTTGCCCTCAGGATTTCACCTTCAATATCGCTTCTGCCCAGTGGGGCATTGGTTTCCTCCTCATGTGCCAGAGGCTCTGTGCCTGGCAATCAACCCACATACCATGTTTCGGCAAAACCACTGGTTCATCCTCCATCTCTTCACTGGTCCCTAAACTCCAGGAGGGTAGGGACGGTGCCCACCTCCTCACACTGCCTGGCTTGCCAGTGCTATCAAGTGTGTGTTGGTTGAGCAAGGGCCTTCTAAGCAGCACCTCCTAAGCACCAGGCACCTACTCCTTGTGCCCTCATTGTAACTTTGCATCAGTCTCACAAAAGAGGGTTATTGCTGAAGAAACCAAGACCCATGGCCGGGTGCAGTGGCTCACACCTGTAATCCCAGCATTTTGGGACGCCAAGGCGGTGGATCACCTGAGGTCAGGAGTTCGAGACCAGCCTGTCCAACATGGTGACACCTCATCTCTACTAAAAATACAAAATTAGCCGGGCGTGGTGGCACACATGCCCGTAGTCCCAGCTGCTCAGGAGGCTGAGGCGGGAGAATCGCTTGAACCCGGGAGGCAGAGGTTGCAGTAAGCTGAGATTGCACCATTGCACCCCAGCCTGGGCAACAGAGTGAGACTCCATCTCAAATAATAATAATAATAATAATAATAATAATAATAATAATAATAATAAATAAAACCAAGGCCCAGAGGGGAACTGGCTCGCTCGAGGCCAGAGCCAGTGACAGCAGAGGAAGACTGGACACTGGACCTGGCTGGCACCACTAGGGGCCCACCCATGGCTGCTGGCTCGGTCCCTGGGGCCCTGCCCCACTGGCACTGGTCCCAGTAGCTTGGGTCCCTACCAGCCAGGTGCTCTGTCCAGGGACATCACCTCGTGTGGGCCTTTTCCATTTCCTGTGTCTCCAGGTGCAGGAATGGCTTGATGCAGGTCTTGTAGGCATTTGCCATGTTTCCCTGGAGAGGGTGAGTGGGAGGGACTGAGTGATGAATCTCTGTGTGACCTCATGACAATCTGCCATCCTTTCCCCTGGGGGGTCTGTGCGGGGAGGAAGACGAGAGCCACTCATCCCTGGCCCTGACTCCTTTCTCCCTACAGAAGCGGATGCGGGGTCCAGGGAAGGACCCCACCAGGAAGTGCCCAGATCCAAGATCTGCCAGCAGCCCCAAGCAGCATCCTTCAGAATCTGTCTACACAGTGAGTCCCGGGGCCCCCGGCTCCCTCCACCTCTTTCAGGCCTTAGGCAGAGTCTGTCTTGTACCAGGGTCTGTCTGGCTCAGTCTTGTACCAGCTGTGTGGACTCTCCTAGCCTCAAGTTCCTCATCTATAAAATGGGGATAACAATTCTTACCTCATGGAATTTCTCTGAAGCTGAAAAGAGATGACACGTGCAGGGCTCCTGGAAGGCATACGAATGTCAGGTGCCCCCCATGCCCTGTTCCCCTCCTTGGCATGGATCCTCATTCTGGGACAAGGGGTAGTGACGGCACAAGTTGGCGAAGAATGAAGAAAGCTCCTTCATCTGACCAAACAGCTCTTACCACTTCCTCCTGTTTTTATTGTATAAACAACAAAAATCACAAAAAGAGGAAGAGGTCAGGCGCCATCCCACGCCCTTAACACATCAGTGATTTGTAATGATTTGCTCTCTCCCCTCCTGGCACATGCAGATATTATCTTACATGGTCACAATCACAGCGCAGACATGCGTTGGGACCCTGTTTGTTCCACTCTCTGCTGTGTTGTAGGCATTTTCTGAAACAATTTTCCTGGAGATGTGGGTGCATCTCCAGGAAGTGGAAGGTGGGTGCAGCGTAGGGGCCGAGGAGGCCAGGCTGCCCCAGCCTGGCCAGCCAGCCAGCATGCAGCCCTCTGCCCAGCGGCTGGGGCCGGGGAGGGCTGGGAACACTCTTTTTGCTACGTTCCTTTCGGCTCCACGAACAACATATGCTCCAAGTAGAGCAAGGGAAGAAGAAATGCCACCCAGTGCCAGCTGGGGTCCCCATCTCGTGAGATCTGGCACCGCCAGGTGGGCTCCCCACTCCACGCCTGGAAGGCACACAGCCCTTCTGGGGCCCTGCAGGTTCCCAGGTGCACGCTCCCCAGGTGCACGCCCCCCAGGTGCACGCCCCCTGGCTGCGATGGTGCTTGGGTTCTGCTCGTACGTGCTGTCGTTTCTGTTCCCACAACATTGACTCACCCTAATAACGCCACAGAACACCACACAGAGGACGCCCAGGATACAGCCTTGTCTGCTGAGGATGGGGCGGGTGGCAGCGAGGCCAAGGAAATGTCCCTGTGGGGCAGTGCCAACAGTTCCAAGTGGAATGTGATGGTTCTCAAAGGGCTTTCAGCTTCCCCATCCTGGGGAGTTTCTGTCAGCCACGGTTTTGCACGTGGCCGGAGACTTCCTCATACTCTCTCCTGTCTCCCAGCATCTCATAGTGGTATTTTCCCTACCAGGGATTCTGGTGTCAACTGTTAGATGAAAATATTTCTCTCTCTCCCTCTCACTCTCACTTTCCCTCTCCCCCAGCATACACATATGTGAGATATATATATATATATATAAAAGAAGAAAATAACCAGCATCCTAATCCCATCTTCTTCCAGGATAAATACTAAGAACATTGACTAATATATTTTCCAGTATTTTTTCTATAAATATATACAAAGAAACCCATACGCACTCACACATACTTCTTTTTTAATTGGAGCAATACAGCTATTTTTTTCATGAACATCTTTCCACGTGAATAAATATCTTTCTATGAGATTATGTTTAACGGAAGAGCTCTTTTGAGCAGAGCTTCTTTTTGCCTGGGTTTCACAGCCTCTAGGATGCAGGCCGACTTCTCTGGAGTGAGGTGAACAGACCTAACTGCCTGCAGAGTTGCAGGCCAGCTTGGAGAGTAGAGGTCATAGAACTTTGCCAAGCCCTTGACATAAGGGTCTACCAACTGGGATTGGGCCTGGGCGGAGAAGAGTGACAGTCACAACGATGATGGTATCAAGAGCCATTTGTTGTGTACCTACTATGTGCCAGGGATCATGGCAGGACTTTACACCTGTTATATTTTATCAATCCTCTTGATAAGGTTTTAGGGTAAAGGTTTTGTCCCCATTTTCACTTTCTTTACTTTTCTTCTTTTCTTTCTTTTTTTTTTTTTTTTGAGCAGAGTCTCGCTCTGTCGCCCAGGCTGGAGTGCAGTGGCACGATCTTGGCTCACTGCAAGCTCTGCCTCCCAGGTTCATGCCATTCTCTTGCCTCAGCCTCCCAAGTAGCTGGGACTACAGGTGCCCGCCACTGCGCCCGGCTAATTTTTTTGTATTTTTAGTAGAGACGGGGTTTCACCATGTTAGCCAGGATGGTCTCGATCTCCTGACCTCGTGGTCCGCCCACCTCAGCCTCCCAAAGTGCTGGGATTACAGGTGTGAGCCACCGCGCCTGGCCTTCCTTTGGATTTTCTACGAACCCAGTCATGTCATCTATGAATAATGCAAGTTTTACTTTTTCCTTTCCAATCCTCATTATTTTATTTTATTTTTATTATTTATATTTATTATTATTTTTTTTTGAGACAGAGTCTTGCTTTTGTCGCCCAGGCTGGAGTGCAACGGTGCAATCTCAGCTCACTTCAACCTCTGTCTCCCCTGTTCAAGCGATTCTCCTGTCTCAGCCTCCTGAGTAGCTGGGATTACAGGAGACCACCACCATACCTGGCTAATTTTTTTGTATTTTTAGTAGAAATGGGGTTTTGCCATGTTGGCCAGGCTGGTCTCGAACTCCTGACTTCAGGTGATCCACCCGCCTCGGCCTCCTAAAGTGCTGGGATTACAGGCGTGAGCCACCACGCTTGGCCTGTTTTATTTTTTTTTTTGAGACAGGGTCTTTCTCTGTCACTCAGGCTGGAGTGCAGTGGTGTGATCTTGGCTTACTTCAACCTCCACCTCCCGGTCTCCAGCTATCTTCCCACCTCAGCCTCCCGGGTGGCTGGGACTATGAGTGTGAGACACTGCACTTGGCTAATTTTTTAATTTTTTGTAGAGACAAGGTCTCACTATATTGCCCAGGCTGGTTTTGAGTTTTTTAATTTTTTGTAGAGACAAGGTCTCACTATATTGCCCAGGCTGGTTTTGAGTTCCTGGGCTCAAGTGATCCTCCCACCTTGGCCTCTCAAAGTGCTGGGATTACAGGCGTGAGCCACCGCACCCGGCCCAATCCTTATACCTTATTTTTTTTCCACTTTATTGCACTGCCTGAGGCCTCTGATACAATGATGGTGAATAGAGGTGGTGATAGCAGGTATCCTTGTCTTGTTTCCCAGTCTCCGGGGAAGGTTTTTTTTAAAATATAGTCTTCCTTCTTTGGGTGGATACTTAAGTAATTTCCTATCTTTCTTCTTTTCTAATTTGTGCACTTACAGTATGAACTTCCCTTTGATATGGCTTTAGCTGCATCCCACAAGTTTTGATATGTCATGTTTTCATTATCTTTCAGTTTAAAATTTCCATTGAGAATTCTTCCTTTCCTCACTGGTTACTTAAATGTGATTTGCTTAATGTAATGTGGTGGCGCACATCTATAATCCCAGCTACTCAGGAGGCTGAGGTAGGAGGATTGCTTGAGCCCAGGAGTCTGAGACAGTCTTGGCAACATAGCAAGACCCCATTAAAATTTTTTTTTAAATTAATAAGGATCAATAAGGACATGGAGGGCTGAGCGCAGTGGCTTACCCCTGTAATCCCAGCACTTTGGGAGGCAGAGGCTGGTGGATCACCTGAGGTGGGGAGTTTGAGACCAGCCTGACCAACATGGAGAAACCCCATCTCTACTAAAAATACAAAAAAATTAGCCGGGCATGGTGGCACATGCCTGTAATCCCAGCTACTCGGGAGGCTGAGGCAGGAGAATTGCTTGAACCCGGGAGGCGGAGGTTGCGGTGAACCAAGATTGCGCCATTGCACTCCAGCCTGGGCAGCAAGAGCGAAACTCCGTCTCAAAAATAAATAAATAAATAAAAATAAGGATATGGAATATTTTATCAACATGATCAACAAACTTGGCCTAATTGACATATATGGAATACTCATTCAACCAGGCATGGTACGTGTTATTTTCAAGTGCACACAGAATATAAACTGAGCCATAAAGCAAGTCTCAAAAAATTCAAAAGGATTAAAAACCATACAGAACATACTCTCTGATCACTGTGGAATTAGGTAAAAATAAAAACACCACATAGCCATCATATAATTAGACATTCAAAACTGTTGAATGAGTACTCTCATTAAGGATTAACAATTGATCCTTACTAATTAAACTTTTTTTTTTTTTTGGCTGGGTGCAGTGGCTCATGCCTGTAATCCCAGCACTTTGGGAAGCTGAGGTGGGCAGATCACGAGGTCAAGAGATCGAGACCATCCTGGCCAACATGCTGAAACCCCGTCTCTACTAAAAATACAAAAAAAAAAAAAATTAGTCAGGCGTGGTGGCGGGCGCCTGTAGTCCCAGATACTCAGGAGGCCGAGGCAGGAGAATCGCTTGAACCTGGGAGGCGGAGGTTGCTGTGAGCTGAGATCATGCCACTGCACTCCAGCCTGGGCCACAGAGCGAGACTCCGACTCAAAAAAATAAAAAATAAAATAAATAAATAAATAAATAATTTTTTTCATGAGTTCTCACTATGTGGCCCAGCTGGTCTTGAACTTCTGGGTTCAAGTGCTCTTTCTACCACAACCTCCCGATTAGCTGGAATTACAGGTGCATACCACCACATCTGGTTCTTACTGATTTTTTTGGCCTGTTTTCTCAATTTTTAACAGAAGTTAGTTAAAATCTGCCAGTATGATTGTGGATTTGTCTATTTCTTCTTTTAATTATTGTCAATTCTTGCTTTTTATTCATGTGGAAGAGTGCTCATGGCATATTATGACATGAAAAAAAAAGCTTTACTACTTCAATTTGTTTTAAAAAAAACTTGACCTATTCTTTGGGAGGCTGAGGTGGGTGAGTCACCTGAGGTCAGGAGTTCAAGACCAGCCTGGCCAACATGATGAAACCCCCTCTCTACTAAAAATACAAAAATTAGCCAGGCATGGTGGTGCACACCTGTTGCCTCAGCTGCTTGGGAGGCTGAGACAGGAGAATCACTTGAACCTGGGAGGCAGAAGTTGCAGTGAGCCGAGATTATGCCACTGCACTCCAGCCTGGGTGACAGAGCGAGACTCTGTCACAAAATAAATAAAAATAAATAAATTTAAAAATAGAAGAAAAAACTTGACATATTAAAAGCATGAATTCGGGGTGGGTCAGACAAACCCACCAAAACCCCCATCCGAGCCTTGTTCTTTTGCTTACTGGGTCTGCTACTTAAACTTTCTGAGTCTTAGTTCCATAATCTGCAAAACAGGGTTAACAGTACAATATTGGTTTACAGCTTGCAAACATGCTGTGATTTCTTCCATCTGAAATTCCTTGAGCCCGCATCCCCCTCCAGCTCCCTGCCGTTTCTCCACAGCACCTTAGAACAGAGTTCCTCCAGCGTTGACAGAGCCCTCTCACCTTCAGCCCCTCTCCCTCTCCTTTCTGTTTCTCTCTACAGGCTTGCAACCCTCCTCTTCGCCAGAACCTTCCTTCTCAGGGTCACCATTGACTCCACATTGTTAAACCAATGGGCAGTTCTCGGTCCTCACCTTCCTTGATGAATCAACGGCATCTGACACCCTTGAGCTCTCCCTCCTCCTCAAACACACTTTCTTCACTTGCTTCCAGAACATTCCACACTCTCCTGATCCTCCCCTGCCTCACCATCACACCTCCTCAGCCCCTTTCACTTGTTCCTCTTCCAGAACCAGTGGAACCCTGAACTGTAAAGATTGGAGTAAATGTTGGAGCCCATCCTGGGACCCTTTTTCTTCTTCATTCCCTTCACTGGGTGATGTCATTTAGCCACAAGGTTCTGAAGACCATCTATATCCTGACAACTCCCAAGTTTATATTTCCAGCCCAGACATCTCCTCTGAACACCAGAGTCAACCCCACTTGAATGTCTAAACAACATCTCTCTCAAACCAAACTCCGATTTTTTTTTTTTTTTTTTTTTTTTGAGACAGAGTCTCGCTCTTGTCACCCAGGCTGGAGTGCAGTGGCGTGATCTCGGCTCACTGCAACCTCCGCCTCCCAGGTTCAAGTGATTCTCTTGCCTCAGCCTCCTGAGTAGCTGGGATTACAGGTGCGCACTACCACACCCGGCTAGTTTTTGTATTTTTAGTAGAGATGGGGTTTCAACATGTTGGCCAGGCTGGTCTCGAACTCCTGACCTCAAATGATCCGCCTGCCTCAGCCTCCCAAAGTGCTAGGATTGCAGATGTGAGCCACTGCGCCCAGCCTCGAACTCCAACTTTTTACCCCTCTGAGTGCCTCTTACCCACGTCTCCTCATCGCTGCTCCATCCTTCCCGTTGCTCAGGCTGGAAATGTTGAAGTTGTTCTCTCCATCTGTGTTTCAATCACTGCCCATATCTGATCTATCAACAAATCTTGCTTCAAAACGTATCCAGAATCCAGCCCTTCTCACTGCCCCAGCGCTAACACTGGTGGGAGCCACTCCCGTTTCTTGCCTGGAGTCCTGCAGTTGGTCTCTAAGCAGCTGGTCTATTTTTATCCTTTCCCCTCCCCATGTCCCCCTACCCCCACCCCCAAGACCCCTGTTCATTTTTCACCTGGCAGTAGCCAATGATCCTGGTAAGCCATCGACAGATCATGGCCCTCTGCTCAGAGCCCTCTGAGACAGAGACACCAAGATGGGGTTAGGTGAGCAAGGGGTTTATTAGAGAAACCCTCTGGGAGAGAAGATGAGGAAGGGGCTGGGGAAGACTGGGAGAGCAGCCCCTCCGCGGAGCAGGTCTGATCCCAAGGGAAGGAAGCCCCTAAACCGTCACACTGCCTAGGGGTGTGAGGAGTGCCCAGGTCAGAGGCATGTGGCCTCCATGCAAATGTGGTAACAGGTTTCAAGGCCCAGCAGCTGGGCGGTTTTGAGCCCTTGGTCAGTTCCGATCCCTTGAAGTGGAGGTCTGTGAAGCAGTTCTTACGACCGCCACGGTCCTGCAGAGGTTCCCCTCTCACCAAGGGTCAAGGTCAGCGCCCTGGGCCTCTGTGCTGGCTATTCCCTCCGCCCCAGGGTGGCCTTCCTGACACTGGCCACGGCTGCTCCCTCTTTTTTTTTTTTTTTTTTTTGAGACGGAGTCTCACTCTGTTGCCCAGGCTTGAGTGCAGTGGCACAATCTTGGCTCACTGCAACCTCTACCTCCCGGGTTCAAGTGATTCTCCTGCCTCAGCCTCCTGAGTATCTGGGACTACAGGCACCCGTCACCACGCCCGGCTAATTTTTGTATTTTTAGTAAAGACGGGGTTTTGCCATGTTGGCTGGGCTGGTCTTGAACTCCTGACCTCAGGTGACCTGCCCTCCTCAGCCTCCCAAAGTGCTGGGATTACAGGGGTGAGCCACCACACCCAGCCCGCTCCCTCATTCTTTCAGCTCTCTACCCTCATGGGACCTTTCAGTGCAGCATTTTCCTGACTTCCCTTTCAAAATTGCCCCCTCTTCCCTTTCCTGTCCCATCCCAACCTCCCTATCTTCCTTCTTTGAGTCTCTCCAGTGCCTTCATGGCTACCTTTTACTGTGATTATTGTCAATCTAGAGCCTCCTGGCACCCAGCACACAGTAAGTGCTCAGGGGTCACCTACTATATGATGGGCAGAAGCCTGTTCTTACCTCCCAGGGTGTCCGGGTTTCCACGGGGCCCAGCACAGGGAAGTGGGGACACTCAGTAGCAAATGTGAGGCGTCAGGATGTGATCTGCGTCCTCATTCAGCAGCAGTACTCAGAACCCCCACCCACCCGGCGGCTCTGTCCCAGCCCAGCCTGGCCCAGCATCCTCGATCTTACTCTCAGCCTCCAGGCCCTCCTGCTCCCGTTCCTGCTCTGAGCTGCTGCCGGAGGGACCTTTCTAACACACGACTCTGATGCATGGTGAGGAAAGCCTTCAGGGGCTCCCCATTTCCACTGCCTGGTCTAGAGCTGAATTGCTTCTCCACGGAGTGTGTTCCTTCCCGAACAACACCCCCAGATCTCACCCATCACCCCCAATGCCCAGGACTCTCAGACTAGGTCCAGGCCCAGGGACACTAACTTCAGCTCTGGCCTCAGCCTGCCTGGAGAAGGCCTCAGCATTGACTTCACACCTCTGCCAGTTGGATGATCACTGGGGTCAGCACCATTGCCCACTGGGCAGCAGGAGGCAAAGGGCCTGGGGGGCCTGGATCCCAGACAAACAGCCGCAGCCCAGCCCAGCCCCCAGCCCAGCCCAGCCCAGCCCCCCAGCCCCCAACACCCAGCCCAGCCACAGCCCAGCACCCTCCCAGACCCCAGCCCCCAACCCCCAGCCCAGCCCAGCCCCAGCCCCACAAGTGGCCCATTCCAAGGCCTGTGCAATCTCCCAGCAGGCATACCTAAGGGAGGGCCAGGAGGGGATGGTTCAGGAGCTCAAAGGGTGTCCTGTTGCCAAGGCTGCACCCTGCATTTCACAGCCTGGTGATGCAGGTCATACCCTGCATATAAATGCACCCAGCGGGTCAGGACTTGTCAAGGCCTCACTCAGCAGCTGCTAATTGGTGGCCACCTCCGCAGCCTCCCCTGTTCTCAGCCCCGCAGCTGCTCCTGCCCTGCCCACTGCACCACCGCCCACTCGCCTATTCCCCGACTCCCCCACTGTATGGGTTGGGGGCCTGCAGCATCCCAGGGCAGGCTAGTCTTCTCTGGCCCTGCATCACCTGCCCTCTCTGGGCTCATGTGTTCTGGGCAGCCCGGCTGAGCTGGACAGGAGGGAGAGGGAACCCCAGATCTACTCCCCTGCCGAGACATGGGCAAGGAGACTGCTCCCCTCCCTTTTCTCTGTGACCAGAATCATCCAGCTCAGAGAGACTGTCAGATCTGTGAGACTTAGAAGGGGTCTGGGCCTGGGTGGGTGGAGGGTTGGGGGCACAGGACCACAGAGGAACATTCCCATCCTGGGTGCCAGACCAGCTGGGGTGGCTGGTGCTCCGGACAGGCACGAAGGCCGCACAAGGCAGGGCAGGACTTGGAAGTTTCCCTCCATTCCAAATGAGGCTTCTTCCTGGGGCAGCCCTGGTCCCTTTCCTACAAGGAAGCAGGTTGGAAGCCCCTCTCCCCAGACCCAGCCTGTTTCTGGCTCAGAGACCCCTTGAACTCGTCCTCAGGGCCGCCCCACCATCCCCATGTCTGATGCCCTTGAAGTGAGGGTCTCCCAAGTGCCAAATGGTTTATTACTTGGATTTTCATGCCCAGCTGCCTCTTGGCGCCTGCCTCCCTCCCTCCTTCCCTCCCGCCTCCCGCCCTCCTCCTGCCTCTGAGCACCACCTGTCTCTCCAGCCTGCCTCAGCAACCCCTGCTTGCCTGTTGCCAGGGAAACCGCCTCCTTGGCAACCAGCCGGCATCCATATGACACGTACACTCAGGAAGGAAAGGCTTCTGCTCTTGCTTAGGCTGTTGGTGGGCTCTGCTCCGGAGTCCAACAGGTTCTGAGGGAGGGTCTGGTCTGTGATCCCAGAGAGGGGAGGTGGGCAGGCCTCATGCTTCTCTTGACCATTCAACAGCAGTTTATTAAGCACCTACTACTTCCCTGACTGTGTGTGTGGCCCTTTGTGCACAGTATCTCATTTAATCATGCATTGAACCTGCAAAATAGATGTGATTATTCCCATTTTACAGACGTGGAAACTGAGGCATGGAGCGGTTAAGGGGTTGCCTTTGGCTGGCGCAGTCAGAGCCGAGATTCGAACCTACTCTTGTCTGACTTTAAAGCCCCGGTTCTTTCTACCATCCTGAGGTCTCTGGCTAGGCCTTTCTTAGCTGGGCCAAGAGTGAGTGGGCCTAGGACACACCCGAGTGACGGGGAAGCCCCCTTACCATAGCTCATTTGGTGCTGCTCCCTTTGTGCCAAGCACAGCTGTAGAATCAGAAACCCAGAGATAGACTAGGCATGGTCCCTGCCCTCAAGGGGTTCCCATCTGGTGAGATGCTGGTGGGAGCAGGACTCCGACATGACCCAGTGCAGGAGCCGTGAGGCCAGGGACAGGGCCTCCAAGCCCAGCTGAGCTCAATACTGACTCGGGCTTCCTGGGAGGAGGCTTGGGCTATGGGGGGACCGTGGTCAGAGAGTGGGTGGCAGGAGCTTGAGACCTCCAGGGAGGCGCATATGGGTGATGACAGCAGCCCAGGTGGCCCAGGAGGGGTGGCTGAGGGGAATGAAAGGAAAGTGACAGGCAAGGGGGATGAGGGGTGTGCTGAGAACCAGGATTGGACTCTGGAATCCCCCAGCAGGGCACAGGCTCGATGACCAGGGAGTGTGACCCCAGTGGGTGCCTGGGTTATCCTTGAATACAGGCTGGGGTGGGGGTTGGGGAGAGCTAGAGGGTATGGGTGGGTGGGAGGACCCTCACAGGGGCCGGGGCTTTGAACAGGGGGGTGAAGGCAGAGGTCATGGGGGCATCCTATTGGAGCAGTGGCCACAGGTATCATGCAGGGGGCTGCTGGCTGCCAAGCCCTTAAGAGCCTAGGGACAGGCAGGGACAGCAGGAGGAGGCCTGGCCCTTTCTCTTGCCAGCCAGGTGGAAGCCTGGATAGAACCCTCCAGGTGGAATACAAGGCTCTACTGGAGGTCCTTAAGGGAGGTTAGGGAGGTGGCCGAGAACAGAGAGGGGTCAGCCCTTTACAGGCAGGGAAGGGGAAAGGTGACTCTGGGAAAGGGGGTGGCAGGTGCAAAGGTGTGGCTGGGCTTCACCCTCCCCTGGGCTCCCACGGTGGGGTGTGTAACAGGCAGGGGGCTGGCTGCTGGGGCCAGGGACTGCCCCTCTACACACTTGCCCCTGATCCTGGCACCCCGTTTCCTGTAGGCTCTGCAGCGCCGCGAGACCGAGGTCTATGCCTGCATCGAGAATGAGGATGGCAGCTCACCCACCGCCAAGCAGAGCCCCCTCTCCCAGGTACACAGGCGCTGGGGCACCAAGCCTGGCTTCTTGCTCCATCTGACCCTCCCATCACTGGTGAAGTGGGGGGGCAAATGGGACATGGAAGTGAGCCACCTGCTGTGGAATCCCAGCCATCTCCTGGTGGCAGCTGGCCTGCTGGTTAAGAGGACTGGTGCGTTTGAGTTCCTGCTCTGTCCCTTAGCCACTGTGCAGCCCTGGCCGAGGTGTCTGACTTCTCTGTGTCTGAATCTCCTTGTGTGCAGATTGAGCAACCTAACAGTACCCACCTCATAGATGTTCAGTGAGGGTAGAATGTACTGAGAGAGCTGCCTGGGACCCAGCTGTGCCCATGCACTATGAGCCACTGTAACTATCACTGGGCACAGTGTCCACATGGTCAGTCAGACAGGGGTGTTAGGCTTCCAGCTGCCCCCAGGTTGGTGTTGGCTAAAGTCTGGAGCTAGAGTGTGAGCTGGTAGAAGCTGGGCTGGCCTGGTCAGGGTTCTGTGATTGTCATGATAGGGCCTCAGGCATATTACCCAATCATACTTTCTCTCTTTTTTTTTGTTTTTGTTTTGTGTGTGTGTGTGTGTGTGTGTGTGTGTGTTTGTTTGTTTTTGTTTTTGTTTTGAGACAGAGTCTTGCTCCATCACCCAGGCCAGAGTGCAGTGGCGCGATCTCAGCTCACTGCAACCTCCACTTCTCAGGTTCAAGCAATTCTCCTGCCTCAGCCTCCCGAGTAGCTGGGATTACAGGCGCCCGCCCCTGTGCCCAGCTAATTTTTTGTGTTTTTAGTACAGACAGGTTTTCACCATGTTGGCCAGGCTGGTCTCGAACTCCTGACCTCATGATTCACCCACCTCAGCCTCCCAAAGTGCTGGGATTAAAGGTGTGAGGCACCGCGCCCGGCCCATACTTTCTCTCTTAAACCTGTTTGCTCATCTGTAAAGTGGATGAGCAGTGTTTTCCTGCAATACCAACTGCCTCTGAATTCAAATGTGTTCCAAGCTGAATAACATCTGCACCAGAGCTTCCAGCACCGTCAAGCGTGAGGCGTTGTTCAGCCAGAACAGGAGCCCACAGGCCTCTTGGAACATCTGTCAGGGAGTGCGGGCGCCTGGCACTTGGCCTTCTCTGGCTCGGGCTGGCACTATTTGTTAAATCGCCTGTTCTCAAAGCCCTTTCTATACTCAGCCCTCAACTAGACCCTGAGTGAAAGCAGGGACATCTCCGGCAGTGCCCACCCTGTGCCAGGCCCTGGGGTGCTGGACAGGAGAACTAGGCATGTCCCTACCCTCTGGGAGCCATAGTCTGCAGGAATAGGTCGCTGACCCCATGGACACACAGAGGCATTTGTAGCCCTGTTGTGAGGGGTGTTCTTCTGGGAGGGACCAGCCAGGGTGGGGAGGGAGGGAGGGGGTCCCTGGGACCCTATGATGAGCCCGCAGGCAGAGTGAGTAGGGGGCAGTCATGGAACAGGTGTGTCTGTGGGAGGAGGCGCATCCCACACATAGGGCAGAAGGCAGAGGGCAGAGCTGTGGGGGAAGCTCTGAGGCTGGAAGGGCAGGCCCATGTGGCTGGAGGGCAATGGGCAGGGGTGGGGGCAGCATGGTGGGGGAAGAGGCTGGGGAGGTGGGCTTGGAGACAGAGGGCAGGCCCCCCATCAAAGCTACACAGGAAGTGATCTGTTGCCCTCTGGCTAAAACTAAATTAGTGCAAGTTCATTCTTAATGGTCATTCTCTCTCTTTCTCTCCTTCCCTCCCTTTCTTCTTTTCTATCCAGGAGAGACCGCATAGATTCGAAGATGATGGCGAACTTAACCTGGTCTATGAAAATCTCTAGGATGGGCTCCACCGCTCATAGAGCTTGCCCTGGGTCAGAGGACCGGGGCAGCCCCTGCCACCAAAGGACTTGATCTGAGTTGGGAGTAAGGCCCCCAGGGACACCCCATCATTTCACCCTCACATTCAAGGCCCTTCCTGTCTTGGCCGGCCCCACTGCCCCCCCATTCTATGCCCCAACCACCAAGGCTTTCCCATCTTGGGGCCTTTGCCCAGGCTGTTCCTTCTGCCAGGCAGGCCCTTCCTCCCTTGGCCCAACCAGCAAAGCGCCCCTCAGTCTTCAAGGGCTTTCCTGGATGCCACCCTTGCCCAGAGCCCTGCTCACTGCCTCATGCTGACAGAGCAGCATGCTCTCTTGGCACCAGCCTGCACCTCAGCCAGTAGGGCAGCCTCTGAGCTGAGGGAGGACCCTGCAGGGGCGCCTAGCAGTGCTGTGTGGGGAGCCGAGGTATGGAGGAGCTGGGGAGCAGCTATGCAAATCCCTACCTACCCAGCTGGGCCAGAGGCACGAGGCAGCCAGGCAGGGTGGGAGCAGGGGCTGGCGTGGGAGGTCTGGGGGACAGACAAGGATGATGGACCCCTCAGAGGCAAGACTAGGATCAGGGACAGATCTGGAGGCCCAGGACATGGCTGAGAGGTGGTCAGCAGGCTGGGGGCATGGAGCAGAGAGGGCTTGGGTACAAGCTGGAGAGGAAGGAGATTCTGGCATGTTGGGGTGAGGGCAGAGGGACAGATGAGGGGAGGAGGGTGCTGGCTAAACAGGAACTGAATGAATGGCCTGAAGCTCCCTCTCCCAAGGGTTCCCACTCCCATTGGCCTGGCCCTGTACGTGCACTCTGTCATCTCCTTGGTCACCCTCTGCTCCAGGCCTTCTCCACCACAGGACCTCAGCTGTCCCTCCTTCTACCCAAGGTGGAGTCCCCCAAAGTCCCTTCTGTCTGGCCTATCCTGTGCCCACCACCTGTGGCTTCATCCAGCCCTCCTCCTCTATCTTTATCTGCCATAGGCCGCAGCCCTGGCCCCCTGTGGATTGAGGTCCCAAGTGGTCCAGCTGTGGGGTTTGGTGCTGGGACCCTCAATGGCAGCCGGAAGGTCCCTCTGAGGCAGAAGCTCAAGCCCCATGGGGACAGTGGCTCCCCAGTGCCTGGCCCTGAGCCATTTCTGCTGTTTCAGGTGCCCACATCACCCTCATTTCCTCCTCGCAGTAGCCCTGCACCGTGGCCAGAAACCCATCCACAGGCAGGCAGTGGCTGGGGTCCGGGTGCCCCGGGCTGTTGGGCTCTGCTTCCTCCCTCTGCTCCCCCATGTCTCCCTGAGTTCTCCCACCTTTGCTCATTTGTAAAATGGGCAGGTCAATCTTCCCACCCCACCGTGTGGGCTGCCCCAACCCCAAATGTGCCCAGGGAGGGGGGGGAACCCAAGGCACAGGCCCCGCCCCTGCCCCCAAGCAGCACTGGGCTACTGGCTCACAGAAGCACCTTTGGTTCTGCAGGTCATGCCCCTCCCTGCAGGGAAGGGAAAGCTGGTGGTAGAGGCTGGGCACAGACTGACGTCCAGAAGAAGTCCCTTGGCCCTGCTAGGGTGGCACCAGACTTCTCTGGTCCCACAGGACAGCCAGTGGCCTCCCAACTTGGTTCTGGGCCCCCGCCTGCAAGCACACATGGCAAGGAGGGCTTTAGCAGGCTCACATAACCGAGTGGCAAGGCCCCTGCTCCCAGAGGCTGGATTTGAATGAACTCCGGGCCTGTTTGGGGAGGTGAAGCTGCCAGGTGTGCACAGGGGCCTCCCAGGCTCCTGGCTCCACCAGCCAAGGAGGTGGGGGCAAGGGTCAGGGCAATGGGGGACAATGCCGCTCAGGGTGCAGTGAGCTCCCCTGGGAAAACCGAAGCCAGCAAGACCAGGAGAGGGCCACCTCACTGGGCCTGCCTCCCCCACCTCCTGGGCCTCTCTGACCTCAGCTCCTAGACCCTGGACCCTTGGCTGGGACTCAGCATTTTCCAGTCTTTTTCAGGGGTAGACAGGGGAGCCTGGGTTAAACTTTACCACTGTGCCCTGGCCCAGGCATCACCAACACGGCCTCCCTGCAGCTGCCCTGCCACCGACAGACCCCGATTAAACCCACACCTGGCCTTGGCCTCCCCTGCTCTATACCTTGCATGGTTTTTGCCTCACTTGGAATAAAATTCCAACTCCTCCCTGTGGCGTAGGAGGTTCTTGGGGGCTGACCCATCACCCCTCTGGTGGACAGAGACATTGCCAGCGTGGTGGTCGTCTGTGCTTGGTTCAGGGCAAGGCTGGGAGGCAGTGGGTGCTGAGGTCTTCAGTGAGCAAGGAGAGAGGCAGGGAGGAGGAGGAGGAGGAGGAGAGCACAGCATGAAAGGACGGGACCCTAAAGGGCTTTGGCCCAAGGGAGGGTGGGGCAAGAATGTTCTGAGACTTCTGTGGGCAGCAAAGAGGACTGAGCACCTGTTCTCCAGCCCCCAGGACTGAGAGCCTGCAGAGACAAGCTGGCACAGGGCGAGGGGTGGCAGGGAACTTCAGGGTGGGAGGTGCATGGGGCAGGCGGGAGGAGGAAGAACAGAGAGGGGACAGAGAGGGTATGAATGGGAGCTCCTGGGGTGCAGGCTTGCTTTCCACTATGAATGGGTGGAGGAGGGAAGAGAAGAAAATTGCTTTTGAGACCCACCCAGGCTGGGTGGCCTCAGGGCCTCCCTTGAATCCCTGCTCCACCTCCCACAGCCTTGTGGACTTGGGCAAGTCACTGGCCACCTGAGCCTCAGTTTGCAGTGACAGTCAAGACAGCTCAGGCCAGGCGTAGTGGCTTATGCCTGTAATCCCAGCATGTTGGGAGGCCGAGGCGGGTGGATCACTTGAGGCCAGGAGTTTGAGACCAGCCTGGCCAACGTGGTGAAACCCCGTCTCTACTAAAAATACAAAAATTAGCCTGGTGTGGTGGCACGCACCTGTAGTCCCAGCTACTCGAGAGGCTAAGGCAGGAGAATCTCTTGAACCTGGGAGACAGAGGTTGCAGTGAGCCGAAGTGGCACCACTGCACACCAGCCTGGGCTACAGAGCACGCTCTGTCCAAATAAACAAACAAACAAACACTACTCAGTGTCTCAGAAAGGACAGAAGGGGACTCCCTGGCTCAGGCAGAAGCTCAGTGGGTGTGCATTTCCTTCAAGACTCGTCCTTCAGAAGGAATAGGCTTCTGGGGCAGTACAGAGGAGTCTAAGTGAGAGGCAGGCCTCCCTGGGAGCTGGGCCCAGGCTCTCTGCAGCCATGCCTTTAAGGAGTGCCTACGGGGTAGCACGATCAGATGGACAGGCCAGGGCTGCCCAGAGCTGGGGGTGGGAGCAAGGTAAGCAGAGAGGTGAGGGAAGGAGGGTGCTGGCTTAGCAGGAGCTGAATGAATGGGCCTGGAGGGGAAAAGCTAAGGGGGATGGGGTGGCTTGAGTGGAGTAGGTGAGGCCTAGGTGAAGGGGAGCTGTGGACCTTCCAGGACGGACGGATGTGAGCAGTCCTGAGTGGGGACTGGAGTTAGGGTGGGGAAGGGAAGCCCCAGGCAGCCCCTGCAGGCCCCTGCCCCTGGGCCCTACCGCAGCAGGGCAGCCCTGTCTCTGGGTCTCAGCTGATGCTTCCCTCTGCCCACTGGCCCCTGACCTGGTGGGATTTCCCACCATCTCTCCCGGCCCAGCCTGCCCTGCCCTCCTAGGTCTTCCCAACCTCCCCTCTGCAGAAACATCTCAGCCACGTCTGGCACCCCCAGGCATCCCTGCCTGCCTCTAGGAAGTTGACCCCTTCAATGGGTTTCAGCCTCCAACCCCACCCCCGCTTGACTCCTGCTCTGTCAGCACTTGCTTGAGAAAATCATCCTGGGAAACCAGCTTCTGGGAGCAGGGGCCTTGCCACTCGGTTCTGCGAGCCTGCTGAAGCCCTCCTTGCCACGTGTGCTTGCAGGCGGGGGCCCAGAACTAAGCTAGGAGGCCACTGGCTGTCCTGTGGGACCAGGGAAGTCTGGTGCCACCCTAGCAGAGGGCCCATGGACTTCTTCTGGAGGTCAGTCTGTGCCCAGCCTCTACCACCAGTCCAGAACTTGCAGTGGGTGCGGTAAACGGTGGCCCCTCCTCAGCAAACATTTCCAGGGGATTCTGGCAGCAGAGTTTCCATGGGAACATGTGCTGGTTCTGCGCTGAACCCGGTGTGGCTGGGGTTCCCTTCACAGCCAATATTGCAGGAACTGAGCCTGGTGGCCTCGGCCAGGGTAGGCAGTGCTCTTTGGCCACCCAGTGTCACAAACCTGAACTCAAGTTACAGGCAAAACCTGCTTTTCCTTTTTCTTTCTCTCTCTCTCTCTTTTTTTTTTTGTTAAAGCACATTCTAATGTAAAGTCCATGCTCCATTCTAAAGATGCCTCTGGGATTTCAGGGATGGATTTTTATGTAGTTCAATAGTTTTCTTGGCAGACAGCTTATGCAGGAGAGGTGGGCCGTTGGCTCAGTCCAGCCAGGCTGAGTGGCGTCACTCCATTCCTTGCAATGCCAGGGGATGTCATTTGTCCACCTGAGGGGGCTTCCCCAGTCTCCCTTCCCTGACCTGTGGTCAGAATGATGGCCTCAGCCTTGACTGAGCGCGGGTCAGGCCAGACTCTCTGAACTTGGTGTTGGCGTGTGTTTTGTGTGTGTCTGGAGGTGACATATGTGGGTGACAGAAGCATATGTTACAGTGAAACATTAAAACTACAGCAAAGTGAAACTCCTCTGATGCACCTGCCACCTCCCAGCCTCCATACCCGTCCCCTCCCCAGTAGTAACCAATCGGGTCATTTGGGAGTGTTTTCTTCGTCGCTGCTTTTATGGCATCTAGGTGTCTACCTGTGAACATGTAAAATGTGGAGCGCCGTGCGGGCTTCCGAACAGCCGCGATGCATTCATTTTGTAGGTGTTGTTTGCACTTGCTTTGTTGATGCAGCCCCACGTGGTGGGATCTGCCGGAGACAGCACACAGGAGCTGCCAGACTCCAATTACAGCAAAGGATCCTGCAGGACAGATGGATCCTAATTTAATCAGGCCCCCTATCGAAGGCCTTTTCAGTTGTTTATGATTTTTCAACCTCACATAAGGGGCTGCAGGGAACATCCTTGTACACACACACATCTGCAAAACTTTCCCTATGGGAAATGAGGAGGGATTCCTGGGACCCAGTGCATAGAAGTTCACTGTTCTAACAGTCACCACCAAATCGCCAGGCCCCGAGGTTGGACTGGTTTCTATTCCTCGGACTCTTTATCTAGAATATTTCATTTAATCCTGAAAATAGGTCTGTGATGGTGGGCAGGGGTGATCTCCCCATTTTATCGAAGCAGAAGCTACCACTCAGAACAGCTGACTGGCTCCAGGTCACACAGCCCAGGAGGAGCAACGCTGGGCTGCCTCGGCGTGTGTGCAGTCCTGCTGTCCCCAAGGGCATGTGTGCAGTCCTGCTGTCCCCAAGGCCAGGTAGGGGAGGTGATGGGGGAGGCAGAAAGAGCCATGGAGGGATGTGGTGTCCCCAGGAGTAGGGAAGCCCACAGAAGAACAGGTTTCCTTCAGAGATGGGCTGGCAGCCTCACATTCCTCTTATCCAATTTCTCAGAAGTGTGTGTGTGTGTGTGTGTGTGTGTGTGTGTGTGTGAAGTTGGGGGGGTCCTCCTGCCTCCCGGTATTCTATCTCTTTGGGGAAATGGAGGCAGATCCATAGAGCCCCAGGGGTTGGGCCTCCCCAGCAGCCCACGCCCACTGTGAGGCCTGGATCCTGGCAGCCTGTATGCTCTGATCCCAAGTCTACCCTGGAAATTCCCAGGCACAGCATGCCTGGAGGTGTGAGCCGCCTCTTAGAAGCTTTATAATCCCGGATAATGCTGCTGTAATTGGCATTGTTTTTCCATTACAATCCTTTCATTACCTGAAAACTGACTTTGCAAATGGCTATATCTGGAGTGGGTTTTATTTTACCACTTTGAGGACCTTGAGGGGCCGAGGAGTGGGGGCATTTTCTCTGTCTCTCCCTTGACTGCCCCATCCCCATCCCCCAGTGAGTTCCACAGGCCCAAGTGGGCCAGATCCTGGCCTTGGCTCAGGACATAGCCCTGTACCTTGCTGCCCGCCATGGGCTGATCCAGGGATGTCTCTTCTCCCCAGATGCCCCTTCTGTCCCCCTGCCATCAAGTCCACCCATAAGAGCCTCCCTCCAACCCCTCCTCCTCCCAGCCATTCCCAGTCCAAACAAGTCTCACCTGATCTTTCTATAATACATATCTGACCACATGATTCCTCTCTCAAAAGCCTGCCATACCTTATGGTAATGGTCAATTCATTCCAACAAGGGGGCCACCATCATTCAATGGGGAACAGTCTTTTCAACAATTGGTGCTGGGAGAGCCAAACCTCTACATGACCCCTACCTCACACCCTATACCAAAACTCACAGTGGTTTCCACTGTCCATAGGATCGGGGCTCAACCCCTTAGTCTCACATTCAGGGCTCTTACCACTCCTACCACTCCTTCACTTTTTTTTTTCTTTTCTTCTTTCTTTCTTTCTTTTTTTTTTTTTGAGATGGAGTCTCTCTGTGAGGCCCAGGCTGGAGTGCAGTGGTGTGATCTGGGCACACTGCAATCTCCACCTCCTGGGTTCAAGCAATTCTTCTGCCCCAGCCTCCCGAGTAGCTGGGACTACAGGCACGTGCCACCAGGCCCAGCTAATTTTTTTTGTATTTTTAGTGGAGATGGGGTTTCACCATATTGGCCAGGCTGGTCTCAAACTCCTGACTTCAAGAAATCCACCTACCTCGGCCTCCCAAAATGCTGGGATTACAGGTGTGAGCCACTATGCTTGGCTTTTTTTTTTTTTTTTTTTTTTTTTTTTTTTTGAGACAGGGTTTCCCTCCTATCACCCAGGCTGGAGTGCTGTGGTGCAATCTTGGCTCACTGCAACCTCTGTCTCCCAGGTTCAAGCAATTCTCCTGCCTCAGCTTCCCAAGTAGCTGGGATCACAGATGAGTGCCACCACGCCTGGCTAATTTTTTGTATTTTTAGTAGAGACAGGGTTTCACCACGTTGGCCAGGATGGTCTCAAACTCCTGACCTCAAGTGATCCGCCTGCCTCAGCCTCCCAAATTGCTGGGATTACAGGTGTGAGCCACCACACCTGGCCATCCTTCATTCTTTTAACAACATTTGTCCCGCTCCAACTATGTGTCAAGCCCAGTGCTGTGGCTGGAATAAGAAATGGACAGTCCTGTCTTCATGGAGTCCACCAGCTCATTTCTGATTGGCTCCTACTGGCCCAAAGTCACCCCAGCTCCATTCATGCTTCCATCTATGGCTGCTGTTCCCCAAGATGCTGAGCTCCCCACCTCTGAGTCTGGGCTCCTACCATTCTCCCTGCCCTGAGGACCTGCACCCTATTCTTTGCCTGAGGAATTCCTGCTCAAATGCTACCTCCAGCTGGGCACAGTGGCTCACGCCTACAATCCCACCACTTTGGGAGGCCAAGGCAGGCAGATCACCTCACGTCAGGAGTCGGAGACCAGCCTAGCCAACATGGCAAAACCCCATCTCTACTAAAAATACAAAAATTAGCCGGGTGTGGTGGCACATACCACAGATATCAGCCACAGAGTAAAACTCCATCTCAAAAAAAAAAAAAAATGCTACCTCCACTGTGAAGTCTTCCTTAAAGCCCCCTCCCACACCAAGCAGTTTACTGAATCCTCTCATTTCTTTGACCTCTTCAAACTGAATCAGTTCACACACATCCATCTCCCCCCAGAATTCCCGTGTTTCCCAAGCATGGCAAACACCTCATTTGTCTCTCTTTGTCTGTGCCTGACTCACAGTAGGGGCTTAGGAGCTGTTTGTTCAAAAAATAAAGGAGTCTTTTCCTTTGCTGTTGATTCAACACCTGTTCTTAGTGAAAAAGGGATAATTTTTTTTTTTATTTCCAGGAAGTGATCTTTAATTAGTATATGACCCATTTTACATATGTGAAAATTGAGGCAGACTGTTGCTGCACCCACAACACCAGGAGAAGCAAGGCAATAAGAAGTGCAGGCTCTGGAAGGCCGGCAGCCTCCGCCTAATGGGGAGGGCGGGGAGGCTCTGTGCTGAGCTGTTGGAGGCGAGGCCAGGCACAGGGGAAAGGCCGACATCCCCCTCCCCCACCTCCTTTCAATTCCTGGCTGCCAAGGCTGTCAAGAGGCTCTGAGGACACGTGCCTGCGTCAGGGGCCATGAGCCCTGTTAGGGTGGTTCTGCTAATTGATCCCAGAAGCCCTTGTGACTGCCAGGGGATGCCTCAGCGGACTCAGCAATGTCCTGACCGCTACCTCTCGCCTCACCAGATGGCCTCCCTCCTGCCTCAGCTGCCTCTAGGCCAGGCCACATGTCCCTGATCATTCAGGGCCTGAGACTCCCCCAAGTAGCCAGCAGAACAGAGCCCGGCCAGGGGTGGTGGCGGGGGTGTGTGGGGAGCACTGGAGAAGCTCCTTTTTTTCTGTGTCTCTCTGGCTGATTGGATGGTTTTCCAAAAAGAAAAATTTTAATGTGTTTTCGGTTTGGTTTTTTTTTTTTTTTTTTTTTTTTGAGACAGGGTCTCACTCTGTCATCCAGGCTGGAGTGCAGTGGTGCGATCACAGCTCACTGCAGCCTCAACCTCTGTGCTCCAGCGGTCCTCTACCTCAGCCTCCGGAGTAGCTGGCACTACAGGTGCGCACCATCACACCTGGCTAATTTTTTGTATTTTTCATAGAGACCGGGTTTTGCCGTGTTGCCCAGGCTGGTCTCAAACTCCTGAGCTCAAGCGATCCTGCCACCTTGGCCTCCCAAATGCTGGGATTACCGGCATAAGCCATTGCTGCTTAGCCAGCACTCAGCCTCAAATGCCCCCACAACTTCCTCCAGCAGCCCCACAATCTCCTGCCCCTTATGGGTGGGGAACCCTGGCATGTCATGTGACGGGGGTGGAGTCAGGAGAGCTGCTGTCCTTCCTGACCCATTGGGACAAGTCTGTGCAGCTGAGTCCCAGGGATAAGGGTAGGACCCACAGCCAAGTGACCAGTTCCAGAAATAGAGATGGTCATTGTGGTGCTCAAGGCACCCCTGCCTTCTTCCTGGGTTCAAGCCTGGAGCTCAAGATTGGAGTTCAAGGTTGCAGAGAGCTTTAGAACTGCTAATGGGGGCCAGGCGCAGTGGCCCACGCCTGGCCAACATGGGTGAAACCCTATCGCAACTAAAAATACAAAAATTATCCAGACAGCCGGGCACGGTGGCTCACGCCTGTAATCCTAGCACTTTGGGAGGCCAAGGCAGGTGGATCATCGAGGTCAGGAGTTCGAGACCAGCCTGGCCAACATGGTGAAACCATATCTCTACTAAAAATATAAAAATTAGCTGGGCGTGATGGTGGGCGCCTATAATCCCAGCTACTCAGGAGGCTGAGGCAGGAGAATTGCTTGAACCCAGGAGACTGAGGTTGCAGTGAGCCGACAGGGTGCCACTGCCCTCCAGCCTGGGCGACAGAGTGAGACTCTGTCTCAAAAAAAAAAAAAAAAAAAAAGAACTGCTGGCCGGGCACGGTGGCTCACACCTGTAATCAGCACTTTGGGAGGCCAAGGTGGGCGGATCATGAGGTCAGGAGATCGAGACCATCCTGGCTAACACGGTGAAACCCCACCTCTACTAAAAATACAAAAAATTAGCCGGGCGTGGTGACGGGTCCGTGTAGTTCCAGCTACTTGGGAGGCTGAGGCAGGAGAGTGGCGTGAACCCGGGAGACAGAGCTTGCAGTGAGCCGAGATAGCGCCATTGCACTCCAGCCTGGGCGACAGAGCAAGACTCTGTCTCAAAAAAAAAAAAAAAAAAAAGAACTGCTAATGGGTATGGGGATTTTTTATGAGGTAATGGAAATGTTCTGGAATGCGACAGCAGTGATGGTTACGCAACCTCTTGAATATGCTAAAATCCATTGAATTGTACACTTTAAAAGGGTAAATTTATAATATGTGAATTGCATTTCAATAACACAAAACAAAAATAAACCAAAAAAAATTGCCCTACTTAAACACTTTCTGTTGTCCCCTGTTCATTACCCTTAGGACAGAGCACACACACACTTCCCTGGGACGTGGTTCAGCTTCTTCCTCCACCCAGCCTGCCCTGCCCGTACCCTTTCCTGCCCTTCCTCCTTTCCTCCTACAGAAGGGCCCTGCTGGGGCCTCTTTCAAGGTCCAGGCTCTGGCGCATGAAACTCCCTCTACCTGTCAGATGGTTAAATGCCTATTCAGTTTTTATCTGTGGCAATAAGTAGGCATTGATCTCATTTCACAGATGAGGAAACTGAGCCTTAAAAAGATATAACAACTCGCCCAAAGTCACCTAGCTGGCAGATGGTGCAGTTGAGATTCAGGCCCCAGCAGTGGCTTCAGAATCCATGATCTGAACCACTTTGGTTGGTGGCTTTCTGTGGTAGCCTGAAGAATCCCACCCTCGCCAAGATATCCACATCCTAATCCTGGAACCTGTGAATGTTACCTTATATGACAAAGGCGCCGCAGATGTGATTAAGGATCTGGAGATGAGGAGGTTATCCTGGATCATTACAATCACAAACGCCCTTATAAAGGGGGATGCAGAGGGAGATTACAGACCAAAGGCAGAAGGTGGTGTGATGATGGAAGCAGAGAAAGAGGTCTGAAGATGGTACGCCGCTGGTTTTGAACATGGAAGAAGAGGCCACAGCCGGGGAACAGAGCCCCAGAAGCAGGAGAGGGCAAGGAAACGGATACTCCTCAAAGCTTCTGGAGGGAACGTGGCCCTGTGAACACCCTGGTTTCTGCCTGTTGAAACTGATTCTGAATTTCCGGTCTTGAGAACTGTAAGAAAATAAATGTGTGTCGTGTTGTGGGTTTTTAAAAAATAATTTTTTTCTTTCTTTTTTCTCCCGGCTTTTCAATAGGGATAACGTGTGTTGTTTTAAGTCACCAGGTTTGTGGTGATTAGTTACAGCAGCCATAGAAAATGAAGACACTGGCCAGGCTCACGCCTGTAATCCCAGCACTTTGGGAGGCTGAGGGCAGGTGGATCACCTGAAGTCAGGAGTTTGAGACCAGCCTGGCCAACATGGCGAAACCTGTCTCTACTAAAAATAGAAAAATTAGCTGGGTGTAGTGGTGCATGCCTGTAGTCCCAGTACTCAGGAGGCTGAGGCAGGAGAATCGCTTGAACCTGGGAGATGGCGGTTGCAATGAGCCAAGATTGCGCCATTGCACTCCAGCCTGGGCGACAGAGCAAGACTCCGTCTCAAGGAAAAAAAAAGAAAAGAAAATGAAGACACTTTCCCTCCTAGAAGAGCCTATTCTGCCTCCCAGGCTGGGCCCCTCTCTGAGAGGCTCTTCTGCCCCGAGGTCAGTGGCCCACCCTGTTTTGTGCTCCTTGGGGATGCTTCCTATGACCTCTGACCCTGGAGCTTGCCTCGGTCATGACCTCCATGCTCACCCTGACCTTGGGCCTCTTCTACGGCTCCCAGCACTGACTTCACCAGGCTGGAGTCATCTTCCAGTTGTTCAGGGGCAGGCACCAGCTCTGGGGCAGTGTGGAAGAGGAAAGTGAGGCTTGGAGGGGGGCACTGAATGCTCAAGATCACTCAGCTGGCAAGAGGCAGAGCCGCTGAATGTGTGGCCATGAGATGACCAGGGCACCCAAGCCGAAGGGCTCGTGAGGAAAGAGGCCACACTGGCTGCCCACTGCCCCTAGGTTCCAATCCCGGCACCCATCTGGGCCCACATAGAATTGGACCATTCCTGGTGGGCTTGGCTTTAGGAAAACCTGATAGCAAATTCCAAACCAATAAGAGCAAATAAATGAGGGGTGATTACCGACAATAAGAGAGGATACACTGCAGGGTGCCTCCAAATCGCATCTCCTCCAGTACGTTTTAAGTGCTTTATAGGTCATTAACTACTTGACAGAGAGAGCCTGACACTTAAAGCAAAGAATTTGGTACCTCTGCCAGGGAAAATCAATCAGAAATGAAGCTAGAGCATCAGAGGCGTTAAGATTTACTGGGTAGGCCAACGGGATTCAATTGACGCAGAATTTTAAGACCCTCTCCACTGTGTAAAGTAAGGCACACTGGTATTTGAAGCCATTTATAAATCCCAAACTAGAATTTAGAAACACTTAACCTCTCCCCTGCCATTTTTGTGTGTGTGTGGATGTTAATGAAATATTTCGAAGACATGGAAAAGTACAGAGATAAGCTTAAGCATCTAAGTCCCCCATCTGACTCTGTCAAATGAAATATTGCAGCTATGTGCAGCTATGATTGAAGCACCCACTATTTTTTTTTTTTTTTTTTTTGAGATGGAGTCTCTGTCTGTCGCCTGGGCTGGAGTGCAATGGTGCAATCTTGGCTCACTGCAACCGCAGCCTCCCAGGTTCAAGCGATTCTCTTGCCTCAGCCTCTCAAGTAGCTGGGACTACAGGTGCGTGCCACCATACCCAGCTAATTTTTGTATTTTTAGTAGAGACAGGGTTTCACCATGTTGGCCAGGCTGGTCTCGAACTCCTGAGCTCAGGTGATCCACCCACATCGGCCTCCCAGAGCGCTGGGATTACAGGTGTGAGCCACTGTGCGCAGCCAACAGGTGCACCTCTAGAAAGAGGGTGCTTCGGATGGGCACAGTGGCTCATGCCTGTGGTCCCAGCACTTTGGGAGGCTGAGGAGGGAGGATCACCTGAGGTCAGGAGCTCGAGACCAGCCTGGCCAACATAGTGAAACCCTGTCTCTACTAAAAATACAAAAATGAGCTGGGTGTGGTGGTGCATGCCTGTAGTCTCAGCTACTAGGGAGGCTGAGGCAGGAGAATTGCTTGAACCCAGGAGGCGGAGGTTGCAGTGAGCGGAGATCGTGCCACTGCACTCCAGCCTGGCAGCAGAGTGAGACTCTGTCTAAAAAAAAAAAAATTGGTGGGGCATGGGGGCATGCACCTGTAGTCCCAGCTACTTGGGAGGCTGAAGCAGGAGAATCACTTGAACCTGGGAGGTGGAGGTTGCAGTGGACCAACATTGCACTACTGCACTCTAGCCTGAGAGACAGAGCGAGACTCCGTTTCAAAAAAAAAAAAAAAGTGCACCTGTTTTTTCTTCCTGGCTTTTCAAATCCTTTCTGTCTTCTGGCTCTGCCTTGTCAGGGAGACCTAAGCTGACCACCCACCCCTGCCCAAGACATCACTCCTTCCTCTGAAATCAGAGTGCAATTACTGCCTCTTTAATTAGCTTGGCAATTAATCACCAGCTGCTTATGAAACAGCTTTTATTGTCCTTGTCCATCTTGGGATGTGGGTGGGAATGAGGACCAGGCAGGAAGAGGGAGGAGGGGCAGGCAGGCAGGGCCCTGCTCTGGCACCAGGCTGGGCAGGGTCAGCTGAAAAGGCCTGATGTCCAGAGGGTCGGCTGCCTCCCAACTCTGTTTCCACAGCTGCTAGGCACCAGGATCTGTGTAGTCCCAAGAGAACAGTGGGCAGCGACAGGGACATCCACCTTGTGCAGCCCTGGGGCCTCTGCTCTCGATGTTCCCTACTAATCAAAATGTTCTTTCCTCATTGAGCCTTGTTGAACTGTGTCCCCCAGAAAGATATATTGAAGTCCTGACCGCCGATACCTGTGAATGCAACCTGATTAGGAAATAGGGTCTTTGCAAATGTAATCTTCTTAAGATGAGGTCATACCGGATTAGGATGGGGCCTAAATCTAATGACTGATGTCCCTATAAGAAGGCCATGTGAAGACAGATGCAGGGAGCACTCATTCACCACACCACCAAGCCAGCTCCTCCTCTTCATGCCTCAATCTGGCTGCCTATGGGAGACAGGCTCTCAGCATTTTTCTAGTTGATTAACCCTTCTCTGCCCAACTCCGGGAGAAGCTTCTACACCTTCCTTTGTCAGAGGAAGCCCTCTCCCCCATCCCATCTCATACATCATCTCTCAATCAAAAGGACCTACTTGGGGGGGCATCCCAAGGACCCCCTCTCCATCAGAGAACAGCAGCCGGGAAGTCAGTCTGCTTCACGGTGCTCCCCATGACTTCCACAGGAAAATCCACCCCAAATGCCCCAAACTGTCAGAGTGGGCAATGCAGCATGGTTTGAGCAGAGTGCTTCCAACTTCCCCTGTGATGGGGGTGCAGAGGGGGGTTCAGGGGATGGATTCCCAGGAAGGGAAAGAGCCCAGCAGGTTACCAGGAATTTAACATGGAAGCAGAGGCTGTGTCATTCATACTGCCAAGCACAGTGCTGGGTATAGCATGTTCAAGCATGTTCATTTAAATGACACTTTTTTTTTTTGAGACAGAGTTTCGCTCTTATCACCCAGGCTGGAGTGCCAGTGGCATGACCTCAGCTCACTACAACCTCTGCCTCCTGGGTTCAAGTGATTCTCCTGCCCCAGCCTCCCGAGTAGCTGGGATTACAGGTGCCCACCAGCATGCTCAGCTAATTTTTGTATTTTTTAGTAGAGATGGGGTTTCATGATGTTGGCCAGGCTGGTCTCGAACTCCTGACCTCAGGTGATCCACCCACCTCGGCTTCCCAAAGTGCTGGGATTACAGGCGTGAGCCACTGTGCCCGGCCGAAGTAAGTTTTTTTGTTTTTGTTTTTGTTTTGTTTTGAGATGGAGTCTCACTCTGTCACCCAGGCTGGAATGCAGTGGTGCCATCTCGGCTTACTGCAAGCTCCGCCTCCCGGGTTCACGCCATTCTCTTGCCTCAGCTTCCCGAGTAGCTAGCTGGGACTACAGGTGCCCACCACCACGCCAGGCTAATTTTTTGTATTTTTAGTAGAGACGGGTTTTTTTTTTTTTCTGTCACCCAGGCTGGAGTGCAAGTGGTACAATCATAACACTGCAGCTTCCAACTCCTGGGCTCAAGTGATCCTCCCACCTCAGCCTCCCAAGTAGCTGGGAGTACAGGTGCACACCACCATGCCCAGAAAACTTCTTAATTTTTTTTTTGTAGAGACGGGGTTTCGCCATGTTGCCCAGGCTGGTTTCGAACTCCTGGGCGCAAGCGCTTCTCCCACCCTGGCCTCCCAAAGTGCTAGAATTATAGGCGTGAGCCACAGGACCTGGCAGTAATAACCCATCTTCTAACCTATCTTGTGCTCTAACACAACACTCTTGATAGACGGGAAACTGAGCTCTGACACTGCACAGGGCATCACTGTGTAGAGGATCCGAGATCCAGTAATGTAAGCATGTCCCAGCATCAGCTCAGCCATTCATCCCCACGTGACCGAATTTCGCTGCACCTCGGTTTCCTCATCCTCGGGAGAGAATAGTAATATCTCCTAGGGATGTTGCCAACATTAAAGATAGCTCTAAACACCTGTATGCATATTTTCCACGAATTCATTCAACTAACCGTTTTGAGCACGTACTGTGTGCTAGGCCCTGGGGAGACAGTGGTGAGCAGCACGAACCCCATGTCCCTATCTCCAGGTGCTGTTTGGTAGAGAAGGACAAGGAAATGCAGGTAGCGTTATGATAGGGACCACGGAAGCAGAGAGGAAAAGGCCGCAGAGTTCAGGAAGGTCCGAAAGAGCAGCGGCCACCGCCGGAGCGAAAAGGCAAAGAATGAAATCCACAAACCCCCACCCCTACGGCCTTAGTCCCTTCTTTGTCTCAGCCAATCAGACGTCAGCAGTGCTGGCCGACCGACCAATCAAGAGCTGGAACAGGAGCCCTAGTCTCAGGCCCGGTTTCCGCGGGGAGGGCGGCCGGAACCAGCGCGCCCCGCCCCTGCCCCGACCACGCCCCGCCCGCCCCGGTCCGGCCCCTCCCCAGACCACGCCCCGCTGCAGCCAGCTTCGCCCGCCCAGAGCCCCGTGGCCAGCGGCCGGCCGCGGGGCCTTTTTGTCCTGAGGGCCAGAGAAAGGGAGAAGGGGGTGGGGGGACAGCCACGTGGCCGCAGGAGGATTTACAACATTTTCTTTCGCCATCGATGTTATCGCAAAATGTGTGAGAGAAGCGGCTGCGCAGCCCGGACGGGAGCGTGAGGGTGCGGGCCAGGTAAGCAGCCCCGGCGGTTTCGCCGCATACGGGACTGCGGGGCGACCGCGGGCACCAGCCACGCGCAGCGGCTCCGCGGGGTCTCGGCCGGGTCCGCGCTCTGAAGGATCTCGAGAGCCATGGATGGTGCAGGCGGGACCCTCGAGCTGCAGCATCTCCGGTGACCCGGGGTTGCCGAGGAGGTGGAGACCAGCACAGGTGGTCCGGCCCGGGCGCCTCCGAATCCGGGGGTGGTCAAGACGGATCCCCAAGGCTGAGGTCGGCAGTCCCGGGGACTCGCAGCTGTTGAGCCTGTGGAGACGCGGCCCCGTGACCGAGGCACCCTTCAGCAACCCGGGGGCAGGTGAGACCGTGTAGACTTGCGCTTGCGGTTGAACCGCGAGCAGGTGTAGACGCGGGCGGGTTCTGGACGCGGAAAGTTTGCCAGAGCGCGCTGAGCGGGCTGGCGGGGAGGAAGGGTCTGGGCGTAGGCGGAGCCGCGCCTCCGAGGGGCCAGGCGCACATCTGGGGCGGGGACGGGACCCACCTGTCGGGTCTCAGCCGCATCCCAGGGCGGAAGCTCCTTGGGCGAACTCCAAACTCCAGCCTCAGCGGCTGGAATTCGGGTGCCCCCCTTCCTCGGGAGCTGGAGAAACTGCAGCTGAGGCGGGAGAGGGATTTGGGGCGACAGAGCGAGACCAAAGGGGGCTCATTTTGAGACTTTTAGACGGGATCATCAAGCGCTCACTCTGTCCCTGGCTCCGGGGAAGCCTGGGGAGTCTCCACCTCACTTGTGAGGAAGCTGAGGGACGAAGAGGCCAATTTGGCACCCGTCCCACGCTCGTAATCAGACCCAGGGACTCAAACCCCATTTGTCCTGGCTCCTCTTCTTCCACCTCCGCCTCAGTGAGGAGAAAGGGTGCTAGCCATGGGGGTAGTGCAGGTGAGACCTGGGGCTGGGATGCAGGGAAGCCCTGGATTGAGACCTTCGGATCTGCTGGGGGTGGATCCCACTCCCTCTCTGTAGCTCCAGGTGGCCCCGCAGCACTGGGTGAGAGAATGAACGCAGGAGGGAAGCTGGTGGCAGAGTACTGGGCAGGGGGTGCTAGTGCCCACCTGCTTTGTGTCCGGGGTGCTGTGCCTGGAGCGCTTCGGGTGGGGCAGCGTATTTATGCGACACTCTCTCCTCTAGGGTAAGAAAGACACCCTACCACAGTCTCTGCCACAGGGGAAGGGCAGAAGGGTTTCCCTTGGCTGGAGGAGATACCCGCATTTCTAGGGAGGTTCTTAGGGAGGCACAGCCTCATCTCCCATCACCTTCTGTCCCTTTGCCCCCGTTCCTACTCCCACATCCTCCTGTCCTGGGATTTCCCCTACTACAAAGCCTTTTGCACATGTTGTTTATTCTTTTGATCAGCAAATAGTTACAAATAGGCAGTGTAGACCACCACAGGTGGTCCGGCACACCTACTAAGTGCCGGGCATGCGCAATTCAGCAGTGACTAAGACAGGCCCGGCCTCTGCCCTCATAGGGCTTCCAGACCAGGGCAGGGATATAGATGAACAACAGACAGTCAAGAAGGGGACCAGGGTATGGGGAGGGGAGGCGACCTTAGGAGGATATCAGAGAGGGACTCTGCAAGGATGACAGTGAGTCAGAGCAATTAACACTCCTCATCCTTTGGGCCCCAGCACAAATGTCACCTCCTCCAGGAAGCCTGCCCTGACCTCCCTGACTTGATGATTCCACTATGATGGACTCTCATAGCATGGGACCACCCCCTCCATGGACACTTTTATGCCATTAATTGGTCAATGTTTAGCTCCCCCTGTCGATTGTAAGTGCCATGAGGGCAGGACCCAAATCTTTTCTGGGTGGATGGTAGGCAAAGCAAATAAAAGATGGGTAGGATTTCCCCAGAAAAACAGGAGTGGCTCAGCAAGGTCAGGCATCCAGATGGCAGAAACTTTTCTTTCCCCTTCCCTGGCCCGAGTCCTGGGCTCCACACCCCATTTGCCGTTCACAGAAACAAAGTAAAAGAAACCAGCAGGCCTTGTGAAGGGAGAGGCCTGGCACAGCCTGACCACTGCAGTGCCAAGGCTGGCTGGCTGCAGGGAGAGTGGACCTGCCAGGGGAGGCCCAGGGCAGGCGCTAGTCCTGTTCCCTGAGCTCAGACCGACCTGTCTCCTCTTTCTTCTGTCCCATCTCTTGGAGACTTGTCTTCTTCAAGTGCTGCTCTGGGAGAAGGTGGTGGCCGACAGGGCCCCCAGAGTAGCTGGGATATAGGACCACAGTGACTGCCTGGCCTCCCCCATCCTGGTGGGCAGGGCCCTGGGCAGCACAGCTCTGACCCAGAGTCAGGTCTCTGGGCCAGCAATTGCTGCTCAGTTGACCCACGGCACATTGAAACTCTCACTTGGAAATTAGGAACCCGGCTCAGGGGGACTGATTTTTTTTTTTTTTTTTTTTTTTTTGCATGGTTTCTATACACAGTGAATCCTCCCTCCCCTGGCTCCATTGGACCCGTGTGCCTGGCACTTTTCCTGGGGCAGATGAAGCCCTCGCAGATGCCTAACAAAGCTTTTCTCCAGTCTCCCACACCCCCCACTGCCCCACTTCAGGAGCTCTGAGTGGCCGCCACGCACAGCTAGAGAGACAGTCAACTTGCTTTATTCAGGCTCTGGCGGGGACAGAATAAAAGCAGCCTCCCCACCCACCCACCTGGCCAGCAAGCCTCCTGCCTGGAATGGCTTTAAAAAAATTAATTTGCAATGATTTGCTCCCTTCTGTTCTGTGGGGATCACCAGCATTTTAAATATGTATTTAGATCAGATTCACAACTCCCAGTTAAACCTCAACTGCCTGCCCCCACCCGGCAGAAAGAACACAGGATTCAGAATCAGGTGACTAGAAGTTCAGGCCAAGTTCTGCTAATGATGCGCTGTGTGGCCTTGGGCAAATTACTTAAGCTCTCTGTGCCTCCACTGGCTCCTCTGGAAACTGAGGTTAAGGATAACCCCTCCCTCACAGAGTGCTGCGAGGATTAAATTAGGTAAGTTTAGGGAAGACCTGGGCAGTGCCAGACCTATGTTTTCTTTTCCCTTGTACTGACTGTCCTGCTAATTAGCCTGGTGACCCTGGGCAGGCCACTCAGCCACCCCTGGCCTCAATGTCCTCATCTGTAAAGGCTGGGGGTGGGGATTGTGGTAGGAGATGAGGGCACAAATACCCCACCCTCAGCCCCTTCCGCACACCCACTTCCTCCTGCCCTCTCCCCACCAGAGACGATACTGTCCCCCTCAACCACTTCTTTCTTGTTATCTGAGCACTGGGTTTTAATTGGCGATGGCCCCTCCCCAGCTGCCTCTCCTCCCGGCTCCCTGTGAAGTCTCAGGCTTGCAGCCCTGAGGGGCCTGCAGTTCCTGGCTCATTGTCAGGGGCAATTAGCTGTGATGTCACAAGCCTAGGTGGTGACTTCCGTGGGGCAGATGCTTAGCCAGGCACCAGGAGGCCAGGACCCTGCTCCATCTGTGACCTGCGGGGCTCCCCCAGGCTCCAGGGGTCCCCATTACCAGTCGCAGGGAGGCAGGGCTCCTAGGCAAAGCCATTTCCATTTCTGCACTTGATGGCTCCTTGAAGCCCAGCCTGCGTGTAAATGAGTTCCACCCTGTGCTTTTGTTGGCAACTGTCGGCTCCCTGGAAGCAAGGGGCTTTGTCAGGAAGAACAAAGCTGTGCGGTGTTTTTCTGATTTGGGGGAAAGCGTGCTCCTGGGGGAGGGCTCAGCGCTTCTCAGTGTCGGTCTCCAGCCCTGGTTCTCAGACTTGCTGGTTTTGTTTTGGGTTCTTAAGTCCTATGGCTTAAGAGTCACATATGTTTGTGTGTGTGTTGGCTGAGGGTTTTTTTTTTTTTTTCCTCCTTTTTGGCTTACATAGCGTTCCAGAGACTGAACTTCTCAAATCACTGCTTCAACAGCTTTTAAAAATCTGGACCTAGTTACTCCTGTCATCTATGTGTAAAGATTTAGAAAAAAAATCCCAAACCCAAGGGTGGGCAGCCGCGAGGATGTACAGCTCCTGGCAGTGTGCGCTCACCCGGAGACCTGAGGTCAAAGCCCAAATGCTGAGCACCTCCTGGGAGGCGGGAGCATGGTCTGCTCAGTGCCAGACATCTGGATATTGAGAAAACATCTGGGTAGCTGGGGTTTTCAGGTTTCTGCCTGACATTTAATATCACAAACATTGAGCCTGCTCCTGTCCCCCACCAGCCACGCGGCTTCTCCTCCCAAACATACCCAGCTCCTTCCCCTGCCTTCCTGACGGGTAAGAAACATCCATTCTTTCCAATTCCCCAGCGTTTTCCCCCTACCGGAAATCTGATGGGCTTATGACATCATGGCTGGCTGCTGAGCGATGAAGTGGATGCCACAAAGAAATCCGACATATCAGATAGATTCTGAAATCGGTTTCCCTCCAGCTGTAGTAACAGGCGTGAAGTCAGGAGAATTTGAGCTTTGTTTAAAAAATAAATAAATAAATAAATAAACCATAACAAAGTCTTGCCCTGTATTAAATGCAATTTTCTTAAAAACAAGCAAACCTTTTGGACATCATTTTATTTTAATAGAAATGCTGAGTTTTATGAAACTAAAGTGGCTAATAAATCAGACCTGAAGCTTTGTGTGAGTGTTCCATTTCTGTTGAGTGTTTGTGTCCTTATTCACTAATAAAAGAGGAGCTAGGAATGGTTTATCTCTCTTCATTATTCAAATGAGATAGCCTTTTTTTTTTTTTTAGGCCAATAAAATTCACAGGGTAAATTGCTGGTTTATGTTTTTCCAGGAATCCATTTTTATGGAGCGACCCTGGACCTCACCGGTCTGCAGACACTATATTCCCCTTTGCTGGTTTTCCTGGCTGTGAAGCCCTTAAGAGAATGCAGTAAAGCTTTTCAGTCTCCTGGCTGGGCTCAGGGGATAACTGGCTGTCAGCAGGGCGGGACCAAGACCAGTGGGCCAGGCGCTTCTTGGAATGAGAAGCCTCTTTGAAAGGAGAGAGTCAAGAGAGGAACAGAAGTAAAGGGACCTGGGGCTGGGCGCGGTGGCTCATGCCTATAGTCCCAGCAATTTGGGAGGCCAAGAGGGCAGATCACCTGAGGTCAGGAGTTCAAGACCAGCCTGGCCAACATGGCGAAACCCCATCTCTACTAAAAATACAAAAAATTAGCCAGGAGTGGTGGTGCACGCCTGTAACCCCAGCTACTTGGGAGGCTGAGATAGGAGAACTGCTTGAACACGGGAGGCAGAGGTTCCAGTGAGCCGAGATCGCGCCACTGCACTCCAGCCTGGGTGACAGAGCAAGACTCCATCTCAAAAAAAAAAAAAAAAAGAAGAAGAAGAAGAAGAAAAAGTAAAGGGACCTGGGACATGAAGCCTAGGGGCCTGGGAGGGGGAATCCATTTTCTTCCTCCTCAAAAGACAGCAAGGACCTCAGAAATAACTCCAGGCTGAGGGGGCCTCAGTATTCACCTCGGAAATAGGCTTGGGTGCAAGATTGCATGTGTCGTGCCTGCCAAGCACCCAGCACAGGGACGTCCCAGACCTGGGCTGAGGTCCCAGCTGCTCCAGAAGCAAACTTCGGGGCCCTGAGCAAGTCACACCACCTTTCAGCTTCTTTCCCTGAAAGTGGACACAATGGCCCCCACCCTGCCTGTTGGGAGAACAGTAGTGCTGGATGTGTCACACAATGCCCAGCTCTGAGGGCATCCGAGGCTCTGAGGGCACCTCAAAGGGCTCCGAGGCCATTCTCATAGCTGGGAGAGGCCAGTGTGGATTCTGGAGTTGAATCCCCAGCCTGGGCTTGACTCCTGGCTCTGTCCCCTGCTATCTGCAAGACGACATTGATCTGTGTGACATTCGCTGTGCCTTGGTGTCCTCACTTGTCAAACAATAATAATAATAGGACCGGCCTCACACATGAGGCTGCTGTGAGGATGAACGGCCTCAGAAGGCCTGGACTGACCAAGCATTAGCCGCATGAGTGTGTCCTGGGCCCAGGAGGCAGGTTGCTGGCTAGGACCCTCCGGCCTAGGATGGGAGGGAGTGTACCAAGTCGAGCACAGGCGGAGGCTAATCAAGGACTGACAGGAACATCTACTCCTTTCTCTGCAGAACTTCCCATGACTCCAATCGCCCAAAGGGAATAAAATCCCCTCGTTTTCTGGGCCCCAGGCTCCTGTCCCCCAGGCCTCCTGTGCTGTTCCCCTCTCCCTCCCTGTGCTCTGTCCCTCCTCCCAGGCAGCTTTGGATGCAATGCTAACAGGCAGGTGATGTTTACTGAGCACCTGCCATCATGTTGTTCGCCACAGTTTCCATGGATTAATTCATTTGATCCCCACACAAACCCATGAAAGGGGACAGTTAGCATTCCTGTCAGCAATGGAGACCTCAGAGGTTAAGTGTCTTGCTCACAGTCCCAGAGCCCAAATTGAAACCAGGGTTCGGCTCCTGCACCGTCCACTTCACCTCGGCTCCACTGGGCCTTCCTCCTCCACTTTCTCGCCTTCCCACAACACCCATCTCCACCTGCCAAGATTTCCACCACCTCGCCCAAGAGGTCTTCCCAGCTTCCCCTCCACAGTGCCACCCAAGAAATGCTGGTGGTGCCCCACGTGCCCCTCAGGGTGTGGCTCTCTATGATTGGCCCTGGGCCCCTTGTCTGCCTCTCCTGGAGGCTGGGAGCTGGGCTGTGGCCAGTAATGTGTCCCCTGCAGGCCCAATAAGCAGGCATTTACTGAGGACCTACTATGTGCAGGACATGGGGAGTCATACAGCAGGTGCCCACACCGCCTGGACTTCTCTCCCAAAACCTAGACCTATCCAGCCAACAGCTTGTGCCACCTCTCCACGTGGATGGCCAGTGGGCAGCTCTGCCTCAACTAGTCACAAACCTCTCACCTCCACTTTCCCTTCACTTGCTCAGGCCAAAAGCCTTGGGATTATTCCTGACCCTTAACTTCTCCTCTGTCTCTATCTCAGCACTCCACCCTTCCTTCCACCTCCACCGCACCACCGGCATTGCCTGCCTGGATGGCACAGCAGCCTCCTCGTGGGTCTCCCTGCCTCCTCTGCCCTCTGGAATTCATTCTTCACATAGTAGCAGAGTGGTCCTGTTAGAACTTCAGTCAGCTCCTGCATGCCTCTGCCCAGAGCTCTGCAATGACTCCCATGCATTCAGGGTCAGGGAGGGCCCTGTCAGTGGCCCCAGCTTGTTCCCTCTCAGACCTCAGCTCCTGCCCCCCAACTCGCTCCCAGATCTTGTTATTCCTCCAACGTGCTGTGTGTGGTCCTGCCCCAGGGCCTTTGCACGTGCTGCTCCCGCTCCCCAGTATACTCTTTCCTCTGATATTTCCATCACTCCCGCATTCACTTCCTCCAGTGCTCCGATCAGATGTTACCTGTGGCCGGGCACCGTGGCTCATGCCTGTAATCCCAGCATTTTGGGAGACGTGGGCAGGAGTATCGCTTGAGCCCAGAAGTTTCAGACCAGCCTGAGCAACATGGCGAGACCCCTTCTCTACAAAAAATAAAAATCAGCTGGGCGTGGTGGTGTGCGCTTATAGACCCAGCTACTCTGGAGGCTGAGGTAGCTGAGGTAGGAGGATCACTGGAGCCCCAGCCTAGGTGACAGAGCAAATACCCTGTCTCTAAAAAAAAAAAGACCAGGCACAGTGGCTCACACCTGTAATCCCAGCACTTTGAGAGGCTGAGGCGGGCAGATCACCTGAGGTCAGGAGGTCAGGAGTTCGAGACCAGCCTGGCCAATATTGTGAAACCCCATCTCTACTAAAAAAAGACAAATACAGAAATTGGCCGGGCAGAGTGGCACATGCCTGTAGTCCCAGCTACTCAGGAGGCTGAGGCAGAAGAATTGCTTGAACCTGGGAGGCGAAGGTTGCAGTGAGCCAAGATTGTGCCACTGCACTCCAGCCTGCCAACAGAGAGAGACTCCATCTCAAAAAAAAAAAAAAAAAAAATGACCTGCTCAGACAGACCTTCCCTTATGACCCTCCCCATCCTTTCCCCATGTTTTTTTTTTTTTTTTGAGACAGAGTCTCACTCTGTCGCCCAGGCTGGAGTGCAGTGGTGAGATCTCAGCTCACTGCAGCCTCCGCCTCCCGGATTCAAGTAATTCTCACGCCTCAGCCTCCTGAGTAGCTGGGATTACAGGCACCTGCCACCATGCCCAGCTAAGTTTTGTATTTTTTAGTAGAAACAGGGGATCACCTGAGGTCATGGTGAAACCATGTTTCACCGTGACTCCTGACCTCAGGTGATCTGCCTGCCTCAGCCAAAGTGCTGGGATTACAGGTGTGAGCCACCATGCCTGGCCCTTCCCCCAGTCTTTGCCCTCTAGCATCTATGCCACTGGCCCTTGGCTTGGACATGTGCATACGTGTCACTAGAATGTCACCTGAGTCAGAGCGGGCCCTGCCTGTTTTCCCACTGCTGTATCTCAGGTCTCCAACACAGGGCAGGTGCTCAATAAACATTTGCTGAATGAAACGATAGCTGGATGGGTGCCGTGCAGAGACGGCCAGTATCGAACACCTGGTCTGCGCCAGGATCTGTGTTGGGTGCTGAGGCAACATGTGTAAACAAGTGCCCTGAGAGCCCTCATCTGGGGAAGGAGAGAGACTCTGAGCTAGAAATCACAAAGTGGGTGGAGTGGGGGTGGCCTCCGGGAATGGGCTCAGAAGAGGAGGTGGTCTAGCCGATCAGAGGGAGCTCCCCCAAGGAGGGGCATCCCCAGGTGAGCTGAAGGGTGAAGAGGAATTGGATGGGGAGGCGGGTCGGGTGGACAGTGTGCTCTAGGGGCTAAGGACAGGGCTGGGAGGACAGCAAGAGTAGGGGCCTTAAAGGTCAGTAAGATCCAGCTGGGCAGAGAGAGGGCACCGTAACCCCAGATCGGGATTATGGAGTGGGCAAAGGCCCCGAGGTGGGGATGTGCTGGGCATGTGTGTGGGGATGGATTGGGGAAGGCTTAAGTGCCAGGAGGAGCAGCAGAGGCCTGGGGTGGAATCTTAGCTCTCATCCTCCAGCTGCGTGATCCTGCACACATCGCTCCCTCTCTCTGGGCCTCAGTTGCCCCATCAGTGTACTCCTGATCACGTACATGCTTCCCCGCTGCAGTGTCCTGCCTCACAAAGAGGGAGAGACTTAAGCCTGGAAGGCCCCAGGGGAAGAGAAGTCTGCCAGGAACAGCATGGTGAGCAGGGGAAACAGAATGTGCCAAGACGTGGGGTCCTTCTCCTGAGCTGCACTTCTCCAGTCCCTCCCTCAGTGCAGGGAGGACCATGATGGGGTGGCCTGGCTGTCCCCAGCGGGGCCCAGGCCTGGGGTGTGCTTGGCTCTGCACTTGAGGGGCCACTCTGCTTTGGGCCTCACATACTGTTGGACACCACAGCCCCGGGAGACAGGGCCTTCCTCCAAGCTGCAGACGCCAGGCTGAGAGCAGCGAGGTAACCAACAGCTACACCAAACACGTGGCTGGTAAATGGCAGACAAAGGACTTGAACCCAGCCCTGCCTGGCCCTGATTCCTGCTGTCCTTTAGCAAGACTGAGCCACATCCTCTGGGAGGGCCAGGTCTGGGAAGAGGCAGTAGAGTGCAGGTGAAATGCCTGCTCGCCACGGGCTCCCGAGCCGTGGTCCCCACTCCATCCCTCCCCTGGGCTGCCCTGATCACGGCCAATTCCTCCTTTGGGGAAGGTGAGTTGGGTCCCTGGAAGGCCCTCTGAGCCTCTCCTCTTGGCCGCAGCTTCTCTGAGGACTCGGGATGCTCCTGGAATATTCTAGGTTTATTAACACCCTAAAGCCTCACAACCATCCCTTGAGTAAGGGACCGTTGTAACCCTGTTTTACAGCTGGAGGAACTAAGGCTCAGAAAGGAGCTACCCAGGGGAGGCATACTGGCTTACTGGGGTGTCCTGCTGTGCTCAAGCTCTGAAGACTGTTTTGGGGACAGAGTGCTCAGCCCTAGGGTGGGAGTTTCAGGAGGCCAATTCAGTCTCCACTGAGAAGAGTTTTCTTTCACGCATGCCCAAAGGTGGGGTCTTGGCAGGAGTGATCTTCCCATCACTAGAATTCAAACAACCTCTGCGTGTGGGATGAGGGGAGATTAAGGTCAGAGGTGCTGTTGGACTAAGGAGTCCGGGTATCTTTGACCTATCCAAGCCTCAGTTTCCTTATCTGTGAAATGGGGATTTTTTTTTTCTTATTTTTTTTTAATTCTAATTTTTTTTTTTGAAACGGAGTCTCACTGTGTTCCCCAGGCTGGGGTGCAGTGGTGTGATCTCGGCTCACTGCAAACTCCACCTCCGGGGATCAAGTGATTCTCCTGCCTCAGTCTCCTGAGTAGCTGGGATTACAGGCGCCCACCACCATACCCACCTAATTTTTTTTGTTTTGTTTTGTTTGTTTGTTTTTTGAGACAAACTCTCACTCTGTCGCCCAGGCTGGAGGGCAGTGGCGCAATCTCAGCTCACTGCAACCTCTGCCTCACAGTTTCAAGCGACTCTCCTGCCTCAGCCTCCCAAGTAGCTAGGATTACAGGCACCCGCCACTGCACCCAGCTAATTTTTGTATTTTTAGTAGAGACGGGGTTTCACCATGTTCGCCAGGCTGGTCTCAAACTCCTGACCTCAATTGATCTGCCCACCTCGGCCTCCCAAAGTGCTGAGATTACAGGCGTGAGCCACCACGCCAGGCCAAAATGCGGATATTAATACCCATCTGTCAGAGGCTCTGTAAAGCACCCAGCCTCTTTCTGGCCCAAAGAGTGCCCAGTAAGTGCCATTGTCACCTCCTGGGCCTCTGAGTGTCCCCTCTAATAGTCAGGCTCTCAGAGCAGAGTGGGAAGGGGCCACCTCCAACAGCCCTGCCTAGGAAGAGCAGCCCCATGGACCACCACTGCCTCCTTGTGTGTGGAGGGTGGTGTCCAGGCTGAGGGTCAACCAGCCCCAGACACCTGCCTCCTCTGTCCGCTGGGCTGGGCCGTGGCCAGCTCCTTGAGTAACTGGGAGGGCTACAGTGAGTTACTGGAGAGCAGGGCTCTAGCCCCCACCGATACTGGCCCCAGGAGGGGCAGGGCTCACTCAGAAACCTTGCTGCTCTCATTGCAACACCACCTAGCTAAGCGCAGAGCCTCCCTGCCCTGCAGAGCCTGCTGGCTCCCTAGCTAGGAAACGGCACCATGCCAGGACAGAACGGGATCTGTCCCGAGGCTCCTGTCCGTTGGTATTTGCCAGGCACCTACTCTGTGCCAGGGACTTTCCTTAATCATTCTTCAGGTACAGTCTCATTCACAGGAGAGAAAGCCAAGGTTCAGGGAGTGGAAGCAACTTGGCCAGAGTGATATGAGGGCCAGGGGCTCTAACCCAGGGCTGTGGGACTCTGAAGTCAGTAAGTCATTCTCTATCTAAATCTTGCCATCCCCCAGGCAGGCCAGGGGAAGGAGCACTGGCTTTGGAGCCCTGGAGTGTGAGAGGTGGACCCCAGGCTGGGCAGGAAGACAGACCCAGGCACAGTCCTGAGTCTGCCCTCACATGTTGCCACATTCTGTTCCCCCTGCTCACCATGCTCTTCCTGGCAGACTCAACCCTCGGTCTCGCCAGGTGTGAGTCGCTCTCTCTCTCTGTGAGGCAGGGCACTGCATGGGGAAAGGCACATGTCTGGGAGTCCCATAGGCCTGTTTTCAAATCCTGCTCTGTCACCCACTACTGAGCCTAGAGCACAGGATAAAAAGGGGAACAGCATGCAAACAGGGAACAGCATAGGCAAAGGCCAGAGGATAAGAGGGCCTTCGAGAACCACAGCGGCGATGAGCGGAGCTAGGATCCAGGCAGGGGGGCGGACGTGGGTTGAGCTTCCTGTCCCCTGCTCTGGGCCTCTGTCCAGGCTGTCATCCCTGCCTGGCCCACCCTTCCTCTTCTCCTGTCCAAGCCTTCATGCCTCTAAGTCCCTGCTCACTAACGTCCCCTGTGAGTCCCTTCCTGAACTCCCCTTAAGCTTCTCCTTCCTCAGTGCTCCCACAGCCCCAAGTGCTACCTTGATTTGAGCAGTTAATGACCTGGGTTGTGCAGGTTTCTGTCCTGCATGAGTGTGGGAGTGAGATCTTTGTTTCAGATCCTGGCTCTGGACCTTGTCCACTGGATGACCCTGAACAAGTTCCTTCACCTCTCTGTTTCTTCATCAGCAAGATGATGGTAGCAGCCCCCAATGCGTAGTATTCTCTCGGGGATTCAATGACTTTGTGCTTATAAAGCGGCAAACCACACGGCCTCGGAAAGGCAGGCAGCTGGGACACACACATTCATGCATGTCGTTATTATAACTATAATGTGCGAGTCCCTTGAGGGCAAGGCCTCCTGTCTGGTTCCCAGCTCATAGTAAGGCTGGATCAGGGCTCAGGGAGCACTGAGTGATTCTAGAATGAAAGGACAGCCCATTCTAGCAACAAACTAAACAGTGATCATTTATTGAGTGTGCACTGCATCTTGTTTTGTTTTGTTTTGTTTTTTGAGTCGGAGTCTCGCTCTGTCGCCCAGGCTGGAGTGCAGTGGCGCAATTTCGGCTCACTGCAACCTCTGCCTCCCAAGTTCAAGCGATTCTCCTGCCTCAGCCTCCCGAGTAGCTGGGACTACAGCCACGTGCCACCATACCTGGCTAATTTTTGTATTTTTAGTAGAAACGGGGTTTCACCATGTTGGCCAGGCTGGTCTCGAACTCCTGACCTCAGATGATCTGCACGCCTTGGCCTCCCAAAGTGCTGGGATTACAGGAGTGAGGCCCTGCGCTCAACCTGCATCTTGTTTTATTCTGACCACCCTGTAACATGGGAATTATTAGGTCCATTTTGCAGATAATATAATTGAAGCTTAGCAAGACTAGGCCGCCTGCCTAAACTGCAGTGAGTACTTGAGCAGTTGGGTTTTGCACCTGGATCAGGCTGACTTTGCTGTTCCATACACTGGTTAAGATCCTGTTCTGTGATGCCCCTTGTTGAATGGTCCAGAAACCCCCTTCTCTCCCTCCTGGGTGCCCTTCCTATCTCCAGGCTACCCCTTGGAGTTGCTGGGGTGAGGGGTGTGGATTTGGGGACCCCATGGTGATCTGTCACTTCATGAGTCCTGTGCCCTATAATACATACATGTACATGCAGGTGCGCACACACATGCACACATGCACACACCTACAACACCTACACACACACACACTCACAACCTCTGCGGCTGACAAGTTCCTCCAGGTCTCTAGGCCTCCAGGTCCTCCACATCCAGGGCCCCGCATGAAGTCCCTGTGCAGTGCTGCAGTGGGGCTGCCTTTGGCCTCAGTCTCCCAGCTGTCAGCCTCCAGGGGGTGGGATGGGGCTTGAGGACTCCCCATGCCCACACAGTGTCCTGGCCAGCCAGCACGCCCGATCCAACTTCATCAGGCAGGGGCATGGGGTGGGGAGAGTAGGGGACGACTTGGGCAACCCATGTGACTTCTCAGCTCCTTTCCTCATTTGTGCAATGGCCCCCATGACCCTGTTGTGCCCACTCTGTCTACCTGGCCAGGCTGGACCTGAGGCTCAAGTAGGAAATGAGTATGGAGAAGTAAAGGGGGGAAGAAAGGCAAAGTGGTGGTCCGGTGCCTGGACTCCTCTGACGCTAGGAGTGGCGGCCAGAGGAGTCCAGGCACTGGGGTGCACCCGGGCCTGCTGGAGAAGGTGCTGTGTAATGGTTCTGAACCCAGTGGAGATGGGCCAGCCCTGGATCATCTTCTGTTGAACTCAACTCAACTTTCGGTGCTTCCCATGGCTGTGCCTGTCTGGCAGCCTTCAGTAGGGGCAGTAAAGTGGCACATAGCAGGCTAGAGCAGCGGGGGACCAAGGCAGCAGGTGGGACCGCATGGGGCCTAGGGCAGGCCAGGCCAGGCCAGGAGGAACAAGCCTGGACCTCAGAGAGATTTGTTTTTTTGTTTTTGTTATTTTATTTATTAATTTATTTATTTATTTTGAGATGGAGTCTCACTCAGTCACCCAGGCTGGAGTGCAGTGGCACTATCTCGGCTCACTGCAACCTCCGCCTCCCGGGTTCAAGCAATTCTTGTGCCTCAGCCTCCCAAGTAACTGGGATTACAGGCATGTGCCACCACGCCCAGCTAATTTTTGTATTTTTAGTAGAGATGGGGTTTCACCATGTTTGCCAGGCTGGTCTCAAACTCCCGACCTCGTGATCTGTCTACCTCAGCCTCCCAAAGTGCTGGGATTATAGGTGTGAGCCACTGCACCCGGCTGAGGTTCATTTATTCATTCACTCATTCATTCATATTGCACATGTCTTTGGAGCATCTAATGTGAGCCCTATAGGCCCCATGCTCTGTGCAGGGGACACAACAGTGGACAAAACAGACAACACCCCTGCCCCGCTGTAGATCACATTCCAATGGACAGAAACAGACAAAAAACATAATAAGGAAGCAACAGGTATTGTGATCAAGAATGCTAAGTGCTAAGGAGAAAAATAAAACAGGGAAGGGCAGAAAGGGGATACATTTGTTTTTTTCAATTATAAATAGGTGTCCATGGAAGGTCTCATTGAGAAAGTGGCATCTGAGCAAAGACAGGAAGCGGGTGAGGAGGTGAGAAGGTAGCTCTGGGGGAAGAGCATTCCTTCCAGGCAGAGAGCAAAGGCCCTGAGTGGGGAGCGTGCCTGGCACAGTCGGGGAGTAACAGGAGCCAATGTGGCTGCAGGGAAGTGGCGGGGAGGAGGTGGCAGATGAGCTCAGAGAGGAAATGGGGGCCAGATGGTGAGGCCTCCTGGACGCACCATTTAAAAGGATCCCTCTGGCTGCTGAGTTGGGAATAGACTGGGGGAGGGGCCAGGGCAGGACAGGGAGACAGAGAGGAGGCTCTGAAAAGAATCTAACAGGATTTGCTGATGGATTGGATGCAGGAGAGAGGGAGTGAGCAGAGGCGTCAAGGATGATTCCCGAGAGATCTGGTCAATTTGGCTGGAAGGCCAGCCGGGCCTACAGGCTCAGCTGAGGCCCTTAGGGAGGCTGGAGGACAAGGATGCCAAATGGTCAGATGCCCATGGCCAAGTGGGGGTTCCAGCTTGGCAACCCTGTGGTTCGGAGAGCTGGGGACCTCTGCACCCCGGCAGTTCATGGGACTATGTGGATCCCATCCTGGCCTCTCTGAGCTCTGGACTAGGGGCTGGGCCTAAAGTGGCCCATGGGTGGCTGGGCGAGGTGGCTGATGCCTGTAATCCCAGCACTTTAAGAGGCCGAGGCCGGCGGATCACTTCAGGTCAGGAGTTCGAGACCAGCCTGGCCAACATGGTGAAACCCTGTCTCTACTAAAAATACAAAAATTAGGCAGGTGTAGTGGCAGGCACCTGTAATCCCAGCTACTTGGGAGGCTGAGGCAGTCAGGAGAATCGCTTGAATCTAGGAGACGGAGATTGCAGTGAGCTGAGATCGTACCACTGCACTCCAGCCTGGGCAACAGAGAGACATTCTTTCTCAAAAAAAAAAAAAAAAGTGGCCCATGGGCTGGTATGAATCCCCCCACCCACCCACTCACCCCCAGATATCTCCCACCCTCCTTCCTGTCCTCCCTCCTTCCTTCCCTACTCTCCATGCCCATCCCTCTTCTCACCCTTCCCCCAACCCCACCTTGGCACCCAGACAAGAGATCCCAGGTGCTGGGGCCACATCCGTGAACATGACAGACAGGGTCCCTGTTCTCCAGGACTTTGACATTGTGTGTCTGAGCCTGGGACAACTTCTCAACCGGGTGCACAATACAATCTTTCTGATTTAAGGTCTTTTTTTAAAATTATTAAATAAAATTGTTTTAAGAAACAGGGTCTCACTCTGTCACCCAGGTTGAAGCGCAGTGGTGTGATCACAGCTCACTGCAGCCTTGAACTCCTGGGCTCACGGGATCCTCCCACCTCAGCCTCCTTAATAGCTGGGACTACAGGTGTGCACCACCATGTCCCACTATGATTGTTACATATTTCTATGTCATTTAAAATAAAGTCACTATCAAAAAAAACTGGCCAACCACAGTGGCTCATCCCTGTAATCCCATCACTTTGGGAGGCTGAGGCGGGAGGATCACTTGAGCTCAGGAGTTCAAGACCAGCCTGGGTGACATACGGAGAGCCCGTCTCTACAAAAAATTTAAAAATTAGCCAGGTGTGGTGGTGTGCACCTGTAGTCCCAGCTATTCAGGAGGCTAAGGTGGGAGAATCCCTTGAGCCCAGGAGTTTGAGGTTGCAGTGAGCTATGATTGCACCGCTGCACTCCAGCCTGGGCAACAGAGAGAGAACCTGTCTCTAAAAAGTGTTTTTTTTTAAATTTTTTTTAATTAAATGAACTAAAAGAAAAAATTCCTGGTCCAGCCACATCCCCTGGTTTGGGTTCCAGCAAAGACTACTAGAGTGGCGACCCCCTGCTGCTGAGGCCCACTGGGGAAGGGAGCTAGGGGCAGGGCATCTGGGGTGGGAAGTGTGGCAGGAGCAAGGGCACAGAGCAGAGAAGAGTGTGCGGGATGGGATGGGAGTGAAGGAACCGGGCGGGCGCAGGGGAGGCTGCAAAGCCAAGTGGACTGGCCCTGGAGGGTCTCATGGGCCTGGCTGGAGCATCTGGACTTTGTTCAGAGAGCAGTAGGGAGCAATCAAAGGTTTCTGAGCTGAAGAATGACCAAGCTGTGCTGATTTTAACTGTTGGCACCATGGAGGACAAATGAGAAAAGGCACCTGGTTTGATGGCAGGAGGCTTTGACCAGGTAGGGGCTGTGGAGACCTGACCTCGGCAATTGGATGTCAAGGGAGATGGACATGGGAAGTGTCATGGGGTATGAGGATGGACTTAATAAGTGGGGGTGGCACTGCTTGCTGGGGTCTCAGAGTCAGCCTCTCAGAGTCAGCCATACCAGATGTGCTCCTCCTACAGTGCTCCCGACCTCAGAAATGTCCCATCCTCACCTGGCCCTTCACACCACCAAAACCTGGTGCCATCCTGGGCTCCCTCTCCCTCACATTGTTGCCATCCCCAAGTCACTTTGATTTTGGCTCCCAAATTTCTCTGAAGTGTGCCCCTCCCCTCCTCCAGTGCATCCTCTGTCCAAGGCCGGGCCCTGCCTCTCCAGGCCTGGACTAAGGCCATGGCCTCTATCCGGCCTCAGGTCTCCAGCCTGGTACTGCTGGTCCATCCCCTGCAGAACAACCAAAGGGATCATTCTAGAATCTGCGTCCAGCTCACCCCCTCCTCATCCTCGTGGCTTCCTGATTCGTGGGGTGGATGTCCACTCCCCCAACAACTCACCCCTCCTAAACACCATCAACCTCTCACTGAGCTACTTGCCCCTGCTTCACACATAACGTTGACTGTGCATCCGCTTTGCACTGGCCCCATGATTGTGTCAAACGCTGGGAACTGGGAGAGGACTGAGACTGAGAATCAGTTACAAGGGTGTAGGATCAGGCAAGGCCCCTCTGCGGACCAGCACGCTGAGCTGAGTTCTGGAGGATGAGCAGGACAAAGGGAAGAGTATTGCAGGAAGAAGCAACAGCCAGAGCGAAAGGCCCACGGCAGCAGGCAGCTGGACCCAGTGGAGGGAGCCCTGACCACCTCAGCATGTCGGCTCCTGGCATCCCTGCCCCCATTGTGTCTCATTGTCCCAGGATGGTGGCTTCGGAGGGGCAGGGTCTGAGCCTGGGCAGAGAGCAGGGCTGGCTCCCAGGCGCCTGTGGAATACACTGAGGTGTGGGGGACCCTATTTTTTGAAAAAACAGTTTTATTGGTCAGGCATGGTGCCTTACATCTGTAATCACAGCACTGTGGGAGGCCAAGGTGGGAGGCTTCCTTGAGCTCAGGAGTTTGAGACAGGCTTGGGCAACATAGTGAGAACTCTTCTCTACTAAAAATTTAAAAAATTAGCCAGGTGTAATGATGCATGCCTGTAGTCTCAGCTACTCACAAGGCTGAGGCGGGAGGATCACTTAAGCCCAAGAGTTCGAGGCTGCAGTGAGCTGTGATCGCAACGCTGCACTGTAGCCTGAGGGACAGAACAAGACTGTCTCTAAATAAATAAATAATAAACGGTTTTATTAAGATAAAAGTCACATACCATGTAATTCATCCTTTTAAGGCACATAATTCAGTGGTTTTTAATAATCACCAATATCTAATTCCAAAACATTTTAATAATCTCCAAAAGAAACTCCATATCCATTAGAAATCACTCTCCAATATCCCCTCTTCTCCAGCCCCTGGCAACCGCTAATCTACTTTCTGTCTGTATGGATTTGCCAGTTTTGGACATTTTAAATGAATGGACTCCAGACAATATGTGTCTGGCTTCTTTCACTTAGTATAGCGTGTTTTAAGATTCATCATGTAGTAGCATGAATGGGTACTTCACTCCTTTTTATGGCTGAATAATATTCCCCTGTATGGATATGCCACATCTTATTTATCCATTCATCCGTGAGTGGACATATGGGTTGTTTCTACTTTCTGGAGATCATGAATAATGATGCTGGGGCCAGGCATGGTGGTTCATGCCTGTAATATCAGCACTTTGGGAGGCCAAGGCAGGTGCATCACCTAAGGTCAGGAGTTCGAGACCAGCCTGACCAACATGGTGAAACCTCATCTCTACTAAAAATACAAAAATTAGCTGGGTGTGGTGGCACATGCCTGTAATCCCAGCTACTAGGGAGGCTGAGGCAGGAGAATCACTTGAACCTGGGAGGCAGAGGTTGCAGTGAGCCGAGATTGCGCCATTACACTCCAGCCTGGGCAACAAGACTGAAACTTCATCACAGTAAAGGAAAAAACAAAAACAAAAAAACTGCTGGAAACATTTGTGTTCAGGTTTTCATGTGGACATATACTTTCCCTTCTTTTCGGTGTGTATACCTAGGAGTGAAGCTGCTAGGTCATAGAATAACTCATTTTTTAATGTTTTGCTAAATGGCTAGATGGTTTTCACAGTGGCTGCACCATTTTATATCCCCACCAGCAAAGCACACGTATTCCAATTTCTGCAAATATTCACCAACACGTGTTATTGCTTGTCTTTTTGATATCCCAGTGGGTATTAAATGGCATCTCATTGTGATTTTGACTAGTGACTAATGATGTCAAGCGTTTTTTTTTTTTTGAGACAGGGCTTCACTCTGTCACCCAGGAAGTGATGTGATCTCGGCTCACTGCAACCTCCACCTCCTGGGTTCAAGTGATTCTCCTGCCTCAGCCTCCCAAGTAGCTGGGATTACAGGCGCCCACCACCACACCCAACTAATTTTTGTATTTTTAGTGGAGACAGGGTTTCACCATGTTGGCTAGGCTGATCTCAAACTCCTGACCTCAGGTGATCCGCCCACCTTGGCCTCCCAAAGTGCTGGGATTACAGGCGTGAACCACTGCACCTGGCCATTTGAATATCTTCTTTGGAGAAATTCTATTCCAATCTTTTGCACATTTAAAAATTGGTCTATTTGGGCTGGGCGTGGTGGCTCACCCCTGTAATCCCAGCACTTTGGGAGGCCGAGGCAGGTGGATCACAAGGTCAGGAGTTCGAGTGAAACCCTGTCTCTACTAAAGATACAAAAAATTAGCCAGGTGTGGTGGCACGCGCCTGTAATCCCAGCTACTCAGGAGGCTGAGGCAGAAAATTGCTTGAAGCCGGGAGGCAGAGGTTGCAGTGAGCCAAGACTGTGCCACTGTACTCCAGCCTGGGCAACAGGGCGAGACTCAGTCTCAGAAAAAAAAAAAAAAAAAAAAAAAATTGGTCTACTTGTCCTTTGATTGTACATTGTAAGAATTCTTGGTGCTTCTGGATACAAGTCCCTTGCTGGGGGAAGGAGCTGGGATACCAGGCCAAGGAGCCAGGCCCTGGGGCTGCCTGGGCTCTGCTCTCCCAGTCCTCTGGCTGTGGGCTCAGGGGTCTCATGGAGGGGGTCCAGTGTCCCCTGGGAGGGAGGATATCTGCCCCATGAGTCACCTCCCACCTCCAGTTCCCCCACTCCCTCTGCCTCTATTGGGCTTCAGACACCGCAGCGTGAACACTTCACAGGGCCTATGGTGTCCCCTGACCCCCGACCAAGGCTCAGGTCTGGCAGCTGGTTTTGATAACCGGGGAAAGCAGAAATGCTAGATCCTTTCATAGGTGACTACAGAGAAGCTGCCACCTGCTTCACAACCGCCAGTGTGACAGATCAGCCACCTCTGCGGCCTGGAGGTCCAGCCCAAGGCTTATGGGGCAGGCTGCGGGAGGGAAGCCTGCCAGGGCAGCCACCGCCCCCTTACACCAGGCCCTCCCTTGCCCTGCTTATTTAAACTTCTTGAACTTTCCATAGTTTGTAAGTTGAGCTCCTATAACTTTGAGAATCAAGGGAAATGTGAAAAAACAAAACCCAACTGCAGCCGCTGGCTGATTCGGCTCAGACATTTGGGGGAATCTTTCTCTGGGGCTGCCCAAAGCCAGTGGCTGGGCTGCAAACACAGGAGCGGTGCTGGCTGTATCTGTCACATGGGGTCTCACCTCCTCCTATAAGCCTGAGGCCTCATGTCATTGGCGGGTCACTGTCGTTCACAGGCACCCCTTCTGCGTGCGGGGGCCCTGGGCCATTGCAAAGGCAGCACGATGCAGCCCCTGTCCCAGGGCATGAGGTACAAAGTGGTAAAGGGACTTGTGACGGTTAAGGGAGGTGAACCCAGGTGCAGCTCTGGGGCCCAAGTGTGGCTTCCAGAAGCTGGGGAGGGATCTCCAGGTGAGAGAGTTCTCAATTTCCCTTCAAGGAAGGTTAGGACTTCAACACAGCGGTAAGGATCTTGCAGACAAAAAGAACGACCAAGTGCGCAAAGGCTTGGCACATGGGGAGCCCTGCCACGGGAGCCCATAGCCAGGGGGCCCGCGCTAGTGGAGGGCCGTTATCTAGGAATGAAGAGGAGCAGAGCGGGAGAAGCCAGCTGGGCTGACTGTCCCTGGGCCCCAAGTGCTGGACTGAGAACCATGTTTACCTCCTAGCTACACCTCCTCAATGATGCTACTAAGTACTAAAGAGCACTCAGCCCCTTCCTAGACTTTGCCCCGCCCCTGGGTCCCCATCACCTCCCCTCAAGACCTGCTGGTCCCATCTTCCAGGAGACATTCTGTGTTGAGACAGCATTTTTTGACTTTGCCTCTGCAGGATTGGGCCTCCGGCAGGCTCCTCGCTCCTGCGGCGCCCCAGCTGGGCCTGCCACCCGCCACCTGCCACCCGCCCACGTGGAGCCCCCTCTGCCCCTGCTGGCGCTGCCTCGGCTTTGGCAGGCTGTGGGCCCTGAGGCCTCTCTGCTCACTGATTATGCAGCAGCCGGTGGGCTCGGGAGCCAGAGCGAGAGATTTATTGTGGTTTTTAGGGGGCGTTTAGGAGCCGACGTGATAATGTCTGTGAACGCACTTTGTAAACTGTAACGGGGGAGTGCTGTGCACACGTGAGGGCCTGGGGCTGGGGCTGCGGACGGGAGCCCAGCCCCCAGATGACATCCTGGGGCTCAGTCGGCAAGCCCCTTCAGTCCCAGTGGGTGGCACGAGGGTGGGAATCCCAGGCTGCATCTGCTGGAGCAGGGCCTCCCTGGGCCTGTGGGGGCTGGGACGTCTGTGTCACCAGGCAGCTCTGGAATGAGCTGTGAGCCAGAAAATTGCCCAGGTCCCTCCCTCGCCCGAGAAACCCCGTTGCACTGCCGTGAAAGTGACATGCTTCCTGGCTGTAGAGGGGACCAACTCCAGGCCTCCTCACCCCTGCTGTGGGGAGACGGAGAGAAGGGGACCACAGCTGGACGGGGCTGTCTTCCAGGAAGGGGAGCTACGCACAGGCAGGGGCTCCGCCATCCCAGCCTTCTAGCTAACTGTTACTATCTGAGAATCCTTATTCAGTGGCATATATTTGTTGAGCACCTACTATGCGCTTTGCACTCTTCTAGATGCTAGCGGTCTAGCAGGGATCAAGACAGACGAAAATCCCCACACTCATGGACCCTGGGTGAGGGAGGGCAAAGACAGACAACTCACAGGTGAAGAAGGATGACTATAGATAATGGTCGTTACCATAGAAACAGGAAAACTGGGAATGACTGAAGCTAGGGGGTCAGGAAAGGCCTCTCTGAGGGACCCTCATCCCTCTCTCCAGGTGGTACCCGTCCATGGCTTCTGGAACAATCTGGGCCCCGAGAGGCTCAGCTGGTCCCCCAGCCACCTGCCTAGGCAGCCCTGGGGCTCTCAGACTGCACGAGGGGCTGCTCTGGGTCCGGTGCCCCATCTGGCCACTGTTGGGGCTGTAGTCAGGGTCCCCAACTGAGCTGTCTTCATTTCACTGGAAAGCTGGTGAGGGGCAACGGGAGGGTGAGGCTCAGGTGTAGCTGGAGAGCAGCTGCGGTAGGCGCTGTGCCCCCACTTCACAGCTGAGGAGACTGAGGCCTGCCTAGAGGTGCCAGCTGGTAGAGGTAGAATTTGAACGTAGGTCTGTCTGATTATTTTCTGAATGAAAAATCAGGTCCACGGTCTCCTGGGGACAGCAGGAGCATCTCCTCGAGCTTGGGACTGGTTGCCTTTATAATCTCGAGAGTAATGAGAAGCAAACTAGTGCTGTTTGAGTGTTACTGGTGCCAGGTGCTGTTCTAAGTACAGAACCTGAGTTATCTAATTTAAGCCCCAGCACAACCTGATAAGGTGAGAACTGTCATTAATAGCCCCACTTTACAGACAGAGCAACTGAGGCCAGTAAGGTTAGGTAACTTGCCCAAGGCCACACAGAGCAGAGCTGGATGTGAACCCTCCAGGGTCCATGTGTTTAGCTGCTCCTTTTTCCTGTTTCCACCTTCAAGGTCACAGGTCTTAGGCCTTGGGATTGTCAGATTGTGCTGAGGTCCCAACCATGCATGGTCCTGTCACCCTCATTACAGTCTCTTGAGTCTGTTGGTTTTATAATCCCCTCTACTGTTTTTACAGATGAGGAAACTGAGGCCTCGAGCAGGTGAGTCACAGCTAGGTGATCGGGAAGTCAGGATGTGAACCCAGACCAGCTCAGAGCTGGAGCATTAACTGCCTGGTTCTCCCTCTTCCTTGCCCATCATCAGCTGTCTTGTTTGCCCCCGCTCCCCCATAAAAGCCCATAGAGGCTGGCGGTGTTCCCCCACATGACAGATGGGCACACTGAGGCCCAGGAAGGTGGTCTGTGGCTCGTGTGTTGTTGCTGGCTGTTGAGCTAGGCCTGCTTTCCTGCCCCCTCAGTGAGGAGGGCAACTGGCCAGGCCGCTGTGGCAAGGGAGTAGTTGAGGAGGTGGGGTGCCCAGGTTGTGCAACCTCCCTCCCAGGAGGGAGACCTGTCTGGAGCCAGCTCTGGGATGCAGGTGCCTGCCTCTCCTGCACTGCAGACCAGTCCCACCTCCTGGACTTAGCTCTGGATCTAACCCTGAGGGGGGTCTTGCTTCCCTTCAGGGTAGGGACACTTTGGGGGGTGCATAAGCTTCTGGCTTAGTGCCCGGTCAGCCTTGTGACCTTGGCAAGGTCACCCAGTCTGAACCTGTTTCTTCTCTGTAAAATGGGATGCTGGTGTCTGGCTGGGTTTGTGACACAGATTTTTAGTAAAACCTGAGATGCGTCTGGTGGCTGGGAAGGGGCAGCTCTTGTCCAACTCCCCCTTGTCCTCTGCTCAGGAAGCAGCAGCATGCAGGGGTACCCCGGCACCTGCCCCAGGAGTCAGTAGAGCTGTGTCGGCCCTGGGGGGCTGTCTAAGCTAATTTGTCCCTCTCTCCTGCCCCCAGGGACACTGGCCAGCTGCTGCCCTCAGACCCGGTGGCCCTGAGACCTGGCTGTGGCCTCACAGGTGCCAGGGTGGCACAGCTGGACCCTGCGGGCCCTCCTGGACAGTCCCCAGGCAGACTGCACCTCCTGGAGGGATCTGATCCCAGTCTGAGGGCAGCAGCAACAGAGGCTTGGAAGCCTTGGCAGTGGGATTAAGGTGGAGAAAAATGAGCTTGGAAATCATTAGCTTCCTTGGTTGGCGAGAGCCACCCCGAATGAACATTCGGGGCTTTTAAAATGAACATCAGCTGCAGGGACCGGTGCCCTGTGCCTGCCACGGCCCAGGCTGCCTTGTGGAATCCCAATCCCGGCCTTTCTTCTTCGGTTGCTGCTCAGCCAACACTTACTGAGCGCCTACTGTGGGCCAGGCCCAGAGCCAGGACGGAGGGAGAATCCAGCCAGAGAGCAGCAGCCCTGTGGCGAGAGCGCAGCCGCAGAGGCCGCGGTGCCAGCCAGGGAGGACTCAGGCGGGGCGGAGCAGGCGCCACCACCTCCACGGGGGCTGTGGCTGCACAGAGGGACTGGGTGGCCACTCGGGGGGCAGTCCCGGGAAGCTTCCCAGAAGAGGGGCCTTACGGGGTGGGGGTGGCCATCCACAGAGGGGGACCTGCGATGCACTGGGGTATGGCAGGCTGGGGCGGGAGAACTCGCGCGCCTCCCAGGCCAGGCAGGTGGGCCTGGTGGGGACTGAGGCCAGCTGCGGGCCCGCGTCTTGACAGACGGCTGGCAAGCGGAATGCACGAGGGGGAGGCTGCTGCCCGGGCCTTCTCTTCTCCAAACCGAGCTGATCGGTGGATTTTTATGAGAAAATTCCAGATTTTTAAACGATGAGAATTAATTCCAATTAAAAACAAAAAATACTATGGTGTCACGCAAGCCTGGCTTCAGGCTGGGTTGGGCCCGTGGGCCTAGAGTTTCTGATCTCTGGTGGCCGTGGGGATGCGGGTGGGGGTGGCGCAGGCCGGTTAGAAGGGGGGTCGGTGAGGGAGGAACGGTGGGCGGGAGGGGGGGGCGGCCGGTGGGCTGGTGGGGGTTTTCTGAAGGCGTGGGGTGGGGAGAGCCGGTGGAGTGGGGGCTGGCCTCACCCCCAGCAGCGGCACCGTGCGTGGGGGGCTGGGCGCGGGTGGGCGGGGGCTGGAGGCAGAGCCCCCCCTACCCCAGCCCGGCGCGCCGCGGCCGCCCGCCGCCTCCATCCGGGCCTCTCCCCACCTCCCGCCCGCCCGCCCCCGCCCGCGCCCCTCCCCCGCCGGCGCGCACGGCTCCCGCCGCCCCTCCTCCGCCCGCCCGCCCGCCCTCCGCCCGCTCTCCCCGGCTCCCTCCCGGTCTCTCTTAAGTGCCATCGAGGGGCGCCGGGAATTGCAGCCAGTAAATCGCGTCCCACCACTCAGCGGCGGGGCCACCGCAGCGGCGCCGCCCGCGCCCGCCGGGAGCCCGCGCCGCCCGGGCGCCTCTCCAGGGCCCGCGAGGCCCGCCCCCCACCCGGCGCGGCGCTGCGCAGGGCCTGCCCCCGGGCCGGCCGGGGCGCGCGGGGCCCGCGCTGGAGGCGAGGACGCGGCGGCCGCGGGGCGCACGGCCCGGAGCGCGCGGCCCGCGCCCCCGCGCGCCCTGCTCGCGCCCGCGCCCCGCGCTCCGGAGCCCGGCCCCGCTGCCCGGGCTCTCCTGCGGGACCGATGCCGGCCCTCCGGCCGCCAGGGTAAGGGGACAGCGCGGGCGCGGCGGGGGGCGGGGGGTGGGCGCCAGCCCCTGGGGCCCGATGCCCGCCCAGCATCCGCGTCTGGCACGTGGGGGCGTCTCAAGTTCCCTCTGGAGGCCAGACAGGTGGCGAGGACGCGGGGGTGTGAGGCTCAAAGGCTGGCACTTATCGCGCGCCTGCTGTGCGCCAGCGGTGACCGTTCCTCTGAAGTAGGGGGTGTTTGTCCCCATTGTACAGATGAGAAAACGGAGGCTAAGAGTGGGCAAATGGCTCGCTCAAGGTCCCCGGCTAGCAAGTGGCCAGCCGGGATTTGCCCCTGGGGCCGCTTGACTCTACAGTGGGAGCTCACCCCTCCAGGACACTCACAGCGACAGAGTGAGGCTATGAATATTTCATTGTAGAAAAGAAGAAAAAAAAATCATCCATTGTCCCACCACCATAATGCAGCCACTGTAAGCGCTTGCGTTTTTTATTTCAGCCTTGCTCTTTTTCCTCCTTTCCTTAAGAGTGTGTGCTTTGGGGTCAGTTGGACCCTGGTTCCCTCCTGACTAGCGCCTAGAAGCTGAAAGGTTTTAAACAAGGCCCCTTAGCTCCCTGGCCTTGGGTGTCCAGCCTAGGGAAAAGGAGACACCCCCACGGTGCCCGAGGGGATTAGATGAGACCTGGTAGGTAGCCCTGAAGGAGGGGGAGGAAATGGGGAGGGTCCAGGGCCTAGAGGGAGGGTCATCCATTCAGCTGGGATTCTGGGAGCACCAATTTAATGCGGAAGTAGGGTCGGGCTCTGGAACTGGGTGAGATGGGGGCAGCCTTGTCCACCTGCTTCTGACCCGAGGGCTCTGTCCAGCATGGTGGGGCTGCCTAGCCACACACCCGGCCCTTGGCAGGCCCCTGCCTCCTCTCCTAGTGTCTGGCAAGGGGACAGCCCCCTGGCTTCACCTCTGCCCAATGAGATGAACTACCTCCAGGAGGTAGTCTAGTGCTGCTCAGAGTTTTGAACCCGGGCCAACATTTGGGTCCTGGCCTCTCTCAGCCCTGGGCTTTGGGGCCTTCCCCGGCTCACAAGCTTAGCATCAGGTCCCAGTCTTTATCCTACCCCAGGACTGTGGCATCACTTCCACCCAGTACCCACCCTGGAGACTCCAGGCCTGTGGCCTTCCTACCTGCCTGTCCATCCAGTCAGCCCTCCCGTCGTTTCTCCCCCATTCCCCATCTGCCCTGGACGTACCGGCCCCTCCTCCCCATCCATGACTGTCCATTGGGACGCCATTGCCAAAGCTATCATTTTAAATGCAGCTCTGAGCTTCCAAACTCTTCAGCTGTCCACAAACCTAAACTAGGCCAACCTCCTGAGCCACTTTTCGAGGCTGGACCTCTCCTCTGAGCCGTCTCCCCTGCCCACCTCTCTGGCCTCACCCCAGGGAAGTGGATGTACCCTGGTCTTAGACCCCCTAAGCACTGGGTCTTCCCTGCCTGAGATGGTCTCTTCCCCACACATCCCCTCCCCCAAGTCTTCCAGCCTCCTGAACTGCTCATCCTCAAGGCCCAGCTACATCCCCTCCTCCCTGTGGTCCTCCCAGACTCCCATCTCCTTCTCAGGTGGGTGAAGTGAAGGCCTTTTTCCATGGGTGCCCCCAGCTCCTGGCAAATCCTTCCATTATTGCTCTCAATGTGGTAGGACGCTTCCATCTTGCCCCCCCCGCCCACCCCGCTGATCCAGACTGGGAGAGCTGGGGCCCGGGTTGGTGTGTCCCCAGGGTCCAGCACAGGGCCAGCCCCTGTGTGGCCAGCTCACAGGTCTTTGAGGAATGAACACTGGGGAGGCTGGCAGAAGCGGAAGGGTCCCTTACAGGGCTCTCGGAATCCCCTTGAGGCTGACAAGGAGCAGGTGTCAGAAGCCTCCTGCTTCCTTGGGGGTCTTCTGCCTGTGAGCAGGATGCCCTTGATTGAGAAGCCGAGGATTGACCCTCTGCCTTTGAGTTCAGGGGCCCAGGTCCTTACCCACCTGGATTCGCTGGGACGGTAATGGTGGGTGCTCAGGCAGAGGGTCCCTCCCTGTCCTGTCTCGGGTGTCTCCAGCCTCCCTTGCCCCATCTAGCCCACCCCTGATGTCCTCCCGGGGAACAGGGAGAGTTATGTCAGGCCCTCTGGCCGAGCGCCAGGGCTCCCCGTGGAACTATAAATTGACCTGTCGGGAGAGGGAAGAGATTAATGTCGGCCATCTTCATTAGCGTGTCCCCCGGGGTGACGGCGTCTGCCCTGAGCTGGCTGATTGGAGAGGGTGTGAGTGAGTGTGGGGGACTGGGGGGTTTGCATCCCCCCCAGAAAGGCAAGGAGCAGAGGCCAGGGCTTGCCAGAGAGCCACGGCCTCCTCCTGCTGCTAGCAGGGCCGTCCCTCCGGCCTCTGCTCCTGGCAGCCGGCGCGCGCTTTGATGGAGGACCTGTGTGCTAATTGGGAGCAGAGCTGCGCGCCCCGCAGCTCCGCGGGGCTCCCAGGCTGACACTGCCAGCTTCGCGGCATCTGCAGGGCCTTCATTAGAGGCTTTCTCCCTGACCAGAAAGGAGCCGGCTGCGGGCTGGTTGGGGTGGGGGGGGGGGCTTCCCTCCTCTCCTTTCCCCTCCCCTTTCCCCTCCCCCTCCCCCTTCCCTTCTTTATTGCGTTGATGGGGAAGGAGGCAGCTTTGGCGTGTGGAAGAGATGATGAGGGATGGAGGCAGCCATTTGAGTTTGAGACCTTGCTGTGCGTCCTGATGACTCTGTGACCTTGGGTTAGGCCCTCTACTGCTCTGCACCTGAATGTCCTTGTCCCAGGAATGGGCATGGTTGTGCTCTCAGGGTGGGGTGGAGTGGGGTGGGCCAGGTGAGTGCTTGTGTACTTGTCTTTGGAAATGAAGGCTGGGCAGATCCTGAGGCTAAGGCACAGACTGAGTCCATCTGTCTGGGGTTGAATCCTGGTGCTGCCACCTCCCAGGAGGCCCTGGGCCCTCTGAGCCTCAGTTTTCTTGTCTGGTGATGGCTGAGGGCCAGGGCTAGTCTCATGCAGTGGAGGTCCCTTTCAATGGACAGAAACAATGGTTGTGCTGGGTGCAGGCTACCGCGGGAAGGGACTGCTGGTTGGGTGACATTGGTTTGTTCCATCATTTATTCACTCACTCATTCATTCATCCAGAACAGGCTCTTGCACAAGGGTCTTGTACCCACAGAGGTGGTTCAAATGTGGCCTTGCCCTCTGACAGTCCCCCTGGGGAAACAGACCTGGGAACAGATGGGGACAGGCTTGCATGAGCTGCTGGGCCCCTTGAAAGGCGTCTCCCTGGGCCTGGGAATGTCTGGACGGCTCTAAGGGGGCCAGTGAAGCAGAACAGGTAAGGAAAGGTTCATCCTTTCCTTACAGACCTTGTTTGTACCAGGTCTCAATATGGCAGGAGCCCAGCTAGTCACTGGGGTTCTGGCCTACTCCCCCTACCCCCTGACCCAGCTGTTGACCAGGTCAGGAGCAGGGGGAGCTTTGCTGAGTATGCAGGGACTGAGGCCCCCTTCCCAGGCCCATTCTTGTCTCCCACCCTAAAACTCTTTCGTGCATCCTGGGATGGTGGGAGGGAGATGGGCCCCACCGGATACCTGAGGTTCTGGCCTGAGTCTGCGCATCAGGCTGGCTCCGTGAGCATCAGGCTGGCCCCGTGAGCACCTGGCTGGCCAAGTGCCTGCCCCAGGCTTGGGATAGGCAGCAGTTGGGGCAGGGCCACCTCCTGGGATGATTGAATCTCACTGTGGCTGTGCCACTCACTAGCTGAGGGTCACTCTCTAAGGCATGTGGTTCTGTTTCTGCAAGCCTCAGTTTCCTCCTTTGGACAATGGGAATCCCGCAGTAGTAATTGTCCAGCACATGCTGACGCAGAGTGGGTGCAGAGTGAGCGCCGTTTTTGTGGTCATTTCTGGCCCCACCAGCTGCCCCAACTCCTCACTTGGCCTTCCATGCAGTTCGCTGCCCAGAGAATGCTGGGTTTAGTCGCTATGGGCTTCTCTATGGCCCCAGATCTTTCCTTCAACAAGCCAGGGGGTACCAGGTACCCACTGTGCCCTGCAGAATGTTTGAAGAAAAAGTGAGTAGTTTTGGATTCTGAAACCCCAGCCCTGAGTCCTGGCTCTAGATCTGTCCAGCTGTGTGGCCTTGGATATATCACTTAGTCTCTGTGTGCCTCTGTTTTCTCGCCTGGAGCTGCAGTGAGATGTAAACTGGAAACCACAGTGTAGATTGCAGTGACCAGTAAGTGCCCACCTTGTGTGAGGACGAGCGCTAGGCCAGGAGTCTGAGCCTTGGGTGCAGCGACTGCCCCTGTGGCTTCGCTGTGTGTCTTTGGTCCGGACTCTTTGGGGAGCACCTGTTAAGGGGGTTCGTGGCATCTGCCTGCCTCACAGAGCTTTTCTGAGACTGGAAAGACCCAGGGGTGGGGAGGAGAGGGGCTGCTCGTGGGAGGGCTTTAAAGGGCTGGATGCCTTCTGGAACAACCCTGTCTCCCTGGATATAGATGACCTCTCCTATCTGAAAAATGGGACCAGACACCCTGCTCACCCCCATCCTTAGATCTCCGTGATTATGGCTTTAATCAGAATTTTAGCCTTTATATTTATAATGCATCTGAAGGGACTCCAGCCCAATTTAATACGAGATGTGTTGAAATAAACTGTCATCTGGACTTTGATATATTAAGATTGCCCTTTGAAAGTCACGTGTTGAGAGGCAGATGATGAAGAGGTGCCTATTGTTGCCGCCTCGTGCCGTGCCCAGCCCGTCCCGCCTGGCAGCCTCCGTCGCAGGAGCTGGCAACATGGCTGTCTGCCTCCGCCTTTCCCGAGCAGGCAGGAATCACTAACGCGTTAGCAGTTTCATTAAGCCTCTCGCCAGCCTCCCCGCCTCCCTCCCGGGCCTCCTCGGTAATTATTTTCCCAGCCCTTCCACTCGCAGCCCCTGAGCGAGCTCTTCGGGATTGGCCGAGTGGCCCCTGCAGGCCGGGCTGCCGGGAGGGACGGGGCTCTGCTGAGGCCCCCTGGGCACCCCCCTCCCGACTCTGCGCTGCCATTTAAGCTTTGTGTCCCCCTGAGGCCTCCGTGAAAATGCAGATCTGCTGCCTGCCAGGGGTGATGGTTAACCCGTTATTACACACCCAGCACGTGTAGTTTCCTCTGTGCAGCCGACCTCCATTCAGACGAAAAGTTTCTCCGGCCCTCTTCTGGGGCTGTCACGGAGCGGGCACTGGGGACCCAGCTGCGAGGGGATTTCTCATGCTGCAGAACCGTGAACATCCAGGGCGGTGGGGGATCTCAGGGGACGCGTGGAGACCGAGGCGGGAGTTGTGTACAGAGTAGGACCTGGGCCCAGAGGGTTTTCTTCCTGGGACGCATGCCCCCACTGGACCCAGGTGGGGCCCAGTACCCCCTCCCTCTGGCCACAGTGACTGGTGGAGAAAGGGGCATGTGGCCCATCTGAGCCCGTCAAAGGCTTCCCTGGAACTGTGACTGAAGGTTGAGTATGCAGGGCCTGAGACCCCCTCCCAGGCCCATTCTGGATTTGGACTCAGCTGTGATTGTTGAAACTGAAGGGTGTGAATATGAGGCCACCGGCCACCCTCTTCCACAGCTGCATTTAGGATGGAGGATTGCGGATAAGGTCATCACATGGAAGGAGGCAGAGCCCAGATGTGGATGGATAGGTGACTTAATTTGGGCCTCTGGATCCAGAATGCCTGAAACTACCCCTGGAATATTTAGTTATATAAATCAACATGTTCTCTTTTTTGCTCAAGCTATTTTGAGTTGTGTTTCTTTCTCTTGCAACCAGTAATGTCCTGACTGATGCAGGAGAAGGATCAGGCAGGATTTTACAAAAGAGGAGACATTTTGAGTTGGGTCTTGCAGGATGAATAAGAGCTCATCCAGCTGAGAAGAGGGGGAAGAGCCCTTAGGCAGAGGGAATAGCAGTGGTCAAAGGCTTGGAGGTACAAAAGCACAGGATGAGGGGGACACCAAGCATTGGCAGTGGCACCAGGGCTTGTAAGCAGAAGTGACAGGCAGGAAGGTGGGGAATGGGAAGCTGATGCCAGGCTGTGAATGCAAGGGTGAGCAGGGATGGGAGCTGAAGGTACTGAAGACTGGGGGAGGGACAGGCAGGAGGGGGAGGTATGGGCTTGGGCAGGTCAGAGGAGGTGCCAGGGAGAGGATAAGGGGGAGAGGAGTGGCAGGGAGGGCATGATGGCAGCGTGGGTTTGGGAATCAGTGACAGGAGGCACCCCAGTGTCAGGGCTAGACCACAGGGGCCTTGGACATGAGGCAGCAGCATCTGGAGGGCCCAGGAGCCCCTGATGTGGTCAGATCTGACTGCGCCATGGAGACCAGGACTCCATGCACTCATTCAGTGAACAGATGTGTGGAGTGCTGTGTGCCAGGCCCGAGGGCACAGCAGTGACTCTTCACGCACAGCCACTGTGTTGTGCAACTCCCAGGCTGATGGGGAGACAGACAGTGAGCAAGGAAGAAGATACGTGGCTATGGGAAGCAGTTCTGTGCTGTGTGGTGATGATCAGGGTGGGGTGCACATGTGGATACCGCTGGCCAGGGTCCTCTGGAGAGGTCTCTGCAAGAGGAAATGTTTGAGTTGAGGCCTGAAGAGCGAGGAGTACCAGTCGTGAGGGAGGTCAGGGGGAAGAGCACCCTAGTCAGGGGCCCGTGCAAAGGCCCTGTGGCAGGTCTGAGTTTGTCTGGGTGTGGGGCAGAAAGGAGGCCATTGTGGCTGGAGTATGGTGGATAGGTGTGTGTGTGGAGGGGGTTTAGGGGCCAGACTGTGCCATGTGGGCCAGTAGGGCCAGGAGATGCCTGGGATTTTATTCTAAAGGTGGCGGGCACCCTTTAGAGGGTCTCAGTAGCAGGTTTGGAGGCAGAGACGGGTGAAGGAGGGAGATGGCAGTGGGGCTGGAGCTGGGAGAGTCCACGTGGCATGGGGAGGTGGGGGAGGGAAGAGCCCAGATAGGATGCCTGGGATGCATGCAGGAGAAGGGATGCCTGAAGCAGGCCTGAGCAGGGAACCTCTGGCTGGAGTGCTCCGGGGGCATCCAGAGCTGAGGTCATCCAAGGGGAGAGGGGGCGGGAGCCGAGGCCCAGCCTGAGGCCTGGAGAGAGAGAGGCTGTCTGGGGTGGGTTTTCCAACCTAGCTACCCGAGCCATGCCAGGTCAGTCCAGCCTGGGTGTGAGAGCTGTTTGCTGCCCTGGACACACCCAGTTCTTGCCACCACCACCCCTCCCCAACAGATCCCGGCTGGAGCGTGTAAGTGATGTCTCCTGCTGCCTGCAGCCGTGCCATCCTCTGCAATGAGGAGTTCACCCAACCTGCTCTGTTTTTTGGCGCCAGCTGGTTTGCTTGACTGGAGGAGGCCACGCTAATGGGGCCAAGGTCACAGGTTGCAGCCTGCATGGTGGCAGGTTGGCTCCCAGACCTGTGGGTGGGTGCCAGGACTGTATTCCTGGTGTCTGGGCAGAGGAGGAGTGATGGCTGGCCCCCAGATTTGGTTGCCCACCACAGGTGGCCTCGGGGGTAAAGTTGGGCTAGGGGCCAGGCTCGTTGCTGGTTTGGGCAGGGCTGGGGGCGTGATCTGAGTGCTGGGGCACCCCCACCCCAGAGCTGGCACCCTGAAGGGCTCCCTGTCACCCCCTTGCCACCCTACTGGCTCCCTAGTCTCACGTCCTGTGCTTCTGCCGCACTCAGAAGCTGCACTTAGAGGTCCCAGAGCCCAGTTCTTTCTTGCCCTCAGGTCTCTGCCCCTGCTATGCCTTCTGCCTGGGACACTTCCCCACTCTCTGCCCCCCTGCTGTCTGCTCAGAGTCAGGGGTAACAGATGCGTGCACTGTGTTCTCGCATTCTCTCTGCCAGTCAGTATTCATTCAGCAAATGCAGTCCCTTAATAAGGATATTGCAGCCCTACTATGCACCAGATGTGGTACTGATTGGGGGTGGGATGGGGAGAGCTACATTTGTGAATAAAGCAGACCAGGTTCTCACCCTCGAGGAGCTCACAGTGGAGTAGGAGTGACAGACAGCAAACAGGTGAAAACGTGGCTGGTGCCGGCCTGTGGGCAGGGCTGTGTGGAAAAGCTGAGTGGTGCCAGAGAGAGAGTGGGAGGTGCAGGGGGTGCTGATAGAGGCAGGGTGGCCAGGGAGCCTTTATCAGGGGCAGGAGAAGGTGCCAGCCATGGGAGGTGTGCGGGGAGAGCATCCCAAGTGGGACTCCTTGCTTTCTTGTCTGTTTCCCCACCCCTCTTGCCTGGTGGGGGCCAGCACAAAACTGGGATCTTTGCTGGGGCTGAGCTGATGTGGGCAGGGCCCCGGGAGCAGGAATGGTCTCGGATGTCTCTGTGGAGCCCAGGTCCCAGGAGCGTATGCAGAACGAAAGTCAGGCTGGGCTCCGGGCCCAGAGGGTGTACAGCTCTGGATACTGTAGGCAGCCAGGGCCTGAGACACGGGATGGGGTGTGGAGTCTTGGGTCCTGGTTCATCCTGAGGCCCTGCTAGATCCATCCATTGCTGAGGTCCAGAGCAAGGTTCCCTTCCGACAACTCACACAAAGGACTAAAAGTCCCATGGGACGGACAGACAGGACTGAGGAGCCCACGTGCTTGGGGCCAGATCCTTCCCCACTTAGACTAGGCTGTGAGACTACACTCAGGCAAGGCCCTGAATTTGAGCCTCAGCGTCCTCATCTGTAAAATGGGGATGACTATTCCACCCTTGTGAGGCTGCTTAGAGAATTAGATGTGATAGTCTCAGTGCAGCGCCTGGCTCATGACAGGCGCCAGTGTGTCTGCCACACTGTTGTTCTCGGCATGTGCCGAGTGTGTAAGGGCTGGAGCGGTTGTTGACTCGGAACCACCTCCCTGCAGCCTAGCCTGTTCCCTGCTCTGCCTCCAGCTCCTAGAACAGTGGCTGCAGCACACAGTTGCTGTTTGTTGACTGACTGAGTGAACTGGCTGCTTGAGTGAGCAGCCCCCAGGTGATGGGGAGGACAGGGCACAGGGGACTGAGTTGTGCCCAGGGGCTGACCATGGGCATCCAGCCATCTAGCTGCTTCTTGACTCCTCATTGGGGTACCCCTGGGACACCAAACCTCCTAGAGCCTCAGTGTACTCCTCTGTAAAATGGAGCCAATGATGATTCTGACCCCGGGCCCTGTCCCTAGGTTGTTGGCAGACTCATGAGAAAATGATATTAAAGGGCCGTGAGGACAGCTGAGCCTACAAATTGTTGGTGAGGTTGCCACCAGTCTGATTTCCCAAGGCCACCCAAGGTCCCAGGGAGGAGGGTGAGATGTTCAGGCTCTGGACAGGGAACCAGGCCTCTCCCTGCTTCCAGCTGCCCATGGTGTGAGGGGCACCTGGCCATGCAGCCCCTCTGACACCAAGGGTACCATTATGTTGAGTCACCTTTATCTGGTGGCTCATCTGGAACCTTGTGAGCCTGTTCCCACAGGAGTCTGCTAAACTCCAGCCCCAGGCAGGGGCCACCCGTTGGCCTGGGTTCCCACTGCGCTTGTGCCTATGGTCCTGTGTCCCAGTGGCACCTGGAGGAGCCATCGTGGTGGGCCGGTGCTCCTCCTAGAGGGAAGCCCTAGGCCAGGCCTGGCACATAGTGGGTGAGCAGGTTGGGCACCTGGAAGCTTGGGCTAGGCCTGCCTTCTATCGCCTTCCTCTGTGTGTGGCTGTGGGCAGTGAGTTACAGGCTTAGTACCTACTGCGTGGAGCAGTAGGCATACTGTGTGTTCTGGTCTCTGAATTGCTCTCCACTTTGTGGCGAGGGGCAAGCTGGCTCACAGGGGCCTGATATGAGGGTTTTTACACCTTTACCCCTTTGCCTCTGAGGCAGGTGGGGACCACTGGTTCCTTACCGAAACTGAGGCTCAAAGAGGGCCAAGGTGTGGTGGAAGCCAGATACTTTTCTGCTTCTGTGTGACTTGCGTTCATGGTGCAGTGGCTGTCAGCCAGGCTTGTGCACAGCCCTGGTGCACCGTCCTCTAAAGCCTCTGCACAGCGAGACAGCTCCTGCCACTGTCTACACACAGCCCTGGTGCACCATCCTCTAAAGCTTCTGCACAGCGAGGCAGCTCCTGCCACTGTCTACACACAGCCCTGGTGCACCATCCTCTAAAGCCTCTGCACAGTGAGGCACCTCCTGCCACTGTCTACACACAGCCCTGGTGCACCATCCCCTAAAGCCTCTGCACAGCGAGGCAGCTCCTGCCACTGCACACAGACTGGGTGCACCGTCCTCTAAAGCCTCTGCACAGTGGGGCAGCTCCTGCCATTGCATTTTGCCAATGCAAAAACAGAGATTAAGAGAGGCAGAGTGACGCAGCCAGGCTTTTGTTTTTACTTTTTCTTGGAGGTATAACTTAATACAGAAAAGTGCACACTTCTTAAGTGTACAGCTATAGGTAGCTGTGCAGCCTCCATCCAGATCCAGACCTAGAACATCCCCAGTGCCCCTGGAGGCTCCCCCGTGCTCCTCCCAGTCAACCCCCACCTGCTGCCAGCAGCTGCCCCCACTCCTGGCATCTGACAGTAGAGGCTGGCCTTGTCCATCTCTGCACTTTATAGAAACAGAGCCGCACAGCATGGTCCCTTTCCTGTAGCATCGTGTTTGCCCATGCAGTTGCTTTATCAGAAATTGGCTGTGCGGGGCACGGTGGCTCATGCCTGTAATCCCAGCACTTTGGGAGGCTGAGGCAGGCAGATCACTTGAGGTCAGGAGTTTGAGACCAGCCTGGCCAATATGGTGAAACCCCATCTCTACTAAAATTGCAAAAATTAGCAGGGAGGCTGAGGCAGGAGAATTGCTTGAGCCCGGGAGGCGGAGGTTGCAGTGAGCCGAGATGGTACCACTACACTCCAGCCTAGGCAACAACAGAGCGAGACTCCGCCTCAAAAAAAGAAAGAAAGAAAGAAATTGGCTGAACTGGTATTTGAACTCTCCCGCTCACTCTCCCCGTCGAACCCAGAGTGCTGCCCTTGCTTACATTGCCATCACCCTTGGAATGAGACCGAGATCCTCCCCCTGGCTGTTCCTGCTCCAGCTCCTGCACTGGTCACTACACTCCAGCCACATAGAGGGACCTTTTGTTCTCAAAAGCCCTGAGCTGCTTCCTACCTCAGGGCCTTTGCACTTGCTGTTCCGACCTCCCAAGCTTCTCCCTGCCTGGCTAATACCCTCAGAGCCCAGCTGGAGTATCACCTCCTCTGCCAGGCAGGGCCTTCCTGGTGCATGTTATCAGGCTAGTTCGTAGTGCCCATGTCATTTGTAATAGTTATCTGTTATGCATCTGCTCGCCCTAGACAGAAAACTCCAGGAGGCAGGGATGGTGTCTGCTGAGTTCACGGCTGGACCCCGGTGCCTTTCGTTGGTTCACTCACTCTTCCTTCCTGTCATCTGTTCCTTCAGCAAGTCCTGAGCACCTGACATGTGATAGCATCTTGCTAGTATTTGTTGAGCGGATGAGTGGATGAAGGAATATCCATCTGTCTCTAAAGCCTGTACTCTTTCCACTACATTCCGTGATCTCTGACACCCCTCTCTTGGCCCCATTTTCCCCAGTTGTCAAATGAAGGAACCAGACCTTCCCTTCCTGGCTAAGTTCAGATTCTGAGGATGTAAGGCAAGTGGGCTGGCTTACAGCCCAGCTGCGCAGGGTAGTGACCATAGACTACAAGGCAGGTTCTGCACCACCCCCAGTGCCTGGCAGAGTGCTTTCCACACCTGCACCATCAGAGCCCCCAGGCTGCTGTTGGGGTGCAGGGCTCAAGCCCTAGACATGTCAAGGGACTTGCTGAGGCCACACATCTGACCACAGCCTCAGAGCTCCAAGCTCAGCCTGCTGGGCCTCAAGGGCAGGAAGAGGCAAGGTTGCCCGGGTCTGGGAGGCACTGGGAATAGGGCTGGTGATGGGGGTCCCTGGTGGACCTGGGTTCCTGTCTGACTTAACCCCACAAGGCTATGTGGCTTTGGTAAGTCACTTTCTCTCGTGGGCTATAGAAATGGGAGTGACTGTTGTGATTGTCCCTCCCTGATAGGGCCTCTGAGGCTCACGAGATCTCAGGGAGCACACAGTAGGTCTCTGTGAGGCCAGCTGTTTCCAGGGCGTGCGGCAGGACTGGGTCTCTGCCGGGAGCTGTGCAGCACCCGGTGGCTCGTGGCTTAGCGGCTTGTCAGCCAGGCGGGCGGGTGTCCTGGGGCCGGGTTTGATTAGTTCAGGTTGACAGTCGCGCTCCGCGGCGCTGCCGGGAGGGGAGCCCGTGATTACCCTAATGAAGCTTGAACACAGTTTGTCATCCAAACAGCTGGTTCGTAGCTGTGCTGCTGCCAGCTGCCCGACTCAGCAGTGCAACCGCATGCCCAGGACCGCCCCAGCCCCGAGCAGCCCTGCCACCTGCTCGATGGATGACCAGGGGCAGGGGGTGGCGGCCCTGGGTGGGCTGTGGGGCAGCCCCAGGGGAATGAGATGGGCCACTCAGGGGTGGGGGACTTGGCAGAGCCTTAGACCAGCGAAGCAGGGCAGCTTCTCAGGACATTCACGGGCAGCCCCTGATCCTAGGCCTCAGTTTCCCCATCTGTAAAGTAGGTATTGGTGACCTTGCAGCTTCAAGTTTCTGAATTCAGGCTGAACTGTTGCCTCCTCTGGGAACACTTCCTGGACTCTGTGGGCTGGATCAGGGGCTCGGATGGGTGCCCACAGCCCTCAAGGCAGGCCCTGCCACCCCGATGGCCCTGTGTTGTCACTGAAGGTCAAGAGTTGTCATGTCTCACTCATCCACTCATTTATTTATTCATTTAATAAATAGTAAGAACACACAGCAGTGAGCAAGACAGTCCCTGTTCTGCATTCGTGGAGTTTTCAGTCTGGTTTGGGGGAGACTGTGGGGCTGTGACCTCATCTAGGGGATAGAAAAGACTTCCTGGAGGATATAGCATCTGAGCTCAGAACAACCAGCAGGGGAGAGACACAGAGAAGAGTGTTGCAGGCAGGAGGAACAGCGTGTACAAAGGCCCTGAGGTGGGGGGGAAGGAGCGAGGTGTTTGGAGGGATGTTGGGCACCCGGGGACACTGCAAACGTCAGTGCCTCAGGGACTTATTCCTGCCCTGTGCTCAGCAAGTTCACTGTGATGCCCTCTCATTGACCCTTTGTTATGGCCCTGGAAGGAAGGATCACTGTTTCATGCTGCAGATGAGGAAATTGAGACCCACAGCATAGAAGGCAGTGCCCTCCAGGCCTCTGCAGCCTCCAGCCTGCCTGGTGGCCCCCTGAGAGGCCCTGGCCAGGGGTTGTCTGCTCAGCTTGGAGTGGAATCTGCAGGGCCACTCAGATGGGGTGGCGGTGGGCCTGGGTCCCTGTTGAGGCCTTAAGCTCTTGCCTGATGGAGGAGGCCAAGGGAAGGGGCCCACAGGCAGCCGAGGGCCTCTGCTAGATGGCTGGGTGGGTTTCCTATTACTCTGGGCCAGGACCTACCTGTATTTGAACTTGGTGGCCCCTGGTGAGTTCATACTCCCTCCACCTCCCACTGAGCCCACAGCCATTTCGGGGGCCACACTTTCCCACTTGGCTTTGCTTGGGGATGGGGCAGGCAGGCAGGGGGAGGAAGGGGACTCGGTGGGGGGAGTGGCAAGGGAATGGGCACTGGCCTGCAGCCCCAAGAGCCTCTGGCCTCCCCCACGGCCAGCCCTGAGCTGCTTCCCGGTTTCTCTGCCACCGTCTGTGGCTAGGCCACCCTCTCAGCCCTCCTGCATCCCTGCAGTGGCCTCCTGGGTGGCGATCCAGCATGTGTCTACTATGGTCATCCTGACCCCACCTCCCCTCCCGTCTCCTTGCTTTTTCCACCCCACACCATCCATAGCTCCCTGTTACCACTGCACAAAGCCCACGTTCTGGCTCGGCATTCATGGCCTCCCAGCCTCGAGCCCCGCTTCTCTCCTCCTTGAGCCTGCTCGCCCTCCTTACTTTGCTCCTGAATATCCATGGTCTCTTCCTCCTGCAGAGGCGAGTGTGAGGCCCTGAGTCCTACGTGGTCATCTGTCCTGTGGCCATTCTCCTGGCAGGTGCGTTCAGGCTGGGCGCCAGTCTCGCCAGGTGCTCACCCCCACAGCTGGGCGGATGGAAGCAGCCCTTGGCAGCCTGTGTGCTGGGGATGAGGATGGTTTATGGCCTTGCTGCAGGAAGGGAGGAATTCCCACCGCTCTTCTGACTCCTTATCACTTCTTGGTGTGACTGCGCTGCCGCCTGCCTGAGAAGGTGCTGGCCCTGGAAGAGAATGGTTTATCAGATCCACCCGCCTCTCCCGGGCTCTTGGAGACCCCACCAGTCTCTGTCCTGGCTCAGAGGGGGAGCGGGGAAATGAAATTAACAAACAAGGGGCTGCAGAGTGAGGTGGAGGGTGCTGGGAGACCCATGTGGACAGAGCAGGCTCCAGCCGGCCTGGGCCTGGGGTCATGTGGTTCAGGCGTTTCAGGCTTCCCACACAGTGGGCAGGGAGGCACGAGGCTGGAGAGAGCACCAGGATGCTTGTGGCTTGTCCTGCCCCAGCCTGTGACTTTCACCGGGGATGCCCTTCCCTGGCTAAGACCTGGGGTGGGGGCTTTCCCCCCCGTCTGGGGCAAGCTTTAGCAAAGGGGTTTAGTGAACCAGTGAACACTGACAATCCCAAAGGGGTGCTGAGCCCTGACCGTGTGCCAGCACCTAGATTAAGCATTTCACATGTGTGATCCCTTTGACTCTACCCACAACCCTGTGACCAGGAAACGGAGGCACAGAGAGGTTAAGTGACTTGCTCAGGGCGTGGGTGAGTGGGAGGTGAGCCAGGGAGTAGGTGAGCTGGCATTTGATCCTGGGTGATCTGAAGCTAGAGCCTGGATGTGCAACCAAGAGATGAAGGTGGGAAGGGGGCTGGACAGGGGACCAGACCAGGTTCACGGGGGGCTGCGGATGGGAGCTGTGCTTGAGCCTTGTGGGACTGGGTACTGCTAGAGCCTTAGAGCTGAGCTGCCTCCACACACACCCTCAGTGGGCCTAGACCTCGGAGCCACATGCCTGGACCCTGAGGGCGCCCATCCCGTCTTGCCTCAGGGGAGCCCACAGGATGCCCCACAGGGCTGCTCATTTGCTGAAAATATGTTGCAGAGAGCTGGGCCCTGCAGAGGCTGTGTCCAGTCTGGCTGGAGCGGACACGTGGGCAGAACAGCTAGAGACGTGTGGTTCTCCCGAGTAGAGAGCAGCTCACGCCCCCTGCATGGCTGAGCCTGGGAGGGTGGGTGGAGAAGGGGCATTTGTTCAGTTGAGAGAAGACAAGCCCTGACCCAACAATAGTAATGGCAAATCAGATATTCACAGAGGTGAAAGTAACGTCGCAGCTGACATAAGGGCTGTGAAGACTGAAGGAAGTCAGGGAGGCTTCCTGGAGGAGGGGGCCCAGAGCTATGATGGGAAGGAGGTAGGAATTAAATGAGTAAGCAGGAAACAGTGTGCAAGGCTAAGAGAAAGCCTGTGCAAAGCCCCTGCGGTAGGGAGTGCTATACTTTGAGGCCGGGGAAGGCAACCTGTGTTTTTTGAGCAAGAGGATCTGAGGGCAGGGGTGTGGTGCCTGATGAGCTGGGCCCTCTGGGAGCGGTCACATGAGATGTCAGACATGGACTTTTGGATTCTGTGAATCTGGAATGTCCTTAGAGCCCCAGGCCTAGAAGTCTCAGGGTTCACAGCCCAGCTCCACCTCTTCCTCTGCATTCAGTCTCGGGTAAGGAGGGTGCCATCTCTGAGCCTCGGTTTTCTCATCTATAAAATGGGCTCACTGTCCCATCAAAGCCTGCATGTGAGGACTTATTGTGGGAATGTGTGTGAAGTGTCTGTGCGAGGTGCCCTGGCCCGAAGCTTCCGCACAGGAAATGAGTGAGCCGTGTCTCCTGTCCCATTTCCTGGGGTTCCCACTCACCCTTTGGGCCCAGCTGCAGGTTGGTGGAGAGGCCTGTGCCCTGCACCTCTGGCTTCTATCTCATTGGCAGGTTGGGGGAGGGGGAGTTCATGGCCAAGGTCAGAGGTGCCTTCCCTCAGCAGGGTTTTCTGAGGGCCATGGCAGGTGCCCACTGCTCCACCTTCTGATCCTTCAGCATGAGGCCTCTCCCCACCTGGGGATGTCTTCAGGAAGGGTTACATCTAGCACCATTCTTAGCTCCTGCGCCAAGGGCATTGCCGTGGCCCCTCTATATCAGTGCCAGCCTCCAGACTCAGCCCTGGGGTAAACCCTGGCTTAGCTCTGTGGGCACCCAGTGCCTCCGCCCCCTCCCCTCCAAGCTGGGATATAGCCCCTCGCCTCATCGTTGCCGCGAGGGTTAGAGTCTCTTGGAGAAGTGCCTGGCACACAGTCATCATTGAATACGTGATCGTTCCTCTTCTCCTTCCTGATCTGCTGCCAGATCGCGTCATGTTGTGGAAAAAGATCTGCCCTTTCCTCACTATAAAAGGCATTCCAGAAATGATTGGTAAAGGATTGAGTGAGTGGCCGCTGCAGAGCAGGGTGCTTGTGCCCAGCGCTCCGGCTCTGGAATCAGCTGGCTGTGTGGCATCGGGCAAGTGTGGCCCTCTCTGGGCTCTTCAGTTGAAGATTAGCAAGGTTGATGCTGCTCTGGTGGAGCCCCCTAAGAGGGGACATGGCAGCTCTTTGCCAATGTAAAGGTTCTGTCCAGACTACAGTTATGGTTTTACAGATGAGGAAACTGAGGCCCAGAGGGGTGATGTGCTGGCCTTGGGTGGCCTGGCTAAACGGCAGGGCTGAGCCTGTACCTGGCTCCCTGAGGCTTTGAGTCCAGGGCTCTCGCTGGTGGCCCCCATCCTTACCCAGAACCTGGCATCTGTCAGCTGGGCACAAATGCCTGCCCTAGATTGAAGAGCGGAGAGTTGGAAGCATGTCACAGGGTCTGTCCAAGGTGCTGCTGGCAGCATAGCAGGCGACGGTGCTATGTCTCATTTCTATGAGGGATTTGGTGCACGGCTCTTGGGCCCCAGCCGAGATGGGAAGGGGCATTGTCACAGGGCGGCTTCACCAGAATCAGAATCCAGGGTGACCCTGGAGAGGTTTACTGGGGAACACTCTTAATAACAACTCCTGTGGGGGGCAGAGGGTGAGGTTGGGCTGCAGTGCAATAGAAACAGAGGCCTCAGGTGATCTCACGGGCACTTGGGAGCAGGGGTGGTCCCGCTTGGTTCCAGACCAAGGCAGGGGCTCAGCCATTACATCCTGCGTTGACTGGTCAGTGGTTAGCTGTCCCCAGGAGAGGATGGCTCCTTCCTCTCCTGGGGGGAGTTGGCTCCTTCACCAAAGGGACCCTCAGCAGCTGGCACCCCTGGCAGCCAGAGAAGCCTGTATTTTGGTCTTGAAAGGGGGCCTTAGGTGGTGCACAGGCCAGATGTCCTGTGACAACAACCAGAGCAAGACAGATGCTGGTGCCTGGGAGAAACCATGTCTTACTCACCTGAGGACGGCAATAATAGCAGTACCTGTGCCTCTGAACCCTGCTAATCCTGCAAGCTAGGGCCCTGACCCCCACTTTTGACATGAGAGGCTGAACCTCAGAGAGGCGCGCTGGCTCCAGGCAAGTCGGCTGCAGAATTGGGGCTCGGAAATGCAGTGCCTTGCTCCCCACGGCCTCCACTTCCCAGCTCTGGCAGGTGATGGTTCCCTGTCCTGCGTAGCCTCAGGGTGCCGTCCTTGGGTGCGGCCCAGCTTCTACCCTGTTTTGGACTGTGAGCTCCTTGAGGGCCTCCCTTTGTCCTGCCTACCTGGGATGCCTGGCACAATGCCCAGGCCGAAGGGCTCACTACACAGACGTGGCCAGAATTGAATGAAGTCTCATGCCCTCCCCTCCCCCCGAGCTGGTGTGACTTGCCACCGTGTGCATGAGTACTGCTTGGGCTGGTGCCAGCCCTGCCTCTTGGGGGAGGAAATCAGGGTTTACTGGGCAGGAAAGGGTGGTCTTGCTGTGACAGTCACGTGGGCCTGGCCCCAAGGGCCCCACCTGTTGAGGTGAGGAGTGGCTGAGTGGGGGCCACCGGGCAGAGGCACTTTTCCTGGAGGTTTTGCCTCTCAGAGCCAGCCTGGGAGTGGCTGCTGCTGCCCTGGGCTTCCCAGGGAGGAACATTTCCTTGCCTGGCCCCGCCCAGAACATCCAGGGGAGCACAGAGGTGGTGGCTCCAGCACCATAGAGTATCCGAGTGCCCAGTCGGGAGGAGGCCCAGAGGAGCAGAGCTCTGGTTAGGGGGGCGCTGGCCCAGAAGCCTGAGCACGGAGAGGCATCTGTAGTTGGGGCTGCCGGCAGAGAGCTCAGCATCCTCCCACCCGCCCATGCGGTTTCCTGAGTCCCAGCAGGGTGGGAAGACAAAGAGGGAGCATCCGGGTCTGCACTCTCAGGCACCAGGCTAGGGCCAAGGGGAGAACCCAGTTTTGGGATGAGGCATCCGAGCCTGGCTTCTTCTGGCCTCTCTTCATCCCCAGACCTGAGGCAGGCCATATTCCCCATGTGCCTTGTATTCCCTCAGGGCCTCTGGGTCCTCACCTGCAAGATGGAGATAATAAGACTCCCCAGGCTGCTGGGAGATTGCATGAGACAGTGGCTGTAAAAGGACATTAGCAAACCACACGATTCAGAACAAATGGTGGAGGTTATTTTCTCAGATGGTGGAGATTATTTTCTCAGATGGTGGAGATTATTTTTTCTCAAATGGTGGAGATTATTTTCTTAAATGATGGAGATTATTTTTTCTCGAATGGTGGAGATTATTTTCTCGGATGGTGGAGATTATCTTCTCGGATGGTGGAAATTATTTTCTCCAATGGTGGAGATTATTTTCTCAAATGGTGGAGATTATTTTCTCGGTTGGTGGAGATTATTTTATCGGATGGTGGAGATTATTTTCTCAGATGGTGGAGATTATTTTCTGGAATGGTGGAGATTATTTTCTCAGATGGTGGAGATTATTTTCTGGAATGGTGGAGGTTATTTTCTTCTATCACTACTTCTGTTTGTCTCCCAGTTTCCATTTCTCTCAAGTCTTATCAGGCCTAGTGAAATTAATTAATGTTTACCTTTTACCCTCACTGGTTTATTCGTCTCTCCTCCCTCCCACACCCTCTTTCCTTTGTTCCCTTCCCCTTCCAATAATAATGGCCACCACCATCACCACCATCATCACCACCTCCACCATAACCTCCACCACCACCACCATAACCTCCATCACCACCACCATCACCATAACCTCTATCACCACCACCACCACCACCACCATAACCACCACCACCACCACCACCATAACCTCCATCACCACCACCACCACCACCATAACCTCCATCACCACCACCACCACCACCATAACCTCCATCACCACCACCACCACCATAACCTCCGCCACCACCTCCACCACCATAACCTCCACCACCACCATCACCACCACCACCATAACCTCCATCACCACCACCACCACCATAACCTCCATCACCACCACCACCTCCACCACCATAACCTCCATCACCACCACCACCACCACCACCATAACCTCCATCACCACTACCACCACCGCGACCACCGCAACAGCTCACTCTCCCATTTAATCCTCACAGCCTTGGAAAGTAGGTACAGTTGTCATCCCCGTTTTACAGATGAGGAAGCAGAGGCTTCTCGGCTTTTCCTGCATTTCTGCCTCTGGGAAGAAGGTGTGGGTGCATTCAGCTATCCATGGCCAGAGTCTGGTTCCTGCTCTCCAAGCCTGCTTCCCGCTTCTCCTCCCTCCTATGTGCACTTCCTGCTTCCAGCCTTTGCATTTGCTATATCCCCTCCTGAAAGCTCTCACTTTGGAGCCCTGCATGGCTCGGGTCAGCTGCCACCTCCTCCTAGAGACCACCCCTGGATGACCGAGAGTAGCACTCCCATCTCTTCCACCGTCCTCCTGTTCCCTCAGCTGACAGGTGCCCCCTTCCCTGTGATGCTAATGACCTCTGAGGGCATTCCTGCTGCAATGTCCTCAGAATCCAGTCGCTGCTGTCTGAATGGCCCCTCCATGCTGGCCCTGGCTGCCCCTGGCTGCCACTGCCACCCTGCCATCCCACCCACCCTTCCACGAGGCTCAGACCCTTCCGGGCTTGGGTTCTGGAGTGGGTTATCCAGTGGGGGCTTTGGCCTCTGAACAAGAGGCCAAAGAAAACAGCCAGGTGGGCTGGGCGTGGTGGCTCACGCCTGTAATCTCAACACTTTGGGAGGCTGAGGTGGGCCACCTGAGGTTGGGAGTTTGAGACCAGCCTGACCAACATGGAGAAACCCCGTTTCTACTAAAAATACAAAATCAGCCAGTCGTGGTGGCAGGTGCCTATAACCCAAGCTACTCGGGAGGCTGAGGCAGGAGAATCACTTGAACCTGGGAGGCAGAGGTTGCAGTGAGCTGAGATCGCACCATTGCACTCCAGCCTGGGCAACGAGAGTGAAACTCCATCTCAAAAAAAACGAAAAACAAACAAAAAAAAAACCAGAAAATGAAAACAGCCAGGTGAGTGATCCAGATCTGAGCCTGGGGATGGCGAGCCTCCCCACTGCCAGGAGGCACATTCATTTACTCAGGCACTCATTCATTTACTCAGGCACTCATTCATTCACTCAGACACTCATTCATTCCCTCGGGCACTCATTCATTCACTCAGACACTTATTCATTCCCTCAGACACTCATTCATTCCCTCAGGTGCTCACTCACTCAGGCGCTTGCTCACTCACTCACTCATTTGGTCACTCAGCACTGATGTGTTAGGAACCTTCCTGCTGGCCACACACTCCATGCCTAACAAATGCTGAGCCAGTGAATGAACGAACGTCCTTCCTCTCCTCTGCCCAACCTTTCTCAGCCCAGTTCAGGCCCTGCCTCCTCCACGGGAGCTCCTCCCCAGGGAGACCATGGATCTTCACTGCTGACGTGTGATCTCGAGGAAGGGCCCTGTCTGTGGCTCTGACAACTTCCAGCAGACCCCCTTCTCCTCTCTCTGACGGCTGCCGGGAAGCCTGAGCCAGATTGGCAGCCAGCCTCTGAAAGGCCCTTATGGTGCATGCTGGGCTCACTCCCCAGGGTCCTCTTATACATCTTCTGAGTGTTCACAGCTGCCCCTCCAGGCCTGCACAGCAAGCCTTCAGTAAATCTTTACCGAGTGAACGAATGAATGAACTCTTTATTCTCTGCCTCCCTTAAGTGCCACTGCCTGTTTTGTGTTTCCTCAGATTCTTTTTGAATGAGAAAGGAAAAACAAGAACAATAGCAATATTAATAACAGCAGCCGTAATACCTGCTCATATTTATTGAGCAATTGCTGAGTGCTGGGCCTTGTTCCAAATATTTTACATGTGTGAATTCATCTCATTGTCCCAGGCCTGTGAGGTAGGTGTTAGTCTCCCTACTTTTTAATTTTTATTATCTTTTTTTTTTTTTAAGATGGAGTCTCGCTCTGTCACCCAGGCTGGAGTGCAGTGGCGTGATCTCAGCTCACTGCAACCTCCGCCTCCTGGGTTCAAGCGATTCTTGTGCCTCAGCCTCCCGAGTAGCTGGGATTACAGGCATTTGCCACCATGACCAGCTAATTTTTGTATTTTTGGAAGTGATGGGGTTTCACCATGTTGGCCAGGCTGGACTCAAACTCTTGACCTCAGGTGATCGGCCCACCTCCGCCTTCCAAAGTGCTAGGATTACAGGTGTGAGTCACCGCGCCCAGCCTGGTCCCCCTGTTTTACATGAAGAAGCTAAGCACCCAGCAAACCAGCGATTTGCTAGTTATAGGTTGCAAGGCTCCTGAGCGTGGAGTTGGGGTGTGAACACAGCAGGGAATTATAATGGTAATTGTAAAAAGGAGTCCATTTTGTTGAAGAGAGGACAAGAGCCCTGGAAAGCTTCCCCATGGGCCATGCCTTTGCAGAAGAGTGGACAGGGGTGTAGAGCTGCATATGGGGTCCTGGGCCCTTAGGGTGACCTGGCCAGAGGAGCCGGGAGGTGGGCATGTGAGTGGAGCTGGGGCCTAGCTCACAGAGCTGGCCATGGGACAGGCTTCTTCCTTCCAGTCCCTGCTGGAGCCACCCTTGTGTTCCCCAGAGGGGCCGTGTCCAGTGAGCCACATGGCCTGCGTTGCCCATCCCTGGTGCCAGGCGTTCCCTCATGCCCTGAAGTGCCGCCTGTCTGGAGCCTCTGTCCGTCACTGAGAGGTCAGGGTATGGCAGCCCCCAGGTCTACCTCTGGCCAAGAAGGCCTTAAATCTTCTCCCAGCCCTTGCTCCTGAATTGCTTGCGCGCGGCTTTTACAGTTGCTTGGGGAACTGTAAGTCTGCGTTGCCTGACTCCTGTGTATTTAAATTCTCAGCCATAATGTTATATTAACTCATTTTTTGCAGTTTCCTGGGAGACTGTGTGTACATTACTGGGCGGTGGTGGAGTGGGAATGGCCATGACTGTGGACAAACACAGCTGTGAGTGTGCCTGGCGCTGGTTGCTGATCTGGGGGCCCCCACCTCTGGTGGGTCCCTCATGAGAGGCATTTCCTGCCAGCCAGGTATTCGCAGTACCTGAGTCCCCTCTGCCACCCCTGGCAAAGTTGCGGATGTAGCCATTTGGCTGATAAATGGGGATTCCCGGCTTGGGATGGCTCTGGAGCTCCAGGGAGGCCTGTGGGTCACGTGTCTTTTGTTCATTTATGCACTGCCAGGTGCATTCATCCCCACATCAGTCCCCTCACACGTGTTGAGCACCTGCTGTGTACACAGCCCGGAGATACAGCAGGAATGCAACTGACTTTGTTCTATTCTCCTGGAGATGAAGTGCTAGGGGAGAGGGATGTTCACTTGATGGACAAATAAATCCACAGTGCAGGCCGGGGGCTGGGACGGCTGTTGGAGGAAGGGCTGGCAGTGGGGATTGAGGTGGAGGAAGGGCACATTGAGTCAGAGACCTGAAGGAGGGAAGGAGCTGGTGTCCAGCCCCTGTGCGTGAACCCACACAACAAGGCCATGAGGGTCATCGTGCCCATTTCACTGGTGGTGCCTAAGGTCCACAGCTGCTAAGTGGCAATGCATCAGACCCAGGCTGTACGGCTCCATCCTGCCTGCTCTCATTGCTGCATTCCATGGCTCTCTGGGAAGGGCATTTTAGGTGGGCAGAACAGAACTTGCAAGAGTCCAGAGGCCCAAAGGAGGCTGGTAAGTTTGAGAAACAGCCAGAAGGCGGGTGACTGGAGCAGAGTGAGCAGGGGTGAGAATGGAAGTGGAGAAGGCGGAGAGGTCAGGGGGGCCAGTCTCAAAAGTGAAAGTAGGAGCTCGCTGTGCTTCTTCATCTTACTCCTGAACCGAGATGGCAGTGGTGGGAATGGAGGGAAGATGGAAAACAGCAGAGCAGAGCCTTGGGGTAGAGCCTGGAGTAGAGCAGTGGGGCAGGATCTGGGGGCTCAGGGCTGGGAGAGACCAGGTGCTGGGGTGGGAGGGAGAAGGAGACTTCCTGGGAAACACCCTGCAGGTGGGGGTAAGGGGATCCAGTGACACAGCTGCGGCACAGCCCTGCTCCGGGGTGGGAAACCCAGGACTCCTAGCTGGCTTCCCCGGCCTCCTCGCCTGTCCACCGTGGAGTTCATCCAGGCCGCTGCAGGGTGTGAAGAAGGGCTCAGAGTCAGCCCTGACACTTTGTTTAGTTGTTCATTTGTCCTCAGTTCCTCCATCTGGGAAATGGGGATCCTGATACTCATCGGGGGTTAGGAATCATGGTTGCAAAGTTCCAGCGCTGGTAGAAGTGAAAACCCTGCCCGTTGACTACTTGCTTCCTCATTTGATTCTGTGGGCTCAAATAATGTCCTATTTTACTGGGAGGGAATTGAAGGTCTGAAAGGGAAATGGCTTGCCCAGAGCCCTGCTGGCCAGGCTCAGGAGGCAGGGGAGGTCTGGGGAGAGAAGCCTGGGATGAGGTCCCCTGTCTCCCCAACACACACGATGAGAGCCCCCATGGCTTTCCATGGCTGCCCAGGCAGGAGTGGAGCCGGGGTTGCTTGGAGCACTTGGGGAGTTTAGAGCAGCAGCAGGTGGCCTGGCCCCCAGATCCCCATGCCTGTGGAGTGGAAGGGCAGGGCCAGAGGAGTACTCTTCCCCATGCTGTATGTGCTGCTTGGAATGTCCTCCCACAGCCCCCAGCCAAGTCTTCACCCTTCAAGCCTTAGCTCTGGCCAGCACCTCCTCCAGGAAGTCTTCCTAGACTTTACGTGTGACGGTCACATACCTCCTTAGTGTCCCCATAGCACCATCTCTGCCCTCCCACGGCCAGCCTGAATGTTCCCTGCATGTGGGGCTGTGTCTGAGTCCTCTCATGCCCCCCTAGTACCCCTTACAAGGTGTGGCACAGAGCAGGTGTCAGAGAATGCCTTTAGAACACAGCTGGAGTGATCTCAGGTCAGGGCAGTGCCAGGGCCCTAAGCTCCATTGGGCAGGTGCCTCTGCTGGCTGATTTCATGGCCCCAGGCCTCAGCTGGCCACAGGGTCAATCAGGAGCACCCCACACACCCAGGCATGGAGGTGGCCAGTGCCCCCCACCCCCATACTGGGACCTGCTTATGAACAGCAGGCCTTGATGGCATCCCTGTGTCTGGAAGTACCAGAGCAGTGGCAGCTGAGACAGCAGTGCCCTCATAAGCCCTGGGCTTCCACAGAAACCCCAGGTCACCTGCAGCCTGGTGGCTGGGGGCCTGGAGTCATCCCTCACTCGTGGTCCCTGATGAAGGCTTGGCTGGGCAGTGCTAGGGCTCACTGGGCAGAGGGCGGCATCCTGACTCCTGCCTGGCCCGGGCCTGCTCCCTGGAATCATCCCTGAGTGCCAGCCTCTGTTCTTCGTCTTAATGAGGAAAGCTCTTCTCTCCTCCCTGCCATCCCCCCTTCTTCCAAAATGAATTTACCGTTCCGCTGCGCCGCACTCCTCCCTCCTCCTCCTCCCCTCTCCTCTCACAGGCCGCGAGGGAAGTGGAGGGTGTTATTGTATATTTTAGCCAATTGTTCCCTGTACGCCCTAGTCTTTTTGGGGTGGGGCTGGGGGGATGGGGAAGTAAGTAAATTATATATTGAACTCCTAACTGGAGCTGAGGCCTTGTGGTTTCCATGGCAACTGGGCTGGAAATAGCTCGGCGTGACATCAGCATGGTACAGGTATAGCCAGATCCAGCCGTTCCCCAAACAAGCTGGCTCCAAGGGGAGCAAGAGATGTGCGGCTAATTAGCATATGCAAATCATACCTGGCGAGCAGGGCGGGGCCTGTGGTGCCCCGTTGGGGCCTGTGGCCATGGCCAGGGCCTCTGGCAGGTAAGCGGGCCGGGGGTGCTTGTGGGGTCAAGGCCCAGGCTGCCCTGGGCACACGCCCCTGTGCAGGGGCTTGTCTGGGCCTGGGCCTGCCTGCCCCATAGGGCTCTGGGAGTGTGGCCAATGGGGCTGCCAGGGGATGGACAGGCATGCACGGCAGGCAGCCAGGAGGGTGCCCCGCCTGGGCTCGAGTGGGATCTGGCTCTTACTGGCTCATGGGTGCCTTTGAAGCTGGCTACCTAATTGGGCCCTGCTGGCTGCCTGCCATTTTTCTCTGTAGCGTTGTGAGGGAGGGATCGCCCTGTGCCCACCTCGGCTCCCTTCTTCCACCCTCCCCACTGCTGGACCGTGGGAAAGGCCCACAGAACCCCCACCCTCCCGCTGTCCTGCGGCTGAGTCTACACCCCTTTCCCCCCCAGCCCCCAGCGGGAATGCAGGAGCAGAGCCCTCCTCTGAGGGTGCTGCCTTGGGCCAGTCACTTGGCCTCTCCGAGCCTCAGTTTCCACCTTGGTGAGATGGGGGTATTTTTCTTTGCCCATGTACCAGGTAGTGAGTGGGTAATGAGGTGACACTGGGGAAGGGCCTAGGTGGGCTTGGTGGGCCAGACATAGTGGGAGGAAAAGGAGATTTTCCGTCATCTGTGTTTAAATCGAAGCTCCGTCACCCAGCGCCGCCCCTCCTTCCCCACCACACACATAAACACGCACTCTAGGGAGACTTGAGAACTTGCAGTAAATTTCTGGGCGAGGTGAAATATTGCCACCTTCAGTGTGGTGATTTCCACGCTAGGGCTCTTGGCTGAACCTCCGACATTCAAGCTGGGAGTGCTCTGTGGCTAAATGAGATAATTTATTCATTTCAGCAAATGTTGAGGGTGTGCCGAGTGAGGGCGGGCGGGGAAGGTGGGGTGAGTCAGACGTGGCCAAGCACACAGAGCGCTCAGTCTGCAGGGGAGGCAGACGGATAGTGTTGCCAGTGCTCTTTGGGGGATTTGGGGTGTCTGGGAAGAGTGTTGAGGACATGGGACCATTGAAGATGCCTTACGGCCATGCCAGAGTCCACTTGGCAGCAAAGGGGTAAGGAAGGGCATTCCAGGAAGAGAAAAGCAGTGGGCACAGACGGGAAAAGACGCCTGGCACTTGGGGAAAGGGCGACGCTTGGCTGGAGTGAAGTGGTGGAGATGAGACCAGAAAGTTCTGCCAGTGTCAGCTTCAGAGGGGCTGGAGGCCAAAGAGTTTGACTGTGATCCAGGAGGTGGTGGGAGCTATCGATGGCCCTTGAGCAGGGAAGTGATGTGTTCGGATCCTGGCTTCAGCAAGAAAAGGTGGGCCAGCAGGGCGCAGTGGCTCACGCGTGTAATCCTAGCACTTTGGGAGGCCGAGGAAGGCGGATCACTTGAAGTCAAGTTCAGGACCAGCCTGGCCAACATGGTGAAACCCCGTCTCTACTAAAAATACAAAAATCAGCCGGGCGTGGTGGCGCATGCCTGTAGTCCCAGCTGCTCAGGAGGCTGAGACAGGCGAATCGCTTGAACCTGGCAGGTGGAGGAGGAGCCTCTGCCCACCTCGCCCTTCTCTGACCCTCCAGGCTCTGACAGATTAACTTGTGGGCCAGTCTGTCTCCTTGAGTATGTGTGGTGTGCCCCTGCTGCATGGGTGCAGGGAAGGCCCAGGGGACTGAACTGAGCAGAGACTCCCATGCTAGTGCTCTTTTGGGTGTCACATTTTCACAGGGTCAGCGTTTGGGAGCATCTTCTCATCACCACTCTGGCCCTGGAAGCCTGCAGGCACTTTGCAGTCTTTATTCCATTTGTGCCTGGTGACTTTCCTAGCCTGCAAACCTGCCTGGGTCCCTTCTTCCTTGGAAGCTGCCAGGGCTCCCTGGTGCTCGGATAAAGTCCAAATCCTGCCTTGATGTGGCCTCTTGTCTTTAAATCTTTTTTTTTTTTTTTTTTTTTTTGAGACAGAGTCTTGTTCTGTCACTCAGACTGGAGTGCAGTGGCGCGATCTCAGCTCACTGCAACCTCCGCCTCCTGGGTTCAAGCGATTCTCCTGACAACGAGTAACCTGGATTACAGGCATGCACCACCACGCCCAGCTAATTTTTTGTATTTTTAATAGAGACGGGATTTCACCATGTTGGCCAGGATGGTCTCAAACTCCTGACCTCAAGTGATCCACCCACCTCGGCCTCCCAAAGTGCTGGGATTACAGGCGTGAGCCACCACGCCCAGCCTTGTCTTTATATCTTTACTCCTGCTGTTCCCTCTGCCTGGATGCCTTTCTTGTCTCCTCCACCTGGGGCTACCTCTGGTTCATCTGCCACTCTAATGATGCCTCCTCTGGGTAGTCCTCTCTGACCAGCCCTGTCCCAGGATGGTAGATGTCTTATGTGCCCCCCTCTCTGGCCCCCTAGGCTTCCCTCATTCATGGCACTGTCCACACCTTCCTGAAGCCACCAGCTTCAGTGAGGAAGTCTCACTCAGTGTTGGCCCCATGGCCAGCCCAGGACTTTGCCCAGAGGTAGAACCAGTGAAAGTTTGTTGAGTGAATAGGCAAGGGAGTGGATGTTGCTCTTCCTGCCTATGTCCAGCCCATTCCACCTGCCTGGGCTGCCCTCCTTTCCTCTCTTACCCTGTGTGCCTGGCCTGGATACCCCAGCTTCAAGCTGCCTGTCCTTCAGAGAGTCCTTCCTCTCTGAGCCTGTCCTCACCTGCAGCCCACCTGCCATGAGGACCCCAGATGGAGCCCACTGTGGTGCCTCTCCTGCACCCCCAGCATGGTGTGTGAGCACCCTGGGGCTCCCACTGGCTTCTCCCACTTTTCATTGCTTCAGGCCCCCATTAGGTGGCTGGTGATTGCTGACAGACTGAACTGTTCCAGAACCTCCCCTGTCAGGACTGCCCTGGGGAAATCTCTAGAGGTGTCCACAGCCTCCTGTCTGCCCCCTCCCTGCTTGGGTCTCCTCAGACCATTCCTTGATTCCAGGTTTCTGAAAAATTGTGTGAAAACTGGCTTTGTGTCATCAGATCCAATTTCCTGCCACCTCTTACTTTTAAAGGAGGCACAGCCAGTTTAAAACAAAAACATCCTGCTGTGGTGTGAGCTGAAGACTTTGGGCCAGGAGGCTGGGCTGTGAGGGCCTTCCGCTCTGCCACCTCCCCTCATTCAGCCGCTCCCCTCCTCCCTGGGTCGGGGCTGGAGGGAGGGGTTCTGGAGCCCAGGTTTTCGTGCCCCTGCCCTCTTTATTGTTGTTGAATCCCCTCTCCAGATGCTGCTCCAGAATCCTCTCTGAAGTTTCTAGAGTTCATTCTTCCTTCCTTCATTCAGCAGACATCCACCGGGTGCTTGCACTGTGCCAGTCAGCACTGGGCTTGTGGGCACAGAGCAGACAGGAGGGGTGCAGGGCAGGACCCCCTGTTCTCCCTGGGAGAGGCGGGCTCCCTGCTAGCCCTCAGCCCTTGGCTTGGGCCTCCTGGGTGCAGGACCTGCGGGTTCCTCTTCCCGCCTGGTAATTGCTAGCTCCCCGGCTCTGGGAAGCAGCTGGGTCAGGTGTGGGCTGCCTGCCCACATGCCTGGCCGCCTGCCCGCCTGCCGCAGGAGGCATCGATGCCTGGGATTCAAGCTCCTCCGAGGGCCTGCGATGTGGCCATGGGGAAATCATTTTCTGACAATGGCCATCAATTTCGCTGAGAGCCCATCGGCGCTCTGGCAGCCTGTCCCCCGGCAGCGGCAGCTGGTCCGTGTCAAGCCCCCAGGTGTCCTGATGACAGAAGCGATTCGCATTAGGCATCTGCCCCAGAGCACACATCCGGAAGAGACGGATTCTGGCCAGTTCCAGACATGCACCACATCACCTCCAAGTTTATCTTCAGGTCCTTGGGTTAGCGGAGATGTCTTCTCTCTGCCCTGGAGTGGCCACAAGGGGCCCCTATAGGGCAGCCCCAGCCTCAGGAACGGGGCTCCCTGCTGAGCCTGTATCTGCCTTGTTGCAGGCGCTATGTAGGCACAAAGGTCACAGCTCTGAACACAGCAGACAGAGCACCTGCCGTTGCACTGAGAAGGGAAGGACAGGAAGGAGGCAGTCACGCACAGATCTTGGGAAAGAGCATTCCAGGCAGCGGGAACAGCCGGGGCAAAGGTGTTCCCTGAGGCGGGGAATTCTGTTGGCCCGGCGCGGTGACTCACGCCTCTAACCTCAGCACTTTGGGAGGCCGAGGCGGGCAGATCACTTGAAGTCAGGAGTTTGAGACCAGCCTGGCCAGCTTGGCGAAACCCTGTCTCTACTAAAAATACAAAAGTGAGCTGGGCGTGGTGGCACACTTGTGTAATCCCAGCTACTCGGGAGGCTGAGGCGGGAGAACTGCTTGAACACAGGAGGTGGAGGTTGCAGTGAGCCAAGATCGTGCCCCTGCACTCCAGCTGGGGCGACAAAGCGAGACTCTGTCTCAAAAAAAAAAAAAAAAAAAAGAAAGAATTCTGTTGAGGCTGCAGTGAGCCTCAGGTGTCTTGGGGACATCCAGGGTCCTAACAGAACCCCAGAGGTATCCACAGGAAAGTGAGTTGCATTCTGGCAGATGATCGAGGCACCCCCTGGAGGAGGTGGTGTGAGGCAGGAAGCAATGTGAAGGAAGGCTGAGAGGGTAATGGGAGAGTGCAGCGGGCAGGGCTCTGCTCGCAGCTGCAGGGGCCTTTCCTGACTTGTGGAGAGGATGCTGTATTGCACGAGGCAGGTCTAGGCACCTCTGGCTCTCAGAGGCCTTTGAGAACCTCGCCTTGTCCATGCTATGGGGTCAGCGGGATTGGGTTGAGACCCTACTGTGCACCAGGGGGTTCGCCTGCATCCTAGCAGCTGTCTCCATTTATTGCAGGCCTACTGAGTGCCAGGCACTGAAGAAGCTCTTGGCCTATGGTGTGACACAGCCCACAGGTGGGCATTAGCACCTGCACTCCCAGGTGGGGAAGGTGAGGCCCAGAAAAGTCCGGAGGCTTGTCCAGGGTCCACAGTATGGTGATGGTGTGACTCAGGCTGGGGAGCCTGAGCTGGGAAGATTGCAAGAAGCTGGTTGTCCTGAGCATTCCTGGACAGGAAACAGTGAGCCACCCCCAGTACTGGAGCTGGCTCCCCAGGACCCAGCTTCGTCCTCAAGGCACCTTTCCCCTGGGCTCTGCAGACGTGGGCCTTGAGGCCTGGGCATTGGGCATGCAGGGCACTAGATTGGGGCCCCATGCTTTCACCTGTGGCTCAGACAATGGGGAGAGGAGGGAGATACTCTATGAGCTTCCAGGGACTTGCAGCTCCTGGCTCTTCATGAAGGGATGACCAGTCACATCTTGCAGATGGGGAGCCTGAGGCTCAGCAGGGATGGGGGGTGACCGGGACCTGACAGCAATGGGATTGCCAGGCCAGGGCGGCAACAGGTCTGTCTGTCCCCACAGCCCACTCCACACCCTGGGGAATGGGTGATAATAGAGCTGGCTCTGAACGTGGGTCATCACCTTGGGCTTTGATCCCCATAGTGGTTTTGTGGGTAGTGTGGATTCTAGAATCCAAGCTCCCCCAACCCTCATTCCCCCAGGCCCGCCTCCATAGCTCCTTTTGTATATTCCTCTGAGGCCTGGGGCCCCACCTGGCCTGGCTCCATCAGACCCCCTCAATAAGGTCAAGTCCAGCCAGGGAACCCATTTATTCTACCAGCTACACCCATGGGGATCTCATTCTCAGCAGCTGCTGGTCTAGACAAGGCAGGGCCATGTCTGTGTGGGCTGTCCTGGTACCAGGCAGGTGGCCCGCTGACTACTGGGGGACCAGTCAGGAGGGGCAGTGGCAGAGTCCTTGCTGCTGTAATCCCCACAGCTGCTTACTCATTCACTCATCCATGATGGCACCTTCTCGGCATTGGAGAGTGCCCTTCTTCTGTAGCTCCTGCACCTGGTGTAATGTTGGCCATATAGTACATACCCTATCACTACTTCCTGTCTCTGCAAGGTGATTTCTAAGTCCTAGGAGCAACCTTCCCCATCCTCCATGTCTTCCTCCTTCTCTGTTGCCTTTTGGCAGAAGTTTTACCGTTTGTGATTCATTCCTTTGGCATAACTGTTGCCCTAAGTTCTTCTAAAATGCAGAACCCTAGAGTCTCACTACCCCTTCTAGGAAGGAGACCCTTTCAAGTCCCAGCTTCTGGGTAACCTATGTGCCTAGGAGAACAGGGCTGTCTTGACTATGCAGGGCTCTGGTGCAGGGGTCTGTGGAAGAGACGGGGAAATCAGAGTTGGGAGGACACGCGGCAGCTCCTGTGTGCCTGCAGGGTGCCCGGGATTGCACTTTTCTTGCTCTTTTCAGCCCTACAGCCCTGGGCTTGGGATGTTTTCATCCCCGTTTTGCAGGGGAGGGGACTGAGGCACCGCTAGCAGGTTTCCCAGCTGGGAGGGCCAGGCCTGGGGTCTGCATGATTCCCGTCCATACCCTTCAACTGCACCTTGCTCCTGTCCACAACATGGGTGTATGATGGTGGTGTGGCCCCTGCAGGGCACCAAGGTCAGCCCCTCTGGTTTGCAGCTGCTGAGAGAGGGCCCAATCCTCACAGCCTTTTGTCCTTTAGGAAAGGTGATCACTTCTAGAGGCTGATTTGATCCCCACACCACCCTGAGGCAAAAATGTCCTCGTTTCTCTTATGAGGAAACTGAGGCACAGGGGGTACCTACTCTATGACACACCATTCAGTGCCCCTCCTGCCCTTCCCCCCAGTCCCCTTGGGAAAGGCCTTGGGCCTGGGCCTGGTGCCAGGAGATGAAGCACTTAGGCAGCCCCCTTCTGCCTCCCTGACTGCAGGTCCCAGTCGCCAGCCCCGCAGGGACCCCTGCCCAGAGCCTGCCGCAGGTGGGAGGGCTGGCGTGCAGGTCCTTGAGGGGAGGCAGGCTGTGTGTGAGCCGCAGTTTGGGAGCCTGGCCACCCCCCTGTCCCCCGATTCCTGCACTCGTGTGCACCTTCTGAGGGGAGCAATCCCTGGATGCCACCGGGCCAGCCTTGGGCCAGCCATACGGTTCCTAAGTGTTCCTCCCTCCAGGCCGTATTTTCTTGGGTATTGATGAGCCAGTGTCATCCAAGATGCAGCCAGAAGCTGAGCTAAACTCAAGACAGATTGAGCCTCCGCCTCATCAATCTGCCTGCCGCTGCTCTGCTGGGGAGAAAAGAGGGCGGGCAGGCGGGCGGCCCAGGCTCTGCGGGGCCCTCCTGGGCTCTCAGAGTGGCCTCCTTAAACCACAGATCCACCTGTTGGGGCTGGCTTGTCACTCTCTGTCCAGGAATTTGCAACTTTCCAGACTCAGGCTCCTGGCCTGGCCACCCATTGCCTGGGGGCTAAAATCCACCCTGCTCATGTCCACCACAGGCCCTGTCTCCTTGCACTCCATTGCCACGCCAGTCCTCTCCACTGTATTCCAGCCATGCGGGCTGCCACTTCCACGAGCCATACTCCTTTCCTCCTCAGGGCTCTGCCTGGAAAGTTCTCTGCATGCCTTCCTCGTCTAGCCTGGCTGAAACACTGCTTCCTCTGAGCCCACGCGCCCCCCTGGCTGGATTCCTGTTATTGTCGACAGTCTCTTAGCACCACTTACTCCCCCCCGCACAACCCCCCAGAGAGCTGGCATCAATGGGTTATTTGTGAGAGTCTCTCACTGTCTGTCTCCCCCAGTGGGACATGGGCTCCGTAGCCCCAGGGACTGTCCATCTTGTTTCCACTAGATCCCCAGGACCTGGCACATAGTAGGCCCTTAGCAAGTGTTAGATGAATGTGCCAACATATGATTGTCATTGCCCTAATTAAACACTTTCCATTTCCTACTGCCCCTGGGATGAAATGTAAACTCCTCAGTGTGGCAGGCAGTTAAGGCCTGCAAGGTCCAACAGAAACAATTCCCTCTGCCTAGAGTTTGCTCCTCATTTTTTCCTCCTCATCTGCCCCTTTATAAACTCCTACACATCCTTCAAAGTCCACCTTTTCTGGGAAAACTTCATGGCCGCTCCGGGCAGTTGGCTGTTCTGCCCTCTGATTCAGCAGTGCCTGGGCACCAGGCCCTGTGCAGGGCACTGGAGAGACAGGGCTGGAAGGGGTAAGATTAGGGCCAGTGTGGAGTTAGCCTTGGACACAACCTCAGAGCATCCTCATGGCGATGATGACAGAAGCAGCTTCCCAGGCAGTTTGTGTTTTTCTTACTTCATCCTCACCACAACACTGTGAGGTGCTGGTGTCACCCCTATTCTGCAGACGAGGACAGCAAGGCTCAGAGAGGTGACGACTGGCAGCTGACATGAAAAGCCAGACAGGGCAGTCCAGAGGCACTTTGAGAGGAAAGAAGTCTGAGCTGAGACTGGAAGGAAGAATACAGGTTTTCTAGGCAGTGGGGAGTTGCAGGGGCGTTGCTGGCATTGGGGACAGTGTGGGCAGAGGTGTGGAGGGCCACGGGCACGGTTGGGGTGTGCAGCAGCCGTAGATGGGTAGGGAACTCCTGAATGTGGGGAGGGGGAAGCTCAGGAGCCTGGGGCAGCGGGGGCGAGGTGGGCAGAAGGGGAGCAGTAAAGGAGGAGGCTGGGGAGGTGGGTCAGGCCAGAGCGCGGAGGCCCAAGCTGGGGAGGGAGGCCCAGGGCACTGGGGCCTGGCGGGGTCTGGGTGACAGGTTGAGGATCCTGGCATGTGGCAGTTCACAGGCTCTGTAGTCCCCCGTCCTGCTTGTCTAGCCTACCCTGTTCCCTTAGCAGTGTCCCCTCCCAGCTGACAGGGCAGGCGGGGGCTCCTGGCATTTGTCCCCTGGTGGAGACCTTGGGGAGCACTTGCTGTCTGTAAATCTCTGGGGAAGAACATGAAAACAAGCCCAGTGACTGTCCCGCAGGGGTTGCCGGCTCCGCTCTTATCTGTCTCCTCATTTGCAGAGTGGGCATGGTCCACCGCCTCCTGCCCCTTCCAGGCCAGCCTCTCTGTGGCCGGCCGGCCATGCTTCTCTCAGCCTCCCCCGCCAGGGTGTCCTGTGAGGCCTCTGCACCAGGCGGCAGGCACCGGCGTGTTCCCTGGGTGTTCAGTGCCCCTCTGCTCTCAGTAAGCTCTACCCTCAGGGCCTGTGTGCAATCCCAGCCCGTTTCACCCACGCCTGGGTCTAGCAAGGCAGGTGCCACCTACCATTTCTGTAGAGATGGAAACTGAGGCTCAGAGATATTAAGTAATAGCATGTGATCACCTGGCCAGCGACAGGGAGCCAGGATTGAGACCTAGGGCCAGCTGCCTCTGTGGTCCTGCTCCTGGCCTAGCTGGGAGGATCTCCCTCCCCTGTCCTCACTTCATCTCTGCTCACCAAAATCCAGCCATCCCTCAAGGACTCACTTGAAGGGACCAGACTCACTTCTGGCCATGGGGGAGGCTCAGTGTTCCTTCTTTCATTCCCAGATACCTTGTGCCTGCCATGGCCCTGGGTACACTTCTAAGACCCTGGGGACGTTGTGCAGAGGTAAAGCCCAGACTCTGGGGTTGGATTCGTGGCTTCACCTAGGGTGCTTTGGGGCCTTCATTACCTCCTTGAGACTCTGTTCATTTGTAAAATGGGGGTGACATTAGTGCCTGCCCCCAAGGATAGGGAGGACTAAGTGAGTCTGTAAAGTGCTGAGAACACTACCTGGCACCTAGTAGCCCTCTGTCTGAGTCACATGTTACTGTCTCCACCCCTAGTGTTTGTGGGCCCCCTCCAGGAAGCGCCTCCAAACCTCTAGGCTGGTGAACATTTTCCTCCTCGAGCTCTCTCTCTCACTTGCTTCACGTCCAAGGGGTTGAGGGTCAGGTGGGTCCCCCGCCTCACTATAGGCACCTTGGGGGCCAGGGCTTCCGTCACCCCCATAGCCCCCTCTCCCCACCCCAGCTACCAGACCAGGGCTCCACGCATTATAGACACTTAATACATGTTTATGGAATTGAATTAACGATAAAACGAGATAATGGCCTGGAAGGAGCCTGTGCTGTTAGGAGGGAATGCATAGCGTAAAAACCAGGCATATATTTTTAAGCAGATTAATCTGGTCTTAACTCATTCTAATAGCCTGCGCCCCTATTGGCCAAGGCCATTATAATAACATATGGCCAGGGCTGTGGAGCTGGGAGATAGCAGTGCCTCGAAGTTCGTCTTCCGAAGGATACCACAGGAGGCCGGTGTCCAGCTGGCCGTCCAAGCTGGAGCTCAGAGAGTCTGAGGGACCTGACCGGAGTCACACCGCTGGGTAGGGGAGAGTGTGAAGAGACCGAGGCTCAGAGAGCCATGGGGCTTACCTGCAGACATGTAGCCCAAGGGGTGTGAGTGGCACAGGAGGCCTCGTCTTCCGCTGCGATGGTTGCATTATCTTGTGTTCCATGCCTGTGCTGGGTCAGAGCTTCTAGAGTCCCATCCCAGGGGACGCTTCACTTAGCTCCTCACCTCTGTGAGTCACCATCATCACAGTTGGGATGTCAAGTTTAGTGCTTCAGAATGTACATGCCCTTGGCCGGGAGAGAGATGAAGCTGGTATCAGTCATCCACACCTTAGTCTGAATTTACATCCCGTGAGGGCAGAGATCAGAGGGAGCTAGGGATCAGCGGGCTATTGGAAAGGAAGGAATAGTCTAGCTCCAGTCAGAGTAGGCGGGGCAGGGGGAATCAGAGCAGTGGCTCCAAAGTCACCCTTCCCAGCTGTCCGCCACTCTGGGCCTAAGTGCAGATGGAAGGCAGGGAATGAAGGAACTTGGCTTGCTTGGTGACCAGACAAGGTCCCACCCTCACATTCCGGGGCGAGGATGCTTTTAGAGAATGGCCCTGACCTGACCACTGTGCACTGCTGGTCAAATGCTGGTTGTAGCTACTGCAGCCGGCGTCCTCTGCTGCTGCCTCCCTTGGTGCATCTCAGGGGCAACCCCATGCTGTCGTCAGAGCCCACCATTGCCACCAGATGGCTCGGGTTGGTGCCCGGCCCTGGCTGCCCCTCCTCTCAGTCTTTTTTTTTTTTTTTTTTTTTTTTAAGACAGAGTCTTGCTCTGTCACCCAGGGTGGAGTGCAGTGGCATGATCTCGGGTCACTGCAACCTCCGCTCCCCAGGGTCAAGCGATTCTCGTGCCTCAGCATCCCGAGTAGCTGGGATTACAGGAGCGTGCCACCATGCCTGGCTAATTTTTGTATTTTTAGTAGAGACAGAGTTTCACCATGTTGTCCAGGCTGGTCTCGAACTCCTGACCTCAGGTGATCCGCCCACCTTGGCCTCCCAAAGTGCTGGGATTACAGGTGTGAGCCACCAAACCTGGACGCTCCTCTCAGACTTCAACAAGTGTTGCCCTCCTGAGCCTCCATTTCCTGCTCAGTAAAATGCCTACGGCAGCTCCATCCCAGTGGCATGGGGGCTCCTGAGGCGAAGGCACCCAGCACAGCCCCAGGCTCAGACGAAGCCCCATTAGTGCTGTTTCCCTAATTCTCCCACCAGCCTGGAGGAGGTGGGCCCATGGATGCCCTGTGAGCCATGGGTTCCACGGGCACAGTGGAGGCCCACTGCCTGCCTGTCAAGTAGAGGTAATGGAGGGCAAAGGAAGTTTCTCCTGGAGGCTTCCCCAGTTTAGAAGTCCCTGGGCAGGGCTGCCTGAGCCTGGGGGTCCCCTAGCAGCACCCCCCACCCACATTGCTTGCCACCTGCTCCTGGCAGGCAGATGAGGTCCTCAGCTGCTGGCCCAGCCTGGCAGGGCGGCTGCAGCCCTCATCAGCCCTCGCGCCACTTTCCTTGGAAGGAGAATTGCAGGTGGCAACTCCTAATTTCCCAGGCTTCTGCCTTTCATTAATTTCTCCCTGCAAAATGGAGGCTTTCTGCGAGGCGGGGAGCTGGCAGCGGCGCGCACAGCGGCTCCGTCTCCGGCTTAGCCATGCGCTCAGCTTGAGGCGGGGGTGGCGAGGCCGCAGCAGCCACTCAGTCCACGCTGCCTGCGGTGCCCCCTCGCAGAGGCAGGAGGTTTTTCCCATGTTCAGATGGGCTCACCAAGCCTCACCAGATCTGGGAGATTGCTCAGTGGGGAGGGGGAGGCAAGGAGGCTCAGCCAATGCCAGCCTTTGCTGGACCATGAAGGGAGCAGAGGTCTCCGAGCCCCCAGGAGCACCCCTGCCCTCCACGGCTGCCAGTGCCTCCCTCCTGAGGGGCTTTTCCTGCCCTCCAGCTTTGAGAGCATCTGAGGGCCAGGCCTGCATGAGGATGGAGATGGGGTGGGGGAGGGCCAGATCTGGGGTGGGAGGTCCAGGGATCTCCCAGCCACGGGGGAGGCAGGTGGCACACTGATGATGACACCCATCCAGGGGCCACTGTCAGGCCAGGGGTGTGGAGACCAGGGAAGGCAGTCTGGGGAGGCCAGGGTCTGGAAGGACGAATGGGAGGTGGCTGGGAAAGTGGTCCCCCATCCTGGAACAGCACAGTGCATTTCCAGGAACAGCACCTTCATCCATCCATTTGTCCTGTAGATGTTGACTTAGCAGCTGTTCGGGAGATAACACAGCAGGTTCTGGTGGGGTGAGCCAGGTGTCCAGGGCCAGGGGTCTGGTCTCCCCTGGGGACTGGGAGAGACTTGGTCAGATGTGCAGTTTAGAGAGACCCATGGAGTGGCAAGTGTGGAGTGTTTGGGAGGCAGTCATAGGAGGACCAAGAAGGATGCTGGGGGTTAAGGGGTGGGATGGCCCCATGTTTCTGGCCCCAGGTGGATGGCAGTGCCATGCCCTGAGGGGGGCAGGGAGCTGGTCCTCATTAATAGGAAGTAGTCAATCACTGCCTAGTATGAATTAGGGGATTGGGCCAGCTCTTGAACTGATTCTTACCAGCAGCCTTGGGGGCCAGGAGGCAGTGCTGGAGCTGGAGCGTGGGTCTGACATTTGCTCAGGTTGTGTTTGCAGTGCTGTACGACTGCATGGGGAGGGGCTCCAGGGGGTTATTTAGTTCAGGTCCTGCTTTCTCTCTCCCATGGGCGACCAGGGAGAGGGTCTGCTGTGTGCTCAAACACCCCACAGGCTGTGCATTCCCTGGGCATCTCTGAGCCTATTTCCTGGTTTGGAAAGAGCACAAGCTGTAGAGACAAACCCCCAAGAGTACGGGGCCCCTGGTAGAAACTGGGGCCAGGTTAAGCTGGAGGTCACGGGACTCCAGTCTTCAGCCTGGAACAGGCCCCAGCGCCCGACCTTAGCTGTACAACTGACACCTGGTTCACATCCCACCAAGAGCGCCCCTGAAGTGGGGACCTCCCCCAGTATAAGTCTAGCACTTCAGTATGGAGGAGTGGACACCAGGAAGCTAAAACTTGCAGCTTCTCACCACCCTGGGCAGGTCACTTCACTCCTCTCTGCCTCGGTTTCCCCAGCTATGGAATTACATGATTCTGCCCACCTCATAGGGTTGCTGTGAGAGTTAGATGTTCATCAGAGTGCCTGCCTGGCACAACAGACGTAGACTTGCTACCCTGTACCTCCCAGGACCAGGCAAGGGGATCTCTGCGCGGCAGTGCACGGACGCAGCATGCAACAGGCTTTGTAAGCCCAGGGGAAGGTGCTGAGTCCTCTCAGTGAGTTGGGAGGGCTCTGCGGGGAAAGGCTGGGGGATGTGGGGCTGGCTGCCCAGGGCTGTCTCCCAACACCCCCAGCATGCGTCCAGGAGTCCCTTCCTGCATCCAGCCCAGCCTCCCCACCTCCCTGTGCTCACCACCCTGTTGGGCTCTACCTGCCTCTCCTCCAATCTGTGCTCTATTTATGGAATTTCTAGGCGGGAATCTAGCACAGCTTTGATCTTTTCCGTGGAACGGGCAGCTAAGGCGGGGCGGGGGTGCTTCTGGCTGTATATTTTCTCCCTTAATGGGGTATTAAGTAGACAGCCCAGATGGGGATCTCCCAGTGGGAGGGGGTGGGGCACAGCCTGCTTCATATCAGCCTGAAATATGGCCCCATCACCGCCAAACCTCAAAGGACGCTACCTTTGGGCTGGCTGGGACCTAGCTTTGATGTTCTTGCGGCAGGGGGGTGGGGCAGACCTTCCCGGGCACAGCTAGACTGGAGTATGGTCTGCCAGGCACCTGGGAGAGAGTGGCCCCTCTTCACTCTTTCTCCTGCCTCCCCTTCCCCTTTCTCCATTCTCTCTTCTCTCTCTCCCCTCTCCCCCTTTTCTTTCCCCGCTCCCCTCCTCTCCACATTCCCCTCTCCCTCCCTCCCTGTCCCTAGCTCCCTGCCCCTCCTCCTCTCACCTCTATGCTTCCTCTTCTCCCCCAGTCCTCTTCCTCCTCCCTTTGGCCTGAGCGTTTTCCAAGCAGTGCACTCCCCTGCCATCCGCAGACCCATCTCCTCTAATCCGCAAGGGTCCCCTGGTGAATGTGTGGGCAGGGCACAGCTGAGGGTGGGAGTGTGGCTCCTTCACCTGGCTGGCCATCATGGGAGGAGATAGTTAAAGGTGAGGCCAGACAGTCCAGAATCCATTCCCAGTTCATGTGCTTATCAGGCAAGTTACTTCAGTTCTCTGCATACTCATGCCCTCGGCTGGAAAACGGTGTAATAGCTGCCCATGGGGTGTTGTGCAGGTTACAGAGCTCGACTGCAGAGTGCCTGGATCCCTGCCCTGCACCGAGCGAACGCTCGGAGTGTCCACTAGGATGAGCCGTTTCTGTCTGATCTGGGGCAAGGGCCTGAGCCGGACCTCTCTGAGCCTCGGTCTCCTCTGCACGATAGTGTGGATACCCCTCAGCTCCTCGGTACGCGTGGTGAAGACTAAATAAGATGATGCATGGCAGAACCTGGCACAAGGGGACATCCAGTAGATGGTTGCTTGGCCTGGCATGGTGGCTCACGCCTGTAATCCCAGCACTTTGGAAGGCCAAGGCAGGTAGATCACATGAGGTCAGGAGTTTGAGACCAGCCTGGCCAACATGGTGAAACCCCGTCGCTACTAAAAATACAAAAATTATCCGAGCGTTGTGTTGGGCACCCGTAATCCCAGCTACCTGGGAGGCTGAGGCAGGAGGATTGCTTGAACCCGGGAGGCGGAGGTTGCAGTGAGCGGAGATTGTGCCACTGCACTCCAGCCTGGGCAACAGAGCGAGGCTCTGTCTCAAAAAAACAATAAATGGCTGTGGTGGTGGTTTCCATGAATAGTCACCCCAGCATCTATTAAACCCGTGCCGTGTGCCAGGGCTGGAGGCTCTGGTTGAACCTGACGGGGTCCCAGCCTGAAGTTGCACCCAGGCGTGGGGCACACATTTGGGTAAAGAAATTGTTCCGGAACTACAGGATGGGAGGTGCTGGGTGGTCTGTGATTTGAGTGTAGTGGGTGGGGGGTTCTGGATAAGTCCTGCAGGGCAGGGTCATGGCCAGTGCCTGTTTCTGTTCTTCCTTCTTTCTTTCCTCCTTCTCCCTGCCCTGGCCCCACCATGTGAGACATCCAGGAATCCCACCAAGCAAGGACAGGGATGAAAGAGGCCGGTCTCTGTCTTTGCCTTCCACTGGCTGGTGACCTTGGCAAAGCCTCCTCTCCTGGCCTTGGTTTCTTCCTCTGTGAAAGGGGCATGGCTAGTGGCCTCCCTGCATGGCTTGGAGGCCAGTGGGTGGGGTGGGAGCTCTTTGAGGGTAGAGGAACGTGCCTCTCACCTCCCCCACCAAGGCTGCCTCTGTACGCTCAGCCCCCGCCCTTTGCTGTCCATGGCTGGAATTGAGAGAGAAGGCTGCCCACTCTATGGGTCCCCACAGAGACCGTCTCTTTTGTCCTAGAGACCCCCAGCTGCAGCCACCACCAGCCTGAGTGCCATCTAGTGTCAGTCCTGACTGTTGTGGGAGCCCCGGTCTCAGTTTCCCCATCTGGAGAAGGGGACTCAACACCCGATAGTGCCCTTAAGGCAGCATCAAGGCACCTGCCCAGTGAGGGGCCCCTCAGCTCTCCCAGACTGGCCCCTTTGCCTCCTGTCCCATTAGCTGTCCCTCCTTTGCCGGCTCTTGCTCTGGGCTAAGAGGTGGGTCTGTGCCATGCAGACCCATCAGGGGGTTCTCTCCCAGCTCCTCCAAGAGGCCTTTCCTCTGGGGGCTTAGGTTGAGGGACCTGCCTGAGGTCGTCCAGCTGTACTTGCGAGCCCTGGGCCCGGAATCCAGGCCTGCCGGCCCTGAGTCTTGCTCACACCAGCCCCCGTGGCCGTCCAGCCAAGCGGCTGTGCACTGGAGTGCTCCTCCTCGGAGAACTGAAATCTACCAGGGGAATGGCTGCCCATCTGCTCGGGTTTTGCCCGCTGGCAGTGAGAAAGGGAGTCCCCTGTTCCCCACGACAGACTTCAGGGAGCCAAGGGACGCAGCCAGGTCTCCCCAGCCTGCAAACATTGCTTCCCACCTTCCCTCCCTTGCTGCTCCCAGACCCCTCCCAAAGGTTTCCATTGCCCTGGAGCTACGCCAGGGAGCTCTGTCACCTTTGGCATGGCTCTTGCAGACACCTCCGCCTGTCGAATCACTTTGACTTAGGAAGCCCTGCTTTCTCCACCTCTGGGCCTGTGTGCATGCCACCTCCTTGGCTGGGAACAGTGTCCCCTCCTGTCCTCACCTTGCAGGTGGATTCCTCTTTGGAGGGACCAGGCCACGTGCCTTACCCAGTCCAGCCCCCACCATAGCCCCCTCACCCTGTGGTGGTGGTTGTGTGGTCACGTCTGTCTCCCCAAGGTGCACGCCTTGTCTGTCTGGCTCTCCTCTGTCTCCCTGGGGCGTGGCACAGAGTAAGTGCTCAGCAAACACTTGTTGAACCTATGAATGACTCCATCCTCGCCTTGTCCTGACAGCCCCATAGTGAAGATCTGAGCCGACCTCTCTCCTGCTTACACACCTCCAACGGCTCCCTAGTGCCCGCAAGATAAACTTCCGCATTTCTGAACCCCCACATCCACCTCCTCCCAGCCTTGCCTCTGGCTTCCAGCAGCCATTTACACCTCCACCCTGGTAAGTGCAGATGCCATGCTCTGCCCTAGGACCTTCCTTTGGGGAGACTCCCCTACCGCCACCCTACAGAGGTAGCTGCTTCCTCCTTGGAGGCCACACCTCTCTATCCTAAACACCCTCCCCTGTCCTGGCCTCTGAAGGTGGGGTTAAGGCTGACTCAGGGCCTTGGGGAGCAACAGAAGAATGAATGGTTGAATGCATGGTGCATTCTGCAGGTGGGGCTCGGGGGAGGGGAAGCTGCCCAGGTCTTGGCAGGGGGAGGAGGGAATGTCAGGAGTGGATAGGGAGGATGGGCTGAGCAGAGGCAAAGGCAGAGAGGCAGGCCTGGGTTAGTCATCAGGGTGATGAGTGGGGCTGAGTGTGTTGGCCCTGGGCTGGACGAGGGGTTTTCTGAGACCCTCCCCTGCCACTAACCTCCCTATACTTCCCTTTCCCAGCAGCCACAGCCCTGCCCCTTGGGCTGCTGACCGCAGGAGGCTTCAGGCATGGGAGTCCTGAGACCCCAAGTCTTAGCCCGCACCCCTTGAGCACTCACTGTGTGTGTCCCTGAACAAGTGCCTTTCCCTTCCTGGGCCTCAGTGCCCCCTGGGAAACAAAAGCGTTGCTGCCCACCATCAGAAGTGGGAGGTGACCGAGGTTCTGGGCCCCAGTCAGGACATGCTCTATTTGGCCCATGTGGCGCTTTTTTTCTTTTTTTTTTTAGTTTGAGCCAAAATTAAAACAGGGAAGTTTTCACATACAAATCTAGATTTCTGGCTTCTGTTGATATCTGGGCTGGCCCAGCCACGAGCTCTCACCGGCAGGAGTAGCTGGGTGGTCTTCACTCTTGGCCACCTGCCCAGCCTCCTAGCAGAGGCCCCAAAGCCCTGCCGCTCTCCTTGGGGGAACAGGTTTCAAAACCTGCCTCCCCTTACCCTGCCTTGAGATAAAACCGCATTCCCCTAACCCCCTGATATTCCAGACAATCTGCCTCGTTTTAAAATTCCTTCAGCAGCCCCAGGCCCAGCGGCTTCTACCAGCGAAGGAACGAAGGAACGAAAGGAACCAGGCTGCACGTGACTGCTTTGCGGCTGGGGAAGGCTTTGATGTTGCGGGTGATTTCAGCGCGCCCCTCCCCCTCCCCCTCCCCGCCCTTCCTTCCCCTCCTCTCCTTTCTTCCTCTGCTCCCTTTCCCCCTCCTCCTCCACCCGCTCCAAGCTTCCCTTCTACCCCTTTCTGTCTTTTCCCTCCTCCCTCCTCCCCTCCGCTTCCTTCTCCCCCTTCTCTCTTCCCCTCCCCCATCCCCACCACTTCCTCCTCCTCTGCTATTCTCTCTTACCGACCCCACTCCAGGTACCTGCTAATTGCACTTCCCTCCTGCTATTAATTACCTGACCTAGAGAGACCCCAGCCAGGTCACTCCTAGGAGGTCTTGAAGTGTTGGGGTGCGGGCAGGGGGGCCTGCGTTCGGGGAGAGGTACAGAGGTTGGAGAGCTGCTAGCTGGGACAGAAAGGCAAGAGGGACTGGTGACCAGTGGGACATGTGATTCCCCTCCACCCCCATTCCAGTTCCTCGGGGTTCCTGGGTGACCCACCACTGCCAGCATGTTCTGTTCATGAGGCCTTGAGGCCCCTTTGTCCTGGGGGAAATTGAGGCCCCAGGGCATTGGAGGTTGGCTAGGAGTGGGGAGGGGAGATGGGAGAGAGAGTCCATGGGGAGGGAGAGCAAGGTAAGGACTGTGTGAGAGGCAGATGGAGAGAGTGCCAGAGCAGGGGGCTGGATGTGGGGAGAGGGGCTGGGAAGGACCCTCAGTTCCTGCACCCCCAGCCAGACATGGCCTCACCTCCTTGCCGCCGTCCTCCCTGTGATTGTCCTCTGGGCTCACTGGTTGCTCTTGCTGTCTGCCTACCGCCCCCTTGCCCCCATCCTCCCGTGCCTTCTAAAGGCCAGAGAAGCCTGCAGGGCCAAGTCCAGATTTTTGGGGGTACCCCTCCAGGTCTCCGTTCCCCTCCACAGCAGGGGTCTGGGCAGGCGGTGGGTGTGGGAACCCTTGGAGCCCACCCATCACTGCCATGGTTATTCTCTGTTTCAGTTGGTCCACAGCTTCTAAGGCTGAGGACACACCAGTGGGTGCCTCCTCTGTGCTGGCCGTGGTGCCCGGCCCCTCCCTGCCCTGGGCCCTCTCGTCCTCCCCCGACTTGAGGCAGGGATGGCTCCTGGAGGCCGGGGCATTGGGCACGCTGGTTCTGGACTGTCCTGGGGAAGGCCTGGTGGGGAGGGGACTGCCTGCTGCTCTGGCCTCCAGGCTCTGGCCCATCCCTGCTGTGGTTTCTTTGGTCAAATTTGTCATCTAGGTGGGTGTCCCCACAAAAGGCAAGTGCAGAGATAGATGAAATTAGGGCAAACTTGCGACCATGCCAGCTGGTAGGCCTACTATGTGCCCAGCTATCCACAGGGGATGTGAGAGTGTTGCCTGTCCCACTGCCCCCTCCCCCAGCACCATCCGTGCAAAGATGAAGAGCCCAGGCTCAGGGAAGTGCCGAGACTTGACAGCAGGGCTGGGACCCAGGCCTTCTGCTTCGGGGTTCTGGGCAGGATGGTCTTCAGTGATAGCCAAGGAGGCTTCGGCCCTGGAGTCACCACCCCGGCATGTGCCTTGTTTTCCTCCTTGAAACCATAGTGACACTACTCCTGTCTCCCTAGAATAACTTCTCAGCAGCAGCTGCTGTCGCCTTCCACACCCAATGGGTGCCCCAACAACAGTCGGCCCTTTGGGTCAATCGCCCATGTGCCCACCTTCACCTACCCTCTCTCCAGGAGCACCTCCGCTGATGTCAAACCCTGCCTGTCCTCACTCATCCCCTGCTCCATCTCAGTTCTTGGATGAGTCGCTGGAAGCTGAGCCTTGGCTCTGGCTGAGGGCTCAGCCCTCCTCCGGGCTAGGGAATCTGGTGATAGGAGCACCAGGGCCCTGGGATTTGTGCCCTGATCAGCTGTGTGACTTTGGGCAAGTCACTGGCCCTCTCAGGACATGTGAGAAATGGAGACAGTGGTGATGCCTTCTCTCCCATGGGTTTGCTTTGAGTCTATTGAGAAGACAGATGCTGAAAAGCCCCACCACTTTGTACAGATGTGAGCAGCTGGGCTGAGCGGTCACCTTTGCACCCCCAGGCCCAGCCCTGAAACCAGCACATGTTCATCCTTGCCTGCTCTGCATGGGTGCCAGAGAGGAGCCCTGCTGTGAACCCTCCATGTGTTCCTTCCACCCTGGGTCTCATCTCCTCACCATCAGCCAGGAATGCTGGGCCCTGCCTGACAGGGGCCCCAGCTGGTGGGGGGATGCGACCCGAGGCCTTCTGTTGTGGTTTGTGGGGCAAGAGGGGAGTCCACACACATTTGTCTGAATTGTGTGGCTCAAGATTCTCTCTGGCCAGTATTTCCTAAGTCTGCCTGGTCTGGGTTGGGAGAAGAGGTTATGAAGGGGAAGCTCCTGGGGGCTGAGCTCGAGGCTCAGGGATCATGGGCTTTCATGGCTGACCCTGTGAACTGCCCCTCCCCAGTGTCTGGCCCCTCCAGCCCAGCCATGGGGCTCACCCAGCTGTGCCCTTGGAGGGTGCTCAGGAGGCAGTGGGGGATGGGAGAAGGTTGGGAGGGGCTCTGATGAGTTCTTGTTGCTGGTAAAAAGAAGGCACAACCAGTGTCCTTAGATTTACCGTCTAATGCAAATGAGGACCCACTCCTCATTCTTGCCGCTCCATGAATATGACCAACCCTTAAGCCAGCTAGGGAGTCTGACCTCTGCTCAGGCCTGGCAGGGGACAGGAAGTAGCTCCTCACCTGTTTTTCTTTTTTCAGCCCCCTGGTCAGTTCTACAGCGTAGCCCTCTCTGATCATGCCCATTTTCCAGATGGGCAGCCTCCTTGCCCAAGGTCGCCCAGCTGGGCCATCCATTGTGGGTATGGGCACTGAGGCCTGCCTGAACCAGTAGTGCATAGGGGTTGGGACACAGGTTCTGGGGCCCAAGTTTAAACTGACTTCTCCAGTTTGCTGTGTGGTTCTGGGTGGGTTACTGCACCTCTCTGAACTCAGTTGCCACATCTGTAGAGTGGGTTTAACTATAGCACCTTCCTTTGGAGAGATGTCAGTGCCGGAGTGCATGGAGCACCTGGCATGGAGTGAGTGCTTGCTGAGTGTCAGCTGTAGTTGCTGCTGTTTTTACTGTTATTTGACTTGAAAATCTCCCCCTGCTCCTCGTGCTGCTTTCTCATTCGCGAAAAGCTGAGCTGAATAAATGGCGACGGGGCCTCCTGGGTCCCCCTGCAGCGTGATTACATCCCTGAGCCCTGCTTGGGGCTGGCATCAGCAGGGCCCCCTTGTGGCTCGGGTGGTGAGGAGAAACTTGGCCCTGTCGCACTGCCTGGCTGGAGCCCTGTTTGGGGGTGGGGGTCTCAGCCCTGCCTGGCCTGCCTCCCGGCTGACAGCTCGGGCACTGTGAGCTGGCTGCCAGCCAAGCTGCTTCCTCTCTGGCTGGCTGGCATCCCGGGCCCAATGCCAGGGGGCCGGCTGGTGGGCAGCAGCTCGAACGCCGCAGGGCTGTGATCCCGGCCAGGAGACTCCAGGCAGGGCTGGGTGTTGGGGCCTCCAACTGCCCCTCATGGCCCTTGGGGAGCCGGGCACAGCTGCACTGGCTCTCGGCACCACCCCCAAGTTGGCGCCGTTGCAGGTTTGCAAAGCAGCAGCAAAGAGTGCAGCCAGGGCAGTGGGAGCTGTTCACATCCTCAGGCCTGTCTCACAGGGTCAGACACTGAGCCAGTACTTGCTGAGTGTCCATGTGTCCAGGGCCTGTGCTGGGGGTCAAGGACACAGCATCCCGTTCGCTGAGGCCTGGCTCGGGGAGGCCAGGCTGCTGCTGAAGATGATGATGGTGGTCATGATGGTGATCCTGCACTGCCAAGCACTCACCTGCCAGGCAGGGGTCTAAGTCCTGACACATCTTCACTCGGTAGTCCTCACAAAACTCAGATGGGCTAAGGACTGTTCTTACCCCCATTTTACGGATGAGGAAACAGATCCATCTATAGCTAGAAAACGGGGAAGGCAAGATTGGAACCCCAGCTTGCTGGCTTCAAAGTCCATGCCCTCAGTGATGCCCAGGGTCTTGTGGAGGGCAGCCTGTACCATGTGGGAACTGGTCACGCTGTGTGGAAAGCCTGCCTGGAGGAGGAGGGGATGGGTATATGGGTTGGGGCTGAAGGCTGCACAGGATTTCTGCTGCTGAGGTGGGGAGTTCAAGGAAGGCTTCTCTGAGGAGGTGTCATTTAGGCTTTGGCCTGAAGGACATGAGCTGGTTGTATGAAAACATAAGGGAGTAGGCCGGGCGCGGTGGCTCACGCCTGTAATCCCAACACTTTGGGAGGCTGAGGTGGGTGGATCACTTGAGGTTAGGAGTTCGAGACTAGCCTCAACATGGAGAAACCCTGTCTCTACTAAAAATACAAAATTAGCCGGGCGTGGTGGTGCCTGCCTGTAATCCCAGCTCCTCAGGAGGCTGAGGCAGGAGAATTGCTTGAACCTGGGAGGCGGAGGTTGCAGTGAGCCGAGATTGTGCCATTGCACTCCAGCCCGGGCAACAAGAGCAAAACTCTGTCTCAAAAAAAAAAAAAAAAAAGAAAAGAAAACATAAGGGAGGAGCATCTCAGGGAGGGGGACAGCCAGGGCAGAGGCCCCAAGGCAGCAGCAGGCTTGCCAGGTGGGAAGGACCAGAAGGCAGCCCAGCGGTGGGGAGTGTGGAGTGAATGGGGCTGAAAGGGTAGGGCTGGCTCACAGAGGGTGGGGAGGCTGCAGCAAAAGAGGAGTTTAGGGTGGCTATGGTGCAGGGGCAGCTGTATGCTTCACCTCAAATGTTACTGTCTTCTCTCTCCATCAAGGAGGAAGGGCCCAGGCTGGGGTTAGGAGGCTTAGGGACCAGACTGTGTCACCCTCTCTCCTCCTGTGCCCTGCCCCCCACGCTGTCATCTCCCTCAGTGGCAGTGGGGGTTCATCACTGGGTCTTCAGGTCCCTTGCCCATGGCTGGTGGTGTTCCAGGTGGGCCCAACCAGGCGGCCCCTGCCTCTAGGCAGCGCGTAGGTTTCCTTGGGCAGCCTCAATCCTGCCAGCGCCAGCATGTCTCCCTGCACAGAAGCCATCAAGCACCTTTGGATCCTATCTGAGGGTCATCCCTGTCCCCCAGGGCCCTCCACCCAACCACAGCACCGGTGTGTATTCCCCTCTGCAGGCTGCCAGGCACTCCGCCTGCACCTGCTGCAGTTGGACAGTCCAGGCGTGGTGTGTGACCACAGCAAGCCACTGCCCACCTCTGAGCCTCATTGTCCTCATCTACAGAGTTGGGACATCAGCGTCTACTTTGTGGTTGGCTGTGAGGCCTAAATGAGATAATCTCCATCAAGTCCCTGCCAGGAGCCTAGCCTGGCCTCCATCAGTGGCCGCTGTTGAAAATGTGAGTCCTAAATCCTTGTGACCGCTGGGCCCAGCACCCTGGACAGCAACAGCCTGGCCCTGCCCTCTCCCGGAGCTGGGAGGGAGGGCCCTTTCCCAACCTGCTCGCCTGGGAGCACTGCCTGCCAGTGACTTCCCTGCCTCTGCCACGCCGACCCCCAGCAGCCTTCCCTGGCCTCCCTCCCGCTCCTGGAGTCTTTAGTCTTCAGCACAGTCTGGTAATTAAAAACCTTCAAGGGGAACTTTATTGAGTTAGCATTAGTTATTTTGTCAGGCTGGGAGAGCAAGAGAATTATCTGTCCTCCGGGAGAGGGGGCTAGGGCGGGGTCGCGGGCTGAGATTGGCAGGTGCCTGCCAGTGTAGTGCACGCAGGGTTTGTGCTCTATTAATGCACCGCACTGCAGGTGCAGTGGCAGGATGTGACCGGGGTGGAGCGGGCTGGCGGGTGTGTGTGTGGGGAGGGAGGATTCCCCACTGTGAGGCTGGCCCTGCGGGGATGTTCCCACTTCCCAGGCTCTTCCTGGCTCCTGTCCTAGGGCTCTATCACTTCCTGGCTTTCAAAACAAGCCCCTGTGAGAGCCCAAATGGAGACATGGGCAGCTGAGGGCGTTCTTTGAGACGGAGTCTCCCTTTGTGGCCCAGGGTGGAGTGCTGTGGTGCAGTTTTGCCTCACTGCAACCTCCGGCTCCAGGGTTCAAGCGATTCTCCTGCCTCAGCCTCCTGAGTAGCTGGGATTACAGGCTCATGCCACCACACCCGGCTAATTTTTGTAATGTTAGTAGAGACGGTGTTTCACCATGTTGGTCGGGCTGGTCTCAAACTCCTGACCTCGTGATCTGCCCGCCTTGGCCTCCCAAAGTGCTGGGATTACAGGCCTGAGCCACCGCGCCCAGCCTGAGGGCATTCTTTTCTTACTCCAAGCTGGGGGCTAAGCCTCTTGCCTCCCCAGGCCTGCCCTTAGGCTAGGGTTGGCCAGTGGGCTGGTTAAGGTGCCCCAGGCCTCCTCCCTACCCTCCCCTTCCCATAGCCTGAAGATACCCCCTTACAGAGTCAGGCAGGGACACCTGAGATTGGGAGCTCTGTGACCTTGGCTGAGCCCCCTCACCCCGCTGTCCTCAGACTCTCATTTGTGGAATGAGAACCACCCTCCCCAGGTAGTCATGCAGGATAAAGGAGGTCAAATGGGAATTCCCACCTCCAGGAAACCACCTGGTTTTATTCCCCTGGGTCTGTCTGAATGCCGAGCCCTAGGGAATGAGCTGACCTTTGCCCTTTTTGTTTGGCACCCACCTAGGGACAATACTCTGAATCCTGGCAATAACCTTGCAAGACAGGTGTATCCAGCTCCTGTTTCAGTTGAGCACACTGGGGCTGGAGCAGGGTGGCAGTTTGCTCAGAGTCAGCCAGGAGTGGAGAAGCTGGGTCTGACCTTGGATCTTCCCCCTATTCGAGGGGCTGGGGGGCCAACACTACACTATTGAATCTTTTAGGGAAGGTGCCAAGGAAGGACACTTGGCCTCCTCCTGGGCTTGGGCCTGGCCAGGAGGCCTCCTGCTGGGAGCTGGCCCCGGGGCTTTGTATCCTGCCCTGCCTTGCCCCAGAGCTGGGCCCCACTCCCTGGCCTTTCTGCCCTGCCTATGAGGCCCAGCTCCTGAAATTCAAACCCCGCCACTCCTGGTGGGCAGGACAGAGTGGGAGGGGGATGTGGGATCTAGTATCCAGCGCTGGGGACAGTGGAAGGGTCACACCAGCCATGTGTCTGTGCCGCTCAAGCTGAGACCCGGTCATTCAGTAGATTCTCCTGGGCCTGGGCTAGTGCTCGGCCGGCCCTGGAGGCGCAGAGGGGCTGGCTGGGAGCAGAGAGGCCTGAGAATCCAATCCGAGCCTTGTCTTCCTAGCCGTGGGGTCCTGTGTCCCAGGTGTGTGCTGCTTTGCAGCTCAAACAGGCCTCCTTGTCCTCCAAGTTCCTGCTTAAACACCCCCTCTTCTGGGATGCCTTCTGGGATTTATCCAGGCCACCGTGCTGCCCACTCTTCTGGCATCTCACAACCTACCTTGGTTACAGTTGACACGCAGGATGTTACCTCATTGAGGGCCAGGCTGAGCCCTTGTTATGTCCCTATCCTCAGCGTATGTGCTGGGTCCTAGCTGAGTCCCAGCTCTGCCTCGGATTCCTCATCTGTCAAGTGAGTCCAGGGCACAGAACCATGTTTGGGGACTGCAGGGCAGGATGAGGCCAGAAAGGGCTCCTTCTGTGGCATCCTTGACCTAGTGCACGTGGCCTGATTTTAGCACTGGGGCCTCAGCGGATCAGGACACGGAACACGCAGGCCCAACCCTGGGAACTGTAAGGTATTGCCTACTACCGCCGTGGGACCTGGGTGAGCTTTCTTCTTGCAAAATGGGGGTGCTGACCCTCGTCCATACCCTGTGAGACTATGGGCAGAGAGCCCAGCATGACAGGAGGGCCTATGGGTGCTGTGCTAAGTTTCTTTATCTAAGAAATGGGAGTGAGGCCCCATTAGTGCTCACGGGTCTCATACGAGGGGTGGTGTGTGAGAGGTGCCTGCTTTTACCCAGGTCAGAGACCTCAGGTCCACAGGGGCAGGAGACAATAGGTGCTGGCTGTTGTCAGGGAGGATCATGGAGCCAGGGGCCTGACCTTCCTCCCTCACATCTGTGGTTTCAACTTGGATGCTCTTAATCTGTGCTGGAAAGGAATTGGGTAGGGCCCCACCCCCTCACGCTAGCCCTTCTGCTTGCTTCTTTAGGCTGGGCTGCCTTTGTGTGTATCTGTGCTCTGGACCAGAATCAGGAGACCCTGGCTCAAGAGGCCCCTCCTAGGCATCTTGTGGCCCCAGGACTCCACCTTTGCCCAGCCTGGGCTAGGCCAGGCAGCCGGGTCAGGATCCACCTGGATCCACAGCAGTCCTGCCCAGCACCCCATCTGTTCCCCTCTCAGCCACACCCTTCTTGCTCTCCTCTGATTCCCCATGCAGGGGCTGCCTTTGCTGCATGCACCATCAGGAAAACTGCTCTCTTGGCAGATGACATCTCCCAGAGGCGGTCCCAGCACAGGCACTGCTGCTGCTGCCCCAGGGCTCATAGTCCAGACGGTCCAGCTGCTTTGCCGAGGGGCAGCCCTGAGGCCTATGACCTCCAGCGGGCTCAGGACACACATCTGTCTACCCTGGTCGAGACTCTAGTATGGAGATCCCCTTCCTTTGCCGCTCCACACACTGCCCTCTCCTCAGGGAATGCTTCCTCCTGGAAGCCCTGTCTAACCCCAAGGCTGTGGGGAGGGCCCCTCCCCTGGGGCTCAGGCTGGACCGCGGTCATTGGTTTACTTACTTTCCTTTCCACCAGACTGTGAGCTTCTTAAGTAACATCATGCATTTCTGGATCCCTGGCACACAGGAGGCACTCAATAAATGCTTGTGTTTGTTGGACAGTTTGTGGGGACTGGGAGGACCTTAAAATGTTCAGAGAAGAGGAGATGGAGTCCCAGAGACGGGAAGGATGGGGCATGGAGTGAGGCTCCACTGTCCAGAGGAGAGGACCCTAGGTTCCGATCCTGGCAGCCTGGGGACGGATCTGGCTGGACCCCTTACTTCACCTCTCCATGCCTCAGTTTCCTTATTTGTAAATGGGCATTTTCAAGCTGCCTCTCATGGTTGTACTGAGGTTGTACCGAGGTAAGGTAAGAGGGGGTGCTTTGCAAAGCCCCTGAAGATGTGAGTCCTCCCAGCACTGTTCTAGGGTCTTCAGTGGACCAGGATGGGCAGCAGGCCTGCCCCAAGGCCCCTGTGTGCTCTGGGAGGCTGACCTCGTCCTTGAATTGCCTTGAATTGTCCTTGAGGCCAGCATCTCATCCCAGCCTCATCCCCAGGCCTAGTGTTAGCCCAGCGACCAACGCTGAAGGGGCAGGCCCAGCGGTGTATGCTGCAGCCACAGCGAGTGGGCTCAGGGGCACGCGCTCCTTCTCCTCTGGTACCCTCCAGAAACCAGAAGCCTTTCCCTCCCAGCCTGCCCTTGGCTCTAATATCACAGGCCACACTGTGGGGAGAGGGTCCCCTGCCTGTGCTAAGCAAAGGTCAGGAGCAGAGGCCTCCCACGTGCCCCCAGCCTGCCCGCTCCATGGCCTGGTCACACCCACAGCTGACCCAGCCTCCCTTCACTGGGGTTTTTATATTTTGAGCAGATGAAAGATTCTGAACGATTCTCATTCCGTGTGTTTTGGCTGGGATTAGCTAGCCCCTGGCTGCCAGTTCCTCGGAGCTCTGCTGTGTTGAGAGGACATCAGACGGCCTGTGCTGGGCCGCTTCTCAGGGGCCCCGAGCCTCCTGCACATCCTAGGGCAGGGTACTGGGGGTCAGGACTGGGAGAAGAGACAGGATGAAGGGGGCAGGCCCTGCTGCAGGCTCTGGCCCACCTCTGGCCCTGGCCCCCAGCAAGGATTGGGGCCCAGCCCTGCCTCCTGCTGGCCCTTGTCCCCCTGGCTGACCCCCGCTCCCCAAGCAGCAGCCGGCGGTGCAGGGGGCGCATGCGTGCGGCGGGAGTGAGCCGGCTGTGGAGAATTAATATTCCTGGAACATCGCCCCGGCCGCCTGCACACGCCGAGGAGAATATTACGGCGATTAGCGGTGGGAGTTCGGCCTGCACGCAATATCTGGATGGAGAATTCGGTGTGATTAATCTGGCGCTAAGTAGCAGCCTCCGGGGTCCGCAGGGCTCTGGCATGTTTGGAATGGGAAAAAGCTCGGGGGCGGGGCAATCCTTTGGGGCGCTCTTTGGGGGTCTGCCAGGGTGGCAGCTGTGCCCGGGGCAGGCTGCAGGCTCCTGGTGGCCTCAGGTGGGCAGATCATCCCTTATTTGCAGCCATTGGCGGACTGCCAGCAGATAAAAGTGTGTGTGGTTCAGAATCTCAGCCCATCTGACGCCTCTCTCAGGCCTTTCTCTCCCTTTAGCCGCCTAAGTTCAGGGTCACAGACCCACATTGGAGTTGCAGCTTCACCGCACACTTTACACCACCTTTCAGGGCCTCAGTTTCTTCATCTGTAGAACAGGATGCATCATTCCTACCTTGCCATCTCAGGGGAAAGTCTATTATTTTTCCCACTTCATGGAGGAGAAAACAGGCTGTGAGCATTTTGCACAGCCAGGAGTGGCTCTGTGCTATGCAGATGTTAAAGATTATTGTTAATAATTCTACTAAGAACCTGAGTTCAGCAGCCACCAGTTCCTCTTGCTTTGTCTCTGCTCTTTGGGCAATGGCAGATCTGGTGTTCGGAACCTCCCAGAGTGTGTCGGTGGGATGTGGTGGCAGGGAGAGAGCACTGGTGGCCCCATCTGTAAAATGGGTATAAAAATACCTCACTTCCCTGAAGTGGAGGTCCAAGTGAGAAAAGCGGGTGCCTGTTTTAAGATCTGCTGTTCTGGGGCTGTTTTGTAGTCTAACTTAGGGCAGCAGTGGAGACCAGGTGAAACTGGTGGTGATGTGGGTCGGGGAATATCTGTTGGTCTGGCCTTCCTCCCAGTCATCGGCCCCCGCCTGACTGCTTCACTGGATGGAAGCACTGAATGCCAGGGCTGGAAAGGAGCCTCCTGATCTTCCCCAGTGTCTTCACTTAAGGGCAAGGAAACCGAGGTGCAGAGAAGGAATGAGGCCTGCCCAGGCTTGCACCAAAGTGGCAGTGTGGAGGGAGGAGTGTGGTCTTTGGAGCCAGCCCAGGCCTGCACTGCCCTTGGGCAAGTCTTTCTTTCTCTGGGCCTCAGTTTCCTTATCTGTAGAATGGCAACGTTGTGCCAGCCTTTTGGGGTGGAACAGTGTAATGGGCAAGGAACAGAGCAGACACTCTGCTCTCTGTCTTTTTTTTTTTTTTTTTTTTTTTTTTTTTTTGATACAGGGTCTCAAAAATACAGCCTGTTGCCCAGACTGGAGTACAGTGGCATGATCTCGGCTCACTGCAACCTCTGCCTCCCTCCCAGGTTCAAGTGATTCTCCCATCTCAATCTCACGAGTAGCTGGGACTACAGGGGCACGCCACCATGCCCGGCTTTTTTTTTTTTTTTTTTTTCCTGAGATGGAGTCTTGCTCTATTGCCAGGTTAGAGTACAGTAGCATGATCTCAGCTCACTGCAGCCTCCACCTCCTGGGTTTAAGCGATTCTTCTGCTTCAGCCTCCCGAGTAGCTGGGACTACAGGCATGTGCCACCATGCCTGGCTAATTTTTTGTATTTTAGTTGAGACAGGGTTTCACTATGTTGGCCAGGATGGTCTCGATTTCCTGACCTCGTGATCTGCCTGCCTCGGCCTCCCAACGTTCTGGGATTACAGGCGTGAGCCACCGCGCCTGGCCATGCCTGGCTAATTTTTGTATTTTTAGTAGACGGGGTTTTACCGTGTTGGCCAGGCTGGTCTTGAACTCCTGGCCTCAAGTAATTCACCCACGTTGGCCTCCCAGAATGCTGGGATTACAGGAGTGAGCCACCACGCCAGGCCAGCACTCTGATCTCTTAATAGGAAAAGGTCCTGTTCTCCTGGGAGCTCAAGAGGGCTTTCTGTAGGGTGCCCAGCACATACAACTGGCCTGCCTCCTCTTTGCCCAGGGTGCTGGACTTGCCGAAAGCTCTTCTGGTGAAGGAATTCAACCATTGCACTTTTTCGCTCAATTGCTTCACTCCCTGTCTGTTGAACATTTCCAAATCTGATTTGCAGGACTTTTTTTTCTTTTCTTTTCTTTTTTTTTGGCTAGTGAGGCTTTAGACTTCCATGCAACTCACCACGCCCAGAAATGGATGCTGGACCAATTGTCTTTACTCCCCCTTTCCCATGCAAGCAATGTAACGGCCTTTGAAAGGGGGCTGGTTTGTGGTTTTCCAGCAGTAGAATGGTCTGTGGTCTTGAGCAGCTAAATTTGAAACCGGGCTTTTCAGGAGGATCAACTGAGCTCTGAAACAGCTGGGCACAGTGCAAGGTGGCAGGGGTCAGGGACAGGCAGGTGGGGCTCCTTGGGCTTGGCTGTGCTTTCACTGCTGACTCCTCAGTGCCGGGAACAGTAAGAGCTCACACAGCCCTGCTTGAATGAATGCATGCATACGTGATGGGATGGATCTGTGCTATGATGAGATGCAGTAGAGTATGTTGGTTAAAAGCCTAGGCTCTAGAACTGGACAGCCTGGAGTGGAACTCTAGCTCTGCTCTTTGTTAGTGGTGTGACTGGGTAACTCAGTTCCGTTCTCTGGGCCTCAGTTTGCTCATCTGTGAAATGGTTGAACTAGATGATTCCAGCATTCCTCCCAGCTCAGACGTTCTGGTTTCTTTGTTGGCCTTCATCCCCAACAATAATGTGTCCAGAACAAAGGCGTGGTGCTCCCTGAGCCCTCTAGCTCAGCCACCATGCTCCCAAAAACCTGTGCTCCCAAATAGAGGCAACATGTCCTCTCTACCCAAATGTGCCTGGGAGTTGTCGCCTTGGAAATGTGCTTTTTTGCTTCTGGGGTTGGGTGCCCATACCCTCCTATCCATGCATTTGCCCCCTCCTCCCTTCCCCCCAGCCATCCTGATCCAGCTTACATACCTCCTCCTCCAGGAAGCCTTTCCTGATGCCGACTCCCAGCTGTACTCCTTTCAAGGCCCTTCTCTGCATCTTTTGCTCCTGGCCTGGGATCCCACCTCACTCATGTTAGGGTGTTTGTGAGAAGTTATTGAATAATTGTGCACACGTCCTCCACGGTTCAAGGGACTGATGGGAACCCACATCTATTCCTTATCTACGAAGTGCCTGGCCTGGTACGAGGAGGCACATTTGTACTCCTTGTCTGAAATTACCCACGCAAAATCTCAGTGACATAAAGAGTGTTACCCTGCTTCAAAGGAGGAAACTGAGGCTTGGCAAGCTTATTTGGAGCCTAGTCTCTGATCCCCTGAAGCGCACTTTCTTCCCACTGCCACAGCACATCTCTCTCAGACTGTGTTCTGTCCTCTGGACACCTTGCTCTGATTACCCTGATCAGATAAAGTAATCTTGCTGGCCGCTAACTGGGATCGGCTCTTGCTTAGAAAGGCCATTGTAAGCATTTTGTATCTCTTATCTCATGTAATCTTATAGCAACCTTATAAGGTAGGTCCTATTCTTATCCCCATTTTACAGGTGGAGCATGTGTGGCTCTAAGAAGGAACTTACTCAAGGTCACACAGTCACACAGGAAGGAAGTGGTGGAGCCAGGATTTAAAACCAGACAGCCTGATGTAGGTGCCTGCCAAACTGAATTGCAGTTCTTCAATTCACTGTTCCAGTCAACCCTGCCTAGGTTCCTCAGGGCGTATTTCTTGAGTATGCACTGTGTGGATCAGAGGACAAGGGGCAGAGGATGACAGACCCATGTCCTTGGCCAATCTCAAAGCCCCACTGGGAGGGGACAGGTACAGTTCTCTGAGGTCTTTCGAGGGTCTGCACTGTGCTGAGACCCTCTGAAGGGACACTGCTGTTACGCTGTCAGCTTCACATAGGGTGAGGCAGGCTCAGAGGGGTCAGTGGCTTGTCTAAGGTCACCCAGTGAGTGAGTTGGGGAGCCAGGATTTGAACTTGAGCAGTCAGCCTCAGAGTCCCTACCCCTTTCCACCATTTCTTCCTGCCTTACAGGACACGGCATATGAGCTGCTATGGGGGAAAAGCATAGAAAGTGGCATTTGACTTGGACTTGGGGGTCAGGCTTCTCAGAGGAAGTGAGGTCTAAGTCGAGACCCTCATGTAACGCAGGAAGTGGTGGGAGTAGGGGGAGGAGAGAGAACAGCATGTGCAAAGGCCCAGAGGCAAGAGAGAGCATGGTTTGTTTAAAGAACTGGGTGCGGTGGCTCACACCTTTAATCCTAGCACTTTGGATGGCTGAGGTGGGAGGATCACTTGAGCCCATGAGTTCGAGACCAGCTTAGGCAACATAGTGAGACCCTATCCCTACAAAAAAAATAAAATAATAATAAAATAAAATAAAAATAAAAACCAAAGAGCACAGAATGAAGGCGTTTGTTCTAGGTTTCTTCACTGGCATTTCCAGTTGCAGTCTTTGAGTAGTAGTTTATCTAGAAGGGCTGCGGAATGCCTCCTGTGGATTCTGTACCATGTTAGGTCCTAAATGCAGACGCAGCCCTTGGTAGGGGCAGGGACTGGTGCGCTGCTCGGAGGGGGTCCCAAGGACCGAGGCGGGAATACTAGCTCCAGGATTAGGGAAGGGCCAGGAGGAATGGAAGTACTTTATAGTCGGTGGGAGCTGCCTTGTGTCCTTGCCTGTAACCCTGACATCCTAGATATGGGAAGGATGAAATGAGATAACCAGGACCTGGCGCTTAGTAGGCCCTCACCAGGTGCCAGGCACAGAAGCTCAGTGGCAGGCGTGTGCCAAGTTTGGGGCAGCCAGTGGTCAGCAGCCCAGCTGCCCCGTGGCACCAGGGAAGAGGGGAAGGGCCCTGCCGTGGAGTAGGCAGAGCAGGGCCTGGAGGGGCCCTGGGCCAGGGGCCTCAGGCTGAAGCGAGCATGGCCGAGTGAAGTGCATGGCCTCTCACTGGAGGGCAGAGGCTGGAACACTGGACAGGGAAGTCCCCACCAGGCCAAGGATGGCTTGAACAGCTACGGAGTAGGCGGCTCAGGTCAAGGATCTGGCCACGGCCCAGAGTCCAGGCACTGGACACTTGGGTCTCTGTTGTGTCCCAATGCTTCCTGGGCCTTGGTTTCCCCATCTTGACACGGGGCGTTGGTGCTTACCTCTCAGGCATTGCCATGGGGTAGGAAGGGGGTGTGAAGCGCCTGTGCTGGGCTTGCAGGTAGTAGGTGCTCAGCCCCTCGGAACGGACGCTGCTGTTGTACACAGAGAAACAGAGCCAGGACCCCAGGCCAGGCCTCCTCTTGCTGTGGCCTCCCTGAGATGGGACTTGGGACAAAAGGTGGTCGGGACTGCCATGCCCTGCCCTTTCCAAGCCCACCTTTGTAGGGGGCAGCCAGGGCTCACTCCAGTGGCCCATGAAGGCTTTAGCCCTGGAGCTGCCCAGCTAGCCCTTCAGGCTCTGGGCCACTTTGCTGGCCTCACATCCCAGCTCACCTTCCTGCTCTGCAGCCTCAGAGATGCCCTTCCCTTTCTGAGCCTTGCCAGGTAAAATGCAGCCCTCTCTGGTCCTCGTGACGACCACCTAAGGTGCTGGGTGCAAATCCCCAGCACACAGTAGGTGCTCTATGAACGGTCACACTTGCCTTTACCCCACAGTCTCCAAGCACAGCAGTGAGCTGCGATTCTCACCTGTGGTGGGCGTTGGCCCCTTTTAAGCCATTTACTCTGGGGCCAATTATAAATAGACACATAATCGCCCCTATCTATAGAGATAAGACATACTCTTCAGATGAGCCCGCCCCTCCCCTGCCCCCCTCCACGCTGGCACGCGCTCTCCGCAGTTGAAGGCGAGGGGGGATCGGGTGCTCCCCTCCCTCCTCCATCCATCCATCCCTCCTCCCCGCTGCTCCTCCATCTCCACCCTGCAGAGGTGAGATCGGCAGGGGCCGTGATGTCAGAGGCTCAGCTGATGTCACCGCCCCGGCCCTGTGACTTCACTTGCCGGCTTGGGCAGGAGGAGCCGCGAGGAGGCTGAGAGCCGAGAAACTGCCCCCCTTTCCTTTTCCTTCTCCTTTTTTCCCTTTCCCCTCCTCCCCCGCCTCGGCTCAGGAGTTGTTTTCCTCCCCCGTGGTCGCCGGGCTGGCAAGGGGTCTGGGGCAAGGGCCAGGGAAGGATGCGGCTGCAAAGGTAACGGTGTGCGCGGTGCCTCTCCCGCGGTCGTGAAAGTTTGCTCTGGCGTGCGAGGCGTGCCCGCCGGGTGCTCCGCCGCGCCGCGCTGCCCTGGCCCGAGGCTCCCCGGGGGCGGGCAGGGGCCGCGCCGGGCCAGGGCAGGGCTGGGCAGGGGCCTCCCGGGCGGCCTTTACTGCCTTGTCCCCATCAAAGGCCGCAGCTGCTCGAGTGGCGGCTGTAGCTTTGAAACTGCCATAAAGAGCGATGGAGGGCGGGGAGGCGGGGGATGTTCAGAGCAGTGCCCAGGAGGGTGGCCGGGAGAGGAGGGGCCCGAGGGGGCTGCTCGGGGAGCGCGGCAGCAGCAGGGGCGTGAAGGGCAGGGCCCCGGGTCACAGTCCCAGGGGCCGAGTGCCCGCCCCCGTCCCCTCCGGTCCAGATCCAGCCGCGCCCCCGTCCCCTCCGGTCCAGATCCAGCCGCCGTGCGCAGCCAGCCCGGGTGTGAGGGTGCAGAGCGGCGGGGGGTTGGGGCTGGCTGCTCCCTCTCCCCCCCTCCACTATTTCCAGGCATGTTCTTCCACCTCCAGCAGGCCATTTGTCAGTGGTGATGCGGGACAAAGGAGGGGCAGTGGGTGGTCTGCTGCGAGTTGGGCGATGGGCACGGAGCGAGGGCCGAGAGAAACGCCAACAATGAAGAGGCAGATCGAGGGCTTTGCTCATTCAGGCTGTCGAGGGAGCCGTCATTTTGTGTTAGCGTGTGTGTGTCTGAGGTGGGAGGAGGAAGAGAGCGGAGAATGACAGGAGAAGGATTATGACATTGTGTTGTCTCTGTTTGTGGTAAATGCAAATTTGGCACCAGTGGTTTCCCGGGAAAAGGAGCAGCAAGTAACCCAGGCCGAGGCCCTGGCCCAGACCCACGGAGGGAGCCCGTGCTGGGCGGCGTGGGGCTTTATTTGGCCCTCCCTTTTTTTCTATCTGGCGTGTGCTTCTTGCATTTATTTTACAGTGAAGAGCTGGAGACAGACAGGCCGGCGAGGCAGGAGGAGCCGGCCCCCTCCTCCCAGGCATGGCAGCCCCTCCTCAGCTCACCCCGGAGGAGGCCTGGGCAGCTCTCCCAACCCCCAGGCGCTGTCCCAGCTCTCCGGCCTCCCTCCCAGGTCTCTGCCCCCAGCCAGGGTCACCGTTCCATCATTCTCTTAGCCTGGGCAGCCTGAGGTCTCTGAAGGCTACTTCTGCCCGCAGCTGCTTCCCAAGCGTGACCAGAGACCGAGAACCTGGGACCGAGGCTGGGATGGGGCTTTGCAGAACGAAGGCCAGGGCTGGGCGCTCCCCCGGCTACAGTGCTGGCCTGGCTGGCCTGGAGGTTGGCAAACAGCTCTGCAGCCAGGGGCTGTTAGCACAGCCTCCTGGACCTTGACTCCTCTGACGGGCCCATGAGGGCAAGGGAGCTTGAGCCTGCCCTGGGCCAGGAAGCGGCCATGGTACAAGTCTCTGGGCTGCCACAGGGCTCAGGCAGGTGCAGTGACATGGGCGCAGGTGGTCAGTGTGTTTACAGCAGGCCTCCAGAGAGGGCATGGTGGAGTGAGTTTTACCAGGGCCAGGCCGTAGCTCAGGCCCTAGCAGAGACTGTGAGTTCTAAGCTGAGAAGCCAGGGCAGGAACCATCTACAGGCAGAAGGTCAGGGGAAGGCTGTGGCTCTCCTTCCAGTCTCCCTTCCCCTGGAGCTGGTCCCTAACCTGACGTCACCACCTCCTCTTTTCTGGTCAAGTCTTCTGGTCTCAATTCACTTCCTCCAGGAAGCCTTCCCTGTCCTTCTCTCAGGTGGACTTGGGTCCTGTGCCTGGCCCACCTTCTTTGCCCTCTCACAGTCCTGACCACACAGACGTGGGTCTGTCTCCCTGTTAGGCCTTTGGGTGCAGAGCCTGGGTGACCATCCTTGGTTACAGGGACACTTAAGGCCTCCCCTCTGCACTCCTGGCACCTGCCCAGAGCTGGGCATAGAGGAGCCCTGTTCCTAGAGCTCAGAGGAACACACCCAGACTCAGACCCCCCAGGAAGTGGGACCACCAGGATGGAACAGCTGCCCTCTCCCCATGTCCTAGACGGTGTGATGGGCTCACTTCCTTTGGGCAAACTCACCCCAAGGGGTTTTTTCCCCACAGAAATCTTTTCCCTGAGTACCCCTGTGAGGTCTGACAGGGAAATCAAGAGAGGCTTCACAGAGGAGGTGGCATTTGAAGGCCTTGAAGAGTGAGTAGGAGTTTGCCGTGCTAAGGCAGGAGAGGGTGTACCATCAGAGGGAAGTGCAAGAACAGCGCATCCAAGGTGTAAGAGGCGGGTTGCACTCTGTGGCTGAAGCCGTTGGAAGGGAAGAGTGGGGAGAGGCGGCGACAGTGGAAGTGGGGCCCTTGTTTCACTGGCTGGGGGAGCCACTTGTGGAGGAAGGGAGAACCTGACCTGATGACAGACTGGGCGGTGCCACATGGACACCGCAGTCATTGCAAACTCGCCTTCTTTGGACCCGTTTTCAGGATCTTGCAAAGCTGGCTTGTTCTAGCTGCTCCCAAGCCAGCCTCTCTCAGGCTGCCTTGTGCTGGGATTCCCAGATGGCCTCAGATTTGAATTTAAAGACCAGCTTGGGTCTTCTTTTAATTTGGAGTCTCAGGACCAGCCCAGGCCACATTCTGAGCTGGAACCAAATTGGCGGGAAGCAGTTTGGATGCCGATCAAGGGGTGAAGGGTTCAGGAGCAGCTCCTCCAGCCTGGGACCCCGAGATGACTGGAGGCTCCTGTGGGAGACTGGGGTGGCTAGTCCCCCAGACCTATCCCCAACGGAGATGGCAGCACAGAGGGGTGGCCAACGTCCTGAGGCCAGACTGCCTGGGTTCAATCCTGGCTCTCCCATTTCCTAGCTGTGTGGCTTCAAGGAAGTTACCTGCCCTCTGTGAGTCTTTGTGTTCTTGGGTAATAATAATACCTACATCACAGGGCTGAGGTGAGGATTACATGAGATCATTCTCACAAAGCAGTCAGCCAGAGCCTGGCTCCCAGGGGGCACTGAATAATTGTTAGCTTAAAAAAAGATAACTCCAGAGAGCAAAGGCTCTAGCACCTAGTGTCTGGGGTCTAATCACTCAATCCATCTGAGCCTCAGTTTCCCTAGTTGTAAAATGGAGATGGTCATCGTGTCTGGTAATAATAGCCAAGACTGAGGAGCACTGACTGCGAGATTTGCAGGCTGTGTTCTAGTTGCCTAACTATGTATTAGCTTAATAGTCTCTCCCCACCCTGAGCCACATGTAGGGGCAGAGCAGGGGCCAGGGCAGCCTAGAAACTAAAAGTGTGCAGGGAAAAGCCCCAGAGATTTGGTAGTTTCTGGGTGAAGCTAAACCAGTCCCCTTGCTTAGCAAAGGCAAGAACAGAGGGAAGTGGATGGCTGGAGTGTGAGGCATGGAGACCACAAAGGCCCACCCACCACTGTAAATGAGCTGCCTGGGGCTGGACGCCCCTCATACGTGGCGGAGTCACCTACACACCGTGGGGCCTTGAGCGAGTTGTGACCACCATCCTGGACTTCGATTTCCCTAGCTGTGTGAGGCGGACTTGGGTCTGTTCACCTCTCAGGCCCGCCACTGCTCTAAGGGGCTGTGATTCTCTTGTTGCTTTGGTTTTCTTGGAAGGTTTCCATGTAGGTAGTGACTTGGGCGGTATCATCTGCCCATTGATTTTTCCAGAAAGGATGCTTTCTTCCCTCCCATTCTGCACTCAGCCCACAGATGAGTGACCTCTTGCCTAGCTTTCCCATTTCTCCTCCTGTCCCTGCTAGTAACTCACCTGGTCTAGGCTCAGGGACCGAGAGGGCCCAGCCCAGTAGCAGCTCCCCAGAGGCCCCCAGAGGGCACAAGAGCCCCATAGACAACACACCCCATCACCTGTGAGGAGCACCTGGGGTGGTGTCTACGGGGCTGGGGAGCCACATCCAGCCCACACATGGCTTTGTGAGCCCGATTGCCACGGAGGCCCCCAGTGGCTCATTCACTCTCCCTCCTCCCCTCAGCAGAAGCTTTGGGATCCAACAGGTGTGGCTTCCTCCTTGCTCCGCTGTGTCTGCTGGGTGACTGTAGGCACCACACCTCCCTGAGCCTGTTTGCTCATGGGGTGAATCGTCCCACCTCACGGAGCACCTGAGGCTGGAATGATGGCAACAGCACTTGTGGCACTGAGAAGCGCAGTCACTGTGTGCCTGCAGCCCTCACTCGGGGGTGATGTTAATGTCCCTGTTCTACGGGTGAAAAGGCTGAGGCTTCAGGAGCTTAGGGAGCTTGCCGAAGGTCACATTGCCCTCTGTCCTTCCTTATTTTATTTTATTTATTGAGAGGGAGTCGCTCTGTTGCCCAGACTGGAGTGCAGTGGCGCAATCTCTGCTCACTGCAACCTCTGCCTCCCAGGTTCAAGTGATTCTCCAGCCTCAGCCTTCCAAGTAGCTGGGATTACAGGCACCTGCCACCAGAGATAGGGTTTCACCATGTTGGCCAGGCTGGTTTCGAACTCCTGACCTCAGGTGATCCGCCCGCCTCAGCCTCCCAAAGTGCTGGGACTACAGGTATGAGCCACTGCACCTGGCCCTTCCTTTCTTTTTCACACCCACCTACTACCAAGAAGGCACAGAGGCAGATGATGATGCTGGGAGTCCATCTGAGGCAGGACGGGTAAAGGAAGCCTAGAGAGCCCTAGGGGAGGAGGCTGGGGAGACACAAAACTTGTGAAGAAGTGGTTACCATGCATGTCTGTCATCATTTGCCCACAGAGGGATATACTGATAATGGGAATAATGGTCGTCAGGTGGGCAGGGGAAGGGGTACCCTGCACCATCATGTCTGCTGAGGAAGATACAGTCGTGGTTCCCTCTTCCCAAGATGTTTCTGCTCACCTTTGCTCAGGACATGGGGTTGCTTAAGGGCAATGTGTGGGTTCAGATCCGGCCTCTGCACTCACCTGCCGTGTGATCTCAGGCTAATTATTTATTGCTCTGAGCCTTAGCGTCCACGCCTGTACATGGGGATGGTCATCGTATTCACAGTGTTGTGAGGATGTTACGAGTGGACGCAGGTAATGCACTTAGCACCATGCCTAGCTGGCGGGAGAGCTCTAGGAATGTTCTCTGTTGTCGGCCTCTTGAATCAGCCTTGCCTCTCCTCAGCATTCCCTCAGCACCTGCTGTAAGTCAGCGCCAAACCCAGGCAGCCTCCTCCTGTGCCCTGGGCTAAGCCGCCAGCCTCCAGGCCTGGGAGCTGAGCGTCTGGATCTGCCGCGCAGGGGGAACAGCCTCTGAGAGTTGGTGTGTTGGCTCCCACTGCTGGCGTGACAGACATCCTGAGGAAATATGTCACTTTACAATAGTTTTCAAAGAAATTTCTAGAAAGCTCTTTTAACCCTACGGGGGCCATTCATAGCCTGGACTTCCGTTAGGTCCTAGTCTCAGTTTTTTCTTGATTTGCTGAGGTCCCGCCCTCTCCCGGGCCTCAGTTTCCTCATCTGTAAAGCAGTAACTACCCAGCTCAGAGGGCTGCCCGTGTGAGATGAAACTGCTCCTGTGAAACATGCTTTGTAACCTTGAGAGCACTTTACAGAGCTTTCGGTTCTGTTTCTGGTCATTCACCAGACGGCCGCAGGCAGATGCCTGGGCAGGGTCATACTGTGTGCCCAGGCTGGGTGTGCACAGCAGTGGGATGCCAGCTTGGCTCTCAAGGGCTCCCTGAGTCGTGGCCTCACTAAAACCCTTGAACTTTGTAATTTCTAGAGAATGTGGAAGGCTTTACAGGCAGCCCTGCTCCTTCGCAGGGAAATGCTGATAAGCGTCTTGTCCTGGTCACTGGTTCAACCCACGTATGTTTTTGGAGCAGCTCCTTGTGCTGGGCACTGGCCTGGCTGATGAGGATGAAGCTGAAGACCAGAGGTCAGCCTTGCCTTTGAGAGCTTGGCCTAGGAAGAGGGATATGGAAACTCACATCCAAAACCCTGATGACTGAGGTTCAGGGTGACGTGACACAGGGCCTGCACTTCTCAGAAGAGGCTCAGCCACAGGGCAGGATCGCGTCTAAATACATACTGGCTTGTGTCCTGTGCTCAGAATCCTTCATCATCTCCTCTTTTTGCCCAGGGATAAAGTCGCAAAGCCTCTGTGGCCTGTACTGTCCTGCTCCAGCTGCATCTCCAGCTTTCTCATTTCACTTACATTACCCTGCAGGCCCCTGTGCCCTTCCTGGAAATCTACTTGTTCCCTCCTACCGCAGGGCCTTTGCCCATGCCGTGCCCTCTGCCTGGAGCTCTCCTCCAACTTCACCATGTGGTTACTTCCTACTTGTCTTTCAGGCCTCAGCTCAAATGTCCTAGATCCCCAAGGCTCAGGGTCCCTATTGTACATCTGCTGTGCTCCTGCCACACTTTCTTACTAATTTGTATCATGGCTGTTATCAGATGATTATTTATGTGATGATTCTTTTTCTAACAGCTCCATGGCACCATAAACTTCATGACCACAGGGACCCTTGGGATCAATGCTTGTCATAAGGGCTCAGTCAATGTTTGTTGAATGAATGAATAAGTGTTAAGAGTTTGTGGAGGAGGTGGCATTTGAGTAAGACTTGAAAGAGGATATAATTTCAATCTGTAGGGAAGAGGGAACGGCATTCCTGCTGCAGGGAGCAGACAGGCACAGGACAGGAAGCCAACTTGTCTAGTTAGACAGAGAGGCAGAATGAGACCTGGGAGAGAAGGTTTGGAGAAGCAAGCGGAGCCAGATAGAGCATTGTATTCCAGGCTGATAGGAATAAACTTGAATGGTGAAGCCGCTCAGGACCCACTGACAGACTTCTGAGCCAGGGGGAGCAAAGTTAAAACCGGCTTTGGATAACTGTAATGAATCCGCCACAGGGATGGGTGGGCAGGGAAAAGTGGCTCCAGTCGAGGACCAGTTAAGAGTTGGAGAATTCACGGCTCCTGCTGCTTTCTGCTCCCCTGGAATCAAACGTGATTTTGCAATTATCCCCGAGAGCTCGCAGGGAGATGCAGGGCAGTGATGAGGAACCTCACACGGCGTGGCTGCTTCCAGAAGACAATCGCCTTGGCATCAGGGCAGCTATCCCCGAGTCACTAGAGGGAGAGACGGAGTTGATTAAGCATCGGCATCTGCGTTTCTTGGCTTCTCCTATTGAGAAGGCAGCATCCAGCTCTGCATCCCTGCACCTGTGTCCTGGTGCCTTCTATTAATAAGTGGCCCAGGAATCTTGACGCTGAAGGACCAACCTGTGGCAGAAGATGAGCAGAAACATTTCTGTCAAATGCCCAGCAAACAAGACTCCACGCCTCCGTGGGGAGCCAGCACATAAGAGTCAGGACTCTTGAGGACCTGAGGACAAATCCCAGCACCACCACTTAGCAGCTGTGCACCTTCGAGCATCTTCTAAGTGACTCTGGGCCTCCATTTCTTCACTTGTGAAAATGGAGGCTGCCCTGGTGTTGTGAAGGTTAAGGTTAAGTGACATATATGGATCCCCAAGCACAGGGAACACTGGAGGCTCAGGAAGTAGTGGCCGTTATCATGGCTGCGTTTTTCTCCATGGTTTGAATTCTTAGCAGGAAGCTTCGGTTTCAGGCTTAAAAATGAAGAGCATGTCAACAAAACAGGATGGAACAAAGTCTTTTCCCAGCATGCCTCAGCATGTGGCACTGCCTTCCCGTGGAGCCCAGACAATGATGTGGCTAAAAGTCTTGAGCTTTCAGGCAGAAATAATCCCAAAGGAAAGGAACTTCCTTATTGTCATCTTATAACAAAGCAACGCAGGGGCCCTGTAGCCTGTCAGATTCAGCTCTGCCCCCTCCGAGCTGCTCTGTGCCTCAGTTTCCTCATCTGCAAAATGAGGCGAGAACAGTACCCACTTTATAGGGTTGTTGTAAGGATTAAGCAAGTTACTGCAGGAAAAGCGCTTAGAGCATGCCTTTGTCACTGCGACTCTTAGATCATTTCATATTCAGGTTAACTCTTTGTAGTGCCCTGAGTGACTCTGTGGGGGCTTTGGAGCCAGAAGACTGAGTTCAAATCACAGCCTCTTCCTAGCTGTGTGACCTGGGCAAGTCTCTTAACCTCTGTGTGCACCCATTTCCTGCTCTGTACAATGAAGATGACAATCCCTGCCTCATGGGTTTGTTGTGAGGAGTGAATGGGATCACTCAGGTAAGGGCGCCGACTCCCCTGAGGCAGGCAGCTCACCTGGCCCCTCCCAGCCCAATTTACAGCTGAAGAAATTGGATGATTTAAAGACACACACTGGTGAGACCAGGCTGGCGCCAGCTCAGTGACTGGCCCGATGAGAGTCCAGCCACTGGGGACAGTGAGTGCCGGGCAGGTGGGGGTGATCTGTGCGCTCAGGTTGCACGGGCTTCCCGTTTCTTGGCCTATCCTCAGGTGTTAGCTCTCTGCTCACCTGTGGGGAAGATGTGTAAGTCGATTCACAGCAGCTGCTGCTTGTTGGGCAGACCGTGGTCTTCCAGGCATGGGGTCCGAGAGTCTGAGGCCCCCCGACCTGCCCGAGCTGCCCAGTGTCCAGGGCTTAATATATGACTGCTGGAGGGGCTGGCGCTGCCCATGCCGTCCTCTTACATTCTTTCCCTATCGGCCTGCAGACTTTTGGTCCTACTGACTGTCTAGGTCCATCTCTGTCTTTCCAGTGTTTGCTGAGTGCTGGGAAGCTTGGTGGTTAAGAGTGCAGCCTCTGAAAACCTGGGTTCAAATACCAGCTCAGCCTCTTCCAAACTGTGTGACTTGGGATAAGTTAAACTCTTTGCACCTCAGTGGCCCCATCTGTAAAATAGGGGTGATAACAGTACCAAACTCATTAGACTGCTGCAAATAAGAAGAACTGGGATGATAAAGGGAAATCTGCATAGTGCCTGGTTCATAGTAAGCCTGGATTCCTCTGGGCTGTATCATCCTCATTAACATCATTTTAATGGACATGGTGCCCTACCCTGCACAGGATGCCGGAGACCCAAGAGAAGCAGAGGTGTCTCTGCCCTGCATATGCTCACAGTCCAGGGGGAGAGATGGATGCATCCCAGATTAGGATGCCACACTTCTATCCTGGAGGGCAGAGTGGAGGGGCAAACCTGGAGAGCAGAAGTTTCTGTGGGACCCTGTGAAACAAATCCATGCCAAACATGTCAATGCTCTAAGGCCCTGCAGGATCCCACCCTTGCCCAACTCCGCAGCTTCATCTTTTTCCCCTGCACTGGGCACAGTCCTCCTGGGCACAGCAGGTGGCTCTCCCCCACACCCCTAAGTCTTGGTATTCTCTGGTCCTCTGTTTTAAGGCCCTCCCCACCACCATAACTTTAGAGCCTCCCCTGACCTTGCCCCAGAAAGAACTGTTCTGAGCCCCCATGCTCCCTCCATGCGGGCTCAGAGACTTGCACAAAGCAGGGGCTCCTGTGGAATGAGGGCACAGAATGAGGGCGTGCCCACAGAGGCTCTCCACCCCTGCTGTTTGTGCACTCTCAGTATCCTTGTGCTTTGCAAGGGGACAGTGCGTGGCTTGGGGACAGGCACAGCAGGAGGCTGTGGGGAGTTTCCCGCTCTGTTAGCCAGAGGCTTTTGTAAGTTGCCTCCTGGCAGACTGCAGATGAAGCCCCGAGCTTGTGAGCAGGAATTCCAGGCCTCCCTCTTGGTGTGACTGAGTTAGCAGGCGGCGCCTCCCAAGAGGAAGGAGAGCTGGAGCTTGGTGAAGGATAAAGGTGAGGGCTGTGTGTCTGCTCACGAGAGCTGGCAAGTGAGGAAGGACATCCGCCTGCTCTGAAGGCACCGACACCCTGGCTCACTTCGCACAAGTCACTGATCTGCCGAGCAGGGCCAGTCTCCTCAATCAATCCACGCTGACAGATGGTAGTAGAATCAGTGACCTAGAGGCAGAAGGCTCCATTTGTAATCCTGGAGTGGCCCAGGCGCCTGGAGGAGGGCAGAGGAGTTTGTAATAAAAGGAGTGATACAGTGTTTCCAAAAGCCGTCTTTGAGCCAGAGGAGGAGGGAAAGGATTAATTTTGTTTCTAGAATTGATACACTGATTCAGTTCAATAAGTAATTTTTGAGTGGACTGGGTTAGGAGGGAGGGGGAAAAAAACTAGTCTACTGTTTTTGTTTTTTTGTTTGTTTTTTTTTTTACTGTTCTTTCCTTAAAGAGCTCCGAGTGTGGTAGGAAAAACAGGATCCATGCATTTGAGACAGTGAGAGAACAACAGAAAACACTAATGTGATTTCAGAGGAAGGGGCGCTCAGTTATTGAGTGCCTGCCACTGTGCAATCTTGGGCAGCAACTTAACCTGTTTGAGCCTCAGTCTACTCATGTCCTTTTGTGTCCATGTCATAGAACATGCAGCTAGTGTTAACAGTGCCTGGTACTGCACTGAATTTTTTTTTTTTTTTTTTTTTTTTTTTTGAGACGGAGTTTTGCTCTTGTCGCCCAGGCTGGAGTGCAACAGCACAATCTCAGCTAACTGCAACCTTTGCCTCCAGGGTTCAGGCGATTCTCCTGCCTCAGCCTCCCAAGTAGCTGGGATTACAGGCGCCCGCCACCACGCCCAGCTAATTTTTGTATTTTTAGTAGAGACAGGGTTTCACCATGTTGGTCAGGGTGGTCTTGAACTCCTGACCTCAGGTGATACACCCCCCTTGGCCTCCCAAGTGCTGGGATTACAGGCGTAAGCCACTGTGCCTGGCCTATGCAGCTCTCTTGAGAGTCCCACAACACCTTATGAGTGAGGTAATTAAAAAAAAATTTTTTTCTTTTAAATAAATAGAGATGAGGGGGAGTCTCACTGTGTTGCGCAGGTTGGTCTTGAACTCCTGGCCTCAAGCAATCCTCACACCTCGGCTTCCCAAAGTGCTGGGATTACAGGTGTGAGCCACCACACCCGGCCCAGTGAGATAATATTATCTCCATTTTATAGCTGAGGAAACCAAAGGGGGAAGTGACTTGTCCAAGGCCACGCAGTCCAAGAGTAACCCACATCTTCCTGTTGGCTATGATGCCCATACACGTTCTTTTTCCAGATGGAACCAAAAGAGAAAGTGGCAGGCTTTCAGGGATAAAGAGGCCCAGCTGGCCTGGTCCAAGGACTGGGGAAGTTTCCAGGTGGAGGGCATTGGGGCAATGTTCTGGCAGGGTCTGAAAGGGCGGGGAGGGGGCTGCATGGTTATAAGAGGCAGGAGCTGACAGGCGCCTGGACTCCAGTTATCTGTCTGCATTCTTTATTCTTTCCCTTTTGAATGAGGCTCTGCGACAGATTGTCAGCATCCCCCGGGCCCTGCATCTGAGACGCAAGTGAGGTTATGAAGAAGGGAAAGAATGGAAGAATGATGGGGCAGGGGACTCTAAGGAAAAAGGATTCATCTTTCTTCATGAATTCTCTCAAGAAATTAAGGGTGCCCCCAACACCAGTCTTCAGGAGGCCCTGCATTCTCCTATTTTTGTCCAGAAAACATTGATTTGTGCTGAGTGCCTCTTCCAGCTTTCCCTTTACAGCCCTGATCCCAGGAGAAGCCAGGTACTGGTCTTTTAAAAGTCTTGAGGCCTGAGAATTTGAAAATGAAACTCAGAAGAACAATGGGAATAATCAGAGGGCAGGGCCCCGTGGCTTGTTCAGCTCTGCCCCGGAAGAGCCTGGCATGCAGGAGGTGTTGGGGAATCAAGTCCCCAGGAATAGTCCTGACCTGCTTTGGAGCCAGCCCCCACTTTGTGAGATTGGACAGAAGCCAGGAGAAATCACTGCCTTCCCCAAGTACATGCTCCTGCCAAGGGGCCCAGGACCACCTGGGGCTCTGCCTGGGACCCTGAGACCCTCCTTGGGTAGCCTGAGAAAAGGCAATGGCTAGGTGGGGTGAAAGGTCAAAAAGTAAAAGCAGGCCCCGGGAAGCTGTGTACCTCAAATATATGGAAATCTGGGTTCCAGACCACACCTGGTTCCTGACAATCCCCACCTGCTGCCGGAAGCACTTTTCCAATCCCAACTTTTAAGTTGGGTTGCTTCAGGAGAGGAAGCCACATACTCCCCTAACATCTAGGACAGATGGGAGCCTAATTTAGAATCGGCAATTTTAGCCAACATTAGGGACATCTAATCCAAACTCTCCTCACCCACAGGAAACTGAGGCCCAAAGTGGGAGGAGAATTTGGCCAGGTCAAAGGTCAGGGGCAGGATCACAAATTCTCAACGCATCCTACTCTTGCTGGCCTTGTCACTTTTGATGGCCGTGGGGGCACCAACATCTACATATTAGTTGCTCTACAATTGCGATTTTCTTTATAAAGAAGTCAAGCCCTTCCTTTGCTTTAGAAACATCAGGTTTGCAAAGGAAGGCTGGGAACAAGCTGAGGCCTTGGCACCGCAAATCCTCCGCCTTATCGGCAAATTAATTCGGGACCCTGGGCGCAGTCAGCCTGGCATTGCAGCTTCTTAATGCCGCAGCAGAAGGCAGCTGGAGCGTCCGTTTTACAGGTGAGGTAGGTGGGCCTCCCTCCTCGCGTTTTCCGCGGTGGAAACTGAGGCTCTGAGAGGACCCAAGTCGTTCCTCCACGGACACCTGGAACCCATGGGCGGGGGCTGCCAGGGACCCAGGCGGGACCAGCTAGGTCTTGGGCTGCCCCCGGCCCAGAGGGCTCTTGGCGGGCAGGAGCCGCCCCCACGCCCGACCCCACTAAACAGGTCACCGAGAGGAGACCGGGTCCTCGCCCGCGGACCTCCCGGGCCGCAAGAGGCGCGATTCTGGAGTTGGAGGCTCCAGGGAACTCCAGAAATCCCAGAGAGATTCCGGGCCACCAACTCCCCCAGAAAGTTGGCTCGCGTCCACCCCCAAGACGGCCCTGAGGCGCAGGCCAAGATGGCACTGGGCGGGTGGCGCGCGGCGCCCAGCGGCCGCAGAGGAGAACCCCGTGCGACCCTGCCGCGAGGTGGGGGTCTTCGCGATCCCTACCCGGCGCGCGCCAGCCTCGACGCCGCCGCACGCGGGTGGGCACGCGCGCGCCCGGCCCCGCCCCCAGCGCCCCGCCCCCGCCGCGCGCCCCGCCCCGCCGCGCGCCCTCCCGCCCGCCCGCGCGCCGCGGCCCGGAGCCTCCCCATTGGCCGCGCGCCGTCACCTGACGCTCTGTTATTTCCTGTGTGTTGGGAGAATGGAGAGAAAAAACCCCGAGCCCAGCCGCTTTCGGCCCCTGCGAGGCGGCCGCGGCCTCCGCCAGGGGAGCCCGCCCTGAGGCGCGCCTGACCGGGGAGCGAGCGCGCGGGCCGGAGCGAGCCTCGAGGGGCCGCGGCCCCGGCCCGCCCCGCCGCCGGCCCGGGCGCCCGAGCTGGAGGCGGCGGAGCCACCCCCACCCCCACCCCGCGCAGCGCCGCCCGCCGTCGCCACCGCTCCCTCCCCGCCCGCCCCCGGCGGAGGCCGAGGGACTGGGCGGGGGGCTCCTGCAGGTAACCGCCTCCCGGGCCTGAGGGGCAGGGAGAGGGTTGGGCCTGAAGGACTGGGGCCGGGCCGGGGTGTCCGGCCTCGGGGGCTGGGAGCAGAGGTCCCGGCCGGACCCAACCTGGGAGTGCGGAGCCTCCTGGACTCCGAGTCAGGGCTTGGGGTGCTGAGGGGAGTGTTGCTGCCCGGCCCGACCCAAGAGTGCGGGCAGGGGCCCGGGCCAGGCCTGGCATCAGAGGGCTAAGGTGTCTTGGGCCGGCCCGGGGTTCCGGCGGGGCTTGGGTGCCGGTGCTGGCCCGAGGGTGCGGAGGGAAGGTCTACCTGCTGGTCGCGCGAGGCCTTGGGTGCAAAGGCGGCGGGTGTGAGCGGGCGGCGTCCGGGAGTCAGCGCCGCCTGCTTCGGGGCCCCTGGCAGCCCCGGGGGCACCGGCCGCGCTCGCCTCTTGGCTACGGGCTGGAGGCGAGGCCAGCGGGGCTGGGCCGGGATGTGGGCGGGAGGGCGCCGCGCTGGGGCGCCCAGGAGAGCAGGGGCCCGTTTACTGCCATGTGAACACCTGAAGCCATGTGGACGCGGCTGCTTCTCGCCTGTTGGGGGCGGAGGGCAGGTACCGGCGGGTTGGGCGCAAGGTCCCGGCGCAGGACACACTTCCTGTGTGGGGCGGCCTCTCCTCCCGCGCCGCGGGGAACAGGGCGGGGTGTGCAAGCCGGGGTCTCTGGGCGAGGGAGCGCTCGTTTGGGGACCTGAGGCTTTCGTCCCTTTTTCGGGGGAAAGTGGTGGTTTGAAGGAGCGTGGCCAATCGGGCCGATCCCTCTCAGGCTACGGCGGGAGGTGCACTGTCCTCTGGACGCCGGAATGGGAGTGGAATTTAGTGAGTTGGGGGGCGGTGCCGAGGAGCGGCCGTCTTCCTCTGCTTGTGGGTGGGATTATTGTCTGTTTTTGTGGTTGCGGATACCAATACGGTCTGCTGGTCTGTATTCAATCCTTTAGTTTGACCTTAGGGGTCAGGTCAAAATTAGGATTTCCCCCTTTTCCTTTTTGCTTTTTTTTCCTCGAAGATTAGATGTCTCTGGTAACTGCTGTAAAATGGATGGAATTTTCGAGCTATTATCTAACAGGCTGATCTTTGAATGATAATTGGACCCTTATGTTAACAGCCTCAGTGAAGAGTGAAGAGTTTTATACAGCATCTTCCGTGGGGTGGCAGTTAGGTGGATGGGGAAGCTACACTGAATTCCGACCTGGGAGACCAGGAATCTGCTTACAGCTTTGACGCCAAATAAACTGCAGCCCAGGGCAAGTTACTTTCCCTGGTAATTTTCTCATCTGTTAAGTGAGGACTCCCGGGTCAGACGGTACAGGGGTTTGTGGTTTTGCTTTTTTATCTCTCATTTTGTGCTCTGTTTTAGCCATAGGCAACTTTTCTGAGAAATGCAGACTGTACCTTAGCTGGCTTTTAAAAGCCTGTCTTTAAGCTTCCAGCCTCTGCCTTCAACAGAGCATAAAAGTTGGTCAGGGTACGCTCTTTTTTGAAATCCCACTTGCTGTTCTGTGCTTCAGATCAGAAAGTGTATTATTCTGACCTAGGTGGAATGCACCTTAACATATTTTTTGTCTTTGTGAAAGAAGTTATCAGAAAATGTTTCAGAGAATATTTGTCTACTTGGAAAATGTGTGGATAACATGTGATTGGGTCTGTGTATGTTGGCTCAGAGGAGTTCCAAGATCTTTCTACGCAGGGGATTTTGGAGGATCCAGATTTTATTAAAGTTCTTCAAAGGACATTTGACATTTGGCTAACTGTTGAAATTTCCAGCCAGTTTCAGCATTCTCAGAGTAGGGGGATGAAGTAGAATGCCATAACATCTCCTGTGAAATGGTATGCTAGTGGAATTAACTGTCACCTCAGGGTGCACTGATTATCTGCATCCCCAACTTTCTCCTTACTGGTAGCCAGTGCTCCGCAGATGCTGAAGAACCGCAATTAGTTTCACTGATTTTATGGTGTGTGAAGGCCTTAGGCTGTGCTTTTGACTGGTAAGTATTTCTATACCAACCTCAGAATTTGTCTTAAATTTCTAGAACTGTGCTGCTGGGCCGGATATGAGCCCAATATGTTACAATATGTCTTTCTCAGATCACTTTTTATTTTTATATATTATTTAATTTTTAAAATTAAATCCCCTTTTATTTACTTATTTATTTTGACACAGTGTTGTTCTGTTGTCCAGGCTGGAGTGCAGTGGCACGATCTCAGCTCACTGCAGCCTCTACCTCCCAGTTTCAGGTGATTCTCCTGCGTCAGCCTCCCGAGTAGCTGGGATTAGAGGCATACACTACCACACCCGGCTAATTTTTGTATTTTAAGTAGAGACAACATTTCGCCATGTTAGCCAGGCTGGTCTTGAACTCCTGACCTCAGGTGATCCGCCTGCCTTGACTTCCCAAAGTGCTGGGATTACAGGTGTGAACCACTGCGCCTGGGCTAGATCACTTTTTGATTCAGTCTCTTTGAACAGTTTCCAAAAGGATCCCAGCATAGGGGCAGAGTGCTTATAATTATTGACTTCGGAGACAGTTTGGTAGTAATTTTCTTGTATGTTACCATCAGGCCTATCACACAAGTAAACACTTTTTTGTTTGTTTTTTTGAGACAGAGTCTCTCTCTGTTGCCAGGCTGGAGTGCAGTGGCACTATCTCGGCCCACTGTAACCTCCGCCTCCCGGGTTCAAGCAATTCTCCCACCTCAGCCTCCTGAGTAGCTGGGACTACAGGTGCGCACCACCACGCCCAGCTAATTTTTGTATTTTTAGTAGAGATGGGATTTCACCATATTGGGCAGGATGGTCTCAATCTCTTGACCTCATGATCCACCCGCCTTGGGCCCCCAAAGTGCTGGGATTACAGGTATGAGCCACCATGCCCAGCCCACAAGTAGACACTTTTATATAGCCACACAGATTATTTGTGATTTTCTAGAATAAACAGTTTGTTAGGATTTGAATTATGACCTTGCGTTCAGTGTGGTGTTTAAAAAAACTCCGATTACTCAAATTGGTTTTGTTTTTTCTGTTGTTGTTTTGAGATGGAGTCTCGCTCTTGTTGCCCAGCTGGGAGTGCAGTGGTGCGATCTTGGCTCACTGCAACCTCAGCCTCCAGGGTTCAAGCGAGTCTCCTGCCTCAGCCTCCCGAGTAGCTAGGATTACAGGCATGCGCCACCTCGCCTGGCTAATTTTGTATTTTCAGTAGAGACGGGATTTCTCCATGTTGGTCAGGCTGGTCTCAAACTCGACCTCAGGTGAGCCGCCTGCCTCAGCCTCCCAAAGTGCTGGGATTACAGGCATGAGCCACCGTGCCCGGCCTATTAAATTGTAAGCAGTTATCATGCTCACATGTATATTACACTTGTCTTATAAAACTTACAAGGGAAAAAATTGTTATAAAATTTTCATTCTACAAAGTAATTTGTGTGTATTCACGTGAGAGGTTGCCAAAGTTGGTAAGATATCGGGAGACATGGCTTTTAGGTTCCATAACCTAGTAGTGGTATACTTTTTTGTTTGTTTGTTTTGAGACGGAGTCTCGCTCTGTTGCCCAGGCTGGAGTGCAGTGGCACAGTCTCTGCTCACTGCAACCTTCTCTTTCTAGGCTCAAGCGATTCCCCTGCCTCAGCCTCCCGAATAGCTGGGATTACGGGCTCCTGCCACCATGCCTGGCTATTTTTTTGTATTTTTAGTAGAGATGGGGATTCGCCATCTTGGCCAGGCCAGTCTCGAACTCCTGATCTCAGGTGAGGTCAGGAGGTTATCAGCCTGCCTCAGCCTCCCAAAGTGCTGGGGTTACAGATATGAGCCACTGCACCTGGCCAACTTTTTAAAACTCTGTAAGATAAAATGGAATGTAATTGAAATGATCACACTTAATTGGAGTTGGACTTTTTCTCATGAGTCCAACCTACCTTTCATATAGGCAGGAAAAAATGCTGGCATTTGTATAAAAAACAAGCTTTTGTGCTAGACTCTGTCCAAGGCATTTTAAATTGTGTTACAATATCCACCCAGCTGACCTTAGAGATAGATGACCTTTCCTTTCCCTGAGAGCTGGTAGAGCTAATGAGGCTCAAGGCTTAGATATAACCCTCCTGCTGTTGGCTCCAGAGCCTGTGCTGTACTAGGTTTGTTGCCTGCTCAAGGCACAAATCAGTCAGTGGTAAGTGCGGCCCTGGAATCCATATCTTCCTGCTGTGCCCCTCTTTTTTTTTTTTTTTAATTTTAAAGCTATGATGAACCTGAAATCTAGATTTAGGTGAAATACTGGAAAGGGTGGTTTTTGTGACTGCTTATGGTTTTGTGACCCCCTGGGAGTTCCCTAAACTTTTACCTTGCCCATACTTGGTCAGTTTTGCCAGTGTACTTGAGATTTAATCTGTGAAAAAATTTCTCTTTTCATACTTAATTCCGTCATTCTGTCCTGAGCTGAAAACTTTGGTATCAGCTTAAAGAGTAACATAATACGTAAAGGGCTATCTCTTCCTGACTAGTTTACAATGCACTAGAATCATTTTGTATGGTGACTGCTCTCACTCAGTTCGACTGGGTGGGACTCAAAAGATATATTTACCAAAGACAGTTCTTTCCACAGTATGCCTTAAGCCTTCTTACTCATGGGGACTTTGTGTTCAAGGCACCTTAGTACTCATTCATTCTGTCTGGGGCTTTGTCTCTGCTGTCTTCATTTTCTTTTTGTGGAGGTAAAAAAGTAACAAGATAAAGCAAAACAATAAAACCATTGAAGTAAAACGGTACATGACAGTGATACCTTTGAAATACAGTAAGCCTGGGCAACATAGTGAGACCTGGTCTCTGCAAAATAAAAAAGGCCAGATGTGACGTGGGTGCCTGTAGTCCAGACTATTCAGGAGGCTGAGGTGTGAGGATCATTTGAACCTGAGAGGTTGAGGCTACAGTGAGCCATGTTGTTGCCATTGTACTCCAGCCTGGGAGACAGAGCAAGATCCTGTCCAAAAAAAGAAGAAAAAGAATACAGTATACTGAAATCAAGGTATTTATAGTTAGTAGAGCATAATTTGGTCACATTGCACTGGATAGTTTTTGATTATTGGTTAGGCTGTTGAAAGTCCTGTAATACCCTTGGTACATGTGGTATGGGTGAAAAGGTTCTCATGGCGACAAACACAATCAGTACTTTCTGTGTAAGAGCAATGTTTGCTTTTTGGGTAATATGCGTGACCCAGCAGGAAGATGAACTATAACATGAGTTAGCTGGTATATCCGTGGCTTATTATCTGGTGTTTCATAGTGGGGAATTAAAACTACTAGGGAAAATATCATTATTGCAGTATGCATATGTAAGCTGTTCTATAGGAAAGAGTAGAAATTCATTGGAACATTTGATATCAGTATGATTGGAAGATGGTTTCCACTTTTGAATGTCATGTCCCTGAATGTGGATTAAGGTCCGCGTGCATGTGTGTGCTAATTTGCATTAACAAGTATTTACAGGCATTCTAAGTATGGGAAATGTGATGGTGGGCAAGAAAGAGCCTACTCTGGAGACAGACTGTAAACAGTAAATAAAAATGTCAGGTGATGATAATAGCGGTGAAGAAAATAAGAAAACAATGTGAAATAACTCAGGGGATGTTACTTTAGAGTGGTCACAAAGATAATCCCTGTTCTGAAGCCTTTTCTGCCAGTAGGGCAGTCGAACTTGATCTGTGGGCTGGATGAAAATGACATTAAACAAAGTAAATAATTTGTTTAGCCCTGAGCATCTTGAGAAGTTAATCCAAAGGATGGAAGTGGGCTGGTTGAAGTGTTCCCTCTGTTTATATCTTTTTGGTTTGTGAATAGGGACCTGGCTCAAAAGAGCTTAAGGGAGATCATTAGTGGTACCTTGTAAAGGCTAAGAAAGAGGAGTGTTGTCTGCTTTTTTTAAAAAATCATCCTGATAAAAAATGTGGAGATGTATTGTAATATTGGTGAGTGTTAGACAGTGTAGGAAACATTCTCTGGTTATGTCTGTTTCTCCCCCCTCCCCCACCCTGCCCCCGCCCCGCCCCCGCCCCACTTTAGATCTAGACCTGTAGATGTGTTCATGTTTCTGTGTTGGGGATCTTCTGTTTGGGTAGGGGGGTGGGGATGTCAAGGAAAGCAAGGATAGCTCTAAGCAGAGGCTCTGGCAAGGGAGGGAACTGTGCGGATCAGAAAGGCTTTGTTAACCATAGCCAGGAGGGCTCATCCTCTCAGTCTTTCCCAGCCAGCTGGCATCCAGCGTGCCTTCTCCCATCCTTTCCATACTCTCTGATTATAGAATTTTAGAGCTGGAAGACACCTAAAAAATTGTCTAGTCTAACCCTTTGGCTTTACAACTCAGGAAGATGCCAAGAGGCTGGTCATTTACCCAAAGTTATGTGGCTTTATACTGACAGAATCAAGGGTAGGACCTATTCTTTGCCATCTATGCCCCACGCTCTTACCAGCATAGTTCACAGTGGCTCTTGAGTGGAAAAAGGAAGCTCCTGGGTGTTAATGTACTCGCTTAGGAAAAAGCCTATGTAGTTCCAATCTTAAGATATCAAGGAGAGATGGCACACATCAAGCTTGAAAGCAGAGACAAAATTGTACTGCTGTTAATTTTCACAAAGATGTGTAGTGTTGTCTTCTTAGGCCCCATTGGTTTCTCTCATCCTAATTATGCCTTGGTCCAAAATAGGTGACATGGAGAAACTTCCTTGGCCATGATCAGATTTAGTTCATTTAGAGTGAGGCCTTTTGGATGTAGGGTGAAACTCCTGATAGGTGGCTAAAATGGGTTTCTAGAATTGAAAAAGAGTTAAGGCTCCAGCAGCTTACCTCCAGACCTCAGTTTCAGGGAAGCCAGATTTCACTGCTGCATTTAGAAGTGCCCTAAGGATGAAGCACTACTTTGAGAGTCTGGAGAATGTTCACTGTGCTTGGCAAGAAATAGGGATTCTTGAGAAGTCAAGCAGGGGTACTTCTCTGGGCGTTTCCCTGACTTAGTGCTGTGGGAGACCAATTACCTGAGGCCAGATTCTGTATCCCTTTGGTAGTGATGTGAGAGGATATTATTGCTGAAGAAAGTCCACGTGATGGAAGGCAGCAGAGCGTGTGAAGGAGGATGTGCAACCTCATCCTGGCTCCATCACTTGCTATCAGTGACTTTTGGCATTTTGCCTGAGCTGTAGTTTCCTTATCTGTGCAACGGAGATATATCTTCTTTTGGGCTGTTGGGGGAAGGCACTAAAATAGGAAAAGTATATGGTGAAGTGGACTGCCTGCAGGTGGCACTCAGAATGGTAGCTGTCCATTAAACCATCAGTCTATGTTGTGCTATGTACTAAGACACTGGACTGGTCTTAGTCCAGTGTCTAAGAGCAGGGCTGGTCCGTGCTAATTCTGTTGATTTTATGTTCTCAAATATTGGCCTAGTATATAGTAGAGAAGGGCAATTAAATAGGGTTATCAAAAGTATTCTCATAAGGGGAATAGAAGATGCTGTACCAGGTGTATAACCCTGACTTGAGAGGTCACTGGAGGGTTCTCAGAGCGGGACCATGTATTTCCTCATCAGCCTGCTGAGCTCAGTGTCTCTTCCCACCTCTGGTTGTTTGTCCTCTTATGCTTGACCATTGGCATTCTCCAGACCCTATTTTTTCAGTGTCCTTTCTCCCTCGGTGATCTCTGATCTCCCCAGGCTTTTGTTTGTTCATAAGATGATGATCCCCACATTCACATCTTCAGCTAGATGTCTTCTAGCGCCTTCAACTCCTGCTCGACACAGCGGCTTGACCATCTCACTGGTATTGTGAGCTTAAGTCCAAAACTGAACACTTATTCCTCACAAACTCTTTGTCCTGCATTTGTCCCCAACTCTGTAAGGGGCTCTACCGTTTACCCGGTTTCTCAAATCAGATTCCTCCTTTTCTCTCACCACCCTCTACCTCTAAATCTATCATCAAGTTACTGTCAGTGCTATTTCCATAAGATGATAACTTCTTTCATCTGTACTGCCACTACCCTCTTTACCTCTTACCTGGAACATGATGATGGCCGCCTCATTTCTGCTGGTGTCTGCCTCTATTCCACTTCACCCAGAGCGGCCAAGAGTCGTATGTGTCTGCTTAAAATCTTTTAATGGTTTTCCATAGCACTTAGATTCCAAACTCCCCCACATGGTTCACAAGGGCCAGAATAATCTGGCTTCTGCCTGCCTCTCTGACCCTCCTGCTGCTTTTGTTCACGGCCCTCCAGTCACATTCACTTTTTTTTAGGCCCCAGAAGGTAGCAAGCTCTTTCCCACCTCTGGAACTTTTTTCGAGATGGAGTCTTGCTCTGTCACCCAGGCTGGAGTGCAGTGACTCAATCTTTGCTCACTGCAACCTCCGCCTCCCAGGTTCAAGTGATTCTCCTGCCTCAGCCTCCCGACTAGCTGGGATTACAGGCGCCCGCCACCAGGCCCAGCTAATTTTTGTATTTTTAGTAGAGACAGGTTCCACCATGTTGGCCAGTCTGGTCTTGAACTCCTGACCTCGTGATCTGCCCACCTCGGCCTCCCAAAGTGCTGGGATTACAGGTGTGAGCCACCATCTGGAACTTTTTTATATACTGTTTCCTGTATCCATAGCACTCTGGCAAGCCTAGCCTTTTTCTCATCCTTCAGGATATTTGTTGAATGAATAAGAGGCAGCAAAGGGGATGGGGCAAGGAGGAATGTATCCTGAGTGCATCCACAAAGGTCTCAAAAAAAAAAATGTAGAATGAAATATGTTTGAAGAGCTGAAAGACTGTGAGTTTGATTGTGGCATAGGTAAGAGTTATTTAAGCAAAACACGTAGGAGTCAGGCAGCTGGAACTTGAATGCACTGCTGATGGGAGTATAAAATGATGCAACCACTTTGGAAAACTGGCAGTTTCTCAAAAAGTTGAACATACATCTGCCCTGTGACCCAGCAGTTTAATTTCTAGGTATTTATCCAAGAGAAATGAAAATGTCCACAAATAAGACTTACATAAGAATATTAATAGCCAAATAATAACCAAAACTAAACAGTCCAGATGTCCATCAGCGAGACAGTAGATAACAAATTGGCATGTTCATACAATGGAAGACCACAAACAAAAAGGAACAAACTACAGATACGTGTAATAAGGATTAATCTCACAAATATGCTCAGTGAAAAACCAAAAATCATATGTAATGGGTGATCCCACTTAATGGACATTCCAGAATGGGCAGAACTTATTTATGTACTAGATTTCAGATTGGTGTTGCTTCTTGGGTAGAAAGGGATTGACCAAGAGAAGATGTGAGGGAACTTTTTAGAGTATAGAAATGGTTAGGTCTTGATAGGCATTCATCAAAACTGATTAAATCATATGCTGTATGTGATTTGACTGTAAAAATCACCTGTAACCTGCAGCCAAAAACAACCCAGGAATTGTTCTAGATTCCTTTTCCCCCTCACTCTCAACATCTAATTGCTCAGCAGGTTCTGTTCGCGTTATATTCAAAACATAAGTTTGGGCCAGTCGTGGTGGCTCACATCTGTAATCCCAGCACTTTGGGAGGCTAAGGCAGGTGGATCGCTTGAGTCCAGGAGTTTAAGAAAGGCCTGGGCAACACAGTGAGACCCTGTCTCTAAAATTTTTTAAAAATTAACCAGGCATGGTGATGTTCATCTGTGGTCTCGGCTACTTGGGAGGCTGAGGTGGGCGTATTGCATCTGCGAGCTGTGATTGTGCCTCACAAAAACCATATACATATATGTATCTCTCATGAATTTGTTCCCTCTCATCTCAAGAACCATACCCTCTTATCTGAACTGTATTATTAGTTTCCTGTTTTTCCTACCCCCTATTTTTGCCTTCCTCCCAAACCATTTTTTCCACTTATCAGCTAAAGTGATCTCTTAAAAATTCAAATTGGATTATGTCAATTGCCTTCCTAAAATGCTCCAGTGGTCTTTCATTGCTTTCATATGGTGGCCAACAGGGTCATATCTAACCTTTGCCTCCTTCTGAAACCATTTGACCTGGTCTCCTTCTTGCTCTCTAAGCTACAGGTTTGTTCACCTTCCCTCTTGTTTCTTGAACTCCTCAAGCTCATTTCTACCTTAGGACCTTTACACTTGGCTCCTTCCTGTGTCTGGAACACTCTGCTTCTCAAATCTTTGAGTTGTTTCTGTTTGTCATTCAGGTTCAACCTAAATGTGACCTTCTCTGAAAGGTTTTCTCTGACCCTCCCTGTCTAAAGTAGTGCCCCATTACATCACCCTGCCTTGTTTTGTTCATAGCTTTTATCATAGTCTGAATTTATTCTTTAAAACATTTTTAAATTAATTAATTTATTTTTAAAAAATAGAGACAAGGGTCTCACTTTGCCCAGGCTGGTCTTGAACTCCTGGCTTCAAGCGATCCTCCTGGGATTACAGGCATGAGCCTCCATGAACAGCCTGAATTTATCTTGTCCTTTTGTTTATCTCCCTTTTCCTCTCAGGGTTAAGCATGCCTCCTTCACTGCTATATAGGCAGCAGTATTTGATACACAGTGGGCCAAATGTGTTAAGTGACATTATTGAGGATAGTGGTGGTAGGATGAGAGCTGTTGAAAGTGGACTTGGTGAGGGAGGAGGTGCCAAGGAGAGGCAAAACTTGTTTTGGGAAACTAGGTGATGGCATTGCCATTCATTAAAATAGAAAACAACTGAGGAAGCGAATATTGGAATAGGGTATAAAGTGATGAACTTGGTTTTGAATGTAAGTTAGAGATGCTTGTAAGACATCACGTGTTTGAGCACAGATCTGCCATTTAGGAGAAGGAACTGGGCTATAGATTAAGACTTGGAGGTTGCATGTATATCATAATTCCAGCCTAGGAGTACATGAGGTTGCCCTTAGGGGTAGATTAATAATGTAAGTATGTAGAGAAGTTGTTTCTTCCTTGCTTCCTAATTGATGGGCATCTCCTGCTAGTAATAGAGACTTAACTTGGGTCTCAGCCCCCTAAAAGGTTTTGTAGTTTCAGAACCCCCCAGGGAGTTATGTTATTCTTGCTAACAATGACAAGTGCTCAAGGGCCCAGAACAGAAACTCTGAGAAAAGCTAGCGATTAAGGGAGCATGGTGGCTCTTAAATAGCAGCAGGGCTATTTAAGACCCACCAGACAGGCTGGAGGAAACTCCAGAGAGCATGGAACCAGGGAAGACTTTTTCGTGTCAGAGGCAGTAGACAAGATTACTGAGAAATGTCAGTTGGGTGGAGAGGGAGGCAGGCTTCTGGGGAGTGGTAAACTAAAGCTAGATTGTCATGTATTGATGAGAAAGGTGAAGTGAAGACAGTAAATTGGGAGTCAGACCTTCCTAAAGTTTGGCTGTTAGAGAAAAGTAAAATACAGATGCAGGGAGAATCTGGGATCAAGAGAACTCTTTTATGTGTTTTTTTCTTTTAATATAAATACTTCTTATGGAGTTACATCCTGATAAACCCATCCGTCCTAAGTCGAAGGTATATTTAATGCACCTGGCCTACTGAATATCATAACCTAGCCTAGCCTTGGATGTGCTGGCAACACCTACCTACATGAGCCTATAATTGGGCAAAATCACCTAACACAAAGCTCATTTTATAATAAAAGTGTTGCATTTATTGAATACTATACTGAAAAAGTGAGAAGCAGAATGGTTGTGTGGGTACTCAAAGTAGGGTTTCTACTGAATGCTTGTCACTTTGGCACCATCCTGAAGTGAAAATCCTAAGTGTATGTGAAACCAGAGCATGCGTAAATTCTGATGAGGAGCCAGCACACAGGATGGTGTTGAAGATGCAGGAGAGTGAGAGGATGTTGGATTGAGGACATTCCTGGGGAACTCAGAACCCAGTGTGATCCCCTGTGATTGGCGTTGGGTAGTAAGAATATCCTTCTCCCACAGGAGAGCAGAGGTGCGAGCAGAGGTGTGTGGGTGAGAAGCAGGCTGCGCATGGGGCAGGAATGTAAGGAGTACTCTTTGCGCACTGAAGATCCTCTGCCTAGGGAAGGGGGGGGAGGTATGGAGAGTTGGAGGTTTCAAGAAAGCATGAAAGATTTTAAGAAACTTCCTGCCAAGCGGATAGAGCTGACTAAGGAAACAGTAATTGTAGGGATAAAGTAAGAAAGTAGTTAAGATGAGCTTTCTACTTCCTGGGATTTTAGAGAAACTGGTCAGACCTTTATAATCCTTTGTCTAGTTTTGGATTCCAGTGATTTGGACACAACTTTTTGTGCCTTGTGTCTGGCAATTCCACTGTTCCCCATATATTAGAGCAATCCCATTTATTAGACCAGTGACTTGTAAATTATTTCAGAGCCCTCACATTTTATTTAAAAAATATGCATGTAGCACTAGCTGTATAGTTAGGTGGCAGTGTGCTAAGTGTTATATCAAAACAGAATAAGATGGAAGAAAGGCGGCAGGGGGGCACTCTCATCTCTTCCGTGCTGGGCTCCCCCAGGTCTGCAGAGGCATTTTGGGAAACAGGTGGCCTGGCTGGGGTAGAAGTGAGGGTCATCCTCTTCTCAACTCCAGCCAGAGCAGCTCATCATCTCTCTTATCTTTTGGGTATATCAACATAAGATTTTTGCTGAAAAAAGACTTGCAGAATATTTTCAAACACCATTTCACTAGGCTCTAAGGTCCTTATAGTCAGGGCTGTGTTTTGCTTTTATAGCCCCATCATCTGCATTGTTGCCTGCCAGTGCATTGAGAAAGAATGTACCATTTTGCCTCTGAGCCTCTGCTCTCTAATACTTCTCCCTCCTTCCCATCTCTAGCCGTATATTAGAGTTAAAATAGAATGTGTCTGTTTCATCGCAAATTTGTATATTCTTAGGTGATCACCATGTCTTATTAATCTATGTCTTTGTGTCCTGTTCACATAATTCTATTAAAGTAATGTTGAATTTGGATTTGTTGTAGAAAACTTGCAAAGCTCTTCTAAGAGTAACTAAAATCAGTAAAGAATAGGGGAAAAAATCCAGAGAAAATATAAGCAGGAAAACCATAGCAGACAGGGTCAGATGGAATATTAGCGGTTTAGGTGAAGAACCCAGAGAACCGCCTGCCCTGTAAGGAATGCTGGGTATTTCTCCTGGAGGGTTTTATTTTAATTTTTGAGACAGGATGTTGCACTGTCACCCAGGCTGGAGTGTGGTGATACAGTCATGGCGCACTGCAGCCTTGAGTTCCTGGACTCAAATGATCTTCCTTCCTCGGCCTCCTGAGTATCTGCGACTACAGGCACATGCCACCACACCCTGCTAATTTTATTTTCTTTTGTAGAGATTGGGGTCTCTCTATGTTGACCAGGCTGATTTTGAACTCCTGGCCTCAAGCAATCTTCTTGCCTAGGCCTTCCAAAGTGCTGGGATTACAGGCATCAGCCACTGTGCCTGGCTCCTGGAGAGTTTTAGAACAATAAAATAGAATTGTTACTCCATGGCAGAAGTGTAGAGAACATGCCTGCCAGATTCCAGCCAGATGACTCCTATAAACACAACATACAGTCAGTGTAAATGAACCTAAACAGATTTACCAGTACCTGTACATTACTAAACAGATGTAAATGAAAAGATACACTATGCATTGAACTTAATGCTACTTTTTTGTTTTTTGTTTTTTGTTTTTCTAGTAGATGTGAGTTTAAATATAGCAGGAATAGGATTTTCATCTTCTCTTGTTGAAAGTCTTCGTGGAAGTGGATTTAAGTTCTAGCATATTCAGTAGGAGAAATTTGAGCTGGAATGAAGGACATCACAGCCTGCATAATTTGTTAAATGTCTCTTTAAAAAAAAAAAAAAAACTTTGCTACATTGGCTAGCGCATGTGCTGAAAGTTGGCTTCCCCTAAAGATAAGGGACACAGGCCAAATGAAGCCTATGGGAATGAAACACATCAGAGAAAATAAAAGAAAAAAGAAAATTTCTGTTCAGCCAAGTTTGCTAAGTAGTTGCCATGCTAGGCACACACACACAAAAATCAAATAAAACACTTCACTTTTCCTTAGAGTTCAGGGTCTGTGGGAGAGTCCAATATGGAAAATTAACATTTATCAAACGTATGAATGATTGATAAGGCTGTAATAGTGGTGTAGCTGGAGTGCTGGGGAGAACTAGGCAAGAGGCTGCTCCCTCCTGATCAAGTATGGGAAGAATATTGGAGAAGCCGGTAGAGGAGGGAGCATTTGGGTAGACCTTGAAGGATGGACGAGAGAGAGAGACAAGTGGAAGAGTGGAGAAAGAGCATTCCTAAGAGAGGTCTTTTGGGAACCAAGGCTCAAAAGTATGTAGCATATTATCAATCAAACCCTGGGCCCTTAGGCTAAGGGCCTAGAGATGACAGAGGGGAAGGTCAGAAGGGAGCGTGGGCCTAATAGTATGAGAGCAAGGTGGGAATAGCTTTGAACCTGGGGCTGGGGCACTTGAGTCTCATAAATGGAACAAAGTTTTGTGAAGAGAGGTGTGAATACATGGTTGGGGGCGTTGTTCTGACTGAGGAGAGATGGTGGTGGGAAGGAGAGGGGAGGGCCGGAAACAGATGATGAATTGATCATCTTGGCCTCTTACTGTTCTGATTTTCTCATGCCCAAAGCCCTAGTCTGCATAAGAAGGATCTGTAAAATTTAGCAATTGGTTTAAATAAAATGGATTTACAGGAAATTTTGGCATCAACCCATGTTGATTCCAAAACAGGTCGGCAAGCATATTTTATTTACCCAAACATTTATAACAATAAATAATGTGGTTTTGTTGTTGTTGTTGTTGTTGTTGTTGTTGTTGTTGTTGTTTGAGATGAAGTCTCACTCTGTTGCCAGGTTGGAGTGCAGTGGCGCGATCTCAGCTCATGGCAGTCTCCTCCTCCCGGGTTCAAGTGATGCCCCTGCCTTAGCCTCCCAACTAGCTGGGACTACAGGCACGCACCACCAAGCCCGGCTACTTTTTTTTGGTATTTTTAGTAGAGACGGGGTTTTACCATGTTGGTCAAGATGGTCTCGATTTCCTGACCTCGTGATCCGCCCGCCTTGGCCTCCCAAAGTGCTGGGATTACAGGCATGAGCACCATGCCCAGCCAACATTGTGAATATTTTTATATAAACAATAAATTCCAAGGGCCAGGACTTGTTCTAAACATTTGACAAAAAAGTTAGGAGATAGTGTTATTACCTCTGTTTTTCAAACGAGAAAACTGAATAACGGAGGTTGAGTGACTTGCCCAAGGTCACCCAACTATTAAGTAGCAGAGCCAGGATTGGGAATTGGGAAAAACTCTCACCTCTAATCATGTTTTTCCTCTACCTTTTTTTTTTTTTTTTTTTTGAGACGGAGTCTTGCTGTGTCACCCAGGCTGGAGTGCAGTGGTGCCATCTCTTCTCAAGCTCTGCCTCCCAGGTTCACGCCATTCTCCTGCCTCAGCCTCCAGAGTATTTGGGACTACAGGCGCCCGCCTCCACCCGCGGCTAATTTTTGTATTTTTAGTAGAGACGGGGTTTCACTGTGTTGGTGAAGATATTCTCGATCTGCTGACCCTGTGATCTGCCTGTCACGGCCTCTCAAAGTGCTGGGACCAGCTCCTTTTGGATTTTTATGGAAGTTTCCTGATGTCAATTTCTTCTCCCAGGGTATAGGGCTGGACGCCCTCTGAGGAGGGTCTTAAGAGCCACAGTCTGAGAGGTGGGAAAGGATTAGAGTCCTGCCTTAGGGCAGGTGAATGGAGGACAGGTGAGAGATTGTTTCCCCAGGCCTTAACATACCCAATATTATAACAAAACACTGTTACAAGGGCTGGACAATACCCAGTATATATCATGATACCACAGGCACCCTGGCTCTGGACTCTGTGCCCTTAACCTGTACCCTGTGTGAATGTTTAATTTAAATGAGCTGGAATATAACTTGCAGGATAAGTTTGTGGCCATTTGAAGAGGAAGAGTTTAGTTTTGGATTATAGAAACAAAGAAAAAGAAAGTGGAGTGGAGCTGGGAAGTACCATCCTGGGATCTACCTGGGAGAATAGTCTGCTGTGTGAGGGCAAGGACTTGTCTGTTGCCCATCATATTCCCAGCATCTAGAACAGTGCTTGATATGTAGCTAATGCTTAGCAGATATTTTTGAGTGAATCAGTAAATAAAATTTCGCTGCCAGCTCTCAAAGGAATATGCTGTGGAAGCTTCAGTTACTTTTTTTTTTTTTTTTTTTTTTTGAAAGGGAGTTTTGCTCTTGTTGCCCAGGCTGGAGTGCAATGGCACGATCTCAGCTCACCGCAACCTCCGCCTCCCGGGTTCAAGCGATTTTCCTGCCTCAGCCTCCCAAGTAGCTGAGATTACAGGCATGCGCCACTACACCCGGCTAATTTTGTATTTTTAGTAGAGACAGGGTTTCTCCATGTTGGTCAGGCTGGTCTCAAACTCCTGACCTCAGGTGATTCTCCTGCCTGGCCTCCCAAAGTGCTGGGATTACAGGCATGAGCCACCATGCCCGGCCTCTTCAGTTACTTTTTTCTCTTTGGTTCATGGTTCAGGATCCTTTCTGAATTAATAAATTTATTACTTGTTTTTACTAAACTTATTTTGTTCAGCTTTTCAAGGAATGCCAGTTCACTCTACTGTTTTCAGGGTTTTTAAAAAATCAACTTGCTTTCAAAATCAAAATATTAGATTTTAACATTCCAGCATAAATCTTTTTATATAAATAAAACTTTTGTTGATGCTTTTGGTTTTTCATACGCCTATATTTAAGGGGTAAATCTTGAAAATATTACTAAGGAATTGGAATTGACATCTAATTATAGTAGTTGAGATAATATATTTATGTAATCCCTTTTAGAGAAGTTTAATAAATATTTTTCAACAGACAAAGCATTATCTCTACTTTATTTTTTTTTCTATATTTTGATACTAGCCCGTCCTGTATCTGTTGAAGAAGCTTTCTTAGTGATTCGTTAGGAAATTCTCTTTCTGGAACCCAGTGACAGTGCAACTCAAGTAGCGTCTCTACTAATGTGAAGTCACAACACTGATCATGTAGAACTCATGTATCTGATTTCATTAGCAAATTAGTAGATGGTGTAGGTTTCTAAGGAAGAGTGAACTAATGCATTCTCTTTGCTTTAGTTTACATTAAATCATTAGGGAATAGGGAAATAGGAAATTTTTTCTTTTGCCACTTATAAATGAATAAAGCCTTAGTTTTTGTTTTGTTGTTTTTTTCCTATGGCCCCCTGTCACTTGAAGGCCTTAGTTTTATAAACCAGTATTTTGCTTCTCTTATTGACCTGATTCAGTTTATTAGCCTTTTATTAAAATATATACTATATACTTCATAATATTTTATTTTTGTTAAACATTTGACTCTACTAAATTAAATATTTGAAAAAATCTCACTATAACAGTATTTTTATTCTAGAGTTAAAATGGTTGTATGAAAATAGTTATTTTTGTTAAAATAGTTTTATATATAGGGATAATTATATACGTTTAAAAATGCCAAGATTGTTACTCTAGTGTTTCAGTTAAAAAAGCTTTTAAAGGCTGGGCACCGTGGCTCACACCTGTAATCCCAACATTTTGGGAGGCCGAGGTGAGCAGCGGATCATGAGGTCAGGAAATTAAGACCATCCTGGCCAACAAGGTGAAGCCCCGTCTCTACTAAAAATACAAAAATTAGCTGGGCATGGTGGTGCGTGCCTGTAATCCCAGCTACTTGGGAGGCTGAGGCGGGAGAATCGCTTAAACCTGGGAGGTGGAGGTTGCAGTGAGTCGAGATGTGCCACTGCACTCCAGCCTGGCGACAGAGCTGGACTCAGTCTCCAAAGCTTTTAAAACTGTCTTGTGTGTGGATAAAGGTGATTTTTAAGAATATTTTATAAAATATTACCGAAGTTTATGTTTGTAGGTGTTAGCTCTCCCAAAGACTTCTTGAATAGTTGTTTCAGACGGGTTTAGGCCATAATTCTGAAAGAGACAGTTCTTTTTTTTATTTTTTTCTTTTTTTTTTTGAGATGGACTTTCGTTCTGTCGCCCAGGCTGGAGTGCAGTGGTGCTCGGCTCACTGCAACCTCTGTCTCTTGGGTTCAAGTGATTCTCCTGCCTGAGCCTCCCAAGTAGCTGGGATTATAGGTGCGTGCCACCACACCCGGCTAATTTTTTTGTATTTTTACAAAAAAAAATACAGGTAGAGACAGAGTTTCGCCATGTTGCCCAGGCTGGTCTTGAACTCCTGACCTCAGGTGATCTGCCCACCTTGGCAGGGTTTTGCCACGTTGGCCAGGCTGGTCTCAAACTCCCGACCTCAGGTGATCTGCCCACCTCAGCCTCCCGAAGTGCTGGGATTACAGGCATGAGCCACTGCGCCTGGCCTAAAAGACACAGTTCTTGATGCCATAATCCCAAATACTGAAATCCCAAAATATCGAAATCCAAACAATATAATTCTGGAAAAAATAATTTTAAAACATTATTTAAAAAATACTTATTTGGGCCAGGTGCGGTGGCTCACTCCTGTAATCCCAGCATGTTGAGAGGCCTAGGTGGGCAGATCACTTGAGCTCAGGAGTTTGAGACCAGCCTGGCCAACATGGCAAAACCCCGTCTCTACTAAAAATATAAAAATTATCTAGGCATGGTTGCAAGTGCCTGTAGTCCCCGCTACTCGGGATGCTGAGGCACGAGAATCACTTGAACATGGGAGGCGGAGGTTGCAGTGAGCTGAGATCATGCCACTGTACTCCAACCTGGGTGACAGAGTGAGATTCTGTCTCAAAAAAAAAAAAAAAAAAAAAAAAAAAAGACACTTGTTTGGCCAGGTACAGAGTCTCACACCTGTAATCTCAGTATTTTGGGAAGCCAAGGTGGGCAGATTGCTTGAGCCCAGGAGTTCAAGATCAGCCTGGGCAACGTGGAGAAACCCTGTCTCTACAAAAAAATACAAAAATTAGCAAGCTAGCGTGCACCTATAGTCCAGCTACTTGGGAGACTGAGGTGGGAGGATCTCTTGGGTCTGGGAGGCAGAGGTTGGAGTGAGCTGTGATGGCGCTGTCTGGGCAACAGAGCAAGACTTTGTCTTCAATAAACAAACAGAAAAACCACTTATTTACCTTTTTTAAAGGGGATTTATTTGAGAAACAAAAACATGACAACACTTCATAGGCCACTTAATATAGTTTGGATATGTGTCCCTGCCCAAATCTCATGTTGAATTGTAATCCCCAATATTGGAAGTGGAGGCTGGTAGGAGGTGATTGGATTATGTGGGTGGATTTTTCATGAATGGTTTAGTACCATCCCCTTGATGCTGTCCTCGAGACGGTGAGCGACTTCTCGCGAGATCTGGCTGTTTTAAAAGTGTGGCACCTCACACTCTCTCTTGCTCAGTCCTCATCATGTGATGTGCCTGTTCCCCCTTTGCCTTCTGCCATGATTGGAAGCTTCCTGAGGCCTTCCTGGAAGCAGGTGCCACTATGCCTCCTGTACAGCCTGCAGAACTGTAAGCCAATTAAATCTCTTTTCTTTTAAGTATTCCTTCATAGCAATGCAGGAACAGCCTAGTACACCACTTTACACAATAAAATAGTAACAAATGTATTTTGCAAGTTTAATCACTCAGTATACTAACCGTAGTTGCATGGGTGTTACATTTTGTAACTGTGGTCCTCTGAAATACCATGATGGACAAACTAGGTCTTTTGATGAGGTAGTAAAAACAAGGATGGGTCATCACTGTGTGTGCAGTCTCCTGAAGAGCAGAGATATTGTTGAATTTTATCTTTCACAAAAACAGTATAAAAAAAGGACATCTCATTGAAGGTTCACCTTTTTTTTTTTTTTTTTTTTTTGAGATGGAGTTTCACTGTTGTTGCTGAGGCTGAAGTGCAATGGTGTGGTCTCGGCTCACTGCAACCTTTGTCTCCTGGGTTCAGGCGATTTTCCTGCCTCAGCCTTCCAAGTAGCTGGGATTACAGGCGCCCCGCCACCACGCCTGGCTAATTTTTGTATTATTAATTTTTGTAGAGACAGGATTTCACCGTATTGGCCAGGCTGGCCTCGAACTCCTGACCTTGGGTGATCTGCCCGCCTTGGCCTCACAAGTGCTGGGATTACAGATGTGAGCCACCGTGCCTGGCCAGTTTCAACTTTTTTTAAAGAGACCATAGTCTTCTAGCTATGTTGCCCATGCTGGAGTGCAGTGACTATTCACAGGCATGATCATAGTGCACTTCAGCCTCAAACTCCTGGCCTCAAGTGATCCTCCTACCTCAGCCTCCCTAGTAGCCGGGACTGACTACAGGTGCTCCACCACACCTGGCTTCTACGTTTTGATGAACACAGCCAGAGCTTACACATGAAGTCAGTGTTGTGATAATGCACTTCTGTGGAGTTCAGTTTGCAAAAAAAAAATGCATAGAATTAATTAGAACTCTCCAAAAGTCTCTACACAATTTATATCTCCAGTATTAGAAATGATGTGAAGATAAAATATATAGCATAGCAAATTGGCACTATGTGTGAAGGAGCAGAAATAATACACCATTGAATAATTTGGCAGGGGAGATTTCTTGTATTTTTTGCCTGTATTTTCACTTCTGCGATCTTCAAAGCACTTGCTCCAGTTTTATTTGCAAAGTGGTTGTGATCCACAAATTTTGTAAGTATATACTGTCTATTTGAAAGCCTGATTATTGCCTGGCCGTTGCAATTTCTGCTTTTGCAGCACCAGTGATAATTAGCTTTTAAACTTTTATCTTTCGCCATTAAGTAGCCGTGTACACTTATCAGAGCCTTTTTGCGAGGGAAGAGTTTCACAGATCTCTTCAATTGTGCTGTAAAGAATAAAGTAAGAAGAACTGATACTCAGCTTCCCCAACACCAAATCTGCATTAGTCAGGGTTCCCTAGGGAGACAGAACCAATAGGATATGTGTATAGATATGAGGGAATTTATTAGGGGAATTGGCTCATATGATTAATGGTGGCTGAGAAGTCCCATGACAGATCATCTGCAGGCTTGAGACCCTGGGATGCCAGTAGCATACCTCAGTCCAAATCCAAAGGCCTCAGAACCAGGGAAGCTAATGGTGTTATCTCTCGGTCCAAGGTCAAAAAGCCTCAGAATTCAGGGGGCCACTGGTTAAGTCCTGGAGTCCAAAGGCTGGCAAGCCTGGAGTTCTGATGTCCAAGGCAGCAGAAGAAAAGTCTGTTCTAGCTCTCAGCAATTCACCTTCTGTGTACTCCCTGGGCTCCTGGCTGATTGGATGATACCCACCAACATAGAGGGCTCTCCTTGCCTACTCAGACTCGCACACTAATCTCTGAAAACATCCTCACAGACACACACACAACACAGTGCTTTACCAGGTTTCTAGGTGTTCCTGTCAAGTTGATAGCTAAAATTAAGTCCACAAATCTATCCTCGGCAACTTGGTACCCATAGGCATCTCCTTAAACCATACTTAATTTCCAGATAATGACAATAGCAAGGTCATAGTTCCACCTAGCATGGTGTAACTATTGTGTACAACCAAAACTATGCAAATTCCCTGCCCCAAAATTCGGCTTTTGGGATTTCATCATTTGGGATTTTAATCTTTTGGGGTTGTGGTTTTAAACATTAGGGATTTTTAGACTTTAGTCTTTTGGGATTTTAACATTCAGGATTATGGCATTTGGGATTATGATTGGTACTGATTGCAGACAGTTTTTGCTAAATCTAGTGTTTAGATATAGCAGCAAAATAATTTCTATGTATATTTAATCACTGATGTAGTAAATCAGTAGTTAATATTTACAGATCCCTTACCCAGTACCAGGCACAGTGCACGTTTTATATTCATTATTTAATTCTCTCAGAATAACCCAATAAAGTCAGTATTTTATCTGTAAAACGGGGATAAAGAAACAGACTGAAGAGAGATTCATTCATTTGGAAGAGGTTCCTCAGCCACCAAGTGATAGAGCCAGGGCTGGCATGCAACTCTATGTGGCTTCAAAACCTGTTTCTCCCTTTTAGTGTAAAATGTATACTTTGTAAAAATGTACACCATGTGGCTGCTGCTTTCTCCCCACACTGACAGGCTTTCCCTGCCCACCTGAGCCCAGGCAGCGCCCACATGAGTACGTGCTCTCTCCCTCAGCCCTGTTCTCCCTTCACAGCAATTATCTGACAGTCTTGTCTTGTATCTGTTTCCTTCACAAAATGTAAGCACCATGGGATGGAAACTTTGCCTACTCCATCCCTGTCTGCATCCATGTTTCCTAGAGTAGTGCCTGACACACAGTAGGAGCCAACATATTTGTTGTAAAGGCTATGAACCAGAAGGTTGTATCAGTCTACAATATTCACTTTTTAAGTCACTTCTGTAGAACAGACTATTAATTTTTTCTTTCTAGTTAGTGATTTTAAGTGAGGAAATTGAAGAGAGGTGTCTTGAAGAGATGCGGAGGAACCAGTCAAGTAGGAGACAGGTCAAGGCTTGTGGAAGTAGAGATTGGTAGTGGTTTAAATGAGCATGGTGCTGGACCTGCCTGAGCTCTTGTAGCTTCGTGAATAGTAACCTTTCTTCCCCAGTCCCTGGTCTAGTGTCTTCCCAACTACTGCCAGAAAATCTTCTGAAAGGTAGCTCTTGTCGTATCCTTTTCATTTGTGTACTGAGTTAAATTTAGACACCTTGCCTTGGTCTTCAGGGTTCCATGGTAGGACCCTGCCCTGCCTCTCTAACCACATCTCCTGGTTTCCCCAGTTGTATCCTCTGCTGCAGCTCGGTGTCCCCAGAGGTGCCTTTATTTCCAGGTCTGGGTCCGTGTCCTCTTTTCTGTTCTCCATCTTATCTTTTTTTTTTTTTTTTTTGAGATGGAGTCTCGCTCTATCACCCAGGCTGGAGTGCAGTGGCACCATCTCGGCTCACTGCAAGCTCCGCCTCCCGGGTTCATGCCATTCTCCTGCCTCAGCCTCCTGAGTAGCTGGGATTACAGGCGCCTGCCACCACGCCAAGCAAATTCTTATATTTTTAGTAGAGATGGGATTTCACCATGTTGACCAGGCTGGTCTCTAACTCCTGACCTCAGGTGATCCACCTGCCTCGGCCTCCCAAAGTGCTGGGATCACAGGTATGAGCCACCGCGTGCAGCCTGTTCTCCATCTTTTGAGATAGTTATATTTCAAGGCCTTTCTCAAATGTTACTTTTCTCCATGAAATCTAACATTCCCTTAACTGGATGTTTCCTTCATGACGTTTGTAATTTTCTGGTGCACCTTTAATCTTTGCTTTTTGCTTTTTATTATACCTTTCTTTTTTCCTTTTTTTTTTTTTTTTAATTTTTTGAGACAGAGTCTTGCTCTGTCCCCCAGGCTGGAGTGCAGTGGCGCAATCTCGGCTCACTGCAACCCCTGCTTCCCAGGTTCAAGCAGTTCTCCTGCATCAGCCTCCCAAGTAGCTGGGATTACAGGCACCCGCCACCACGCCTGGCTAATTTTTGTATTTTTGGTAGAGATGGCGTTTCACCATGTTGGCCAGGCTGGTCTCAAACTCCTGACCTCGTGATCTGCCTGCCTCAGCCTCCCAAAATGCTGGGATTACAGGCGTGAGCCACCGTGCCCAGCCTATTATACCTTTCTAAATGTGTTCTTGCCCTCCTTCCCCAGTCCTCCCTGAGGGCAAGATTATGGTATTGGCACTTGCCGTATCCTCTACGGTGCATTGAACACATGAACAAGCAATCATTTTAGAGGTAGAGAAAAACACGTACGAGAAAAAGGCAAACAATGGTATTTAGTTTTGGTGTAGGGAAGACTTGTCCTTTTCCAAGGATTAGTTTTGGTGGTCAGGAAGCTTTTTGAAGCCAGGAGAAACAATGTAGGTAAAGAATTAAGTATATTGAGGCCAGGCCTGGTGACTCATGCCTGTATCCCAGCACTTTGGGAGGCCGAGGCGGATGGGTCACTTGAGGTGAGGTAAAGAGTTTAAGACCAGCCTGGCCAACATGGCGAAACCCTGTCTCTACCAAAAATACGAAAGTTAGCTGGGCGTGGTGGCATGCGCCTGTAACGCCAGCTACACGGAGGCTGAGGTAAGAGAATCACTTGAACCTGGTAGGTGGAGGTTGCAGTGAGCCAAGATCACACCAGTGCACTCCAGCCTGGGTGACAGAGTGAGACTCCATCTCAGAAAAAAAAGAAAAAAGAAAAAGAATTAAGCAAATTGGGTCTAGTATTTTAGAGTAGAAGAAAAGAAACCAAATGGGGAAACGACTGAGAAGCACCATTTTTCAGAGTTTGGGGATGAGTCCTAGTACTTGTCCTCAGGGTGTTCAACAGTATTGTGTGGGAAACAGACAACTAGATCATTGATAATACGTTGTAAAAATTTGACCATAGAGCTGGCTGTGGTGGCTCATGCCTGTAATTCCATCTATTCAGGGGCTGAGGTGGGAGGATTGCTTGAGGCGAGGAGTTGGAGACCAGTCTGGGCAACGTAGTGAGACCTTCTCTCCAAAAAATACATAAATAAAATTTAAAAATAAAATTGGCCATAGAGAGGGAAAGGCGCTAGAAAACATTGGTTAATTCTACCAAAGCTTAGTAAGAGCTAGTGATCTTAGCAAAATTGAGGTCCTGAGCAGGTGGGCAGAAAGGTTGACATCGCGCTGGAGGAAGCTGTCTTAGGGTGAATACATGAATTGTCTTGACCCCCTTAAAAGGGCATTGCAGAAGGTATCACAATATTTTAGGAAGATGATGGTGAAAGGTTAGTTTTTAGTACTAGGACTCAGTTCTTAAGGGAGAAGTAGGTCAGTGTTCAAAGAAACAATATTTAATTTAGTGTTAGAAACCTCCCAGATAGCATCTTGTTCTTCCACGTTTCATGTTTTTGCAGGGCCGAGATGAGTAGCCATGGGAATGAGACAGGAGTAAAGGAGGCTGGACACAGTAGTTGACGCCTACAATGGGATGCTAGGTGGGAGGATCACTTGAACCCAGGTGTTGGAGACCAGCCTGGGCAGCATAGTGAGACCTCGTCTCTACAAAATTAAAAATAGCCGGGCATAGTGGTGCATGCCTGTAGTCCCAGCTACAAAGAGAAAAAAAGGAGTAAGGGAGATAACTAAAGGGGAAGACTATGTAATGAATTACTTGCTCTTGCATGTCCTAGGTTCTTCTCAGTTACACCTTTTTAGAGATTTTTTTTCTTTTTCTTTTTCTCTTCTGAGACAGGATCCGGCTCTGTTGCCCAGGCTGGAGTGCAGTGGCATGATCACGGCTCACTGCAATCTCCGCCTCCCAGGCTGAAGCAAATCTTGTGCCTCAACCACCCCAGTAGCTAGGATTACAGGTGCGCACCACCATGCCCAGCTGATTTTGGTATTTTTTTTTGTAGAGATGGGGTTTCGCCATGTTGTCCAGGCTGGTCTTGAACTCCTGAACTCAAGTGATCCTCCTGCCTCAGCCTCCCAAAGTGTTGGGATTACAGGTGTGAGCCACTGCGCCCAGCCAGATTTTTTTAAATTGATATGAAATTCACGTGACAAAATTAATCATTTTTAAGCGAACACTCGAGTGGCGTTTGCTGCATTCACAATGTGTGCACCCATAACAACCTGTATCTAGTCCCAAAGTAAACCTGCTACCCATTAAGCAGTTACTCCCCTTGCCCTCTTCTGCCAGTCCTTTGCAACCACCGATCTGCTTTCTGTTTTTAGATTTACTTCTTTTGGATATTTCATTAGATGGAATCGTACAATATGTGACCTTTCATGTCTGACTTCTTTCACTTAGCGCGTAGTGTTTTGAGATTTATCTACATTGTATTGTGTATGAGTACTTCATTCCTTTTCATGGCTGAATACATACTCAGTTTTATGTATATACCACAATCTGTTCATCCGTTCATCTGTTGATGGACATTTCGGTTGTTTCCACCTTTTGGCTATTTTGAATAGTGCTGCTATGAACATGTGTGTATATCTATTTGTTTGGATACCTGTTTTCACTTATTTTGAGTATATACCTAGGAATGGAGTTGCTGGATCGTGTAATTCTGTATTCAACTTTTTGAAGAACCACCAGACTTTTTCACAGTGGCTGAATATTTTATATTCCCATGTGTGGCCCAGGCTGGAGGGCAGTGGCATGATCGTGGATCACTACAGGCTTCACTCACTGGGCTCGAGTGATTCTCTTGCTTCAGCCTCCCAAATAGCTGGGATTACAGGTATGTGCCACCATACCTGTCTAATTTTTGTATTTTTATAGACAGGGTCTCACCATGGTTGGCCAGGCTGGTCTCCTAACTCCTGGCTTCAAGTGATCCAGTGTGCCTGGCCCCCACCAGCAATATGTGAGGGTTCCAGTCTCTCCACATCATCACCAACACTTGTAATTTTTTGTTTTCTTTCCTATAGCCATACCTATGGGTATGAAGTGCTGTGTCATTGTGGTTCATTTTTCCTGATACATTAACTTTTTAAGAGAAATGTTAGTAGACTTTATTGCTTAGAGCAGTTTTAGGTTTACAGAAAAAATGAGCAATAAGAGAGTTCCTGTTTACCCTCCCTCAATCCAACCATAGGTTCCACTATTACTAATATCTCATATTAGTGTGGTGCATTTGCTACACTTGATATACAGTATTGATATTTTATTATTAACTCAAGTCCAGTTCATATTTGACCTTTTTTTGTTTGTTTTTGAGAGGGAGTCTTGCTCTGTTGCCCAGGCTGGAGTGCAGTGGTGTGATCTCAGCTCACTGCAACCTCCACCTCCAGGGTTCAAGCGATTCTCCTGCCTCAGCCTTCTGAGTAGCTGGGATTACAGGCACCCACCACCATGCCTGCTAATTTTTATATTTTTAGTAGAGACAGGGTTTCACCGTGTTGGCCAGGCTGGTCTCAAATTTCTGACGTCAAGTGATCAGTCCACCTCAGCCTCCCAAAGTGCTGGGATTACAGGCGTGAGCCATCATGCCTGACTTTTTTTTTTTTTTTTTTTTTTTTTTTTTGAGACAGTGTCTTGCTCTGCCAGCCAGTGCAGTGGTACAATCATAGCTCGCAGTAACCTTGAGCTGCTGGATTCAGGTGAGATTACAGGTGCTAGCCACAGCAACTGACTTGAGTTCATTCTTTGTTGTATATTCTGTGGGTTTGGACAAATGCATAATGTCTTACATCTGCTAATACAGTATTATACAGAATTGTTTCACTATCCCAGGAGTCACCTGTACTCTCTCCGTATTCATCCTTCCCCCTCTTCCCTTGGATCCTTGGTAATCATTGATCTTCCTACTGACTTTACAGTTTGGTGTTTTCCAGAATATTATATAGCTAAAGTCATGTAGCCACTTCAGATTCATGTCTTTCACTTAGCAATAATCATTTAAGGTTCCTGCATGTCTTTTTTCTTTTTTTGAGACAGAGTCTTGCTCTGTCACCCAAGCTGAAGTGCAGTGGTGCGATCTCCACTCACTGCAACCTCTGCCTCCTGGGTTCAAGTGATTCTCCTGCCTCAGTCTCCCGTGTAGCTGGGATTACAGGTGCCCACCACCACCCTTGGCCAAGTTTTGTATTTTTAGTAGAGATGGGGTTTCACCATGTTGGCCAGGCTGGTCTTGAACTCCTGACCTCAGGTGATCCGCGTGCCTCAGCCTCCCAAAGTGCTGGGATTATAGGTGTGAGCCACCTCGCCTGGCCGGGTAGAGAGATCTTCACAGTTGAAAATACCTCTTCTAAATCCTTGACTTTGAGCTCCTCACGTGCTGAGAGTGTTGTAAGTTCGTCTATATAGTATACCCTATGATAACCCCTAATATGACCACAATAGATATTTAATTGTGGTGGTACTATACTTACAGAACAGGTTCATGTTATTTTTGGAAGACATTCTAGATAATAGAGACCATCTGTTTTGTATTCACCAAGATTCTTGATTCTTTGGTGATATCTCTTATTTGTTCTGGAAAATTCCCAATACTTCTCCTCACTTACTGCCTTGCCTCCATTCCCTTCTCATTCTAAGAGTCCACCCATACAGGGATACATTCAACCTTGTAGTCACCCTTTCTTTTCTGTTTTTTTTTTTTTTTTTTTTTTTTTGAGGCGAAGTCTCGCTCTGTCGCCCAGGCTGGAGTGCGGTGGTGCGATTTCGGCTCACTGCAACCTCCGCCTCCTGGGTTCAAGTGATTCTTCTGCCTCGGCCTCCCGAGTAGCTGGGACTTACAGGCACTTATTACCACGCCTGGCTAATTTTTTGTATTTTTAGTAGACACGGGGTTTCACTGTGTTAGCCAGGATGGTCTCGATCTCCTGACTTCCTGATCTGCCCGCCTAAGCCTCCTAAAGTGCTGGGATTAAATGGCATCCATTACAAGTGTTTTTTTTCTTTTCTATTTTTCATTCTGGGTAGATTACTTTGACCTGTTTTCAGTTAATCAGTCTTCTCTTTGACTAATCTGCGTTTTTTTGAGACAAGAGTCTCACTCTTTCGCCCAGGCTGGGGTGCAGTGCAGTGGCACGATCTTGGCTCTCACTGCACCCTCTGCCTCCTGGGTTCAAGCAGTTCTTGTGCCTTAACCTCTCGAGTAGCTGGGACCACAGGTGTGTGCCCCTACACCTGGCCAATTTTTGTACTTTTAGTAGAGATGGAGTTTCACCATGATGGCCAAGCTGGTCTTCAACTCCTGGCCTCAAGTGAGCCACCTGCCCCAGCCTCCCAAAGTGCTGGAATTACAAGTATGAGCCACCGCGCCAGCCGATTAATCTGCTTTTAATTTAATAACTCAATGGATAGTTCTTACCAATATCTTACTGTATTTTTCAGTTGTGATTCTTTTCAAGTCTGCTACATTGTTTTTTATGGATTCCTGTTCCCTGCTAAATTTTTCAAACTTCGCTTTTATTTCCTAGAACATACTAAATATAATTCTTTTATAGTCTCCTGATATCTCCAGTATTTGGAGTTCCTTTGGATCTATAACTGCCTCTCATGGTTCTTACTCATGGTACTTTGTTCATATGTTTGTGTGCTGGACATGGTATTTGAAAAATTGTTTATAGAAATAATTAGAGGCTTTGGGTGTGATGTCTTTTTCCAGGTGACTGACGGCACTAGCCAACGAGGATCATTTTAATACAAGTTGAAGCCCAGGCGCGCTGGCTAAGGCCTGTAATCCCAGAGCACTTTGGGAGACTGAGGCAGGCAGATCAGCTGAGGTCAGGAGTTCGAGACCAGCCTGGCCAACATGGTGAAACCCCCTCCTTACTAAAAATACAGAAATTAGCCGGGCGTGATGGCGGGTGCTTGTAATCCCAGCTACTTGGGAGGCTGAGGCAGGAGAGTCGTATGAACCCGGGAGGCGGAGGTCGCAGTGAACTGAGATGGCGCCACTGCACTCCAGCCTGGGGGGGACAGAGCAAGACTCTGTCTCAGAAAAAAAAAAAAGTTGAAGATTTGAGTTTTTTATGGACTATCCAGATGGTTTGAAGCTGAGTCCATGGGAGGGCTTATTTACTTCTACTTCAGTCTTACTCCTAGGATGCAGCCCTATGGGGCCTCAGTTCACAGGTTCGCTGGGGTGAGGAGCGCGTTACTGAGTTATGAGTTATAAGTTATCTCCTATGCAAGGCCTTGGAGTGAGCCAGGCACTTTCTGGGCCTCCACTGGCAAATCAACAAATGCCCCCAGGTCTTGCCTCTTTCTTTGGATTTCCATCTTTTTCAGGATATTAATTTGGTAATATCTCACTATCTTGTTAGATTTTTGTTACTTTTGGAAAGATGTATATATATTGTATCCAGTTTTTTGTGCAGTTATTTAGTCTGTATTACTGTAAACAGAAAACAAGGTCTTATTTTCATGGACTCATGTTATTCTAACATTAACCTTGAAACAAGTGACCATATGGTGAGTGATACTATTATACTGTATTATTGTTTATGTCTCTGTGTGACACTGTTAAGATGCCTGAATTGTTTGGGTAAACCAGGTGGTATTGGTTGGTGGGTGCTTTAAGACTCACTATCTAGAGCATGATCTCTGCAGCCAGTCGCCTGATTTTTGAATCCCAGCTCTGCCCCTTGTTTGCAATGTGACGTCAAGCAAATGACTATTCTGCCTCTGTTTCGTTGTCTAGAAAATGGAAATAATAATTGTACCTACCTCGTGGGTGGCTGTGCCAGTTAAATTAGTTCATAACTAAAGCTTTTAGAACATTGCCAGACTTACAGTAATGATTAGATAAATTTTAGCTATTATTATTACCACCTAGAAGCTTTGGAAATACAGGGATACCTCATTTTATTGCATTCTACTTTATTGTACTTCACAGATATTGTGGGATTTTTTTGTTTTATAAATTGAAGGTTTATTGCAACCCTGCATTGAGCAAGTCTAAGTCTGTTGGTGCCAATTTTTCAACAGCATGTGCTCACTTTGTGTCTTTGTGCCACATTTTGGTAATTCTCCCAATATTTTAAACATTTTATTCATTTTATTTTATTTATTTTTGAGTCGGAGTCTCGCTCTGTCTCCCAGAGCTGCACTGGAGTGAAGTGGCGCCATCTCGGCTCACTACAACCTCCACCTCCTGGGTTCTAGCGATTCTCCCCCTCAGCCTCGTGAGTAGCTGGGATTACAGGTGTGCACCACCATGCCCGGCTAATATTTTTATTTTTAGTAGAGGTGGGGTTTCACTGTGTTGGCCAGACTGGTCTGGAACTCCTAACCTGAAGTGATCTGCCTGCCTCAGCCTCCCAAAGTGCTGGGATTACAGGCATGAGCCACCACACCTGGCCTGAATATTTTAAACTTTTTTTTTTTTTCTGAGAGAGATTTTCACTCTTGTTCCCCAGGCTGGAGTGCAATGGCGTGATTTTGGCTCACTGCAATCTCCGCCTCCGGGGTTCAAGTGATTCTCCTGCCTTAGCCTCCCGAGTAGCTGGGATTACAGGCATGCGCCATCACGCCCTGCTAATTTTGTATTTTTAGTAGAGACGGGGTTTCTCCGTATTGGCTAGGCTGGTCTCGAACTCCTGTTCTCAGATGATCCACCCGCTTCGGCCTCCCAAAGTGCTGGGATTACAGGCATGAGCCACCGCGCCCAGCCTTAAACTTTTAAAATTGTTATCTGTCATGAAGATCTGTGATCAGTGATCATCGATGTTACTTTTTTTTTTCTTTTTTGAGATGGAGTCTCGCTCTGTCGCCCAGGCTGGAGTGCAGTGGTGCGATTTCGGCTCACTGCAAGCTCTGCCTGCCGCGTTCACGCCATTCTCCTGCGTCAGCCTCCCGAGTAGCTGGGACTACAGGTGCCCGCCATCACACCTGGCTAATTTTTTTGTATTTTTAGTAGAGACAGGGTTTCACCGTGTTAGCCAGGTTGGTCTCAATCTCCTGACCTCATGATCCACCCACCTCGGCCTCCCAAAGTGCTGGGATTACAGGCGTGAGCCACCGCGCCCGGCCTGATGTTACTTTTGTAATTGTTTTGGAGCGCCACAAAGCACTCCCATATAAGACGGCGAACTTAATATATACATGTTGTGTATAGATGTGTGTTCAGACTGCTGCCAACTGGGTGTCCCCCCATCTCACCACCTCCTCAGGTCTCTCTGTTACCTCAGACACAACAGTATTGAAGTTAGGTCAGTTAATAACCTGATCATGACCATTAAATGTTCAAGTGACAGGAAGAATTGCACATCTCTCACTTTTAAATCAGAAGCTAGAAATGATGGTTTAGTGAGGAAGGCATGTCAAAAGCCAAGATAGGCTGAATACTAGGCCTATTGCACCAAACGTGGCCAAGTTATGAATGCAAGAAAAGGTTCTTGAAGAAAGTTAAAAGTACAACTCCAGTGAACACATGAATGAGAAGAAAACGAAACAGCTTATTGCTGATATGGAAAAGTTTTAGTGACTCAGATGGAAAATCAACCAGCCGCAACATTCCCTTAAGCCAGAGCCTAATCCCAGAGCAAGACTTTCTCTTTTCACTTCTGTGAAGGCTGAAAAAAGTAAGAAGCTGCAGAAGTGAAGTTTGAAGCTAGCACAGATTGGTTCCTAAAGTTCTTGAAACCATCTCTGTAACATTAAAATGCAAGTTGAAGCAAGTGCTAATGTAGAAGCTGCAGCAAGTTATCTAGAAGATGTAGCCAAGATCACTGATGAAGGTGGCTATATTGAACAGATATTCAGTGTAGCCTTATGTCAGAAAAGATGCCATCTAGGACTTCCATAATTAGGAGAAGTCAGTGCCTGGCTTCAAAAGACAGGCTGACTGTTATTAGGAGCTGGTGTAGCTGGTGAATTTAGGTTGATGCCAGTGCTCATTTACCATTCTAATAATTCTAGGGCCCATAAATTTATGCTAAATCTACTCTGCCTGTGCTCTGTCAGTGGATCAACAAAACCTAGATGACAGCACATCTGTTTACAGAATGGTTTAATGAATATTTTAAGGCCACTGTTGAGACCTACTACTCAAAAGATTTCTTTCAGAATATTACTTCTTGACAGTATACCTGGTCACCTAAGAGCTCTGATGGAAATGTATAAGGAGATAAATGTTGTTTTCATGCTTGCTAACACAACATCTATTCTGCAGCCCCTGGATCAAGGAATCATTTTGATTTTCAAGTCTTATTTAAGAAATATGTTTCATAAGGCTCTAGCTGCTATACATAATAATTCCTCTAGTGGGTCTGGGCAGAGTGAATTGAAAACCTTTCGGAAAGGATTTACCATTCTAAATGCCATTAAGAACATTTGTGATTCATGGGAGGAGGTCAGTACATGAACAGGAGTTTGGAAGATGATTCCAGCCCTCATGGATGACTTTGAGGGGTTCAGGACTTCAGTGGAGGCAGGAACTGCAGATGTGGTAGAAATAGCAAGAGAACTCGAATTAAAAGTGGAGCCTGGAGATGTGACTGGATTGCTGTAATCTCATGATAAAACTTGAACAGATGAGGAGTTGCTGCTTATGGATGAGCAAAGAAAGTGATTTATTGAGATGGAATCTACTCCTGATGAAGATGCTGTGAACATTGTTGAAATGCCAATGAAAGATTTAGAATATTACATAAACGTAGTTGATTAAGCAGTGGCGGGGTTGAAGAGAACTGACTGCAGTTTTGAAAGAAGTTCCACTGTGGGTAAAATGCTATCAAACAGTTTGGCATGCTATAGAAAAATCTCTTAGAAAAGGAAGAGCCAGTCGATGCGTCAGACTTCATGGGTGTGTTATTTGAAGAAATTTGCCACAGCCACCTCAGCCTTCAGCAACCACCACCCTAATTAGTCAGCAGCCATCAACATGGAGGCAAGACCCTCCGTCAGCAAAAAGATTAGGACTCCCTGAAGGCTCAGATGATTGTTAGCATTTTTTAACGATAAAGTATTTTTTAAATTAAGGTATGAACATTGTCTTTTAGACATAATACCATTTCACACTTAGTAGACTGAAGTATAGCGTACACATATAAAAGTTAATATGTGCTGGAAAACCAGAAAATTTGTGTGACTCGCTTTATTGCCACGGTCTGGAACCAGACCCACAATACCTGCAATGTTATGCTTGTGGCTGATTTTTCATAGAATGTTTGTGTCTCTTTGACTTTTTTATTTTCAAAATTTAGGATTGCAGGTGACTCTCCATTGGCTTATTTCAGAATGACTGGGGTTAGGGTGTTTGCTAATTGCATGCCAGTGGTCAGGGAAGAAGGGAAAACTCTTGCACTTTAGAGGCCATCTGCCTCCAAGTAGAGCTCCAACTGTCAGGCCACTGTCCCTCTGTGGGGAGGGTGGGGATTGGTCCTGTGGCTTGTAGTTCTTGCCATATAGATTAAGAATGCGCTCCGTCGGCATTCTTCATTGTGAATTAGAGGATTGATGAGGATTTAACCCTGCTGTGATTTCTATGAATGGACTGTAGATCCCAGGGTGTGGGATCTTTCCTAACTCGAGAATGACAAAAATTACCTGTCACAGAGTGCTGTTACACCAATCAGTAGTTATTTATTGTGTTTTTTAGGGTTTATTTTGTTTGTTTGATAACCTCTTTTCCATTTTTTTCCTTGTTGTCTTTTACTTGTTTTTTTGTTTTTGTTTTTGTTTGTTTTTTTGAAGTGGAATCTCACTGTCACCCAGGCTGGAGTGTGCAGTGGTGAGATCTCGGCTCACTGCAACCTCTGCTTCCTGGGTGTACAAGCAAGTGATTCTCGGATTACAGGTGCCTGCCACCATGCCCAGCTAATTTTTGTATTTTTGGTAGAGACAGGGTTTCACCATGTTGGCCAGGCTGATCTTGAACTCCTGACCTCAAGTGATCTGCCTGCCTCGGCCTCCCAAAGTGCTGGGATTATAGGCGTGAGCCACCATGTCTGGTGTCTTTTACTTATTTTATTATTGGTTCAAGTTTTTACCTGAGAGAGGGAAAGAGGGTGGTAATTCTAACAGTGATAATTTTGATTTATATGGTACTTAGCTGTTTGCAGACTTACTGTGGGACATTCCCGTGTGGTGGCAAGGTAGGTTAACTCCACTTTTGCAGGTGAAGAATGTGAGACATATGGGTTAAATAACTTGCCCAAGTCACAGAACAAGTGGCAAGACTAGGAAGTATTTAGATTTCTTAATTCTAAATGTAGTACTTTTTCCAACAGATGACCCAGAAGAATCAATAGAAAACAAATTTAATAGTGGAAGCAATTGTATGTACAAATAAAATTGTATTTTTTGTTCACTTCGCTTACTAAAATAAAATCCTATTTCTAGATGATTTTCTAAACATGTTTTTCTTGGTCTCTTTGTTCAAGTCATTTAGTTTGACTCTAGGTAAGATAGTACTACTCAATGTTCTTTCTGTCACTTCAGGAGAGAGATGGTGTGCACCAGTTGATACCCAATGTTCCCTTGTTCTTCTCCCTGATATTACATCAGAGAAGTCCCCAGTTGAGAAGGGAGGAGGAAAGTTTTATGGTTACTGTTCCTCAAATCTCTTGGGAAAGACAGCAAACTGCTGTCAGGAGTAGTTTTCTTTTGTCTCAGTGTCTGTTACATTTATACATGGCACCCTCCTTATCATAGTTATGGCTTGCACCCTAAAATAAGGTCTAGAGCGACAGACATTTACAAAGTTCTTTTTTTTTTTTTTTTTGAGACAGAGTCTCATTCTGTTGGCCAGACTGGAGTGCAGTGGCACGATCTCGGCTCACTGCAACTTCTGTCTCCTGGGCTCAAGCAATTCTCCTGCCTCAGCCTCCCGAGTATGTGGGACTACAGGCATGCGCCACTATGCCTGGCTAATTCTTGTATTTTTTTTAGTAGAGGTGGGGTTTCACCATGTTGGCCAGGCTTGTCTTGAACTCCTGACCTCGTGATCCGCCTGCCCTGCCCTCCAAAAGTTCTGGGATTTACAGGCGTGAGCCACTGCACCCGGCACAAAGTTCTTATGCTACCGAAATGATCTTTTTGTTCTTCTGACCCTAATTATTAGGTTTTCTGACCCTAAATTAATTTGCTAATTCTTGATGCTCTTCTTGGATACTTAGATGTAACTATTTCACCTTAGTTTGGAGTTAGCATTTTGATGTTTTTAATATATTTGAAATAATCCTGCAAACTATTTTTTGGTTTGGGCTTTTAAGTGGGACGCTCAATCTTCAGAAGGACTTTTAGCTTATGGACACTTAAAAAAAGCAAGAACTAGCACATTGTTTCTTGGTATTTTGGAATTGTGGTGAGTTTGAGGCAACCGTGGAAGTGTAGAGTGTGTTGACTCACCTCCGCTCCTCCTAACTCCTGTGTTCATTTCACAGGAATTAATCGTCCAGACAATATTCCTCCCATGCCTGCATCCCCAGCCATATGGAGAGGACCCCATAAACTGTAAAAAGGTTCATTGGCTTTTATCTGGAGGGGACTAAACCCATAGAACTCGGTTCTGCTTTTTGCTTCATTTGACAGGTTGACCTATGGTGTTGGTACGTCCAGTAAAATCAAGTCTAAATGCTTTGGTTGACTGCATTTCTCATTGCTTTGCTCAGGAAGGCCAAGGACACATTAAAATCTGTTTGTCCCCTCCTATATTTTCTTTCTAAGGTTGTTAGCCAGCACTTTTGTTTTACAGTGTGTTTTTGTTTGGACTCGACTTCTGCTCGTAAATTAGGATGTGGTCAGTTAAGAGCATTTTGAATTTTAAACGTGTCTGTTTCACTGGTTTTGTGTCTCCATGTTTATGTATAGGGAAAGTAAGTTTTCATGTTTTTACATTTTGTTTGTACTAAACTTAAGTGCTTTCTTTCAAGGGCTAGAGGCATTGAAAGTAATTTTAAAAACTCTAAAGAAACCTTTTTATTCTCATTGCTTACATTTTTAATAACAAGTTAGGTAGCTTTTATTCTTCAGAAGTGGGATTTATTATGTAAAGCCACTTTTTGGAAGAGGTGAAAATTAACCTGCCTTTCCTTATGCCTCAGTGAGAGGTGAGGTTCAGAGCAGAGAATGCAGGTAGGGATTATGGAAACCCTTTCTTGGTATTAATTTTCCTCACAGATTAAAACTTTTGGTCTTCATCTGTTACCTTTACATTTGTCAGAAAGAGAATTTATATTGTCAACTTAATTCACCCAGTGTTCGATTGCTTGCTCTGTGCGTGGCAGTAAGAGAACTAAGGTCCCACGCTGTGGGGGAAATAGAAGGGTAGATAACTCTGGTAATGCTTATCATGGCTTGTGTTCTAGGAAGGTGTTAAGGGAAAAGTGCGATTTGCACTGGACTTGAAAGGTGAGTGGTATGTCAGCAAAGCTGGTATTATTCACGCAGAAGGACCAGGCTGAACAAACGAAAAGGTGCAGAAGGTGCCTGCTGGGTGTGCTGGGAATACACAGAACATTGCTAAGAACAGTAGAAGTTAGGGCACATTCCTTGTTAGTCCCAGCCTGTCTTCCTTACTGACTGGCTGTATAACCTTATGAGAGTTACTAAACTTTCTGAGCCTTTGTTTCCTCATCTGCAGAATGGCTAGTTACTGCATAATAGAGTTAAGATTAAATGAGACTATAATATATTGCATTGCAGCTGGGTGTGATGGCTCACACCTGTAATCCTAGCACTTTGGGAGGCCGAGGCAGGTGGATGACTTCAGGTCAGGAGTCCGAGACCAGTCTGGCCAACATGGTTAAAACCTCGCCTCTACTAAAAATACAAAAATTAGCCGGGTATTGTGGCACAAGCCTGTAATCTCAGCTACTTGGGAGACTGAGGCAGGAGAATTGCTTGAACCAGGGAGGCAGAGGTTGCACTGAGCCGAGATTGCACCAGTGCACTCCAGCCTGGACGACAGAGGGAGACTCTGTCTCAAAACAAACAAAAAATATTGCATTGCACATAATTTAAACACTCAATAAAAGTAGTTGCAATTATTGTTTTCTTTTAAATTTTATTTGTTTTAAAATTAGCATGTTGGTCAAACTAGTTTTTTTTTTTTTTTTTCTTTTTGGAGACGGAGTCTTGCTCTGTTGCCCAGGCTGGAGCGCAGTGGCACGATCTAGGCTCACTGCAAGCTCCGCCTCCCGGGTTGCTGGGACCACAGGTGCCCGCCACCACGCCGTGCTAATTTTTTTGTATTTTTTTTAGTAGAGATGGGGTTTCACCGTGTTAGACAGGATGGTCTCGATCTCCTGACCTCGTGATCCGCCCGCCTCGACCTCCCAAAGTGCTGGGATTACGGGCGTGAGCCACTGCGCCCGGCCGATCGAACTAGTTGCTGAAAGATGACTATGCCCTGTAATCCCACCCCCAAAACATCTGTTGTCAGCAGTTGAATGAATATCAGTCGTCTTTCTAATTTTCATCTCTGGCACCTTTGGTGCTGGTGGTACGTTGTTTTTTTTTTGTTTTGGTACAATCATGCCTCAGTTAACAACAGAATATTTCTAAGAAGTGCATCATTGAGTGATTTTTGTCGTTGTTCTAACATCTTAGGATGTACTTACACACACCTAGCCTGGGTGTAGCCGACTGCCCATCTAGGCTATGTGGTATAGCCTATTGCTCCTAGGATACAAACCTGTACCGCATGTTACTGTACTGAATGCTGTAGGAGATTGTAAAAGAGTGGTAAGTATGTATCTGCATATGTCTAAACATAGAGAAGGTACAGTAAAAATAAGGTATAAAAGATAAGGAAGTTGTTCTGGGTGAGTCAGTGAGTGAATGGTGAATGAAGGTAAAGGCCCAGGACGTTACTGCACACTACTGTAGATGTATAAACACTGTACATTTGGACTACACTAAATTTATTTTTTAAAGTTTTCTTGTTTTGATATTATTAACCTTAGATTACTGTAACTTTTTTTTTTTTTTTTTTGAGACGGAGTCTCTCTCTGTCGCCCAGGCTGGAGTGCGGTGGCTTGATCTTGGCTCACTGCAAGCTCCGCCTCCCGGGTTCACGTCATTCTTCTGCCTCAGCCTCTCGAGTAGCTGGGACTACAGGTGCCCGCCACCACACCTGGCTAATTTTTTGTATTTTTAGTAGAGACGGGGTTTCACCGTATTAGCCAGGATGGTCTTGATCTGCTGACCTTGTGATCCACCCGCCTGGGCCTCTCAAAATGCTGGGATTACAGGCATGAGCCACCAGTCCCTGGCCAGATTACTGTAACTTTTTTACTTTAAAAACTTTAAAAATTTGTAACCTTTTGACTCTTGTAATAACACTTAGCTTAAACCACAAATACATTGTGCAGCTGTTCAAAAATATTTTCTGTCATTGTGTTATTCTATAAACTTTTTTATGATTATTATTAATTACTCTTAGAGATAAGGTCTTACTCTGTTCCAGGCTGGAGTGCAGTGGCACAGTCATAGCTCCCTGTAACCTCAAACTCCTGGGCTCAAGCAACCCTCACTTAAGCCTCCTGAGTAGCTAGGACTACAGGTGCATACCACCGTGCTTGGCTACGTTTTTTTAGTTTTTATAGAGCTGGAGTCATGCTATGTTGCCCAGGCTGGTCTCAAACTCCTGGCATCAAGCAATCCTTTCTCCTCTGCCTCCCAAAAGTTCTGGAATTGTAGGTGTGAGCCACCAGGCCTAGCCACTTTATAAGCTTTTTTTTCTATTTATTATCATTATTTGAGACAGAGTCTTGCTGTGTCGCCCAGGTTGGAGTGGAATGGTGCAGTCTCAGCTCACTGCAGCCTCCATGTCGCGAGTTCAAGCGATTCTCCTGCCTTAGCCTCCCAAGTAGTTGGTACTACAGGCACACGCCATTACACCTGGCTAATTTTTGTGTTTTTTTTAGTAGAGACGGGGTTTCACCGTGTTGGCCAGGCTGGTCTGGAATTCCAGACCCCATGTGATCCACCCACCTTGGCCTTCCAAAGTACTGGGATTACAGACGTGAGCCACCTCACCGAGCCATATTTAAATATTTTTTATTTTTTATTTTTTCACTTTTTAAACACTTTTGTTAAAAACTAAGACACAAACACATGCATTAGCCTAAACCTACACAGGGTCAGAATAATCAATATCACTGTCTTCCAGCTTCACATCTTGGCCCACTGGAAGGTCTTTAGGGTCAGTAACACACATGGAGCTATCATCTCCTATGATAACAGTGTCTTTTGTTTGTTTGCTTTGGTTTTTTTTTTGAGACAGTCTCTCTCTGTCGCCCAGACTGGAGTGCAGTGGCATGATCTCGGCTCACTGCAACCTCCACCTCCCAGGTTCAAGCGATTCTCTGCCTCAGCCTCCTGAGTAGCTAGGACTTATAGGCACATGCTCCCACACCCAGCTTTAGTTAACTATTTTTATAAGTAGAATACATAGTATACATAACATAGAATTCTACATAGGATATGTAAACCAGTAACATAGTTTATTTTCAAGTATTATGTACTGTACATAGTTGTATGTGCTATGCTTTTATACCACTGGCAGTATATTAGGTTTACACTTGCATGACCATAAACAAGGAGGTAATATGTTGCATTATGACAGCTACAGCATCACCAGGCAATAGGAGTTTTTCAGCTCCATTGTACTCTGATGGGACCACCATTGTGTACGTGGTCATTGTTGACAGAAATGTGTTATGTAGCACGTGACTATTTTTATTGCTGTTGCTTCAACTTTAAGGTGTTTGGGAGGCAGGGAAGGGAAAGCTGTGTGGTACACCTGGAAGACAAGTCTGCATGTGCTGTACTAATAATTGGGAGCCAGTGAAGGTTTTAAAATAGGGGGTGAATTAATCAGATCTTTTTCAGTAAGATGCTGAAATGCAAGCTGGATTGGAGGGAAGTCTAGTAGCAGAGCAACAAGTGTTTGCTTGGCTGCTGTTTGAGGACCTTGTAGATGTGAGACATGTTTGTTACATGCCTTCAACAATACATGGCTCAGCTGGGGAGATAAGGCATTCATACCAAGTGGGGAAATAAGGACACAGCCACCAGGTAATGGTGTATGGACAAGAAGTGCTGTAGCTGTTTGGGGAAGGCAAGATCACCAAGCTGAGCCGTTTTCCTGAAGCCTTCAGTGAGGAAGCCAAATGGCCTTGAGGAATGACTCAGATTTGGAAAGTGTTTTGGGGAGAGGCCAAGCACAAATCAAGAGGTCGGAGCGCATGGTCTGTGTGGAGTGGTGGGTTTGGCCAATAGTGAGCAGTATGGTTGGAAAGGAAAATTGCCGTGGCCTTCAACAAACCTGTTGTTACGCACCCTATCTTCTGACCCTCTCTCTTCACTGTACTGTACCTGCGTTACTCTCTTGCAGTTTGAGGCTTTTCAGGATAGAACAGTGTCCTAGTTATTTTCCCAGGTCTAGTAAACAGCCCAGCACATAGTAGATGCTTAAAAACAACAATAAAAGAATGATTGGATATTTGCTGTTTATGGAAGTTACAGACTGGATATCCTGCCGTTCCCTTAAACTTAGATCTCAAATAAAATCCTAATATCACCTCTCTCCTTCCCTTTTTTATTCTGTGCTAAGTTTAAACAGGTTAGGTGCCCCTCTGCTCCCACAGCTGTGTGCTTACCTTGCCATTCCATAATTATGGACATCTCTGCTGTGATCATACTGCATGACTCTCACCAGCACGTTGGATGTCCAACATGTCACATTTGCTTGGGACCCCCCCACTGCCTTTCCTCCTTCCTACTTCTTCACTCTCCTTTTCTGGCTTCTTTTCCTCTTCTCCACCTTCTAAATGATAGAGTGATTGCAGGGATCAGTCACTCCAAGTTAGCCTCTAGACCAGTGGTTTTAAATCTTTTTGTTCAGCCATACCAAATGCCGGACAAGTACAAACACACTACACCGTCTTGTGCACACAGACACAACAGAAACAAAAGTTTCACAAAACGGTTCTTATACTTCATGAGCCGTGGACTCTGTTATTTTCCATTCTGCTCTATTTCATTTTTTTTTAAGTGCTGTTCATGACCCACTAAATTGATTTCACAGCCTGCAGTTTGAAAAACTGCTCTGGGTGATCTCATCTACTCTGTTGGCTTTAAATACTACCTCTGTGCTAATGACCTTCCCATTTTTATCTCTACTCCACCTTTCCTTGGAGATCCTGTCGCATTGGCTGTCTCCCTGCTGTTTCCATGTGGATGTGCAATGGGAATCGCGTGTTGCCATGTTTGGCAAAGCACTCTTGATTCCCTTTACCAGCCTCGTTCCTCTTCACAAATGGTGCAGTGTTTGCAGTTGTTCTGTAAGGGATGGTGAATGGAGTACAAGCTCCCCAGTCACTGCCTAAGCTCAGATCTGAGGCCTTGGGCAGCTACACAACCTCTCTCTACCATGTTGTCTTCATTTGAATAAAGTGGGGTTGTCACTTGTACCTCTTGGGATTATTGTGACAGTTGAATGAATTTTCACCTGAAAAGACATGGAGCAGTGGCTGGCACATGGCTTGTGTTTAACTAGTGTTGGCTGCTGCTGTTTATCATTGTTGTTATGACTCTCATGTCCACTTCTGATCCGTTAGCAATTTCTGTTGGCTCTGACTTCAGACTGTGTCCGTTTTGACTGTGTGTCACTACCTCCATCAACACCACATTCACCCATGCAGCCAACGTCCCTTAACCAGACTACCAACTAACTAATTCCCTGCTCTGTCCTTGCCCCTCCCCTGGTCTGTTTTCCACAAAACAGCCAGAGGAGCCATTTAAGAACTGAAACCAGATCATGCCACTCTATAGTTTAAAACCCTCCAAAGGCTTCTAATAAAATCTGAACTTCCCCATGTGGCTCTTACTTTTTATAAGACCTTTCACTGGTACTTCACAAACAGTAACATATGTGTGACTTGCTAGTGACCTTGTTAACATGCAGAATCTGATCCTGTAGGTCTGTGGGGCCTGAGACACTACATCTCTAATAAGCTTGACCAGGTGAATGTGGTAAATATCAGCAGTAGTGGGATGGGTTGCCATCAGTCTTCTTCTTATGCAATGTCCTGGGAAGAATACAGCACCATGTGTCTGGTATTGCCGCTAAGGAAGCATGACCTGAGTCTGGTCACGAGGAAATACAGATCAGATTGAGGGTTATCCTGCAAAATGAAAAGACTGTACTCTGGCAGGGACATGGAAGTCAGGAAGAGAAAAGGGAACTATTCCAGATTGATTGACACTGGTGAGATGTAGCTCTGGGGTAGACTCCTGGACTAGAAAGGAAAGACATTGTTGGGACAGCTGACAAAATTCAAATGGGGTCTATGGATTGGATTGAGAGTGTAGTATCAGTGTTGATTTCCTGATGTGGAGGCTTGTATGCTGGTTATGGAGGAGAATGTCCTTGTTTTTGGAAATAACGCACTAGAGTATTGAGCAACAATGGAGCTTCATGCCTTCAGCCTGCTCTCAAAGGGGTCAGGAAAAGATAATGGAGCAAATGAGGTAAAGCATCAGTTGGAGAATCTCGTTGAAAGAGGGTATGTGAGCCCTTTGAACTATTTTTGCACTTTTCTGTACATTTGAAGTAATTTAAAATTACTATTTTTTTTTGAGAGAGGCTGTTGCTCTGTCTCCCAGGCTGGAGTGCAATGGAACGATCTTAGCTCACTGCAGCCTCCAGAGTTCAAGTGATTCTTGTGCCTCAGCCACTCGAGTAGCTAGGATTACGGGCATGTGCCACCATGCCCAGCTAATTTTTGTATTTTTAGTAGAGACGGGGTTTCACTGTAATGGCCAGGCTGGTCTTGAACTCCTGGCCTCGTGTGTTCTGCCTGCCTTGGCCTCTCAAAGTGCTGGGATTACAGGCGTGAGCCACCACGCCCAGTCTTAAAAATTATTTTTTAATATCCTATTGAGATTTTGACTGGAACCTATTAGAATTTTATAAACTAATATGTGGAGACTTAACGTCTTTACAATACTAGCCCTTTTTATCTAGCTATACCATTTGTTCTGCTAGTTTGTTTCTTTCCTTTTGTTTTGAGCTTTTTTGGGTTGTTCAGTGAAGTCTCTAATTTTCATATAGCTTTTGCCCACTTCTGCTTTGGATTGGTCATTGATATCTTTTGAATTTTAATTCAGAATTGTATTTGTTTGTTTTATTATTATTTCTTTTTAAGAGACAGAATCTCACTCTGTCACCCACGCTGGATGGAGTTCAGTGGCGTGATCTTGGCTCACTGCAACCTCCACCTCCTGTGTTCAAGCGATTCTCCTGCCACAGCCTCCTGAGTAGCTGGGATTATAGGTTTCCGCCACCGTATGTGGCCAGTTTTTGTATTTTTAGTAGAGACAGCATTTCACCATGTTGGCCAGGCTGGTCTTGAACTTCTGACCTCAGGTGTGATCTGCCTGCCTCAGCCTTCCGAAGTGCTGGGATTACAGGCTTGAGCCACCAGGCCCGGCCTCAAAATTATATTTGAATGAATTATAAAATGGAACATCCTTTTAGCCTATAAGTGGCAACACTAATTACCTCCCTTTTGCCTCTGAAGGTTTAGAAATTATGTATTAATACAACCTTTGAATGAAAAAATATATTCAATGACATCTCAGAAGCCCCTACGCTCAGCATTTAAGAAAATCCCACAGGAGCCTCTAGCTAGCCCCAGAGATGTCCTGCTCCCACCCTTCTCCTGCCCCCTTTTTGGGAACTGTTTGGCCATCCTGCTCACATATGTGGTCATCTGAAGTGATCTTGGGATGCCCCTGTGAAAATAAGACAGATAGCCATGGAGTGGGGGTGGGGCCAGGATAGGGCCCAGGTGCCTTTGGTCTGCTCAGGAGCAGATTTATAGCATCTCCTTGCAGAGTTACAGAAGCATGTGGTGGATATAGGATGCTTGCAGCCTCTTGGCTGTTTGAAATTATGCCTAATAATAGGCCTGCCGACTGTGGGTTGGAATTCAGCTGACTTTAGGCCTGATTCTCAAAAAATAATTTTGAGCTAGTGACCCTGTGTGCACACTTGCCTGGGCACTGTGGTGTCCAACAACCCTGTGTGTGGCATTGGCACCAGGTTTCCTGAAGTAGAGGTCCTGTCTGGCAGGCTCCTCCCTTCCCTCCTGCTTCTGACTTGTGGGGTCCCCTGTGCCTCTATTTCTTTCCCTTGGGCAGAGCAGCACTTTGCTGTCAGTAGGAACAGATAAAGCTCTGATACTGTTGAGATAGTTCAAGGGTTGTAATTTTTTTTTTTTTTTTTTTTTTGAGACGGAGTCTCGCTCTGTCGCCCAGGCCGGACTGCGGACTGCAGTGGCGCAATCTCGGCTCACTGCAAGCTCCGCCTCCCGGGTTCACGCCATTCTCCTGCCTCAGCCTCCCGAGTAGCTGGGACTACAGGCGCCCGCCACCGCGCCCGGCTAATTTTTTGTATTTTTAGTAGAGACGGGGTTTCACCTTGTTAGCCAGGATGGTCTCGATCTCCTGACCTCATGATCCACCCGCCTCGGCCTCCCAAAGTGCTGGGATTACAGGTGTGAGCCACCGCGCCCGGCCTAAGGGTTGTAATTTTTAAATGAGGTTAATGACATTTTGGCTGAGCACTGTGGCTCACCCTGTAATCGCAGCACTTTGGGAAGCCAAGACAGGTGGATCACTTGAGGTCAGGAGTTCAAGACCAGCCTGGCCAACATGGCGAAATGCTGTCTCTACTAAAAATACAAAAATTAGCCGGACGTGGTGGCAGGCACCTGTAATCTCAGCTACTTGGGAGGCTGAGGCAGGAGAATTGCTTGAACCTGGGAGGCAGAGGCTACAGTGAGCCAAGATTGCACCACTGCACTCCAGCAGTGCAGTGTAAGACTCTGTCTCAAAAAAAAAAAAAAAAAGTGATTATTTCCTACACAAAAATTAATGTAAATAGAAATGAAAAGGGGAAAAAATACTTCCACAACACTGCCATCTTGGATAGTCCAGAAGTTTTCCTTTTTTCTCCATTATTCCCTTTGGCCTGGGACTAAATGAATGCCTCATTTTCAGATAGTTATAATCATAGCACAGGTATAAGTTTACGTGAGCTGCTCTTTTCATCTGATACTATGTAATTTTCTATGGTGCTAGAGTCTTTGCAATTGTTTAAAATGATTATGTACTATTTCTTTGAGTGGATATACCATAATTTGTTTAATCAATTTTCAAATAGGTTGTTGCCAGTTTTTTCTTCTAATACATATTACTGGAGTGAATATGTTGGTATTTTGTTTTTTTGTTTGGTTGACTGTTTTATTACCAGTTTTCTTTTCCAAGAGTCATAATCATTTATGGTGCTTTTTTTTTTTTTTTTTTTTTTTTTTTGTACCAGCTTTAGCCTAACCTAACCAGATGGGATATCATCTTTTAAATTTTTTAGGAAATTTTTTTTTTGAGACAGAGTCTCGCTTGTTGCCCAGGCTGGAGTGCAGTGGTGCGATCTCACTGCAATCTCTGCCTCCCAGGTTCACGCCATTCTCCTGCCTCAGCCTCCTGAGTAGCTGGGACTACAGGTGCCTACCACCACGCCCGACTAATTTTTTTGTATTTTTAGTAGAGACGGGGTTTCACTGTGTTAGCCAGGATGGTCTCAATCTCCTGACCTCGTTATCCGCCCACCTCGGCCTCCCAAAGTGCTGGTATTACAGGCGTGAGCCACTGCGCCTGGCCAGGAAATGTAATAGTTACAAATTTATCCCCCTAGTTTTTGCCTGCATGTATTTGGTCATGATTCAAGGTGGATATTTTTTATGGCTTACATGGCTAATATGAGTTTTGACACCCAGAAAGCAATCTTTTTAGATATGCAGCATTCTTGTGGGTTTCTTTCCTTCTAGACAAGGAACTGACTTGCGAATTCTGAGTTGCTTTCAGACTCTTCTGATCTCCCAAGTCAGGGAGGAAGCCAGCACCTTCATTACACTTCATTTTATTCTGAAGTCCTATTACACTAAGATAACTTTTAGCCACTGAGAAAAATATAGGCTCTGCCCATGTGCAAACAGGACATAGAGTATGAAATATTAAGTCACTGAGCAGATCTTTATGCTTGATACACTTAGGAAGATCCCACATTTGCACATACACAAAACAAACGATACAGGTGTTACAGATATATCTAGGTACAAGCAGTCAACTAAATTCTAGCAAGATTCCTCAAGATTCCTTTCTAAAATGCTTCCCAATGTCACAGATTGGGAAATACAGACTGGGTTTTGCAGTGGGCATATTATATATCTTATCTCATTGTTTACCATGAATATTTTGCTTGTTTAACTTCTGAGTCTCCATTTACAAAAAGGATTACTAACATTTCTTAGATCATGGTAAGGATGAAATGCATTAACATTTGTGTAAAGCACCTGATAGTGTGTCACATGTGTGAGGCATGGCAATAATTGATAGCTACAGTTATTAGAGATCTGACCCAAGTGTGTGTCAGGATTTTCAAAAATATGCATTTGGATCTTCCTTGCCTAATTTTGTGGTACAGTGAAAGAAAGGGTTATGGGCTCTAGAATCAGAAGAATTGGAGTTACAGAATGTCAGCTCCAACTTGTCCTAGAGGAGTGACTTTTGGAAAATTTGGACTTTTGGAAAAAATTACATTAATTTTTCCCCCTCATTCATTAATTGAGTTACAGGTAAAACCACACAGTGACTAACATATATAGATTGCTAAATAAATGGCAATTATTTATTTATTTACTGGGACAGGTCTTACTGTAGCACCCAGGCTGGAGTGTAGTAGCGTGCAGCCTCGGCTCACTGCAACCTCTGCCTCCCAGGCTCAAGTGATCCTCCTGCCTCAGCCTCTGGAGTGGCTGGGACTACAGGCACAAGCCAGCACACCCAGCTAATTCTTTTGTATTTTTTGTGGAGACGGGGTCTTGTTATGTTGCCCATGCTGGTCTCCTGAGCTCAAACAGTCTGCCTGCCTCGGCCTCCCAAAGTGCTGGGATTACAGGTGTGAGCCACTGTGGCCGGCCAGCAATTTTTATTATATCAGTGGTACATACCTTAGATACTGGTTAAAGGTAAATACTTTAATTGGTTTGTTTTTACTAAGCAAGGTAAAGCCAACACATTCTCTGCTTAGAGGAAGATTTGTAGAGAAAATCACATGGATAACACATTTTAGGAGCTCTTAAGATACAGCAGGACACATTCTAAGAGCTCTTAAGAACCATATGATCTCATGTGGCAAGAAGGAATTTATGGGCCTGGGGATGCTTAAAAGGCTCCAAGTTGAGACCAAGGTGAGAGTGGGCCGATGGCACAAAGGGGGCTGAGCAGGCTTGTTTGAGAGGGTGGGGAGAAGCAGAAATTGTGTTGGGAAGATGTCACAGGGCTTCAGGGCCTATGGGGGGGTGTGATGGTGTCAAAATGGCAGTTAAGCAAAAGAAAGTACTGGGAAAGAGAACTTTTCAGGTGTTATTCTAGCCCAAGAAAGATGAAAATGACAGTGACGAGAATGGAATGGGAAAGGACAAATACAGGAAGGAGAGTAGTGTCATGATGAGGTAGCATGGTAAATACAGAGTCAAAGTGAAAGGTCAGTTTGGGGTTATTCTAAAGCTTCTTGCTTGGGATGATCATGGTTTTCTTTGAGAATAGGCAGTTGGGTCAGTTGAGGAAGAACAACCTTATCTTTGTCATTGAAAATGAGTTAGTTACTGCCTAATAATAAATGCATTTGTTGTCTTTTAGAAATGATTACAGTCACAAGTGACACTGTCCAGAGTCCTTAAGTACTGATCTGTCTAGAGGGCCAGAGGCCTTGCTCTGTCTCTGCATGGTCATTAAAACCTTTGCCATATGGGGCCGGGCGCGGTGGCTCATGCCTGTAATCCCAGCACTTTGGGAGGCTGAGGCGGGCGGATCATGAGGTCAGGAGATCGAGACCATCCTGGCTAACACGGTGAAACCCTGTCTCTACTAAAAATACAAAAAATCAGCCAGGCACGGTGGTGGGCGCCTGTAGTCCCAGCTACTTGGGAGGCTGAGGCAGGAGAATGACGTGAACCCGGGAGGCGGAGCTTGCAGTGAGCCGAGATATCGCCACTGCACTCCAGCCTGGGCAACAGAACGAGACTCCGTCTCAAAAAAAAAAAAAAAAACCCTTTGCCATATGGTTAATAAGCCCTATAGACCCCACATCCTTGGCATTCAGAGCCCAGCACCTGCCTGCAACTCTCTTCATAGTATCTCATCCAATTTTGGACTTTGGGCATTTCTTACTTTCTTGCAACTTGGCTATACATTTTGTCTGACATTTCTAAGTGTTTTGTTGAGGGAGGATTTTTAGTCCCTGTTCTATGTCATAGTGCATGAAATAGAAGTCTCTCATTCCCCAAGTGGCAATAGTCTACTCTGAAATCCTAGGAATGAGAAGAACTCTTATCAGTCAGGGTCCCAGTAGAAAACAGATGGCACATTCAAACTGGGTAATTTAAGGAGTGTTTAATTGTATCATTCAGGGTTCATTCAGGAAAAGAGAAGTTGTCTATTCCGGTATGAATGGTTTTGATACAGGAATTAAGGCTTTACCCAACCCTGGAAGAACTGGAATTGGGAAGGTTCCTGATGATTTCATACTGAAGTGTCATAGTGAATGGTTCTCGTGAGCTCATGGGGAAGCCGCTATGAATCCACGTGTGCTGCATCTACCTCCAGGGAATATCATCAACCTCTACGTTTATTTTGCCTTCTAAATCTCTCTTGCACTTCTCATTGCAAACTCTAACCCAGAACCATGCTGCTAAAGGGTTCTGGAACGGAAGTTCTCAGCTTCTGATCTGCAGAGGAGAGCTTGGAAGGAGGGTGGTCACGATGCTGAGTTGACAACAATGCAGAAGATTAATAAAGGGACTGGAAAGGGTGAGCAGGGTTTGGGGAAGCCAACAGGAAAGTGAAGTCTTCTGTGCTAGCAGTAGCAGGGAGTTGTTACCTACTGCCTTCTAGACCTGAAGGGCAGAGGATGAAGTGGTTCCTGGAGTTTGGAGAAAGTGGCTATATGTTGAGGTTGCCCGATGGAGCTGCAGCCATTGGTGGAGGGTCTCAGCCAGCCTCAGTAACCTCGGGGTGGGAGCCAGGAGAGTAAGTTCCTCTCACTTTCCTCCTCTCCTGCCTCTTACCAGCCAAACTGGGTCAGAAGGCAAGGGTGGTGGGGCCTGTCAGTTGTCCTTCCATTGTCCGTTCTAGGGCATAGAGTAGGGTGGAGATGGGTGAGGAGAGGCTGTGGGGGCAAACAGGGAATATCCCTTACACAGGCTATAACTAGATGCATCATTGTCAATGTCTTGAGGATTTAAAGGCAAAGAAGGAGAATAAGCAGAAAATCATGACAGAGGATGAAAAAATTAGCTGGGGCCAGGCACAATGGCTGAATTCTAGCACTTTGGGAGGTTGAAACAGCAGGATGGCTTGAGCCCAGGAGTTTGAGACCAGCCTGGACAGCACAGTGAGACTCTGTCTCTATTTTTAAGAAATTATAAAAATTAGCCATAGTCCCAATTATTTTTTAAAAATTAGCCAGGGGTCCCATGCCTGTGGTCCCAGCTACTTGGGAGGCTGAGGCAGGAGGATTGCCTGAGCTGGGAGTTGAGGCCGCAGTGAGCCTGTGGTCATGCCACTGCACTCCAGCCTGGGCAACAGAGTGAGACTCTCTTTCCAAAAAAGAGAATGGATTGGGAAGTGGGATGTTGTTGGACATATGGAGGAAGAAGGACAGAGAAAGCCAATGTTGGTTTTCTATAAGAGGGCAAGGTCATCAGCCCTCTAATAGGATGGGGAGAACAAGTCTGCAGCTGGTTATGAGTGAGTTTGTGAGGTCGGCACATGGACTCTGGAATGTTTAGGCACAGAGTTCTGGACCTCACTAATACACCTCCACAGCCCTTCTGAAACTGTTCAGAAAGTTAGGAATATAGGAGAAAAACAGGAAAGGGAGAGTCATTATGGATGGGAAGTACATCGGTAGGCCTCTTTTTTATTTATTTATTGAGACGGAATCTCGCTTTGTTGCCCAGGCTGGAGGGCAGTGGCGCGATCTCTGCTCACTGCAACCTCTGCCTCCGAGGCTCAGGCGATCCTCCTGCCTCAGCCCCCCGAGGTGCTGGGACTACAGGCACGCATCACCATGCCTGGCTAATTTTTGTATTTTTTATAAAGATAGGGTTTCGCCATGTTGCCCAGGCTGGTCTCGAACTCCTGAGCCCAAGTGATCTGCCCGCCTTGACCTCCCAAAGTTCAGGGATTACAGGGGTGAGCCACTGTGCCCAGCCTCTTTTTTAGAGTGTGTATGCAAGTTCCTTAGGTGACTTATTCCTTTGAGGTATCAGATTTTCCTTACTATTTGTATTCATTTAAACAAAGGAATTCAGGCACTTATTATTACTAATCACAGTGCTTTAAAACTGACTACACTGATGCTTTTTTTAAGATGATGGGATAAAATTGGAATTATCTCTATTAGCTTTTTTTTTTTTTTTTTTTTTTTTTTGAGACAGGGTTACTGTCACCCAGGGTGGAGCACATTGGCACATTCATAGCTCGTTGCAGCCTCGAACTCCTGAGTTCAAGCAATCGTCCTACCTCAGCCTCTTGAGCAGCTGGGACTGTAGGCACACCTCATGACACTGTGCATTTAAAATTTTTTTTAACCCAGGCTGGTCTTGAACTCCTGACCTCAAGCGATCCTCACACCTCAGCCTCCCAAAACACTGGGATTACAGGTGTGAGCCACCACACCCAGCCTATTACTTATTTTATAGCTCCAGGTTTACATTTTCTGTCGTTGGTATATGCTAGTTGGTTTTCTTAATTGGTTTACTTGGCATTCCTAAAAAAGATAAACCTGGGCAACCACCTTCTCCTACTCAGGTGCTTCATGTATACTAAGAATATTTAGCATGACTGGAACCCTGCAGGAGGTATTTGGCCTTGGATTTTTTTTTTTTCTTTTTCATAAAGTAGAACCATAACAATAGGGAAAGGGGTATCATACAGGACAGGGAATCTGCAGGGGAAGGCTGAGAACAGACCTAAGAAGGAGTCCTTCCTGTATCTGTTTTCCCTGTCTGGAGATAGGGCAGCCTCAGGCCTGATACCCTGATGTTTAAAGTGGCCTTTAGCTCTTGGTGGCTCCTATTTAGGAAGAATATGGAGCAAGTGGCAACATTGTTTATACACTCAGATCTTCAGAAGCCTGATTTTATTTCCAGAAGGATTAATTAAACAACATGTAACATAGCTTTTTATAGAGAATATCTCTTGAGAAGGCTTTTCATTAGTTTAAACTGCTAGCTTTAATGTTTTTGTTCAATTTAGCCCCCATTCAGCCTTGTTTTATCTAGAGAAGGCCACTGGCACTGAGGAGTAGAGCAGGAGCACATCACAAGGGGAAAAAATTAATACTCATGTAGACAGAATTGCTCTTGATAGTTCTAAGAATGATGGGGAGCGGGTGAAGAGCCAGCTGGAACAGTATGGAGGTCCTTATAAGAGGGTGGCAGTGAAGGGACAGATTTATTGTGGGTGGCTACCCACTTTCAAGGCCAAACTGACAGGACAACTGGTATTTTTTACTGACCATGTGGAAGACCCTCTGGGCAATGTAATGTTAAAAACATGTCCTGCCCCCAGCCCTGCTGCCTAGGAGCTTTGTGAACTCTGCTTCTGTTTCCTCATCTGTAAAAGGAGCGTGCTAGTGTTGTGAGGATTAAATGAGTTAGTGTATGTGAAGTGCTGGAACAGTGTCAAGCAGCATCATCACCATTTGAATAGCTATTACCTACTGCCCTGCAGATTCACTGGAACAAAGCAACAGAGGCATTTTGAATAGGATGAGAAGTTTCCTTTAGATTCTGACATTATTTGCACATGAATGTTTAGCGATTGTTTTGGGTCACATGACTATATAATCAAGCTTAAGGAAGTAGACCCTTGTCTAGCTGTTTTAGACTTACGATATTTCAAGATATGGGTCAAGCTTTTAGAATTTGGGGTTACTGGCCATCTTCTGCTCTAATCAATATTTACTTTCTGAAGTCTTTCCTCAGTTCTCATGTGGACTCAAGCTGGGTCTTTCCCTTAGAACCGGACTCATGGGATTTTACAGGCAAGGTCTTCAGCATCCTCCAGCTCTGCTTTTAGGTTGATCATATTCTATTTTCACTTTCTATAATTCTCTCATGTCACTCCCACAGCACCATCTCTGAATATGTGAGTTCTAGCCTAGTTCTCTAAGGCCTAGTTCTTACACCATTTAATCATTCACACAGACTCCGGTGTGATGACGTGAGGATTACAGCAAGGAACAGTCAGTTTCTGCCCTTTAAGGAGTTTACATTTTAGTCAGAGGAGAGACAGACAGTAAACAAGTAGCATATATGTGTCTGTTTGGAGTAAGTATGGGGCCAGGCAGGGGATAAAACAGGGGAGGGAGTTACAGCCAGGGAAAAGGTGTGGAGCTGGCTGTTTTTACTAGAATGACCAGGGAATGAGTGACACTTGCCCAAAGACTGGAAGGAGAGCAAGCTATCTGGCTCTGGGAGAAGAACGTGCAGGTGAGAACAGAGTTCCTATGTAGATATGTGGTAGGCCTGTTCCAGGAACAAGGCAACTGTGGGGCTAGAGCAGAGAGTGATAGGGGAGGAGCTCAGAGAGGTCAAGGGGGTGGGAGCAGGGGCCTTTGAGACCAGTTTCCCAAAGAATGAGGTGGGAGCCACTCCAGGGATTGGAGAGGATAAATCTGACTTACCTTTAAAAAGGTTGTTGACTTTCCTGCAGGCAACTCCATTTTCAGCTCCCCTTCAGGGGAACTAGGAAACTAGCTTCATAAACCATTGTAACTAAACTAAACTGTCTATTACACCTCACTTTACCCTATATGTATTTTGGAACTTGTTTTTTTAAGTAATTGGTTCTAAAGTCACTTGGAGCAATTTGGCCTTGTCCCTTTCATCTCTGACTCTGAGGAGACAGGCCCAGGTGAAAGGGGAAAAAATCAGCTTGATTGATTAAGAGGGATTATAATAGGTAATACAAAGTGGTGGCTCAGTCAGATAACTTTGAAAGAGTCTGGGTCCTAGGCTTGATGAATTCCTATTTTCCTCTCTGTTTTTTGCTGTCCTCCAAGATGATTGCTTCTAATTCTTTCATAGTAATGGCCAGTAATAACTGTGAATTTAAAAAACTGGCAAATACAAATACCACATGGCGGGTAAAGGTGCTGGAACTTCTTGGAAACCTCCCAAAATAATCTGGAAGAATAGTCACTGCTATTCACTGGCTTAAGTCTAGCCCTTTGTACCTGGGAATTGAAGGAGAGTGGTGGAGAGAGGGGTGCTGTAGACACAGTCATATGCCAAGAAGAGGTTGACTCCAAAGTTTGTGTGGAACCCATATGGGCTGAGTGTCCTGGAGTCACCAGTCATCACAGGTAGTTGGCAATTATAGTAAAGCTGCAAAAATTTGCACTTGGACATAAGGAATTGGCTGCAGTTCTCTGGCCAGGTCTGTTTCTCAGTGTTGGGGAGTGGCGATCAGCAGCCAGTGTTAAAACCCGCAGTTCAGTGATCACCCTAATACATGAAAGCAGAGAAATGAAAGTAGTGGCTTATGCCTGTAGTCCCAAAACTTTGAGAGGCCGAGGCAGGAGGATCATTTGAAGCCAGGTGTTTGATGCTGCAGTGAACTACGACTGTGCCCCTGCACACTCCAGCCTGGGCAAGAGTGAGACCTTGTCTCAAAAAAAAAAAAAAAAAAAAAAAAAAAAGGATTTGGTTTTTCTTACCCCACACCCCCTCCCCCGCATAACTGGGAGGCTTATTGAAAAATTGCTGTTTTTCATTGACAGTAATAACACAGCCCCATATTTTAATCTGGTTGAGTTTGGGGGCTCATTTGTCTAATAAGGCATTATTAGATATATGAGACATACATGTTTTTGCTGTATTGGGTTTGTATGCACTCAGAGTGCTGCTTTTCATTCTACTACAGATTCTTGCCTCACTCTTTAGGCCATTTCTCTGCATATGTGCATTTTCAGAAGTGGATAGGATAAAATATAAAAGATGAAATTCAAGGTCAGGCGTGGTGGCTCATGCCTGTAATTCCAGCACTTTGGGAGGCCGAGGTGGGCGGATCACGAGGTCAGGAGTTCGAGACCAGCCTGGCCAGCACAGTGAAACCCTGTCTCTACTAAAAATACAAAAAATTAGCCGAGCCTGGTGGCCATGCGCCTGTAGTCCCAGCTACTCGGGAGGCTGAGGCAAGAGAATTGCTTGAACCCTGCAGGCAGAAGTTGCATTGAGCTGAGATCGTGCAATTGCACTCCAGCCTGGGTGACAGAGTGAGACTCTTGTCTCAAAAAACCAAAAAAAAAAAATAGAAATTCAAACCAGTCAGCTTCATCTGGGCCTCTGATTCATCTTTATTCCCTCCATCATCTAGACTTGATTTTATTTGTACCAAGGAGATGCGTGTCTAATGTTTTTCTTTCTTCTATTTCTAGGAGGGCTGTTGGCCTGCTGCTGTGCTGCTGAACAGTATGCAGTCCTTTCGGGAGCAAAGCAGTTACCACGGAAACCAGCAAAGCTACCCACAGGAGGTACACGGCTCATCCCGGCTAGAAGAGTTCAGCCCTCGTCAGGCCCAGATGTTCCAGAATTTTGGAGGTACAGGTGGCAGTAGTGGCAGCAGTGGCAGTGGCAGTGGTGGTGGACGACGAGGAGCAGCAGCTGCTGCGGCAGCGATGGCTAGCGAGACCTCTGGCCATCAAGGTTACCAGGGTTTCAGGAAAGAGGCTGGAGATTTTTACTACATGGCAGGCAACAAAGACCCCGTGACTACAGGAACCCCACAGCCTCCTCAGCGAAGGCCTTCTGGGCCTGTGCAGAGCTATGGACCCCCCCAGGGGAGCAGCTTTGGCAATCAGTATGGGAGTGAGGGTCATGTGGGCCAGTTTCAAGCACAGCACTCTGGCCTTGGCGGTGTGTCACATTATCAGCAGGATTACACTGGGCCTTTCTCTCCAGGGAGTGCTCAGTACCAACAGCAGGCTTCCAGCCAGCAGCAGCAGCAGCAAGTCCAGCAGTTGAGACAACAGCTTTACCAGTCCCATCAGCCCCTGCCACAGGCCACTGGCCAACCAGCATCCAGCTCATCCCATCTACAGCCAATGCAGCGGCCCTCAACTCTGCCATCCTCTGCTGCTGGTTACCAGTTAAGAGTGGGTCAGTTTGGCCAACACTATCAGTCTTCTGCTTCCTCCTCCTCCTCCTCCTCCTTCCCTTCACCACAGCGTTTTAGCCAGTCTGGACAGAGCTATGATGGCAGTTACAATGTGAATGCTGGATCTCAGTATGAAGGACACAATGTGGGTTCTAATGCACAGGCTTATGGAACACAATCCAATTACAGCTATCAGCCTCAATCTATGAAGAATTTTGAACAGGCAAAGATTCCACAAGGGACCCAACAGGGGCAGCAGCAGCAGCAACCGCAGCAACAACAACACCCTTCTCAGCATGTGATGCAGTATACTAACGCTGCCACCAAGCTGCCCCTGCAAAGCCAAGTGGGGCAGTACAACCAGCCTGAGGTTCCTGTGAGGTCCCCCATGCAGTTTCACCAGAACTTCAGCCCCATTTCTAACCCTTCTCCAGCTGCCTCTGTGGTTCAGTCTCCAAGCTGTAGTTCTACCCCATCTCCTCTCATGCAGACTGGGGAGAATCTCCAGTGTGGGCAAGGCAGTGTGCCTATGGGTTCCAGAAACAGAATTTTACAGTTAATGCCTCAACTCAGTCCAACCCCATCAATGATGCCCAGTCCTAATTCTCATGCTGCAGGCTTCAAAGGGTTTGGACTAGAAGGGGTACCAGAAAAGCGACTGACAGATCCTGGGTTGAGTAGTTTGAGTGCTCTGAGTACTCAAGTGGCCAATCTTCCTAACACTGTCCAGCACATGTTACTTTCTGATGCCCTGACTCCTCAGAAGAAGACCTCCAAGAGGCCCTCATCTTCCAAGAAAGCAGATAGCTGCACAAATTCTGAAGGCTCCTCACAACCTGAAGAACAGCTGAAGTCCCCTATGGCAGAGTCATTAGATGGAGGCTGCTCCAGCAGTTCAGAGGATCAAGGCGAGAGAGTGCGGCAACTAAGTGGCCAGAGCACCAGCTCTGACACCACCTACAAGGGTGGAGCCTCTGAGAAAGCTGGCTCCTCACCGGCACAAGGTGCTCAGAATGAACCCCCCAGACTCAATGCTAGTCCTGCCGCAAGAGAAGAGGCCACCTCACCAGGCGCTAAGGACATGCCATTGTCATCCGACGGGAACCCAAAGGTTAATGAGAAGACTGTTGGGGTGATTGTCTCCCGGGAAGCCATGACAGGTCGGGTAGAAAAGCCTGGTGGACAAGATAAAGGCTCCCAAGAGGATGATCCTGCAGCCACTCAAAGGCCACCTAGCAATGGTGGGGCAAAGGAAACCAGTCATGCATCACTTCCCCAGCCAGAGCCTCCAGGAGGAGGAGGGAGCAAAGGAAACAAGAATGGCGATAACAACTCCAACCATAATGGAGAAGGAAATGGCCAGAGTGGCCACTCTGCAGCGGGCCCTGGTTTTACGAGCAGAACTGAGCCTAGCAAATCTCCTGGAAGTCTGCGCTATAGTTACAAAGATAGTTTCGGGTCAGCCGTGCCACGAAATGTCAGTGGCTTTCCTCAGTATCCTACAGGGCAAGAAAAGGGAGATTTCACTGGCCATGGGGAACGAAAGGGTAGAAATGAAAAATTCCCAAGCCTCCTGCAGGAAGTGCTTCAGGGTTACCACCACCACCCTGACAGGAGATATTCTAGGAGTACTCAAGAGCATCAGGGGATGGCTGGTAGCCTAGAAGGAACCACAAGGCCCAATGTCTTGGTTAGTCAAACCAATGAATTAGCTAGCAGGGGCCTTCTGAACAAAAGCATTGGGTCTCTATTAGAAAATCCCCACTGGGGCCCCTGGGAAAGGAAATCAAGCAGCACAGCTCCTGAAATGAAACAGATCAATTTGACTGACTATCCAATTCCCAGAAAGTTTGAAATAGAGCCTCAGTCATCAGCACATGAGCCTGGGGGTTCCCTCTCTGAAAGAAGATCAGTGATCTGTGATATTTCTCCACTAAGACAGATTGTCAGGGACCCAGGGGCTCACTCACTGGGACACATGAGTGCCGACACCAGAATTGGGAGGAATGACCGTCTCAATCCAACTTTAAGTCAGTCGGTCATTCTTCCTGGTGGTTTGGTGTCCATGGAAACCAAGCTGAAATCCCAGAGCGGGCAGATAAAAGAGGAAGACTTTGAACAGTCTAAATCTCAAGCTAGTTTCAACAACAAGAAATCTGGAGACCACTGCCATCCTCCTAGCATCAAGCATGAGTCTTACCGCGGCAATGCCAGCCCTGGAGCAGCAACCCATGATTCCCTTTCAGACTATGGCCCGCAAGACAGCAGACCCACGCCAATGCGGCGGGTCCCTGGCAGAGTTGGTGGTCGGGAGGGCATGAGGGGTCGGTCCCCTTCTCAATATCATGACTTTGCAGAAAAATTGAAAATGTCTCCTGGGCGGAGCAGAGGCCCAGGGGGAGACCCTCATCACATGAATCCACACATGACCTTTTCAGAGAGGGCTAACCGGAGTTCTTTACACACTCCCTTTTCTCCCAACTCAGAAACCCTGGCCTCTGCTTATCATGCAAATACTCGGGCTCATGCTTATGGGGACCCTAACGCAGGTTTGAATTCTCAGCTGCATTATAAGAGACAGATGTACCAACAGCAACCAGAGGAGTATAAAGACTGGAGCAGCGGTTCTGCTCAGGGAGTAATTGCTGCAGCACAGCACAGGCAGGAGGGGCCACGGAAGAGTCCAAGGCAGCAGCAGTTTCTTGACAGAGTACGGAGCCCTCTGAAAAATGACAAAGATGGTATGATGTATGGCCCACCAGTGGGGACTTACCATGACCCCAGTGCCCAGGAGGCTGGGCGCTGCCTAATGTCTAGTGATGGTCTGCCTAACAAGGGCATGGAATTAAAGCATGGCTCCCAGAAGTTACAAGAATCCTGTTGGGATCTTTCTCGGCAAACTTCTCCAGCCAAAAGCAGCGGTCCTCCAGGAATGTCCAGTCAAAAAAGGTATGGGCCGCCCCATGAGACTGATGGACATGGACTAGCTGAGGCTACACAGTCATCCAAACCTGGTAGTGTTATGCTGAGACTTCCAGGCCAGGAGGATCATTCTTCTCAAAACCCCTTAATCATGAGGAGGCGTGTTCGTTCTTTTATCTCTCCCATTCCCAGTAAGAGACAGTCACAAGATGTAAAGAACAGTAGCACTGAAGATAAAGGTCGCCTCCTTCACTCATCAAAAGAAGGCGCTGATAAAGCATTCAATTCCTATGCCCATCTTTCTCACAGTCAGGATATCAAGTCTATCCCTAAGAGAGATTCCTCCAAGGACCTTCCAAGTCCAGATAGTAGAAACTGCCCTGCTGTTACCCTCACAAGCCCTGCTAAGACCAAAATACTGCCCCCACGGAAAGGACGGGGATTGAAATTGGAAGCTATAGTTCAGAAGATTACATCCCCAAATATTAGGAGGAGCGCATCTTCGAACAGTGCGGAGGCTGGGGGAGACACGGTTACGCTTGATGATATACTGTCTTTGAAGAGTGGTCCTCCTGAAGGTGGGAGTGTTGCTGTTCAGGATGCTGACATAGAGAAGAGAAAAGGTGAGGTGGCTTCGGACCTAGTCAGTCCAGCAAACCAGGAGTTGCACGTAGAGAAACCTCTTCCAAGGTCTTCAGAAGAGTGGCGTGGCAGCGTGGATGACAAAGTGAAGACAGAGACACATGCAGAAACAGTTACTGCCGGAAAGGAACCCCCTGGTGCCATGACATCCACAACCTCACAGAAGCCTGGTAGTAACCAAGGGAGACCAGATGGTTCCCTGGGTGGAACAGCACCTTTAATCTTTCCAGACTCAAAGAATGTACCTCCAGTGGGCATATTGGCCCCTGAGGCAAACCCCAAGGCTGAAGAGAAGGAGAACGATACAGTGACGATTTCACCGAAGCAAGAGGGTTTCCCTCCAAAGGGATATTTCCCATCAGGAAAGAAGAAGGGGAGACCCATTGGTAGTGTGAATAAGCAAAAGAAACAGCAGCAGCCACCGCCTCCACCCCCTCAGCCCCCACAGATACCAGAAGGTTCTGCAGATGGAGAGCCAAAGCCAAAAAAACAGAGGCAAAGGAGGGAGAGAAGGAAGCCTGGGGCCCAGCCGAGGAAGCGAAAAACCAAACAAGCAGTTCCCATTGTGGAACCCCAAGAACCTGAGATCAAACTAAAATATGCCACCCAGCCACTGGATAAAACTGATGCCAAGAACAAGTCTTTTTACCCTTACATCCATGTAGTAAATAAGTGTGAACTTGGAGCCGTTTGTACAATCATCAATGCTGAGGAAGAAGAACAGACCAAATTAGTGAGGGGCAGGAAGGGTCAGAGGTCACTGACCCCTCCACCTAGCAGCACTGAAAGCAAGGCGCTCCCGGCCTCGTCCTTTATGCTGCAGGGACCTGTTGTGACAGAGTCTTCGGTTATGGGGCACCTGGTTTGCTGTCTGTGTGGCAAGTGGGCCAGTTACCGGAACATGGGTGACCTCTTTGGACCTTTTTATCCCCAAGATTATGCAGCCACTCTCCCGAAGAATCCACCTCCTAAGAGGGCCACAGAAATGCAGAGCAAAGTTAAGGTACGGCACAAAAGTGCTTCTAATGGCTCCAAGACGGACACTGAGGAGGAGGAAGAGCAGCAGCAGCAGCAGAAGGAGCAGAGAAGCCTGGCCGCACACCCCAGGTTTAAGCGGCGCCACCGCTCGGAAGACTGTGGTGGAGGCCCTCGGTCCCTGTCCAGGGGGCTCCCTTGTAAAAAAGCAGCCACTGAGGGCAGCAGTGAAAAGACTGTTTTGGACTCGAAGCCCTCCGTGCCCACCACTTCAGAAGGTGGCCCTGAGCTGGAGTTACAAATCCCTGAACTACCTCTTGACAGCAATGAATTTTGGGTCCATGAGGGTTGTATTCTCTGGGCCAATGGAATCTACCTGGTTTGTGGCAGGCTCTATGGCCTGCAGGAAGCGCTGGAAATAGCCAGAGAGATGGTGAGTATGAGAAATCTCTTACCAGCTTGGGATTTTTATTTCATTTGGTTCCTTTTCTTGCATGTTTTTGTTCTTACATGTCACATGATTATTCCTCCAAATTAAAGTGCCTATGCCCATGTGATGGACAGAAAATGAAATAGGTAATTTGGAAGATTTGTATAGACTTCTAAAATCGTTTTTCATTTTTTGAAATGTATAATGCTTATGAAGCATATTATTATATTTCAAGTTTCTTGGGCCACATCTTTTCTAACGCACACTTTCCAGTTAGGATATTTATTCTTTGGATCTGTTTCATAACTTATCCTGGGGCAGATCATCAACATCATCATCTTCATTTCTTTCTCTCCTCTATTGAATGTTCTGTTTCCTGAATCCCATTTCTTCCTCATTCTTAAAGTGAGCCTTCATTTAAGGGCGTGCATCATCCTTTAGTAGTTTTGTGAGAAAGGGTGTGTGGGAGTGTAAAAATGTTGAGATCCTATATATCTGAGCATGACTTTATCCTAGCCTCATGCTTAATTGAGAGTTGGCTAGGTGTGGAATTCTAGATTGGAAGTGATTTTTCTCTCACTGTCTTGCAGTCGTTCTTCCTGGTTTGTCCACTAGCTTCCAGTGCTGCAGTTGAGAAGACTGCCATTCTAATTTTTCATCCCTTGATGCATGTTCTGTTTTTCTTCTGGAAAGTTTGAGGATCTTCTCCTTTTCCCTAGGGTCTTGAGATGTCAAAATGATAGGTCTTGACTAGGTCATTTCATGGTTGTGTTGGCTACTCTATGAGATCTTATGTACGCTGATGTCTTTCAGTTCAGGCAATTTGTCATGTGGTAGTTCTTTGAAAATTTCCTTCCCTCTATTTTCTCTGCTCTCTTTATAATTCCTGTTAATATAAGGCATTTTACCTCCTGGATTGATCCGCTGTTTTTATCTTTTCTCCTCTGTTTTATGTTTTATCTCATTATCTTTTTGTTCTGATTTCTCTATGCTTTCTTCAGCTTTATCATCTAATCTTTTTTGTATGTGGGTTTTGTTTTGGTTTTGTTTTGTTTTGTTTTGTTTTGTTGTCACTCAGGCTGGAATGCAGTGGTGCGATCACAGCTTACTGCATTCTCGAACTCTGGGGCTCCCTGGTACCTGGGACTAAAGGTGTGTGCCACCATGCCCAGCTAATATTTATATTTTTTGCAGAAACAAGGTCTCACTGTGTTGCCCAGAGTGGTCTCAAACTGCTGGACTCAAGCAATCCTTCCACTTCGGTCTTCTAAAGTACCAGGATTATAGGCATGTGCCACAAGCCACAGTGCCCAGCCTTCTAGCCTTTTATTTACTTATTTTTTTTCTTGATATTTTGAAGAGCTTTTTTTTTCTCTGAATGTACTGACTTTTAAAGAATAATCAGAGCCTAGTTGATGGCTATAATCGTTTCTCTTGCTTTTTGAATACATTATAACGTATTTTTTGTTTTTGTTTTTGTTTCAGTTTCATGCCCTTACCCAGGCTGGAGTGCAGTGATGTGATGATGGCTCACTGCAGCCTCCAACCACTGGGCTCAAGGGATCCTCCCAAGTAGCTGGACCACAGGTGCATGCCAGTACACCTGGCTAAGTTTTTTACTTTTTGTAGAGACAGCATCTCACTTTGTTGCCCAGGCAGGCTGGTCTCACCACCTGAGCTTAAGCAATCCTCCCACGTCAGCCTTCCAAAGTGCTGGAATTACAGGCGTGAGCCACTACACTTGGCCTGTACTATAATTTTTAAAAATCTTTGTCTGTTTCCTATTTTCTCTTTCTTGTTAGAGGTTCTTCAGATGTCTTGATTTTTTTTTCTTTATTGAGATGGGGTTTCGCTCTTGTTGCCCAGGCTGGAGTGCAATGGCGCAATCTCAGCTCACCGCAACCTCCGCTTCCCAGGTTCAAGCGATTCTCTTGCCTCAGCCTCCTGAGTAGCTGGGATTAGAGGCATGCGCCACCATGCACAGCTAATTTTGTATTTTTAGAAGACATGAGGTTTCTCCACGTTGGTCAGTCTGGTCTCGAGCTCCTGACCTCAGGTGATCCGCCCACCTCGGCCTCCCAAAGTGCTGGGATTACAGGCTTGAGCCACTGCACCCAGCCTTGATTTATATTTTTAAGAGAGAAAGAGATGTTTTAAAAAATGACTTGAAGCTCTCTGTTACAGTATGGGCCAGGCTTGCTAGCCTGTAGTCCTCTCCGTAGAATAATAAGGCAGCCAGCCAGCATATGGGTCTTTTTTCTGAGTTGAGTTTTCCCAGAGGAAAAAAAAACATTTTTTTTTTTGTTCCAGAGAAAAATCTTGAGATTTCCTGTCTAGAGATGCAAGCTTGGCTGCCAGCGTCCTAAAAGCCAAGTGGAGAAGAGGATGGTAGGGTTGTGTGGGTGGGGATATGGGCTCATGATTCAGTGCGCGGACTTTGACAATCTCCCGCCTGTTTTCAGTGGATGAGAACAGTTACCTGGTTGAACTGGGTTAAGGATCTAACTCCTCTTAGAAACTTTGGGCTAATGCTCTATTTTTCAGCCCCATGTTGCACCCCCACTTACTGAGGCCTCCCCAAGCTCTGTGCCCTAAAGTGGCTGGCTTTCTGGGGGCTCCTCCACTGCACTCATCATTACTGTCTGCTTCCTTGCAGTGCACAGAATCACTGTCACTCACTTCATCTCTCATGTTTCCAGCTTCCCATTGCTCATGGTGTCATGAGTTTATCTTGCAAGTTTATCCACTTTTTCGTGGGAAGGGATCAGATGGATGTACAACTGTATGTTTAGTAGTCTACCATATTATTTATAACCTTCTGGCAAAAAGAAGTGCCCATAGACTATAGTAAAAATTATATTGAATGTGAAATATATATTTGAAATTAGAACATTTTAATTCAGTCATGCAAGGAGCTTGCCCTTTACTCTTATCATGTCCCCTATCTCCCAATTACGGTCTTTTCTTTGTGCCTCCTTCCCTGTCTCCATTATTAACATCACGGTGAAACTCCAAGTTTGAGGTAGAAGATTCACTTCCCCTAAGAAGTTTATACACAATGACATTTTAAAATGCAAAGATCCTAGGAGGATGTAACATTTAAGACCCTCAAGTACAAAATTCTTTAGTCAAATTTGAGCGCTCAAAATAATCCGTTAATCATCCTCTTGTCAAAGTTGAGTTCTTGCTTCCCAACTTTCCTTGGAAAGTCACAGTATTTGGTGGGTTTTTTGTTGTTTGTTTTTTGAGACAGAATCTCACTTTGTTGTGGGGTTTCACCATGTTGGCCAGGCTGGTCTGGAACTCCTGACCTCAGATCATCCATCTGCCTTGACCTCCTAGAGTGTTGGGATTACAGGTGTGGGTCACTGCGCCCAGCCTGTTTATTGCTTTTTGATGTGCATATGTGTATGTGACCATCTGACAGTGTTTTCGTTATTTCAACATTTATTATTAACATATCTCAGCCCAGTTTTTTTGTGTAAACTTTTAGGTGTTCTATAGCAATAATTGATAATCAGTAATCAGGCTAAATCTTCCCCAGCAAATCTCTAGATCCTGTGTCTCAATTCAGGTCTTGGGCCGAGCATGATGGCTCACGCCTGTAGTCCCAGCACTTTGGGAGGCCGAGGTGGGCAGATCGCCTGAGGTCAGGAGTTCAAGACCAGCCTGGCCAACATGGTCAAACCCCGTGTCTACTAAAAATATGCAAAAATTAGCTGGACATGGTGACAGGCACCTGTAATCCCAGCTACTCGGGAGGCTGAGGCAGGAGAATGGCTTGAGCCTAGGAGACGGAGGTTGCAGTGAGCCAAGATGGTGCCACTGCACTCTAGCCTGGGCGACTGAGTGGGATTCAATCTCTAAAAAAAATAAGAAAAAAGTTAGGCTTGTTGTCTCTTTGAGCTGATGTACCACTATCACTATAAGATCCGTTTCTAGCTTTTATTTACCTAGCTTTTATTCTACTTTTCTCAGTGCACTCAAGGACAAATTAAAATTACACTAACTTGCCTTTTATTTAATTTGACAGATGATGTTTCAATTGTCCAGGATACTTTGAGTCTAGTTTTATCTTACTAGGTTTTAGCAGATAGATGCATTCAGTTTTGGTCTTGCTTAATGAGCATGCCCTTAATCCTATCATGTAAGATAAAGTCACATATATTTCATTAGAGATCCATTTTGGCCTATGTATTTATCAGGTGTTTTGACAAGCACGATGTTATATTAAAATATTGGGAAGTCCTCAAGAGACATTGCTCCTCTCCCTGTGTCACACTACTCTGAAAATTGCCGAAAACTAGAACATTTCTATATTTAAAAATGGTGTTTACTTCCCTTCCTTTTTCCCTTCCTTTTTCCCTTCCCACAAGTGTGGGACTTGTGAATCTATTCATTTCAGCACAAGTCCCCTTTGCTTCTGTCCAACATTGACCACTGTTTGCCTTGGTATAATTGTGTATGAGAATCACAATGACCTCTGACATGAATGATATTACAGAGGTAATTGCCTCTGAATGGGTATGGATATAACTTGGTATGTACAAATCACCTTTGAGACATTAAGGAATGCCAAGGCGTGCAGGGATGTGACAGAAGGTAGATCTGGTGGCCATGGATCCCTTGAGGCTGGATAGCCCTACTAGTGGGGGAGTCGGGGAGTCTTTGCTTGTTCCCCTCTCATAGAAGGTGCCCCTCCCAAATTTTTCCAACCCCCCTTGGGAAACTTTTAATCTTTTTTTTTTACCTGACAGTATATGTTAACTGGTTTTAGGTTAATTTTTATTTTCTATTTTTATTTTTATTTTGAGATGAGTCTTGCTCTGTTGCCAGGCTGGAGTGCAGTGGCACAATCTTGGCTCACTGCAACCACCTCCTCGTGGGTTCAAGTGACTCTCCTGCCTCAGCCTCCCAAGTAACTGGGACTGCAGTCATGCACCACCACACCTGGCTAATTTTTGTATTTTTAATAGAGACAGGGTTTCACCATGTTGGCCAGGCTGATCTCAAACTCCTGATCTCAAGTGATCCACCTGCCTCAGCCACCCAAAGTGCTGGGATTACAGGCCTGAGCCACTGTGCCTGGCCAATTTTCTTTAAATTTCTGAATCAATATATTAAAGATTATATTTAGGGTTTTTTTTCCTTGATTTTTTGAGACAGGGTCTCACTCTGTTGTCCAGGCTGGAGTGCAGTGGCATGATCTCGGCTCACGGCAACCTCCGCCTCCTGTATTCAAGTGATTCTCCTGTCTCAGCCTCCCCAGTAGCTGGAATTACAGGTGCGTGCCACCACACCCAGCTAATTTTTGTATTTTTAGTAGAGACGGGATTTGAGGATGTTGGCCAAGCTGGCCTTGAACTCCTGACCTTAAGGAATCCACCCTCCTCGGCCTCCCAAAGTACTGGGATTATAGGTGTGAGCCACTGCACCTGGCCAGTTTAGGGGCTTATTTTTAATACAAGTTTAAATAATGGATAATTATTTACTTCCCCCATCTAACAGACTCACATCTTTCTTAAATTTACTTTAAATTGTGATGGAAAACATGATTTGGAAAATATAAAATAGATTGATTACATTATGAAAATGAAATCACATATTAAAACATCAAAACAGCCAAGTCAGAAAGGTAGGCTCTCTAGTTTAACTGTAAAATAGAGCCACCAGTCTACATGCTCTCTAAATTCTCAACTATATGTTCCTTGAAGGTGGTCATTTCCAGGGCCTGGCAAGGCCCCCATCCTGGTGAAGGCTCCCTTCAACTCCTGTTCTCTGCTCCTAACTCCAGTACCTCACCCCCACCCCTACCTGATTGTTCTTCCTCTGTGCTTGCTACAACTGCCCTTTCTCACATTCCCACACTCCCTTTCTCCATTCTCCTCTCCCTCCCAGCCCCCTCTCTCTGGCAAGCACTTGCTTTTTGTTACTTCTGCTGGGACCCATCTTCATTTCTCACTCTCTAGGCGGTGGCGCCCTGTTCCCATGGCTTTCAGTATATAGCAGAGACTTGTATCTAATTTACCTGTTTTTCTTAACACTGTGTGGTATATCTTTTTATATCACTGCATGATGACATTGACACTAAATTTCCAGAGAAAAGGTTCATTTTCTTTCAGGATTTCGTCCAAATTCTAAGGAATCAAGTGAAATTTTCAGTTTTGAATTTTATTGCATATATTACCTTACAGAATAAATCATGACAAATTGAAGGACTCAAATTTTACTACGATTTATTTCTTGACTTTTTTTTTCTCTCTAGAGGTAGGGGGATGATGTGGGGAGCATTACACTTGATTTTAAAGTAAAATTTATAAGGAGTACACGATTCTTTGGCCAAGGCTGGGCAAGGTGGCTTATGCTTGTAATCCTAGCACTTTGGATTACCTGAGCCCAGGAGTTTGAGACCAGCCTGGGCAACATGGAGAAACCCTGTCTCTACCAAAAATACGAAAATTAGCCAGTCTTAATGACCTAGTCTCAAAATAAATAAGTAGAGAAAAATATTCAAAAAAATCCCAAAGGACCATAAACAAAAATATTGATAAACAAGCCACAACACACAAGTTATTATATGTTAATTACTCATCCCTGGGATGTTAAACTAGTTATTGCTAATCTGTTAAAAGAGCTAACAGCAAATAGTATGTAAAAGCAGGCATCCCTTTCAATTCAACAAATATCTTGAGTCTCTACTGGAAAACCAGTTGAAATGTGAAGTTAAACTCCTGTCAGGGAACTTGCAGGGTGACTCAGCCTCAGCCTCGGCCCCTTAGCTGGTGTGTGGTTAGAGAAGCTCTATGTCAAGGCTTCTGAACTTCATGCAGGAAAGTTTGTGTGATTCTGCAGAAAGCAATGCCTTGCCGCACACAGGTCCTGCACTAGGGCTTCGATTTTTCCAAAAGATACGGCTTGCTTCATCCAATACTGTTTCAGGAAAATGGAGGTTCCTCCTCCGCACCCCAAGCCAAGGCCAATTTCGCGGGACCCTCAAGGCTTGCTACTGCAGATCAGATTCGTCCAATTTATTGGAAAAACGTATGAGAAGAGAAAATCAAGGCAGCTAAACACTTGCCCCGGAAGGTCCTGGCTTTTGCCGTTCTCCTCAACAGCTGTGTAGAGGGGAGGCCTGGGTGAGAGCCCCAGAGTCACACTGCTTCATATGAATTCCAGGACTTGTTGTTTCCTTGCGAGGTCACTAGCTCAAGTCACTTAACCTCTGTGCTTCACTGTCCTTACCATACAAAGTATGAAAACTGACAGCACCTACAGTAAAGAGGTATGTTAGGAGGATTAAATGTGTTGCTCTTTGGAAAGTGCTTAGAGCAGTGTTTGGCACATTTCAACAGTTAGGTGGTTTCAGAGGAAATGCAAGCTGCAGACTGGTGACCGCCCTCAGATGGTGTCCTCCCTCATTGTTGTCTTAGTAAAGATGTGTTCCTGTTAGCAAGCTCACTCAGTACTCTATAGCTTATGTTGTAGTTCCATCATAGTGCAGCTAGCTCATCTTGCCAGGGGTGTTCAGAACTTAATCTCTTTGAAAGTTGTCCTTGGTGGAAATAAAAACATTATCTCCTTTTTACTCTTGTTGGAAACTCAAGTTTGCTGCGGGGGGAAGGGTGGCAGGGTGTGAGGTATTTCAGGTGCAGTATTAATATTATGTCTTATGAAATAGCATCAGCCAACACGAACACACTCAGGAATTATATCTCTCAAAAGACAGAAGGCAAAAGGGAGGGACTAAAATCTACCTTGCATGTTAAGTAAAAGCATTAACATTCTAGTGAGATGACAAAGTTTTGATAGCGATTATCTAAAGCGAAAGAAAAGAATCTGCCTGGTAGTAAAGTTGGGTTTTTTTGGTTTGGTTTTGTTTTTTTTTTGAGACTGAGTCTTCCTCTATCCCCCAGGCTGGACCGCAATGGCACAATTTCGGCTCACTGAAACCTTCGCCTCCCAGGTTCAAGCAATTCTCCTGCCTCAGCCTCCTGAGTAGCTGAAGTTGCAGGCACCTGCCACCATGCCTGGCTAATTTTTGTATTTTTAGTAGAGACGGGGTTTCACCATGTTGGCGAGGCTGATCTCGAACTCCTGACCTCAACTGATCCGTCTGCCTCAGCCTCCCGAAGTGTTGGGATTACAGGCATGAGCCACCGCGCCTGGTCTAAAGTTGTTTTTTTAAGTAAACTTTTTAACATGTCAGCACTAAAAGGCCCAAAATAATTAAGAATTCTGAGTTTGTGTGGTGTATCCACAGAATGATTCAGGACAAATACTTCCCTATAGCATTCCACCTCCTCCCCTAAAACAGTGAATATACTGAGAATATGTGAACTCCAGAGGGCTTGTATTAGTCCGTAAAGAAATACCTGAGGCTGGGTGATGTATGAAGAAAAGAGGTTGAATTGGCTCACAGTTCTGGAAGCTGTATAGGAAGCATGATGCCTGCATCTGCTCAGCTTCTGGGGAGGCCTCAGGAAACTTACAGTCATGGAGGGAGGTAGAGGGGGAGCAGGAAGGCTTCTTGCATGGCAGGAGCAAGACAGAGTGAGGTGCGAGGTGTTGCACACTTTCAAACAACCAGGTCTTGTGAGAACTCAGTATCACAGGAATAGCACCCACATGATCCAGCCACCTCCCACCAGGCCCTGCCTCCAGCATTGGGTGCTACAGTTCAACCTGAGATTTGGTGAAGTCACAGATCCAAACCATATCAGGGATCTATTGTATTTGAAGGATTTAGCCTTTAATTTACGGGCAGTGCAAAACCATTAGTGATTTCTAAGCGTGTAAGTCACATGTACAGGTTTGTGTTTTATAAAGGAAACTCAGGAAATAAGTAGGGAGACATCAGAAGCAGACAGGTCATTCGAGAGGCTGTGGGATTAATTTGTGCAAGAGCTGGTAAGGACCGAGTATGTGGTAGAAACGGGAGTCAGAAGGATTGGATGGATCTGAGAAACGTTTTAGGGATTCAAAGTTGATAGACTTTTTTTTTTTTTTTTTTTTGAGACGAAGTCCTGCTCTGTCACCCATGCTGGAGTGCAGTGGCACGTTCTCGGCTCACTGCAACCTCCACCCCCCAGTTTCAAACATCCTCCCAGGCCTCAGCCTCCCAAGTAGCTGGGATTACAAGCATGTGCCACCATGCCGACTAATTTTTGTATTTTTTAGTAGAGATGGGGTTTGACCATGTTGGCCAGGCTGGCCTCGAACTCCTGACCTCAGGCGATCCACCTGCCTCCCAAAGTGCTGGGATTATAGGCGTGAGTCACCACACCCGGCTAAAGTTGATAGATTTTAAACACTGACTAGATGCAGCAGGTTTGGGAAAGTGAGGAGGCAGAGGTCAAGGATGAAGTTGAGGTTTCTAGCTCCAGCAAGTCAGTGGGCGAGGTGAGGGGTCATCAACATACCAATAACAGAAAGAAGGGTTGAAGAAAAGAAATTTAGGTTTGCGTTTAATATGTATTAGACAAGAAAATATTAGATATGAAGGCAGTTCAGCCTAATATACATGTTTAGATAAGTCAACACTAGATTCTAATACAGCATTTTAAATAACTGCTTGCTTTTTATTTAGCCTTTCAAATAGATGTAAACTGATAAATTTTTAAATCCAAATTGAAAGAAAGTGGAGAGAAAAATAGGAAATCATGAGGTCTGTGTCATGTTTATAAAAAAAAACCCAGAGAATCCCAAAAAGATACCAAAAAAATTTAAGCTATCATCATAATTATTCCTAAAATGTAATTGGAAGGGGAAACAGAAAGGATAACTTGCTGTTTGGGCTTTTTTTTTTTTTTGGACAGAGTCACTCTTGCCCAGTCTGGAGTGCAGTGGTGCGATCCCAGCTCACTGCAACCTCTGCCTCCCAGGTTCAAGCGATTCTCCTGTCACCACATCTGGCTAATTTTTTTTTTTTTTTTTTTTTTTTTTTTTTTGTAGAGATGGGGTTTTGCCATGTTAGCCAGTCTGGTCTCGAACTGCTGACCTCAGGTGATCCACTTGCCTTGGCCTCCCAAAGTGTCGGGATTACAGGCCTGAGCCACCACACCTGGCCTGTTTAGACTTTTAAAATAATTTTCCCAAGATACTGACAATGTGGTGAAAAACCAAGACTGTATTTAATTACACTGAGAAAGAGCACATGTCAAACATTTTTATGGGCCTGAAGAAAACCTCTCTGTTGTGCACAGTTGTACCCTATTTCCTCAGTTTCAGAATGCAGCCTCGTGCCTTTATGCACTGAATTGAGGCTAGGCAAAGTGCTACCACATGACTCTATGGTGAAATGGGCTCTGAAGTGGGAATCGTCGCTCTGCCCATAGGAAGGAGCAAGAAACATGGGAAAAGGCAGAAGAAAAGAAAAATTGGCCACAGGGTTTAGATGAGGTGCTGGCACCATCTGTGCTGGTCAGGGTTCCCATTTGAACTCCTGAGTCATGAAAAAGATTTACATATTATTTACATAAAGATAACAGTATTATTCTTATTGTAAAACTAATGGAACTGTTCGTAGAAGAATGCCGCAATCCTGATAACCCAACATATCTGACTCTTCTAGATTTTGTCCATGTGCTGATTATTTCACTAGATATAATAGTATAATACAGTTAGCTTCCCATATTCATGGGTTCTGCATTCTTAGATTCAATCAACAGCAGATTGGAAATATTTGGAGGGGGCAGGGCGCAGTGGCTCACGCCTGTAATCCCAGAACCTTGGGAGGCCAAGGTGGGCAGATCACCTGAGGTCAGGAGTTCAAGACCAGCCTGGCCAACACAGTGAAACCCTGTCTCTACTAAAAATACAAAAAAAATTAGCTGGACGTGGTGGCGGGCGCCTGTAGTCCCAGCTACTCGGGAGGCTGAGGCAGGAGAATGGCGTGAACCCAGGAGGCGGAGCTTGCAGTGAGCCAAGATCACGCCACTGCACTCCAGCCTGGGCGACACAGCGAGACTGTCTCAAAAAAAAAAAAAAAACTTGGAAAAATTCCATCTGTTCTGAATATATACAGACTTTTTTCTTCTTGTCATTATTCTCTAAATGAGAAAGTATAACAACTTTGCATAGCATTAGCTACATCATATTAGGTATCATACATAATCTAGAGATGGCTTAAAGTATACAGGAGGATGTGCTTAGCTTATATACAAATACTGTGCTATTTTATATAAGCGACTTGGGCATCCGTGGAGTTTGGTATTGGCAGAGGTCCTGGAACCAGTCCTCCATGGATGCCAGGAATGACTGTAATGACTGCTAACATGTACTGAATGCTTTCTAAGCACTATACGTGAATTACCACATTTAGACCTCAAACCAACCCTTTCTGGTGGGTCTCATCACACTCCAGGTGAGATTTGAGGTCCAGAGAGGAGCTTGCCCAGGATTCAAACCTTGTGAGTCTCCATCATCACAGTGTAGATACAAGTCTGTGTTGCTTTTTTTACTTTATTTTGTAATTTTAATTTTCATTCTAATCTGTGATTTCTTTTTTCTTAGTTTAGCGTGAGTATAATGTAATTTATTCAAGTACCGCACTTTTATTGAGGTGGTTTCCAGTTAATTTACTACTTTCTATGGAGCAATAAGCATTTTTATTTTTCGATTTAAAGAAAAATTTATGGCTGTTGAACTGCTAGGTCAAGAAGGGCCAACATTGTTATGGTTTTTGATAGGCATTGTCTTGTGGTTTAATCAACAAAGGGTCATAACAAGGCATGAGCATCCATGAGGACAGGTGAGCCTGTTTACTGCTACCTCAGTGGCATTGGACCTTCTTTTTAAACTTTTAGTTCCTTTTCATTTATTTTATTAGTGATATTAATGTTGTTCCCTGTTAATTTTGTGTTTAATGTCCATTAATTGTTAATTTGGAATTTTATTATTCTCAATTTGTTTTTCTGTACCTATTTCTCATAGCCTGAATCACTTCTCTGGAAAATTGAGATGTATGGAACTCCTTTCTTCAGGGGTGCCCCTAAATTAGGCATTAGTAGAGCTCTTAAAAAGTTTCTCATCCCAGCCGGGCACGGTGGCTCACGCCTGTAATCCCAGCACTTTGGCAGGCCGAGACGGGCGGATCACAAGGTCAGGAGATCGAGACCATCCTGGCTAACACGGTGAAACCCTGTCTCTACTAAAAATACAAAAAATTAGCCGGGCGTGGTGGCGGGCACCTGTAGTCCCAGCTACTCTGGAGGCTGAGGCAGGAGAATGGCATGAACCCGGGAGGCGGAGCTTGCAGTGAGCCGAGATCGCGCCACTGCCCTCCAGCCTGGGCGACACAGCGAGACTCCATCTCAAAAAAAAAAAAAAAAAAGTTTCTCATCTGTAAATTAGATGATGATAGAGGACTGTAAAGGATAAAACTAACTTTGCTGGAAATCAAGTAGCCTCCTTGGTGGAGGCTAAACTATTCCTGGAAGCTTTTGAGTTGATGTGGTTTTAAAGGAAGCAAATATTATGAGCTACCTAGCATCAGCCTTAGAATTGTGTCCTCATGTGTTGGTTTAGTAAAGATAACCCTCCTGTCTCTAAACTTATTGGTGGAAATTAAACTGAAGAGAAAATTCAGCCCTATCTGATGCTGTCCACGTAAACCTGGTAATAGTGGAGTGATTTTGGTTGTATGCACTTAAGAGCTGACACTTAATTTGAAGATGTTGGCAGCATACTGCTGTCAGTTAACGTGCCTTATGAAAATAGAATTGAAGAACTGCTACACAGGCAGATAGACAATACCAGGGTCAACAGAATAACAAATTTCCAGCCGAACTCAAATCTGAAGTGGTGCTAGTCCCTTCTGATGGACTAGCACCACCAGTGGGACCTGGGTGCCCTGACATTGTTCAGCGGTGGAGGCATTTCATCTCTGTTATGTGTTTCTCACGGAGCAGCTAGTGGAAGTTTCTAGTAAAATGTATATTCATCTAACAAGTCTCAGGCCTATTCATTGTGGCTGGCTCCCTAGGGGTGCCATGTGGTTCCAGACTTTGAAAGCTGTGATTGTGAACCTTAAATCTTAGTTCAGACACATGTCAGGTGAAGGCCTCTGGTTTGCTTGAAAGTTATTTTTGTTTTTTCATACAAAGCTGGTTGCTAGGATAATAGTGTAATTCATTAGGATAAGTGATAGGACAGTTCCCAAATTATTCTGTTTGCTTGTTTCTAGGTAGGGTTCTTTATTGAAGTAATAAAAATATACTAATGCTTTGAAAGGGCAACCCCTCAAAAATGAAATGTATTTGTTTGCTGATATAAGACTTTGTGTCTCCCTCCTCTTCAGAGAGCAGGCCTGGGCATTTTAATCCACTATTATTTGTGAAAAGCACATCGATTTAAAACCAGCTCACCTGTCACCTCATTCCCCAGGCAGCAAGTGCTGCCCAGCTGCACTCCCATTTTACCTGTTACACCACTTAGCACCCATGGGTCAAATCCCCCAAGTCACTCCAATAGTGGCAGGTCTGAGTGCCTCCTCACTGAGGGTAGGACAGACCTCTGAGACCTTACTGACTCAGCCTTCCCTTTGCAGGTTACACAGACCCAACAGTATTCAGAGCCTATGCCTCCCAGCACTTATGCAAATGCCCAGCTAAGCTGGAGCTGCTCTTGGGGTGACTACCAGCTTATCTGATTGTCGTCCTCACCAGATAGGCTCCCCAAGGGCTGAGTTGGCCCCAGAGCCCACCCTAATGCCTGGCATGGGGGGTGATCAGTGCAGGGTAAATTTGTGACTGACAGGTTCTTTAAGAGACACGTAGAAGCAATGTAACCTCCAGTGGGAAGAGGTGGGCCTTTGGATGCCATTTAAATATGTATGTTTAAAAGTATGTAATATTGAGCTGGGCATGGTGGCTCACACCTGTAATCCTGGCACTGTGGGAGGCCGAGGCAGGCGGACCACCTGAGGTCAGGAGTTTGAGACTAGCCTGGCCAACGTGGGGAAACCCCATCTCTACTAAAAATACAGAAGTTAGCTGGGCATGGTGGTGGGCACCTGTAATCCCAACTGCTGGGGAGGCTGAGGCGGGAGAATCGCTTGAACCGGGAGGTGGAGGTTGCAGTGAGCTGAGATCGCGCCATTGCACTCCAGCCTGGGTGACAAGAGCGAAACTCCATCTCAAAAAAAAAAAAAAAAAGTATGTAATATTGGAAATAATTTGTGAATATGCTGGTCAGAATTTTAATCTACGTATAAAAATTTAAGGAGATGTTAAAATGTGTTTTGGTAGTGAGACTGATTTTTGTTTTCCTGTTATAGTTTTGGGGAAAAAAATGATGAGAGATGGATGACCAGCAGCATTCTTAATTTCTTGTCCTTGTGGTTCTTTGTAAGGCAGAGGAACAGGTTTTGCCTTCATTATAGAGGGCATCTGTATGAGGCTTTGTTGTTCATGAGTTTCAGTGTATGTCTCTGGGGACAAAAATGTGAGTTGCCACTGGGTGAATGTAGTGCCACCTGAATGTTGAAAAACACAACTCCTGAATCACCACCAAACCTGTTCTTCCTCCAGGGTCTCCCAAGAGAACAGGTTTGGTGGGGATTCAGGAGTTGTATTTTGTTCATGTTAAGTCTGAGATGCCTCCTAGACATTGAAATGCACAATGACCATTTCAGAATGAAGGAATTTCCAGTGGATAGTTTTTAGCAGGTAAAAGCAGCCCCACCTTATGTTCAGTGAGCACTTGTGTAAGTGCTGGGAGGCATGGTCTATGGATACTGTGAGGTCTGTGTAAGTGTGGAGAAGCTACACCTAACTCGGCCAAAGGGAGGGCTGAGTCAGTAAGGCCTCAGAGGCCTGCCCTCCCCATGTGGCACTTGGACCTGCCACTACTAGAGTGACTTGGGGGGTTTGAAGCGTGAGTGGCAGGGGAAATAGGCACATGTCAAGAACCACACTCTGCTGCTTTGCCAGTCTCCTCCACCATGCCCTGTGAAACTCACAGTCCACCAAGAGCACTCTCTTAGTTCTCTGCTCTGAACAACCACTTTGCCTGGCTTTCTCAGTAACACCATCTACCGCTACCCCCGCCCCCACCCCACACTCTCCCAGGCAGAAGCAGAGTCATTAGTATTTAGCCCTCTCACTGTGGGCCAAGTGACAACTTGTTCCTTCACTAGGGTACATCAGGACAGGGATAAGCGTTAAGCATCCCTGGTAGAGACCTGAGGAACATTGTGCAAGGCGGCCGGGGTTGTTGATAGTATCTGTATCAACTACTAATGTTTTAGTTTCGCCTCCTGGCAGGGCGAGGGTTTTAGCAGTGCCACAGAAACCGTTCTTCATTGAAGCAAATCATCTCCCAATAATGGAATCTCACTAACTTGCTGACCCAGCATTCTGTTCTCTCAGACCTACCTCATCCCTTCCCACCTTTGGAAAAAAGCTCCATTTAAGGTGAATATGCCAACAAAAAATCTTGTTGCTCAGCTCCAGAAGATTCTCTGTTTAAGATCTTCCAAATTAGCTGTAGAGAACCCCAGGAAATGATCCAGCCACATAAAGACTCACTTTTCCCACGGACCCCCAAGGAGCTCTGAAACCACCAGCAAACACCCAGTTGTTGCCTTTAGCTCCTTAATTTGACTTGGGAACTCTGAAATCCCTTAGTCATTGGTGTATTTTCAGACAATTTCAATAATCTGACCAGTCCCATCCTCTACTTGTTGCTTTTTTCTAATCTCACTCTTGAAAGAAAAGTCATGTGATAGAACCACCTTTTATTATACGACCACCACACTGCCCAGAGACAAGGCCCAAAGGAGAGCACAGAGGCTCTTGAATTTACTGGACGGTCTTTGTTGGCAAAGAGTCATAATTATAGAATCTTTTAGGTCATATTTTATCCTTCATCCAGACATCTGTAGGAGTTGGCTTCTTGGGAAACTATAACATCACTTAGCCCCTAAGCTGAATTTCTTAACCTGTAAAATGGAGTTAATAACTGGACTGCCTTGTCAAGGTGTTGGATAAATGAAATCTGTCCTAACAATAGACACTTAAATCTTGGGCCTGGGCATGGTGGCTCACATCTGTAATCCCATCACTTCAGGAGGCTGAGGTAGGAGGATTGCCTAAGCCCAGGAGTTTGAGACCAGCTTGGGCAACAAAGTGAGATGCCATCTCTACAAAAAATAAATCAGCCAAGTGCAGTGGTATGCACCTGTGGTCCCAGCTACTAAGGAAGTAGAGGCAAGAGGATTCCTCTAGCCCAGGAATTTGAGGTTGCAGTGAGCTCTGATTGTTCCACTATGAGTACAGTGGCACAATCAAAGCTCACTGCAACCTCAAACTCTTTGGCTTGATGAATGAGTGACAGAGCGAGACCCTATCTCAAAAAAAAAAAAAAGTGTAGGTGGAGGAGGAGGAGATGTATTGAGGAATTATGCAGGATTTCTAAACTTGGTTATATTACTTCCAGATCTCTATTTTCTTCATGGAGACTCTTGGAGTTTCCTTTTCTTTTTTTCCTTTTTCCTTTTCTGTTGAAATGAGGATTGTACTCTTGCTGAGTATCTTCCTAATCTGGTAGGAATCTTCTGAAACAGAAATGTAGAAGAAAATTTCCATATCTATGAAGATGAATTGAACCAATAGTTCTAAAACTTTCTTGAGGATAAGAACCTGGGATGCTTCCCATTCAGTCTCTTCTGGGACAGTGTCCTCAGTCTGTGTTTTTTAACTCAAGCTTAGGACCATGCTGGTGCAGGTGGCAGAGTTACCCTTTGAGAAATGCAAAAATCAATTCTGAAAACTGAAGGTTCATAAGCTAGTCACAGATTTGGGTGCCAAAGTTTCCATTCTAGTGTGGACGTAGTTTTTCCTTCCAGTAGGTTTCCAGGAAGAAAAGGCCCCGGTTTGAGCATGACCTGTGGGAGTGACCTGAAATGAGATGTGAGACTATGTCTCATGTTGTTGCCAAATTAAATGACCCCACTGAAGCTTGGCTGAGAGGTGGCAGGGGCTGGCTTAGGATTTGAGGACCAGTGATCCTGTGGTAGTTTCATTGGCATTAGCTTCAGTATATCAAGATATCCTCGTTTTTGAAAGTTCCTTTCTGCTGGGACTCTGCTATTTCCTGAGCCTCCAGTGTCTGTCCTGTCAGGCTGCCCCTGCCTTTGAAAAACTTGCCACTTCCAGGAATAGGGTGGCTTTGCCTGACAATACCTCAACCTGTTTGAGAAGATGGACAGGCGAGAGCGTTGGTGAGATGGCAGTGGCTCCGGGTGCGAAAGAGGAAGGTAATATGAATGCAAGTAGGAAGAAAGGAGTAAAAATGAGAAAGACCTCCAGAGCCAAGTGTTTGGAACAGCTTTGGAGATTTCCGCTTCAGTATGATCTTCACAGATTTGAAATCTTGTTAAGGGAGTCCTATTGTGGCAGCAGGTTTGTCGTTTCTGCACTGAAACTGTAAACATTTCAGTATGGGTGCCTTGTGAATAAGCAGCTTCCAGTAATTGGCTTTCTGGAAGCACAGACCCAACTCCTGGGTAGGATGAGCCATGGAGAGAAGCAGCTTACACCAAGAGTCACTTCCCTGGAGTGTAATTTCTTTAAAAAGATGCCTTTTTAGATTCAGAAAGCACAAAATGTAATCATTTCTCTTTATAAGCTAATCCACTGTTTGAGCAAAGGGTAAAATAAAAATAAGCTAGTGCAAGACCTTGTGCAACTTCAATTTCAGTGTTTCAAACTATGTAAGTATTTCTCTCCCTGTACTTGAGAAAAAGCTCTTCTCTTTCTTCATCACAGGGCTGCCGCAGGTCTCCTACTCCTGCTGGGTTCAGCCTTTTCTCAGGTTCTCTGCTTTTATTCAGAGGAAAAGTGCTAATCAATGGCTTATACCTAGTCCTGGACTCTAGCACTCTGTGCCCTTCCTTTCTAATTTCTTAAAGGGCACAAGCTCCTTTTAACATAGGAAAAACTCCGTTAGACAAAATATATAAGGTTTTCAGCACAGTGGCAATTTTCTTTTGGGGCTATAAAAGAAACCCTCTGATTAGGATTATTTTAATGGAGTATATATAACTGTAGATAAGATAAAATGCAGGCTGGGTGCAGTGGCTCATGCCTGTAATCCCCGCACTTTGGGAGGCCGAGGAGGGTGGATCACCTTAGGTCAGGAGTTCGAGACCAGCCTGGCCAATATGGTGAAACCCCGTCTCTACTAAAAATACAAAAGTTAGCTGGACGTGATGGTGGGTGCCTGTAATCCAGCTACTTTAGAGGCTAAGGCAGGAGCATCACTTGAACCCGGGAGGTAGAGGTTTCAGTGAGCCAAGATCTCGTCACTGTACTCCAGCCTGGGCAACAGAGTGAGACTCCATCTAAAAAATAATAATAAAATGCAAACTGTGTTTCAGAAAAAAAGGCAAGTTTGGTTAGCACAAAGAAACATCATTAGTGACACCTGTGTTGGCCTTCTGAGTTATGAGACTTCATATTAACATTATAACAAACTACGTATACATTTTGTGCAAGAGAAAAATTACTAAACCAGGCCTTCTTGAGTAATGCTTTAATTTTCCAGAAGGGGGACATAGATTGGATTTAACTTAAATTGAGGCAAATGGATGTATTTTATTTGGGAAATTGTTTTTTGTTCCTCCTTTGTTTTGCCTCCATAAATTTATTAATGCAGAACCTGAAGGCTGTAAACCCAGGATAATTAGAGTTACAGTGTTACAGAACATTAAAAACCCACAGCAAGTGGCTGATATCTGCCTACCATATCTGCAGTTGAAGTTCATACCATGTGTGATAATTACGAACTTTCTTTTTTGTGGGCACCTTGGTAGAAATTATTAGTATCACCTGCCATATTTTCACATGTTACTTAAACATCAATAAAGTGTACATAGTAAAGCAGATAGCTGAGGGTGGGGAATAAGTGGTTAAATACTGTGTCTGACCTGTAAAATACGCTCTAAATAGACAAAAGGAACCCCTTTGTGTGGCAGCATAGCTGGGTTTGGTTTAGTAGCAATAGTAGATTGTTAGCTTTAACTCCTCCTGGATGTCTGTGCTGCTGCCCATAGCCTTGCAGACAAGCACAGACGGCCTTTGTAGTTTCAAGGGACCATCCATTCCACATGGGACTAGAGAGTAACAAAATGACTAGGGATCAGTGCTGGTACTTCCTGGGAAGTATGTGCAGGGTGTGTGTGTGTGTGTGTGTCAGTCAAGGTCTTGCCCTGTCATCCAGGCTGGAATGCAGTGGTGTGATCATAGTTGGCTGCAGCCTTGACCTCATGGGCTTGAGCAGTCCTCCTGCCTCAGCCTCCTGAATAGCTGGGACTACAGGGAGTGCCAACACACCCAGCAAATTTAATTTTATTTTTTGTAGAGACAGGGCCTTTCTTTGTTGCCCAGGCTAATCTTGAACTCCTGGCCTCAGGCAGTCCTCCCACCTCAACCTCCCAAAGTGCTGGGATAACAGACATGGGCCACCTTACTTGGCCCTGTTCAGGTTATTTTGCCCTGATCAGTGTCTTTAAGTAGCAGAAGATACCCCCACCGTGCCCTTTTTTCCCAACTGGGTATTATCCCCAATGTATTGTTGAGAAAATCAAGACTTAAATTAACTTGCCTAGGCTCCTGTACCAGTGAGAGACAGGGCCAAGTATAAGTTTCTTTTAGCCCTGCTGCTATTCCAGATCAGCAGCTTCAGTGGACAGCTCCGCTCCAGTGAAAAACTCCGAGAACTTCCTCTCCGCCCCAGCTTTCTCTCTTTTCCTTATTTCTTGTCTTTGTTTTTAGACTGCCTAAATTTGAGGTAAAAATCAAAAAAGATTTCTGATAAGGAATATCTGAATATAAGGAAGGTACACAGAGGAATTGTCAGTTAAACTAACTGGAACAGTTTCTTTGACTAGATTTGTCGTTGTTGTCCTCTACTTTAGGAGAAGTAAAATGATACGGAAAAAAAGCTTGCTAGCAGGGATTTATTTTAAAAAGCAAGTTTTAGGCTATGTCCTGGGATCACTTTGATAAAGCCTAGTCTCTTCCTCGTGTCTTACAAGAATACTCTTAATACAGAATCATAACTCTAAGACAACGGAAAACAATCAGTTTACTCAAAACCCTGAGCTATTTACTAAAGCAGGAAGATAGCCTGTGTTCTATAAAAGGTTTCTCGTAGTTACCCATAAAATGTCATTTGGAATTAAACCCATTCCTGACCAGTTGAGATTTTGCTCTCAGTCCAAAACATTCTCTTCTGTAAATGGAATCTTTCTAGGAGAAAGTAGCATTTAGAGCAGGTGCCACGTGTGTGCTCACCTCATCAGAATCCTGCTGTGCTGGCATCCAGAGGGCTCCCTGTCCACTGTGCTGATTTACACTGCCACACACTCAGGCTCACTGCAACACATCTCACAGACCCCCTGGCCATGTGTCAGCATCAAGTCCTGTCGGTTTTACCTTCGAAGTCTATGCTGCCTCTTGTATGCATTTCCACCACCAGTACCCAAACTCTTCCATATCATCCCTAACCCAGCAACAGCCATTGTTGGCCCTGGGTTCCTGCATATCAGCTTCCCACCCTCTCAGAGTTGTGCTCCACTGTGTTGGTTCCCTACACCCTGCCTGCTTGTCCCTCCACAAAGCAGTTTGTTCCCCTTCCCCCCAGGTAGCTCTTACTCACTCTTTATGACTCAGGTCAAGCTACACTCCCTCAAGAATGCTTTCCTGACTTCCTTAACTAGGTTGGTGGCATTAAGTCTGCGCTCTGAAGTACTGTTTACATCACTGTTTAAATTTTGCTTTACCCCCAGATCATTCTGTGAGCTCCTGGAGGGTAGACACTAGGTGAACTTTTGGCTCCCCATTTCAGCCCCTGCACACAGGCATGCAATAAAAATTTGTAGAATGAATAAAAAGAAAAGATTATTATACTTCTGAAGTCGATACCATCAACTCCTAAGGGAACTTAAATATCAAAGAAAAGAGCCCTGAGAATAAAAGGCACCTTGATCACACAGTGTCTTACAACCTTTAGAGAAACCTGCATGTCAAGGGGAAAGACCAGCCTGATCAAGTTCTTATTAATTTTCATCCAACCCATGTTTCTACTTTCTGGACATGCAGTTTTATGCTGTGGAATCAGGATTGACACATTAATAAGGCAAATTAAAAGTCCCAGAGAACAGCTCGTTAGGAAGTCAAACTGCCTTCTTCACATTCAGTAGAATAACTTACACTTTATGATTCTGAAGAAGCATGGGTCTGGTGTTTTTACTTTCGTTAGCCAAGGGTTACCTTCACATTATTGCAGAGGTCCCTTCCTCATAACACAGCTCACGGGTGAGAATCTGGATTTTTTTTTTTTTTTTTTTTTTTTTTTGAGACGGAGTTTCACTCTTGTTGCCCAGGCTGGAGTACAATGGCATGATCTCGCTCACTGCAACCTCCACCTCCCAGGTTCAAACGATTCTCCTGCCTCAGCCTCCCGAGTAGCTGGGATTACAGCCATGCACCACCACACCCAGCTAATTTTTGTATTTTTAGTAGAGACAGGGTTTCACTGTGTTGGCCAGCCTGGTCTCAAACTCGTGACCTCAGGTGATCCGCCTGCCTCGGCCTCACAAAGTGCTGGAATTACAGGCGTGAGCCACCATGCCCGGCCTGAGAATCTGGATTTTTTAAAGCAACAATGGCATAAAAAGAGGTATGTGACAGAATCTTCTGGAGAAAAGACCTCCTTCCCCAGCTGCGTCTTAGACCTACTAACTTCTCATTATTTGTTTGCTCAGTGTTAAAATGAGTAAGTCCATTGTATAAAGCTGTGTGTATTCTGAATATGTTCTTTATCTGCTCAAGATTGTGGCTAATTTCTGACATCCTCTGTTTGGTAGATGAAGTACAGAAAGACAAAGAAGGACATTCTTAATGAAGGAGAAAAGTCCTTTAATCCCAACCTTTCTAACCTGATGGAAAACATCATAACTTTACTATAAACTGCAGACAGGCTGGTCCCACCTTATGGGCACAAAGACATCGGAAGGGAAATAAGGGAACGGGCTTTCTTTGTGGATCAAAACAGAATCCAAGGATGTAGCTGTTAGATGCCGCCAAAACGGCCACACTCAAGAGATTTGGACCTGGGTCAGGCTTTCTGTGCGTTTTGTACCACTTCTGGGGCCAGCTACCACCCAACCACCACTCAGCCACAGAGACACTTATTACAGGTTTATAATTTGACTTGAAAGGTTTTCCCAAAGAAACAAATACTTGTCAGGATCTGTAGCAGAGCCATGTTTTGATTGGGGCTTTTATGGGAGGAGAATGGTGATCTAAATATATAATTTTATTTCAAATTATGCTTGAAAGATGATCAGATTAAAGAAAGTTTGTGTGAGTGTTTTCATGGGCTTGTATTGGAGGGAAGCAGATGACTGGGTCCCAGGAGGCAGAGAAGATGAACTATTGGGCCCTAAGTGTGTTGTAAGGAATAGTACCATCTGTTGGACCTAAGATCCACATGGCAGCAGAGGGTCCAGAATCAGCCACAGCAGATTATTCTAGATTAATGTGAGTAGGGACAGGTTTGGAGAAGTATGGCTAGGAGCACCTGGCAGGTGACTCTGATGCAGGCAGCAAAGGAGTCATTGGTTTCCAGGTCTGCTCTCCACATAACAGAGGGCACTGTCTGTAGAGTACAACAGGCAAGCCTGTGAGGCGGTTTTTCTCATTCTAGTTGTGCTCAATATGCCATTTTGGGGCAGTTTTCAATGCTTTCGAAATCCTGCTAGAATTTAATTTGTATGCAGTTGTGTGTCATTATTAGTCCCCATTTATTTAACATCTTTTCTTGTAATGCAAAATGCTTTAGAAAGCTTTAAAAATAGTTTTAGTTTGTATTGGTCCCAGATAGGAGAATTGAGAGGGGAGATACAATGAAAGTAATAGTAAATAGTAGCTAAGAAGTGAAGTGTCCAGAGACTTGGCCAAGAACTGACCTTCCACACCGTCGGAGATGAAACATTACTGAAACATACAGCAGCTAGACTTACCAAAAAAACGACCAGCAGCAGGTGTCCAGACCCATGCAGGGTCTGCTTGTTTAAGGCAGATTGTAGGAGAGAAATTACTTAACAAAAAATTAACTTTAAACTGTTTGTCTTAATTTAATAGACTGTACTTTGTATTATATCTGATTTTGATATCAGTAATTGCCAAAGTATGACAGAGATGAATGTATGTTTTATGTAATTTTTATTTAAAAGTTCTAATAATTACATAACTTTCTAGTTTGTAAAACACTTTTATGGTTATTTTACACAGCAGCTTTAGGCAGAAGGCAAAGCAAATACTGTTATCCCCATTTTACAGATGATAAAATTGACCTGGTGACTTTTGGCTTTCACACGTGTGCTGACACCCTCAGTTTTTTTCTCCAGTAGCCCTGTGCTGCATCATACCTGGACAGTATGCACATTAGACCAACCACATTTATTCTAAAAAGCTAGTCAAGCCTGGAACTTTTGTCTTAAGTACACACAATTAGCCCTTAGCCAGTGAGTGGCTGGCTGATGTTTCATACTGACATCATAATTGATTAAGTGTGTATTTAATGGATTCAGTTTCTGAAACTGGCACTTTTGCCGGAGCAGCTGTAGGACATAAGTGCAGATTCTAAATCCATGTACCATAACTTGAGTAGCACTGAGTAAATGGACCTGAGAAGAACTGGACAAGTCTCTGTCCCTCTGAGGTTGACTGGGAAGCCTTGGTGGTACTGGGCCGTGGTGCAGGTCCCAGAGGCTGGTGCCAGAGCCCATTCCCTCAGTCTTTGTGTTAATGGCAAGTTAAAGGTTCTCCAGCCAGTCTCATGAGCTTTTCATGAAGAAACGTAAGGAGATCGTCTAGCTCTAAGGAAGTAAGGACCAAAACACCTAGGGCTATGTATGTATTGCTTTGGCTAACACTTTGAAGTAGTCTTTAAGAAGCTTGATAGGATGCAGAGTTGCATCAAAGAAATGCTCACAGGGCCTTGAAGGGTAGCTCCTTGTATGTAGCCCATCTAGCTGCCACGTAGTTGGCATTGATAGCTGGGAGGACAGCGGCTTCCATCCTAGATGTAGGAGGCATAATTAAAAGGACAAAAAACTTTTTGCTGGTGGCCAAAAATGAACACATACCTTGTTCCACATTCTCCAAGCTCCACCAGCATCAGTTTTGTAACTCATTGAAGAGTATCCTCATTAGTTGTCTTCAGGCTCTCAAGTTTGTCAGACATTGCATTCATTCCATCAGCCCACATTTACAGTGCCTATGGTGTGCCAGTCCTTGGGGGGTGCAAGAACAAGTCTCACAGTTTAGGGGAGATGGACAAACATGAGTAAGTAAATATTGTGAGCATGAGCAGAAGTGTGTGCCATGCTGGATAAGAGCCGTCTTAGGCACAGTAGTGGAGGGTAATCTGCAAGGCTTGAACAAAACCAGTTGTCATCAGTGTGCTATAATACTACTGTGACCCAGTTGCTTTGGTGTTCTGAGGCTGCTCTGAGATGCTAATTAAACAGGATGATGATTCAGGTTGCTGTTATATCTCATAAGAAAGAGCCTTTCTGTGAATGAGCAGGCATCAGGCTTGGAGAAGGCTCCCTTAAAGCTTCCCTCAGATAAGGATTAAACAACGCTAGTTGACTCAGTCCTTGCAGTTTGCTACCTCAAGTCAGCGAGCCCTGCCTCTGAGACAGTGACAAAGTCTGGTGAAAGGTTCAAGCTCTGTATCTGGGCCACTTTCCGTTAAAACATGTCCCAAAACTAATAATACCTTTTATAATTTATTTCCCAAGTTTAGAGTATCAAAAAATGTGAGGTTCTTATTAGAGTTCTTTAAAAATAGTTTTTATTCCCTTCCATAATAAAAAATTTACTATTAAAAGATTTTGAAGTTTGGGCCATTCCTTATTTTTAAAATGTGTCTTAATTTAGAAATCATGCTTGGAGCCCCCAATGTGTCTCATTCTTCCTGGGGAGCAGTATTGTATGGACTTACCTCTGCTTGGAGTGAATGTAGTAACACTGTGGTCAAAAACAAAGGACATTTAGCTGTGCAGTGACTTTAATATATTATTTGTAGCATAGGAGGATGATAATGCAAATAGCTACTCCAGGTAAAAAGTATAGAATAAAAATTTAATTAGAAATTGTACTGGCCTGGGTATTGATTTTTGGGTAGAAGGGAAAACCTTACACATGGAAGATACTATAGATAAGTATTTATATTCTATCTTTGGCACCTGGCACCTAGAAAGTACTTTTCAAATGTTGGATAGTTGAGTGAATGAAGGGGGCTAACAGGCGTCATGGTATGGTATGAAGAAAGTTGAACTTGGGGTTCAGAAGAAAAAGAGGTAAAGTTCTAAGTTCTCTTACTAGCTATGTGATCTTTAGCAGGTCACTTTGCTTTAGCCTCTTGTTTCTTCTACAAGAAAAACAGATGTCGAAGACAGACCCAGAGTTCCTTCTTTATTGATCTCCTGATGTCACAATTTGCCTAGTGAAATTGTAGGTTTCACTAGGCAAATTGAGGGAGAAATCTGTTGCATTAAAGAACCTAAGGCCAGGTGCGGTGGCTGATGCCTGTAATCCCAGCACTTTGAGAGGCTGAGGTGGGCAGATCACCTGAGATCAGGAGTTCAAGACTAGCCTGGCCAACATGGTGAAACCTCATCTCTACTAAAAATACAAAGATTAGCTGGGCGTGGTGGCAGGTGCCTGTAATCCCATCTACTCGGGAGGCTGAGGCAGGGGAATCGCTTGAACCCGGGAGGTGGAGGTTGCGGTGAGCCGAGATCATGCCATTGCACTCCAGAGCGACAAGAGCGAAACTCCATCAAAAAAAAAAAAAAAGAACCTAAAAGGAAAATGAACAATCACTTGAGAGTCTTGGGAAATCCCCGTGTATTAGTTTTCTATCATTGTCATAACACCTTACCACAAACTTGTTAATACAGTTCTGCTTACAGTTCTGTAGGTTCAAAGTCCAACACAGGTGTCTTACTGGGCTGGAATTGAGGTGTGGGCTGGGCTTTGGAAAAGTCCAGAGTCTTAGGGGAGAACATGCTTCCTTGCCTTTTAAAAATTCTGCAGCTGCCGCCCTGTCCCTTCTCCCATCTTCCAGGCCAGCAGCATTGCACCTATGACCCTGCTGGCAAATCATCAGGTCTCCCTGAAGCTGACAACTGTAACTCCCTCTGGGGGGGAATCGTTTGCTTTTATGGGCCTGTGTGATTAGATTGGGCCCACCTGGATAACCTAGCATATTCTTCCCATCTCAAGGTCCTTGACTTAATCTCATCCACAAAGTTGATTTTGTATATATAAGATCACAGGTTCTTGGGATTCTGCCTACCATATCCCAAGATCTGATTGCTCTGTAGGAGACAGAACACTGAATGGCTCTCAGGAAACCAGTAATCCAGTAATCCTAGCTCACCCAGTCATTGTGTCTCTCTGGGTTTCTTTTTTCCGCATCTGAAAAGTTGGGGAGTTGAATTAGACCAGTGGTCCTCAAACTGCATTGTACATCAGAATAGCCTGGAGGACTTCTCACAACACAGATTTAGGTGGGGCTCAAAAGCGTGCATTTCTGCCAAGCACAGTGGCTCACGCCTGTAATCCCAGCACTTTGGGAAGCCAAGGCAGGTGGATCACTTGAGGTCAGAAGTTCAAGACCAGCCTGGCCAACATGTTGAAACCCCGTCTCTAGTAAAAAAACAAAAAGTTGCCAGGTGTGGTGGTTCATGCCTGTAATCCTAGCTACTTGGGAAGCTGAGGCACGAGAATCACTTGAACATGGGAGTCGGAGGTTGCAGTGAGCCAAGACTGTGCCACTGCACTCTAGCCTGGGTGACAGAACGAGACTCTGTCTCAAAAATAACCCAAAAAACAAAACTGCATTTCTGACAAGTCCCTGAGTGTTGCTGATGCTGCTGTTCCAGGGGACCACACTTCAAAAACCACTGAACTAAACTGTCTTTAAGGATCTTTCTCTAAGTCCCTAATACAGCCTGAGAGTCTTTCCCCTTTGGATGCAATGTTATAAATTAATCATAGTGGAGTTTGCACACTGCTTGCCAGGTTGTGGAGTTGAGGTAGGAAGCAAATGGACATTGTTCAGATCTAAGCTCCACGTCTTCTCTTTCCTCTTGTAAACCGGGATGGTGATGAGGCCTGCTGTGTGGTTGCTTTTCATGAGATGGTCTTTGTAGATTATCTAGCATATGTCTGACACATGGTCATCTTGGGTCACATTTACTTAGCACTTTTGACCCAGCCACTGTTTTAAGCCTGAATTAATTCATTTAACCCTTATGACATTTCTATGAGGTGAGTGCTATTATTAGTCCCACGTCTGTAGGTTGAGGAACAGAGGTTAGGAGTTTGGCCAAGAAGGCAGAGCTAGAAAGTGGAGCCACTTACCAGGCAGTTATTTAGGTTCCAGAGCATGCATACTTAACCCTTCTACAGCAGCACCCAAGTTTCCTGTAACAAGGCTAGAGGTGGCCTGGTCCTGGGTTTGGGTGATTTAGTGCTTGACAGTGTCATGGTAGGCCCAGGTCTCTCCATCTTGCCACTCTTCTGTCCTCAGCAGGCTGGCTTTGTCTTCAGGGCTGTCCCCTCATGGTGATACTGTGGCTGCCACAGATCCCACTGTCTAATCCTCACAGAGGCTGCGCAAGAAAAATTACCTGTTCCTCCCTCTTGTCTCTTTTTGAGAGGGTGAAACTTTCATGCTTGTAATCTTAGCACTTTTGGAGGCTGAGATGGGAGAATTGCTTGAGCCCAGGAGTTCAAGGACAGCCTGGGCAACATAGTGAGACCCTGTCTCTACAAAAACATTTTTTGAAAAAGCTGGATGTGGTAGCACACACCCTGTAGTCTCAGCTACTCGGGAGGCTGAGGTCAGGAGAATCACCTGAGCCTGGGAGGTAGAGACTGCAGTGAGCCATGATTGTGCCACTGCACTCCATCCTGGGTGACAGAGCAAGACATCGTCTCAAAATATATTAAAAAAAAAAAAAAAAAGGTTGGGGGGAGTGCAAAATGTTTTCAGAAGCCCTTTTTCCTGCAGACTTTCCTACCAGAAATGCTTGACCATACCCATTCCTAAATGGCCACCACTCACTGTGATTCATCCCCCAGGGTAGGGAGGGCCATATCTTCGGGCCTCTTGAGTAAGAAAGTGGCAGCAGGAGGCCAGATGCGATGAGGTCAGGAGTTTGAGACCAGCTTGGCCAATATGCAAAACCCCATCTCTACTAAAAATACAAAAATTAGCCTGGCGTGGTGGCATACGCCTGTAATCCCAGCTACTCAGGAGGCTGAGGCAGGAGAATGGCTTGAAACTGGGAGGCAGAGGTTGCAGTGAGCCAAGATTGCGCTACTGCACTCCAGCCTGGGCGACAAAGCAAGACTCCATCTCAAAAAAAGAAAGTGGCAGCAGACATGGCTGCAGGTTGGCCACCGATGGACTACCCACACTCCCTTCTCTGAAGTTGATAGTCCTTTTGATTCTGAGATGCTCTGTGGCACTGACAAAGGTCGACAGAGTCTAGGGCTACTAGAAATGCTGTGAACTTGTCCTTGGTTTACTCCAGACCAAATGATCTTTTCTCTCTTAACAAGGGTGCGAGGGCACATGATAAACATTTACTGATTATGGGCACCCAGAAGGACCTTGATCTTCTGAGAGCAGGGCAAAGCTTTTGAAGGACTAATCTCTTCCAGCCCTTGTTCCTACCTCTTTTGTCTCTGGAGGATGCCAGAGATGATCATCCAGAATCTCAGCTCTGACCTGGAACAAGTTATTTTCCCTTTGGTGTCTCAAGAGTTTCACGTGAAGCATTAGGAGTGCCTGCCAGGTGGAATAGTGCAGAGGGCTGGATGAGATCATTCAGTCTGAGCGTGGCGAGCGCTTGGGCTTTGCTGTTGCTGGCGTTAGTGTAGTTTTCCATCAGTATCTGTGTCGGGGGCCTGAGCCAGCTCAGTGTAATTGCTTAGGGAACACTTTTATTTTTCATAGAAGCAGGAACAAGTTTCTGTCTCTTCCAGCTAGTCTTGCTGGTTGTGTGCCTCTGCTATCTGAAGAGCCAGCATCCTTAGTAGGGTCACATGTGGTTGAGTTTTATGAATGTGTTTGTTGCTGATAGGACACATTTCTTACCTGACAGGATGAGCACTCACAGCAGCCACATCACAGGGCTGACAGAGATGTGCCCCACTTTAAGAAAACCTGACCATATAAGGAGGAGTGTCTCAATTACAAAATAATGTCTCACTTAGCCAGAAATTCATGGCAGGTTTTCTGGTGCATTTAAAATAAGATTCATGTATAAAAATACCATTTGCACACAGGAGCCCATATTTTCTGAAAAGGGAAATGTATTGGGCATTTGGGGTAAGTAGATCAAAAATAAAAATAAAATCTTCTTACAAATACAAGAACTAGAAACCAAATTCCACTTCTAATTCTAAAAGGTTTATATATAACTCTACTACCTTACCCTCTCTTACCCCAGATTTTCACAGCAGAAGTAAACAGGGAAGATCTGCAGGCCGCTCACGATAGCAGCAAGGAAATGCCTGGCATAGTGTGTGGGTGGGTGGATGGCGGGGGTACCAGAGGCAGGGCTGGGGACCCCACTCTGGCATGTCCTTTATGACATGGATTGCTCATCTCACCCTGCTGTATTGTTGATTTGAGAACATTTGTGAGGCTTGGTCTAAAACATTATTGCTGGATCCCTTCCCATGGTGTGGTCAGTGAATGGCATTTAGAAATTGACCAGCTCATCCTGCCACCACGGACTCCTCTAACCACAGAGACACGTGCTGAGGTCTAACAGATGGGGACCAGGGAAGGCCTGGAGGAGAGGGCCAAATCTGGGATACTGACATGCCTGACTTTTCCCTTCCTTTCAGAAATGTTCCCACTGCCAGGAGGCAGGCGCCACCTTGGGCTGCTACAACAAAGGCTGCTCCTTCCGATACCATTACCCGTGTGCCATTGATGCAGGTAAGAGGAGACCACAGACCCTTGTCCAGAGCATCCAAAGGATTAGGACATACAGTTTGATTCTCTCTGTTGTCGTTGTTTTTTTTCTTTTCTTTTCTTTTTTTTTTTTTTTTTTTTTGTCACTTCATAAAAAAACTTCCCACCCATTAGCAGCACTCATCTCCCTTCCCTTCCCTCCAGTCCCTGGCAACCACTATTCTGTTTTCTTTTTTAAATTTTTATGATTTTTTTTTCCCTTTAAGCTCTGTTGGACTCAATCCTTTCTATCTCTGTGGGCTTTGCTGTACATTTGGGTTACTTCCACTTTTTGACTGTTATGAATAATGCTGCTATAGAACATTCACATGCAAGCATTTGTGTGAACATGTTTTCAGTTCTCTTGGATGTGTACCTGGGAGTAGAATTGCTGGATCATATGGTAACTCTGTTTAACCTTTTAAGGAACTGTCAGACTGTTTTCCAAAATGGCTGCCCCATTTTACGTTCTCAGTGGCAGTGCATGAGTGTTCTCCTTTCCCCAGGTCCTCCCTGACACTTGCTGTCATATGTGTTTCTTTTTTTTTTTTTTTTTAATTGTAGCCAGCCCAGTGGGTATGAAATGTTATTTCATTGTGGTTTTTATTTGTATTTCCCTGATGGCTAATGTCGAGCATTTTTTTCTTGTGCCTATTGGCCATTTGTACATCTTCTTTGGAGAAATAGCTATTCACATCCTTTGCCCATTGTAAAATTGGGTTGTTTATCTTTTTAATGTCAAGTTTTAAGAATTATTTGTAGGCCGGGCGGGTGGATCATGGGGTCAGGAGTTCAAGACCAGCCTGGCTAAAATAGTGAAACCCCGTCTCTACTAAAACTACAAAAATTAGCCAGATGTGACGCGCACCTATAGTCCCAGCTACTCGGGAGTCTGAGGCAGGAGAATCACTTGAACCCGGGAGGCAGAGGTTGCGAGATCACGCCACTGCACTCCAGCCTGGGCAACAGAGTGAGACTCTGTCTCAAAAAAAAAAAAAAAAAAAAAAAGAATTATTTGTAATTCTGGATATGTGGTTTGCAAATGTTTTCTTCCATTCTCTGAGTTGTCTTTTTACTTTCTTTTCTTGATAGCATCACACAGGTAATTCACCATTGGACACCAACTGGGTGTCCTATAGTTTAGCTTGGTTCTGATACTAAGCAGAGTTAGTGCAGCCCCTACAGGTTAAGGGCTCAGTCCCACAAGACCGCTCCCCACTTCATATACCAATCTCAAGCCCTGTGTTATGACCTGTGTTTCTGAGTGATCAACTATAAACTGGGGTTCCCAAGACCGCTTCCTTGGGTTTGATTAATGTTTAACATGGCTCACAGAATTCACGGAAACACTTCACTTGTGTTTACCCATTATAAAGGATGCAGATGAACAGCCACATGAAAGAAACATAGGGCCAGATGTGTGGGCAGGGGCATGGAGCGTCCATGCTCTCTCCAGGGGCACCACCCCTGAGGCACCTTCATCTACTCAGCAGTCCAGAAGCCCTCTGAATCCAGTAGTTCACGGATTTTTTGGAGGCTTCATCATGTAGGCATAATCAATTATTAACTCAATCTTCACCCCCTCTGTCCTTCCTGGAGTGGGGTGGGTAGAGCTAACAGTTCCAAGCTGCTAATCACAGCTTCGTCTCTCTGGTGCCCAGCCCCCATCCAGGAACCACCAAGAGTAGCCTTAGAACAAAAAGTGCTCCTATCCAGGAAATTCCAAGGGTTTAGGAGCTCCATGTCAGGAACCAGGATCAAAAACCAAATATTAGAAGAAAAGATGCTCCTAGCACCCCTAATTGCTCAGGAATTTACACGGGTTTTAGGAGGTCTGTGCCAGGAATCAGGGATGAAGACTAAAATATGTATTTCTTACTCTAAATCACAGTACGTTGTATACATACAATAGAGTGTTGTATTTTCTTTGCTGAGATGATAGGGGGATGTTTTGCAGTGTGTTAACTGTTGAAAGAAGGGAAACATTTTGTTAAAGAAGTGCCATCCAATGAGTGACGCAGAAGACTTGAGTTTTGACTCAGAGCTTCGATAACCTGGGAAAATCACCTTTCTTACTCTAGACTTTTAGTCCCTTCAGTGGGTGTTTTCCCCAGTTACTTTTTTGGCGGCAAGGTGGGTGTTAATTTCAAGTTTATTAAGTTTTTTACTTTTCTTTTTGAGACGAAGTTTCGCTCTTATCGCCCAGGCTAAAGTACAATGGCATGATCTCAGCCCACTGCAACCTCTGCCTCCCAGATTCAAGTGATTCTCCTGCCACAGCCTCCCGAGTAGCTGGGACTACAGGCGCCCACCACCATGCCCGGCTAATTTTTGTATTTTTAGTAGAGACGGGGTTTTGCCATGTTGGCCAGGCTGGTTTCAAACTCCCGACCTCAGGTGATCCACCCACCTCAGCCTCCCAAAGTGCTGGGATTACAGACGTGAGCCACCGCGCCCAGCGTTTTTTACTTTTTTTAATGGACAGTAATTGTAGATATGGGGTGCTCAGTAATGTTTCAATATATATATAAAATGATCAGACCTAGGTAATTAGCAAATCCATCGTCTCAAACAACATGTCTGTGTTGGGAACATTTGGTATCTTCTAGTCATTTGAAACTATACAATATAATGTTGTTAACTGTGGTTATCCTACAGTGATACAGAATACTAGAACTTATTTCTCCCATCTAGATGTAATTTTGTATTCTTTAACAAATCTCTACTTATCTCTTCCTTTCCTTTCCCCTTCCTGGCCTCTAGTATCCTCTGTTCTACTTTTTAATACTTCCGTAAGATCAGCTTTTTAAATTTCCACATGAGCGAGAACATGCAGCTTTTAACTTTCCGTGCCTGGCTTATTTCACTTGACATAATGTCCTCTAGTTACTTGAGCATTAGATGTATCTAAGACCATCACCCAGGCAGCCCCCATAATGCCTGTGGTCACGTTTGAGGAAAAGTGGTGAGAGAAGGCAGCAAGTAGCATGGTGCTTGTCATGTGCATGCCCCCTCTCTGTGCTTCCCCAGGAGAGAAGCAGGGCTGTCCACGGAGGCAGCCACGCTGTCCATAGGAGGCGGGGTTTGATTTGAATTTGATGGGAAGGGGAAGAGGGCGTGGCTGACTGCATGATGGGAACAGGCGTGAGGCATAACATACACAGAGCAGGGCCAACAGACTTGGATCAGGTCTCAGAATTCATCCTGCCCCCCCCTTCCTTCCAGCGCAGCAGTTGCTTGCAGCTCCTGACTTTTGTTTAAGCATATGTCTCCATTCCTTTCACATCCTTCTTGCCCTTACCTCCCCCTTCCCTCTTTTCTCTCCAAGCTTCTGTAGGAGAAACAGTTAAAAAGAACAAGAGAGGTAGAGAAGATAATGCTGATGCCAGTTAGACTATTACAAAAGTGTGTGTATTCACACGTACATGTGGACTGAAAGGCAGCTTGATGGCCAAGGCACTATTTGATCAACGGAAAGATAGGGAATCAGAAACAGAGTGCCAGGTGTGGTGGCTCACACCTGTAATCCCAGCACTTTCGGAGGCTGAGGTGGGAGGATTGCTTGAGCCCAGGAGTTCGAGACCAGCCTGGCCAACATGGTGAAACCCTGTCTCTACAAAAAATACAAAAAATTAGCCAGGCGTGGTGGCCCTTGTCTGTAGTCCCAGCTACCCAGGGAGGCTGAGATGGAAGGACCCAGGAGGGGCTGCATGACCCTCAGTTGGGCCACTGCACTCCAGCCTGGGCAACAGAGTGAGACCCTATCTCAAAACAAAAATGAAGTAGCCTTGAAATGTCAGTTCAGGGAGTTTGGGTTTTAGTCCATCCCTTCTGTTCTCTTTTTTCCTCCAAATGTTTTCATGTTGAGTCTAAGGTGTAATTTACCCTGGGTCATGGTCTGCCATATTCTGTAGTACAGCTGTTAAATCCTTCTCTTTCAAGAGCTAACCAGTTGGGCCAGGCACGGTGGCTCACACCTGTAATCCCATCACTTTGGGAGGCCGAAGTGGGCGGATCACAAGGTCAGGAGATTGAGACCAGCCTGGCCAACATGGTGAAACCCTGTCACTACTAAAATATGAAAAATTAGCCAGGTGTGGTGGCGCGTGCCTGTAGTCCCAGCTACTTGGGAGGCTGAGGTAGGGGAATCGCTTGAACCCGGGAGGTGGAGGTTGCAGTGAGCTGAGATCACGCCACTGCACTCCAGCCTGGCAACAGAGCGAGACTCTGTCTCAAAAGAAAAAGAAAGAGAGCTAACCAGTTAACTAGGTATGGTGGTTCACACCTGTAATCTCAGGTACTCGGGAGGCTGAGGCTAGAGGATCACTTGAGGCCAGGAGTTCAAGTTCAGCCTGGATAACATAGCAAGAACAGGTCTGTTCAAATAAAAATAAGTTTTTAAAAGAGCCAACCAGTTGCCTTTTCTCATTTTCATTACCTCTAGTTACATCGTAATATTGTGTTTTCTTCCCTGTAGTCTAGTGGCCAGGAAAGAGGGGGAGCAGTAATATAAAGTTTTGTTTCTAGTTGAAAAAAATGGCTTTTTTTTTTTGTTTTTTGAGACAGAGTCTCGCTGTGTTGCCCCGACTGGAGTGCAGTGGCGCGATCTCGGCTCACTGCAAGCTCCGCCTCCCGGGTTCACGCCATTCTCCTGCCTCAGCCGCCCCAGCAGCTGGGACTACAGGCGCCCGCCGCCACGCCCGGCTAATTTTTTCTGTTTTTAGTAGAGACGGGGTTTCACCGTGTTAGCCGGGATGGTCTCGATCTCCTGACCTTGTGATCTGCCCACCTTGGCCCCCCAAAGTGCTGGGATTACAGGCGTGAGCCACCGCGCCTGGCCAAGAAAATGGCTTTTAAGTGAAAAAAAAAAAAATTTTTTTTGAGACAGGGTCTCACTGTGTTGCCCAGGCTGGACTCAAACTCTTAGGCTCAAGCGATCCTCCCAACTAGCTGGGAATACAGGCATGTACCATTATGCCCAGCTATATATGAGGATTTTTAAGTATTAAGTTTTTTTATGGTTGATTGTTAGTTTTATATTGGGAATACTGTGAGTTTTGGCTCTCCCAGTTCGCAGCTGGGTAAGAAGTGGTCCCCCACTGAGGCTGTGTTCAGGGACACATTAGGGTGTGCTGACAGGCCGGTGCCACATCCCACCCGAGCACACTTCAGCAAGGGCCCCCCTGGAGGCTGCCCCCGTTCTGCTGATAGCCTGCCTTCTGGTCCAGCTTCTAAGATGTCAAGCAGCAAAGCTCAGCCTAACATACTGCAATGATGGAAACGCTCTAGCTCAGCACTCTCCAATGTGGTAACCACAAACCAGATGTGATCATTGAGTGCTAGTGGGACTGAGGAAATGAATTTTTTTTTTTAATGTAAACTTAAGTGGCCATGTATGGCTAGTGGCTGAACAGCACAGGCTTAGAGCTACCCTCCTCAACCCAAGTTCAGGCAATATGGTTGGGATTTTTTGGAAGGGGCCATAGAGCACTGGAACATCCTCTCCTCTAGTGGAAGCTTGTGCCCAGGTTGTCACCCCAGCCCACCAGCAGAGAAGCGCAGGACCCTCATTATTAGCTGAGGACTTGTGAGTAAATGGTGTCTGTCATTTTCTGTTTTGGGGCCCATCTTGGTAGCCTGCCTAGTTAAGCTGGTAGCATCTCTATTTAACAGAAGTTGGTGGCCGCGTGTCCAGCAAGACAGAGGGGTCTGGGTTGGGAGGAGTGAGGGTAGGGCTGTCGGCCTCTGGCTTTGCTGCCTCTGCTGCTGTGCACTTTGCTCCTTCATGTGGAGACCTGGGACCCAGAGGCAGTTTCACAAGATGACCATGTCTTGGTCATTGCGGTCTTTTTGATGACCCAAGTCACAGTGACCCAGAGGCCTGCACTGCTCTGTGGGGATGGACGCTTGTATTATTCCACACAGTCTTCTTGGAAATTGCTCTCTGTGTATGATGTAACTTTGTATCCAGGAAACAAGTTTATTGATGGACTTTTCTTTCTAATCATAACAAAAATAAGTCCTTGGTTTGAGAATCCCTAACCTCCCTTATGGAGTAAAGAGCAGTTTAACATTTTCATCTCTGCCTTGCTGTCAACCCACCCAGATCTTTAAAGAGCTGTTGATGTCTCAGGGAAGACTTTTATTACTGGGACATCTCCATAGAAACAGAATCTTTGTTTCATGATCTGTGACTCCTGCCACCTTCCCCCCCACCTGATGTTGACCCTGCATTTCTGACATCATGGTCAGCTGTTTTGTGTTGCTTGTTATGTCATAGGCACAGGATTTGGCTCCAGGTGGGGGGGGTTACAGTAATAAGAGCATGAGCTCTGTTTTTTTTTTTTTTTAATTAATGTATTTAATGCAATGAGCCACAACAATTAAGACGAGAAAAAAAGGCTGTGGTAGCTCATTAATAATTCCACTGTGCGTAAAGAACCTTGTGTGGAGGGTTTTTTTTTTTTCTTCTACTCTCATGAAAAAACAGCTGGGAATTCTACTTTCTGCAGCTCTCGTTGCAGTAGCATTTTAAAGCTGCTATCTCTGCTGCAGACTTTGATCTTGCTGGTGCCATCAGAGCCCTGGATGGGTCATTAGGAAATGCCAGTAGTCTGACTCCTCCCCGGGGGACAGCCGTCTGCCTCACAGGAGCCAGTCCCAGTGCCAAGAGCCCCATATTTCCCTCCTTATGGCCCAGGAGCCTGAGCCTACCCTTCGGCAAGGCAGGGTGGGGCTGGCAGGCCCCTGTGTCCCAAGCCCTGCAGTGTGCCAACATAAGGAATAACAGTAGTACTGGGGTAGAGTGTAGGTGAATTGGAGTCTGTGTCTGCTACACAACAGATCCAAAGGACATTAAACCCTTCTTGTTTTTCCTACCTCCCTCCTTGAGCCCACCATCCTCAGCCTGGGAGCATGTGGATGCATGTGGGTATCTGAAGCTTCACAGAGCTTATAATGAGGAGCTTAGTAAATCCATTCTGCCTTTGAGCTTGAAGAGGGAAATGAAAGTGGCCTTCTCTTCTGGGGGTTGATGTTTGTGTCTGCAAGCCATCTTGTTGACTAGGCCACCTTGTAGGTCTTTTTGAGCTTGGATGATGATCTCGCAAGCTGTTTACTTTGACTTCACTATGCAGAAGTGCTGACTGCGCCCTCTGGACAGTGTAGGATGGTGCCTGGGCCTTGAAGAACACAGATTGAGAGACCTTGACTGGCTGGCCATGTAGGTGCAGTTGCCTGTTCAGAGTCCTCAGAAGAGGTTTTACTACACCTACTGCTCTTCACTCTTCCCTCCCAGCAGGGACTGGTAAGAGGAGAAGCTCCCCTGTGCCCTCCAGGTTTCTGAGCTCTCTAGCTGTGGTTCTGGCCCCTGCCAGGAACGTGAATTGTGCTTCCTGACGGCCTGTGGACATGTATGAGAACAGAGGAGGGCATTGTCTGCACAGTGTTCCTGCATGGGAGGCCTTGTCAGAGATGGACACTGCCTCAGGCAGATTGCTGTAGGAGACTTCATTTCCAGATGTATCTGGCATTAGTTTCAAGTTGTCGTTAGCGTGCATTCATAGTGTCTTACTCTTTTCTGCTTCTAACTCAGAGGGAACGCATTTCCTAACATGAGGCGTGTTTTATTAATGGTCCATCACAGCTGGTCACTGTTCTGTGGCCGTGAGGGAACTGAGCCACCTGCGCCTTTCTGATGGCACCCTTTGCTGCTCGTGTGGTCCCTGTCCTCACTGGTATAAACCCCTGTGGCGTAAGCGTGGCCCAGCCCCACGTGTGCTGTACTGTTTCTGTTTGGCCCAAACTAGAGACTAAGCCAGCATAGTGCTTGCTGCCAGAGCCCAGGTAAGAAGAGAGCATATCCCCTGAGCTCCAGTTGTCTGGCTCCTGCTGTTTATAAACTCTCTGGCAGATTGGAGCAGCGGGAGTCTTGGTCACACTATGTACTTGTGGGTTTTAAATTAACACATTTCATTTATTGCCTTGCTAGTTGCTTGCTGGGGGAGGGGCTTGGAGGTTAGTAGTAAGTTGCTGAGCTCTTGGGCCCACGGAGCCAAGAAGGCTGCCGCCCACTCTCTTAGATACTCATGGGCTCCAACGAAAGACAGGCTATGATGTTCCAGGTCTGGCCAAATATAAAAGGGTCTTTTTGATTTGTTTTAGGATACCGGGACCTGAAAAGTTTTCATGTGTATGTTCATTGCTTATTACTATTGCACTTGAAATCTGTGGGTGCACAGGCTGCTAGTCTGGATCTCAGTTTAAATTTAACAAGGATAAGTACCGTGGCTGCCTCCTGCCATGGTGCCTGGGAGCTCTCTGAGAATGTGTTATCAATATTTATTAACATTCTGCCACCGCGTTTTGCACCAGTGACCTGGCTGTCGGTCTCCAGGAGCTGTGGTGTGCAGAGTGAACTCATTAATTAGATTTCCTTGCCCTGATCCATGCACTACCCTTGTGTGAGAGCTCAGCTCACCTGGAGGCAGATGTGTCCTTGCTGCCATCCAGGATGCTGTCATCATGTTACAAGTTGGAATGAATCATTTTTCCTCCAAGGATTAAAAGCATCCTCATGGGATTTTACCTTCCTCTGAAGCATTTAGTGTGGATTATGTGATTTGTGTTGGAGGCTTCTGTGTCTCCGTGGGTCGTGGGGCAAAGGTGACAGTGGGGCTCTTGGGCCTGGCCACCTTTCTGTCTCAGACACCTGGGCATTCTCTGTACAGAGAAGAAAATACGCGTCTAGATTTTAAAGTGTTTTTACAAGGAGGCTTTGGCTTGAGCCTGAGAAATGGGGTTAGCCTAGAATCAAGGATTTTTAAAATAGCATTTATTGGTGATATCGTGGGAATATAGAAAAGATAAAATTTAAATCAGCTGTATCTTCTTACCCAAAGAGAATTATTGTTACATATTCATAGATTTCCTTTCAGTCTTTTTTTTTTTTTTTTTTTTTTTTTTTTTGAGACGGAGTCTCGCTCTGTCACCAGGCTGGAGTGCAGTGGTGTGATCTCGGCTCACTGCAACCTCCGACTCTCTGGTTCAAGTGATTCTCCTGCCTCAGCCTCCCAAGTAGTTTTTTTTTTTTTTAAGACAGTTTTGCTTGCCTAGGCTATAGTGCAGTGATGTGATAGTAGCTTACTGCAGTCTGAACTCCTGGGCTCAAGCAGTCTTCTCACCTCAGCCTCCCAAGTAGCTGGGACTATAGGCAAGTGCCATCACACCCAGCCTTTCAGTATTTTTTTTTTTTTTTTTAATAGTGACAGGATCTCACTGTGTTGCCCAAGCTGGTCTTGACTCTTGGATTCAAGTGATCTTTCTGCCTCGGCCTCCCAAAGTGCTGGGATTACAGGTGTGAGCCATGGTACCCAGCCCCAAGTCTTTTTTTAATGCGTAGAAACATTTTAATAAAATTAGCACATTTATACATTTGTACATCCTGGTTTTTTCAAGCAGTTTTGTTTCATGGGTGTTTTCCATACCATTAACTCTTTTCAAATGTTAATTTTTAAGTGACCGATATCCATCATGTTAAGGTATCATAGCTTACTTGGGTTGTCTCTAATGTTTTCCTATTAGAAGTAAGTGTAGCGACCTGCTACCTTTATGTCTGACCCTGTCAATCCCAGCCAGCATGACCACACCTATGTCCAGCTGTGAAGTCTCCATCTGACTGTCCCCTTCTGTCTTCCAGATTGTTTGCTACATGAGGAGAACTTCTCGGTGAGGTGCCCTAAGCACAAGGTGAGTCAGAGGCCCCAAGAGCTACCAGCAGGGATGGGATCGAGGGTGGCTCCTCCTGAAAGACCTGAAGACCAGGTGTTGGTGGGCCTCACCCACACCTGTCCCCACCTGTGCCTCCGGCTGTTAGTCCCCTCCTGGCCCTGGGAGGGTGGAGGGGCATGATGCTGAAGGGAGACCCGTGGCATGGGGGCCAGCACTCGGAGTATTATGAGGATCCCAGGAGAAATGTGTTTTGGGAGAGGGGGTGTTTGTCTGTTCATTAAGAGAGGTGAGAATATCTAACTCGATCAAGCCACTGATTTCCACTTGAGGTGAATAGAACCCCAATTCACAGGTTGGCGTTTGGTAAGTCTGGTTCTAGGCCTTGAGGCCTGTGCAAAGGCATCTTCCCAGACTAGAAGTCGAGCTGACCACAAGGCTCTGGGGAAGCTCAGTCTCTTCCAGGTTGTGCTTCTGCAGAAGCAGCCTGATGCACAGTGGATGGGCTGTCTCGGGCTCCACTTCCCAGTTTATTTAGGAGGTGGTCTCGTGGTCGCTTCCTTTAGGAAAGGGTGGGAGGTAAGGGGTGAATGGTCTGTTTGTGGATACCACATATGTGTGTGGGGAGGGTGTATATGGAGAAGGAGCCCCAAGAAAGGATCAGAACGGAGACCACTGCCACCTGATGTTTCCTGCAGGGGCTGCACTGTGTCTCTGGCTGAGGTCACACTGACACCTGGTGGTCACTGGTCACTCGCAGTCTTAAATCTAGTAGGGCCGAAAGTACTAGAAGGAGGTTGTCCAGAGAGGTCTGCCCTCAAAATGCTCCTGAAAGATGCTTGCTTATGCTTTTCTTTAAAAATTATTTCTGGGGAAGGGCGGGGAGTGGTCACAGGATCTTATATTCTCTTTATTTTTACTTAATTTGCATGTTATTTTTAGAACTCCCCTTTTTAAGGGTCACATTTTGCCTCAGAAAACCCTGTCTGAATGTCTCCTGTTTGTCGGTCAGGACTGACTCTGCCTTTTCTTTCCTTTTCCATGTGCCACTCCTGTCCTCCCTTTGCCCTCCCTGATTTCTGCACTGTCCTCTCCCACCTGTCTGTCTCCTCTTGGTTTTGCCCGTGTCAGCCTCCCCTTCCGTGCCCTCTCCCCCCCTTGCAGAACAAGACCGCGAAAGGCAGCCTCAGCACAGAGCAGTCGGAGCGGGGGTGAGGGGGGCAGTGTGCTCGTGGGAATGGAAAGGACAGCAAGCACAGGTGAGTCGGGGCCACCGGGCTCCCTGCATCCTGCCCGGCTCCCAGCAGGCGTCGTTGCCTCTGCCCTCCTGCTCGCTCTATGCTCTGCCACCAGCATTTCATCCTGTGGATGACAACGCCAGGTGGATGCAGTGTTCTTCCATTGGTTACTTAGCTCCCCAGATTATCTGTGGAAAGGAGTGGGGGCTTCTAAACTGTCCACTGCCAATGGGGTGCAGGGTGACTGTTCCTGAAGGCAGCCCTTCAGGGCACAGCTGGCCAGGGGTGGCCTTGTGAGTGGACACAACAGGCTTTTAGGTCTCTTTCTTGGGCAGGGCATCTCTTGCCAGTAGCCCCTGCTCTTTCCCCCGTCTCAGAAAGGGTTCCAGTCAAAGGTCTCTTCTTTTTAATTTACTACATTTCTGTAAAGCTTATGGTGTGTTTTCCTTTGAAAACAACAGAACTCTTGGGTTTTGTTATTAGAAATCTTTTTTTTCCAGTATTATGAAGGATTCCTTTTTGCAGAAGTACAAAGGAAAGAAAAATCCTCAAAGATTTAGTAGACTCTAGCATCTGATTTAATTTTACTCTTAAAAATCTCGAGGCTGGGCATGGTGGCTCATACCTGTAATGCCAGCACTTTGGGAGGCTGAGGCAGAAGGATCGCCTAAGCCCAGGAGTTCAAGACCAGCCTGGGCAACAGTGAGACCCTGTGTCTACATTAAAAAAAAAAAAAAAAATTAGCCGTGCGTGGTGGTACATGCCTTTAGTCCCATCTACTCAGGAGGCTGAGCTGGGAGGATCACTTGATCAAACCTGGAGGTTGAGGCTGCAGTGAGCCATGATCGTGCCGCTACATTCCAGCCTGGGCCACAGTGAGACCCTGTCTCAAAAAAAGAAAAAAAATTCTTGTGATTGAGTTGTGCTTGCTGTGAGTTTGTGTGGGATTATTGTGGTCACGGCCCTCTTGGCAGGCATCTGTGAAAACAGGATGATAGGACTTGGGGTCTCTAGAAGCTGCAGGCCTCTGAGCTCCATGCTGCTCCTTCACCCTCCCTGCGTCACTGAGGCATGAAGGGAAATAGGTTGTAAAGAAAAGAAAAACCAAAATGTACCTTGTGGCACTTGCTGCTACAGGATGGGGCAGGAGGACTAGTTGTCTCAGAAATATTCATTGAGGGGTCATTTCTCTCAAATGGGAGGACTTCTGTGTCGACCTCAGGAGTTTGACTCACACAGCTACGCTAGACGTGTCCCTTCCGGCACCACCATGTGCCTGACCACCTTCTGGAACGTGCCCTCCTCCTTGTTACCACTACTAATTTCCGGAGAAGGCCCCTCGGCTGCCACGCCATTTGAGAAGTCAAGTGGGGGCTGCTGAGTGCCTTCTTGATAGAGCGTTGAGTGTGGTGCCTTTCTCTTTCCTCTTCCGGGGAGTAGGGCTGGCAGTGAAGGGATCAGAGCAAAGTGGGGAGGTGGGTGGAAGCCATTCCATGTGTTCCTGGGTCAGAGGAACCAGATGAGCAAATGAAGCCTCTTGGACTTGGAGTACATTGCCACCATCAGCGAGTGGCTGCTGGTTTTCCAGAACCTGCTGGGCAGCACTGCCTGCTCCTTTTCCTGGGATTAGCCCTTAGGACAAGGCAGCCATTGCATTGCGTGGTTTTGAAAGGACTGTTTCTGTTGGCCCTCCTGCATGTCCCTACGCTCCTGAGGGTGTCACTGTGCCTTCCCATTGTCACCCCTGTGCCAGCACAGGCCAAGATGGTTAGAGTCAAGTTCTGTAGGGGACCACGATGCGTATTCCTGGAATGTGTCCTAGAAGACCTGGTTAAGGAAAGAGCTTAAGTGTTTTTTGTTTTTGTCCTGGAATTGCATCTGTGTTTGAGAAAAAGAAAGTTCAGGCCCTGGGCCTGGTGGACAAATCTCCTGGGGATTTTGTTCATCTGTTCCTCTCTAGTCATTCTTGGGCCTTCCTTCCTAGCTGTCAGGGCCCTTGACTCTTTTTTTTTTTTTTTTTGGAGACGGATTCTCACTTTGTCGCCCAGGCTGGAGTACAGGGGCACGATCTCGGCTCACTGCAACCTCCATCTCTGGGGTTCAGGCGATTCTCCCGCCTCAGCCCTCCCGAGTAGCTGGGACTACAGGTGTGCACCACCACGCCCAGCTAATTTTTGTATTTTTTGTAGAGATGGGGTTTCACCATGTTGCCCAGGCTGGCCTTGAACTCCTGACATCAAGTGATCTTCCCGCCTTGACCTCTCAAAGTGCCGGGATTACAGGCGTGAGCCACGGCGCCCGGCCAACTCTTGAACAGAACAATGAGCTTCATCCTTCTGGGTTGAAGCACAGTGATGAAGTGGCCTCACCCATTGAAGAGAGTCGTCTCAGGTCCATTGAGGTTGAACCATTCCATTCAGCTCTTGGAGGGAGAGGATGGACTCACTGCATCCAGTCCTGTCCATCTGAAATGTTTTTTATGTGCTGTTCCCACAAGGCATATAGCTTTTCCTGGTTTCCCAGTTCAGCAGTGACATTGAGGGTGGTCACCGTCCTTCATTTGTGGTAGAAGCCCTGGTGACTGGGGATAGAATCACACCTCTGACTAAAGGAGGACTCATCTTGGGCCCCATGCTGGGGACAGAGAGCCACCATTATTGGGTGCCCTGACAAGGCAGGGAACAGACAGCGAATGTGCGTGTGTGTCTGCCTCCTAGTGCGCCATGTTCTGACAGAGTGATATGATAGGTGCTGTGTGACTAAGATCAGACTACTCCATGTCTCTGTACTTCGGTTTCTTCTGTAAAAACAGGAATAGCAGTGCCAACCTTTTGAGATTCCATTGGGAAATGTCTCTAAGTGCCAGCACAGCACACTGGCTCTCAGCCCGTTGATCTGCCATGCCTAGCTGTGGGTTTCTCTTGGGAGTTGGAGGGGTCAAGGCAGCAGATTGGACCCTGCAGCTGTCTCTTATAGCAAAAAATACCCAAGGCTTGGGGTTAAAAGATGCCGCCCCTGCCTCCCAGCCTGTGAGGTATCTGGTACCTGACCCTCGCCAGGAGTGCGGAGGGGAAAAGTCCTTCTGCAGGCCCGTGGTTGCCCACTGTCTCTTTGTGCCAAGGGGGTTGCCTTGCTGGCTTGTGTCATTGGTTGGCAGGGCTTTTGACAGTGGAGTCCCTATACCCAGCTCTTCCTCCTGTCGTGAATTAAACAAGGAGGCCCCAGCTTGCCCTAACAGGCCCTGTGGTCCAGCACATGGGAAGCATAACCTTGATCAGGGCTAATGCTGCATCCTGGATGCTATGTACCCTGCACAGAACAGCCATGGATGGACGCTGAGCAAGGCAGGGAACGGGGCGTGGCCCCCCTGCCCCTGGAGCTGGACATCACACAGTCCATTTGTGTGTATGCATGAATGTCACATTCTAGAGTTCCCCTTTCCCCAAACTGGTCCAGAGGCAGTCCAGGGTTACACCTCCAGAGGAGAGCCTGAGTCTGTCCACTTTCCTTCCCCACCAGCCCCAGCCCAGGCATTGTGGCTGCTATAGTGCCCGCCTCCCTGCCACTGCTCAGCAGCCAAGTGCAATCTTCATTAGGCCTCCCTCCAGTCCTGTCCCTTCTCTACGTCAGAGATTCTTGTCATCTTCCACACAAAGCCCAGACATCTCACCTTGCCTTCCAGAGCCCTATGGAAGTCTCAGGTGACTCTCCAGGCCCCTGGCTGCCTCCAGCTCCTCAGGGACCAGGCTTCCTTCCTCTGGGCTTCTGCACACACAGTTCCTTGTGCTGGAAACACTTTGGCTCCCCATCTTCATGTTGAAAACAGGCTCCCATCTCCTGGGTCTCAGCTTAAATCCTACTTCCTCAGAGAAGCCTTTCCCTTTCTAAATCCTTGTCTCCATTGCCCCCCTCCTCGCTTGCAGCCATCCTAGCATCACCACAATTTCAGATCATTTACTTGTTTACTACCTGTCTCTCCACTAGACTGTAAGCTCCATTAGGGCAGGGACCACGTCTGTCTTTGCACCATCAAAGCCTAGCCCAGAGCGGGGCATGTAACTATGCTAGTGCCAAGTGAGTCTGTGTTAAAGAAATGAGTGCATCCCAGGCCGGGCACAGTGGCTAACGCCTATAATCCCAGCACTTTGGGAGGCGGGCAGATCACGAGGTCAGGAGATCGAGACCATCCTGGCTAACAATACAAAAATACAAAAAATTAAAACACTAAAATACTAAAAATACAAAAAATTAGCCGGGCGTGGTGGTGGGCGCCTGTAGTCCCAGCTACTCGGGAGACTGAGGCAGGAGAATGGCATGAACCCGGGACGTGGAGCTTGCAGTGAGCTGAGATCGTGCCACTGCACTCCAGCCTGGACGACAGAGTGAGACTCCATCTCAAAAAAAAAAAAAAAAAAAAGAAAGAAATGAGTGCATCCCAGGGAAAAAAGGGCTCTTGGACCCTGACCATCGGTGCCCTTAATCAGTATAGATTCAGAATTAGGTTTCCCTTCATATCCTCCCTCTCTAGTCGGAATTAGTGTCTGTTTTAGAAATGAGGAAATGGGCTCTGGGCGAATCCTGGCCAGGGTGAGTGGTGTTGAGATGATGAGTTTTTGCTGCAGTTGGGAAAGGCAGGCTTGGAGTCTGATGTGGAAGGACGCGAGGATGGCGTCCCGGGTTCAGGCCACGGATGAGGCCAAAGGGGAGCAGAAAGGACAGTGTGAGCGAGAAGGGAAGGGAGGGAACAAGTGAGGGAGCCTGGGAAGGTGTTGGCCCAAGACGAAACCCTGGATGCTGGCAGCTGGGGAGCAAGGTGATGTTCTTTAAAAGAGAATTCACAGTCTTCAGCACAGGGGCGGCAGGTCGCTCCTGCTGCTCAGGCTGGCTGGCACCAGGGCTGCTCCCAGGCTCACTGTCGGGGACCCAGCCGTCTCTCAGCCACACCCCATGCCCTAGCATACGCAGCCCCTAGGGCCCAGTTGGGAAAGCCCCAGTCCCACCTCTGGCCACGTCGCTTTGGGCTACATGTGTCGCCTTCCTGAGCTTTAGCTCTCTTGAAGATGGGGGTCAGGCAGATCCACGTTACTGTGATATAATATCTGTAAAGCTTCTAGCCCAGGGCCTGGCACATAGTGCTTAGAGAATTTTCCTTCCTTCCTAATTTCCCTACTGAAGGAACAACTTTTTTAAAGTAACTCTTGAAAAGTTAGGGTCCCATTACATTCAGGATATCGTGTGTTTGGGCTGGTCTAGTCATCAGACCTGAGGAACACGAAGGCTATAGAGGGCAGAGCCCCAGGCTGCAGGTGCTGAGGAACTGCCGCTGCCTGGGCCACCACGCGCCCCAGGGAGGGGCCCACAAGTAGCAGCTCGCAGAGCCAACTGGCCAGGCAGACCCTGGCTGCTGACATGTGCTTCATTCTTCACTGGGGAGCTGGTGTGGGGTCCTGTTCTTCTGAGTAATGAGCAAGATTGGGGTGCAGGCCCAAGACTGCTGTGTATTGGTAAAGAGGGCAAACCCTGCCCTGTCCCCTCCTTGAGCAGAGCCTGGCAGGGTACGTGTGGGCATTGGCCTTGATTCACACGGGCATCCTGCAGCCCCAACAAGATGACACCCTTCTGTGTTCTTGGAGGTAGGTGCCCATTAGCTCAACTGCTGGCCTGCATTCCCAGGGCTTGCTTTTACTTGTCTGTGGTGATGTTGTGCCATGGCCTCTGTGTGTGTTCCTGCTTATTGGTGTTTTCTGCCAAGTAGTCAGGAACCTCCTTGGGCAAGAGCATGTGCATGTACGTGCTTGGGAACAGCTCAATCTTAGCTCCCGCAGGCCCCAGCCGCCTTAGCAGTTCTGCGTGTGTGAACTTTATGGAAGCAGAAAGGGCTGGTGACACTTGGGTTCTTGGGGTTTGTCAGGGGAGGGCACCAAATTGGTCTTGAGGAAGCAGTTAGGTGAGCCCCAGTGACAGTCTTAAGCACAGTGATTGGCAGATAGCAAGTGAAGGAGGGGCAAGGCTGCCACCACTTCTGGCTTCTGGTGAAATTTTACTGGACTGATTCCTAGGAAACTGCTGTTTGTCTTTGAGACCTTTCCACATCAGATGGCCCATGAAGCGTTCCACAGGGACCTTTGGTACAATCCATCTGTCCTACGTGGGCCATCAGAATCCCCTTCTGCACATGGGCTGGAAGAGGAGAGAAGCCCTCCAGCCTGGGGATGGGAGACCTAGGGGTCTCAGGTTCCTGAGAGGTCGAAAGGATTAACATAGTCCAGCTCTGTCTGAGCCTCAGAAAACCTGCCCTCCCTGTTAGAGGCCATGGGAAGAGTGTTCTTTTTAAGCATGAAGAACTGACTGTGGGCCAGGTGTAGTGGCTCACGCCTGTAATCCCAACACTTTGGGAGGCCGAGGTGGGCAGATCAGCTGGGGCCAGGAGTTCTAGACCAGCCTAACATGGCAAAACCACATCTCTCCTAAAAATACAAAAATTAGCCGGGTGTGGTGGCGTGCACCTGTGATCCCAGCTATTTGGGAGGCTGAGGCACAAGAATCACTTGAACCCAGGGGGCAGAGGCTGCAGTGAGCCAAGAGCACACCACTACACTCCAGTCTGGGCAATAGAGCAAGACTGTCTCAAAAAAAAAAAAAAAAAAAAAAAAAAAAGACTGTCATTAGCCAAGCATGGTGGCGTGTACCTGTAGTCCCAGCTACTTGGAAGGCTGAGGTGGGAGGATTGCTTGAGCCCAGGAGGTCAAGGCTGCAGGGAGCCAAGGCGACAGAGCGATGTCTTGTCTCAAAAACAAACAACTAGCTGTGTTGACTAGAGGCAGCTGTGAAACTGTCCTAAAAGGCTGGACTTCGAGAAGTTTCTTCCACAGATTGACCAGGTACTGTAGGTTTCAGTCACAACTGGGGTCCTGACACTGGCAAAACCCCACCAGCTGCCCCACAAGTGGGGCCTGCCCTGAGGTCAGGGAGTTCTCTGCTGTACTGGTTCCTTTATGCACTAGGAAGGCAGACATGCCCTGAGGAGCCCTCAGAGTCCAACCCCAGCACCCCCACTAGGTCATTGCTGCCTTTAATCACATTCCAGATCCAGAGCCACACAGTGGCCCTGGCATTGGTCTCGGGTGTGTCCCATATCAGCAGCACATCTGCAGAGGGGCGTGAGTGCAGGCTCCCTGCTGAAAGCTCCCAGGGGTACCACGGAACAGCGGCTGTTGGTGGTGGACCCTGTGGAGGCTCCTGGCCTTCACTGTGTGTCCCTTGTCTTCCAGGTGAGACTGTGGAGATGAGAAGGTGGTGGACACTCGTGATGGAATGGAAATCGTCCTACCGTGCAGCCACACCCTGCCCTGCCCCGCCCCGCCCCGCCCGCGTGCCTGCCCATGCCAGCACTTCCTTAAGTTCTCACATCACACTCAAACCAGTGACACCACAGGAAAGAAAGACCCAAGACGTTGGAATGGCTGTTTCCATGGACACAATCTCCATAGTGACAATGTGGGGGGAGGGGGGAGGGGTGGGATGATGGGGAAAGGGTGGGGGGAATTAAAAGGGAGGGATAAATATATATATATAAATCTATTTTTAGTCTGGAAAGACTTTGTTTAAATGAAAGGTGCGCTATCCCTTTTGATTCTGTTTTAAAATTATCTCGTTAAAGATCTCCAAATTTGTTCCGATGACAAGTGAAATTTAAATGTGAGATTGAACTGAACAAACCCTCATCTCATGAAGGACGGGGTGTGTGTGTGGCGTTGATCTTTAGCCTGTCTCACACCAGTTCAGAAAACACTAGACCCAGGATTGAAAAAGCAAACCACAGCAGAACCATCCTTTTGTCATTAATTTGTCTCAAAGTGGGAAGGTTTTGGGGGAGGGGGAAATACAGGGATGGTCCATGTTTTCAAGAGTAGGGGAATGATGTTTAAACACAAAAATAAATTTTTTTTCATTTCCAGAAACACTATTTATTTATGGTTTTTTTTTTTTAATTTTTTCTTTTTGGGGGTGAAATTGGCAGATGCCTGAGGTCATAGCTGTGTCCTGGGTCACTGTGGCTGGTGAGGACCTCAAGGACCCCATCAAGTGTACACAGCAGCAGCAAAATCAAGGGATGACCCTCCTCTGGGGCCCCCTGTCCTCAGCACATTCCAGGCAGCTGTGCCCTGACCCACAGGGACCCGTGGGGATGGGAGGAGGTCCAGGCCTGTGTTGCCAGAGCTGGCAGTGTGAGCTGTAGGCAGGGACGGGGAGGGACTGTCGCTGTGATCAGAGTGGGTTAAGCTGACCAGGAACACCCATTTAACCCCTTTTTCTTTTTGCTTTCATTTTTATAAAGGAAAAGAGGACCTGTCAGATAGGCAGCCCCATGCTACGTGATTCTTTATGTTGTGTTGTTTTGTTTTGTAAATTGTATAATTTTTAAATATCTGAGTTTTAAAAAAAGAAAAAAGTACAAAAAAATCTTGTTATGGCCTTAAGAAGGGGTTAGTGCATCTTTCAGGGGTCACTCTGCCATGGGGATAAAATAGCTGTTTCACAAACAGTTTTATTTAAAAAAACAAAAAACAAAAAAAATCAAAAAATCAAAAAAATAATAAACTTCATTTTAACCTTGTTTCCTCTTCTGTTTACTTTAAAGTGAATGCGTCTCTTCCTTCTCCCATTCTAACCCCCAAAGGGTAGCTCTGGTTCTCCAGAGGAGGCCATGATCAGAACCTGTCTGTCCCATTCCTGGCCTCTCGATGGCCACGCAGCCGGGAAGCAAACAAAATATAGGGTTCTTCTGCCACTCCTCTGGGCAGGTGGAGTGTGGCCAGTGTATGGGGACAGTCAGATTTACTCAAGTTGATATGAAGACATATTTCCAATCAACATTAAGGGTTATAAAAAAATAATGGAATGTTAATGGACTTTTTTAGAGAATGGAAATACTGGAAGGAATATTGTGAAGCAGAAATAAGCAATTATAAATGAGTTCTGTGTTCATCAATTTGGGGCAGCAGAAATGGCAGATTAATTGTATTTTAATGGCTACATCAAGCAGTCCATTTCTCATTTCACTCCGCCAGGATGGAGGTGTGGGTGGGTGCGCCGTGCCGGCCGTAGGACCAAGCTTAGGCAACTGAACAGGACCTGCACAGAAATGATGGCTTTTTTGAGCTAGTTGTTGTCTCATTCTGGTCTTGACTTGGCATTAATACAGTTAAAATGAAATGGATAGACTTCAGGTGTCAAGGGCTAAACCACAAAACTTGAAAAATATGTATCTTGAGGAAAATATTTTCCTGACAGCAAATGTTTGTCATTTTGTCTTTTATTCTTTTGTCCCCTTTTGATTTGCCTGAGTGGAGCACTTGTGATTGTTCTAGGTCTTTCCTTAAATTGGCTTCAGTAATGACCTTCACTGGGGAGTGGCAGTGATACACGCATGCCTCCTGACTCCAGTTTCTGGCTTCTGCAGTTCTCCTCAACTGCTCAAGTGCCTTTTAGTTCCTTTAGTGTTTGTCTTAATTGATTTTTTTAAAGTAGTTTTATGTTCACAGAAGGATTAAGCTGACGGTACAGACAGTTCCCATATAACCCCTTCCCCCCGTATGCATACCTTTCCCTCTATCAACATCCCAACCAGAGTTGGCATACTGTTTTCACCCAAAGTCCATAGTTTATACTAGGGGCCACTCCCGGTGGTGTACATTTTATGGCCTTTGACAAATGTATAAAGACCTGGATCTGGCAGGGCGTGGTGGCTCTCGCCTATAATCCCAGCATTTTGGGAGGCTCAGGTGGGTGTATCGCTTGAGTTCGAGAACAGCCTGGGCAACATGGCGAAACCCCATCTCTACATAAAAATACAAAAATTAGCCAGGCATGATGGTGCATGCCTGTAGTCTCAGCTACTTGGGAGGCTGAGATGGGAGGATCACTTGAGCCCAGGAGGTCGAGGCTACAGTGAGTCGTGATCGCGCCACCACACTTCAGCCTGGGTGACAGCAAAATCCTGTCTCAAAAAGACGAGGACGCACCATGATCCAGAGTAGTTTCACTGCTCCAGGGATCCTCCGTGTCCCACTGTTCATTCCTCCTTAGCCCCAGTCCCTCACCGCTGAGCCTTTTACTGTCTGCAAAGTTTTGCCTTTTCCAAAGTATCATATAGTTGAGATTAGATAGTAGGTAGCCTTTTTTAGATTGGCTTCATTCACTTAGTAATGTGCATTTAAGGTTCACCCGTGTCTTTTCATGACTTGATAGCTTGTTTCTTTTTAGTGATAAATAATTCCATTGTCTGGCTGTACCACAGTTTATCCATTCAACTGCTGAAGAACATCTTGGTTGCTTTCAAGTTTTGACAATTACAAATGAAGCTGCTGTAAACATCCCTTTGCAGGTTTTTGTGTGGACATAAGGCCTCAACTCCTTTGGGTAAGTACAGGAAGCACGATTGGTGGATTGTATGGTAAGAGTATGTCTAGTTTTGTAAGAAATTGCCAAACTGTCTGGATCACCTGAGGTCAGGAGTTTGAGACCAGCCTGGCCAACATGGTGAAACCCTGTCTCTACTAAAAATACAAAAATCAGCCAGGCATGGTGGCTCACGCCTGCAGTCCCAGCTAAACGGGAGGCTGAGGTGGGAGGATTGCTTGAACGCAGGAGGCAAAGGTTCCAGTGAGCTGAGATCATCGTGCCACTGCACTCCTAGCCTGGGTGACAGAGTGAGTGAGACTCTGTCTCAAAAAAAAAAAAAAAAAAAAAAAAACTGAGAAAAGGAAAAGAAATTGCCAAACTTTCTTCCAAAGTGTCTGTACCATTTTGTACTCCCACCAGCAATGAATGAGTTCCTGATGCTCCACATCCTTGCCAGCATTTGGTGTTGTCAGTGTTCTGGATTTAAGCCATTCTAATAGGTGTGTATATAGCCATTTATTTTTTTAATACTCATAAAGTTTTTAAATTGTGGTTAAAAAAATGTACCATCATAACAGTCACAGTACAGTTTAGTGGGAAATGTGTTCAGATTGTTGTGCAACCAATCTCCAGAATTTTTCATTTTATACAACGGAAGCTTTACCCATTAAACTGCCCCCCTGCAGGCTGGCCCTGCCCCTGGAGCTTTCCATTTCTGTTTCTAGGGTACAAGCAGCCCTCGATACCCACAGGCTCCGCATCCACAAATTCAACCACACATCAAAGATAACTTGAGAAAGTATAACAACTAAAAATACAAATAAGAGCAGTACAGTATAGCAACTATTTATGTAGCATTTACACTGTATTAGGCATTACAAATAATCTAGAGATGATTTAAAGTATACAGGAGCATTTGCATAGGTATACTATGCCATTTTACATAAGGAACCTGAGCATCCTTGGGTTTTGGTATTTACCGGGGGTCCTGGCACCAATCCCCTCCAGGATACCCAGACACAACTATTCCACTGCCCATAACCCCGTCCCCTTGCAGCTGTGGAAACGCAGAGGTGCTGCTCTGAGGGCAGACAGACCCCACCACTCAGCACTCTTGAGTCGGACCCAGCAGAAACCCATCCCATGGGAGGAGCTGGGAATTGGAGGGTCTCTCCCAGTAGCATTGCTATGCCTGGCAGGGGGAAGGGCAAGAACAAGCAAAATGCTCCAACTTGACTACCCTTCCCAGTGCAGTCCCTCCCTGGCTCTGCACTAGCTGGCATTGCAGCATCCTAACTAGTTTCTAGAATTCTCACGATGTTTTGGTCTCCTATAGCTTTAACATTGAGCTCTCTAGGAGAACGAGAGCCCGCAGTTTCCTAGTCTACCACTTGCTGACATATTTTCACACCATCTCACTTGGCAACGTCCATAGGGCCTGCCAGGGCACAGTGCACTTTTTACCATGACACAGCAGTACCACTGTTCAGGGAAGGCAGGTTGGATCTGTTTCCTAAAAATAATAAATCCCAGAAACATCTATACTGACCATTAATAGAATGTAATGTCCAAACAGTATAGAATAGTAGCTCAGCATACACATTGGATGTGGACTCCTAACACCGCTGTGTGACTTGAACCTTGTTATGTGATCTCTGAGCCTCAGTCTCTGTGCCTTGGGGACCATAAAACCACCTCCTTAGGGGGCTGTGGGAGGATTAATGAGCTAGAGCACACAGTCTGACCAGCAGTTTCTGGCACATAAGTGCCCGATCAATGGAAGCCACAGGTGCACAATGATTGGAAAAGGCCACAGGCATTGTTATTAAATGTTTTCCTCATGCTGCCATATCTTGAATTACAGGCCTCTGGCTGGTAAGGAGGGCACTCGGGAGGACACTGCCCACATTGCAGGCATGCCTGTCCCTGCCCTTCACACCCCCATCATGATTCATGATGACTGCTTGGGGAGGGCCTGACACCTCAAAAGGCCAAGAGTGCATACAGGTAATGTATAAAGGGCCACCATGTAACAAGCACCCAGACCATCCTGCTGTCCCTGCACCTTGATTCTCTCACAGTCCCAAATAGAACAGTGCTGCCATGTAGGACAGGAACATTCATTCAGCTGAGGCCAGTTTGGGAGACCACAAGCCAGATCTGAGAAGTCCCCAGATAGGCATGGGTCTTGCTCTCTCTGTCAGTTGAGTAGCTTCAAAACTTCTGTTGGGCCAGGTGGCTCATGCCTCTATTTCCAACACTTTGGGAGGCCAAGGCAGGAGGATCACTTGAAGCCAGGAGTTCCAGACCAGCGTGGGCAACATAGTGAGGACCCATCTCAACAAAAAAATTAGCCGAGCGTAATGATGTGCACCTGTAGTTCCAGCTACTCAGGACGCTAAAATAGGATCTCTTGATTGAGCACAGGAGTTTGAGTGAGCTATGATCACAGCTCTGCACTCCAGCCTGGGCAACAGAGCAAGATCTTGTCTCTAAAAAATATATATATATTTTTAAATTTTAAATAAACTGTTCTCCCTGCCTTTTGTTCCCCAGATCCAGTCTTCATCCAGACCTGAAAAGACCCAGGCTCCAGCTGCTGGCCTCCTGCTGCCCCTCAGGCCACCTGCACAGGAAATTCCAGGGGTGGGTTGGTCCCACTGCCAGTGCCGTGGCCTACAGTGCTAGGCAGCCCCTCAGTCAGCTAGACAAAGTTCTCCATGAATCCTTCCCAGAAAGTCCTGTTCCAGCCTGGGACAACGTCCCCATGGACCCTCATGGCACTGCTGGCTTGTCATGTCAGCTATGTTACCTTCCTACTCCCCGTGGTCATCATTACGTTGGGGCATTGACTCACAGCCTTACCACCATGCTCCCAGTACACAGCCCAGCACCCAGTACAATCCATACCTCCAACTTGGGTGGAGCTCCCATGCCAGGCCACCTCTCGCCCACCACCCTAATCTGGGTAGGCAACTAGAGCGAGCAGGGGCAAGGACCTCTGCAGCAGCCCATACCCGCCCTGGCCTGACCCTGCACCCACTGGCAGCACAGTCAACACAGCAGGTTGGCTCACAGCAGAAGGCAAAGGCCATCATCAGCTCCCTTTATAAGGGAACGGTCATGCACTGGGTGTGCTGAGAGTGTCCTGCCTGGTCCTCTGTGCCTGGTGGGGTGGAGGTGCCAGGTGTGTCCAGAGGAGCCCAATGGGCAGTGAGGCAGCCATGGGGCTGGATGCACTGGTGCCCCTGGCAGTGACAGTGGCCATCTTCCTGCTCCTGGTGGACCTGATGCAGCAGCACCAACGCTGGACTGCACGCTACCCGCCAGGCCCCCTGCCACTGCCCGGGCTGGGCAACTTGCTGCATGTGGACTTCCAGAACATATACACCTTCAACCAGGTGAGGGAGGAGGTCCTGAGGATCCCCCACCACCAGCAAACATGGGTGGTGGGTGGAGCCACAGTCTGGACAAGAAGCCAGGCTGAGAAGGGGAAGCAGATTTGAGGGACTTCCTGGGGGAGGGCATTTATGCATGGCATGAAAGATGGGATTTTCCAAAGGCCAAGGAAGAGTAGGGCAAGGGCCTGGAGGTGGAGCTGGACTTGGCAGTGGGCGTGCAAGCCCATTGGGCAGCATATGTTAGGAGCACAAAGTCCCCTCTGCTGACACCAGAAGGAAAGGCCTTGGGAATGGAAGACGAGTCAGGGTCCTGTGTGCCGTTTAAATCAGGAAATCAGGCTGTGCGTGGTGGCTCACGCCTATAATCCCAGCACTTAAGGAAGCCAAGGTGGGCGGATCACCTGAGGTCAGGGGTTCCAGATGAGTCTGGCCAACATGGCAAAAACCGGTCTCTACTAAACATACAAAAAATGAGCTGGGCACAGTGGTGCACGCCTGCAATCCCAGCTACTTGGGAGGCTGAGGCAGGAGAATTGCTTGAACTTAGGAGGCAGAGGTTGTAGTGAGTGGAGATTGTGCCATTGCCTTGCAACCTCGGTGACACAGCCAGACAATGTCTAAATAAACGAATAAGAAATCAGGCCGGGCGCGGTGGCTCACGCCTGTAATCCCGGCCCTTTGGGAGGCTAAGGCGGGCGGATCATGAGGTTAGGAGATCGAGACCATCCTGGCTAACACAATGAAACCCGTCTCTACTAAAGATACAAACCAATTAGCCAGGCGAGGTGGTGGGCACCTGTAGTCCCAGCTACTTGGGAGGCTGAGGCAGGAGAATGGCATGAACCCATGAGGCAGAGCTTGAAGTGAGCTGAGAACACACCATTACACTCCAGTCTGGGCGACAGAGCGAGACTCTGTCTCAAAAAAAAAAAAAAAAAAAAAAAAAAAAAAAATCAACGGCTGGGCGCGGTGGCTCACACCTGTAATCCCAGCATCTTGGGAGACCAAGGTGGGGGGATCACAAGGTCAGGAGTTCGAGACCAGCCTGGCCAACATGGTGAAACCCTGCCTCTACTAAAAATACAAAAATTAGCGGGGCACGGTGGTGGGCACCTGTAATCCCAGCTACATGGGAGGCTGAGGCAGGTGAATTGCTTGAACCCGGGAGGTGGAGGTTGCAGTGAGCCAAGATCGCGCCATTGCGCTCCAGCCTGGGTGACAGAGCCAGACATGGTCTAAATAAATGAGTAAGTTAGAAATCAAGGATGAAGGGATATAGTGGACCCGGTTCAAACCTTTTGCACTGTGGGTCCTCGGGCCTCACTGCTCACCGGCATGGACCATCATCTGGGAATGGGATGCTAACTGGGGCCTCTCGGCAATTTTGGTGACTCTTGCAAGGTCATACCTGGGTGACGCATCCAAACTGAGTTCCTCCATCACAGAAGGTGTGACCCCATCCCCGCCCCAGGATCGGGAGGCTGGGTCTCCTCCTTCCACCTGCTCACTCCTGGTAGCCCCGAGGGTCGTCTAAGGTTCAAATAGGACTAGGACCTGCAGTCTGGGGGGACCCTGGCCTGATGGAGGCCCTGACCCAACGGAGGCCCTGACCCTCCCTCTACAGCTGCGGCACCGCTTTGGGGACGTGTTCAGCCTGCAGCTGGCCTGGATGCCGGTGGTCGTGCTCAATGGGCTGGCGGCCGTGCGTGAGGCTCTGGTGACCTGCGGCGAGGACACCGCCGACCGCCCGCCTGCGCCCATCTACCAGGTCCTGGGCATCGGGCCGCGCTCCCAAGGCAAGCGGCGGTGGGGGACAGAGACTGCGTTTCCGTGGGTCCTGGGTGGGCGGTGACCGTAGCCCAAGCTGGGCTGAGAGGGCGCGGGGTTGTGGGCCAGTGAGTGGGTTGGGGACAGCGAGCCAGGAAACCACTTCCATTGGGGAGGTGCGAGTCTGTGGGCGGGAGGAAGAGGGGCTTGTGAGTGGGCGGGGCAACTGCCGAGACCCACCAGGAACCGGGTGGGCGGAGCTGGCGCCTTTCCCAGCTGGAAGCGGGTGTCTAGAAGCCGGGATGGACTCTGCTGTGGGCTCAGTATGGGCGGGGCGGGACGGGCGGGATCTTCCCTGAGTGGAAAGGCAGTCAGGGTCGGAAGAGCCAAGGTGGGGCCAAGACCCAAGCAAGGTGAGTGAGCAAAGAGCAGGCCCTGTGCCCAGCTGGACAGGGCCAGGGACTGCGGGAGACCAGGAAAAGCACAGGGTTGGAGTGGGCGGCGGAGGGCGGGGCCAAGGCCTCCATGACCACGCCCATGTGTCCGTCCCGCCCCCAGGGGTGTTTCTGGCACACTACGGACACGCGTGGCGCGAGCAGAGGCGCTTCTCCGTGTCCACCTTGCGCAACTTGGGCCTGGGCAAGAAGTCCCTGGAGCGGTGGGTGACCGAGGAGGCCGCCTGCCTCTGTGCCGCCTTCGCCGACCAAGCCAGTGGGTGATGGGCAGAGGGGCACAAAGCGGGAACTGGGAAGGTGGAGGACTGGGAAGGCGACCCCTGACCCGCATCTCCCGCCCCCAGGACGCCCCTTTCACCCCAACGGCCTCCTGAACAAAGCGGCGAGCAACGTGATCGCCTCCCTCACCTGCGGGTGCCGCTTCGAGTACGACGACCCTCGCTTCCTCAGGCTACTGGACCTAGCTCAGAAGGGATTGAAGGAGGAGCTGGGCTTTCTGTGAGAGATGTGGAGCGAGGGACCGCAGGGTCTCTGCAGGGCGAGCTCCTGAGAGGTGCCGGGACTGCAGCCGGACCTCCAAGGAGCAGGGTTTGCATAGAGTGGTTTGGGAAAGGACATTCCAGAAGAGCTCACTGCTAGAGGAAGGGCCTTGAGGAGGAGGAGACATCTCAGATACGGTCGTGGGAGAGGTGTGCCCGGGTCAGGGGGCACCAAGAAAGGCCAAGGACCCTGTGCCTCCTGTCCACATTGGAGATTTTGATTTTTAGGTTTCTCCTCTGGCAGCCCAGGGCAAGGAGAGAGGGTGGAGGCTGGCACTTGGGGAGGGACTTGGGGAGGTGAGTGGTGGGGACAGGTAGGCCCTGGGTCTTCCCTGGAGGCAGCTGGGGCCTGAGACTGGTCCAGGTGAACGCAGAGCACAGGAGGGATTGAGACCCCGTTCTGTGTCAGCTGTAGATGCTGAATGTTGTCCCCCTCCTCCTGCGCATCCCAGGGCTGGCTGGCAAGGTCCTACGCTCCCAAAAGGCTTTCCTGACCCAGCTGGATGAGCTGCTGACCGAGCACAGAATGATCTGGGACCCAGCCTAGCCACCCCGAGACCTGACTGAGGCCTTCCTGGCAGAGAAGGAGAAGGTGAGAGTGGCTGACACGGTAGGGACCAGGGGTGGTGGGTTGAGCGTCCGGGAGGAATGAGGCAGGCAAAAGGTGGGTCCATTGGATCACTTGGCAAGTGGCACCTGGGCTGACAGGTGCAGAATGTGGAGGTCATTTGGGGGCTTTCCCGTTCTGTCCCCTGAGTACCCTCTCAGCCCTGCTCAGGCCAAGGGGAACCCTGAGAGCAGCTTCAATGATGAGAACCTGCGCATGGTGGTGGCTGACCTGTTCTTTGCCGGGATGGTGACCACCTCGATCACGCTGGCCTGGGGCCTCCTGCTCATGATCCTACGCCCGGATGTGCAGCGTGAGCCCAGCTGGGGCCCAGTGCAGGGGGCAAGGGAGGAAGGGTACAGGTGGGGGCCCCTGAGCTTAGCTGGGACACCCGGGACTCCAAGCACAGGCTTGGCCAGGTTCCTGTAAGCCTAACCTCCTCCAACACAGGAGGCAGGAGAGTGTCAGGGCTGGTCCCCTGGGTGCTGACCCATTGTGGGGACGCGTGTCTGTCCAGGCCGTGTCCAACAGATCGACAACGTGATAGGGCAGGTGTGGTGACCAGAGATGGGTGACCAGGCTCGCATGCCCTGCACCACTGCCGTGATTCACGAGGTGCAGCGCTTTGGGGACATCGTCCCCCTGGGTGTGACCCATATGACATCCCGTGACATCGAAGTACAGGGCTTCCGCATCCCTAAGGTAGGCCTGGCACCCTCCTCACCCCAGCTCAGCACCAGCCCCTGGTGATAGCCCCAGCATGGCCACTGCCAGGTGGGCCCAGTCTAGGAACCCTGGCCACCCAGTCCTCAATGCCACCACATCGACTGTCCCAGCCTGGGTGTGGGGTGCAGAGTATAGGCAGGGCTGGCCTGTCCATCCAGAGCCCCAGTCTAGTGGGGAAGGCAGACCAGGACCTGCCAGAATGTTGGAGGACCCCAATACCTGTAGGGAGAGGGGGTAGCGTGGGCGCTCCCAGGAGGTGTGACTGCGCCCTGCCATGGGGTCGGAGAGGGTGCTCTGGAGCTTCTCGGGCACAGGACTAGTTGACAGAGTCCAGCTGTGTGCCAGGCAGTGTGTGTCCCCTGTGTGCTTGGGGGTCCCAGCATCCTAGAGTCCAGTCCCCACTCTCACCCTGCATCTCCTGCCCAGGGGATGATGCTCTTCACCAACCTGTCATCGGTGCTGAAGGATGAGGCCGTCTGGGAGAAGCCCTTCCGCTTCCACCCCGAACACTTCCTGGATGCCCAGGGCCACTTTGTGAAGCTGGAGGCCTTCCTGCCTTTCTCAGCAGGTGCCTGTGGGGAGCCCGGCTCCCTGTCCCCTTCCGTGGAGTCTTGCAGGGGTATCACCCGGGAGCCAGGCTCACTGACGCCCCTCCCCTCCCCACAGGCCGCCGTGCATGCCTCGGGGAGCCCCTGGCCCGCATAGAGCTCTTCCTCTTCTTCACCTCCCTGCTGCAGCACTTCAGCTTCTCGGTGCCCACCGGACAGCCCCGGCCCAGCCACTCTCGTGTCGTCGGCTTTCTGGTGACGCCATCCCCCTATGAGCTTTGTGCTGTGCCCCGCTAGAGTTGCTCCTCAGCTGGGACCCTGTTGTACAATAAATTAGTCTAGTGGCTCCCACTTGGTTTCTGTATCCAGTCTGGGCCCCTGCCAAGGTCCTGGTTGTGTTGGGTCGTCAGTCACCTGCCTGATGTCAGTGCTCACCCCTCACCCCTCACCCCTCACCTCATTCATTCATTTTTTTTTTTTTTTTTTTGAGATGGAGCCTACTCTGTCACCCAGGCTGGAGTGCAGTGGTGCAATCTCAGCTCACTGCAACCTCCGCCTCCAGAGTTCAAGCGATTCTCGTGCCTCAGCTTCCTGAGTAGCTGGGATTACAGGCACCGGGTACCACCCCCGGCTCATTTTTGTCTTTTTAGTAGTGATGGGTTTCGCCATGTTGGCCAGTCTGGTTTCAAACTCCTGACTTCACGTGACCACCAGCCTCAGCCTCCCAAAGTGCTGGGATTACAGGCGTGAGCCACCGAGACCAGCCTCACCTCATTCACTCTTACCTGGACGCCTGACTTTACTTGAGATACAGGCATAGTGATTCTCAGCAGGAAACAGCCTGCCCCCACGTCACGCCCAGAGACCCATCACTGGCTGCCTGGCTTGGTGACAAAGTCCATGCGTAAGTCTTGGCTGGGGTGGATATGAATAGGCATATGCCAAGAATCAACCCATTCCCTGGCTAGGGTGGGAGACTGTGTTGTGCTCCCCCAGACCACCCTCAGGTTCAGTGATTTCTAGAAGGTCTCACAGCCCTAGAAAAGCTGTTATTCTCCCTGTTAACAGTTTATTACAGAGAAGGGTACAGATTAAAGTCAGCAAAGATGAAAGGCACAGGGACCAGAGTCCAGAATGACCAGGCCAAGGCTGCAGCTCTCTTTTCTGGTGGACTCCTACAGGCAGTGCTTAATTCTCCCCCAACAGTAAGTGAGGCAGCAGAGAGCCCTGCCAGCCACGGAAGCTCACCTGGGCCTTGGTGTCCATGGTTTTTGTTGGGAGTTGGTCATCCTAGGCTTGAGCCCCCGCAGCATGGCTGACCTCAGTTACTCAGTCTCCAGCCCCTCCTGAAGTCAGATGGATACAGGCCTGACGGCCCCACCCTCGATCACATTGTTGGCATAAACTGTGTTGTACGGTCCAAGGCCCTAGCTATGTACAAAGACACTATTTCAGGCAGGACATTCCAAGGCCTTAGCAGATATCTCCCAGCCTCCTGTCAAGAGTCAGTTTGGACTCTTGGTCCAGTGGCTTGCATTGTGCAAGGAATGACTTCCCCACTTTTTACTACACAGGCCACCCCTCTTGGCTCTAACAGCAAAATGATATTAGTTTGAGCATCTGTGTGTGTGTGTGTGTGTGTGTGTGTGTGTGTGTTTTCTTGAGACAGGGTCTTGCTCTGTCACCGAGGCTGGAGTGCAGTGATGCCATCAGGGCTCACTGCAGCCTTGACTTCCTGGGTTCAAGCAATCCTCCCATCTCAGCCTCCCTAGTAGCTGGGACTGCAGGCACATGCCACCATGCTTTGCTAATTTTTGTATTTTTTGTAGAGACGGAGTTTCACCATGTTGGCCAGGCTGCTTTCGAACTCCCTATCTCAGGTCATCTGACTGCCTCAGCCCCCCAGAGTGCTGGGATTACAGGTGTAAGCTACTGTGCCCAGCCAAATTTCCTTCCTAATTTCTTCATTGAACCACTGGCCATTCCGGACCATATTGTTTAATTTTCACGTGTATGTATAGTTTCCAGAATTCCTCTTGTTGTTGATTTCCACTTTTATTCTGTTGTGGTCAGAGAAGATGCTTGATATTATTTTAACATTTGTAATGTTTTAAGACTTGCTTTGTGACCTAACATATGGTGTATCCTTGAGAATGATCCATGTGCTGAGGAGAAGAATGTGTATTCTGCAGACTTTAGACGAAGTGTTCTGTAAGTATCTAGTAGGTCCATTTCTTTTGTAGTGCAGATTAAGTCTAATGTTTTCTTATTGGGTTTCCATCTGGGACACCCGTCCAATGCTGAATGTGGGGTGTTGACGTCTTTAGCTGTTATTGCGTTAACGTCTCTCTTGGGCTCCAATAACATTTGCTTTACGTGCTCCAGTGTTGTGTGCATATGTATTTACAATTGTTATATTCTGTTGCTGGATGACCTTCTTTGTCTCCTCTTACAGTTTTTTTGGTTGTTGTTGTTTGTTTGTTTTGTTTTGGAGACGGAGTCTCGCTCTGTCACCCAGGCTGGAGTGCAGTGGCGCGATCTTGGCTCACTGCAAGCTTCGCCTCCCAGGTTGACGCCATTCTCCTGCCTCAGCCTCCTGAGTAGCTGGGACTACAGGCGCCCGCCACCACGCCTGGCTAATTTTTTGTATTTTTAGTAGAGACGGGGTTTCACCATGTTAGCCAGGATAGTCTCAATCTCCTGACCTCGTGATCCGCCCGTCTTGGCCTCCCAAAGTGCTGGGATTACAGGCGTGAGCCACCACACCCGGCCTCCTCTTACAGTTTTTGTTTTAAAATCTGTTCTGTCTAAGTATTGCTACTCCTGCTCTTTTTTGTTTTCCATTGGCATGGAGTATCTTTTTCCATCCCTTTATTTTCAGTCCATGTGTATCTTTACAGGTGAAGTGTGTTTCTTCTAGACAAAAGAGCATTGAGCTTTGCTTTTTCATCCATTCAGCCACTCTGTGTCTTTGTATTGGAGAGTTTAGTCCATTTACATTCAATGTTATTATTGCTAAGCAGGGACTTACTCCTGCTATTTTGTTATTTCTTTTCTCACTGTTTTGTGGTCTTCTCTTTTTTTTTTTTTTTTTTTTTTTTTTCCTTGTCTTCCTTTTAATGAAGGTGATTTTCTCTGGTGGTATGATTTAATTTCTTGCTTTTTTGTGTGTGTGTATCCATTGTGTGTTTTTTCTTCTTTTCTTTTTGAGACACAGTCTCACTTATTGTGTGCTTTTTGATTTGAGGTTGCCGTGAGGCTTGCAAATATTATCTTATAACTCATTATTTTAAACGGATGACAACACTGATTGTGTAAACAAACATAAAGCAAAAGGAAGACTAATAAAAACTCTACACTTTAAGTTCATCTTAGTGCTTTTTAACTTTTTGTTGTTTCTCTTTTTTTGTTTTTGAGATAAAGTCTTGCTCTGTTGCCCAGGCTAGAGTGCAGTGGCACGATCTCAGCTCACTGTAACCTCCACTTCCCAGGTTCAACCGATTCTCCTGCCTCAGCCTCCTGGGTAGCAGGCGCCCACCACCATGCCCAGCTAAATTTTTTGTATTTTTAGTAGAGATGGGGTTTCACCATGTTGGCCAGGCTTGTCTCGAACTCCTGCCCTCAGGTGATCCACCCACCTCAGCCTTACAAAGTGCTGGGATTACCTGCGTGAGCCACCGGGTCCGGCCTCTTTATGTCTTACTGTACTGTCTGTCTTGAAAAGTACTTATTATTTTTGATTGGTTCATCATTTAGTCTAATTAAAATAAGAGTAGTTTACACACCACAATTACAGTATTATAATACTCTGTTTTTCTGTGTGCTTACTATTACCAGTGAGTTTTGTACCTTTAGATGATTTCTTCTTGCTCATTAATATCCTTTTTTTTTTCAGATTGAAAAACTCCCTTTAGCATTTCTTGTGGGATATAGGTCTGGTGTTGATGAAATCTCGCAGCTTTTGTTTGTCTGGGAAGGTCTTTATTTCTCCTTCCTGTTGGAAGGATATTTTTGCCAGATACGTTATTCTAGGCTAAAAGTTTTTTTTCCTTCAGCACTTTAAATATGTCATGCCACTCCCCCCTGGCCTGTAAGGTTTCCACTGGAAAGGTGGCTGCCCCATGTCATGTATTGGAGCTCTACTGCATGTTATTTGTTTCTTTTCTCTTGCTGCTTTTAGGATCCTTTCTTTATCCTTGACCTTTCGGAGTTTAATTATCAGATGCCTTGAGGTCGTCTTCTTTGGGTTAAATCTGCTTGGTGTTCTATAAACTTCTTGTACAAAAAATCAGCCAGGCATGGTGGTGGGCACCTGTAATCCCAGCTACTTGGGAGGCTGAGGCAGGAGAATCGCTTGAACCCTGGAGGTGGAGGTTGCAGTGAGCCGAGATCGCATCATTGCACTCCCACCTGGGCGACAGAGCAAAACTCCGTCTCAAAAAAAAAATTATTTGGGCTCGGTGGTGCCTGTAGTCCCAGCTACTTGGGAGGCAGGAGGTCCACTTGATGTTGAGATTGCAGTGAGCCATGATCCTGCCACTGCACTCCGGCCCGGGCAACAGAGTGAGACCCTGTCTAAAGAAAAAATAAAAATAAAAAAGCAACATATCCTAAATAAAGGATCCTCCATAATGTTTCCACCAGATTTCTAATCAGAAACATGGAGGCCAGGAAGCAGTGGAGAATGACGACCCTCAGGCAGCCCTGGAGGATGCTGTCACAGGCTGGGGCAACGGCCTTCAGGCTACCAACTGGGAGCTCTGGGAACAGCCCTGTTGCAAACAGGAAGTCATGGCCCGGCCAGAGCCCAGAATGTGGGCTGAGCTGGGATCCATGTGACAGCTTTGAGGCTCACCGGGAGCAGCCTCTGGACAGGAGAGGTCCCATCCAGGAAACCTCGGGCATGGCTGGGAAGTGGGGTACTTGGTGCCGGGTCTGTATGTGTGTGTGACTGGTGTGTGTGAGAGAGAATGTGTGCCCTGAGTGTCAGTGTGAGTCTGTGTATGTGTGAATATTGTCTTTGTGTGGGTGATTTTCTGCATGTGTAATCGTGTCCCTGCAAGTGTGAACAAGTGGACAAGTGTCTGGGAGTGGACAAGAGATCTGTGCACCATCAGGTGTGTGCATAGCGTCTGTGCATGTCAAGAGTGCAAGGTGAAGTGAAGGGACCAGGCCCATGATGCCACTCATCATCAGGAGCTCTAAGGCCCCAGGTAAGTGCCAGTGACAGATAAGGGTGCTGAAGGTCACTCTGGAGTGGGCAGGTGGGGGTAGGGAAAGGGCAAGGTCATGTTCTGGAGGAGGGGTTGTGACTACATTAGGGTGTATGAGCCTAGCTGGGAGGTGGATGGCCGGGTCCACTGAGACCCTGGTTATCCCAGAAGCCTGTGTGGGCTTGGGGAGCTTGGAGTGGGGAGAGGGGGTGACTTCTCCGACCAGGCCTTTCTACCACCCTACCCTGGGTAAGGGCCTGGAGCAGGAAGCAGCGGCAAGGACCTCTGGAGCAGCCCATACCTGCCCTGGCCTGACTCTGCCACTGGCAGCACAGTCAACACAGCAGGTTCACTCACAGCAGAGGGCGAAGGCCATCATCAGCTCCCTTTATAAGGGAAGGGTCACGCGCTCGGTGTGCCGAGAGTGTCCTGCCTGGTCCTCTGTGCCTGGTGGGGTGGGGGTGCCAGGTGTGTCCAGAGGAGCCCAGTTGGTAGTGAGGCAGCCATGGGGCTAGAAGCACTGGTGCCCCTGGCCATGATAGTGGCCATCTTCCTGCTCCTGGTGGACCTGATGCACCGGCACCAACGCTGGGCTGCACGCTACCCGCCAGGTCCCCTGCCACTGCCCGGGCTGGGCAACCTTGCTGCATGTGGACTTCCAGAACACACCATACTGCTTCGACCAGGTGAGGGAGGAGGTCCTGGAGGGCGGCAGAGGTCCTGAGGATGCCCCACCACCAGCAAACATGGGTGGTGGGTTAAACCACAGGCTGGATCAGAAGCCAGGCTGAGAAGGGGAAGCAGGTTTGGGGGACGTCCTGGGGAAGGACATTTATACATGGCATGAAGGACTGGATTTTCCAAAGGCCAAGGAAGAGTAGGGCAAGGGCCTGGAGGTGGAGCTGGACTTGGCAGTGGGCATGCAAGCCCATTGGGCAACATATGTTATGGAGTACAAAGTCCCTTCTGCTGACACCAGAAGGAAAGGCCTTGGGAATGGAAGATGAGTTAGTCCTGAGTGCCGTTTAAATCACGAAATCGAGGATGAAGGGGGTGCAGTGACCCGGTTCAAACCTTTTGCACTGTGGGTCCTCGGGCCTCACTGCTCACCGGCATGGACCATCATCTGGGAATGGGATGCTAACTGGGGCCTCTCGGCAATTTTGGTGACTCTTGCAAGGTCATACCTGGGTGACGCATCCAAACTGAGTTCCTCCATCACAGAAGGTGTGACCCCCACCCCCGCCCCACGATCAGGAGGCTGGGTCTCCTCCTTCCACCTGCTCACTCCTGGTAGCCCCGGGGGTCGTCCAAGGTTCAAATAGGACTAGGACCTGTAGTCTGGGGTGATCCTGGCTTGACAAGAGGCCCTGACCCTCCCTCTGCAGTTGCGGCGCCGCTTCGGGGACGTGTTCAGCCTGCAGCTGGCCTGGACGCCGGTGGTCGTGCTCAATGGGCTGGCGGCCGTGCGCGAGGCGATGGTGACCCGCGGCGAGGACACGGCCGACCGCCCGCCTGCGCCCATCTACCAGGTCCTGGGCTTCGGGCCGCGTTCCCAAGGCAAGCGGCGGTGGGGGACAGAGACCGCGTTTCCGTGGGCCCCGGGTGGACAGTGACCGTAGCCCAAGCAGCGCCGACAGGGCGTGGGGTCCTGGACGTGAAACAGAGATAAAGGCCAGCGAGTGGGCTGAGGACAGTGGGCCAGGAAACCACCTGCACGGGGGAGGTGCGAGTCTGTGGGCTGGGAGGGGGCGGGGCTACTGCCCAGACCCGCCAGAAGCCCGGTGGGCGAGGCTGATGCGTCGAAGTGGCGGTGGCGGGGACCGCGCCTATGCTGCGGGCTCAGTGTGGGCGGGACGGGCGGGATCTTCCTTGAGTGGAAAGGTGGTCAGGGTGGGCAGAGACGAGGTGGGGCCAAACCCCGCCCCAGGCAGGGGAGCAATGTGGGTGAGCAAAGAGTGGGCCCTGTGCCCAGCTGGACCGGGCTAGGGACTGCGGGAGACCTTGTGGAGCGCCAGGGTTGGAGTGGGTGGCGGAGGGTGGGGCCAAGGCCTTCATGGCAACGCCCACGTGCCCGTCCCGCCCCCAGGGGTGATCCTGTCGCGCTATGGGCCCGCGTGGCGCGAGCAGAGGCGCTTCTCCGTGTCCACCTTGCGCAACTTGGGCCTGGGCAAGAAGTCGCTGGAGCAGTGGGTGACCGAGGAGGCCGCCTGCCTTTGTGCCGCCTTCGCCGACCAAGCCGGTGGGTGATGGGCAGAAGGGCACAAAGCGGGAACTGGGAAGGCGGGGGACGGAGAAGGCAACCCCTTACCCGCATCTCCCACCCCCAGGACGCCCCTTTCGCCCCAACGGCCTCTTGGACAAAGCCGTGAGCAACGTGATCGCCTCCCTCACCTGCGGGCGCCGCTTCGAGTACGACGACCCTCGCTTCCTCAGGCTGCTGGACCTAGCTCAGGAGGGACTGAAGGAGGAGTCGGGCTTCCTGCGCGAGGTGCGGAGCGAGAGACCGAGGAGTCTCTGCAGGGCGAGCTCCTGAGAGGTGCCGGGGCTGGACTGGGGCCTCCGAAGGGCAGGATTTGCATAGATGGGTTTGGGAAAGGACATTCCAGGAGACCCCACTGTAAGAAGGGCCTGGAGGAGGAGGGGACATCTCAGACATGGTCGTGGGAGAGGTGTGCCCGGGTCAGGGGGCACCAGGAGAGGCCAAGGACTCTGTACCCCCGTCCACGTTGGAGATTTCGATTTTAGGTTTCTCCTCTGGGCAAGGAGAGAGAGGGTGGAGGCTGGCACTTGGGGAGGGACTTGGTGAGGTCAGTGGTAAGGACAGGCAGGCCCTGGGTCTTCCTGGAGATGGCTGGGGCCTGAGACTGGTCCAGGTGAACGCAGAGCACAGGAGGGATTGAGACCCCGTTCTGTCTGGTGTAGGTGCTGAATGCTGTCCCCGTCCTCCCGCACATCCCAGCGCTGGCTGGCAAGGTCCTACGCTTCCAAAAGGCTTTCCTGACCCAGCTGGATGAGCTGCTAACTGAGCACAGGATGACCTGGGACCCAGCCCAGCCACCCCGAGACCTGACTGAGGCCTTCCTGGCAAAGAAGGAGAAGGTGAGAGTGGCTGCCACGGTGGGGGGCAAGGGTGGTGGGTTGAACGTCCCAGGAGGAATGAGGGGAGGCTGGGCAAAAGGTTGGACCAGTGCATCACCCGGCGAGCCGCATCTGGGCTGACAGGTGCAGAATTGGAGGTCATTTGGGGGCTACCCCGTTCTATCCCCTGAGTATCCTCTCGGCCCTGCTCAGGCCAAGGGGAGCCCTGAGAGCAGCTTCAATGATGAGAACCTGCGCATAGTGGTGGGTAACCTGTTCCTTGCCGGGATGGTGACCACCTCGACCACGCTGGCCTGGGGCCTCCTGCTCATGATCCTACACCTGGATGTGCAGCGTGAGCCCAGCTGGGGCCCAAGGCAGGGACTGAGGGAGGAAGGGTACAGCTGGGGGCCCCTGGGCTTAGCTGGGACACCCGGGGCTTCCAGCACAGGCGTGGCCAGGCTCCTGTAAGCCTAACTTCCTCCAACACAGGAGGAAGGAGAGTGTCCCCTGGGTGCTGACCCATTGTGGGGACGCATGTCTGTCCAGTCCGTGTCCAACAGGAGATCGACGACGTGATAGGGCAGGTGCGGCGACCAGAGATGGGTGACCAGGCTCACATGCCCTGCACCACTGCCGTGATTCACGAGGTGCAGCACTTTGGGGACATCGTCCCCCTGGGTGTGACCCATATGACATCCCGTGACATCGAAGTACAGGGCTTCCGCATCCCTAAGGTAGGCCTGGCGCCCTCCTCACCCCAGCTCAGCACCAGCCCCTGGTGATAGCCCCAGCATGGCTACTGCCAGGTGGGCCCACTCTAGGAACCCTGGCCACCTAGTCCTCAATGCCACCACACTGACTGTCCCCGCTTGGATGGGGGGTCCAGAGTATAGGCAGGGCTGGCCTGTCCATCCAGAGCCCCCGTCTAGTGGGGAAGACAAATCAGGACCTGCCAGAATGTTGGAGGACCCAGCGCCTGCAGGGAGAGGGGGCAGTGTGGGTGCCTCTGAGAGGTGTGACTGCGCCCTGCTGTGGGGTCGGAGAGGGTACTGTGGAGCTTCTCGGGCGCAGGACTAGTTGACAGAGTCCAGCTGTGTGCCAGGCAGTGTGTGTCCCCCGTGTGTTTGGTGGCAGGGGTCCCAGCATCCTAGAGTCCAGTCCCCACTCTCACCCTGCATCTCCTGCCCAGGGAACGACACTCATCACCAACCTGTCATCGGTGCTGAAGGATGAGGCCGTCTGGAAGAAGCCCTTCCGCTTCCACCCCGAACACTTCCTGGATGCCCAGGGCCACTTTGTGAAGCCGGAGGCCTTCCTGCCTTTCTCAGCAGGTGCCTGTGGGGAGCCCGGCTCCCTGTCCCCTTCCGTGGAGTCTTGCAGGGGTATCACCCAGGAGCCAGGCTCACTGACGCCCCTCCCCTCCCCACAGGCCGCCGTGCATGCCTCGGGGAGCCCCTGGCCCGCATGGAGCTCTTCCTCTTCTTCACCTCCCTGCTGCAGCACTTCAGCTTCTCCGTGGCCGCCGGACAGCCCCGGCCCAGCCACTCTCGTGTCGTCAGCTTTCTGGTGACCCCATCCCCCTACGAGCTTTGTGCTGTGCCCCGCTAGAATGGGGTACCTAGTCCCCAGCCTGCTCCCTAGCCAGAGGCTCTAATGTACAATAAAGCAATGTGGTAGTTCCAACTTGGGTCCCCTGCTCACGCCCTCGTTGGGATCATCCTCCTCAGGGCAACCCCACCCCTGCCTCATTCCTGCTTACCCCACCGCCTGGCCGCATTTGAGACGGGTACGTTGAGGCTGAGCAGATGTCAGTTACCCTTGCCCATAATCCCATGTCCCCCACTGACCCAACTCTGACTGCCCAGATTGGTGACAAGGACTACATTGTCCTGGCATGTGGGGAAGGGGCCAGAATGGGCTGACTAGAGGTGTCAGTCAGCCCTGGATGTGGTGGAGAGGGCAGGACTCAGCCTGGAGGCCCATATTTCAGGCCTAACTCAGCCCACCCCACATCAGGGACAGCAGTCCTGCCAGCACCATCACAACAGTCACCTCCCTTCATATATGACACCCCAAAATGGAAGACAAATCATGTCAGGGAGCTATATGCCAGGGCTACCTCCCAGGGCTCAGTCGGCAGGTGCCAGAACATTCCCTGGGAAGGCCCCAGGAAAACCCAGGACCGAGCCACCGCCCTCAGCCTGTCACCTTGTGTCCAAAATTGGTGGGTTCTTGGTCTCACTGACTTCAAGAATGAAGCCGTGGACCCTCACGGTGAGTGTTACAGTTCTTAAAGATGGTGTGTTCAGAGTTTGTTCCTTCTGATGTTAAGACGTGTTCAGAGTTTCTTCCTTCTGGTGGGTGCGTGGTCTTGCTGGCTTCAGGAGTGAAGCTGCAGACCTTCACAGTGAGTGTTACGGCTCTTAAGGCTGCACGTACGGAGTTGTTCATTCTTCCTGGTGGGTTTGTGGTCTCACTGGCCTCAGGAGTGAAACTGCAGTCCTTCCAGTGTTACAACTCATAAAGGCAGTGTGGACCCAATGAGGGAGCAGCAGCAGCAAGACTTACTGCAAACAGCAAAAGAATGATGGCAACCAGGTTGCCGCTGCTACTTCAGGCAGCCTGCTTTTATTCCCTTATCTGACCCCCACCCACATCCTGCTGATTGGCCCATTTTACAGACAGTGGATTGGTCCACTTACAGAGAGCTGATTGGTGCATTTACAATCCCTGAGCTAGACACAGAGTACTGATTGGTATATTTACAAACCTTGAGCTAGACACAGAGTGCTGAATGGTGTATTTACAATCCCTTAGCTAGACATAAAGGTTGTCCCAGTCCCCACTAGATTAGCTAGATAGAGTAGACAGAGAGCACTGATTGGTGCGTTTACAAACCTTGAGTTAGACACAGGGTGCTGACTGGTGTGTTTACAAACCTTGAGCTAGACACAGAGTGCTGATTGGTGTATTTACAATCTTTTAGCTAGAAATAAAGGTTCCCCAAGTCCCCACCAGATTAGCTAGATAGAGTGCTAATTGGTGCATGCACGAACCCGGAGCTAGACACAGAGTGCTGATTGGTGCATATACAATCCTCTGGCTAGACATAAAAGTTCTCCAAGTCCCCACCTGACTCAGGAGCCCAGCCAGCTTCGCCTAGTGGATCCTATGCCAGGGCCACAGGCAGAGCTGCCTGCTAGTCCCACACCGGGCACCTGTACTCCTCAGCCCTTGGGCAGTGGACGGGACCAGGTGCCGTGGAGCAGTGGGAGGCACCCATCCGGGAGGCTCGGGCCTCGCAGGGAGCCCACCGTAGGGAGGCTTGGGCATGGCAGGCTGCAAGTCCTGAGCCCTGCCCCGCGGGGAGGTGACTGAGGCCTGGCGACAATTCAAGTGTGGTGAGCGCCGGCAGGCCAGCAGTACTGGGGGACCCGGTGCCCCCTCTGCAGCTGCTGGCCCAGGTGCTAAGCCCCTCACTGCCTGGGGCCAGAGGCACCAGCCGGCCGCTCCGAGTGCAGGGCCCGCTGAGCCCCTGCCCACCCAGAACTGGTGCTGGCCCGCGAGCAACCCAGGTTCCCGCACACGCCTCTCCCTCCATACCTCCCCGCAAGCAGACGGAGCCGGCTCCAGCCTCCACCAGTCCAGAGAGGGGCTCCCACAGTGCAGCGCTGGGCTGAAGGGCTCCTCAAGTGTGGTCAGAGCAGAAGCTGAGGCCGAGGAGGCGCTGAGAGCGAGCGAGGACCACCAGCACGTTGACACCTCTCAACCTCACCACAGGACTGGCCACCTCTCTGGGCCCTCAGGGATGCTGCTGTCTGGACCCCTGACCAGTGACGAGTTCGCACTCAGGGCCAGGCTGGCGCTGGAGGAGGACACTTGTTTGGCTCCAACCCTAGGTACCATCCTCCCAGTAGGGATCAGGCAGGGCCCACAGGCCTGCCCTAGGGACAGGAGTCAACCTTGGACCCATAAGGCACTGGGGCGGGCAGAGAAGGAGGAGGTGGCATGGGCAGCTGAGAGCCAGAGACCCTGACCCTAGTCCTTGCTCTGCCATTACCCCGTGTGACCCCGGGCCCACCCTTCCCCACCCTTCCCCACCCTTCCCCACCCCGGGCTTCTGTTTCCCTTCTGCCAACGAGAAGGCTGCTTCACCTGCCCCGAGTCCTGTCTTCCTGCTCTGCCTTCTGGGGCTGTGGCCCTTGCTGGCCTGGAGCCCCAACCAAGGGCAGGGACTGCTGTCCTCCACGTCTGTCCTCACCGACATAATGGGCTGGGCTGGGCACACAGGCAGTGCCCAAGAGTTTCTAATGAGCATATGATTACCTGAGTCCTGGGCAGACCTTCTTAGGGAACAGCCTGGGACAGAGAACCACAGACACTCTGAGGAGCCACCTGAGGCCTCTTTTGCCAGAGGACCCTACAGCCTCCCTGGCAGCAGTTCCGCCAGCATTTCTGTAAATGCCCTCATGCCAGGGTGCGGCCCGGCTGTCAGCACGAGAGGGACGTTGGTCTGTCCCCTGGCACCGAGTCAGTCAGAAGGGTGGCCAGGGCCCCCTTGGGCCCCTCCAGAGACAATCCACTGTGGTCACACGGCTCGGTGGCAGGAAGTGCTGTTCCTGCAGCTGTGGGGACAGGGAGTGTGGATGAAGCCAGGCTGGGTTTGTCTGAAGACGGAGGCCCCGAAAGGTGGCAGCCTGGCCTATAGCAGCAGCAACTCTTGGATTTATTGGAAAGATTTTCTTCACGGTTCTGAGTCTTGGGGGTGTTAGAGGCTCAGAACCAGTCCAGCCAGAGCTCTGTCATGGGCACGTAGACCCGGTCCCAGGGCCTTTGCTCTTTGCTGTCCTCAGAGGCCTCTGCAAAGTAGAAACAGGCAGCCTTGTGAGTCCCCTCCTGGGAGCAACCAACCCTCCCTCTGAGATGCCCCGGGGCCAGGTCAGCTGTGGTGAAAGGTAGGGATGCAGCCAGCTCAGGGGAGTGGCCCAGAGTTCCTGCCCACCCAAGGAGGCTCCCAGGAAGGTCAAGGCACCTGACTCCTGGGCTGCTTCCCTCCCCTCCCCTCCCCAGGTCAGGAAGGTGGGAAAGGGCTGGGGTGTCTGTGACCCTGGCAGTCACTGAGAAGCAGGGTGGAAGCAGCCCCCTGCAGCACGCTGGGTCAGTGGTCTTACCAGATGGATACGCAGCAACTTCCTTTTGAACCTTTTTATTTTCCTGGCAGGAAGAAGAGGGATCCAGCAGTGAGATCAGGCAGGTTCTGTGTTGCACAGACAGGGAAACAGGCTCTGTCCACACAAAGTCGGTGGGGCCAGGATGAGGCCCAGTCTGTTCACACATGGCTGCTGCCTCTCAGCTCTGCACAGACGTCCTCGCTCCCCTGGGATGGCAGCTTGGCCTGCTGGTCTTGGGGTTGAGCCAGCCTCCAGCACTGCCTCCCTGCCCTGCTGCCTCCCACTCTGCAGTGCTCCATGGCTGCTCAGTTGGACCCACGCTGGAGACGTTCAGTCGAAGCCCCGGGCTGTCCTTACCTCCCAGTCTGGGGTACCTGCCACCTCCTGCTCAGCAGGAATGGGGCTAGGTGCTTCCTCCCCTGGGGACTTCACCTGCTCTCCCTCCTGGGATAAGACGGCAGCCTCCTCCTTGGGGGCAGCAGCATTCAGTCCTCCAGGTCTCCTGGGGGTCGTGACCTGCAGGAGGAATAAGAGGGCAGACTGGGCAGAAAGGCCTTCAGAGCACCTCATCCTCCTGTTCTCACACTGGGGTGTCACAGTCCTGGGAAGTTCTTCCTTTTCAGTTGAGCTGTGGTAACCTTGTGAGTTTCCTGGAGGGGGCCTGCCACTACCCTTGGGACTCCCTGCCGTGTGTCTGGGTCTAACTGAGCTCTGAAAGGAGAGAGCCCCAGCCCTGGGCCTTCCAGGGGAAGCCTTACCTCAGAGGTTGGCTTCTTCCTACTCTTGACTTTGCGTCTCTGCAGAGGGAGGTGGGAGGGGTGACACAACCCTGACACCCACACTATGAGTGATGAGTAGTCCTGCCCCGACTGGCCCATCCTTTCCAGGTGCAGTCCCCCTTACTGTGTCTGCCAAGGGTGCCAGCACAGCCGCCCCACTCCAGGGGAAGAGGAGTGCCAGCCCTTACCCACCTGAGTGGGCACAGTGTAGCATTTATTCATTAGCCCCCACACTGGCCTGACCATCTCCCCTGTGGGCTGCATGACAAGGAGAGAGAACAGGCTGAGGTGAGAGCTACTGTCAACACCTAAACCTAAAAAATCTATAATTGGGCTGGGCAGGGTGGCTCACGCCTGTAATCCCAGCACTTTGGGAGGCCGAGATGGGTGGATCACCTGAGGTCAGATGTTCGAGACCAGCCTGGCCAACATGGTGAAACCCCGTCTCTACTAAAAATACAAAAAATTAGCTGGGCGTGGTGGTGGGTGCCTGTAATCCCAGCTACTCAGGAGGCTGAGGCAGGAGAATTGCTTGAACCTGGGAGGCAGAGGTTGCAGTGAGCCGAGATCACACCATTGCACTCCAGTCTGGGTGATAAGTATGAAACGCCATCTCCAAAACAAAAGAAAAGCCTAATTCCCCAAGAACTGTCAGTCTTTCACCTGTCTGCTAGCTCCCAGGGAGACCCCACTTGCCAGGGCTGTCTACATTTGTCCTGAGATCTCTTCTGGTGAGAACAGCACTTTCCTCAGGAAAGTTTGTTGAAAGTCATCAGATCCATGATTGAAAATCGAAGCTGCCTGTGGTGATGGATAACAGCTGGGGTTAAAAAGCAGCAGCTGGGGCATGAGCGGTCCACAGTGAGTTTTTGTTGTTTTTGTTTTTTTGGGTGGGGGATGGGGTCTTGCTAGGTCTCAAACTCCTGGCCTCAAGTCATCCTCCCATTACAGCCTTCTGAGTCACTGACACTACAGGTGTGAGCCACCATGTCCAGCTTGTAGTGGTTTTGAACAGCTCTTGCCCCTTCTTGGGAATCTAGGTGCCCTGCACGTGGGTAAGGCTGTCTGCAGCTGTGCCCATATTCAGGAAGGCCGGCAAGGCCCTGAGCCCTCACACGTGACTGACCTGAGGTGCTGTGCAGACAGCAGGTGACGGCTAAGGGAAAGTTGAGCACTGCCTAGCCGAGCACTGAAGCCACGCCCGGCACACAGAGAGAGACCCACTCGGCAAAGACTTCGCTTCCAGGCACCTAAGGAACTCTCTGACCAGTCATTAGCTGACCACTGCCGTAACTGAAGAGCGGCTTCAGTGGCCACAGCTCGCAGGGAATGGAGACATTAATGCTTAGTCAGAATTAGTTCAGAAAAGTCACCCAGCAAAGAAACAGCTCCAACAGGCAACAACAACAACACATCCTTGGCAGGGAAGAGAATCTGACTTCCGGAGTTGCCACATTATCGCCCGTGAAATGTCCAGGTTTTAACAAATTATGAGACATGGAAAGGAAACCGAAAGGACGACCCAGACACGGGAAAAGTCACCAATGGGACCAGCCCGATGCTGCAATTGCTAGACAAAGACGTTCAGTCAGCTCATTTAAATATGTTCAAAGACCTAAAACATGCTGCATCTGAGGCTGCACCGGCTGGAACCTGCTGATCTCGGAAGCTAAGCATGGTCAGGCCTGGCTAGTACTTCAAAGGGAGAAACCACGTGTAGGCCTGGTGCAGTGGCTCACACCTATAATCCTAGCACTCTGGGAAGCTGAGGCCCGTGGATTGCTTGAGCCCAGGAGTTTGAGAGCAGCTTGGGAAATGTGGTGAGACCCCCATCTCTACAAAAAAATTTAAAAAATTAGCTGGCTGCCTATGGTCCCAGCCTCTCAGGATGCTGAGGTAGGAGGATCACTTCAGCCCAGGAAGTTGAGGCTGCAGTGAGCCATGACTGCATCACTGCACTCCAGCTTGGGCGACAGAGAGACCCTCTCCCAAGAAAAAGAAAAGAACCATGTCAAAAGAACTAACGAAAGTGTGGGAACAATGTCTCACCAATTAGAGAATATCAATAATGGGATGAACCTTATAAAAAGGGGCTGGGCATGGTGGCTCATGCCTATAATCCCAGCACTTTGGGAGGCTGAGGCGGGCATATCATGAGGTCAAGAGATTGAGACCAGCCTGGCCAACATGGTGAAACCCCGTCTCTACTTAAAATACAAAAATTAGCCGGGCGTGGTGGCACGTGCCTGTAATCCCAGCTACTCGGGAGGCTGAGGCAGGAGAATCGCTTGAACCCGAGAGGCAGAGATTGCAGTGAGCCGAGATTGCACCACTGCACTACAGCCTGGGTGACAGAGCGATACTCCAAAAAACAAAACAAAACAAAAAACAAAAAAAAAGTTTAAAAAGGAACCAAATAAAAATTCTGGAGTTGTAGGGTAAAATAAATGAAAATTCATCCCAGGGGCCCAAGAGCAGATTGGAACAATTGGAAGAAAGAGCCTGTGACTATGGAGAGAGGCCACCTGAGGTAGTACCCTCTGAGGAACAGGAACAAGCATGAAGAGCAATGCACAGAGATCCAGAGACCTGGAGACGCCGTCAAGCTTTCCGACATACACGCAATGGGAGTCCCAGGAAAGAAGACAGGGAGAAAGGAGTAAAGGAATAGTTGAAGAATTAATGGCTGAAAAACCTCCCAAATCTGATGAAAAATATTAATCTGTACATCCAAAAAGCTCATCAAACTCCAAGTAGGGTAAACTCAAAGAGATCTTCAGCCATACGCATCATCATAATCACTGTCAAAAGACAGATTTTTCTTTTTTTAGAATTTTAAATGTACCTTTTAATTTGCTCCTGGGGCAAAGAGCCAGGACTGGTACTAGAGCAGTGTCTGGGATGAGAAGAATTTAATAAAATGGGATTAGGTCCAATGGTTGGGTTAGGGGAGGCAACCTGCTCGGGAGGATCAGCCTCAACCTATCCATGCAGCAGGGCCTCCACCTGTCCCTCTCCGTAGTCCCACACCTGGAACCCAGAGCCATCTGCCTCTTCCCAGATCATGGCCGACAGCACTCCACCAGACTGCGGCTGGAGCAGGCACAGGATTCACTTATTGAGGGCTGTGGCCTGGCACAGATCATAGCCTATACCCAGGGACAGTTGTGTCACTTCTGCCACCACCACATCCGCCTTCTGCAGCCACATCAAGTACCACTCATGGATGAGCCCGTCACCCCCAGCGGACTTATCAACCCCGCGTCCAGCTCCACAGCCGCCACGTGCTCGGTGAGCACTGGCTCCAAGCATGGCAGCTGCCATACAATCCACCTGTAGAGGGCCCGGTCCTCCTGTCCTCAGTGGATGATCCCGTAGAAGTCCAGAGCTCGGCAGCTGCCCTCCCACAAAAGACAGGATTTTGAAAGCAGCAAGAGAGAAGAGACGTATCAGGTAGTCACAGTGGCTCAGGCCTGTAATCCCAGCACTTTGGGAGGCCCAGGTGGGAGGATCGCTTCACCCCAGGAATTCAAGACCAGCCTGGACAACTTGGAAGAACCCGGTCTCTACAAAAAATACAAAATTAGCTGGGATTGGGTGCGGTGGCTCATGCCTATAATCCCAGCACTTTGGGAGCCTGAGGTGGGTGGATCACCTGAAGTCAGGAGTTCAAGACTAGCCTGGCCAACATGGTGAAACCCTATCTCTACTGAAAATACAAAAAGCTAGACGTGGTGGCACACACCTGTAATCCCAGCTACTTAGGAGGCTGAGGCAGGAGAATTGCTTGAAGCCTAGAGGTGAAGGTTGTAGTGAGCCGAGATTGCATCATTGCACAATGGAGGGGAGCCACCAGCCTGGGCAACAAGAGGAAATCTCCGTCTCCAAAAAAAAAAAAAAAAAAAAAAGAATTAGGCTGGGTGGTGCCTGTAGTCCCAGCTACTTGGGAGGCAGGGGGTCCACTTGATGTCGAGACTGCAGTGAGCCATGATCCTGCCACTGCACTCCGGCCTGGGCAACAGAGTGAGACCCTGTCTAAAGAAAAAAAAAATAAAGCAACATATCCTGAACAAAGGATCCTCCATAACGTTCCCACCAGATTTCTAATCAGAAACATGGAGGCCAGAAAGCAGTGGAGGAGGACGACCCTCAGGCAGCCCGGGAGGATGTTGTCACAGGCTGGGGCAAGGGCCTTCCGGCTACCAACTGGGAGCTCTGGGAACAGCCCTGTTGCAAACAAGAAGCCATAGCCCGGCCAGAGCCCAGGAATGTGGGCTGGGCTGGGAGCAGCCTCTGGACAGGAGTGGTCCCATCCAGGAAACCTCCGGCATGGCTGGGAAGTGGGGTACTTGGTGCCGGGTCTGTATGTGTGTGTGACTGGTGTGTGTGAGAGAGAATGTGTGCCCTAAGTGTCAGTGTGAGTCTGTGTATGTGTGAATATTGTCTTTGTGTGGGTGATTTTCTGCGTGTGTAATCGTGTCCCTGCAAGTGTGAACAAGTGGACAAGTGTCTGGGAGTGGACAAGAGATCTGTGCACCATCAGGTGTGTGCATAGCGTCTGTGCATGTCAAGAGTGCAAGGTGAAGTGAAGGGACCAGGCCCATGATGCCACTCATCATCAGGAGCTCTAAGGCCCCAGGTAAGTGCCAGTGACAGATAAGGGTGCTGAAGGTCACTCTGGAGTGGGCAGGTGGGGGTAGGGAAAGGGCAAGGCCATGTTCTGGAGGAGGGGTTGTGACTACATTAGGGTGTATGAGCCTAGCTGGGAGGTGGATGGCCGGGTCCACTGAAACCCTGGTTATCCCAGAAGGCTTTGCAGGCTTCAGGAGCTTGGAGTGGGGAGAGGGGGTGACTTCTCCGACCAGGCCCCTCCACCGGCCTACCCTGGGTAAGGGCCTGGAGCAGGAAGCAGGGGCAAGAACCTCTGGAGCAGCCCATACCCGCCCTGGCCTGACTCTGCCACTGGCAGCACAGTCAACACAGCAGGTTCACTCACAGCAGAGGGCAAAGGCCATCATCAGCTCCCTTTATAAGGGAAGGGTCACGCGCTCGGTGTGCTGAGAGTGTCCTGCCTGGTCCTCTGTGCCTGGTGGGGTGGGGGTGCCAGGTGTGTCCAGAGGAGCCCATTTGGTAGTGAGGCAGGTATGGGGCTAGAAGCACTGGTGCCCCTGGCCGTGATAGTGGCCATCTTCCTGCTCCTGGTGGACCTGATGCACCGGCGCCAACGCTGGGCTGCACGCTACCCACCAGGCCCCCTGCCACTGCCCGGGCTGGGCAACCTGCTGCATGTGGACTTCCAGAACACACCATACTGCTTCGACCAGGTGAGGGAGGAGGTCCTGGAGGGCGGCAGAGGTGCTGAGGCTCCCCTACCAGAAGCAAACATGGATGGTGGGTGAAACCACAGGCTGGACCAGAAGCCAGGCTGAGAAGGGGAAGCAGGTTTGGGGGACGTCCTGGAGAAGGGCATTTATACATGGCATGAAGGACTGGATTTTCCAAAGGCCAAGGAAGAGTAGGGCAAGGGCCTGGAGGTGGAGCTGGACTTGGCAGTGGGCATGCAAGCCCATTGGGCAACATATGTTATGGAGTACAAAGTCCCTTCTGCTGACACCAGAAGGAAAGGCCTTGGGAATGGAAGATGAGTTAGTCCTGAGTGCCGTTTAAATCACGAAATCGAGGATGAAGGGGGTGCAGTGACCCGGTTCAAACCTTTTGCACTGTGGGTCCTCGGGCCTCACTGCTCACCGGCATGGACCATCATCTGGGAATGGGATGCTAACTGGGGCCTCTCGGCAATTTTGGTGACTCTTGCAAGGTCATACCTGGGTGACGCATCCAAACTGAGTTCCTCCATCACAGAAGGTGTGACCCCCACCCCCGCCCCACGATCAGGAGGCTGGGTCTCCTCCTTCCACCTGCTCACTCCTGGTAGCCCCGGGGGTCGTCCAAGGTTCAAATAGGACTAGGACCTGTAGTCTGGGGTGATCCTGGCTTGACAAGAGGCCCTGACCCTCCCTCTGCAGTTGCGGCGCCGCTTCGGGGACGTGTTCAGCCTGCAGCTGGCCTGGACGCCGGTGGTCGTGCTCAATGGGCTGGCGGCCGTGCGCGAGGCGCTGGTGACCCACGGCGAGGACACCGCCGACCGCCCGCCTGTGCCCATCACCCAGATCCTGGGTTTCGGGCCGCGTTCCCAAGGCAAGCAGCGGTGGGGACAGAGACAGATTTCCGTGGGACCCGGGTGGGTGATGACCGTAGTCCGAGCTGGGCAGAGAGGGCGCGGGGTCGTGGACATGAAACAGGCCAGCGAGTGGGGACAGCGGGCCAAGAAACCACCTGCACTAGGGAGGTGTGAGCATGGGGACGAGGGCGGGGCTTGTGACGAGTGGGCGGGGCCACTGCCGAGACCTGGCAGGAGCCCAATGGGTGAGGCTGGCGCATTTCCCAGCTGGAATCCGGTGTCGAAGTGGGGGGCGGGGACCGCACCTGTGCTGTAAGCTCAGTGTGGGTGGCGCGGGGCCCGCGGGGTCTTCCCTGAGTGCAAAGGCGGTCAGGGTGGGCAGAGACGAGGTGGGGCAAAGCCCTGCCCCAGCCAAGGGAGCAAGGTGGATGCACAAAGAGTGGGCCCTGTGACCAGCTGGACAGAGCCAGGGACTGCGGGAGACCAGGGGGAGCATAGGGTTGGAGTGGGTGGTGGATGGTGGGGCTAATGCCTTCATGGCCACGCGCACGTGCCCGTCCCACCCCCAGGGGTGTTCCTGGCGCGCTATGGGCCCGCGTGGCGCGAGCAGAGGCGCTTCTCCGTGTCCACCTTGCGCAACTTGGGCCTGGGCAAGAAGTCGCTGGAGCAGTGGGTGACCGAGGAGGCCGCCTGCCTTTGTGCCGCCTTCGCCAACCACTCCGGTGGGTGATGGGCAGAAGGGCACAAAGCGGGAACTGGGAAGGCGGGGGACGGGGAAGGCGACCCCTTACCCGCATCTCCCACCCCCAGGACGCCCCTTTCGCCCCAACGGTCTCTTGGACAAAGCCGTGAGCAACGTGATCGCCTCCCTCACCTGCGGGCGCCGCTTCGAGTACGACGACCCTCGCTTCCTCAGGCTGCTGGACCTAGCTCAGGAGGGACTGAAGGAGGAGTCGGGCTTTCTGCGCGAGGTGCGGAGCGAGAGACCGAGGAGTCTCTGCAGGGCGAGCTCCCGAGAGGTGCCGGGGCTGGACTGGGGCCTCGGAAGAGCAGGATTTGCATAGATGGGTTTGGGAAAGGACATTCCAGGAGACCCCACTGTAAGAAGGGCCTGGAGGAGGAGGGGACATCTCAGACATGGTCGTGGGAGAGGTGTGCCCGGGTCAGGGGGCACCAGGAGAGGCCAAGGACTCTGTACCTCCTATCCACGTCAGAGATTTCGATTTTAGGTTTCTCCTCTGGGCAAGGAGAGAGGGTGGAGGCTGGCACTTGGGGAGGGACTTGGTGAGGTCAGTGGTAAGGACAGGCAGGCCCTGGGTCTACCTGGAGATGGCTGGGGCCTGAGACTTGTCCAGGTGAACGCAGAGCACAGGAGGGATTGAGACCCCGTTCTGTCTGGTGTAGGTGCTGAATGCTGTCCCCGTCCTCCTGCATATCCCAGCGCTGGCTGGCAAGGTCCTACGCTTCCAAAAGGCTTTCCTGACCCAGCTGGATGAGCTGCTAACTGAGCACAGGATGACCTGGGACCCAGCCCAGCCCCCCCGAGACCTGACTGAGGCCTTCCTGGCAGAGATGGAGAAGGTGAGAGTGGCTGCCACGGTGGGGGGCAAGGGTGGTGGGTTGAGCGTCCCAGGAGGAATGAGGGGAGGCTGGGCAAAAGGTTGGACCAGTGCATCACCCGGCGAGCCGCATCTGGGCTGACAGGTGCAGAATTGGAGGTCATTTGGGGGCTACCCCGTTCTGTCCCGAGTATGCTCTCGGCCCTGCTCAGGCCAAGGGGAACCCTGAGAGCAGCTTCAATGATGAGAACCTGCGCATAGTGGTGGCTGACCTGTTCTCTGCCGGGATGGTGACCACCTCGACCACGCTGGCCTGGGGCCTCCTGCTCATGATCCTACATCCGGATGTGCAGCGTGAGCCCATCTGGGAAACAGTGCAGGGGCCGAGGGAGGAAGGGTACAGGCGGGGGCCCATGAACTTTGCTGGGACACCCGGGGCTCCAAGCACAGGCTTGACCAGGATCCTGTAAGCCTGACCTCCTCCAACATAGGAGGCAAGAAGGAGTGTCAGGGCCGGACCCCCTGGGTGCTGACCCATTGTGGGGACGCATGTCTGTCCAGGCCGTGTCCAACAGGAGATCGACGACGTGATAGGGCAGGTGCGGCGACCAGAGATGGGTGACCAGGCTCACATGCCCTACACCACTGCCGTGATTCATGAGGTGCAGCGCTTTGGGGACATCGTCCCCCTGGGTGTGACCCATATGACATCCCGTGACATCGAAGTACAGGGCTTCCGCATCCCTAAGGTAGGCCTGGCGCCCTCCTCACCCCAGCTCAGCACCAGCACCTGGTGATAGCCCCAGCATGGCTACTGCCAGGTGGGCCCACTCTAGGAACCCTGGCCACCTAGTCCTCAATGCCACCACACTGACTGTCCCCACTTGGGTGGGGGGTCCAGAGTATAGGCAGGGCTGGCCTGTCCATCCAGAGCCCCCGTCTAGTGGGGAGACAAACCAGGACCTGCCAGAATGTTGGAGGACCCAACGCCTGCAGGGAGAGGGGGCAGTGTGGGTGCCTCTGAGAGGTGTGACTGCGCCCTGCTGTGGGGTCGGAGAGGGTACTGTGGAGCTTCTCGGGCGCAGGACTAGTTGACAGAGTCCAGCTGTGTGCCAGGCAGTGTGTGTCCCCCGTGTGTTTGGTGGCAGGGGTCCCAGCATCCTAGAGTCCAGTCCCCACTCTCACCCTGCATCTCCTGCCCAGGGAACGACACTCATCACCAACCTGTCATCGGTGCTGAAGGATGAGGCCGTCTGGGAGAAGCCCTTCCGCTTCCACCCCGAACACTTCCTGGATGCCCAGGGCCACTTTGTGAAGCCGGAGGCCTTCCTGCCTTTCTCAGCAGGTGCCTGTGGGGAGCCCGGCTCCCTGTCCCCTTCCGTGGAGTCTTGCAGGGGTATCACCCAGGAGCCAGGCTCACTGACGCCCCTCCCCTCCCCACAGGCCGCCGTGCATGCCTCGGGGAGCCCCTGGCCCGCATGGAGCTCTTCCTCTTCTTCACCTCCCTGCTGCAGCACTTCAGCTTCTCGGTGCCCACTGGACAGCCCCGGCCCAGCCACCATGGTGTCTTTGCTTTCCTGGTGAGCCCATCCCCCTATGAGCTTTGTGCTGTGCCCCGCTAGAATGGGGTACCTAGTCCCCAGCCTGCTCCCTAGCCAGAGGCTCTAATGTACAATAAAGCAATGTGGTAGTTCCAACTCGGGTCCCCTGCTCACGCCCTCGTTGGGATCATCCTCCTCAGGGCAACCCCACCCCTGCCTCATTCCTGCTTACCCCACCGCCTGGCCGCATTTGAGACAGGGGTACGTTGAGGCTGAGCAGATGTCAGTTACCCTTGCCCATAATCCCATGTCCCCCACTGACCCAACTCTGACTGCCCAGATTGGTGACAAGGACTACATTGTCCTGGCATGTGGGGAAGGGGCCAGAATGGGCTGACTAGAGGTGTCAGTCAGCCCTGGATGTGGTGGAGAGGGCAGGACTCAGCCTGGAGGCCCATATTTCAGGCCTAACTCAGCCCACCCCACATCAGGGACAGCAGTCCTGCCAGCACCATCACAACAGTCACCTCCCTTCATATATGACACCCCAAAACGGAAGACAAATCATGGCGTCAGGGAGCTATATGCCAGGGCTACCTACCTCCCAGGGCTCAGTCGGCAGGTGCCAGAACGTTCCCTGGGAAGGCCCCATGGAAGCCCAGGACTGAGCCACCACCCTCAGCCTCGTCACCTCACCACAGGACTGGCTACCTCTCTGGGCCCTCAGGGATGCTGCTGTACAGACCCCTGACCAGTGACGAGTTCGCACTCAGGGCCAGGCTGGCGCTGGAGGAGGACACTTGTTTGGCTCCAACCCTAGGTACCATCCTCCCAGTAGGGATCAGGCAGGGCCCACAGGCCTGCCCTAGGGACAGGAGTCAACCTTGGACCCATAAGGCACTGGGGCGGGCAGAGAAGGAGGAGGTGGCATGGGCAGCTGAGAGCCAGAGACCCTGACCCTAGTCCTTGCTCTGCCATTACCCCGTGTGACCCCGGGCCCACCCTTCCCCACCCTTCCCCACCCTTCCCCACCCCGGGCTTCTGTTTCCCTTCTGCCAACGAGAAGGCTGCTTCACCTGCCCCGAGTCCTGTCTTCCTGCTCTGCCTTCTGGGGCTGTGGCCCTTGCTGGCCTGGAGCCCCAACCAAGGGCAGGGACTGCTGTCCTCCACGTCTGTCCTCACCGACATAATGGGCTGGGCTGGGCACACAGGCAGTGCCCAAGAGTTTCTAATGAGCATATGATTACCTGAGTCCTGGGCAGACCTTCTTAGGGAACAGCCTGGGACAGAGAACCACAGACACTCTGAGGAGCCACCTGAGGCCTCTTTTGCCAGAGGACCCTACAGCCTCCCTGGCAGCAGTTCCGCCAGCATTTCTGTAAATGCCCTCATGCCAGGGTGCGGCCCGGCTGTCAGCACGAGAGGGACGTTGGTCTGTCCCCTGGCACCGAGTCAGTCAGAAGGGTGGCCAGGGCCCCCTTGGGCCCCTCCAGAGACAATCCACTGTGGTCACACGGCTCGGTGGCAGGAAGTGCTGTTCCTGCAGCTGTGGGGACAGGGAGTGTGGATGAAGCCAGGCTGGGTTTGTCTGAAGACGGAGGCCCCGAAAGGTGGCAGCCTGGCCTATAGCAGCAGCAACTCTTGGATTTATTGGAAAGATTTTCTTCACGGTTCTGAGTCTTGGGGGTGTTAGAGGCTCAGAACCAGTCCAGCCAGAGCTCTGTCATGGGCACGTAGACCCGGTCCCAGGGCCTTTGCTCTTTGCTGTCCTCAGAGGCCTCTGCAAAGTAGAAACAGGCAGCCTTGTGAGTCCCCTCCTGGGAGCAACCAACCCTCCCTCTGAGATGCCCCGGGGCCAGGTCAGCTGTGGTGAAAGGTAGGGATGCAGCCAGCTCAGGGGAGTGGCCCAGAGTTCCTGCCCACCCAAGGAGGCTCCCAGGAAGGTCAAGGCACCTGACTCCTGGGCTGCTTCCCTCCCCTCCCCTCCCCAGGTCAGGAAGGTGGGAAAGGGCTGGGGTGTCTGTGACCCTGGCAGTCACTGAGAAGCAGGGTGGAAGCAGCCCCCTGCAGCACGCTGGGTCAGTGGTCTTACCAGATGGATACGCAGCAACTTCCTTTTGAACCTTTTTATTTTCCTGGCAGGAAGAAGAGGGATCCAGCAGTGAGATCAGGCAGGTTCTGTGTTGCACAGACAGGGAAACAGGCTCTGTCCACACAAAGTCGGTGGGGCCAGGATGAGGCCCAGTCTGTTCACACATGGCTGCTGCCTCTCAGCTCTGCACAGACGTCCTCGCTCCCCTGGGATGGCAGCTTGGCCTGCTGGTCTTGGGGTTGAGCCAGCCTCCAGCACTGCCTCCCTGCCCTGCTGCCTCCCACTCTGCAGTGCTCCATGGCTGCTCAGTTGGACCCACGCTGGAGACGTTCAGTCGAAGCCCCGGGCTGTCCTTACCTCCCAGTCTGGGGTACCTGCCACCTCCTGCTCAGCAGGAATGGGGCTAGGTGCTTCCTCCCCTGGGGACTTCACCTGCTCTCCCTCCTGGGATAAGACGGCAGCCTCCTCCTTGGGGGCAGCAGCATTCAGTCCTCCAGGTCTCCTGGGGGTCGTGACCTGCAGGAGGAATAAGAGGGCAGACTGGGCAGAAAGGCCTTCAGAGCACCTCATCCTCCTGTTCTCACACTGGGGTGTCACAGTCCTGGGAAGTTCTTCCTTTTCAGTTGAGCTGTGGTAACCTTGTGAGTTTCCTGGAGGGGGCCTGCCACTACCCTTGGGACTCCCTGCCGTGTGTCTGGGTCTAACTGAGCTCTGAAAGGAGAGAGCCCCAGCCCTGGGCCTTCCAGGGGAAGCCTTACCTCAGAGGTTGGCTTCTTCCTACTCTTGACTTTGCGTCTCTGCAGAGGGAGGTGGGAGGGGTGACACAACCCTGACACCCACACTATGAGTGATGAGTAGTCCTGCCCCGACTGGCCCATCCTTTCCAGGTGCAGTCCCCCTTACTGTGTCTGCCAAGGGTGCCAGCACAGCCGCCCCACTCCAGGGGAAGAGGAGTGCCAGCCCTTACCCACCTGAGTGGGCACAGTGTAGCATTTATTCATTAGCCCCCACACTGGCCTGACCATCTCCCCTGTGGGCTGCATGACAAGGAGAGAGAACAGGCTGAGGTGAGAGCTACTGTCAACACCTAAACCTAAAAAATCTATAATTGGGCTGGGCAGGGTGGCTCACGCCTGTAATCCCAGCACTTTGGGAGGCCGAGATGGGTGGATCACCTGAGGTCAGATGTTCGAGACCAGCCTGGCCAACATGGTGAAACCCCGTCTCTACTAAAAATACAAAAAATTAGCTGGGCGTGGTGGTGGGTGCCTGTAATCCCAGCTACTCAGGAGGCTGAGGCAGGAGAATTGCTTGAACCTGGGAGGCAGAGGCTGCAGTGAGCCGAGATCGCATCATTGCACTCCAGCCTGGTCAACAAGAGTGAAACTGTCTTAAAAAAAAAATCTATAATTGATATCTTTAGAAAGATAAAACTTTGCATTCATGAAATAAGAATAGGAGGGTCTAAAATAAAAATGTTCAAACACCCACCACCACTAATTCTTGACAAAAATATAGTCTGGGTGCCTTAGCTCATGCCTGTAATCCCAGCATTTTGGGAGGCTAAGGCAGGAGGATTGTTTGAGCCTAGGAATTCAACACCAGCCTGGGCCACCTAAGGAGACCCCATCTCTACAAAAAATTAAAATACTGGCTGGGTGTGGTGGCACACACCTGTAGTTCCAGCTGCTTGGGAGGCTGAGGTGGGAGGATCACTTGAGTCCAGGAACAAAGCTGCAGTGAACTGTGATCGTGCCACTGCACTCCAGCCTGGGCAACAGAGAAAGACCTTGCCTTAAAAATAAAAAATATAATAATAGGAATGCAAAATCTAATCAAAGTATAGAAGCTAAACTTGAAAAAAATATTTTCCAGAAAGAACAGAGAAGAGGTCAGGAGCTCCAACAGCTAAATTGTTGTTTAGATGTTTCTGAAACAGGCAGCAGAGACAACAGACTAGGAGGCAAGGAAAGATGTCTAATAAATACGTTTCTTTTTTGTCAAGACAAGTTCTCACAGAGGAAGAACATGAGTTTCCAGTAGAGAAGGAAACACCAAGTGTTCATGACAATGAATGAAGGGGACCCAGCCCCAATTTTGTTGTCAAGAAATTTCACAACACTGAGGACAGAGTGGAACCCAAAAACTTCCAGAGAGAAAAAAGTCTGAGCTTCAGGAATTCAATATTCATCAGACTTCTCAACACCAACCTTTGAAGCTATAAGATAATGAAGACCTTCAAAATCTGAGAGAAAATATTTCCAATCTAGAATTCTATACCTAGCCAAATGCTATGCAAGTATGAATTGAGGTCTTTTCGGATACATAAATGTCTCAAGACTACCCCTCAGGAAGCAACCGGAGGTTGTACTTCACTAAAATAAAGGAGAAATAGAAAAGAAGATAACATGGGACCCAGCACAACAGGCAGGGAGAGCCCCTGAGCATAAGGGTGAATGGGGAGCTCAGGAGGACAGCTGGGCAGCAGACCTCCAGGGTGCCCCATCCAGATGGAATCAGGGAGATGGAGGGCTCCTGAGGTATGTCTCCATGAAAATGATCATATGGAGAAATGACGTGATCTGTCTAAATGTACTGCAAAGAGATTTCTATTTTTGGCAGAAAATTTGGATGAATTAATTATATAATAGATGCACAAAAAACTAAAGAAAGAGAAGAAGAAAAACTAAAATCATGACTCAACTGGGACTACTGTCTACATTTTTTGTTTTGAGAAAGAGTCTTGCTCTGTTGCCCAGACTGGAGTGCAGTGATCACGTTTCATTGCAGCCTCCACAACCTGTGCTCAAGTAAGTGACTCTCTTACCTCAGCCTCCTTAGTAGCTGGGATCACAGGGCACCACCACACTCAGCTAATTTTTTTTTTTAAATAGACAGTGTCTCCCAATGTTGTCCAGGCTGGTCTCGAAGTCCTGGACTCAAGCGATCCTCCCATGTTGACCTCTCAAGTAGTTGGGATTACAGTCATGAGCCACTGTGCCTGACCTAGCTAATTTTTTTCTGATTTATTTATTTATTTTTTGTACAGAGTCTCACTATGTTGACCAGGCTGGCCTGGAACTTCTGAGCTCAAGTGATCCTCCTGCCTTCGCCTCCCAAAGTGCAGAGATTATAGGTGTAAACTATCACGCCTGGCCTGTTTACATAGTTTAATAATGTAAATCTTCAATACCGATCTAATAAAAATTGAAATATGCCTTTTAGAATGGCTTTCAAAGATAACAAATGCTGGAGAGGATGTAGAACAACTGGAACCTCTCGGTTATTGCTGGTGAGACAGCCGCTTTGAAAAAGTTTGAGTTTCTTACAAAATTAAACTTACACTTACACTTACCATATGACCCAAAAATTCCACTGCTTGCTCTTTACTCAAGTATAAGGAAAATCTATGTACACACAAAACTTGTACGTGAATATTTATTAATAGTCATTTTATGCCCCAAACTAGAAATAGTCCAAATGTTCTGGAACATCCATACAACGGACCACCACTCAATAAAAGGAACAAACTACGGATACACGTGACTAGATGAATCTCAAATGCTTTGTGCTAAGTAAAATAAACCAGACTGAAAAGGCTACCATACGTTTCCATTTATATGACAATCTTGCAAAGTCAAAACCACAGGAACAGGAAACTGTTCACTGATTGCCAGGGTGTGGGAGTAGGAGGAAGGGCTGACTACAGGTGACTATGGAGGATTTTTTTTTTTCTGAGACGGAGTCTCTGTCGCCCAGGCTGGAGTGTACTGGCACGATCTCGGCTCACTGCAACATCCACCTCCTGGGTTTAAGGTATTTTTAGTAGAGACGGGGTTTCACTATGTTGGCCAGGCTGGTCTCAAACTCCTGACCTCAGGTGATCCACCCGCTTCGGCCTCCCAAAGTGCTGGGATTATAGGCGTGAGCCACCGAGGCCAGCCACTTTTTTTTTTTTTTAAAGACAGAGTCTTGCTGTGTCACTCAGGCTGGAGTGCAGTGGCGTGATCCCAGCTCACTGCAGCCTTAACATCCTGCACTCAAGTGATCCTTCTACCTCAGCTTCCTGAGTAGCTGGGACCACAGGCACACCTCACCACACCCAGCTAATTTTTAATTTTTTTGTAGAGACAGGGTCTATGTTGCCCAGGCTGGTCTTGAACTCCTGGGCTCCACCAATCCTGCCTTGCCCTCCTCACAGTGCCCGGCCCTTAGATTCTCTCTTTAACCTCTAACTCCACCCCGTCTTCCTCACTTTCAGCAGAGAGCATAGGCACCATCAGATGGGCATTTCCTCAACTTGCTGCCACCAAACCCATTCACTCACCGGCTTCTCATAGGCCATTTCCTCTTCCAGGGGATGAGGGGAGGAGGCTCCCCTCCCTCTCCAAAGCTAGCCCTACTCCTGTGCCCCATTTCATCTGGTCTTCTCACCTGGGCATTTGGAGATCTCGTCTCACCTCAATATTCTCCTTTTCCTTTTTTCTGGCTCCTTCCATCAGCATCTAAACACATTGCTGATCTCTTCTATTAAAAAGAAAAAAGCCCTTCTCCCTTGAACCCATATTCCTTCTCCAGCTAGCGTCCTGACCCCTACCCTTCACACCAGTCTCCTGAGAGCGGTGTTGGCAGGGGGGTGTGTTTACTGCTTTCTACCTCTCCCGCGCTCCACAACCCACTTCAACCTGCATCTGTCTCCATAAGCCTCTGAAACCCCTCTCACTGAGGTCACCAGTACGCTCCTAGTCACCAAACCCAGATGACTCTTTCCTTTTTTTCTTTTTTTTTTTTTTTTTGAGACGGAGTCTCGCTCTGTCGCCCAGGCTGGAGTGCAGTGGCGTGATCTCGGCTCACTGCAAGCTCCGCCTCCCGGGTTCACACCATTCTCTTGCTTCAGCCTCCCGAGTAGCTGAGACTACAGGCGGCCCGCCACGAGGCCCAGCTAATTTTTTTGTATTTACTAGCAGAGGCGGGGTTTCCCCATGTTAGCCAGGATGGTCCTGATCTCCTGACCTCGTGATCCGCCTGCCTCGGTCTTCCAAAGTGCTGGGATTACAGGCATGAGCCACTGCACCCGGCCCCAGCTGACCCTTTCTTTAACGACCTCGCCTTTTCTCTTGGCTGCTTGACCTCTCATGCTCTGGTTTTCCTCCTGCCTCCCACTCCTCTCTCTCTCTATCTCTCAGTCTCTATCTCTGTCTCTCTTTCTGTCTCTGCCTCTCTCAGTCTCTATTTCTGTCTCTGCCTCTCTCAGTCTCTATTTCTGTCTCTGCCTCTCTCTGTGTATCTCTATCTGTCTCTCTCTCTGTATCTCTGTCTCTCTCTGTATCTCTAGCTCTGTCTCTATCTCTGTCTCTGTCTCTGTCTATCTCTCTGTATCTCTAACTCTGTCTCTGTATCTGTTTCTGTCTCTCTATCTCTCTTTGTCTCTCTGTCTCTCTCTGCCTAAATCTCAGTGTCAAGTGTTGCTCCATGTCCTGCTGACGACAAAGACTCTGAACTTCCACCTCAGACACTCACTTCTAGGCCTTTGCATGTGCTGTTATCTACCTAGAATGTGTTTCTCCATGGCTTTCAGGAGGGCTCCCCTGACTACCTGAGTTCACGTGGGGTGGCCCTCCTCAGTGCTCTTAGGGTACTGTACTGTCCCCTGACTGAGGGACCACTTTAGGTCCGTCCACTGTCAAACCCCCAGTAGCTGCCCCTATGCGTGGGACACAGCAAGAGCTAAGTAACCAAATGAATGATTACATGGCTGTGGTTCATCCTAGTGCTTAAAGCCATGATCAGAGTTGAAAAGTTGCTGTATCTTATTCAGATTTCTACTAGCAACATATTCAATAGTAAGCTTTGTTAGTCATCTATAACCCGGTGTAAGTGAAGTTATCAGGTCTTTTTCTGGGAGGAGGTTTAGAGGAGGAAAGGAGAGAGAATGAGTCCTAAAGGAGAGAAGAGGAGTAGAAGGGGCATGTCAAGTAGAAAAGGATGTAGAAAAGGTAGGCTTGGGGTAAAAAGATAATTTTCACCTGCTTGGGTGGTTTATTGAGGGCAGCCTTTTAGGCCTGCTTACCAAAGAGGCCAGTCTTGATGACGCTAGAAATTTGCAGATAATCCTTTTACCATATCAGTGTCAGGCAGCTTATCCACCTCCTCTTGGGCTCTATGACCAAACCCAAGAAGAGCACTGAGGCCCAGCTAAGTCTGGGAGTTCAGTGCACAGGCCCCCCCTTTCGCACAGAGAGTGGTGTCTATGTGTGACATCGTGTCTTAGGGGGGCTTTATGACAGGACAACCTCTTCAACCTTGGCCAGAACAGCTTGTCAAATGCCTCGGGGTGGCTTTAAATCCCCAGTAGTGAGAGACAGCCCCTTTGTACATATCTCATTGTTTCAATTCAGCACAAACAGTGCTGACTGAGCAGCTACAATGTGCCAAGCTCTGTGTGAAGACCCATAGAGACACAAAGATGCAAAAGTGTGTAAGACTCAGTATTTTTTTTTTGTCTTTAAGACTGAGTCTTGATCTGTTGCCCAGGCTGGAGTGCAGTGGCATGATCATGGCTCACTGCAACCTCCACCTCTCAGGTTCAAGAGATTCTCATGCCTCAGGCTACCGAGTGGCTGGGATTACAGGTGTGCATCACCATGCCCAGCTAATTTTTTTGTATTTTTAGTAAAGACAGGGTCTTGTCATGTTGGCCAGGCTGGTCTCAAACTCCTGGCGTCAAGTGATCCACCCGCCTCGGCCTCCCAAAGTATTGAGATTACAGGCGTAAGCCACTGCACCCAGCCAAGACTCAGTCTTACTGCATAACACAATAAGCATATTTTCTAAATCCAAAACAAGAACACAGCCTAACAATTGAATGTCATCTATTCATTCATTCAACCAGTGTCTGCTGAGCTTCCATTTTGGTCCAAGCATTATGCTGAGAGGATCAAAGGTAAACAGGACATACAGCCTACCCTTGAGGAGCTCAAAGACTTCAAACAGACATTTTATGGTTCAAGACAATAACTTCTACCTTCCTGCAAATTTCTGTAAATGTAACAATAATTACAAATCTATGGGTGGTTGAAACTGAGGGATGGATGCCTCAGTTTCACATACACATGAAACATTCACCAAGATAGGCCATATTCTGGACCACGAAACAAATCTCAATGGATTTTAAATTTATTTCAAGTATGTCCTTCAAACACTGTGGAATTAAAAATTACAAATCAGTAACAGATTCCCAGAAAGAGTCTGAGCTCAGACTCACCTAACCCTGCCCCAACCTGACAGTATTTCTCTACCCGCCCTGGTAGCTGATCACAAAAGCCATAAACTCTTGGGAGCTTTATGGCCCTGTCCATCACCTGAGAAATCCTAATACTTATCCTGGCCAACTTAGGGCAAGCTTATATCCCCCTTCCAGTATTGCAGCTGGTGTTCTCTTGAAAGCGCCACCTCCTGGCTGGAGGCCAACCAAGTCAGGACATTACAGCAACTCACAACAGAATAACCCTGCTCCAAGAAATGAGAAACAGCTAATTCCACTGCTTTCAACATCCTGGCTAACCAGAGCTCCTGAGTCTGTCCACGTGACAACTTCACTGCTAGCATAACCAGCATTTGAGAAAGCCAGCACAGTAAACAAAACTACAAGCAAGGACTCTCACACTCACAGTCTACTTTACTCCCCTCCCACCTCCACCAGGGCAGGTGCTGGTGTCCATGGCCAGGAGAGCTAAAGACGGATCACATCACAGGACTCTTTGCAGACATTCCTCAGCACCAGCCTGGAACCTGGTAGCCCCACTGGGTGGCTGGACCCAGAAGAGCAATAGCAATCACTACAGTCTGGCTCTCACGAAGCTCCATCCCTAGGGGAAGTGAGAATGCATCACATCAAGGGGTCACTTTGTGGGACAAAAGAATCTGAACAGTAGCCCCTGAGTTCCAGATTTTTCCCCTGAAATAGTCTACCCAAGTGAGAAGAAATCAGAAAAATTGTAATATGACAAAACAAGGTTCTATAACACCTCCAAAAGACCATACTGGCTCCCCAGCAATGAATGCAAATCAAGAAGAAATCTCTGAATTGCCAGATAAACAATTCAGATGGTTGATTATTAAACTACTCAAGGAGAGACCAGAGAAAAGTGAAAACAAAGAAATGTAAAAAACAATACAGGCTATGGATTGGCCAGGCGCAGTGGCTCACACCTGTAAACCCAGCACTTTGGAAGGCTGAGGCGGGCTGATCACTTGAGGTCAGGAGTTTCAGACCAGCCTGGCCAACACAGTGAAACCCCATCTCTACTAAAAATACAAAAATCAGCCAGGCATGGTGGTGCGTGCCTGTAATACCAGCTATTTGGGAGACTGAGGCAGGGGGATTGCGTGAACCCAGGAGCCAGAGGTTGCAGTGAGCTGAGATTGCACCACTGCACTGTGAGCAACAGAGTGCTCAGAGTCTCAAAAAGGAAAGAAAGAAAGAAAGAAAAAGACAACAAAAAAAATACAGGCTATGGATGAAAAATTCTCCAGAGAAACAGATATTATAAAGAAAAAAAAATCACAATTTCTGCAAATGGAAGACACACTTAAAGAAATAAAAAATGCACTGGAAAGTGTCAACAACAGACTAGAACAAGTATGTAGGATACAATAAAATTCCTCTTCAAAGGTTTAGCCTGTTAACTTCCTTGTTCTTTGTTCTCAAACTCAACTTTCTTGTTCTCTATGCCTCCTTGCCCCTAGTTACTGTAACTGTAAACAACCTTCCTGTCAGTTCTAATCAATAACTCACATCTGTTCCCTTGGTTACCCACTCTTCACCCCTTCCTCCCTTCGAAACCGCACGTCCCACCACTGTAACTCACATTTCCCTTCCCTTCCTTATTTGGGAAAGTATTCACAAATAGCCAGTCGGGTCAGTTTAGATTGTGCAGTCCAACCACAGCCCATGAAGGAGTGACACAGAGGGAGGGATTGCATTAGGAATAAAAACCCCTGCTTTCCTTTGTTCAGTGTGCTCTTGCAATCGTGATTGACACAAGCAGCACCCTTCTGCAGAAGTAAACTGCCTTGCTGAGAAAACTTTCGCCTCAGTGCTGGTTTCACTTTGCAGCACTGAGCATTTATCTCCAACAAATCTGGGGCTCATCCAGGATTCCCATTCTCCTCCAGGGAAGGGGTCTCTGGTCACCTCTCATAAGGAGACGCATCCCACTGCCTCGTTGCGGTGGCCTCAGGGTGAGGGATCGGAACCCACCCGGTGTGACGAATAAATCCGGACTCTCAGCAATGTGGGGAAAAAAAGGCTTGCAACACCATGGTGACCAGGTAACTTTGTGCACAGACCAAGGTAAGAAACGTCACAGGGGTGACAAAGCATTTCCTTGGTGGTCAAGATATTCTGGAGATTGAAAGTGTGTATGAATGATCACAAGCATTACTGCTTGCGGTGCTGCTTGTGTGAATGGTACTAAGCACTACTGCTGTGCGGAATGAGTGTGTCCTATCTGAGGTTCCATGGTCACCTCATATGGCTTAGGACAGATCCTGCCATGGGGTTTATATGGGCGTGCCAAAGGTAAGAGGGACCTAAATTCCCCTCCGGGAAGCGACCAGAGTGGACGAAGCAAAAGAAGGGTGCAAGGAGCCTCCAGCAGGTGGGGCTAAAGGATAGAAATCTCTAGTATGAGGAATTGAGCCTCAATAAGCCTCCAGAAAAGGAGAGGCAAGAAATCTCTAATACGAGGGATTGAGCCTCAGCAAGCCTCCAGAAAAGGATAGGCAAGAAATCTCTAATATGAGGGACTGAGCCTAACTAGGACCCAACATGGGAAACACCCCAAGCAGGACACGGAGTAAAAAGGATAAAGACAGCAATAAAGATATTCCTGCTGTTAGTCCCCTAGGTCTCATGTTAAAATATTGGAAAGATAATGAGAGAACTAAACATAAGAAAAAGCAACAAATGACAAACAATTGCTGTTTTATTTGGACTCAGGGACCCATCCTCAAACCCTCAATCTTTTGGTCAAAGTTTGGGTTGAACAAGGATGTGATGTGTCAACTTCTAATTCAATATGTAAATGATAAAAGTCCAGTTTCTCAAGAAGAATTGGCCTATGCTCTTTGTTGGAGGCAGGGACCTGTCCTCCTCTTTCCCTTAAAGACAACTAGGGAAAAACCCAATCTAGCACCTCAAACTGAAGAGTGAGAAAAGCCAGTCCCCATGCCTAAAGACTCCAGCACATGGGATCCTCTAAACCATCTTCCCCCACGCTCAGTGCCCCTAACCCTTCCCCTCAGGTAGCAGCTGCTGTCCCCGTTCCTGCTCCAGATCCTTCTCCTGCTCATGTTATTCCTCCTCCTTACAATCCTGATTCTTGGGAATCACCATCCCATTAGCCTGTTCCTTCTCAGCCTAAGTACCCCTCCCTAAAAGGACTCCAACGTGAGGTAGAACAATGTAAAAAAGATATCCAAAATTTCCCATTTCCCTCCACATCTATGGAGTCAGCCCCAACTCTCTTCCCCTTAAAAGAGGTGCCACAAGGACAGGGGGGCTATTAATTTTGTGAATGCTCCCTTAACCAGTTCAGAGGTCTGAAGTTTGAAGAAGGAACTTAAGCCGTTATTGGATGACCTTATTGGGTAACAGATCAGGTTGATCAATTCTTAGGACCTCAGTTATACACTTGGGTGGAGTTAATGTCCATCCTAGGCGTCCTCTTTTCTTTTTTTTTTTTTTTTTTTTTGAGACGGAGTCTCGCTCTGTCGCCCAGGCGGGACTGCGGACTGCAGTGGCGCAATCTCGGCTCACTGCAAGCTCCGCTTCCCGGGTTCACGCCATTCTCCTGCCTCAGCCTCCCGAGTAGCTGGGACTACAGGCGCCCGCCACTGCGCCCGGCTAATTTTTTTTGTATTTTTAGTAGAGACGGGGTTTCACCTTGTTAGCCAGGATGGTCTCGATCTCCTGACCTCATGATCCACCCGCCTCGGCCTCCCAAAGTGCTGGGATTACAGGCGTGAGCCACCGCGCCCGGCCTGCGTCCTCTTTTCAGGGGAGGAAAGAAGCATGATCTGTAGGGCTGCTATGGCAATTTGGGAACACGAACACCCTCCTGGTCAAACATTCCTACCGCAGATCAAAAGTTTCCCACCCAAGACCCCCGGTGGGACGATATTAATGCAGCTCACTGGGAAAATATGCAAGACCTAAGGGAAATGATAATAAAGGGAATTAGGGAATCAGTACCCTGAACCCAAAACCTCTCTAAAGCATTTGATATACAATAGGAAAAAGATGAGGGGGCCTATGAAATTTCTAGACAAGAATAAAGGACCAAACAAGACAATATGCAGGCCTAAATTTGGAAGATCTCCTTGGACAGGGAGTGTTAAAGCTCCATTTTGTCACTACAAGTTGGCCAGATATTTCAAAAAAGTTACAAAAATTAGAAGACTGGGAAAACCAACCTCTAAGTGAACTTCTGGGAGAAGCTCAAAAAATATATGTGAGGAAAGAAGCAAAAACAAAAGGCAAAAACTCACGTTATCCACTTTCCAGCAGGTGGCCCCACACCCACATGCTTCTAAACAAAGCTTCCAGGGGGCCAGAAACGATAGACGGTCCAGACCCTCATTTATGCTTCTAAACAAAGCTTCCAGGGGGCCAGAAACTATAAAAGGTCCAGACCCTCGTTTATGCTTCTAAACAAAGCTTCCAGGGGGCCAGAAACTATAAAAGGTCCAGACCCTCATTTATGCTTCTAAACAAAGCTTCCAGGGGGCCAGAAACTATAAAAGGTCCAGACCCTCGTTTATGCTTCTAAACAAAGCTTCCAGGGGGCCAGAAACTATAAAAGGTCCAGACCCTCGTTTATGCTTCTAAACAAAGCTTCCAGGGGGCCAGAAACTATAAAAGGTCCAGACCCTCGTTTATGCTTCTAAACAAAGCTTCCAGGGGGCCAGAAACTATAAACGGTCCGTCCAGACCGTTTGAAGGGCAGGCCACTTCAAAAGAGAATGTCCCAAACTGGAAAAGGAGAAAGAAGCCCTTCAACTCATGACTTTTGAGGAAGAACAGGGGGGTCAGGGGCTCTGTTTATCTCGAGTCCCACCAGGAGCCCTTGATAAATTTACAGGTGGGAACCAAACATGAGCTTATCACCTTTTAGTCAATTCAGGAGTGGCTCGCTCCTCCATTTGCTTCCCCCCATCCAACATTGCCTGCTCTTCAGAAGAACTTTTAGTCTCTGGGGTAAAAGGAGAAGGATTTAAAGCAAAAATCTTAGAAAGTACAGAAGTTAAATACCAAGATCGGCTGACTCATATCCAATTTTTGTTGATCCCTGAGGCAGAAACTAATCTATTAGGAAGAGACTTAATGCTAGAATTAGGCACAGGCTTACAAGTTGGTCCTAAAGGATTCTTTACCTCATTAAACCTACTCACCACCACAGATGAAAAATGCATTAATCCTAGTGTCTGGTCAAGGGAAGGAAACCGGGAGAAACTCTGAATCCCTCCAATCCACATCAAGTTAAGAATCCCCAGGGAAGTAGTAAGGAGGAAACAATACCCCAAACCCCTAGAGGGCAGGATAGGATTAAAGCCTATAATTGAAAGTCTTATTAAAGATGGGCTCCTTGAACCCTGTATGTCCCCGTATAACACTCCAATATTGCCAGTCAAGAAATTAGATGCGTCATACCGACTTGGTACAAGATCTTAGAGCCATCAAATAGTCCAAACTAACCATCCTGTTGTCCCCAACCCATACACCATTCTCAGCAAAATTCCAAAAAACCATCAGTTGTTTACAGTAATAGATTTAAAAGATGCCTTCTGGGCATGCCCCTTGGCTGAAGACAGCTGAGACATATTTGCTTTTGAGTGGTAGGATCCCCATTCAGGGCGAAAACAACATTATTGATGGACAGTTTTACCTCAAGGGTTTACAGACTCTCCAAACCTTTTTGGTCAAATTTTAGAACAAGTGTTAGAAAAAGTTGTCATCCCAAAGCAAATATGCCTGCTCCAGTACATGGATGATATTCTCGTATCTGTTGAAGATGTAGAGAAAGTAGCTGGCTTCTCTACACATATCCTTAACCATCTGGAGTTCGAGGGGTTATGGTTCTTAAAGGGAAAGCTTCAGTATGTGGAGCCTGAAGTTAAATATTTAGGCCACTTAATAAGTGCAGGTAAGCAAAGGATAGGACCTGAACGAGTTGAAGGCATCGTGTCCTTACCCTTGCCTCAAACTAAGCAATAACTCAGAAAATTTCTAGGATTAGTTGGATATTGATGCTTATGGATTGACTCATATGCCCTAAAAAGTAAACTTTTATATGAAAAGCTTACCCAGTGGAAACTGGACCGTCTCCTGTGGACTTCTGAGGAAGTCAATCAGGTTGAAGAGCTGAAATACAAACTCATAACTGCCCCTGTCTTAGCCTTAGCTTCCCTAGAAAAGCCATTTCATCTTTTTGTTAATGTAAATAACGGGGTAGCTTTAGGGGTTCTTACTCAAGAACATGGTGGTCACCGGCAGCCCGTAGCCTTCCTATCAAAAATTTTAGACCCAGTCACCTGTGGGTAGCCTCAGTGCATCCAATTCGTTGCAGCTACAGCAGTATTAGTTGAAGAAAGTAGAAAATTAATCTTTGGGGGGAAATTGACTGTAAGCACACCCCACCAAGTTAGAGCTATTTTAAATAAAAAAGCAGGAAGGTGGCTCACTGACTCCAGAATCTTAAAATAGGAGGCTATTTTACTAAAAAGATGATTTAACCTTGACTACTGATAACTCACTCAATCCGAGAGGTTTCTTAACAGGGGACCCAAATCTAAAAAGAGAACACTTATGTCTAGATCTAACTGACTACCAAACAAAGGTCAGGCCGGATCTAAGAGAGACCCCTTTCAAAATGGGGTGACACTTATTTATAGATGGTTGATCCCAAGCAATTAAAGGAGAAAAATACAATGGGTATTCAGTAATTGATGGAGAAACTCTTGAAGAAACAGAGTCAGGAAGGTTGCCCAATAGTTGGTCTGCCAAAGCATGTGAACTATTTGCACTCAGCCAGGTTTTAAAACACTTACAGAGCAAGGAAGGAACTATTCATACTGATTCTAAATACATTTTTGGAGTAGCTCATATATTTGGAAAAATTTGGGCTGAGCAAGGTCTTATTAATACTAAAGGCCAGGCCAGGCGCGGTGGCTCATGCCTGTAATCCCAGCACTTTGGGAGGCTGAGGTGGGCGGATCACGAGGTCAGGAGATCAAGACCATCCTGGCTAACATGGTGAAACCCCGTCTCTACTAAAAATACAAAAAAATTAGCCAGGTGTGGTAGCGGGATCCTGTAGTCCCAGCTACTCAGGAGGCTGAGGCAGGAGAATGGCGTGAACCCGGGAGGTGGAACTTGCAATGAGCTGAGATCGTGCCACTGCACTCCAGCCTGGGTGACAGAGCAAGACTCCGTCTCAAAAAAACACCAAAAAACAAAAAAAAACTAAAGGCCAAAATATCTTACCCACGAGGAGCTAATCGTCCATGTTTTAAACAATCTCCAGTTGCCAGAAGAAATAGCCATTGTACATGTCCCCGGACACCAAAACGACTTTTCCTTTACAAGTCAGGGAAATAACCTTGCAGATCAAGTGGCTAAACAGGCTGCCATTTCATCTGAAACACCTTTCACTTAACCCCTCGTCTTCCTCCCCCTGCTGCAACCCCTACCTTGTCTGCTGCAGAAAAGGAAAAATTAATAAAAATGGAGCCAAAGAAAACTCAGAAGGAAAATGGGTGTTACCAGATCAAAGAGAAATGCTATTCAAACCGCTCATGAGAGAAATCCTACCCACCTGCATCAAGGGACACACTGGGGACCCCAAGCCATGTGTGACACAGTTCTCAGGGTTTATGGGTATATACCCTAGCCAAACAGGTTATGGATAGTTGCTTAACATGTAAGGAAACCAACAAACAAGTTATAAAGAAATCATCCCTGGGCGGGGAGGGATTCAGGGCTAAGACCATTCCAAAGTGTTCAAACTGATTACATTGAAATGCCCCCAATCGGTTGCCTAAAGTACTTAGTAATAGCAGATCACCTCACTCACTGGGTCGAAGCTATTCCCTTTTCAAATGCAATGGCCAATCATGTAGTTAAAGCATTAATTGAAAATATAGTGCCCAGGTTTGGGCTAATAGAAAATATTGACTCAGACAGTGAAACCTATTTCATAGCACATATCATTAAAAAGCTATCCTAAGCGCTAGACATTAGATGGAAATATCATACTCCTTGGCACCCACCTTCATCAGGGAGAGTAGAAAGGATGAATCAGACCTTAAAGAACCATTTAACCAAGTTAGTTCTATAGATTCGGTTGCCAGGGATCAAATATCTTCCTATTGCCCTGTTAAGAATCCAAACGGCGGTTCCACCGCTGTCGCCGCCGTAGTGCGGCATGCCGCTCGGCGGAGGGGCCGGGCCTGCGTTCTCTCCTCCTTCCTCCCCGCCTCTGGCTGCCGGCAGGACCTTTCTCTCGCTGCTACTGGGACCCCGTGTCATAGCCCAGGCTGAGCACGATGCCCCCTCAAAAGGGAGGTGATGGAATTAAACCACCCCCAATCATTGGAAGATTTGGAACCTCACTGAAAATTGGTATTGTTGGATTGCCAAATGTTGGGAAATCTACTTTCTTCAATGTATTAACCAATAGTCAGGCTTCAGCAGAAAACTTCCCATTCTGCACTATTGATCCTAATGAGAGCAGAGTACCTGTGCCAGATGAAAGGTTTGACTTTCTTTGCCAATATCACAAACCAGCAAGCAAAATTCCTGCCTTTCTAAATGTAGTGGATATTGCTGGCCTTGTGAAAGGAGCTCACAATGGGCAGGGCCTGGGGAATGCTTTTTTATCTCATTTTAGTGCTTGTGATGGCATCTTTCATCTAACACGTGCTTTTGAAGATGATGATATCACACATGTTGAAGAAAGTGTAGATCCTATTCGAGATATAGAAATAATACATGAAGAGCTTCAGCTTAAAGATGAGGAATGACTGGGCCCATTATAGATAAACTAGAAAAGGTGGCTGTGAGAGGAGGAGATAAAAAACTAAAACCCAAATATGATATAATGTGCAAAGTAAAATCCTGGGTTATAGATCAAAAGAACCTGTTCGCTTCTATCATGATTGGAATGACAAAGAGATTGAAGTGTTGAATAAACACTTATTTTTGACTTCAAAACCAATGGTCTACTTGGTTAATCTTTCTGAAAAAGACTACATTAGAAAGAAAAACAAATGGCTGATAAAAATTAAAGAGTGGGTGGACAAGTATGACCCAGGTGCCTTGGTCATTCCTTTTAGTGGGGCCTTGGAACTCAAGTTGCAAGAATTGAGTGCTGAGGAGAGACAGCAGTATCTGGAAGCGAACATGACACAAAGTGCTTTGCCAAAGATCATTAAGGCTGGGTTTGCAGCACTCCAACTAAAATACTTTTTCACTGCAGGCCCAGATGAAGTGCGTGCACGGACCATCAGGAAAGGGACTAAGGCTCCTCAGGCTGCAGGAAAGATTCACACAGATTTTGAAAAGGGATTCATTATGGCTGAAGTAATGAAATATGAAGATTTTAAAGAGGAAGGTTCTGAAAATGCAGTCAAGGCTGCTGGAAAGTACAGACAACAAGGCAGAAATTATATTGTTGAAGATGGAGATATTATCTTCTTCAAATTTAACACACCTTAACAACTGAAGAAGAAATAAAATTTAGTTACTGCTCAGATAAACATACAACTTCCAAAAGGCATCTGATTTTTTAAAAATTAAAATTTCTGAAAACCAATGGGACAAATAAAGTTGGGGAGATGGGAATCTTTGACAAACAAATTATTTTTGTTTTAAAATTAAAATACTGTGTACCCTCTCCCCCCAATGAAATGCAAGTTCACTAAATGTGAACACCTTTGCTTTTCATGTGATTAAGACCCTACTCCAAATTATAGAAGCTTTTCAAGAACCATGTTACTCTCATGATACTTCATTAATCTCCATCATGTATGCCAAGCCTAACACATTTGACAGTGAGAACAATGTGGCTTGCTCCTTTTTGAATCTACAGATAATGCATGTTTTATAGTACTCCAGATGTCTACACTCAATAAAACATTTGACAAAACCAAATAAAAAAAAAAGAATCCAAACTGCTCCTCGAAAAGATACTGGCCTTTCCCCTTACAAGATGCTCTATGGATTGCCTTATTTACACTCCACTGCTGATGTTCCAAAAACACCAGTTCCTCAGGAATTATATTCTTAGTCTCTCCCCTACTTTCTCTTTTCTTAAAACCAAAGGTCTCCTAGCACAGGCTCTGCCTCTGGAGTTCCCAGTACATCAACATCAGCCTGGGGATCACGTCCTTATCAAGAGCTGAAAAGAGGAGAAACTTGAGCCAGCCTGGGAAGGACCTTACCTGGTGCTTCTAACCACTGAAACTGCAGTCCGGACAGCAGAAAAAGGATAGACCCATCACACCTGAGTCAAGAAAGCACTGTCACCTCCAGAGTCATGGGCCATTATCCCAGGGGAAAACCCCCTCAAACTAAAGCTAAGAAAAGTTTAACTCTCTTTCGTCTACTCTATTACTCTTTCTTCTTTCCTCATTCTGTTGCTGACCACCTTGTTATCAATGTGACTAAATCAAACTCACCCCAAGTTATTATGTTTGATGCCTGTTTAGTCATACCCTGTAGAGATCTCCAAAGTCAAAGGCAACTCTCAGCCTTAGAAAAGTATCTCTGCCACTTTAAAATAAAAGGCTCCCGCTACCAAGACTCTTGCTCCTCATAAAATATAGGGAAACAGGTCTGCCATAGCTGGAATGATGTTCTGTGGACAACTGAGTATCAAGGCTGGACCTCATCAACATGTGGCTGTATATACTTAAAATCATACATTCACTTTACTAAAGGAAGCACCCCTCCCCTCGATTTTCAGTATAACCAGTGTAATCCAGTGCAGATTTCTACTCTCACTCCGGCCTCTACCGACCCTCTAGACCTACTTTGAGTCGCTTCTATGGCATAGGGACCAACGCGGCACAGACCTCATAGGGTCTTTTGAAATGCGTTTTATTAATCCCTCATCCTCTTCACCCTCTTCCCTCTCTTCTCCTTCTAAGCCTTCTTCTAATCAGACTGCCATACCTTCTATACCCAATGATAAGACTAAAGTAGATATTGTAGAAGTAAATGATCTAAGGCAAACTTTAGCAATTGAAACAAAATATCAAGATGCAAATGCCTGGTTGGAATGGACCAAATATTCTGTCCGCACATGAAACAAAAGCAATTGTTATGCTTGTGCTCACGGCCAGCCAGAGACCCAGATAGACCCCTTTACACTCGGCTGGTCCCCCAGTCAACCAGGCATGGGCAGCATGGTAGCTCTCTTCCAGGATTCCATAGCTTGGGGCAATCAATCATGCCAAGCTCTCTCTTTGCTCTATCCCAAAGTTCAATATCCTGCGGGTCAGCCCCAGAGGGCCATCCAGCTTCTGGCTCCCAATGTCAATTTCACGTCCTGTCTCTCACGACAAGGGGAAAACTTGGTGTTCCTTGGAAGCTTAACAGGATGCAGTGAGCTTAAGCCTTTCCAAGAGCTTACCCATCAGTCTGCCCTTAGTCATCCTCAAGAAGATGTATGGTGGTATTGTGGCGGACCCTTACTGGACACTCTGCCAAGTAACTGGAGTGGTACCTGCACTCTTGTCCATTTGGCTATCCCTTTCACCCTGGCGTTTCATCAGCCAGAAAAAGAAAAGCCACAACACCATAAAATAAGAGAAGCCCCTTATAGGTTTTTTGACTCTCAAGTTTATTTAGATGCAACTGGAGTCCCATGGGGAGTACCTGATAAATTAAAAGCCCGGGACCAAATAGTCTGCAGGATTTGAATCAATATTTCCATGGGTAACTATTAATAAAAATGTAGACTGTATAAATTACATCTATTATAACCAACAGCAGTTTATTAATTATACCAGGGATGCTGTCAAAGGAATAGCTGAGGAGTTAGGGCTGACTAGCCAGATGGCTTAGGAAAACAGAATGGCCCTAGGCATGATACTAGCTGAAAAAGGTAGAGTTTGTGTTATGATTAAAACTCAGTGTCGTACCTTCATCCCAAACCATACTGCCCCAGATGGGAGCATAACAAAAGCCTTACAAGGACTTACCATTTTATCTAATGAATTAGCTAAAAATTCTGGAGTCAATAACCCTTCTTCAGGATGGCTAGACAGGTGGTTTGGTAAATAGAAAGGAATCATAGCCTCAATTCTTACTTCTCTTGCAGTCATAATAGGTGTACTCATTCTTGTTGGGTGTTGTGTCACACCATGCAACCATGGGCTAGTACAAAGGCTTATAGAAACAGCACTTACTAAAATCTCCCTTAGCTCTCCTCCACCTTATTCAGATAAGCGTTTCCTTTCAGACGATCAAGTCAAACAGCAAAGCCAAGACATCTTAAAAAGGTTTGAAGAGGAAGAACTATAAAAATTAAAAGGGGGAAATTGTAGGATACAATAAAATTCTTCAAAGGTTTAGCCTGTTAACTTCCTTGTTCTTTGTTCTCAAACTCAACTTTCTTGTTCTCTATGCCTCCTTGCCCCTAGTTACTGTAACTGTAAACAACTTTCCTGTCAGTCCTAATCAATAACTCACATCTGTTCCCTTGGTTACCCACTCTTCACCCGTTCCTCCCTTTGAAACCGCACATCCCACCATTGTAACTCACATTTCCCTTCCCTTCCTTATTTGGGAAAGTATTCACAAATAGCCAATTGGGTCAGTTTAGATTGTGCGGTCCAACCACAGCCCATGGAGGAATGACAAAGAGGCAGGGACTGCATTAGGAATAAAAACCCCTGCTTTCCTTTGTTCAGTGTGCTCTTGCAATCGTGATTGACACAAGCAGCACCCTTCTGCAGAAGTAAATTGCCTTGCTGAGAAAATTTTTGCCTGAGTGCTGGTTTCGCTTTGTGGCACTGAACATTTATCTCCAACAAGTAGAAGAAAGAACTTCAGAGCTTGAAGACAAAGCATTTGAAGTAACTCAACCAGACAAAGACAAATAAAAAAGAATTTTTTTTTTTTGAGACAGTCTCGCTCTGTTGCCCAGGCTGGATGGAGTGCAGTGGCGTGATCTCGGCTCACTGCAAGCTCTGTCTCCTGGGTTCATAGCATTCTCCTACCTCAGCCTCCTGAGTAGCTGGGACTACAGGCGACCGCCACCACACCTGGCTTATTTTTTGTATTTTTAGTAGAGATGGGGTTTCACCGTGTTAGCCAGGATGGTCTCGATCTCCTGACCTTGTGATCTGCCTGCCTCGGCCTCCCAAAGTGCTGGGATTACAGGCGTGAGCCACTGCGCCCGGCGAATATGAATTTTTAAAAATGAACAAAGCTTCCAAGAAATTTGGGATTACGTTAAACAGCCAGACCTAAGAATAATTGGTGTTCCTCAGGAAGAAGAGAAATCTAAACATTTAGAAAGCTTATTGGAGGGAATAATCAAGGAAAAGTTCCTTGCTCTCACCAGAGATCTAAACATCTAAATACAAGAAGCTGAAAGAACACCTGAAAAATTCATTGCAAAAAGATAATTACCTAGGCACACAGTCATCAGGTTATCTAAAGTCAAGATGAAGGGAAACATCTTAAGAGCCATGAGGCAAAAGCATCAGGGAACCTACAATGGAAATCCTATCAGATTAACAGCAGATTTCTCAGCAGAAACCCTATAAGCCAGAAGGGATTGGGGTCCTATCTTTAGCCTCCTCAAACAAAATAATTGCCAGCCAAGAATTTTGTATCCAGCAAAACTATGCTTCATAAATGAGGAGAGATAAAGTCTTTTTCAGACAAACAAATGCTGAGAGAATTTGCCACTAGCAAGCCAGCACTACAAGAAATGTCAAAAGGAGTTCTAAATCTTGAAACAAAAATAGAACCTCCTTTAAGTATATGTTTTAAAAGGCTTATAAAACAATAACACAATTTAAAAAAGCACAACTATCACTATGAATAAAACACTATCTCATAATTCAATACCAACATTGAATGTAAATGGCCTGAATGCTCCACTTAAAAGACACAGAATGGATAAAATTCACCAACCAACCATCTGCTGTCTTCAAGAGACTCATCTAATGCATAGGGACTCACATAAACTTAAGGTAAAGGGGTAGAAAAAGATACTGCACGCAAATGGAAACCAAAAGCAAGTACGAGTAGCTATTCTTTTTTTTTTTTCTTTGAGATGGAGTCTCGCTCTGTTGCCCAGGCTGGAGTGCAGTGGCACGATCTCGGCTCACTGCAACCTCTGCCTCCTGGGTTCAAACAATTCTCCTGCCTCAGCCTCCCAAGTAGTTGGGACTACAGGCATGCGCCACCATGCCCAGCTAAATTTTTTGTATTTTTAGTAGAGACAGGGTTTCACCATGTTAGCCAGGATGGTCTCAATCTCCTGACCTCATGATCTGCCTGCCTTGGCCTCCCAAAGTGCTAGGATAATAGATGTGAGCTGGCCAAGAGTAGCTATGTTTTTTTGTTTTTGTTTTTTTTTCTGAGACTAAGTCTTGCTCTGTCACCAGGCTGGAATGCAGTGGCGCTAACTTGGCTCACTGCAACCTCTGCCTCCTGAGTTCAAGCAATTCTCCTGCCTCAGCCTCCCGAGTAGCTGGGACTACAGGGGCATGCCACCACACCAAGCTAATTTTTGTATTTTTAGTAGAGATGGGGTTTCACAATGGTGGCAAAGATGATCTCAATCTCCTGACCTCGTGATCCACCTGTCTCAGCCTCCCAAAGTGCTGGGATTACAGGCATGAGCCATCATGCCTTGCCGAGTAGCTATTCCTATATCACACAAACAGACTTTAAAGCAACAACGGTTAAAAAAAAGACAAAAAGGGGCCAGGCGTGGTAGCTCACACCTGTAAACCCAGCACTTCGGGAGGCCAAGGCGGGTGGATCATGAGGTCAGGAGATCGAGACCATCCTGGCTAACATGGTGAAACCCCGTCTCTACTAAAAAAATACAAAAAAATGAGCTGGGCATGGTGGTGGGTGCCTGTAGTCCCAGCTACTCTGGAGGCTGAGGCAGGAGAATGGTGTGAAGCCGGGAGGTGGAGCTTGCAGTGAACCGAGATTGCGCCACTGCACTCCAGCCTGGGCAACAGAGTGAGACTCTGTCTCAAAAAAAAAAAAAAAAAAAAAAAAAGACAAAAAGGGACATTACATAACGATAAAAGATCAGTCCAGCCGGGCGCAGTGGCTCACACCTGGAATCCCAGCACTTTGGGAGGCTGAGACGGGCGGATTACGAGGTCAGGAGATCAAGACCATCCTGGCTAACATGGTGAAACCCCGTCTCTACTAAAAATACAAAAAAATTAGCCGGGTGTGGTGGTGGGCACCTGTAGTCCCAGCTACTCGGGAGGCTGAGGCAGGAGAATGGCATCAATCCAGGAGGCGGAGCTTGCAGTGAGATGAGAGCTGAGATCACGCCACTGCACTCCAGGCTGGGCAGACAGAGCGAGACTCTGTCTCAAAAAAAAAAAAAAAATCAGTCCAACAGGAAAATATCACAATCCTAAATACATATGCACCTTAATGGGCCAGGCACAGTGGCTCACACCTGTAATCCCAGCACTTTGGGAGGCTGAGGCAGGCGGATCACTTGAGTTCAGGAGTTCGAGTCCAGCCTGACCAACACGATGAAACCCCATCTCTACTAAAAATACAAAATTTAGCTGGGCATGGTGGCAAGCACCTGTACTGCCAGCTACTCGGGAGGCTCAGGCAGGGAAATCACTTGAACCCAGGAGGCAGAGGTTGCAGTGAGCCAAGATCACGCCACTGCACTCTAGCCTGGGCAACAGACCAAGACTCCATCTCAAAAACAAACAAACAACAAAAAAAAAACAGGTAAAGATGATACAGATTAACATCCTCATAAACACAGATGCAAATATTAACAAAATCTTATCACATTGAAAATAATATGTAAATATATACAACATTATCTATAGCATTTACTCCCAGGAATGCAAGGTTGGTTCAACATTCAAAAACCAATAAATGAAATTAACCATATTAACAGACAGAAAAAGAAAAATTCCATGATTATATCAATAGATGCATAAAATATATTTCACAAAATCAACATCTGAACCTCAAAGAAAAGAAAATTCCCAGCAAACGAGGAATTCATGGAAACATTTTCAATCCGATGAGGGGTATCTACGAAAAACCTACAGCTAGCAACATACTCAATGGTAAAATACTAAATGCTTTGTTCCTAAGTTCAGAAATGTCTTTATTTATTTATTTATTTATTTATTTATTTATTTTGAGACAGACTTTCACTCTTGTCACCCAGGCTGTAGTGTAAGGGCACAATCTTGGCTCACTGCAACCTCCGCCTCCCAGGTTTAAGTGATTCTCCTACCTCAGCCACCTGAATAGCTAGGATTACAGGTGCCTGCCGCCACGCCCAGCTAATTTTTGTATTTCTAGTAGAAACGGGGTTTCACCATGTTGGCCAGGCTGGTCTCAAATTCCTGATCTCAGGTGATCCACCCACCTTGGCCTCCCAAAGTATTGGCATTACAGACATGAGCCACCACAGCTGGCCAGGAATGTCTTAATTTAAGGCAAAAAAAGTCTGCCCTCATTGCTTTTTTTTTTGAGGCAGAGTCTCGTTCTGTCACCTAGGCTGGAGTGCAATGGCATGATCTCAGCTCACTGCAACCTCTGCCTCTCAGGTTCAAGCGATTCTCCTGCCTCAGCCTCCCAAGTAGCTGGAATTATAGGTGTGCACCATCACGCCAAGCTAAATTTTGTATTTTTAGTAGAGATGGGGTTTCACCATGTTGGCCAGGCTGGTCTCGAACTCCTGACCTCAGGTGATCCGCCTGCCTCGGCCTCCCAAAGTGCTGGGATTACATGCATGAGCCACCGCACCCGGTCTACCCTCATCACTTCTGTATGATATTGTGCTAGAAGCTCTAGCCAGTGAACAAGTCAAAAAAGAGAAGTAAAAGGCAATCAGATTGGAAAGAAAGAAATAAAACTGTATTTTCAAATAACATGATTGTGTGTAAAATCCTGTGGGATCATCCAAAAAGCAACTACAGCTTAACAAGGCTGAAGGATGCAAGATCACTGTATTAAAATCAATTATATTGCTATATAATAGGAATAAACAATTGGGAATTAAAACTTCTTAAAAACCAGTTATAACAGCATCCAAAATATAAAATACATAGACAAAAAATATAACAAAAGCTACATGCAAAATCATACACTAATAACTACAAAACATTGCTGAGAGAAATTAAAGACGATGTAAATCAATGAAGAGCCATACCATGGTCATGAATCAGAAGACTCAACATTTTAAAGATGTCAGTTCCTCTCAAATTAATCTATAGATTCAGTGTAATCAATAAAAATTCCAGCAATTTTCTTGTTGAAATTGATTGCTTTTTCTAAAATTCATAGAGGAATGCAACTCAGGCCGGGCAAAGTGGCTCATGCCTGTAATCCCAGCACTTTGAGAGGCCAAGTCAGGTTGGTTGCTTGAGTCCAGGAGTTCGAGACAAGCCTGGGCAACGTGGTTAAACCCTGTCTCTACAAAAAGTACAAAAATTAGCTGGGTGTGGTGGTGCATGCCTGTAATTCCAGCTACCCGGGAGCCTGAGGCAGGAGAATCTTTTGAACCTGGGAGGCAGAGGTTGCAGTGCACCGAGATCGTGCCACTGCACTTCAGCCTGGGCGACAGAGTGAGACTCCATCTCAAAAAAAAAAAATACAGTTATGAACATGTTGAAAAAATAAAAAAGAGTCTCAGCATAGAAATAGGAGATATAAGGAAGAATCAGATAGAAATTTTAGAAATAGAAAATACAACAACGAAATAAAAAGCTCAGTGAATGGGCTCAAAAGTGGAAAAGAGGACAACACAAGCAGTTAACTGGAAGACAGGACAACAGAAATTACTCAATCTGAACAACAGAGAGAAAATGGACTGGAAAAAGTAAACAAGAAAGAAAAGAGAAAATAAAAGAGGCCGGTACAGTGGCTCATGCCTGTAACCCCAGCACTTTGGGAGGCTGAGGTGGGTGGATCATGAGGTCAGGAGATCGAGACCATCCCTGGCTAACACGGTGAAACCCCGTCTCTGCTAAAAATACAAAAACGAAATTAGCCGAGCATGGTGGTGGGCACCTGTAGTCCCAGCTACTCGGGAGGCTGAGGCGGGAGAATGGTGTGAACCCGGGAGGCAGAGCCAAGATCGCGCCACTGTACTCCAGCCTGGGCGACAGAGCGAGACTCCATCTCAACCAAAAAAAAAAAAAAAAAAAAAAAAAAAAAGAAGAAAAGAAAAGAAACAAATAATAAACACAACCTCAGGGCCTGTGAGACTGTTAATAAAAGATCAGAGTGGGGCATGATAGCTCATCCCTGTAATCCCAGCATTTTGGTAGACAGAGGCAGAAGGATTGCTTGAGCCCAGGAGTTTGGGGCCAGCCTGGACAACATAGGAGGGGGCCGGGCGTGGTGGCTCTCGCCTGTAATCCCAGCACTTTGGGAGGCCAAGGCAGGCGGATCATGAGGTCAAGAGATTGAGACCATCCTGGCCAACTTGGTAAAACCCCGTCTCTACCAAAAATTCAAAAATTAGCCAGGCATGGTGGCAGGCACCTGTAATCCCAGCTACTCAGGAGGTTGAGGCACGAGAATCACTGGAATCTGGGAGGCAGACATTGCAGTGAGCCAAGATCATGCCACTGCACTCCAGCCTGGTGAAAGAGCGAGACTCCGCCTCAAAAACAAAAAAATTGAGTGTGGTGGTGCACACCTGTGGTCCCAGCTACTCTGGGGACTGAAGTGGGAGGAACGCTTCGGCCTGGAAGGTCTAGGTTGCAGTGAGCCATGATTCTGCCACTGTACTCCAGCCTGGATAACAGAGCAAGACCCTGTCTCAAAAAAATACATTAATAAATAAATAATCAAATGAACAAATATTCAAAGAAAACTTTCCTACTTGGCAAAATGCATAAAACAATAGATTCAAGAAGCTGAGAGAATTCCAATTGGGATAAACCCAAAGAAGTTCACACCAAGATACATTATAGTCAAACTTCTGAAAACAAAACAAAAAAATTTTTTGAAAGCAGCCAGAGAAAAACAATATGTTACTTATATAGAAAAAATAATTTGAATGACAGCTTATTTCTCATCAGAGACAACAGAAACCAGAAAGAAGTGACACAACACTTTTCCATTGTTAAAAAAACTATCAACTCAGAATCCCATATCCAATGAAAATATCCTTCAAGAATGCTGGGGGAAATTGTAAAATTCTCAAAGGAAGGAAAACTAAAAGAATTTGTCACCAACTAATATGTGCCCAGTTGGTTTTTTACAAAGGTGCTGATGCAATTCAATGGAGGAAAAATGGCTTTTCAACAAATGGTTCTGGAGTAATCAGATATTCATAGGCAAGAAAATGAACCTTGAAATAAATCTTACATTATATACAAAAATTACAACAAGGTGCAGTGGCTCATGCCTATAATTCCAGCATGGCAGGTAGATCACTTGAAGTCAGGAGTTCAAGACCAGCCTGGCCAACGTGGTGAAACCCTGTCTCTACTAAAAATACAAAAATTAGCTGGGCGTGATGGTGCGCATCTATAATTCCAGCTACTTTGGAGGATGAGACACCAGAATCGCTTGAACCTGGGAGGCAGAGGTTGCAGTAAGCCAAGATCATGCCACTGCACTCCAGCCTGGGTGAGGGAATAAGACTGTCTCAAAGAAAAACAAAAACCAAAAAACAAAAACCAAACCAAACCATGGACTTAAATGTACATCATCAAACATTTAGGAGAAAATCTTCTGGACCTAGAGCTACACAAGGCATTTTTAGTCTTGACACTAAAAGCACAATCCATAACAGGAAAAATAATAAAATAGATTTCATCAAAATTAAGCACTTTTACTCTGTGAAAGACCCTGTTCAGAGGATGAAAAGGCATAGAGTGGGAGAAAATATTTGCAAACTACGTATCTGATAAAGGACTAGTATCTAGAATATATAAAGAACTCCCAAAACTCAAAAATAAATAATCTAAATAAAAATGTGCAAAAGACATGAAAAAGCACTTCAGTAAAGAGAATATACACATTGGAAATAAACTTGGGAAAGGATGTTCAATATCACTAGCCATTAAGGAAATGCAAACTAAAACTACAATGGGCTATCCCTGTACACTTATTCCAAATGGCTAAATGTAAACAGTTGCTACACCAAATGTAGAAGAGGATGTGGAGAAACTAGATCACTCATGAATTGCCAATGAGAATGTAAAATGATTCAGTTATTCTGGAAAACAATTTGGTAGTTTTTTTTTTTTTTCCCTGAGACGGAGTCTTGCTCTGTCACCCAGGCTGGAGTGCAGTGGTGTGATCTCGGCTCACTGCAACCTCTGCCTCCTGGGCATGGTGGCGTACGCCTATAATCCCAGCTACTTGGAAGGCTGAGGCAGGAGAATCGCTTGAACCCGGGAGGCGGAGGTTACAGTGAGCTGAGATCGTGCCATCGCACTCCAGCCTGGGTGACAGAGTGAGACTCCATATCAAAAAAAATAAAAATAAAAAAAGAGAGAGAGGAAAAAGAGGTTTAATTGATTCAGTTCTGCAGGCTGTGCAAGCATGGCTCCAGCATCTGCTCCTGGTGAGGGCCTCAGGAAGCTTCAAATCCCAGCAGAAGGAAAAGGGAGAGCAGGGATGTCACATGGTGACAGCAGGAACAAGAGAGCAAAGCGGGAGATGCCACACACCTTTAACAACCAGATTACAGATGAACTCACTCATCACCAAGGGGATGGTGCTAAGCCGTTCATGAGGGATCTGCCTCCATGATCCATTCACCTTCCACCAGGCTTCAACTCCAACACTGGGGATGACATTTTGACGAGATTTGGAAGGGACAAATATCCAAACCGTATCACCATATTTTGTGTTTTGTTTAGGTTTGTTTTTTTGTCACCCAGGCTGGAGTACAGTGGTAGGATCATAGTTTATGGTAGCCTCGAACTCCTGGCTTCAAGCAATCCTCCTACCTCAGCCCCTCGAGTAGCTGGGACTATAGACACGTACCACCATGCTTGGCTATTTTAAACAAATTTTTGTAGAGATGCTATCGGGCAAAATTCACCCCTGATATTTCACGTAGGTTCTTTTCTATTTTCCCTAAGTGTCGGCCGGTCTGAGAAATAAAGGGACAGAGTACAAAAGAGATAAATTTTAAAGCTGGGTGTCCGGGGGAGACGTCACATGTCAGCAGGTTCCGTGATGCCCCCTGAGCCATAAAACCAGCAAGTTTTTATTATCGATTTCAAAAGGGAAGAGAGTGTACGAATAGGGTGTGGGTCACAGAGATCACATGCTTCACAAGGTAATAAGATATCACAAGGTAAATGAAGGCAGGGCGAGTTCACAGGACCACAGGACCGGGGCGAAATTAAAATTGCTAATGAAGTTTTGGGCATGCATTGTCACTGATAACATCTTATCAGGAGACAGGGTTTGAGAGCAGACAACCGGTCTGACCAAAATTTATTAGGTGGGAATTTCCTCATCCTAATAAGCCTGGGAGCGCTACAGGAGACTGGGGCTTATTTCATCCCTACAGCTGTGACTGTAAAATACAGCCACCCCCCAAGTGGCCATTTCAGAGGCCTACCCTCAGGGACGCATTCTCTTTCTCAGGGGCGTTCCTTGCTGAGAAAAAGAATTCAGCGATATTTCTCCCATTTGCTTTTGAAAGAAGAGAAATATGGCTCTGTTCCGCCCGGCTCACTGGCAGTCAAGAGTTTAAGGTTATCTCTCTTGTTCCCTGAACGTTGCTGTTATCCTGTTCTTTTTTCAAGGTGCCCAGATTTCATATTATTCAAACACACATGCTCTACAAACAATTTGTGCAGTTAATGCAATCATCACAGGGTCCTGAGGCGACATACATCCTCCTCAGCTTACGAAGATGACGGGATTAAGAGATTAAAGACAGGAATAGGAAATCACAAGGCTATTGATTGGGGAAGTGATAAGTGTCCATGAAATCTTCACAATTTATGTTCAGAGACTGCAGTAAAGACAGGTGTAAGAAATTATAAAAGTATTAATTTGGGGAACTAACAAATGTCCGTGAAATCTTCACAATTTATGTTCTTCTGCCACGGCTTCAGCCGGTCCCTCCGTTCGGGGTTCCTGACTTCCCTCAACAGATGCAGTCTCACTATGTTGCCCAAGCTGTTCTCAAACTCCTGGCCTCAAGCAATCCTGACATTATAGGAATGAGCCACCATGCCTGGGTGACAGACCACCTTCTGTTTATCCACTTATCAACAGATAGCCATTTGGGTGTTTTTAGTTTTTGGCTATGGTGAATAATGCTGCTATGAACATTTGCATACAAGTCTTTGTGTGGAAAAAAATTTCTTCAGGGTAAATACCTAGGATTGGAATTGCTGGATCATATAGTAAGTCCACGTTTAACTTTTTTTTTTTTTTTTAAATACGGTCTCATTATTTTGCCTAGTCTGGTCTCAAACTCCTAAGCTCAAGCAATGCTTCTGCCTCGGCCTCTTACAAGTGAGTACCACCACTCCTGGCCATATTTAACTGTTTAAGAAACTGCCAGACTGTTTTCCCAAATGGCTACACCATTTTACATTCCCACCAGCAAAGTATAGAAAGTTCTAATTTCTCTATATCCTTGCCAACACTATCTTTTGTCTTTTTTTTTTTTTTTTTGAGATGGAGTCTTGCTCTGTCACCCAAGCTGGAGTGAAATGGCATGATCTGGGCTCACTGCAACCTCCACCTCCCGGGTCAAGCAATTCTCCTGCCTCAGCCTCCCTAGTAGCTGGGATTACAGGCATGCACTACCATGCCCAGCTAATTTTCCTATTTTTAGTAGAGAGGAGGTTTTACCACGTTGGCCAGGCTGGTCTCAAACTCCTGAACCCAAGTGATCTACTGGCCTTGGCCTCTCAAAATGCTGGGATTACAGGTGTGAGCCACCGTGACTGGCTGTGTCTGCCTTTTTCACTCTAGCCATTCTACTGGGTGAGAAATGGTATCTCACGAGGGTTTTGATTTTTATTTCCCTAATGGCTCATGATGTTGAATGTCTTTTCATGTACTTATTGGTCACCCGTATATCCTCTTTGGAGAAATGGTTATTCAAATACTTTACCCATTAAAATAAAAATTTCATCTTTAAGAGCAGTTTCGAGTTCACAGCAAAACTGAACAGAAAATACAGGGTTCCCCCACCCCACACACACTCATAGCCTCCCCCCACCAACAACATCAGGCACCAGAGGATATATTTGTTATAAGCAATGAAGCTACATTGACACACCAGTATCACCCATATCCCATAGTTTACATTAGGTTTCATTCTTGGTGTTGTACATCCTGTAGGGTTTGACAAATGTGTAATAACATGTATCCACCATTATAACATCCAGAGTAATTTCACTACCCTAAATATTCTCTGTGCACCACCTCTGTGCATTTCTCCCCACTCCCAGCCCCTGCCATCTTTTTTATTGTCTCCATAGTTTTGCCTTTTCCAGGATGTAATATAGTTGGAATCATACAGTATGTAGCTCTTTCAGATTGTCTTCTTTCACTTACTAATATGCATTTAAGGTTTCTCCATGCCTTTTCATGGCTTAATAGCTCATTTCTTTCTAGTGCTGAATATAGTCCATTGTCTGGATATACCAAGGTTTATTTATCCATTTACCTGCTAAAGGACATCTTGGTTGCTTTCAAGTTTTGGCAATTACAAATAAAGCTGCTGCTGGCCGGGAGCGGTGGCTCACGCCTGTAGTCCCAGAACTTTGGGAGGCCAAGGCGGGCAGATCACGAGGTCAGGAGATCGAGACCATCCTGGCTAACATGGTGAAACCCCGTCTCTACTTAAAATACAAAAAATTAGCTGGGCTTCGTGGCAGGCGCCTGTAGTCCCAGCTACTTGGAGGCTGAGGCAGGAGAATGGCGTGAACCCAGGAGGCAGAGCTTCCAGTGAGCCGAGATCGCGCCACTGCACTCCACCCTGGGTGACAGAGCGAGACTCCATCTCAAAAACAAAAACAAAAACAAAAGCTGCTGTAAACATCCATGTGCAGGTTTCTGTGTGGACATAAGTTTTCAGCTCATTTGGGTAAACACTAAGGAATGCAATGGCTGGATCTTCTGATGGGAGTATGTTTAGTTTTGTCAGAAAGCCAAACTGTCTTCCAAAGCTGCTGTACCATTTTGCGTTCCTACCAGTAAGGAGAGTTCCTGTTGCTTCACATCCTCACCAGCATTTGGTGTTGTCTCCCTTGCCCATTTCTAAACTTGGCTATTTGTCTTTTCATTACTGAGTTGTAAGAATTTTATGTATCCTAGATACAAGTCCCTTATGGAACATGTGATTTGCAAAAATTTTCTCCCAGTTTGTGGGTTGTTTAGAGGTCTTTTTTTTCTTTTCCTTTTGAGACAGGGTCTCACTCTGTCGCCCAGACTGGAGTCCAGCGGCGCAATCTTGGCTCACCGCAACCTCCACCTCGCGGGCTCAAGCGATCCTCCTGCCTCAGCCTCCCGAGTAGCTGAGATTACAGGTGCCCACCACCATGCCGGCTAATTTTTGTATTTTTAGTAGAGACGGGGGTTTCACCATGTTGGCCAGGCTGGTCTCGAACTCCTGACATCAGGTGATACACCTGCCTTGGCCTCCCAAAGTGTTGGGATTACAGGAGTGAGCCACTGCGCCCCATTTTTTTTTTGAATGTTGAACACAATGAATTTATCATGATAGTGGGTACTTCTGAAGGAGGCAGGGGTATACACAAGGTTAGAATCATACAGGTAGATATCATGGTATAGGTGCTGCGAGAGTCAGAAAACTGACTCTGGCACCAGCTGCCTGGGCTTCAACCCCAATGCTGTAAAGTAACTTAGTCTCTTTGTGCCTCAGTTTTCTCATCTATAAAATGAGTATATCAGCCGGGGGCAGTGGCTCACACCTGTAATCCCAGCACTTTGGGAGGCTGAGGTGGGTGGATCACCTGAAGTCAGGAGTTTGAGACCAGCCTGGCCAACATAGCAAAACCCCGTCTCTACTAAAATACAAGCATTAGCCATGCATGGTGGTGCGCACCTGTAATCCCAGCGATTCGGAAAGCTGAGGCAGGAGAATGGCTTGAACATGAGAGGCGGAGGTTGCAGTGAGCCGAGATTGCACCATTGCAGTCCAGCCTAGGTGAGTCTCACTCTGTCTCAAAAAAAAAAAAAAAAAAGGGTATATCAACACAATCTCACTGGTGTGTTGTGAAGCCTAGCCAAGTTAATGTACCTAGAGAACTAGAGAACAGTGGCTACTAAGGACATCTAAGGACACTTTATACAAACCTTAACTGTGTTACAACTTCTTAAGTCAGTACTGAGGTTCAAAAGCTTCCATTTTATTATTATGCTTTATAATTTATATATGTTACGTGCTTTCTTTTGTATAGCTCACTTGAATATATATATACATTTTAGAAGATAATAAGGAAGAAAAAAAGTATATCTGGTTTTTTAACCCTTCGAAATGGGAAAGTTTGGAGTAGATGCTCAGCCCCGGCCCCTGGCCCTTCCCCAATACTCACAGGCTCCTGTCAACTACACCTTCAGAAAAAGACGGAGCCTCTTAGGCAGCAGTCAGGCAGGTGGGGGCGATCTGTCAGGTGACCTAGACTCTGGGCCATCTCAGTTTCCTCACCTGTAAAATGGGGATGCTGAGGTACCTACCTGACCTATGAGAGCGGAGAACACTGAGATATCTTGCCCATGGCCTGCCCTGTGGTTAGCTGTCGTTTTTTCCTTGACACTTGTAGGCTCCTCTTCATGTTTACATAACCTCAGTGGGAAAACGCCAGCGAAGAGAGACACTCAGAATGGACGATCTAAAGTTCCTTCCAGCTTCCAAATTCTGGGCTGGTTTTCAGAGATCCAGGGCTCGGGATGCGAATGTCCCTGTCTACGATGGGGCTGCCGTTACAGCCTTCCTCCCGGGGCTCTGGAGACGCGCCAGCTCTTTGACACCTCTCCTGCGCTAAGGAAGAGTTGGTTTACAGAAAAGTAAGTATATCCTGGCCCTGCAGAAAGCCGCCAGGCGGCAGGACAAGCCCCACCGCAGCCCAGGCGCCATTATCTGCCTCAGCAGTTACCTCGGGGTCCCGCCACGAGGAGGTTCTTCAAGGCCTGCGCGCCCACGGACACTACCAAGGAGCGCGGCGGGCAGCCGGATAGCAGGACGCTGAGGGAAACCCCGCAGTCGCTCGGCGTCCCCGGCGCCAGCTCACGACCCAGCGACCTCCTGCGGCCCGAGCGTCCCCTGGCGGCAACGCCGGCTCGTTAGAGCGAGCGACAGATGGTGTAGTCCAAAGGCCAAGCGGCGTTTCTGTAGATGAGCATGCGCAGCACCCACCGTTCGCTCAGCCAGAGAGAGGCTTCCCAGCCAATCCGAGAGCCTCAGAGTCATCCTCCCGCCCACCCAGCATACAGGCGGGGCGTTCCTCCTTAGCCAATGGGAAAAGACATTCGCCCGCGGTCCGCACGCGCTGCTTGCAAAGGGGTGGGGTTGTGGAGTGGATGCTTTGGCAAGATGGCGGGGAGCGGCGTCCGCCAAGCTACTTCTACCGCCAGCACCTTCGTGAAGCCCATTTTCAGTCGGGACATGAACGAGGCCAAGCGGAGGGTGCGCGAGCTCTACCGCGCCTGGTATCGGGAGGTGCCGAACACTGGTGAGAGGTAGCGGCTTACGTGGGGACCCGGAGGCCGCCGCTCAAGGTCGTAGCCGGCCCGGCCGGGGTTTCTCATGGGCCCAGCTGAGGTCACCAACTTGGGCAGAGGCGACTGCGGGTGCTTCAGGGGAAGAGGGTCACCCGAGCCTACCATGGGCCGGACCTGGCGGCGGCGCGGTGGTCAGACCGGCCGTGCCTAGCATTCGTACGTGCTATCGGAGCTTTGGTCTCTTTTGTCCTTCGCAATTGGCGGGAGGACGATGACTGTCAGTGACACACTCACTTTGTGGGTGAGGCAGCGGAGGCACCGAGAGGTGAAGTGATGTGCCCAGGGCCCAGGCCGAGCCACTGTTGTACCCAGAACCCAAAGTCTAGAGTTGCAGAGTGTAATTATAGATGCCCGTTGGATTTTTTTGTTTGTGACAGAGTCTCGCTGTGTCGCTCAGGCTGGAGTGCAGTGGTGCGATCTCGGCTCACTGCAAGCTCCGCCTCCCGGATTCACGTCATTCTCCTGCCTCAGCCTCAGCCTCCCGAATAGCTGGGATTACAGGCGCCCGCCACCACGCCGGCCATTTTTTTTTGTATTTTTAGTAGAGACGGGATTTCACCGTGTTAGCCAGAATGGTCTCGATCTCCTGACCTCGTGATCCGCCCGTCTCGGCCTCCCAAAGTGCGAGAAAGAGGTGTTTTTGAGTGAGCTGGAGCACGGTGCCACTCCTCAGGGCTGTCGAGTCCCTGCTTGTGTGTGTGAAAAGGCGGTAGAATGTGGTGGTTAGGAGCACGGACTTTTCTTCAGGCGCTGCCCTCAACTAGCTGTGTGACCTTGGGCCAGTTATTTCATCTATTCCTCAGTTTCTTCATCTTTAAAATGGGAATAATAATTCCTTCTTCAGAAGGTTACTGTATTAAGTTAAAATATCTAGAGTGCTTAGAACAGGACTTGATGCATATTTAACTCATTAAATATTAGCTGCTGCCGTTGTTTTTGTTGTTATTTTTGTTATTTATAGGGCTTTCCTTAGCAGCAGCTTCCAAGCAGAACCCGGTTCTTTGACATATGAGAACTGTGTCTGCTCCACAGAGTCCCTGTCTTCAAGCTGACTTTTGGAAAAATTGCTACTGACCAGAACTTAAACCCACGCGATACTAGAGAAGGAGAAACTTGAGTGATCTGCTGGTTCAGGGACTGCAAATTCAGATGCCTTCAGGGGCAGGCAGATAAAAGATGTGTGTGGGGAGTGACTGTAGCAGTGTGTGTGTGTGTGTGTGTGTGTGTGTTTCGGGGTGGTGCATTCAAATTCAGCAGTTTGAAAACATAATGTTTGCCTGGCAGAATACTTCTAGGAGTACCCAGAACCCTCTCTGGTTGCAGGAGGAAGGTGCTGGGGGAAGGAGGACCACATTCAAAAAGGGTGGCTTGTGAAGGGTAAATCAGTGGCCAAGTAGAAGACAGAACCCAGGTATCCTGACTCTGAGGATCCAGCTCTTTCTAAACCGACCCCTCCCAAGACCTTCCCTCAAATTCTGTTTTGGGAAGAAAGTCCCAAAGTCAGAAGGGTCTTGAGAGGAGGAAAAGAAGGCAGAGGGCTACAGGAGCCTAGAAAGCAAGGGAAGAGGAGAGAAAAGAAGGGGTCAAGGAGTATGCATCCCTATGGGGAAGATCAGTGATCTGTAGCTGGCCAGTTACTCAAACCTGTGCCACACGGGTTTTATGGTATCCATCATCAGGACTCCAGCTGAGGAATCAAATCAAGGAAGGGGAATAAGTAATAGTGTTGAGAACTTAGAACAGCCTGAGCATTAATAAAAAACAAAAGTAAAATTTTAAGTATTTAATGAAAAAAACAGTAATGATAACTCACTTTTTTTTTTTTTTTTTTTTTTGAGACAGAGTCTCGCTCTTGTCTCCCAGGCTGGAGGGCAATGGCGCGATCTTGGCTCACTGCAACCTCCACCTCCCGGGTTCAAGTGATTTCCCCATGCCTCAGCCTCCCGAGTAGCTGGGATTATAGTTGCGTGCCACCACACCTGGCTAACTTTTGTATTTTTAGTAGAAACGGGGTTTCACCATGTTGGCCAGGCTGTCTTGAACTCCTGACCTCAGGTGATCCACCTGCCTTGGCCTCCCAAAGTGCTGGGATTACAGGCGTGAGCCACCGCGCCCAGCTAATAAAATAATAATTATTTTTTTTGAGACGGAGTCTCGCTCTGTCGCCCAGGCCGGACTGCGGACTGCAGTGGCGCAATCTCGGCTCACTGCAAGCTCCGCTTCCCGGGTTCACGCCATTCTCCTGCCTCAGCCTCCTGAGTAGCTGGGACTACAGGCGCCCGCCACCGCGCCCGGCTAATTTTTTGTATTTTTAGTAGAGACGGGGTTTCACCTTGTTAGCCAGGATGGTCTCGATCTCCTGACCTCATGATCCACCCGCCTCGGCCTCCCAAAGTGCTGGGATTACAGGCGTGAGCCACCGCGCCCAGCCTTTTTTTTTTTTTTTTTTTGAGACACAGTCTCACTCTGTCACCCAGGCTGGAATGCAGTGGCCCATCTCAGCTCACTGCACCCTCCACCTCCCGGGTTCAAGTGATTCTCCTGCCTCAGTCTCCCGAGTAGCTGGGATTACAGGCACCCACCACCATGCCCGGCTCATGTTTGTATTTTTAGTGGAGACGGGGTTTCACCATGTTGGCCAGGCTGGTCTTGAACTCCTGACCTCAGGTGATCCACCTGCCTTGGCCTCCCAAAGTGCTGGGATTACAGGCGTGAGCCACCGCGCCCAGCTAATAAAATAATTATTATTTTTTTTGAGACGGAGTCTCGCTCTGTCACCCAGGCTGGAGTGCAGTGGTGCGACCTCGGCTCACTGCAAGGTCCACCTCCCGGGTTCACACCATTCTCCTGCCTCAGCCTCCCGAGTAGCTGGAATTACAGGCACCCACCACCACACCCGGCTAATTTTTTGTATTTTTAGTAGAGACGGGGTTTCACTGTGTTAGCCAGGGTAGTCTCGATCTCCTGACCTCATGATCCGCCCACCTCGGCCTCCCAAAGTGCTGGGATTACAGGCGTGAGCCACCGCGCCCAGCCCATAAAATAATTTTTTAAAAAATACACTCAGGCACAAGAAAGTTAACTTACACGGGATCATATAGCTAACAAAAGCTGGGATTTGAACCCAGGTTGTTCAAACTCTTGAACAATGCTTTACTGCCTCTTCAAATTCAGTGGTCTTTTTCCCCAAACAAATAATAAGTTCCTTGAGAGCAAATACCATGAATCACATGTCTCATCCTCAAGCACCTAGCCTAGGGTCAGGCTAATTTTTTGGTGAAGAAATGAATGGGCGACCTGTATGTGTTCAATGAGTATCATTTGACTCTAGGTTTTATTTAACCATACAATTTCTACCCTGAGTCATGTTTTTCTCTCTAGTGCACCAATTCCAGCTGGACATCACTGTGAAAATGGGACGGGATAAAGTCCGAGAAATGTTTATGAAGAATGCCCATGTCACAGACCCCAGGGTGGTTGATCTTCTGGTCATTAAGGTAACTGACCCTCCCTGACCAATTTAAAAGATCAGCCAACTTGTCCACTACTTCTTAGTCTTTCCAAATGAACATTTTGTCTCCAAGTTTAGAAAGCAGCTACTGGTTCGGCAGTGATTATTGCTGTGTTTCAGAGAAATACTTGAACTTGGAGGTTATCATCTGGTTAAATAGATAAGATTCATCAAGGGAACATCCACTGGGACTTGCATTTTATAACCATAAAAAAAGATATAGGGAGGAAAGTTTGAACTCTTCTTGAACCTCATCCCTAGAAGTTACCACTTCATCTGAATGCCAGTTTACAGCTGGAAGAGGCAGTTAGGGTGGTTATGAGTCCTGTATAAATGGACTCAAATCCTGGGGCTGATTCTGTCCCCCTGGCCAGTCACGTTAGCATCAATGGGAGCTTCAGCATAGACCAGTCAGTAACAGAAGAAATGATAAGCAGAAACATAAGTTAAGCCAGTCAGGTTAGGTAGTCATGGGATAGGAGCCTGTTAACCTGTATGTTTCTCCTCTTGGTACCAGTTAACCACAGAGTTAAAGAATCTGAAAAGTGTCAGAAATGATTTACCCTGACCACCTCATTGTCCAGACATAGAAACTTTGCCCAGACAGAGTAGTTACTTGCCCAAGGTCATTCAACAAGTCCATGCTGAGCAGAGAATAGAATCCTGGCCTTCAGTGTCATATGCCTTCAACTTGACAACTTTGACTGATGACCTCTCTCCTCACTGTTCAGGGAAAGATCGAACTGGAAGAAACAATTAAAGTATGGAAGCAGCGGACACATGTTATGCGGTTCTTCCATGAAACAGAAGCGCCAAGGCCAAAGGATTTCCTATCCAAGTTCTATGTTGGCCACGATCCATGAAGTCATTCAGTGGAAAGATGCACGTTGATACTATTTTAGAGCACAAATAAACTCACTATACAATGGTCACTTTGTGATAGAATTCCATTGATGAACCAATTTTCTGCAGCCTCTTTTTGCCTGAGCAAGTGGGACCTTGGTATACACATCACCTGTTCTTTCCCTTTTCTTGAAATGTGGTGTTTGCTGTAAATTGGATTGAATTATTTTTCTCAGAGCCTTGCATGTCAGTAAACAGGAAGGAAGGAGGCCATCTGTTCAAAAATTGTGACATTGGGCATGAGGCTGGACGACTTGTTAATGTAGTTGTTTCTATAGCCCCTATGATTAGACACTTCAGTGTCAGGGCACAGATTATCTAAAATTAGCCAGCTCTTCCTGTCAGGGATCAGGGCAGCACTAACAGGCGCAAAAGTAGAGCTGTCAAGATGGGCTAGTTTTCCTTGGGTTCTGAAGAAAATGGATGTGCAAAGGCTTGGCTCCGCTACTTGTAACAAGCTCCAGCCCTTAAAATGAAATTAACTTCCTACTCAGGCACCCTGCTTAGGTGCACAGCTGTTCAATATACACAGAGAACAGAAATATTCCTACTGTCTTTGGAAACCCTGGTGTACCTCTCAGTGGCAGAATAAACATCAACACAGGTTCAAGAACTGATCTCTGTTTGGATGGTGGTCTTCTCTTGTGCTTCCCAGGGCAATCCAAATGATGGAGAAGGGGTTTGGAATCTATAGGTATGATCACTGAGGACTCCCATACTTTTTTTTTTTTTTTAAATAGAGATGGCGTCTCTCCATTGCCCAGGCTGGTCTTTTTTTCTTTTCTTTTTTTTGAGATGGAGTCTCGCTGTTGTTGCCCAGGCTGGAGTGCACTGGTGTGATCTTGGCTCACTGCACCTTCCACCTCCTGGTTCAAGTAATTCTCCCTGCCTCAGCCTCCCAAGTAGCTGGGATTACAGGCATGGACCACCACATCCAGCTAGTTTTATATTTTTAGAAAAGACGGAGTTTCACCATGTTGGCCAGGCTGGTCTCAAACTCTTGACCTCAAGTAATCCACCCGCCGTGGCCTCCCAAAGTGCTGGCGTGAGCCACCGCGCCCAGGCCAGTCTTGAACTCCTGGGCTCAAGTGATCCTCCTGCCTCCGCCTCCCAAAGTGTTGGGACTACAGGCATCAGCCATTGTGCATGGCCCCAAACCTTATGGCACCAAGGATCCCTTTATAATCTTTTCACGTAAGGAACCTGAGGGAAAAACTCAAGGTGTTTTTGTGTTCTCTCACTCAATAACAATAAACACATAAGACTTCTGTGATCAAACGTTATGAGGGTTTCTCCCCACACTAAGCAAGCAGTCAGTTCTGCAGCAGACACCAGCTGCCTGTCCTCCAATTCTCTTCGAACACTATCTACCTGGAGATAGCAACAGATTCCACAGGTTTGGGGCTCAGTCCCACAAGACTGCTCCCACCCCCATTAGACAACATTCACAAGTCCAAGCCTCCAGAACTTCTGAGCTTCAAGTTCCCATGACCCCTTCTTTTTTTTTTTTTTTTTTTGAGATGGAGTCTCACTCTGTCGCCCAGGCTGGAGTGCAGTGGTGCCATCTCGGCTCACTGCAAGCTCTGCCTCGCGGGTTCACGCCATTCTTCTCCTGCCTCAGCCTCCCGAGTAGCTGGGACTACAGGTGCCCGCCACCACACCCGGCTAATTTCTTCTATTTTTTAATAGAGACAGAGTTTCACTGTGTTAGCCAGGATGGTCTCGCTCTCCTGACCTTGTGATCTGCCCGCCTTGGCCTCCCAAAGTGCTGGGGTTACAGGTGTGAGCCACCGCACCTGGCTGACCCCTTCTTTTTAATTTGCTGGAGCAGCTTGCAGAACTCAGAGGAACACTTAGGTCCGTTTACTGGTTTATTATAAAGGATATCACAAAAGATACAGCTGAAGAGATGCATAGGGTGAGGTATAGAAGGGGCGTGGAGCTTCCAAGTTCTCTCCAGGCGTGCCACTTTGCAAAGCCAAGTGTTCTGTTCTCCGAAAGCTCTCTAAACCTGTCTTCTTGGGCCTTTTATGGAGACCTCATTGGATAGGGATGATTGAAGCATGGACAACACTGGAGAAATGGGATTGGACAAAAGAGGCATAATCTAATACAGATGGAGTGGGGAAGTCCAACAAGGCCTGTCTACATTTCTTCCTCTCAGGTATGGGGCAGAATCCCTTCTGAAATGGGGGTCTCATGACCTAAAATCAGACAAGGTAGGTCAGAGGATTCTTTTTATGGCCAACTGGAAGACGGGCAAAGGAAGATTATACTTTTAGTTTCTATGGCCTGCCTTGGGGAGAAAAAGCAGCAGGTGAAAGGAGGTCAGGAGAAGATCTGAGAAACAGCCTGCTGTTTTCTGAGGCCCGAAGTGCCCAACATTATAACAAAAGCCTAAAACAAGGGTTTTGGGAGTTATAAGCCAGGAAATAGATGAAAACCTATCTATATCCTCATATCACAGAACCCGAGTTTTGAATCATTCTAGTTATATTTAAGTAGTATGCTAACAAGCAGAGCTGTCATGACTGGCACTGAACACAGAATGGCATGAGGCTTTAGTTAGCCCATGAAGCTTTCTTAAGGGAAAATGCACAGTTTCTGTTGGGCTTTTGTAAACAATGAAAATAGTTCCCAGGGCCCCCAGAATAGTTCACCAGGCTCCACTGCAGCCTGGATAGCCTGGGCCTATGTTTCTCCCATAAATAAAGGACAGCAGAGACAACTGCACCAACTAGAACCTAGGGATACTGAGAAACTGCAGCCATCACTCAGTCACGCACGGCTGATATTTATTATGTTTATTCATAATTTGATTGCTTGTTTGTGCAGTGCTTAGTGGACAGCACATCTCAGGGAGCCTCCCAGAGCCTGGGGTGGAATACGGTCATGGACCATACAGGAAGCTTCACCAGACTGGGAGGCTGAGGGCCTTCCCCGAGCCTTTCTGCTGATAGGGAAGGCAGAGAAACTGAGAGCATCACCATTTCTTCAGTTAGTGCTTTCTCCTTTCTGTAATTCCTGTAAGAAAGGAAAGCAGCAGTGAACTGGGCAACAGCGTAGTCTTCCATCCGCAGACTGAAAGAATTCCACAAAGTGCTTCTATCAAACATGGCAGGAGAAAGGCAGCTTTGAGCACGTTTGGTTGTTCATGCGCACGTTAACTGGGCATTCACCACAGGCCAGGCACTGGGGGCCGCAATGTATAAAAAACGTCCCCTGCCAGCAAGAAGCTCAGAGTCTAGTAAAATTTTGCTTTGTGTGTGTTTAGCCACATAATACCGAGTATTTGAAGAGAGGTACTGGTTGCTTAGAGGAAGGAGCCGTCAACTTTCAAATGAAAGGAGGAACGAAGACTTCAAAGACACTGTAGAATGGGTGGAATTAAGACCCAGAGCTCTGGGAAGGAGCCTTCCATGTGGGAGGAACAATGAGCCAATGTTTGGGGGTGGGTATGAGTGTGAAAACTCAAGAAATGGTGAATACTGGGAATCGGTGTGTGGCTGGAAATATGGAAGATGAGACTGGAATAAGAGGTGTGACCAGATTATGGCAAGCCTTGAATGCCAGGCTAAGGAACAGGAGTGTCCTCATCTCTTGACAGAATGCCATGCAGCACATATTAGAGCACATGAAGTTGGCTGGGCGCAGTGGCTCACGCCTGTAATCACAGCACTTTGGGAGGCCAAGGTGGGTGGATCACCTGAGGTCGGGAGTTTGAGACTAGCCTGGCTAACATGGAGAAACCCCGTCTCTACTAAAAATACAAAATTAGCCAGGCACAGTGGCGCATGTCTGTAATCCCAGCTACCCGGTAGGCTGAGGCAGGAGAATCGCTTGAACCTGGAAGGCAGAGGTTGCAGTGAGTCGAGATCATGCCATTGCACTCCAGCCTGGGCAACAAGAGCGAAACTCCGTCTCAAAAAACAAACAAACGAAAACATTAGCCACCAAGTGGGCCAATTCATTAATGCTTCTGCCCCCAGTGTCCAAATGCTGCTACCAGGCCAGACTGCATCACAGACAGATGCTCCACCCTGCTTCCTGCTCCATCTAGGGTAAAGCAAGTCTTACCTGTTAGTCATCATCATCATCATCCTCTGGAACAAAAATGTCATGTTCCTCAAGTAGAGCAGCAAAGTTCTTGCTAATGAGTGTCCCGACATAGAGAAAGGGGATCACAATGGAGAACACACGGAGAAGGCCGAAGGACATCTGCAGAGGGTCAGAGTGGCAGCTGTGAGCTCCAGAGCCCACTCTGGCAGGACCAAAGAAGACCTGGCCCTCTCACAGACATACCCTCAGACCCATCATAAGCAACTTGATTTTAAAGTCCTTGGAAAAATTCAGGGCAAGAAAAGTAATTAGAAAAGGAGAAGGCCAGGCAGGGTGGCTCACACCTTTAATCCCAGCACTTTGGGAGGCTGAGGTGGGTGGACCACCTGAGGTCAGGAGCTTGAGACCAGCCTGGCCAACATGGTGAAATCCCGTCTCTACTAAAAATACAAAAAATTGACCCAGCATGGTGGTGCGCACCTGTAATCCCAGCTACTCGGGAGGCTGAGGCAGGATAATTGCTTGAATCCAGGAGGCAGAAGTTGCAGTGAGCCAAGATTGCACCATTCCACTCCAGCCTGGGAGACAGAGTGAGGCTCTGTCTAAAAAAAAGACAAAAGGCCGGGCGCAGTGGCTCACACCTGTAATCCCAGCACTTTGGGAGGCTGAGGCGGGCGGATCACGAGGTCAGAAGTTCGAAATCAGCCTGGCTAACATAGTGAAACCCCGTCTCTACTAAAAATACAAAAAATTAGCCGGGTGTGGTGGTACATGCCTGTAGTCCCAGCTACTCAGAAGGCTGAGGCAGAAGAATCACTTGAACCCGGGAGGCGGAGGCTGCAGTGAGCCAAGATTGTGCCACTGTACTCCAGCCTGGGTGACAGAGTGAGACTCCGTCTCAAAAAAAAAAAAAAGGAGATAAGGTGACTGTTATGGCCATCAAAATGGACGAAAAGTCCACTGGAAAGAAAAGTCTAAGGCACCCTAGACATCTAAAGTTAGGACACAGCCTGCTAATTACTTTAAATCCCTACAGGCAATCGGGTGCACCAGTACTAGGAGGGCCAGACTACGGTGAGCTCTGCCTGAACACGAAATACACGAAAACCGATGACAGAAAGATGTACAGTGAAGGGATATTCTACACAGTTCACTAAGTAACAGGTTCCCTGATGCCTGAGAAATTTGATTTAAAAATTTTAGAAACAGATGTATTTGAAAGTGGGCATGTATTTACACTCAAAGACTTTAGATGGATTGGGAGAATGTCAGTAAAATCTCAGCAACATTTCTCTCGTATTCCTAGAATTAAAAAAATTTTTTTTTCAACTGTTTTGATAAGGCAGGTCTTTCCCAACATGGACCTACAGTCAATTGTGTGAGTTAGCATAGGCTAGACTAGCTTTAAGAGAATTTGTTTTTTTAACTCCCACACCACACAGCCCTGCAGTCGTAAAGCAAACTTTCGCTTGATATAAGGGACTGTTTCCGTTTTCCCTAGAAAAACTCAAGCATGTGATAGCGTTCAGTGTTGGAAAAAGACAGGACCTGGTGGGGACGGTACCAGGAAGAAACCCGGATGCTGCGTCCTCAGCGCTGGCCTTGGATACGAGCTTCACCGCTCTAGCCCGATTCTTCATTTGAAAACCCGTGATTGTAATAATTCCCTGCACATCTATCAGGACTGTAAATCACATGAATTAAATATTAGGTGACAACTAATAAAAAGATGAGGCCCGTCCCACGTACCCTTTATTTACAGAGTCCTTTCAAAATTCATATTTCATCCCATAAACTAGGAGACAGGCAGGGCAGAGATTACAGGACTGCTCTAAGCTAGAAGCACACGGCCTAGTCTTCTGACTCCAGAGGAGCAGAGCACCGCACCTCTCAGGACAAGCTAATGTAAAAGGCCAACTTCCTCAGCGTTTGCCCCCCATCTTCTGTCTACCTACCATTTTCTACACACCTGTCAAAATTAGCAACTCATTAGCGTATTCTTGGTCCGCCTTCCAGTCTACGGTAATCGTTATGATTGGCCTTGGCTCCTATCAATCAGCGCCGCCCTCACGCACTCCCCACAATGATTGGCCTCAGCCCCTTCGCCCCGTCTCCAGGAGGACACTCACTTTCACCGGTTTGGGCAAAATGGCGCCGCTGCGGGTAACGATGACTGACCTCGACGGTACCAGGCTCCGGCCTGAGCCGCTCCATGCGGCGGAGACATCGCCATCTTTCCTCAAGCTAGGCCCGCTCCGGAGAGCCCCGGACCTGACGGGTGCCAATACTAGCCAGCGAGCCGCTCCGGACGCCATGCCCCCAGCTCCGCCCCTCACCCGGGCACCCGCACCCCACCGCCCAGCCCTCGTGCCGCCCTCGGGAAGAAAGCCGCCCGAAGCCTCGCGAGAGTTTGAGGAGTACACGAGAAGCCCAGCCCTCCCACTCGCGCAGTGCCGGCGGCTCCTGGGGCGGCGGGAGGGAGGTGTTTGTCACTGGCCGGCATGGTGGCGTCACGAGAGTGGCGGCGCAGCCCCGGCTCCCTCAGTCCGCGTCCTGCTGGGCGTGGCCGCGGTCTTGGGTCCGCCCGGCCGTCAGAACAGGCCTCAGCGGCCGGTTGTGGAAATAAACCCAGGGAGCGGAAGGAGTAATAACGAAAAAGCTTTACTAGTGTTTTAACCGTGTACAAAACACTGTAGCAATAAGAGAAAGGCCCGTGCTATCTGTGTTTAAACAAAATGCAGTGGCTGCGGGGCTTCCAGGCAGGGCTGGGGAACAGGCCGGGCGCCCGCCTTGGGCGCATCTCCGCCTCTTAGGGGTAAGAGGCTCAGAGCCTACCCCTTAGGCCTAGTTGGATGCGGGTCGGTCCTGCCCAAGGCCCCAGTGAGGGGAGCCGAGGCTAGGAAGGGGCAAGTTTTATGTGTTTGGGAGGGGGTGTCTCTTCCCGGCCTCTGCGTCTTCCCCCTGGAGCGTCAGTATGGTCAGGCTCTGGTGACCCAGCCGCTTTGCCTCCCGACTTTGGGAAGAGTAGCAAGGAGAGGTCCTGGCAAGTACACCCTGGGTGACAAACGGCTATGAGAGTTCCCAGGTGATTTCTCGAGCAGCTTCAGTTTACCGGAGCCCAGCCAGGAGAGAGAATTTTAGCACAGGAAACGCAATCCCGTGTCCAAGCTCCTAGAATACCCAGGACTGAGAACCAAAGCAACAGACTTTTCCCAGGGAGCCACACTGCCTCCCCACCTCTTCTTTAACCCCTCACTTGGCAGCTCCAGGAGTTGGCTGCTGAAGACAGAGTACAGGAGGGCATTTCGTTGACGTAAAAAAGCTACAAGCCCCTTCCGGGGCAAGGTCCAGCACCATCTGTTAACAGGGCAGCCAGGGAGAAAGGATGGGACCCCAGCACTCTGAGCAGAATAAATCTCTCTTCACTGGCCGAAGACCCTCTGCCTCAAAGGGCCCTACCCAGACTGCTGAGTGAGGATCCCATCCCCAATCTTCCCACCCCTCTCAGGAAGAGCTGGGTCCCAGAAACTCCTATGACACAATAAATCCACTTTCTCTGACAGTGTCAGAGCTTCAAGCCGATACTGCAGCCTACCTCGGATTTAAGTGCACAGGAGACTCCCCAGGTTGGAAATTATGGCTCTAGAGCCCGGTGTGTAGGCCAAAGGTATGGCAAGCCTGTGACAGTCTCGGGTGACATTCCCCACTTCCTTCATTTCATTAACATCCCCTGGGAGGGGGCAGTCAGGCCAGTGCAGTCAGGAGATTGGGGTCTTGCTCTGTGGCTGCTAAGTCTCCTTCCTTCTCTGGACCTCAGGAAATAAAGAGGATGGAAGGAATGGTCCCGCAGTCCCTTCCAGACACACGGGTGGATCTCGAACCTGGAGAATGCCTAAATAGCAGGAAGGAGAGAACCCATGTCCCCTCCCAAAACGCAACCTTGGAAATGGGTAAACATTTAACTCCTGAAAAAGAACTGGCCCTGGTTTCCTGACTCAAAGGGCCCAGACTTAGGGCCTATCCTGTTCCTCACATTTTGAGTGGCTCCCCTGGGCCCTCTTCTGCCAACACTGCCGCAGCTCCACGATCTCCTGGCCATACCAGTCATGCAGGGTAGAGAAGCAGGAGGTCTCAGGGGACACAGGGCTCTGCCCCTTGCCTAGGAGGAGGCTGGCAGGGCCCTGCAGCTCCCACTCAGCCAACCCCCACCCTGCAGACCTGCTGCCCGCTTCTTCAACCAAGCCCACAGGGCTGCTGTCCTTGGAGAGGCAGTGGCCATTCTCCAGGCCCGCAGCTCGGTGGTTAGGAGCCTGGGGCTTACAGCGGCTGGCAACAGACTTCCAGGATGAGCGGCGTTGCAAAGCCAGGCTCTGGCGTGCGTCCTGCAACTGGCTCTCCAACTCGCGTACCACCAGGCGCATGTAGCCAAAGCTTGCCCGGGACAGCACCTTCACCCAGGCCTCCTGGGCCGCCGGCCCTTCTGCGGCCAGCAGGTGTGGGCGCACTCCAGGGGCATCAAAGCAGATGGCAAAGGCAAACTCCTCGGGCACGGGAGCCTCGGCCAGTTCCACTGTGCAGCCTTCCAGCACCACCAGGCTCAGTGGGGCCCGGCCCTCGCGACTCTCAAAGGAGAATAGCAGGTTGCCCTTGAGGACAAACCAGCATCTTCGGCCAGTGCCACTGGGGGTCGGTGGGGTCCCTGGGCCCCCCCAGGTGCGCAGGAAGCCCATGTGGTCCGCTGGGGAGTCGCTGAGTGCATAGTGGGCTACACTCCTCTCGTTCAGCTTCATGGCTCCCACGGGAACTGTGAGGCAAGAGAGATGGCAGCAGATCAGAGAGGGAGGTGGTTCCGTGCCCTCCTGGGGAACAGCACCGGCTCCAGAGGCAACCTGGACCCCAGCCCTGGGACTCCTACTCGCTTGCTGTGTCCCTAAGGTCCCTAAAGTCTCCTGAGAAGTGGGCTCGTCTTTCCTTCCTTTTCTCTCAAAGGGATGTCGTGAGGATCATGCAAAAAAAACTGGACACTGGCGGACTTCGAGAAAAGAATAACGAGATTGCATCAGACAGGAGGCATGGCAGGACCTGGGCACGGCTTTCTAAAATCCAAAGAAACAGGCCCCAGCTGAGCTGAAATGGACCCCAGACCCATCGAAACCACTGTGCTTAAACTATCCCCTCATCTGGGGTCCTCTCAACTCCAACTCTGAGGCCAAGCTTCCAGGGTTTCCATGACCCTCCTGGGCCTCTACTGGCCTCTTATTTGCATATAGCTGTTGAATCTTATTGACCTACAGGCAGAAGCTGAGGCACAAATATAACTTTAAAGAGTTTACTTGAGCGAGAGTAAGGATAACTGCCCAGAACAAACTTCTAAGTTGCCGTGGGGTGTGCTGCGTTGGGCCTTTCCTACAGGTTTTTATAGGCAGAAGGGGGCAAGGATGACAAAGTTGTTTGGCAGGAATTCTCCTTGGTTTATAGAAATAACATTGATTGGTGGGGTGCGGTGGCTCACATCTGTAATCCCAGCACTTTGGGAGGCCGAGGTGGGTGGATCACCTGAGCTCAGGAGTTGGAGACCAGCCTGGCCAACATGGTGAAACCCCGTCTCTAAATACAAAAATTAGCCAGGCACGGTGGTGGGTGCCTGTAATCCCAGCTACTCGGGAGGCTGAGGCAGGAGAATTGCTTGATCCCAGGAGGCAGAGGTTGCAGTGAGCCAAGATTGTGCCATTGCACTCCACCTGGGTGACAAGAGAGAAACTCCATCTCAAAAAAAAAAAAAGAAATAACATTGATTAGTGATTGGCTATACATTGTTGAACTATAGGGTATGAACTATAGGGTGTCCAGTGTACAGCATTTTATGGCTACTTGGTGTCACTCTAGAGCCACATAGCAAGTGGCTTCAAGAGGTAATTCTTGATCCTTTTGTAGTTCATGAGCGTGATGATTGGGTGTTCACATGCATGTGTGAGCTGTGCCACCCTCGAACCTTGTTACCATGTAGGCACATTACCGATCTGACATGAAGAAAAGAAAAGAAAAAAAAAGAAAAAGAGATAATTCTTTAGCTCAAGGGAGGAGTAAGACTTGACAGCTGTTGCGTTTCAGTATGTCTGGGCCTGATTATTTAAAGGGGCTCCAATTCCTCAGATAAAACATTATTTTTCTGTCTCAATCTGCAGCCTTCAGGGCCAGATGGGGAGCTACTCTGTACACAAGAGTGTGGCACAAACCCAGGGTACAGCTGAGAAGAGCTAACCACAGCCATTGAATGTGGGTGCCCCCAGCATCATGAACGGCACTTAGTCCAGCTGTCCTTACTCATGGAAAACCAAGGCCCAGCGCAGTGAGGGGAACTTGCCCAAGGTTACATGGCCAATGAGACGCAGAGCTTCGTCTCCCAAATCCCTCACACTGTACCCACTTACCAGCAGGGCTCACTGGGGGAGGGCAGGGACCTCTTGTCTGGCCACACAGCTCAGCCCTTCGACCACCTGGTTCCCAGGGAACCTGCAAAACAATTCTCAAGCCCAGTCAGCTTATCCCAAAGAATGAGAACTCCTACTCCACCTTCGAGGCCTAATGAAACCACAGCCTCCACCGGGAAGCCTTCCCTGACCCCTGAGAATCCCCCCACCCATCCACCCAGCCAGGAACCCCTGAGCAGCTTAAGGGGATGGGTCCCCTTGTCTTGACCTTTACTCTTCAGACCCCAGCTCCCTGCCTGAGTCCAGGTCAGAGCTACACATGCCCTCATGGTTCCTAGCTTTTCCCTTCTAGCACTTCCTGGCTTTAACTGAAGTCACCTAATCTGGGAGGCCTTCCATGATCACCATATCATCTAAGGTGGCCCTGACCACCAAGGTGGCCTGACCTAAGGTCACCTGACCAGTAGACCCCCCCATTTCTGGTTTGTTTCCTTCATCCCACGACGATGTCATATGTGTTTACAGCACTGTTCCCAGCCCCAGAATGTCTAGGGTGGGGCTCAGCTAAGTTCCCAGGAGAACCCCAATACCCAGCACCGTGCAGGGCTCAGAGAGGCCCTCAGGAGGGATCTGTTGAATTAATGGGGATACATCAGTGGACAAATCGAAGTCTCCCGCCCTCCTGGAGCCTACATTCCCACAGGGGGAAACACACTGTAGGCAAACAAAATAAATACTAATAAATTAATGAAAGAATAATTAGTGAAATAAGAGATAACATAAGGACCGGTAATGCTAAGGGTTATGGAGAAAAACAAGCCAGGCCCCTGGATGGGGAGAGACGCCATTCCAGTAGGGGGGGCCCAGGAAGGGGGAAGAGATCACAGATGTTTGCCAGAGGAGTGGCCTCACTGGGGGTCCTGGGCCCAGCACTGGGGCACAGGGAGGGGGTGGGCAGCCCGTGGGGCCATGACCCCTCCCCTCCCCCGCGTCTGGGGAAGGGCGCTCCCTCCTCTCCACCAGTAGGGGGGCCAGGCCACCGCACACCGGGCCTCCCGCCCGCCCCACCGTCTTCCTGGATTCTTTTGTTGGAGGAGAGGCGGGCTGGGGGTGCGGGACCGCCGGGCCAGTGGCCACTGCGGGGAGCCCCAACCCGGTTGTCGCCCTAAACAGAGGTCACCTCGGTCAGGGTCTCCCTGGCTGCCGCCTTGGTTTCCCCGTCCTCGCGTCGGGGCTGTTCGCCGCCACTTCCCCGCGGCCACACCTTCCCTGGGGCCACCTCCTCCCGGAGCCCGCCGGGCCCACTCTCACCTCCCGCCGCCGATCGCACCGAAGCCCAAGAGGGCGATCCCAGCTCGAGATCCCGCGCCTCCGCCTGGGCTGCAACGTGGCCGCGGGAGCCGGGAGACCCCGCCCGGGAGGCTGGAGTTAACGCCCCTCCCCGCCCAGTATTCGCCAGGCCCGGGATCTCCGAGGCCGCCTCGAGGTCTGCCAGGGCGGGAAACTGAGGCCCGAGAGGGCGGTGAACTGCCCGAGCCACAGCACTGGTCGGTGCGGGCGGCCTCGAACCCAGAGGCCCCCCTCGGACGGTCCGCGGGCCTCGGACCCAGCCCACCGTCCGGAAAACTCTGTCCATCTCTTCCTCTCTGGTCCCCCTCTCCCTGCTCGGCCCACTTTCCCGGCAGAGCCAAACCAGGGATGTCTCTGGGTACCTCCCTAGGGTGGGCTCCTACACAGCCCGCGAGGGCCAGCCAAGCTTTGTTGGCCACCCACCGGGCCACCGGGGTCGGCTGATTTCTGCCTCTGGAAATTACCCATTTCTGCTTCCCTGGCCTGAAACCCACCGGCAGCCCCCAGGCTCTGCACTAGTGGGTGGAGGAGGAGGCCTGCGGTGAAGGTCGCAGGAATGCACAACCAAACCCAAGAGACTGGAACTTCTGGAAGGCCCTGGAAGCCGGAGGTGTCCTCAAACATCTGCCCATGAACCTGGCTCCCGCCTCAGAGCCTTTGCCCTTGCAGTTCCTGCAGCCTAGAATGGCCTTCCTTCCCACCCCCAACCGCAGCTCCACTCCTCAGGACGCCTCTGGACACAGATTTGAGTCTCTGCTCAGTGGTCTCCTCTGGGACCATTGTAAAGCAACCTGCCCTGCAGTCTCTGTCCCATCCCTGGGGTGTTATTTCCATCAGAGCACTCACTGCTAGAGTAAACTTTCCTATGCTCATGCTTTTATTTTCTTGTTTATTGCCTGTCTCCCCTACTAAATTTTATTCAGTTAATACTGTACACCATAATAAATGTGTTAGAAGATAATAAGTGGCATGGAAAAACAGAGGAGGGTAAGGGAGATGGGAAATTGTGGGAGTAGGGAGGTTGCAATTGCAAATAGAGTGGTCAGGGTAGGCCTCACTGAGAAAGTAACATTGGACAAATACTTGAAGGAAATGAGGGAGCCAGCCATGCCAATTCCAGGCAGAGGGAACAGTCAGCGCAGTGGCCCTCAGGCCTGTTGTGCTTGAGGACCTGCAAGAAGGCCAGTGAGGCTGGGAGGCCTGGGGAGGGGCAGACAGTAGGAGGTGGGGGTAGAAGGGGTGGGATGGGGCTCTGTAAATCTGGGAGGGCTGTTACTCTAGACAGGGCTGTGAGGAGGGACCTGAGCGATTTCAAGGCATACTCTGGCTTCTGTGGTGAGAATCAATGTCAGTGGAGGCTGGAGACCAGTGAGGAGCCTGCTGCCACTATCCAGGCGAGATGTCACAAACGCGGCAAGAGCGGGGAGGGAGAGGCAGCCAGAATTAGAATGGCTGTTGAAGGTAGAGAACACAGGATTTGCTGAGGAGTTGGATGTGGGGAGTGAGGGAAAGAGCAGGCAGGACTGCACAGTTTTGGCTTGAGCACCTAGGAGAGTTGTCATTATCTGAGATGTGGAAAGTGGCCGGTGCTTGGTCTGGGTTATGTTTGAGACACCCAGTGGCCATCTGAGTGAAGGTGCTGTTGGGGCTCAGAAAGCGATGCCTAAAAATATGGCACTTGGGCATGCTGAGTACTTTGAACCAAAGGACACTGGAAGAGCCTCAGAAGCAAAGTATCTCTCTGACCTTCTCCTGCCCCCCTTCTTTCTCCTGTTTTTCTCCTGCAAGGCAGGCCATAGAAACTAAAAATCCTCCTCCCTAAGGTGAGTTATAGCAACTACAAATATTGGCTGGGCACAGTGGCTCATGCCTGTAATCCCAGCACTTTGGGAGGCTGAGGTGGGCGGATCACGAGGTCAAGAGATCAAGACCATCCTGGCCAACATGGTGAAACCCCATCTCTACTAAAAATACAAAAATTAGCTGGGCATGGTGGCGTGCGCCTGTAGTCCCAACTACTTGGGAGGCTGAGGCAGGAGAATCGCTTGAACCTGGGCGGCGGAGGTTGCAGTGAGCAGAGATCGCGCCACTGCACTCCAGCCTGGTGACAGAGGGAGACTCTGTCTCAAAAGAAAAAAAAAAAGAAAAAAAAGTAACTACAAATATTACTGGAAACATCCCCCACCTTTCTGTGTCGGGCCTGGCCATAAAGGAATTCTCTGATCTACCTTGCCTGATACTAGGTCATAAGACTCTCATTCCAGAAGGGGTCCTGCCCTCCTCCCAGCAGGAGGGAATGCCACACAGAGAGAACAAGAAGAATCCGAATCTGAACAGACATTGCTGGGTTTCCACACTCAGCTATTAACATTAAATCATTCCCTTTTGTCTAATCGCGTTTATACACAGTTGTCCATTCCTTATTCCTTTTTTTTTTTTTCTGTTGCCCGGGCTGGAGTACAGTGACACAATCACAGCTCACTGCAACCTCGACCTCCTGGACTCAAGCAATCCTCCCACCTCAGCCTCCCGAGTAGCTGGGACCACAGGCACCTGCCTGGCTTTTTAATTTTTTGTAGAGACAGGGTCTCACTATGTTGCCCAGACTGTCCTTAAATGTCTGGCCTCAAGCGATCCCCCTGCCTCAGCCTTCCAAAGTGCTGGGATTACAGGCATGAGCCACCAGACCCGGCCAGGGCTGTCCATTCTTCATCAAACCGAGACATAAAAATAAAGATTTCCCTGAGTATTTGTGTCTTCATTCCTGAAGGCTCTCAAGTCACATAAAACATTGAGTAAATCAATCTATTATGCTTTTCTCTTGCTAACCTATATTTTATTTGTAGGAGTGTCCGCTGTGACCTTTGGGATGAGTAAGGGAAAATATCACACCTTTCTGCCCCTACAATGCCCAGAACAAAGCATTTGGCACTTAGCAGTTTCTCAATAAATACTTGATGAATGAATGAAGAAGGAAGTAGCCCAGTCTGTGCGAGTAGTCCCTGAGCGTCAGGCGGGGAAGGAGAGCCGGCTGCCTTTGCGGGAGCTGTGACCGCCTGCTTTGGTGCCTCCCACGCACCCTCCTTGTAGAGACGATTAATCCCAGACTTCCATTTTCCTAGCAGCTCACTAGGCGGGCCTTGCTTCAGAGCAGTCTCTCATTTCCTCTGCACAAAGCCCTCAACCGTCCTCTGCACGGCCGCTTACTGAGCGCCCACGGTGAGCCTGGCACGATCCTTGCCCTCTTGGTCCCCACAGAGGTGGAAGGACAGGCCTCGCGGGGTCCGGGCCACGAAGGACAGCCCCGAGTCCGTTCTGCCAATGCCTGCCTCGCTAGCACGCAGGGCGGGAGCCCAGTGGGGAAGGGCTTAGGGAGGCTGGGAGGCCGGACCCATATGGGCGGGGCACAGCGTTGCTAGGGGGGATTCTGATAGGTTGCGCGAAGGGTTGCCTTCGTGAGGCCCCGCCCTCACTGGAACGCTTCGGACTTATCAGGTTACCGGATTCGAGTCAGAAGCGGCGGCAGGTCTGAACGCTTCGGTAGGATAAGTGCGGTGGGAGGGGGCTCTGCGGTTTTGGGGAGCCCAGGGCGGGAACCCGGACCCGGCTGGAAGTCCGGAGCCTGGCCGCAGCCCCGCCCCTCCGCTCTTTCTTGGTGACCTTAAGCCAGTGGCTGCCTTTTTCTGAGCCCGGGCGGGGCCGAAGGCGGCCCGTAGGCCCTCGGGACTCCCAGCACTGCAGAGGGTGTGAGGTCTGACATCCAAGACACGTTGTTTCGTATTTCTGAAGGAAGAACTGAAGCTCCGGGAAGTGATGGCTGGGGATGGGGCGGGCAACTTGGGGACCGAGTGTACGATCCACGCCTAAGGTTGAGGGCGGCCGAGCTAGCCAGGCAGCCGTGACCCCAGTGCTTTTCAGACGTTTCTTAGCTTCCAGAGCCCAACACATACAGCTGATACACGCAGACCAGATCTGGTCAGGTCCTCGGAAGCTGAGTCCAGAGCGATGCTGCTGAAGACAGGTACCTACACCGGCTGGGGTGGCTTGGAAGGGTAGGGGTGAGTGCTACAAGGAGTGCTTTGGCCCTTCTTCCCTAATGTGGGTATGTGGAGAGACAGGTTCCTCTCTCTTTTACTTAGAGCTGGGCAGGAAGGGAGGAGATGCTTCCCCATACGGGAATCATTTCTCCTTCAAAGGGGCCCTTCCTTTCTCACTTCCTCTCCCTCAAGCACAGAGGCCCTAACTGATGGATATCAGCATGTGCGGAGAACCGCCTGTACAGTCCCTACAGTAACTCCATATTACAGATAAGGAAACTGAGGCCCGAGGGGGAAAGGTCTCACTTAGGTGAGCTGATTGGGTGCCCATCCTGGCTGGCTTACTTCTTAAGCCTCTCTGAGGCCTCTTGAGGGTCTGTGGTAGAGAGCAAAGAGCTCTGGACTGGGGCTCAGGAGACCTGGAGTCTGGCCAATGGTCCCGACTTAACGATTTTTCAACTTTACTGTGGTGTGAAAGCGACGCACATTCAGTAGAAACCACAGTACGTATACAACCTGTGTTTCAGTATTCAGTAAATTGCATGAAATATTCAACAATTTATTATAAAATAGGCTTTGTGTTAGATGATTTTGGCCAGCTGTAGGCTAATGTGCGTTGTCGCACTTTTTTTTTTTTTTTTTTTTTGAGACGGAGTCTCACTCTGTCACCCAGGCTGGAGTGGAGTAGAGTGGCGCGATCTCGGCTCACTGCAACCTCCATCTCCCAGGTTCAAGCAAGTCTCCTGCTCAGCCTCCTAAGTAGCTGGGATTACAGGCACTCACCACCTCACCCCGGTATTTTTTTGTAGTTTTAGTAGAGACAGGGTTTCACCATATTGCCCAAGCTGGTCTTGAACCCCTGACTTACGGTGATCCGCCCACCTCGGCCTCCCAAAGTGCTGGAATTACAGGAGTGAGCCACCGTGCCTGGCCTGTCCACATTTTTAAGGTAGGCTAGGCTCAGCTATGATGTTTGCCAGGTTAGGTGTATTAAGTACATTTTTGACATAATATTTTCTTTTTTATTATTTTGGGATGGGGTCTCGCACTGTCACAGCCCAGGCTAGAGTTCAGTGGCACGATCTCAGCTCACTGCAGCCTCCGCCTCTGGGGTTCAAGTGATCCTCTTGCCTCAGCCTCCCGAGTACAGCGCATGCCACCACGCCTGGCTAAGTTTTTGAATTTTTAGTAGAGACAAGGTTTCACCATGTTGGCCTGACCTCAAGTGATCCACTCGCCTCGGCCTTCCAGAGCGTTGGGATTACAGGCATGAGCCACTGCATCTGGCTGATGTGATATTTTCAACTTACACTGGGCTTATGAGAACGTAGTTCCGTGGTAGGCCTAGGAGCATCTGTACTGTTAAGTTCTATATATGGGATGGGAGGAGCTGATGGGGGTTATAGGAAGGTTAGGACATAAGGTGTTAGTTTTGCTAATTCCAGCAATGCTGTGGTGACGGCCAGACCTCAAGCCACTGCCTGGCCCAGGCACCATCCTCCCACTTACTGCTTTGCAAGAGCCAGCCATTGCAGGAAGAGCCAATTCTACCCTAAACCCAGGAGTCCAGTTTCCCTTATATATAGGCAGGCAGCCTCTGTAGGGCTGAGCAACATACAGATGGGGTGGGATGAGGGCTGGAGCTGTGGGGGCAACTGATAGTCACCATCCCCTCCTCCCTTGCCCCCTAGTGCTCTTGCTGGGACATGTGGCCCAGGTGCTGATGCTGGACAATGGGCTCCTGCAGACACCACCCATGGGCTGGCTGGCCTGGGAACGCTTCCGCTGCAACATTAACTGTGATGAGGACCCAAAGAACTGCATAAGGTGAGTAAGGTCCACACTCACCTGATGAGCCTTGCCCAGGGCCCTGCAGATTCGGGGGCAGGAAGTGGAGAGTCCACTAGAAAAGAGGGCAAGGTCAGAGTTCTCCATCCCAGAGACTGCAGCCAGAAGTCACTCGGACTGTCTGACACCTAGCCCCATGACCTGTCTGGAGCCTCTGCAGGGACTCTCAGGCCCCAACCTGGTCACGAGGCAGGGACCTTACATGGACCCAGCCCCTGAGATAACTCTTAGAAGGTCAGGCCAGGCCCCCTGTACTTCCCCTGACCCAGTCCTGCCTTTTAGCCTGGGGCCAGCCACTCCTTTCAAGCCAGCTTGCTTATGGCTCATCGCACAATCTCTGGTGGTCATTTACACTGATACCTGGCTTAGGGCTCAGCAAGGTCATGGTTTTTATAGCCCAGATTCAATCAGAGCTGAGGCAGGGTGTGGGTGAGGGCCGGGCTGGGTCCCTGAGCTACCCCATCCCTCTGCCCCTCACTAGTGAACAGCTCTTCATGGAGATGGCTGACCGGATGGCACAGGATGGATGGCGGGACATGGGCTACACATACCTCAACATTGATGACTGCTGGATCGGTGGTCGCGATGCCAGTGGCCGCCTGATGCCGGATCCCAAGCGCTTCCCTCATGGCATTCCTTTCCTGGCTGACTACGTGAGCCGCACCCCAGCCCTGCCCTTGGCCTCAGGGCTAGACCACTCCTTTCACCCTACCTCGCTTAGGGCTCACTTACATGATTGAGATCTCACAGTCTAGTGGGGGAAACAGACAAATGAACACCGACTTTTGGCCTATTCTGTTGAGTGAGAGCCAGAAAGGGCATCTCACACAGCCTGGTATTCTAGGAAGGTTCCCTGGAGGAGGCATTTCTTGAGCTGAGCCCAGAGAGATGGCATTGGAGGCAGAGAGGATGGCAGGAGCAAAGGCCTAGGGGCAAGAAACAGCCGCTGGGAGGTGTGTGTTGGGGGAGAGGTGGGCCATCATGGGCAGAGGCCGGGCCAGCATGCTGGGACCATCTCCTTTGGTCCGTGGGAGCCACTGGAGGTTTAATGGGACGGGGTCAGATATGCCTTGAGGAGGCTCCTTGAGGGTCCTGCTTGAGCCCACTGTGTCCTCAAACCCCCACAGGTTCACTCCCTGGGCCTGAAGTTGGGTATCTACGCGGACATGGGCAACTTCACCTGCATGGGTTACCCAGGCACCACACTGGACAAGGTGGTCCAGGATGCTCAGACCTTCGCCGAGTGGAAGGTAGACATGCTCAAGCTGGATGGCTGCTTCTCCACCCCCGAGGAGCGGGCCCAGGGTGAGTTACGCAGCTGGCTGGGGCACGTAGGCAAACGGGGAGGGTGGCCATGGAGACCCACCCAGCGCCCACCTGGCTGAGCTTCCCAATTCCCCCTACCCAGGGGTTAGGGGGATTGTGGCTCCCAGGCTCCCTAAATATGAGTGGCAGCATAGCCCACCCTGGAAGCATTTGAGGCTCTGGGTATGTGGGGAGGCACCTACTGTTTGGAGCTTGTTTCTTCACATCTGTTGGGAAAAGGTCTGGGCTAAGGCCCCAGACTGCCTCCTGCACTTCCTCAGGACTGAAACAGGTTGGGCTTTCTCTAGGGTACCCCAAGATGGCTGCTGCCCTGAATGCCACAGGCCGCCCCATCGCCTTCTCCTGCAGCTGGCCAGCCTATGAAGGCGGCCTCCCCCCAAGGGTAAGCCATTCTGCCCCCTGCCTGATGGCGCTTCCCACACCCAGGCCTCCTTACCTCCTGAGTGCCAGGCTTCAGGGACGGGGCCTTCCAGAGCCAGGGCTGCTCTCACCACAGGTGCCCATATGGTGATTTGTAGGTGTCTAGAGACCTACATTAAGTAGCCGCAAAGAGCAGGTGGGCTCAGCCAGCCCAGAGAGGTGTGTGTGTTGGAGGGAGTGGCGGGCCTTAGAGAAGAGGCCCTTGTGAAGTGGGCTGAAGGAGTTGGCATCAGAGGCAGGAGAGCCATCTGTGCTGGCACACAGTGCCCAGGATTCCAGGAGGTGCCCATTAGGCGAGGAGACCCAGAAGGCTGGGGAGGCCAGGCAGGTGGGGCCAAGCCTCAGAGGAGCCTGTGGGCTCATGAGGGCTCCCTTAGCATGTTTGACACCAAAAAGGGTGGGCTCAGGCCTCTGGAGCTGAGAAGAAAGCAGACAGCAGTTTCTCACTGAGAGAACATGGGGGTGGGTGGGTGTCAGGGAGGGTTGTTTGTGGGTGCACCAGCCTGGGCCCACACCCTGGGTTTGACCCAAGCTGGCATGAGAAGGCAGGGTAGGCTCCTGGCACCAGCATGCACAGAAGGGAGACCCCGGTAGCCCCAGAGCAGGGCCACCCTCTGAGGCCCTCCTCATCCTGAGCAAGCCGGTGGGGCCTGTTCTCTTCCCTCTTCCCCACTCTCTGTCTCTCCTGCTGAGCCTCCTCAACTCCTGTGTGGGTCCCTGGGCTGCAGCGTGTGATTCTGGTGCTGGACTCTGCCTTCCCCTCGACATCCAGGTGAACTACAGTCTGCTGGCGGACATCTGCAACCTCTGGCGTAACTATGATGACATCCAGGACTCCTGGTGGAGCGTGCTCTCCATCCTGAATTGGTTCGTGGAGCACCAGGACATACTGCAGCCAGTGGCCGGCCCTGGGCACTGGAATGACCCTGACATGGTACCAGGATGGAGGGGGATGTCCCTAGGCCCACCATCTGTGACGACCCTGCTCCCCACTGCCCTGTGCTTTCTTCCTTCTTGGAGGCTCACTGCCGGGTTCTAGGTCAGCGCTTCTGAAATGTGTCCCTGAACTGGTTGCTTTAGACTTGACTTAGAAGCTGGTTTCCAGGGCCCCATCCCCCACGTTTTGCATCACAATGTTCAGGGGAAGAACACTGTTAACCATCTCCCCAGGCAATTCTGATGTTTCTGAAAGCTCAAGAACTTGGGTCTGTAGTGACCCTGGAATAAGATGTTATTGCTCTGCAGGTTGAAGATCACGACCTTGCTATTCCTAGTGCCTGGACTGCTCTCCCCCGTGTGCCTCTGATCCTTTTGTCAATTTCCTGCCTCATCCTCCACAGGGACAACTGGCCCTCACAGTCCTGCTTCTAGCCCTTCCATTCTATCTCGGTCATTGCCCTGTGACATTTTGTTGTTGTTGCAATTTATAGCTTTATAGTTATCTGTTAGTCAACAAGCATTTACTACCTGATTGATCCTATGATGATTATAAGAATTACAAGTGCTAAGCCAGGTGGAGGGAGCAACCTGGAGGAGCAGGAACTGGCCTGCTGTGGAGTCCCAGCTCTAGCTCTGCCACTTTACCTCGGGCAAGTAACTTAATTTGTTCTGTGCCTCAGTTTTGTCAATTGGAAAATAAGAATAGTAGCTACCTTATAGGGTTGAGGGTTAAAATAACTCTGAAATGCTTGGCACAGTGATGGGCACACAGTGCTTAAATTGTTGTCACTAAGCCTGTAATTGTGTCCTGACTATGGATTGCTTGCCCTGGGGTCAGGAGTCCCCCTTGGTCCATTCAGCTGTGGCTAGGGCAAGTGGGTGTGGCCAGTGGTAGGTACAGGGACTTTGTCCCGTTCTGTTTCTTACCACTGTCACCTTGGGACATTTATTGACTTGACCTAGTTTATAAGCTTTTTGACAACAGGAGCCCATTTGATCATCTGAACAACCTGTGATGTAGCCAGGGCATATTACCACCCCCATCACCCCCATGGGGTTTTTGTTTTTTATTGATTTATTTATTTTTTGAGACAGAGTCTTGCTCTGTCGCCCAGGCTGGAGTGCAATGGCGCGATCTCGGCTTACTGCAACCTCCACCTCCCAGGTTCAAGCGATTCTCCTGCCTCAACCGCCCGAGTAGCTGGGATTACAGGCGCCTGCTATGACACCCAGCTAATTTTTTTTTTTTTTTTTTTAGTAGAGATGGGGTTTCACCATGTTGGCCAGACTGGTCTCAAACTCCTGACCTCATGATCTGCCCGCCTCAGCCTCCCAAAGTGCTGGGATTACAGGTGTGAGCCACCACGCCCAGCCTATTTATTTATTTATTTAGAGACTGAGTTTTGCTCTTGTTGCCCAGGCTGGAGTGCAATGGCATGATCTTGGCTCACCGCAACCTCCGCCTCCCAGGTTCAAGCGATTCTCCTGTCTCAGCCTCCCAAGTAGCTGGGATTACAGGCATGCGCCACCACGCCTGGCTAATTTTGTATTTTTGGTAGAGATGGGGTTTCTCCGTGTTGGTCAGGCTGGTTTCGAACTCCTGACCTCAGGTGATCTGCCCTCCTCAGCCTCCCAAAGTGCTGGGATTACAGGCGTGAGCCACCGCGCCTGGCCTTTTGTTTTTTGAGTCAGAGTCTCACTCTGTTGCCCAGGCTGGAGTGCAGTGGTGCAATCTCGGCTCACTGCAACCTCCACATTCTGGTTCAAGTTATTCTCGTGCTTGAACAAGTAGCTGGAATTACAGGTGTTTACCACCACGCCTGGGTAATTTTTATATTTTCAGTAGAAATGAGGTTTTGCTATGTTGGCCAGGATGGTCTCTAACTCCTGGGCTCAAGTGATTCACCTGCCTCTGTAGCAGGACCAGCCGCAGATAAAACTCCTCAGACACCAGATTAAAGAAGGAAGAGGTTTTTATTCGGCTGGGAGTGTCGGCAGACTCGTGTCTTAAGAGCCGAGCTCCCTGAAAAAGAAATTCTTGGCCTTTTTAAAGGCTTACAACTTTAAGGGGTCCATGTGAAAGGGTCGTGATACATCACGCAAGCGTGGGAAACGTGACTGGAGGCTACATGCATCAGCTAACAGAACAAAAAGTTTTACAATGCTTTTTTCATACAGTATCTGGAATTTGCAGATAACACAAGTAGTTTAGGTCAGGGGTTGATGTTATTATTATTACTTTTTTTTTTAACTCCTAGGGCCAGGTGGTGGTGCCATGGTTGTCTGGCTATTTATCTTACTTTTGTTTATTTCCAACTTTTTGCTTTTTCTCTCCTCCTGTCTTGTGAACTAGGCAAGGTTGGGAGAGGAGGGCAGCAGGAGTAGTAGTGGTCTCCTTCCTTACCTCAGCCTCCCAAAGTGCTGGCATTTACAAGCATGAGCCGCCGCACCTGGCCATCTGCCCACCCCCCTACCGCCGACTCCTGTTCTTGATGGAAAATAAAAAGCTGAAGCTCAGATGGAAGGTGACTTAACTCCCCCAAGGCCACAGGGCTAGGGAATGGTGTTTGCTGAACCAGGCCTCCTCCACATACAGCCATCTTTCCCTAATCCCTAATTGCTCTTCCTCGGCTACAAGTTTGGGGATGGTCCCTGTGTCTACCTCCTTGAGGAGATGAGAGCTGACTACTCCTCTTCTCTGCCCCCAGCTGCTCATTGGGAACTTTGGTCTCAGCTTAGAGCAATCCCGGGCCCAGATGGCCCTGTGGACGGTGCTGGCAGCCCCCCTCTTGATGTCCACAGACCTGCGTACCATCTCCGCCCAGAACATGGACATTCTGCAGAATCCACTCATGATCAAAATCAACCAGGATCCCTTAGGCATCCAGGGACGCAGGATTCACAAGGTACTAGGGTGTGGAGGGAAGGAAGGGGAGGGCTGAGGAACTGGGTTCTCCTGAGAGAAAGGCTGCCAGCCTCCCTGGGGGCAACACCTGGCGAGGTACAGGAGTCGCCCAGTCCCCAACCAGGGCTACCCCTTCTGGTTGCTTATGGTTGAGGACTCTGATGGGAGCTGCTCCAACTGTCCTCCTCTTGCTGGGTGAGAGCAGGGCTGAGCAGGACAGCTCAAGGGAGTCGGGGATGAGAGGTGTCAGCCACATAAGTGCACATAGCAAGGGTGAGGCACAGAGCTTCTATACACCCGTGATGGCCTGCAGAGAGCTTGGACTTCCCTCCAGAGCAGGAGGAGCTGGTCTGTTTGTTTTTGAGACAGGGTCTCACTCTGTCACCCAGGCTGGAGTGCAGTGGCACAATTTCGACTCACTGCAATCTCTACCTGCCAGGTTCAAGCAATTCTCGTGCCTCAGCCTCCTGAGTAGCTGGCACTACAGGCGCCTGCCACCACACCCAGCTAATTTTTGTATTTTTAGTAGAGACACCATGTTGGCCAGGCTTGTCTCGAACTCCTGGCCTCAGGTGATCCACCCGTATCAGCCTCCCAAAGTGCTGGGATTACAGGCATGAGCCACCGCACTCGGCCAGGAGAAGCTGTTATAGCCAAGGAATACTACGACTACTGGTGGCTGCTATTTATTGAGTACCTACCATGTGCTGGGAGTTTTAGATAATTTTTCTCAGCAAGGTAGTTATCTTGCCATTTTACAAATGAGAAAAATGAAACTTCGAGAGTCTGAGTAACTTTATCCCAAGGCTACACAGTTGGTACAAACAAGACTGGACTTCAGTGTCACCTCAAAGCCTTTTTTTTTTTTTTTTTTTTGAGATGGAGTCTCACTCTGTAGCCCAGGCTGGAGTGCAGTGGCACCATCTCAGCTCACTGCAACCTCTGGCTCCCAGGTTCAAGCGATTTTCCTGCCTCAGCCTCCCAGGTAGCTGGGATTACAGGTGTGCGCCACCACACCCGGCTAATTTTTTTTGTATTTTTTTCAGTAGAGACAGGGTTTCACCATGTTGGCCAGGCTACTCTCAAAACTCCTGACGTCAGCTGATCCACTGGCCTCGGCCTCACAAAGTAATGGGATTACAGGCATGAGCCACTGTGCCTGTCTGCCTTTGCTCTTTACCAAATCCTGGATTCTGGTAAAAAGAAACCTACAGAACTATGGAAGGCACCTATAGAACTGGTGATGCCCAGAGGAAGTAACAATTCCCTGCCAGAGGGGCTGATGGTGGAGCTGGGCCTGGAAAACCTTCTGGAGGATGGGAGTTCACATCCAGCTCCACTCTCCACCCTCCTGGAACAGAGTTCACTGTTCCCACTGGACAGCACCCTCCAGGCCAGCACTGGCAGCTGTTTGGGGCCAGCACTCATACGCTGTACTGTTGTTGCGCTTCCCTGTTTCTGCGTTTATCCCTCCCGTTGTCCTATGAGCTTCTGGGGCAGGGCCTCATGCAGCACTTGTCTCAGTGTGCTAGCATAGGGGCCGGGCTCAGAGTAGGTGTTGATGAGTATCTGCTGAGTCAGGGAAGGTGGGCAGATAGGGTTAGATAAGCTGGGGTGCTGGAGGCCCGTGGCATCCTCCCTAAACCTGTGTGACATGGAGCTGTGAACTGGGGGACCCAGAACTCAGGGAGGGCCAGGGAGGCAATGGTAGGTCCTGTCTGAGCAAGGGACCCCAGCCAGTAGCCACCTTCTGTGCCCAGGAAAAATCTCTCATCGAAGTGTACATGCGGCCTCTGTCCAACAAGGCTAGCGCCTTAGTCTTCTTCAGCTGCAGGACCGATATGCCTTATCGCTACCACTCCTCCCTTGGCCAGCTGAACTTCACCGGGTCTGTGATATATGAGGTGAGCACCCGGCTGCCTGCAGCCACCCGCCTGGGCTTCAGATTTCTGTGGGAGGGTATTATGGGGGGTGGTTGTTCACATATGGCCTCCCCTGAGCCGTGGGCTTAGGGCCTCTGGCAGGTGCCCATGGGGAGCTGCAGGCACTGAGAGCTGCAGCCAGTGCCGTGCTCTGCACCAGTATTTTCAACCTATGCAAACAGAACTACTGCATATAAATATGAATCCCATTAGCCTCTACGGCTGTACTCCTCCCAAGGGTCAGCCCTTGCTGGCACGTTCCTCACAGTTTTCCATGGGCTGGGGCTTTCTCCACTGCCCGTGCTTGGGCACCTGCTGGATTTGCTGGTGGAGAAGTGATGGGGATTCAGGGCTCCCACTTCTGTAGGGCATACTGGAAGCCCAGCACAGACAGGCCAAAGTCCAGGCAGAAGGCTTCTACATCCTCTAGCGGGGGGGGTCTCTGTGCCGCCACTCTCATGGTGGCATTGGTGATGTCCCTCCCCACTGCAGGCCCAGGACGTCTACTCAGGTGACATCATCAGTGGCCTCCGAGATGAAACCAACTTCACAGTGATCATCAACCCTTCAGGGGTAGTGATGTGGTACCTGTATCCCATCAAGAACCTGGAGATGTCCCAGCAGTGAGGAGCTGGGACATGTGACAGGCTGTGGTGGCACCACTGAGCCTAGACCATGGAGCCTTGGCATGCCCAGGGCAAGTGGGGAGGTTCTCTGCTCCCCAGGCCTGCTCGGTGACTGACCCCATCATACCCAAAGTGCAATCTCACGGCCAGGTTCTATGCCCTGTCCAAGCGTAAACCCTCTTGGAAACTTCTTTTGGGGCAATTTTCCTGTGGCCTTCCTGGCCTCTACTTCCATGTGCGCAGCCCCACAGACGTTGCTGAGCAACTCGCCAGCCTCCTGAGCTCCATGCCCATCAGGACTCTAGCCTCTGACCTTGCTGTTGACTCTGAAATCAGGATTTGGAAGTTTTCGAATTAGGAGTAGAGAGATCTGACCTCTTGCCAGGAATGCCCATGGATCATGTGATTGGCTTTTCTACCCATAGAGGGCCTTGCAGCCTGATACCACCTGGGAGTGAGGGTCACAAAGGAGACCTTGGCTCCCTCAGGTCACCAATAAACCTGTTCTTTAATCAAGTAGTTGTAATATGGACCTGGGGTACCTTTAGTTAGGGACTCTGGTGGCACTACACGGGGTGCTGGATTCAAATCTCACCTCTATGGATGATGTCTGGCATCGTCTGGCCCCTCCTTTTCCAAAGTGACCAGAAGATTGTACTTCCTAGAGATGCCAGACTTGCCTCACACCCAGGAGCTGCCCCTGCTGTGCCTGGTATGCTGGCAGTGGTGATGGTGACAACACAATGAGGCCAAGTAGCAATGCTCCCAGGTCCTGCAGCTTGTGCTCTGCCCAGCAGTGCCCCTGGCCCAGCACCTCAGCCTGCTCTTCTCTCTGGTGGCTCCACCCCAACCCCTACTTCTTTTCCTTTATTTCTCTCCCAACCTGGCTGCAAAGGAGGTTCATATTCCCCAGATGTGTCCACAAACCTGTCCAGGAGTTGTGTCTTAAAATTGATTTCCTGTCCCTCTTCCTAAGGACAGGGGTAACAGTCAAAGTGAAGGAATGATGGGTTCTTGCCTGTCTTGCTTTGGTCCGTATTTCCCAAGCCCTCCTCTTTTAGCCAAGGCTACAGGGCACTTGTCTTCCCTGGTGGCTCTCCCCTTTGGAGAGAGCTAGTGGCAGAGCAACCTAGCTAGGTCCTCCTTGGGCTTTGAATGCAGGAGCACCCAGTGCCCCAGGCCTTGCACTGTGCTGCCCAAGGAGTATTTTCTGGGTGGATCTCCCATACTCCTCAGGGTTCTGAGGTCCTTGTATTTAGGGTATGGTGTAAAAACTTACATATGCACATTTTGTTACATCATTTAAGATGATTGAAGCTTTACTGGTTAAGTATAGGGTCACCAGAGAAAGTTCCTTTCCCCAGTTGATGTCTTGAGGCTGTTGAGAAACTTAGGACAGAAGCCTACCTCATCCCAGGCCTGCCCCTCCGTGCATAGCTCTGCCTTTGGGTCTTGTTCATAGTGCTGTTCAGGCAAAATGGAATAGTCTCAGGTGGGAACACCTTCTCTTGCTAGCTCCAGGAAGGCTTTGTGGGAAATGAGTTGAGACCATGGACTTGGGAGTTGGGGGCCAGAGTTGAGCCTGGACTTGACCAATTAATTCCCTTACCTTTCAGCCCAAGATAGCTACATGTCTTTACTTGCTGTATAAGTTTTCCTTTTGTCCTGGGGGTGCCTGATTGATCCTATCTCTTCACCCTTCATTCTTTCAACAAACATGCCATCTATCTCCCAGGACATTTATTCCCTTCTATTCAAGGCCAGTTAGGAATGCAATTATTTTTTTTTTTCAGTTAAATACAGACTTGTTTGGACGCAAGGTACCCTTTCTCTTTTTAAAAACTTTTTATCATGAAAACTTTCAAATACAAAAATAAAATGGTAGAGTGAACCTCCATGTACCCAGCATCCAGCTCCAGTAACCATCAACGTGTACCATTATTTCATCTCTCTTCCTGCACATGCTCTTCTGATGTGTGAGCTAGAGTATCTGAAAGGAAATTTCAGAAAACCCTAAAAACCACTATGTCTCTAACAGATAAGGGCTTTAAAAATACATATATGAGCCGGGCGCGGTGACTCATGCCTGTAATCCCAGCACTTTGGGAGGCTGAGGTAGGCGGATCACAAGGTCAGGAGATTGAGACCATCCTGGCTAACACGGTGAAACCCCATCTCTATTAAAAATACAAAAAATTAGCCGGGCATGGTGGTGGGCGCCTGTAGTCCCAGCCACTCGGGAGGCTGAGGCAGGAGAACAGCGTGATCCTGGGAGGCGGAGGTTGCAGTGAGCCGAGATGGCACCACCATACTCCAGCCTGGGTGACAGAGCCAGACTCCATCTCAAAAAAAAAAAAAAAAAAAAAAAAAAAAAAAAATATATATATATATATATATATATATATATATACATACACACACACATATATGTGTATATATATATATATATATATGACCTTAATACAATTTTCCTATCTAAAAAAACATAATTTTAAAATAATCTAATAACCAATCTATGTTCAGTTTTTGCCAGTTGTCTCAAAAATCTCTATAGTTTGTCTAAATCAAGATCCAGTAAAATAGTCCAGTACGAACTACTGAAAGTTTGCTCCCTTCATAAAAGCATTGAAAAACCTGCCACATACTATCAAAATCAACTTTCACAGAACTCTGGAAATTAGCCAAAAGCTTGCGGCAACCCAGAAAACTTCAACTGAAAAAAAAAAAAGTTGAATTCTAGTAGAAACAGCAAGCTATGTGGTATTTTACCTTATTACCAGATTTTAAATCAGCTATTTTAAACATGTTCAAAGAGCCAAAGGAAGCCGGGTCTAAAGAAATAAAGGAAAGAATAAGAATGATGCCCAAACAGAATAACAAAGAAGAGATAAAACTGTAGTGGGGAAGAAAGCACAAATTCTGAAGTTGGAAAGTACAATAGTTGAAATGAGAATTCACTGAAGAGGTTTAATAATAGTAGATTTGACAGAAAAAGAATCAGCAAACTTGAAGACAGATCTGTTGAAATTAACCTCTCTGAGAAAAAGAAAGAAACAAGAATGAAGAACAATGAGCAAAACTTCTAAAACCTTTGGGATACCACCAAATGTACCCATATACACATAAAAAAAGAGAAAGGGGCAGAATATTGGAAGAAAGAATGGTTGAAAATGTCTCACATTTGATGGAAAATATTAATCTACCTATCCAAGAAGCTCAGTGAACTCCAAGTAGGTTAAACTCAAAGAGCTCCATACCTAGACATATCATAATCAAACCCTCAAAAGACAGAATTTTGAAAGAGGCAAGATAAAAGCAACTCATCACACAAGGGAGTCTCAATAAGATTTACAACTGACTTCTCATCAGAAACCATGGAAACAAGAAGGCAATGGGTACATTTAAAAATAACTAAGTATAATTGGATTGTTTGTCACAAAGGATAAATGCTTGAGGCACTAGATACCCCATTTTCCATGATGTGATTATTACAGGAATGCAATGCCTGTATCAAAACATCTCATGTACTCCATAAATATATACACCTACTATGCAGCCACAAAAATTAAAAATGAAAAAAAAGGCAGTGGGTTGACATATTCAAAGTGTTGAAAGAAAAAGACTATGAAAAAATTTGTTATTTGGCCAAACTATCTTTCAAAAATGAAGGCAACATGAAAACATTCCCAGATAAACAAAAACAGAGTTCATCTCTAGCCACCCTGCCCTACATAAAATACTAAAGGACATCCTTCAGGCCAAAATGGAAGGAAACTAGTAACTTGAATCCACATGGAGAAATAAAGAGCACCAGTAAATGGAACTACATAAGTAAATATAAATGATTTTGGTTTGTAACTCATTTTTTGTCCCCATCTGATTTAAAAGGTAACTTAAATGCAGTAATTATAAACTAAGATGGGTAGACTATGTATAAAGATGTCATTTGTAACAATAACAGCATAAAGGAGGAGGGGAACAGCTATATAAGAAGCAAAATTTTTGTATACAAGTGGCATGAATTAGTATTAATCAGAATGAGATAGTTCAGAATAAGATGTTAATGGTAATCCCTATGGCAACCACAAAAAAACTTTAAAAATCTAGTAAATATATGATAGAGATAAAATGGTACAAAATAAAATGTCTAACACAAAAAAGGCAGTAATGGAAGAAATGTGGAACAAAAGAGACTTAAGACATAACACACAAATAGTAAAATGACAAATGTATAAACCTTATCAATAATTACATGTAAATGGATTAAACATAGATCGACAGAATGCATTTAAAAGATACACACCCAAGTGCACACACAATCCAAAAATGTGCTTTGTTTAAGAGACACTTTAGACTCAAAGACATAAGTTGGAAGTAAAAGGACAGAAAAAGATACACCAAGCAAATGGTAGCAAAAGTACTAGGGTTGGGGGGAGGGTCTATGTTAATATCAGAAAAAGACTTTAAGACAAAAATTGTTACTAGATCCAAAAGATTTTATAAAATTGAGAAGATCAATCCACCAAAAAAGATATAATTTTACACATTAGCATACCTAACGAGTCCAAATATATAAAGCAAAACCAGACACAATTGAATACAGAAATAGATAATTCAACAATAAATGTTACCAATTATATTACCAATACTAATTATAAACCAATTAGACCTAACAGACATTTACAGAACATTCCACCCAATAGCAGCAGAATATACATTCTTCTCAGTACAAATGAAACATTCTCTAGGACAGACCATATGTTAGGCCATAAAATAAGTATCACTAAATTGTAAAAGACTGAAATTGCCAGGCACGGTGGCTCACACCTGTAATCCCAGCACTTTGGGAGGCCAAGTCGGGCAGATCACCTGAGGTCGGGAGTTCCAGATCAGCCTGACCAACATGGTGAAACCCCATCTCTACTAAAAATACAAAAATTAGCCAGGCTTGGTGGCAGGCGCCTGTAATCCCAGCTACTCTGGAGGCTGAGGCGGAAAATCGCTTGAACCCTGAGGCGGAGGTTGTAGTGAGCCAAGATCGCGCCACTGCACTCCAGCCTGGGCGACAGAGCGAGACTCAGTCTCAAAAAAAAATTAGCTGGGCATGGTGGTGGGTGCCTGTTGATGCAGGAGAATCATTTGAACTCAGGAGGCAGAGGTTGCAGTGAGCTGAGATCACACCATTGCACTCCAGCCTGGGTGACAGAGCAAAACTCCATCTCAAGAAAAAAAAGAAAAGAAAGAAAAAGAGGACACACACTTTCAATTTCAGTATCTACCAAAAAGCTACAGTAATAAAAACAGTGTGGTACTGGTATAACAATAGACATACAGTTGAGAGTCCAGAAATAAACCCATACATCTATAGCTAATTGATTTTTTTTCTTTTTTAGACACCAGGTCTCACTCTGTTGCCCAGGCTGGCGTGTACTAGTGTGACATAGCTCAGTGCAGGCTTAAACCCCTGGGTTCAGGCGAACCTCCCACCTTGGCCTCCCAAAGCACTGGAATCAGAGGCATGAACCACTGCATCCAGCCAGTTAATTGATTTTTTTTTTTTTTTTACAAAGGTACTAAGACCCTTCAATTAGAAAATAGTATTTTAAATAAATGGCACTGGGACAACTAGATATCCACATGTAAAAAAAAATGAATGTAACTCAAAATGGTTAAAAGACCTAAATGTAAGACTGAAAACTATAAAACTCTTAGAATAAAACATAAGTATAAATCTTAGTGACTTTAGATTATGCCACAGTTTCTTAGATAGGACACTAAAATCAGAAACAGGCTGGGTACGGTGGGTCATGCTTATAATCCCAGCACTTTGGGAGGCCAAGGCAGGTGGATCACCTGAGGTCAGGAGTTTGAGACCAGCCTGGCCAATAAGGTGAAACCCTATCTCTACTAAAAATACAAAAAAAAAAAAAAATTACCTGGGCATGGTGCCATGCGCCTGTAATCCCAGCTGCTCAGGAGGCTAAAGCAGGAGAATTGCTTGAACCTGAGAGGTGGAGGTTTCAGTGATCGTGCCACTGCACTCTAGCCTGGGTGACAGTGTGAGACTCTGTCTCAAAAAAAAAATTTTTTTTTTAAATCAGAAGCAATCAAAAAAAATAGATAAGTTGGACTTGATCAAAATTCAAAACTTTTCTGTGTCAAAGTATACTATCCAGAAAATTAAAAGAGGCCCCGCACAGTCGCATACACTTGTAATCCCAGCACACTGGGAGGCTGGGATGGGAGGATCACTTGAGGCCAGGAGTTCAAGAGCCTGAGCAACATAGTAAGACCTTGTCTCATTTTTTTTTAAATAAAAAATAAACAAAGTTAAAAGACAACTCGCAGGATGGGATGCAGCATTTGTAAATCATATACTCCAACTAGGGTCTAGTATCCAGATATATACAACTTAATAAAAAGACAAATGACTTAATTAAAAATAGACAAAGAATTTGAATAGACATATCTCCAAAGAGTTATACAAATGGCTAATAAGCTCATGAAAAGATGCCCAACATTGGCCAGGTGTGGTGGCTCATGCCTGTAATTCCAGCACTTTGGGAGGCCGAGGCAGGTGGATCATGAGGTCAGGAGTTCGAGACCAGCCTGGCCAACATAGTAAAACCCTGTCTCTACTAAAAATACAAAAATTAGCCAGGCATGGTGGCATGCACCTGTAGTCCCAGCTACTTATGAGGCTGAGGCAGGAGAACTGCTTGAACCTGGGAGGTGGAGGTTGTGGTGAGCTGAGATCGCGCCACTGCACTCCAGCCTGGGTGAGAGTGACTCTGGTCTTAAAAAAAAAAGAAAAAGAAAAAGAAAAAGAGGAAAAAAAAAGATGCCCATGTTACATTGTTAGTCATCAGTCACTGTAGAAACCTGCCTGGCAGTTCCTCAAAATGTTAAACAGAGTTACCATATGATCCAGCAATTCACTCTTAGGTAAATGCCTAAGAGAAATTTAAAAATATGCCTACACAAAGACTTGTATGTGAATGTTCATAGCATTATTCATAATAGCCAAAAAGTATAAACAACTCAAACGTCTATCAACTGATGAATGGATAAACAAAATGTGTTATATCCATGCAATCCACACAGTATATCCATAGTGACACATGCCACAACACGGTTGAACCTTGAAAACTTTATGCTAAGTGAAAGCCAGACACAAAAGTACATGCATTGTATTATTCCATTTATAAGAAATGTCTGGAATAGGCAAACCTACAGAGACAAAAAGTAGATAAATGGTTGCCAAGGGATGGAGGGAAGAGGAAATGAGAAGTGATTGCTAATGGTTATGGGGTTTCTTTTTAGGTAATGAAGATGTTCTGGAATTACAGTACTTACGGTTGCCTATCTTTCTGTACAAATAACACATGGCTTTTGCCTCCTGACTGGAGCCTTTCAGGTATACAGAGAGCCTACAATTAGCTGCTGTTCAAGGATCCAGGTGAGAGACAGGGAGGCTGGGACAGGGGTGATCGCAGTGAAGATGAAGAAGGACTGGCCAGATCTCCAGGACTCAGTGACCATTGGGAGGGGCTGCCAAGGCAATATGCACAGGCCAAAGACACATTGGAAAAATAGACAAAAGTGTTAGAAATTGTTGAAAAGTACCTATTTTGCCACTCTTATTTCCAGCAACAGTCTAGAATTTCTGGACTCCAAGGAAAAAATACAAGTGGGTTCCAGGCCTGGCACAGTGGCTCATGCCTCTAATCCCAGCACTCTGGGAGGCCAAGGTGGGTGGATCGCCTGAGGTCAGGAGTTCGAGACCAGCCTGGCCAACATAGTGAAACCCTGTCTCTACTAAAAATACAAAAAATTAGCTGGGCATGGTGGTACACACCTGTAGTCCCACCTACTCGAGAGGCTGGGGCACAAGAATCGCTGGAACCAGGTGGAGGTTGCAGTGAGCCAGGATCACACCACTGTACTCCAGCCTGGGTGACAGAGCCAGACTCCATCTCAAAAAAAAGAGGAAAAAAAAATACAAGTTGGTTCCTGTTTAAAGAGCTTCAAGAAGTTCTCAGAAAGTATTCCTCAAGACAGTCCCTGGAGAGGCTGTATGTGAAGGCCTACAAAGACAGACCTTTACCTCTACAAAGACCCTTTACCTCTCCAGGTTGGAACAAAGCCATCTGCACTGACTTGGGGTGTGTAAAATAATAAATTGAGATGATTTTCCTTACTAAAAAGACTGACCGGTTTATAGAATGAGAATAAGATGGTAATTTAGTTGTATATCCTAATACCTAGATTTAAATCCTTGCTCCACTTACAGCTGTGCAATCTTGAGCACCCTACTTAATCTCTCTGTGCTTCTACTTCCTCTATAATGGGGATAATGTATTATAATATTCTACTTCCTTTATAGTGGGGATAATAGTTCCTACCTCATGGGATTATCGCTCAGGAATTAAGTGAGCTAATTTATGTAAAGCACTGAGAATGGCACCTGAATAAGTAGTTACTCAGGCCCAGGCTTTTCTACATGGTGGTTTTTGCCACCTAGCTTGGGAGCCCTCAGACATTTAAAAAGCTGTGGGAAATCAGTCTCTCCCTCTAAATGGGCTTCCCATCCCTCCCCTGACCCCAGCCTTTTAAAGACCAGGTTTAGGTTTCCTGAACAATTAAGCAGAAAATGCAGAGTTCCCATATACCCTCTCTTCACTCACTGTTTCCCCTATTGTTAACATCCTGCATTAATGTGGCAGATTTGTTATAATTGATAGTACTGATACATTATTAGCAAACGTTCATAATTTACATTAGGGTTTACATTAGGGTTCACTCTTTATGCTGTACATTCACTGGGTTTTCACTAATGTGTCATGAGGCACACCCACTGTTACAGTATCATACAGAATAGTTTCACTGCCCTAAAAATCCTTGTTCCACCTGGTTCATCCCTCCCTCCCTTCCCTCTCCCCCACTCCTGGCCATCACTGATCTTTTCACTGTCTCCATAGTTTTGCCTTTTCCAGAATGTCACAGAGTTTGAATCATACAGTAAATAGCCTTTCAGATTGGCTTCTTTCACTTAGCAATATGAATCTAGGGTTCCTCCATATCTTTTCATGGTTTGATAGTACATTACTTTTTAAGCAATGTGCTTAAATGAATAATATCCCATTGTATAGATATACCACTGTTTATCCATTCAACTATTCAAGGACATCTTTGTTGCTTCCAGGTTTCAGCAATTATGAATAAAGCTGCTATAAATATTTGAGTGCAGATTTTTGTGGACATAGATTTTCAACTCATTTGGATAAATACCAAGGAGCACAATTGCTGGGACATATGGTAAGAGTATATTTAGTTTGGAAGACAGTTTGGCAGTTTCTTACTAAAGTGTACCATTTTGTACTCCCAGGAAGCAATGAACGTTCCTGTTGCTCCACATCCTCACCAGAATTTGGTGTTGTCAGCATTTTGGATTTTAGCCATTGTAATAGGTGTATAATAGTATCTGTTTTAATTTGCAATTCCTTAATGATATATGATGTTCAGCATCTTCTAATATGTGTGTTTGCCATCTGTTTATCTTCTTTGGTGAGGTGTCTGTTTGGGTCTTTTATCCATTTTTTAATTAGTTTTTTTTTTTGGGAGGGGACGGGGGAATGGAGTCTCACTCTGTTGCCCAGACTGGAGTGCAGTGGCATGATCTCGGCTCACTGCAACCTCCACCTCCTGGGTTCAAGAGATCCTCCTGCCTCAACCTCCTGAGTAGCTGGGATTACAGGCAAGCGCCACAACACCCAGCTAATTTTTATATATTTTTAGTAGAGACGGGGTTTTGTCATGTTGGCTAGGCTGGTCTCAAATTCCTAACCTCAGGTGATCCGCCTGCCTCGGCTTCCCAAAGTGCTGGGATTACAAGCATAAGCCACCATGCCTGGCCCAGGTTGTTTTTTTTGTTTTTTGTTTTTTTAATTATTGAGTTGTAAGAGTTGGATTTTTCGTTTGTTTTTAGAGACAGGGTCTCCCTCTGTCACCCAGGCTAGAAGACACTGGCACAATCATTGTTCACTGCAGCCTCAAGCAATCCTCCCACCTAAGCCTCCCGAGTAGCTAGGACTATAGGAATGCCCAGCTAATTTTTGTAGTTTTTTGTAGAGACAGGGTCTCACTATGTTGCCCAGACTGGTCTTAAACTGGCCTCAAGCAATCTTCCCACTTCGGCCTCCCAAAGATTACAGGCATGAGCCACCTGTAAATTTTAGATATAAAAGATGGCAGAATGTGCCACACCAAAATGTGCCACTTTTTTTTTTTTTTTTTTTTTTTTGAGACGGAGTCTCGCTTCTTTGCCCAGGCCGGAGTGCTATGGCACAATCTTGGCTCACTGCAACCTCTGCCTCTCAGGTTCAAGCAATTCTCCTGCCTCAGCCTCCCCAGTAGCTGGGATTATAGGCATGTGCCACCATGCCTGGCTAAATTTTGTATTTGTATTCAACCTATCAATTATTTTTTTCTTTTTTCATGCTTTTGATGTTGTTTCTAAAGACTCACTGGAAAAGCCAAAATGTTCTATTTTTTTTTTTTTTTTTTTTTTTTTTGTTTTGTTTTGTTTTGGAGACGGAGTCTCGCTCTGTCACCCAGGCTGGAGTGCAGTGGCATGATCTCCGCTCACTGCAAGCTCTGCCTCCTGGGTTCATGCCATTCTCCTGCCTCAGCCTCCTGAGTAGCTAGGACTACAGGTGCCCGCCACCACGCCCGGCTAATTTTTTGTATTTTTAGTAGAGACGGGGTTTCACCGTGTTAGCCAGGATGGTCTCAATCTCCTGACCTCGTGATCCACCCACCTTGGCCTCCCAAAGTGCTAGGATTACAGGAATGAGCCACCGTGCCCGGCCTCCTATGTTATCTTCTAGAATTTTTATAGCTTAGTGTTTTACAATTAGGTCTATATTGAGTTAATTTTTATGAAAAGTGTAAAGTCTGTGTCTAGATTTTTTTTTCTTTTGAAATATGAATGTCCAATTGCGCTAGTACCACTTGGGAAGACTATCCTTTCTCCATTGAATTACCTGGGTCCCTTTGTAAAACATGTTGGCTATATTTGTGCGGTACATTCTGGACTCTTCTGTTCCACTAATCTACTTGTCTGCTGCTTTGCTAATACCACATTGTCTTGATTACTATAACTTTACAGCAAGTCTTAAAGGATCAGTTCTTTGACTTTGTTCTTTTCAGTATTGTGTTGGTCATTTGTGAACAAAGTAGGTTGTTCCTTCATTCTGAATATATATGCCTTTTATTTCCTTTCCTTATCTTACTGGATTAGCCAGAACTTCCAACAGGAGGTTCAATAGAATAGGAATAGTGAGAGGGGACACTGCCTTATTCCTGATCTTAGCAAGAAAGCATCTCATTTGCCACCACAGAGTTTTATGTCACCTGTAGGGTTTTTAGTTTTTGGACAATGTTTTTTATCAAGCTGAGGATATTCCCCTCTATTCCTAGTTTGCTGAGGGTTTCTTTTTTTTCTTTTCTTTTTTTTTTTTTTGAGACCGAGTCTCGCTCTGTCGCCCAGGCTGGAGTACAGTGGCGTGATCCTGGCTCACTGCAAGCTCCGCCTCCTGGGTTCACACCATTCTCCTGCCTCAGCCTCCAGAGTAGCTGGGACCACAGGCACCCGCCACCACACCCGGCTAATTTTTTGTATTTTTAGTAGAGACAAGGTTTCACTGTGTTAGCCAGGATGGTCTCGATCTCCTGACCTCATGATCCACCTGCCTCAGCCTCCCAGAGTGCTGGGATTACAGGCATGAACCACCGTGCCCGGCCTGCTGAGGCTTTTTATCATGAAGAGAAGCTAGATTTTTTAAGAGCTTTTTCTGTATCTATTGATATATTTTTCTTCTTTTTTTTTTTTGAGATGGAGTCTTGCTCTATTGCCAGGCTGGAGTGCAGTGGTGCAATCCCGGCTCACTGCAACCTCTGCCTCCCGAGTAGCTGGGATTACAGGTGTGCACCACCACGCCCGGCTAATTTTTGTACTTTTAATAGACACAGGGTTTCACCATGTTGGCCAGGATGGTCTTGATCTCTTGACCTTGTGATCTGCCCGCCTTGGCCTCCCAAAGTGCTGGGATTACAGGTGTGAGCCACCGCACCCAGCCTATTTTTCTTCTTTAGATTGTTGATGTGATGGATTATATTAATTTCAAATGTTGAAACTGTTCTGCACACCTGGATAAATTCTACTTGGTCATGGTGTATTTTTAATATATTCTTGGATTCCGTTTATTAATATTTTGTTTTGAGGATTTTTGCATCTATGTTTATGAGAGATACTGGTCTGCAGATTTTCTTTCTAAAAATATATTGACTGGTTTTAGGCTGGGTGCAGTGGCTTACGCCTATAATCCCAGCACTTTGGGAGGCCGAGATTGGGCGGACCACAAGGTCAGGAGATCAAGACCATCCTGGCTAACACGGTGAAACCCCGTCTCTTCTAAAAATATAAAAAGTTAGCCAGGTGTGGTGGCATGCGCCTATAGTCCCAGCTGCTGGGGAGGCTGAGGCAGGAGAATGGCGTGAACCCGGGAGGCGGAGCTTGCAGTAAGCTGAGACGGCGCCACTGCACTCCAGCCTGGGCAACAGAGTGAGACTCTGTCTCAAAAAAAAAAAAAAAAAATTTGATTGGTTTTTTTTGGGAGGCGGGGGGTTTTTTGTTGTTGTTTTTGAGATGAGACTCGCTCTGTGCAGTGGCGTGATCTCAGCTCACTGCAACCTCCGCCGCCCAGGTTCAAGCGATTCTCCTGCCTCAGCCTCCCGAGTAGCTGGGATTACAGGCACCCGACACAACACCAGGCTAATTTTTGTACTTTTAGTAGAGACAGGGTTTCACCATGTTGGCCAGGCTGGTCTCGAGGCATGAGCCACCACATCTGGCCATGGTTCTGGTATTTACATATTTTTGGTCTCAGAGAATGAGTCAGCAAGTGTTTCTCTCTGCTCCGATTTTCTTTTTTTTTTTTTTTTTTTTTGAGCTTGAAAATAAATCTTTATTTTCAGTTATTACCCACCAGTAAGAGAAAGTTAGGCTCACAGTTTTAGCTCTTGACACAAAGTGAACTAGGAGGCAAATTTATATATCCATCAGATACAACTAATGGACCAACTTTTTAAGTTCAGGCTATCTTGAAAGCTTGCAACATACCAGATATTGCTATGTTGTCTCTCACGACAGCAATGGATGACACTGAGAAGTTGTGTTTTGAATAGCAGGTGTTTTCTATAGTATGTTGCTGGAAATCAAGAGGTTTATAAACATGCTGCATGTTTGGAAATGAGTTAGATACCTGAAAAGTCTAAACACACTGATTTAGGAGTGTATATGTTGTCATCTCAAGAGGGGTCAATAGTTTCTGTGGACTAAATTAATCTCTGGGTAGCACGTATGTTTGTAAATATAAAATTATATTAGACATTAGCACCAGTGCAGAACATGCTCAGCATCGTAAGATCCAAAACACCAGCAAGTTTATCCATCATTAAAAACAATTACCTCCTTCCTAAAATGTCAGAATAGTACATCACTGAGATTAATAAATCTAATCCAAAAAAGTAACTCTTATAACATAAAATTTCTCTTTTAGAAGTATATGTGAGAACCAATCAGCTAAATAGAAATGTTTAAGATTGAAGATGTCCAATATTTTTAAAATGGGACATTACCATATACAGGTAGAACATTTCTAAAAATGATGTGACAAAAAATTCATAAAACTTTTTAAAAAATTTCTTCACTGTTTATCAATAAATGTGGCAGAATAAAAGACAATCCTAGAAAAATTTTTTTATTCATCATTCTATGTGTGTTTTAGTAAGTGGTGATGCTCCCATTATAGGAATCCATTATTAACCTAATTTTCTAATGGAGGAAGAGAGAAAAGATAATTACCACTTTCTGTGGAATACTCAACTTAGGACCAAATAATAGCAATCTAGGAAATTTAGAAACAGTAAAGATTTTTGGTTTATATTTCATGGATAGTGCTGCTGTTCCAACCTTATAAAGTAAAGCTGTCTGCTTCCCAAATTCCAAAAATTAAAATACTCCCCCACCTCACCCTACCAACCAGTGCCCTTTGGTTTTTGTTTGTTTTAGAACAAAGAAGGTTAAATGGTTGATTATGGATGTACCATTTTGATTCTGGGACCTTTCACACATAGAAATCCTACCAAATGGCCAGACACTTATTTTACAAAACAGTTTAAATATTACACATTGGCCAAATCAACTTATTCCACCCACCCTGGTGGAGGAGGAGAAAAAACCCATACCTATAAAACTACTTCACTTGACAGCATGTGTCTATCAACAAGTAGCTTCAACAACTTTCACCAATTAAGATGTCTAGTTTAGATTTTAAAATGGGAAAGTCAAGCATTTTAAAAGTAAATATAGTTGAAAATGTAAATCAGTTATAATTTGAACTTTAATGAACCATGCAAGTCTCTCCTCCTATTTTCTGGAACATATTGAATTTACCAGTGAACTCACCTGAGCCTGGTGCTTTATTTTTTGGAAGTTTATTAATTATTGACTCAATTTTTAAAATACATATAGGGCTATTGAGATTGTCTGTTTCTTCTTGTGTGAGTTTCTTTCAAGGAATTAGTCCATTTCATCTAGGTTATCGAATTTGTGGGCAGAGAGCTGTTCACAATATTCCTTATAATCCTTGTAATGCCCATGGGATCAACAGTGATTTTTCTCTTTCATTTCTATGAAATTTCACTTCACAGAAATTTGTCCTTTTTCCTTAGTTAGCCTGGCGAGAGGCTGTTTTTTGTTTGTTTGTTTTGTTTTTTGTTTTGTTTTTGAGACAGTCTCGCTCTGTCGCCCAGGCTGGAGTGCAGTGGCTCACTGCAAGCTCCGCCTCCTGGGTTCACGCCATTCTCCTGCCTCAGCCTCCAGAGTAGCTGGGACTACAGGCGACCACCACCATGCCCGGCTAATTTTTTGTATTTTTTTTAGTAGAGACGGGGTTTCACCATGTTGGCCAGGATGGTCTCGATCTCCTGACCTCGTGATCCGCCCGCCTCGGACTCCCAAAGTGCTGGGATTACAGGCGTGAGCCACCGCGCCCGGCCGAGGTTTTAAAATTTTATTGATTTTAGGCTGGGCATAGTGGCTTATGCTTCTAATCACAGTGCTTTGGGAGACTGAGACAAGAGGATTGATTAAGGCCAGGAGTTCAAGACCAGACCGGGCAACATAGTGAGATGCCCATCTCTCTTAAAAAAATAAAAAATAAATAAAGAAAAAAAAATTAGCCAGGTGTGGCATGTGCCTGTAGTCCCAGCTATTCAGGAGGCTGAGGCAGGACGATCAACTTGAGCCCAGGAGTTCCTAGTTACAGTGAGCTATGATTAAGCCACTGCACTCCAGCCTGGGTGACAGAGTGACATCCATCTCTACAAAATAAATTTTTAAAAATTTATTTTTTGAAACACAGTCTCTGTCACCCATGCTGGAATGCAGTGGCATGAACATGGCCCACTGCAGCCTTGACTTCCTGGGTTCAAGCAATCTTCCTGCCTCAGCCTCCCCAGTAGCTGGGACTAACAGGCACACACCACCATGTCCAGTGAAAGTTTTTTATTATTTGTAGAGACAGGGTCTCCCCTCGTTGCCCAGGCTAGTCTCGAACTCCTGGGCTTAAGCAATCCTTCTGCCTTGGCTTCCCAAAATGCTGGGATTACAGGCATGAGCCACTGTACCTAGCCAAAACCAAAATTTTTATTCATCTTTTCAAAGAACGAAATTTGGTTTTGTTGATTTTCTCTATTAATTCCTGCTATGGCTTGAATGTTTGTCCCCTCTGAAACTCATGTTGAAACTGAATCCCCAGTGGGGCTGTATTGAAAGGTAAGGCCAGCTGGTCGCGGTGGCACATGCTTATAATCTCAGCATTTTGGGTGGCTGAAGTGGGAGGATCGCTTCAGGCCAGGAGTTCAAGACCAGCCTAGTCAACATAATGAGACCTTGTCTGTAGAGATAAAAAAAAATTTAAAAAAAAATTAGCCAGACATAGTGGCACATGCCTGGTGGGATAGGGACAGGGATGGATAGAAAGCATTCTAGGCACAGACTTGGTGAAACAGGAGAGCAAGGCTCATTTGGGTAACTCTTCTCCAAACCGAAAAGACAACTATTGCCTCTCTGAGGCAACAGAGAAGGAAATCTTTTCTTTGGTTAACAACTTAAAACTCTAGCTGCAGGGCGGGCGAGGTGGCTCACGCCTGTAATCCCAGAACTTTGGGAGGCCAAGGTGGGTGGATCACTTGAGGCCAGTAGTTCAAGACCAGCCTGGCCAATATGATGAAACCCTGTCTATACAAAAATACAAAAAATTAGCCGGGTATGATGGCAGTTCCCTATAATCCCAGCTATTTGGGAGACTGAGGCAGGAGAATCGCTTGAACCTGGGAGGTGGAGGTTGCAGTGAGCTTAGATCGCGCCACTGCACTCTAGCCTGGGCAACAGAGCAAGACTCCATCTCAAAAAAAAAAAAATCTAGCTCCAGTAGTTTTGGCTAGCGTGTCAAAGATTGTTGAAAGAACATTTGGACTTTAAAAGCAATTTGCTTCTCCTCAGTTGTGCACATGCATGCAGCTGATCCAGAATGGTTGCTGGCCCTTCCCTCCATGCACATGCCTACAACTGGCCCTTAAATTCACAAGGATGCACACTACCAACACCACAGCTACACACACACATAACTGCCACTGTGTGTGTGCCTAGAGTTGACTCCAGCCCCTACTGTTGGTCCTCGCCTTCACCACAATATATGCCCACATCTGGCCATTGCCATCACACATGTGCCAGCAGCTGGCTCCCACAACTGAGCATATACACACCACGAGCCCTAGCCCCACACCAACAACTTGTTCCAGTCCCTTGCTGCTGCACCTGGAAGCATTGCTGAGAACTTCAACAGCCCTTGCAGCCACTGTAGGCCCCCACACCTCTTGTCTCCAAGGACCACACAGTTGCTGACATCACAGACCCAGCTCCCTGAGCCAATAAAACACTGTACTGCTCCATGAACCTGGAGCTGCCACATGCCCCCACACTTTGTGGAGGACCACTAGAACCAATGCCATGGCACACTGCAGCATGCTGCCCACCCACTCCTGAGGAGTGAAAGTCTTTCCTTACCAAAGCTACTCTATAAAACCTAGAAGAGATGGATTGCTTCTTCTCCTTTTTTTTTTTTTTTTTTTTTTTCTTGGCTCACTGCAACCTCTGTCTCCTGGGCTCAAGGGATCCTCCTACCTTAGCCTCCTGAGTAGCTGGGACTACAGGTGTATACCACCACGCCTGGCTAATTTTTTTATCTTCTTTGGTAGAGACAGGGTTTCACCGTGTTGCCCAAGCTGGTCATCTCGAACTGCTGGGCTCAAGTGATCTGCCCACCTTGGCCTCCCAAAGTGCTGGAGTTGCAGGCATGGGCCACCATACCCAGCCAATGATTACTTCTCTAAATGTGCAAACACCTATGCAAGGCTAGAAGGATCACAAGGAATCAGGGAAACATGACAACACCAAAGGAAGAAAATAAGCTTCTAGTAAATAATCCAAAGAGATGGATATCCATGAACCGCCTGATAAAAAATTCACAATAATTGTTTTAGAGAAATTCCACAAACTACAAGAGAACACAGATAAACAATTTAATGAAATCAGGAAAAGAATACAAGAATGAAATGAGAAGTTCAGCAAAGATAGAGAAAAATTAAAACAAAACATTCTGGAGCTGAAGAATATAATGACTGAACTACAAAATGCAATACAGAACTTCAGAAGATGACTCAAGTAGAAGAAAGAATCTGCAGACTCAAAAACAGGTTATTTGAAATTATCTAATTGGAGGAGAAAAGAGAAAAAAGAACTAAAATGTACGAAGAAAGCTTATAGGATTTATGAGACACTATCAAGTGAACTAATATACACATTATGGGGTTATGAGATGAAGAAGAGTGAGAAAAGGAAGTAGAAAGTGTATTTGAAGAAGTAACTAAAAAGATTCCCAAATCTTTGGAAAGAAATAGACGTCCAGACTGAAGAAGCCCATAGGATCCCAAATAGGTTGAACACAAGTCTACAACAAGACACATCACAATGAAACTGTCAAAGTCAAAAACTTTTGAAAGATGCAAGAAAAAAGCAACTTGTCATTCAAGGGAATCCCTATGAGACTATCAGCAGATTTCTCCACAAAAATTTTGTAGGCCAGGAAAGAATGGGATAATATGTTCCAAATATTGACATAAAATGGCAACCAAGAATACTATACCCTGCAAAGCTATCCTTTAAAACTGAAAGAGAGATAGTCTTTCCCACATAAACAAAAACTGAGTTTGTCACCATTACACCTGTCTTACAAGAAATGCTTAAGGGATTTCTTCAAATGGAATTTAAAACATCCTAATCAGCAATGTGAAAGCATAAATCTCACAGGCAAAGGTAAATATAGTCAAATACAAAATAATATAACACTGTAATGGTGGTGCCCAATTTACCCATAACACTACAAAAGTTGAAAAATAAAAATATCAAGAATAACTATAACCAAAAAAATTTGGTAATAGAGTCACAATATAAAAAGAAGTAAGCTAAAGGCTTACTTTAGCTATAAGGACACTCAGACTAAAGGTGAAGGGATAGAAAAAGATACTCCATGCAAATGGTAACCAAAAGAGAGCAAAAGTGGCTATACTTTTATCAGACAAAACAGACTTTTTTTTTTTTTTTTTTTTTTTAAAGACAGAACCTCGCCCTGTTGCCAGGCTAGAGTGCAGTGGCATGATCTCGGCTCACTGTAACCTCCGCCTCCTGGGTTCAAGTGATTCTCCTGCCTCAGCCCCCCGAGTAGCTGGGACTACAGGTGTGTGCCACCACGCCCAGCTAATTTATATATTTTTAGTAGAGATGGGGTTTCACCATGTTGGCCAGGATGGTCTCGCTCTCTTGACCTCGTGATCTGCCTGTCTCAGCCTCCCCTCCCAAAGTGCTGGGATTACAGGCGTGTGCCACTGTGCCCAGCCAAAACAGACTTTTAAGTCCAAAACTGTTACTAGGGACAAAGAAAGTCATATAATGATAAAAGTTTCAATTCAACAGGAAGCTATAACAATTATAAACATGTATGTACTGAACATCAGAGCACTTAAATATATAAATCAAATATGGACAGATATGAAGAAAGAGGTTAAAAACAATTTAATAGTAGGAGAATTCAATATTCCACTTTTAATAATGGATAGCACATTCAGGCAGACAACCAATAAAAAAACAACTGATTTGAATAACACTATACACCAAATGGACCTAACATACAGAACGTTTTAGCCAACAGCAGCAGAATACAATTTCATCTCAAGTATACATGGAACATATTCCAGGATAGGTCACATCTTAAGTCACAAAACAAGTTTTAACAAATTTAAGAAGATTGAAATAATACCTGGTATCTTCTTAGGCCACAGTGGAAAGAACTAGAAATCGGTAACATAAAGAAAATAGAAAAATTCACAAATTCATAAAAACAATACACTCTTGAACAACTGGATAAAAGAGGAAATCCAGAGAGAATTTTAAAATATCTTGAGACAAAAATAAAATTCTAACTTTCTAAAATTTACAGGAATCAGCAAAAGCAGTTCCATAAGGGAAATGTATAGCATTAAACACCTATGTTTAAAAAGAAGAAAGATCTCGGTCAGGCGAGGTGGCTCACACACCTGTTATCCCAGCACTTTGGGAGGCCGAGGCAGGCAGATCACTTGAGGTCAGGAGTTCAAGACTAGCCTGGCGAACATGGTGAAACCTCGTCTCTACTAAAATACAAAAAATTAGCCAGGCGTGGTGGCAGGCAACTATAATCCCAGCTACTCAGGAGGCTGAGGCAGGAGAATTACTTGAACCCAGGAGGCGGAGGTTGCAGTGAGCTGAGATCGCACCATTGCACTCCAGCCTAGGCAACAGAGCAAGACTCTGTCTAAAAAAAAAAAAAGAGAGAGAGAGAAGATAGATCTCAATTAAAGAACCTAACATTGGCCAAGGCATGGTGGGAGGCCAAGGCGGGTGGATCACTTGAAGTCAAGAGTTCGAAACCAGCCTGTCCAACATAGTGAAACCCCATGTCTACTAAAAATACAAAAAATTAGCCGGGTATGGTGGTGCCTGCCTGTAGTCCCAGCTACTCTGGAGGCTGAGGCAGGAGAATCGCTTGAACCCAGGAGGCGGAGGTTGCAGTGAGCTGAGGTTGAGCCACTGCACTCCAGCTCTGGGTAACAAAACAAGACTTCATCTCGAGGAAAAAAAAAAAAAAAACCTAACTGTACAAATCAAGAAACTAGAAAAAGAGGAACAAACTCGACCCAAAGTTAGCAGAAGGACAGAAATAAGAAAAATTAGAGCAGAAATAAACAAAATAGAGAATAGAAAAAACTAAGTTGGCTTTTTAAAAAGATCAACAAAATCATCAAGCCTTTAGCTAGATTAAAAAAGAAGATTCAAATAAATAAAATCATAAATAAGAGAGGAGACATTACAATGGATGACACAGAAATAAAAAGGATCATAAGGGACTATTATGACAACCTATATGCCAATAAATGGAATAACCTAGAAGAAATGGATAAATCCTTAGTAACACACACACTACCAAGACCGAATCAAGAAGAAACAGAAAGTCTGAGCAGACCAATAACAAACAAGGAGTTGAATCAGTAATCAAAAACATTCCAGGCTGAGCGTAGTGGCTCACACCTATGATCACAGTACTTTGGAACGCTGAGCCAGGAGGATTGCTTGGGCTCTAGAGTTTGAGACCAGCCTAGGCAACACAGGAAGACCTCACTGATACTGGAAAAAAAAAAAAAAAGCCTGTAATCCCAGCACTTTGGGAGGCCAAGGCGAGTGGATCACCTGAGGTCAGGAGTTCGACACCAGCCTGTCCAACATGGTGAAACCCTGTCTCTACTAAAAAAAAATACAAGAATTAGCCAGGCATGGTGGTGGGCGCCTGTAATCCCAGCTACTTGGGAGATGGAGGCAAGAGAATTGCTTGAACCCAGGAGACGGAAATTGCAGTGAGCCGACACAGTGCCACTGCACTCCACCCTGGGCAACGGGGTGAGACTCTGTCTCAAAAAAAAAAAAAAATTAGCCAGGAATGGTGGTGTGCACCTGTAGTCCCAGCTACGTAAGAGAGGCTGAGGCAGGAGGATCACCTGAGCCCAGGAGATTGAGGCTGCAGTGAGCAATGATCATACCACTGCACTGCAGCCTAGGCAACAGAGTAAGACCCTATCTCGAAAAAGAAAAAAAAAATCCAGCTGGACGCAGTGGCTCACGCCTGTAATCCCAGCACTTTGGGAGGCCGAGGTGGGTGTATCACCTGAGGTCAGGAGATCGAGACCATCCTGGCTAACACGGTGAAACCCCGTCTCTACTAAAAGTACAAAAAATTAGCTGGGCGTGATGGCAGGTGCCTGTAGTCCCAGCTACTCGGGAGGCTGAGGCAGGAGAATGGCGTGAACCCGGGAGACGGAGCTTGCAGTGAGCCAAGATCACACCACTGCACTCCAATCTGGGCAACAGAGCGAGACTTGGTCTCAAACAAAAAAAAAATCCAACAAAGAAATGCCCAAGACCGGATGGTTTCATATGCTAATTCTACCAAATATTCAAAGAACACTAGGCCTTCTTAAACTCTTCCAAAAATTAAAAAAGAGAATGCACTCCCAAACTCATTTTATAAAGTCAGCATCACCCTGATTCCAAAGCTAAAGATAACATAAGAAAATTACCAGGCAATATCCCTGATGAACATAAATGCAAAAATCGTTAATAAAACACTAGCAAACCAAATTCAACAGCACATTAAAATGATTATACAACATGATAGAGTGGGATTTATCCATAGGATACAAGGTCAGTTAACATATGAAAATCAACCAATGTAGTAAATCACAATAAGAGGAAGGAAACACAAAAAACAGATGATCACATCAGTAGACCTAGAAAAAGCATTTGACAAAAGTCAACATCCTTTCATGATAAAGACTCAACAAAACAAGTATGGAAGAAATTTACCTCAATGCAATAAAGGTCACTTATGAAATGCCCACAACTAACATCACACTCAATGGTGAAAGACTGAAAGCTTTTCTTTCCTCTAAGATACAGAACAAGGAAAGGATGCTCACTCTTATCACTGTTAATCAACATAGTACTGGAAGTCATAGCCAGGGCAATCAGGCAAGAAAAACAGAGGCTTCCAAGTCAGAAAGGAAAAAGTAAGATTATTTTTGCATGCCATGACCATATACATAAAAAGCTCAAAAGACTACAAACACACACACACACACACACACACACACACACTCTCACTCTCTCTCTCTCTCCCCGCACCTCCCCCCGAAACTGGTAGAACTAATGAATGAATTCCGTAGTTTCAGGACACAAAATCAACATATAAAACTCCATAGCATCTCTATATACCAAAGATGAACTATCTGAAAGGGAAATTAAGAATGCAACCTCATTTACTTTAGCAACAAAAATTTTAAAATACTTAGGAATTTACGGGACTCAGCAAAATAACTGACACAAATAAATGGAATAAAAACACAAATAAGTGGAAAGACATCTCATGTTCACAGATTGGAAGAATTAATATCGTCTAAGTGTCCATACTACCTAAAGCAATCTACAGATTCAATGCAATCCCTATCAAAATCCCAATTGCACTTTTTATAAAAATAGAAAAAAAAAATCCTAAAATTCATATGGAACTACAAAAAACCCTGAATAGCCAAAGCAATTTTGAACGAGAACAAAAAGCTGGAGACATCACACTTCCTGACTACAAATTATCTATCTTACAAAGCTATCACCAAAATAGTATGGTGCTGGCATAAAAACAGACACAGACAAAATGGAACAGAACAGAGAACCCAGAAATAAACTCACATATTAATGAACAACTTACTTTGACAAGGGTGCTAAGAACACACAATCGGGAAAGGATAATCTGTTCAATAAACAGTACTGGAAAAACTGGGTATCTACACACACACACACACACACACACACACACACACACAAATGAAATCTGACCCCATCTCATACTACACAACAATCAACTCAAATAGACAAAAGGCTCAAATGTAAAACTTGAAACTGCAAAATTCCTCGAAGAAAACATTGGGAAAACCTTGACATTGGTCTTGTAATAATTTTCTCAATATGACACCAAAAGCACAGGCAATGAAAGAAAAAATAGACAAGTGGGATTACATCAAACTAAAAAGCTTCTGCAGAGCAGAAGAAATAATCCAAAAAATGAAAAGGCAACCTACAGAATGGGAAAATAATGTTTGGAAACTATATAGCTGATAAGGGATTAATATCCAAAATATATAAGGAACTCATACAACTCAATGCTAAAAATACAAATAACTGGATTAAAAAATGGGCCAAGAACCAAAATAGACACTTCTCAAAAAAGGAAATTCAGATGGCCAATAAGCATATGAAAATGTGTTCAACATTTGTAATCATCAGGTAAATGCAGATCAAAACCATAATGAGATATCACTTCACACCTTTTAGGCTATTATCAAAAAGATAAAAGATAACAAATGTTGTCAAGGATGTGGAGAAAAGAGAACCCTTGTACACTGCTGTTAGGAATATACATTCATACAGCCATTATGGAAAAAGTATGAAGGTTCCCAAAAAATTAAAAATAGAACACATGGCCGGGCACGGTGGCTCACGCCCGTAATCCCAGCACTTTGGGAGGCCGAGGCGGGGAGATCACAAGGCCAAGAGATCAAGACCATCCTGGCTAACATGCTGAAACCCCATCTCTACTAAAAGTAAAAAAAATTAGCCGGGCATGGTGGCAGATGCCTGTGGTCCCAGCTGCTCGGGAGGCTGAGGCAGGAGAATGGTGTGAACCCAGGAGGCAGAGCTTGCAGTGAGCCCAGATCACGCCACTGCACTCCAACCTGGGCGACAGAGCGAGACTTGGTCTCAAAGAAAAAAAAAAATAGAACATATGATCAAACAATCCTATAGGATAGTAAAGGGATATCTGTACTCCCATTGTTCACTGTAGCATTTTGCACGACAGTCAAGATATGGAAACAACCTAAATGTCCTTCAGTGATGAACAGATAAAGAAAATGTGATTATACACACATACAAAACAGACTATTATTCAGCCTTTAAAAAAGAAAATCCTGCCATTTGTAACAAAATGAATGAAGCTGGAGGAAGTTATGTTAAACAAAATAGGCAAGACACAGAAAGAGAAATACTGCATGATCTCCCTTTTATGTAGAATCTAAAATAGTCAAACTATAGAAACAGAAAGTAGGATGGTGGTTGCCAGGGGCTGGGAAGAGGGGGAAATGGAGGATGTTGGTCAAAGGGTATAAAAATGGTAACTATATACAGGTAATAGATATGTTAATTAGTTGGAATGTGATGGTCATTTCACAATGTTTCACAAAAACATTCAGTTGTATACATTAAATATATATAATTTTTGTATGTCATAAATATTAAATTATTGCAAAATAATTTAAGAGACAAAAAAGTGATTCACCAACTGTGTTTAATAGCTACATATTAATGATGGCAGCAGCAGGCCATCTGGAGCAGCTGCTGCCATCACGCTGGCTGCAGCAACTAGGCATGGCCAGGGCTGCATGCTCCATGGAGAAGGCAAAAGCCAGGGACAAGCGCGAGACCCGCCCCTTCCAAGTTGGGGTGAGAGCTTCCTGGATGCTGCTGCAGCCGCCCAAGCCGTGGCTGCAGACCCAGGCATCCCTGTGCTCTCAGGGCCCAGAGGGGCAGGTGGGAGCTCCACCCTCCCAGGCACAGCTCCAGCTGCCCAAACCGTGGCTGCAGACCCAGGCATCCTTGCACTCTTGGGGGCCCAGGAAGGCCCCCCTTGTTGCGGGAAGTCAGGGACCCCAAACGGAGGGACCGGCTGAAGTCATGACAGAAGAATGTGGATTGTGAAGATTTTATGGACATTTATTAGTTCCCCAAATTAATACTTTTGTAATTTCTTATGCCTGTCTTTACTGCAGTCTCTAAACATAAATTGTAAAGATTTAATGGACACTTATCACTTCCCCAGTAAATATCCTTGTGATTTCCTATGCCTGTCTTTGCTTTAATCTCTTAATCCTGTCAGCTGAGAAGGATGTGTATCGTCTCAGGACCCTGTAATAATTGCGTTAACTACACAAATTGTACAGCATATGTGTTTGAGCAATATGAAATGTGGGCACCCTGAAAAAAGAACAGGATAACAGCAATTGTTCAGGGAATAAGAGAGATAACCTTAAACTCTGACCACCGGTGAGCCGGGCAGAACAGAGCCATATTTCTCTTCTTTCAAAAGCAAATGGGAGAAATATCACTGAATTCCTTTCTCAGCATGGAAAGTCCCTGAGAAAGAGAATGCGCACCTAGGGGTAGGTCTCTGAACTGGCCCCCCCGGGGCGTACCTGTCTCTTATGGTCGAGATTGCAGAGGTGAAATAAACTCCAGTCTCCCATAGCGCTCCCAGGCTTATTAGGAAGAGGAAATTCCCGCCTAATAAACTTTGGTCAGACCGGGTGATCTCAAAACCCTGTCTCCTGATAAGATGTTATCAATGACAATGGTGCCTGAAACTTCATTAGCAATGTGATCTCACCCTGCCTCCACTTGCCTTGTGATATTCTATTACCCTGTTAAGTACTTGATGTCTGTCACCCACACCTATTCGCACACTCCCTCCCCTTTTGAAAATCCCTAATAAAAACTTGCTGGTTTTTGTGGCTTGTGGGGCATCACAGATCCTACCAACGTGTGATGTCTCCCCCGGATGCCCAGCTTTAAAATTTCTCTCTTTTGTACTCTGTCCTTTTATTTCTCAAGTCAGCCGACGCTTAGGAAAATAGAAAAGAACCTACGTGATTATTGGGGCAGGTCCCCCGATACCCCCTTGCCCTTGCAGGCATGGAAATGCCTGTTCCTACTGCCTAGCTTCTCCCTGCCTTCTCTGATCTCAGAGCAAAGTTGGGCAGTGCTGACACACCAGCCCCCTGCCGCCCTGGCCCCCTCCAGATTTTGGGCACAATGAGCATAGAAGGAAACTGAGGGGAGCTGAGGGCAGCTTGGCTTGGCACCTACAGCCTGGGTACCATCAACGGAAGGAGGCAGACAGGTTCCTGGGTAGAAGGGGATGGGTCCCTGGTGACGTCACACCTTCAGGCCAGGGAGGGCTTGAAAGCTGGGGGCCAGGATGCCAGTCCCATGGACTGGAGTGAGAACTTGTGATGGCTTTTCTGGGCCTGCCCATGGCCACATATGGACCAATCGATATGTACTTCTTCCCCTCTGAGGCCCATAAAATCCCTGGGCTCAGCCAGAGCTAAGCAGATGTTGGGACGACCAGCTGCAGAGAGGAGCTACCCATTCCAGGACCCCTCTCTGTTGAGAGCAGCAGACATCAGCACAATGAGCTGCAGTGAAGAGCTACCCACTCCAGGGCCTCCTCTCTGCTGAGAGCCACAGAGATGACAGGAAGACCTGCCTGCAGATAGGAGCTACCCACTCCAAGGCCTCCTCTGAGCTATTGTCACTCAATAGCTCCTGTTTGTCTTGCTCACCCTCCACTTGTCTGTGTACCTCATTCTCATTGCTCACCCTCTACTTGTCTGTGCACCTCATTGAAGAACTTTGGACCCACTAAATGAGGCTAAAAGACCTGTAACACAAACAGGGTTGAGACATGCCCCTTGCTCAACATGTTGTGGGCAAAGAGAAGAAAAGAAGAGCTGCAGCCCTTTGGGAAGCCCAGACCTGGGAGCTCTCCAAGCCAGGGCTGTGACTCCCTCTTTGGGGCCCTATGGTTCCTGGCATCTCCAAGCTTCTGGGCACCACCTTTTCCCTGGTGCCAGCTGTGGAAGCTGCTTGGAGTGCGACTGGTCCAGCTGCAGCCTCGTGGAGAGCTGGTGCCCATGCTGGTACCTGGAGCTGACCACCCCACTGCAGCAGCTGGCACATCTGACTGAAAAATAGCCAGACCCCACACTTCCCCACACACCCCTTGTCACTCCATGCAATCTCCCTTGGCAGGCATGGGATCCAGGCCAGTAGCATGAGCCAAGTGCAGCCTGTCAGGCCGGGTGGGTGGAATGAGCCCAGTGGGCCCAAGCAATACTTGGGCAGAGGTGCCACTTGTCCACAGAGGTTTCTGGCCAGAAAAGTGACACCCCAAAGATACCATAATATTAATAATTAATACCCTGTTTTATTATTTATAATAAATTCTAATTACTAAAAATTACAAGTTTCTTATATTGGCTACTAAATCATACATCTAAACTAATCAAACTGCTGGTCACATCTGTATAGACCCTTTCCCTTTGACAGAACCCCTTCTTTCTAATCCATTTAGGAAGCTTCAAAGAAAGTTTATTCTCTAGCAGTCCATGGTTGTCTGCCCCACCCTCTTCAGGCTCCAGAAGACTCTCAAGGCAAAGGCCAGGAAGAATATCATACGTTTCACTTCCTACCTGACAATGAGGTAATCTGTGTAACAGAATAAATTTTTACATTATTAATTTGAATTGGGCTTCTACATTTTATATATATACATACATGATTTTCAAGCAAGCAACCAAGTGCTAGGCAAGGAAAGCCAAGTCAACATGAAGGCAAAGGCTTTCTATTACCTTTTGGGTAAACCCAAATCCTGAGATTTGGATTAGGATAGATGCTTAAGAGATAGAGGTGATGCAGACCAACAGCACAGCTGAGAGGGCAGAATCTGGAAGTTTAAGGAATTGTCAGACTCTCAAGGATAAGGAGGCCTTTGGGGTCCTACTCCCCAGTTCTAAGGAGCAATATGGTACACAGAGTTGGATCTCTGACACCCTGGTTCTAAGCCCTACCTAAGATTCTGGGGTCCCAAGGCAACAAGCTTTTAGACTTGACGGGACTGCCAGGACTGGATAGTGGCTGTTTCAGAAGCAGTCTGATGACCAGAAGAAACTTCTCAGCATCTTGGTGCCAAATAAAATCTGGATACCTTTGCATAATCTTAGGATTTGTGAGAAGCCCACCAACAAAGCAGATGGTGGTGGGGATCTTGGTAACAGAAATAAATTTACAGAAAACAAAGACATGCAATATTTCTTGAACATATTAATCTATGGATTGAAAAATCGGCCAGGCACAGGCCGATGCCTGTAATCCCAGCACTTTGGGAGGCCGAGGCGGGTGGATCACTTGAGGTCAGGAGTTCGAAACCAGCCTGGCCAACATGGTGAAACCCTGTCTCCACTAAAAACACAAAAATTAGCCGAGCATGGTGGCAGGCACCTGTCATCCAAGCTATTCAGGAGGCTGAAGCAGGAGAATCGCTTAAACCTGTGGGGCAAAGGTTGCAGTGAGCCGAGATCGCGCCACTGCACTCCAGCCTGGGGGACAGAGCCAGATTCTATCTTGAAAAAAAAAAAAACAAAAAGAGGAAAATCACACCAACTATATGTTTTTGTCCTGATATCTCAGGGTAGCTGAGCCAGGAAGGTTCTGCTCCAGCAGGCTGGGGAGCATCCACTTACCCATGAAAAGGAGTATTTGGAGGCTCATTTTAGGGGCCAATACCAGATAGTCCAGGACTAAAAGGTCTTCTTATTTCTATCCCTTTATATTTCTAATAGGAAATGAAAGAGTAGACAACAGAGTATAGTTTCTGTATTGCAGCTGGGGAAGAGACAGGAAGAGCGGAATCCACCAGCACAGTGAGTGAGTCAGAAAGAAAGTACTCAAAACGTCAGTGAGGAGCTGAGGAACTCAGCACATGAGTGCTCTCAGCATGCAGAAGGCTCAGCTGAATTCTGACTGGATTTGTCCTCAGCAAAGCAAAAACCAGGGTCCTTTGAATATACAGGACACAAAGCTCTTCTTATAGAACAAATTGGACTGAGCCTTTGGGGGAAACAACTGTACCAGACAGTGGGAGCTAACTAACAGTAGGTGTGCCACGCAGCACCACGTGGGTCCAAACTGTGGCTCCACTTGGTTCTATCCTTACACAGTCACAGCCTTTGGTTGTACTGGGGCAGTTTGGTGGACCAGGTAAACAGGTACCCTTTGCACAGGAGAACATGGTGGAATTCCACCTTTAAGAAACTCGAACCTGCTACGCTTTTCAGGTAACTGGACCCCACCTCAAATCTACCTGGTACAAGTATAACTAACATGAAGAGCAGAAGAGAAGTCTAGTTTGTATTCTTTTAGAATTCTAATCCCCAAATATTTGCCAGAGATCAGTTACTCGGAAAACTTTCTGATATAAAAAAGGCCTCACCCATTCACCCTGTTCTCAACTTACCATCACATTCCAGCAGACACTGAAAAGCTGAACAAGGGAAACCTTATCCCTGCTCTAGTTGGTTGAGTCTCTCCTCTCTTCCTCTCATCACTGTTGCCCACGTACTGTAGTTTGGAAGTAAGAAAAGAAGAAACTTAAAATATCTCGTTATTTTCCTCCAAAAATTTTAGGGATAAAAGCGCCAGATCCTATGACCCATGTTTAAGATCCAATATTGCCTGGATTCCCTGTTTGGAAACTTTAGAGAGGTTTACAGCCACACTTTCCCTTTTCACTTCTTCCCTTCATGCCAGTTGCCTGGGCAAAGTGGCTGTCCCTGTGTTTTGACATTCCAGCTTCCTAGACCCATAACTCTATCCCAGTAATTTCTGAGAGGAAGCAGCAGCTACTTTCTATATATTTTATCTTCAAGATGTCCCACCCTGCTTTCTGTAAATTGGATATAAAGCTCTTTTATTTGGAATGGAAGGAAGAATGGTCTTTTGACTTGTCTTCATTTTTGGAAAGAGCTTTAAGGTCTAGCATACTCCAGATACCTGAAGTCCATTCTAATTCTAATATCCCATAATTCCAGAAAGTGTTTCTCAGTTTCTTCCACTGAACAAAATGTTTACTGAATATTCTAAAATCAAATAATTTTGAAAAAACTGTAAATTTTGAAAATCTCTCCTTCTTGGAGATTATGTCCATTAGTATAGTCAAGGCTCTAAGAAGTAGTAAAGAAACCAGTTTTCTTGTCTTTTTCAATTATATTTAACCCAGTTACTCCATTTCACATAAAACCCATTAATATCTACCTGACTTCCTTAAGAAAGGCTGTCCTTGAGAACATGGGAGCATCTGGTTTCCTAATTTTCACAATGCAGATCAATCAATGACTCTAAGCTGTGTTAAGGAAAGCATTTAAAACTTTTAAAAAGCTCCATATACAAAGAAGTTAATCATGAAGTTGTAATAACAAAAACCTGGAAACAATTCAAATACCTTAAAAGAGGGACTGAGAAAATACGTTATGGTGTAACTGTGTCACAGAATATTATGTGGTCACTAACAATATTTACAAGCATTTCTTCAAAACCTATGAAAATGTAAAATATCTGGTGAAACATTATATAGCATGATTTCAACTACATATAAGAAATATGCATAGAAGGCCAGGCGCAGTGGCTCATGCCTGTAATCCCAGCACTTCAGGAGGCTGAGACAGGAGGATTGCTTGAGGCCAGGAGTTCAAGACCAGCATGGCCAACATGGCCAGACCCCATCTCTATAAAAATAAAAAAAATTAGCTGGGCATGGTTTTACCTGCCTGTAATCCCAGCTACTCAGGAGGTTGAGGCACGAGAATTGCCTGAACCTGGGAGGTGGAGGTTGCAGTGAGCCAAGATTGTGCCACTGCACTCCAGCCTGGGTGATAAAGCAAGACTCTGTCTCAAAAAAAAAAATGCATAGAAAATATATTGATTTAAATGTCTTCTGGGTCAAGTGCACACCACAACACCTGGCTTTTTTTTTTTTTTTTTTTTTTTCCTAGACACAGGGTCTCGCTATATTGCCCAAGCTGGTCTTGAACTGGCCTCAAGTGATTCTCCCACCTTATCCTATCAAAGTGCAAAGTGCTGGGATTACAGGCATGTGCCACCACACCTGGCTACTAATGTATTTTTAAGGCCTCCCTTTTAGGTGGCTTGATGAGCCTACAATAAGATAAGGAAAGGCCAATGAAATTAAGAACTTTGCCTGCCTTGCCAGAGTGGGAGAATGGTGAGCTCTGAAGGGGCTGAAAGCCTTGAAACAGTCTAGAATAGTGGTCCTCAGCAGGGATGGTACTGCCCCCCAGGGAGCAATTAGGAAATAAGTGGGAGCATTTTTGGTTATCCCAATTGGAGGCCATTATTGGCACTTAATGGGTGAGGAGTCGAAGATGCAAGACATCCTGAAACGTACAGGGCAGTACCTTAATTGTCCTATGTCTCCTGACTTTCAAATGGCTCTCCAGCCAGTGATGTAGGTGAAGCATGTTTATAATCATTTGAGCCTACAGCCTAACTCTGTTTTATATGACTTTAATATATACAGAAATTTTCAGGAATTCAACCACTGTGTAAATCAAGGGAAGACTAAACTTTGTTTTATTTGGAAAATTTTCAAAGGTTGTTCACCATTTTGGAGAACAATATTGCCAATAGCAATGGTATTCAAGTCACCAAAGCAACATATTCATATCAGTTAGCACTTCTAATCTTTATACCTATGCTGACTATGTATATGGGAGTGAACCCTTGATTACTTCAGTATGTCTTCTAGTGTGGTAGAATCTGAGCATTTATATATTAAAACACTTAAAATTTTACTACAAACTCCTTTTATTTCCTCTATCACATTTATGGCCTATTAATTTTGGTTGAAATGGTGTGGAATCATATGCAATTATCTACAAACTTCATTGAAGTGAAGGAGACATTACAAAATATTTGTTATAAATATACAAATATAAACGTTTGTTATAAAATATAAATATTTGTTATAAAATGGGGCATTCAGTCTGATGAGGCTGAAAATCACTATAGTATATGCTCCCTACAACTTGCTTTTCTCCTTATCAACAAGTCTTAGAAATTTCTGCATACGTAGTATGGGCATACCATAGCCTATTCATATATTTCCTATTAATGGACATATAGGTTATTTCTAATTTTGTGCTGTTAGAAACAATGAATATAATGAAATCTTCCCACATGCATCTTTGTGCACACATGCAAGTTTTCTCGCAGGCATATTTTAAAATGTGAAAGTGCCATATCAAGAGTTTTAATATTTGTAAATCTTTGGAGATAAAAATGTTTTCTCATCTCAGGTTGCATTTCCCTAACACTAGTCAAGCTGAACATCTTTTCAAACGTTTTCTGGCCATGCTATTGCCTTGGTTATTCGGCAATTCATATTTCTGTCATTTTGGGGAGAATTGATTTGTAGTTATTCACGTATTCTGACTATAAATTAATATATATGTTGAAAATCACTTTTTCCTATTCTGTTGCCTATCTTTTAACTTCTGTCATAGAGAAGTTTTAAATTTTGATATAGTCAATTTATCATGCTTTTATTTGTTGGTTTTGGTCTCCTCAAAGAAGGCTTTCTCTACCTCTAGACATAGTTTTCAACAGGTGTATAATACTCCATTTTGTGGATCCACCGTAATTTATAACACTCTTACTATTGAAAATTTAGCTTTCTCAAACAACTAAGTGTTCAACATGACGTTTTTAGCACGCATCTTAGTGCCTAGCAAACGGAGCATAATAAATGTTTCTTGAATGAGGATGGGAAGACAGGAACCTTGAATGCGAGTGTGGAAAAAGTTATGTTTAAAAATGCAACCCAATGTCAACCAAATTACTGGGGAATTAGCCCCACAATGGTATTCTTCCTTTAGCCAGCTATTTAAGAGTTGATTCTGCTTCTAAAATCTAGGCACAGAAGTAAAGTTTCACCTTCCCCCATAAGATTGCCCTTCCAAAGGGTGGAACAACTACCTGCGAGAAGCCTGTGATCACATACCTGAGTCGTCCTCCTTATCCTGACTTCAATTTTAGGGTACCTCTTTGCTTGGTGAGTCTTCAAGGTTTACATCTTAGAAGGTTAAGAATGGACCTGAGAAGAGGAGGCAGAGGGAAGAGAAGCCTCGTTTTCAGGAGCCTGGGCTGCTGTAGATTCCTGAGGCCTGGCTCCTGATCCAGCAGGTGAGGCTCTGTATCCCGCAGGCGGGCCTTCATTTCCTGCAGGTGGGGCTCCATATCCGAGAGGTGGGGCTCCATATCCGAGAGGTGGGGTTCCATATCCAAGAGGTGGGGCTCCATATCCTAGAGGTGGGGCTCCATATCCTGCAGGTGGGGCTCCGTATCCAAGAGGTGGGGCTCCATATCGCACAGGTGAGGCTCTGTATCCCACAGGCGGGCCTTCATTTCCTACGGGTTGGGCTCCATATCCTGCAGGTGGGGCTCCGTATCCGGGAGGTGGGGCTCCATATCCTGCAGGTGGGGCTCCATAGACAATAACTGGGAATTATAATGGAAGGAAAAAAATTCAGTTACCTTTAAGTCAAGGAATATGTGAGAAGGAAGAACTTAAAAAATAATGCTGAAGCAAACTGACGCAAGAAGAGAAGTCAGGCAGAATAATGCTAAAGCTATTTCCTCTAGCTATCACCAATTGAAGGCATATCACTTCCTGTTGTGCAGGGATTCAAATCAACATGAAAACAACCCTATCAATAGATCGGTGCGTTACTTATACTCTTGCACAGATATGTGTTTTACTTAATAAAGTTTGATTATGAAAAAAAGTAATACATGCTTAATGAGGAATATGCGTTTGGAAAATAGAGAAAAGAGGAATGGAAAAAAGCCATCTATAATTCTACCATTGAACACTTACTATTTTGGTGTATTTCTTTGTAGAATCTCTGTGAATATTCTTTATATAATCATGATCATATCAGCCATATTATTATTATTATTATTATTATTATTATTATTATTATTATTATTTTGAGAGGGGGTCTCGCTCTGTTGCCCAGGCTGGAGTGCAGTGGCGCGATCTTGGCTCACTGCAAGCTCTGCCTCCTGGGTTCATGCCATTCTCCCACCTCAGCCTCCCGAGTAGCTGGGACTACAAGCACCCGCCACCATGCCCAGCTAATTTTTTTGTATTTTTAGTAGAGACAGGGTTTCACCATGTTAGCCAGGATGGTCTCGATCTCCTGACCTCATGATCCACCCGCCTCGGCCTCCCAAAGTGCTGGGATTACAGGCGTGAGCCACTGCGCCCGGCCAGCCATATGATTTTTTAAATCTGGCTCTTTTACTTAATATTATAAGAAATGTCTTCATATTGTTAATTTACTTCATAAATTCAAAGCTGGATAATATTTCATCATATGGATAGATGACTCTTTTTGTTGTTTCTGACTTTCCAATTAACCTTACAATAAACATGAGTTTTACTTATTACCTTGGGTTACATTCCCCAAAGTGATTTAACTGGATAAAGTGAATGGACAGCTGTAAAGTTATTTTGCTTTAATCCAAAATTTATTACAAAACTACTGTAATCAAGACAGTGTTTTACTGGCACAAGGACAGACTTAGAGACCAATGGAATGAATTAAGAGTCCAGAAATAAACCCAAGCATCTATGAACAGTTGATTTTTGACAGAATGCCAAGACCATTCAATGGGAAAAAAACAGTCTCTTCAAAAAATGATTCTGGGACAACTGGATATCTGCACGTAAAAGAATGAGGTTCTTCCCTCACTTCACTCTACAGATAAAAATTAACTTGTAGTGAATCAATGGCCTTAATATAAAACAGAGGTGGCCAATCTTTTGGCTTCCCTGGGCCACATTGGTGAAGAATTGTCTTGGGCCACATATAAAATATACTAACACTAACGATAGCTGATGAGCTATTTTTAAAAATCTCATAACATTTGAAGAAAGTTTATGAATTTGTGTTGGGCTGCATTCAAAGCCATCCTGGGCCATGGGTTGGACAAGCTTGATATAAGAGCTAAAACTATAAAATGCTTAGAAGAAAACAGGGATAAATCTTCATGACATTGGATTTGGCAACGAATTCTCACATTTTACATCAAAAGCATGAGCAACAAGAGGAAAAAAGAGAAATCTGATAAAAATTAAAAACCTTTGTGCATTAAAAGCCATTTTTGCCTGGGCACAGTTGTTCACACCTGTAACCCACTGGCCGAGGCAGGCAGATCATTTGAGCTCAGGAGTTCTAGATGAGTCTGAACAACATGGTGAAACTACATCTCTACTAAAAATACAAAGATTAGCTGTGCAGGGTGGCACACACCCGCAGTCCCAGCTATTCAGGAGGCTGAGGCACAAGAATCACTTAAACCCGGGAGGCAGAGATTGCAGTGAGCCAAGATGGCGCCACTGCACTCCAGCCTGGGTGACAGAGGGAGACTTTGTCTCAAAAAAAAAAAAAAAAAGTCATTATCAAGAATGTGAAAGAAAACCTAAAAATATTTACAAATAATATATCTGACAAGGATTTCATATCCAGACTATATAAAGAATGCTTACAACTCAACAACAAAAAGACAAGCAATCCGATTTAAATAATAAAAAAAATAGGCAAAAGACTTGGACAGTTCTCCAATTAAGGTATATAAAAAGCACATTAAAAGATGTTCAACATCATTAGTCATTAAGGAAATGCAAATTAAAACCACAATGAGATACCACTTCATACCCACTAGAATGGCTTTAATATAGATTTTTTTTTTTAAAAAAAGGAAGATAAGTGTTGCTGAGGATGTGTAGAAATAGGAACACTTACATTTACACAGGAATGTAAAATAGTGCAGCACTGGAAAATAGTTGGTGGTTCCTCAAAAAGTTAGAGAATTTACATATGACCCAGAAATTCCACTCCAAGATGCATATCCAGGAGAAATGAAAACATATGTCTACGTAGAAAATTATATACAAATGCTCATAGCAGCTAGTATTCGTAATAGCCAAAAGGTGGAAACAAGACAAATGTCCATCAATGGAGGAATGAATACACAAATTGTGGTATATATGTACAATGGAGTATTATTCAGCCAGGAAAAGAAATGAAGTATTGCTACATGCTACAACTTGGAGGAACCTCAAAAACGTTATCTTGAGTGAGATAAGCCAAACACAAAAGGTCACATATTGTATGATTTCTTTTATGTGATATATTCACAATAGGTGAATCAATAAAGACAGAAAGCAGATTAGAGGATACCAGGGGATCAGAGAGGGGACAATGGGGAATAACTTCTTAGTGGCTATTAGGTGATAAAAAGTTTTGAAACCAGACCAGATGCTGTGGCTTACACCTGTAATCCCAGCACTTTGGGAAGCCAAGGCAATAGACTTGCTTGAGCCCAGGAGTGTGAGACCAGCCTAAGCAACACAGTGAGACCCTGTATCTACAAAATTTTTTTAAAAAAAAAGGCTGGCAGGGGCTGGGTGTGGTGGCTCAAGCCTGTAATCCCAGCACTTTGGGAGGCTGAGGCGGGCGGATCACAAGGTCAGGAGATCGAGACCATCCTGGCTAACACAGTGAAATCCCGTCTCTACTAAAAATACAAAAAAAAAATTAGCCGGGCGTGGTGGCGGGCGCCGGTAGTCCCAGCTACTCAGGAGGCTGAGGCAGGAGAATGGCGTGAACCCGGGAGGTGGAGCTTGCATCGCGCCACTGCACTCCAGCCTGGGCGACAGAGCAAGACTCCCTCTCAAAAAAACAAAAACAAAAACAAAAAAGGCTGCCAGAGATGGCTCATGCCTATAATCCCAGCACCTCGGGAGGGCAAGGCGGGCAGATGGCTGGAGGCCAGGAGTTCAGAACCAGCCTGGACAACATAGGGAGATTTCTGTCTCTACAAAAACACATAAAAATTAGCCGGGCATGGTGGATTGCGCCTGTGGTCCTAGCCTACTCTGGTTGGGGGGTACTGAGGTAAGAGGATCGCTTGAGCCCAGGGGGTCGAGGCTGCAGGGGGCCATGATAGTGCCACTGCACTACAGCCTGGGTGACAAAGTGAGACTCTGTCTCCAAAAAAAAAAAACACCACTTTTTGAAACTAGAGACAGCTGGTGGATGTATAATATTGTGAATACGTCAAATACTGCTAAATTTTACACTAAATACCACTGAATTGTACACATTAAAATGTTAATTATATGTTATGTGAATTTCACCAACTGAAAAAATGTTAAACCCTAGCAACAATTACTTTAGATTCTGAATATTAGACTGTAATAACCTTTAAAAACCAAGGTACCTATTAAGGTTACAAATAAGTAGCCTTTAAGTTACATACAAAACTAAAGGCCCATGGACATGCATATCAAGTTCCAAGGAGAACTCAAGAAAAGTCCCATATTTTTGTGTGTGTTGGCAGCATTAGGAGACCCTTGGTGGCCCACCAGTAGGCAGTGGACCATGTTTGAGAATTACTTTCCAGAAACCCCATTCAGTAGCAGTGGACTTTAACAACACAAACTGTTAAAGGACCCAGGGCTCGAGTCCTCAGTAAGGTTGAAGGGTGTGGCACAGGTATGATGACTATGCTATGTGAAATGGAAACAAGGAAGTGGGCAAGAGCATATATTTTCTGCTCAGGCTATAAACAGGAAGTGACCCTTCCCACTAACAGGATTGCCAAGTATGTTCCAGGTTTGTATATATCATTAAAAGTAAGCCTGAAACCAAAGCCCAGTCACTTGCTGACTTTGCCACTGGGTTTCAGTCTGGAAACAAAGTCACAGATGTGACCATTTTCCAAGCCCCTAAAGCTCTGCTGCTGCTCCTGCAGGGAGCAAGCCTGCAAGGGATAGATCTTTGAGCCTCTGGCATAATTTTCCACCTTCCAGGAAGAACCTCTCTGCCATACCTTACCTGAACAAGGCATCTGTGGAGTGCACATATTCCCTTCCCCAGTAATTACATAAATTCCCATAGAGCTGAACCAGTCATTTAAGGTTCTAAGTGGAAATCCTCGGGCAGCTGGAAAGACAAATTTGGCAAAATAGGAACTCTTTTAATTAAGTCAGATATATAGCAGATATCAACTAAACAATTAACAGAGTATTTAATCACCACCTTACATGTGTTTCCAACAATGCTCTTGAGACACAAGATAAAAAAGAAACATGGGCTGGGTGAAGTGGCTCACACCTGTAATCCCAACATTTTAGGAGGCCAAGATGGGAGGATTGCTTGACCCCAGGAGTTCAAGACCAGCCTGGGCAACATGGCAAGACCCTATCTCTACAAAAAATTTTTTAAAAATTAGCCAGGCATGGTGGTGCATGCCTGTGGTCCTAGCTACTCAGGAAGCTGAGGCAGGAGGATTGCTTGAGCCTGGAAATTTGAGGCTGCAGTGAGCCTTATCTGTGCCACTGCACTGGAGCCTCCAGCCTGGGTGACAGAGTAAGACCTTGTCTCAAAAAAAAAAAAAAAAAAGAAAGAAAGAAAAGAAATATGACCCTTGTCCTGAATGGCACGTGTCTTAAGGGCAGAGATTGTATCTCATTTGCCTGTGCTTATTCCAGGCCTAGCATAGCACCTAATCATAACAGATATTCAGAAAAAACTTCTAAGTGAGGATTCTACCAAGTTGGTAAGATATATCCATTAAAGACCAATGTGAGGAAGTGTGGTACCGAAGAAAACACTTTTGTCTTGTCTCCCCTCTGCATCTCTCTTATAAGAACACTTGTGATGGCATTTAGAGGCCACCTAAATAATCTAGGGTAATCTTGTCATCTCAAGATCCTTAAATTAATTACGTCTACAAACACCCTTTTTACAAATAACGTAACAGTCACAGATTCTGAGGATTGGGATGGGGATATATCTGGGGATCCATTATCAGCCTACCACACTGAGTTTTGCCTATGGCATGTGACCAGATGTAATGTAGACAGTTTCCAGGCCTGGCCCATAAAAATTTCCCAGGGGAGATCTTTATTTCCTTCTCTGCTGGCTGTACAAAGAGGCCATGGAAGCCATGGGTTAAAGATCGCAAGGACCGGCCAGGCGTGCTGGCTCACGCCTGTGATCCCAGCACTTTGGGAGGCTGAGGCAGGTGGATCTCCTGAGGTCAGGAGTTCGAGACCAGCCTGACCAACATGGTGAAACCCCGTCTCTACTAAAAATACAAAAATTAGCTGGGCTTGGTGGTGGACACTTGTAATCCCAGCTACTTGGGAGGCTGAGGGAGGAGAATCACTTGAACCCGGGAGGTGGAGGTTGCAGTGAGCCAAGATTGCATGATTGCACTCCAGCCTGGGTGACAAAGCAAGACACTGTCTCAAAAAAAAAAAAAAAAAAAAAAAAAAAAATATATATATATATATATATATATATATATATATATATATACACACACACACACACATATATGAGATAAAAAAATTATTTGTAGTCACAGTTTGAAAGAGTTCTGTGGTACATCCATTAGATCAGTGCTATAAGTCTTGACAGTACCTCTACTCCCCTCTCATGTAAGATGGGGACTAAACCTGAGAAAAGCAAAGGCAAGTCCAGAGAGAAGAAAAACTAAAAAGCCACACCAAAGAAAGAATAACTAAGGGCTCCCTGACCCAAGGAAGAGACGCTCAGTAGATATCTGAGGTCAGTGTTTAAATGGACAAAAGACTATCAGGTATAATTAGTCACCTGGGTGTCTGGCTGTAAGCTCCCACTAGATTGCAAGCTCCTTCAGGATAGGAAGGGACTGAATAATCTTTGTGTTCCTACCCTGTAACATGGTACTTGACAATTGTAGGTAGGCCCAGGAAATGCCTGCTGAATATGTGTGCGAATACCAACTGCCTGGCCACAAAGGCCAGCAAATCTTGGCTGAGTAGAAGTCCTGCTTTAATTCCACAAGCCTTAAAACCCCAAAGTGGGCTGGGCATGGTGGCTCATACCTGTAACCCCAGCACTTCGGGAGGCTGAGGCAAGAGGATCATTTGAGTTCAGGAGTTCGAGACCAGCCTGGGCAACATGGTGAAACCCCGACTTACAAAAATACAAAAATCCCTGTCTCAAAAACAACAAAACAACAACAACAGCAACAACAACAACAAAAAACCCAAACAAACAAACAAAAAACCCCAAAGTGCTTAATATCTTTATCAGCATCACTTACCAGCAGAGGCAGCTTTCACCATCAACTGGGCAAATTCAATGGCATCTCCATTTCTGAAGACTAATTTAAAAGTAGCTTGTCCTTCCCAGCCACCTGGGGGAAGAAATGGCACACACTCACCAAGAAACTGGCATAGCTGACAACAGAAAGACTGCCACAAACACCAAGGGAAGCACTACCTGACAAAGTAGGGCAGCTTTTGTTTGAATTTCAACATGAGCCAAGTTTGAATCTTAAACCTTTTAGAAGATTTTGAGGGAAAAAAAAATACACACTTCTGAGGGAACACTTACCATATGGAGCTGCCTGAATAGTTCCCTTAATGAAGTTTGCAGCAAATACTGGTTGTTCAACAGTGAGGTTCGTCATCAGATCAAATGGCATCATAAAAGACAACATGGGATCACTGATGGAGCATGAAGTTATGAAAATCACCTACGCAAGGACAGAAACTTTGGAAAAGGAATGCAGAATTTGTCCATGGATTGAGACTTACAAGAGCAAGGTGCATTCTGGTCTAACTGAGAAACATCATCTTTTCTTCCACCACCCTTCAGTGTGGAAAATCCCAAAGCGCACGTTTAAAAACACTTCAAAAGTCAATGTTTAAGTTTTCTTCATTTCAAGGAAAACAAATGTAGAGTTAATCAGCAGATTAAAGTAGAAGTAGAAATTACCCGGTATGAAGTGAGAAACAATGTTCCTGTCTTTCTACCACTAAAGACATTTGAGCCTTCTGATCGCTGTGGGAAGGAGAGCTCCACATTCGGAGACCGCTTCAAGAGACTGTAGAAAATGAGGAACAGACGGCACACAATAAAGAATGTATGTAAAATGACACACATAAAGTTCTTAACGCAATTTTTTTTTTTTTTTGAGACAGAGTCTTACTCTGTTGCCCAGGCGGGAGTGCAGTGGCACGATTTCACCTCACTGCAAGCTCCGCCTCCCGGGTTCACACCATTCTCCTGCCTCAGCCTCCCAAATAGCTGGGACTACAGGCGCCCGCCACCATGCCTGCCTAATTTTTTTGTATTTTTGTAGAGATGGGGGTTTCACTGTTAGCCAGGATGGTCTCGATCTCCTGACCTTGTGATCCGCCCGCCTCAGCCTCCCAAAGTGCTGGGATTACAGGCATGCCACCGTGCCCGGCCCTTAATGTAGTTTTTTTTTTTTTTTTTCCAGAGTAAGCACTCAATAAACATTAGCTGCTGCTACTGCTACTATTACTACTACTACTATTTTATTGAAATAAAAAGGAATTCAAATGATCTTATTCTCTGACAATTTACTCTTATTCTTCTCCCTCTTCATCATTGGATTCTTTTTCTTGTCAAACCTACTCCTATTCTCAATGTGTGTTCATTAATTCTTATACTTCTTGTGCGGTAAGTGTAAAGCACTGTGCTAATAGAAATGGTTCTTTGACGCTGGTAAAGAAAGTAAGGCAGCAGACTGCCCCAGCCCCCTCTGACATGTTCCCTCAGCCTGTCGTGCTCTCTCCTTACTGTTAACCTGGAAAACTTGGACTCACCTTACTGTCACTCATCAAATCCTGCTGGGTTCTTTTTTTTCTTACTTTATCTTTCTTTCTTTTCTTTCTTTCTCTTTTTCTTATTTCTTCTTTCTCTTTCTCCCTCCCTCCTTCCCTCACTTCTTTCTTTCCTTTCCTTTTGACTTTCCTTCCCTTCTTCCCTTCCCTTCTTTCCTTCCATTTCCTTCTTCCCTTCCCTTCCTTTCTTTTCTCTCTCTCTCTTTCTTCTGTCTTTTTTTTTTTTTTTTTTGAGACAGGGTCTCACTCTGTTGCCCAGGCTGGAGTGCAGTGGCATAATCTCTGCTCACCAACCTCCACCTCCTGGGCTCAGGTGATCCTCCCATTCAGCCTCCTGAGTAGCTGGGACCGTAGGCAAGCACCACCACGCCTGGCTAATTTTTTTTTTTTTTTTTTGAGAGAAGTCTTGCTCTTGTCCCCCAGGTTTGAGTGCAATGGCTCGATCTCGGCTCACTGCAACCTCCGCCTCCCGGGTTCAAACGATTCTCCTGCCTCTGCCTCCCAAATAGCTGGGATTAAGTCGCCTGCCACCATGCCAGGCTAATTTTTGTATTTTTTGGTAGAGACGGGGTTTCACCATGTTGGCCAGGCTGGTCTGGAACTCCTGACCTCAGGTGATCCGCCCGCCTCGACCTCCCAAAGTGCTGGGATTACAGGCGTGAGCCACTGCACCCGGCCAATTTTTTTGTATTTTTAGTAGAGATGAGGTTTCACCATGTTGCCCAGGATGGTCTCAAACTCCTGGGCTCAAGAGATCTGCCTGCTTTAGCCTCCCAATGTGCTAGGACTACAGGAATGCGCCACCATACCCAGTCCCCCAGCCTTTTCTTTCTTAATGATATATGTAACCAATGTATAATGATCATTAGGTACAATGTCTGCCTTCTTTGCTACTCTAGCCCTAGCAAACAGTGGGTGCTCTAAATAGTTATTAAAAGAATGAATGAAAGCATGAATACAGATCATAATGCAAACAATATATGACATACATAATATAAATGTATGTCATACATTTATTAGTAACAAACTGTCATAGCAATTTAGTGAAAGAAGAGATTCGTTTTAGTTGAAGTAATTAGGAATGACCTAATAGAAAGACTGCAATTTGAGCTGATTAAGAGATGGGTAGTATTCTGGCTGGGCACAGTGGCTCACGCCTGTAATCCCAGCACTTTGGGAGGCCGAGGCTGGCGGATCATTTGGGGAGTTAGAGACCAGCTTGACCAACATGGTGAAACCCCATCTCTACTAAAATACAAAAAGTATCCAGGCATGGTGGTACATGCCTGTAATCTCAGCTACTCGGAAGGCTGAGGTGGGAAGATTGCTTGAGCCATGGGGCACAGATTGCAGTGATCCACTGCACTCCACCCTGGGCAACAGAGTATGACCCTGTTTCAAAAAAAAGAGAGAGAGAGAGATGGGTAGCATTCAGTAGGTAGAGGTGAAGGTAGAGGACAATCCAGATGGGAAGCAAACAGCATTCATGGAGGTGCAGGAGCAGATATGGAAAGCAAACTGCATACTTGGGAGAAGCCTAGTGGTATGGCTTCATCAAAACACAGTGTGGAAGTGAGGTTAGGAGAAACAGTGAAACAAAGTTGGAAAGCTATGCTGGAACTACAGCTTAAAGACATCATTTGATAGGCAAGGAGAAACTGTGAGCTTCAGATTTCTCAACAGGAAAGTCACATAATCAAGAAGGTAGTGTATCAGAGGGATCAGTTTAAGAATTCCTAAAATAGTCCTGATGCAAGGTAAAAACTGGAACTAGGGTGGTAATGTGCAGATTAAAAGGGGAGGATTTTTAAAAGACTATGAAAATACAGGACATTAGCAAAAAACTGTGGAATGGGAATCTTTAAATGTCAGTCTAGCCATAAAAGCAATAAATAAAGCAAAAGAAAACCTGTCAGAATCAACTTTTTCAGAACTCTAGAATCTAATCAAAAGCTTATGGTAACTAGGGGAATGCTTAAGTAATTTTTTTAAAAAGCCAAATCTCAGTAAGTAAGCTTTATGACATTTTAACCTACCCTGGTATCATCCCCCACTACTAGCTTGGCAGCAGCTTTGAAGACAACAATCTATATTCCCATGATAGATACGAAGTACTGGAGGGAGCAGAACACACTTATTTTTAAAAATTGTAGTTTGACTTGTCTGGTGGCTCCTTGAAGGACCGGCTCAAAGGGCATGTATTTAATTTGTAATTTTCCCGGGACTGATGAGGCTACCGGGAGGCATTTGTCAAAAACATTTCCGGCCGGGTCCGGTGGTTCATACCTGTAATCTCAGCACTTTGGGAGGCTGAGGCGGGAGGATTACCAGAGGTCGGGAGTTCAAGACCAGCATGACCAACATGGAGAAACCCCGTCTCTACTAAAAATGCAAAATTAGCTGGGCCTGGTGGCATGTGTCTGTAATCCCAGCTACTCGGGAGGCTGAGGCAGGAGAATTGCTTGAACCCGGGAGGCAGAGTTTGCAGTGAGCCAAGATCTTCCCATTGCACTCCAGCCTGGGGAACAAGAGCGAAATTTCATCTCAAGAAAAAAAAAATTTCCAAGCCAATGTATTAGTTGCTGCTACCTAGCGAAAGGGATGACAACTGGGGCAAAAAAACAGACAAATTGAAAAGCTAAAGGAAAGGATGAGCAATGAGATGCTTTGAGGAATAAAGGCTTCGAAAAGCTCACACATATTCCTGAGAAACAAGAAAGCCATACACATACATGTCCAGGGCTAGATTCATACTAAAAACAAACAAAAAATGAAACACACACACACACTGAAGAGGCACTAAGCTTTCACCTCTGATTGACAATTAGAAGTGATGCAAAAAGGCCTCGGTGCGGTGGCTCACGCCTGTAATCTAGCACTTCGGAAGGCTGAGGCAGGCAGATCACCTGAGGTCAGGAGTTCAAGACCAGCCTGGCCAACATGGCAAAATCCCATCTTTATTAAAAATACAAAAATTAGCTGGGCGTAGTGGTGGGCGCCTATAATCCCAGCTACTCAGGAGGCTGAGGCAGGAGAATTGCTTGAACCCGGGAGGCAGAGGTTGCAGTGAGCCAAGATCATGCCATTGCACTCCAGCCTGGGCAACAGAGCAAGACTCTGTCTCAAAAAAAAAAGGAAATGATGCAAAAAGAAGTGAAGGTGAAGGCAGAGTTGTAAACTGCCTGGCTGAGTAAGAAAGGCACGCTCATGCTCCAACACACACAAAGCCCATCTGCAAGGGCTGGGAGATTTTGTTGTTGTTGTTCCAGACATAGAAGAAAATTTCTGTCAAATCACTAGCTGGCCACTGAGGTAACAGAACTGAGATTCCAGTGGCCACAAATAACAAAGAATACAGACTTTACAAAATTAGTACAGAAAAGTCACTGTACAAACAAATAACAAGCAACAAAAATATACCCTGAAGAAGAGGGAGATTCTACTTTCCAGAGTTACTACATTAAAATATTCAAAATGTCCAGTTTTCAACAACAACAAAAATCACTAGGCATGCAAAGGAACAAGAAAGTATGGGAATACACAGGAACAAAATAAATTAATAAAAACTGTCCCTGAGGAAGCCCATACATTGGATTTATCAGACAACACTTTAAATAAACTATTGTAAATATACTCAAAGAGTTAAAGGAAATGATGTCCAAATAACTAAAAGAAAGAATACAAACAAAGTCTCAGGAAGTAGAGAATATCAATAAAGAGGCAGAAATTATTAAAAGGAACCAAACAGAAATTCTAGAGTTGAAGACTACAACTGAAATGAACAATTTAATCACTGGGGCTCAACAGCCAATTTTGGCAGGCAGAAGAGAGAATTATTGAACTTGAAGTAGGTCAATGGGAATAACGGTTACTACCTGAGTAACACAAATGGGAAAAAACGAAGAAAAAATGAACGAAGTCTAAGAAATCTGTGGGACACCATCAAACATACCAATATATCTAGAATGGGAATTCAAGAAGGAGAGGAGAGAGAGAAAGGGGAATAAAGAACATTTGGGGCCAGGCGCGGTGGCTCATGCCTGTAATCCTAGCACTTTGGGAGGCCACAGTGGGCAGAATGCGTGAGCACAGGTGTTCAACACCAGCAAGGGCAACATGGTGAAACCCTATCTCTACAAAGAATACAAAAAATTAGCCAAGCATGGTGGAGTGCACCTACAGTCCCACCTATCCAAGACACTGAGGTGGGAGGATTGCTTCAGCCTGGGAGGTCAAGGCTGTAGTGAGCCACGACTGTACCACTGCACTCCAGCCTGGGTGACAGAGGGAGACCCTGTCTCAAAATAAGAAAAAAGAATATCTGAGCCGGAAACAGTGGCTCATGCCTGTAATCCCAGCAGTTTGGGAGGCTGAGGCGGGAGGACTGCTTGAGCTCAGGAGTTTGAAACCAGCTTGGGCAACATAGTGAAACCTCACCTCTACTAAAAATTTAAAAATTTGCCGGTGGGGTGCGGTGGCTCATGCCTGTAATCCCAGTACTTTGAAAGGCAGAGGCAGATGGATCACCTGAAGTCAGGAATTCGAGCCCAGCCTGACCAACATGGTGAGACCCCATCTCTACTAAAAATACAAAAAATAGCCAGGCGTGGGTGGTGCATGCCTATAATCCCAGCTACTCCGGAGGCTGAGGCCGGAGAATTGCGTGAACCCAGGAGGCAGAGGTTACAGTGAACTGAGATCGCACCAATGCACTCCAGTCTGGGCAACAGAGTGAGACTCTCTCTCAAAAAAAAAAAAAATTAAAAATTTAGTCAGGTGTGGTGGCATGCATCAGTAGCCCCAGCTACTCAGGAGGCTGAGGCAAGAGAATCACTTGAGCCTGGGATGTCGAGGCTGCAGTGAGCTGTGATCGTGCCACTGCACTCCAGCCTACGTGATAGAGACCCTATCTCAAAATAAATAAATAATGGCCAAAACCTTCCCAAATTTAATGAAATACATGAATCTACACATCCAAGTGCAACAAACTCCAAGTAGAATAAACTCAGTTCCACACTGACATGCATTATAATCAAATTATTGAAAGCCAAATACAAGGAATCTTGAAATTAACAAGATAAGTGACTCATCACGCACAAGGAATCCTCAGACTAGCAGCTGATTTCTTTTTCTTTTTCTTTTTCTTTTTTTTTTTTTTGAGATGGAGTTTCACTTTTGTTGCCCAGGCTAGAGTGCAATGGCACAATCTTGGCTCACCACAACCTCCACCTCCCAGGTTCAAGTGATTCTCCTGCCTCAGCCTCCCGAGTAGCTTGGATTATATAGCTGGGATTACAGGCATGCACCACCACACCCAGCTAATTTTGTATTTTTAGTAGAGATGGGGTTTCTCCATGTTGGTCAGGCTGGTCTCGAACTCCCGGCCTCAGGTGATCTGCTCACCTCGGGCTCCCAAAGTGCTGGGATTACAGGCATAAGCCACCACGCCCGGCCAGCAGCGATTTCTTATTGAAATCATGGAGGCCAAAAGGAAATGTGATGACATATTCAAACTGCTAAAAGTAAAAAAACACTCCGTTGTTTTTTTTTTTTGAGACAGAGTCATGCTCCATTGCCCAAACTGGAGTGCAGTGGCATGATCTTGGCTCACTGCAACCTCCACCTCCTGAGTTCAAGTGATTCTCCTGCCTCAGCCTCCTGAGTAGCTGGGACTACAGGTGCGTGCCACCACGCCCAACTAATTTTTTGCATTTTTAGTAGAGATGGGGTTTCACCATGTTAGCCAGAATGGTCTCCATCTTCTGACCTCGTGATCCACCTGCCTCGGCCTCCCAAAGTGCTGTGATTACAGGCGAGAGCCACCGTGCCCAGCCCTAAAAACAAAAAACTCTTAACCAAGAATTCTATGAGTGGCAAAACTATCCTTCAAAAATTAAAGAGAAATTAAGACATTACCAAATAAACAAAAAATGAAAGCTCTTTACTAGTAGATTTGAAATACAAGAAACGCTATATTTTATAATATGTTTTCTGATTACAATGGAAAGAAACTAGAAATCAACAGCACAAGGAAAACTGCCACAAATATGTGGAAATTAAACAATACACTATTAAATAAATGAGTCAAAGAAGAAATCAGAGGGAAATTAGAAAGTACCTAGAGAAAAATGAACATGAAAACACAACATACCAAAGCTTATGGGTTGCTGTAAATGCAGTGCTAAGATGTTTATAGCTGCAGATGTGTACTTTAATAAAGAAGAAAGATCTCAAATCGACAACCTAACTTTATGCCTCAAGGAACTAAAGAAAAACAAATGAAGCCCAAAGCTAGCAGAAAGAAGAAAATAATAAAGATTAGAACAGAGATAAATAAAAGCGAGAATAGAAAAAAATAAGAAAAAAAATTTAAGTTCAACAAACTTGACAAACTCTTAGCTAGATTAAGAAAAAGAGAGAAGTCTCAACTAAAATCAGAAATGAAAAAGAGGATATTAAAACTGATGCCAGCCAGGCATGGTGGCTCAGCCTGTAATCCCAGCACTTTGGGAGGCCAAGGCAGGTGGATTACTTGAGGCCAGGAGTTTGAGACCAGCCTGGCCAACATGGCGAAACCCCATCTCTAGTATAAACATTCAAAAAAATTAGCCAGGCATGGTGGTGGGCACCTGTAATCCCAGCTACAAGGGAGGCTGAGGCAGGAGAATCACTTTAACCCAGGAGGCAAAGGTTGCAGCGAGCCAATATTGCACGACTGCACTCCAGCCTGGGCGACAGAGTAAGACTCTGTCTCCAAAACAACAACAACAAGAAAAACAACAACAACAACAACCAAAAAAAAAACTGATGCCAAGGAGTTACAAGGATTAAAGAGAAAACCAAGGACAATTGTATGTCAAGTTGGATAACCTAGAAGAAATGGATAAATCCCTAGAAAAACACAACCTACCACACTGAATCATGAACAAACATAAAATATAAACAGACCAATTAACTAGTAAGGAAATTGAATCAGTAACCAAAAACCTCTCAGCTAGGTGTGGTGGCTCATGCCTTTAATCCCAGCACTTTGGGAGGCTGAGACAGGAGGATTGCTCGAGGCCAGGAGTTTCCGACCAGCCTAGGCAACTTGAAAACCTCATCTCTACAAAATATATAAAAAAAAAGTTGGGTGTGGTGGCACACATCTGTAGTCCCAGCTACTCGGGAGGCTGAGGTGGGAGGATCACTTGAGCCTCGGAGATTGAGGCAGCAGTAAGCTGTGATCATGTCACATCACTGCACTCCAGACAGGGTGACAGAGTGAGAACCTGTCTCAAAAAGAGAAAAAAAAACCTCTCAACAAATTCTATTATACAAAACGTTTAAAGAATTAACTAATCTTTCTGAAACTCTTCCCCAAAATTAAAGAGGAAGAAACACTTCTAGGCTTACTTTATGAGGCCAGCATTACCCTGATACCGAAGCCAGACAAAGAAACTACAATAAAATAAAATTGCAGGTCAGTATCTCTGATGAATATTGATGTAAAAAATCCTCAACAAAATACTAGCAAACCAAATTCAGCAGCACATTAAAAGGACTATACACTATGACCAAATGGGGTTTACTCCTAGAATGCAAGGATGGTTCAGCATAGGAAAATGAATCAATGTAACACACCATATGAACAAAATGAAGGGAAAAAACCATGCGATCATCACAATCGATGCAGAAAAAGCATATGAAAAGATTCAGTATATTTTTGGCCAGGCGTGGTGGCTCACGCCTGTAATCCCAGCTCTTTGGGAGGCCAAGGCGGGCGGATCACGAGGTCAGGAGATCGAGATCATCCTGGCTAACACGGTGAAACCCCATCTCTACTAAAAATACAAAAAATTAGCCGGGTGTGGTGGTGGGCGCCTGTAGTCCCAGCTACTCAGGAGGCTGAGGCAGGAGAATGGCGTGAACCTTGGAGGCAGAGCTGGCAGTGAGCCGAGATTGCGCCACTGCACTCCAGCCTGGGCAACAGAGCGAGACTCCGTCTCAAAAAAAAAGAAAAAAAAGAAAAGAAAAGGTTCAATATATTTTCATGATAAAAACACTCAACAAACTAAAAGTAGAAGGAAGCTACCTCAACATAATAAAAGCCATATATGAAAAGCCTGCAGCTAACAGCATACTGAATGGCAAAAGACTGAAAGCTTCCCCTCTAAGATTAGAAACAAGGCAAGGATGCCTGCTTTCACCACTTCTATTCGACATAGTATTGGAAGTCCTAGCCAGAGCAATTAGGCAAAAAATAAAATAAATAAATAAATGGTATTCAAATTTGGAAGGAAGAAGTAAAATTAACTCCGTTCACAGATGGCGTGATCTTATATGTAAATAAACTTAAAGAGTCCACCAAAAAGCTGTCAAAATAAGTGAATTCAGTAAAGTAGCAGCATATAAAATCAACCCACAAATATAGTTGCATTTCTATACACTAATTATGAATGATCCAAAAAGGAGATTAAGGAAATAATTCCATTTACAATAGCATCAAAAAGAATAAAATACTTAGGAATAAACCTCACCAAGGAGGTGAAAGGTTTGTACACTGAAAACTATAAAACATTAGTGAAAAATATTGAAGACATAAATAAATGGAAAGATATCCCATGTTCATGGATTTGAAAACTTAATAAGGCTAAGACGTCCAGGCTACTCAAGTGATTCAGAGATTCAACACAATCCCTACCAAATCTCAACAACACTTTTTGCACAAACAGAAAGCGACATCATAAAATTCATATAGAATCTCAAGGGACCCCAAAAAGCCAAATAATTTTTAAAAAGAAGAACAAAGAGGATTCACACTTCCTGATTTCAAAGTATATTACAAAGCTACAGTAACCAAAACAGCATGATACTGGCATTAAAGATAAACAAACCAATGGACTAGAATAGAAACAAATCTTCACATATATGTGAGAATTGATCAAATAATCTTCAACAAAGGTACTAAGATGACTCAGTGAGGAAAAGACAATCTATTTAACAAATGATGTCCTTTTAGAAAACTGGATATCCACATGCAAAAGAATGAAGTCATACCTTTATCTTACATAGTATGCAAAAATTAACTCAAAATGGATTAAAGACTTAAACATAAGACCCAAAACTATAAAACTCCTAGAAAAAAACATACTGAAAATCTTCGTGACATTGGACTTGTCAATGACTTCTTGGATAAAAAAACAAAAGCACCGGCAACAAAAGAACAAATAAATAAATTGGACTATATCAAACTTAAAAATTGTGTATCAAAGGACACAATCACCAGAATGAAACAGCAACCTATGGAATGGGAGAAAATATTTCAAATTGTATTTATGATAAGGGCTTAATATCTAGAGTATGTAAAGAGCTCCCTGTAATCCCAGCACAAGGCCAAGGTGGGTGGATCAACTGAGGTCAGTAGTTCAAGACCAGCCAGCCCAACATGGTGAAACCCTGTCTCTACTAAAAATACAAAAAAATTGGCCAGGCCCAGTGGCTCACGCCTGTAATCCCAGCACTTTGGGAGGCTGAGGCGGGTGGATCACAAGATCAGGAGATCGAGACCATCCTGGCTAACACGGTGAAACCCCGTCTCTACTAAAAAATAGAAAAAATTAGCCGGGCGTGGTGGTGGACACCTGTAGTCCCAGCTACTCAGGAGGCTGAGGCAGGAGAATGGTGTGAACCTGGGAGGCGGAGCTTGCAGTCAGCCAAGATCGTGCCACTGCACTCCAGCCTGGGCAACAGAGCGAGACTCCATCTTAGAAAAAAAATAATAAAAAAAATTAGCCAGGTGTGGTGGTGGGCACCTGTAATCCCAGCTACTCAGGAGGCTGAGGCAGGAGAATCACTTGAACCTGGGAGGCAGAGGTTGCAGTGAGCTGAGATCGCACCATTGCACTCCAGCCTGGGCAACAAGAGCAATAATACACAAATGGCCAATGAGCATATAAAAAGATTGTCATTACTAATCATCAGAGAAATACAAATCAAAACCACAATGAGACATCACTTTATACCCATTAGGATGGTTAATATTTAAAAAACCAACAGGTCCAGGCATGGTGGCTCATGCCTGTAATCCCAGCACTTTGGGAGGCCAAGGTGAGTGGATCACTTGATGCTAAGAGTTTGAGACCAGCCTGGCCAACACAGCGAAACCCCGTCTCTACTAAAAATACAAAAAACTGGGTGTAGTGGCATATGCTTGTAATCCTGGCTACTCAGGAGGCTGAGGGCATGTGAATCACTTGAACCCCGGAAGCTAAGGCTGCAATGAGCCAAGATCCTGCTGCTACACTACAGCCTGAGTGACAGAGTGAGACTCTGTCAAAAAAAGGGAAGGGAGGGGAGGAGAGGGGGAGGGGGAGGGAGAGGGAAGGGAGGGAGAAAGGAAAGGAAAGGAAAGGAAAGGAAAGGAAAGGAAAGGAAAGGAAAGCAAAGGAAAGGAAAGGAAAGGAAAGGAAAGGAAGAGGAGAAGAGAAGAGAAGAAAAACAAGTGTTGGTGAGGATGTGGAGAAACCGGAACTCTTGTGCACTGTTGCTAGAAATGTAAAATGAGTAGCTGCTATGGAAAACAGTCCGGAGGCTCCTCAAAAAAAATTAAAAATAGAACTACCGTACAAGCTAGCAATCCTGCTTCTGGGTATACATCCAAAAGAATTGCCAGCAGTGTCTCAAATAGATATTTGAATACTTATGTTGATAGCAGCACTATTCACAATAACCAGGAGGTGGAAGCAACCTAAATGTCCATCAGTGCATGAATGGATAAACAAAATGTGGCACATACATACAATGGAATATTTTTCAACCTTAAAAGAAGGAAATCCTGTCACATGCTGTAACATGGACGAACCTTGAGGATGTTACGCTAAGTTAAATAAACCAGCCACAAAAAGACAAATATTGTCATTACACTTACATGAGGTATCTGAAGTAGTCAAATTCATAGAAACAGAAAGTAGAATGGTTGTTACTAGGTGTCATGGGGAGAGGGATAGAGGGAATTGTTTAATGGGAACAGAATTGTTGGGAAAAGTATGGTGAAGTGGGCACTCAGAGTACTGAGAGGAATGTAAATTGATATAATTCTGTAGGGCAATTCTGCAATAAGTGTATTTTAATGTAAAGTCATGTATACTTTAATATTTTGAACAATGATTTTTATATTTTCAATAAATATTTTTAATCTCTTTTTAAAAGTCTAATCCTCTGACCTCACAATTCCCCTATCCCAAAGAAACATTTTGACAGGTAGGCAAAATTATGTTTTCAAAAATGTTCATTGCAGGAATGTTTATAGTAATGACCAAAAAAACCACAAACAAACAAAAAACAAAACAAAAACCCAGACTATTCCAGATTAGGGGTTGAGTAAAGATTTATGCACACTGGAATACCAGCCATTGAAAATAATGATGTAGATACACTAGAAAACATTCCCAATATACTGGCAAATGAGGAAAATAAGTTATAAAGCAGTTGGAGAAAAAAACTGTTTATTTCCATGTGGAAAAGTACAGAAGGACATATACCAAAATGCAAACATTACTGGTAAAAATTTGGGATAACAGATTTTTTCTTCTGATTTTTCTATAATGACAGGTTTCCAGCACACGTTTTAACAATGCATAAAATAAAACAACTCAATGATTCCCATTTTACAGTAGAGTCTGTCCCATATGTTCATGACTTCTCAGCTGGGGTCAGAAAAAATCTCTACAAAACACAGCAAGCTGTGATCAATTTCTCAACTGTGTATTGTGAATAGGCAAGAGGAGTCAAAATATAATGGGAACTCCGAACAGTTCATGGAATTAAAAGATAAAAACATAAACCTTATTTCTCAACATAAGTTCCAACAAGTTCAAGACACTTTAGTAAGCTATGACACAAGCCATTTAGTCCATCCCTAAAGAACTGAGGGTCCTGGAAATGTAATCATGCCAAGGCAGTCTTTTTTACATTTTTAACAGAAGAAAAATGGGTGCCCAATCAGGATTTTTAAGATTAGGAAACAAAGCCGGCTGGGAGCGGTGGCTCACGCCTGTAATGCCAGCACTTTGGGAGGCTGAGGTGGGCGGATCACGAGGTCAGGCGATCGAGACCATCCTGGCTAACACAGTGAAACCCCATCAGTGGGTTTAGTCTCTACTAAAAATACAAAAAATTAGCCGAGTGTGGTGGCGGGTGCCTGCAGTCCCAGCTACTTGGGAGGCTGAGGCAGGAGAATGGCGTGAACCCGGGAGGCAGAGCTTGCAGTGAGCGGAGATCGTGCCACTGCACTCCAGCCTGGGTGACAGAGCGAGACTCCGTCTCGAAAAAAAAAAAAAAAAGATTGGGAAACAAAATAAATTAGAAGGAGCCTAATGATCCATGAATGCCTAATGATTTCCCATCAAAACCCTTGCAAAATTGCCTTTGTTTGATGAGAACGATGAACAGGAGCATTGTCATGGTGGAGAAGAACTCTCTAGTAAAGCTTTCTTGGGTGTTTTTCTGCTAAAGCTTTGCCTAATTTTCTTAAAACAAAGCAGATGTTACCATTCTTTGACCTTCCAGAAAGTCAATAAAGAAAATGCCTTGAGCATCTCAAAAAACTGTTGCCATGACATTTGCTCTTGACCTGTCTGTTCACTTTTGCTTTGAGTGGACCACTTCCACATCTTTGTAGCCACCGTTTTGATTGTGCTTTATCTTCAGGATCATACTGGTAAAGCCATGTTTCATTTCCTGTTACAATTCTTTGAAGAAATGCTTCAGGATCTTGATCCCACATATTTAAATTTTCCACTGCAAGTTCTGCTCTTGCCTGCAGCTGATCTGGGCACTACACTTTTGGCTCCCATTGAATGGAAAGTTTGCTCAACTTTAATTCTGTAAACTGAACCAAATGATATGTGTACTGTATTGGTTATTGTTTCTGCTGTCAATCATGAATTCTCTTCAATTAGGGCATGAACAAGATGAATTTTTTCCTCACAAATTAATGTGGATGGTCTGCCACCACAGGCTTCATCTATTTATTTATTTATTTTTGAGACAGAGTCTCACTCAGGAGTGTCACCCAGGCTGGAATGCAGTAGCGAGATCTCCACTCACTGCAACCTCCACCTCCTGAGTTCAAGCAATTCTCCTGCCTCAGCCTCCCAAGTAGCTGGGATTACAGGAACCCACCACCACCCCCAACTAATTTTTGTATTTTTAGTAGAGATGGGGTTTCATCATTTTGGCCAGGCTGGTCTCAAACTCCTGACCTCAGGTGATCCACCTGCCTCAGCCTCCCAAAGTGCTGGGATTACAGGCGTGAGCCACCATGCCCGGCCTATTTATTTATTTCAGACAGAGTCTTACACTCTGTCACCCAGGCTGAAATGCAGTGGCATGATCTTGGCTCATTGCAACCTCCGCCTCCTGGGTTCAAGTGATTCTCCTGCCTCAGCCTCCTGAGTAGCCGGGATTACAGGCACGCACCACCACGCCTGGCTAATTTTTTTATTTTTAGTAGAGACGGGGTTTCATCATGTTGGTCAGGCTGGTCTCGAACTCCTGACTTTGTGATCTGCCCACCTTGGCCTCCCAAAGTGCTGGGATGACAGGCATGAGCCACCATGCCCAGCCTATTTATTTTTTGAGACAGAGTTTTGCTCTTGTTGACCAGGCTGGAATGCAATGGTGTGATCTTGGCTCATTGCAACCTCAGCCTCTCAGGTTCAAGCGATTCTCCTGCTTCGGCCTCCCGAGTAGTTGGGATTACAGGTATCACCACCACACCCAGCTAATTTTTTGTATTTTTAGTAGAGATGGGGTTTCCTCATGTTGGCCAAGCTGGTCTGGAACTCCTGACCTCAAGCAATACACCCACTTTGGCCTCCCAAAGTGCTGGGATTACAACCGTGAGCCACTGTGCCCTGCCCAGGCTTCGTCTTTAACATCATCTTGTCCCTTCTCTTTTTTGAGACAGGGTCTCACTCTGTCACCCAGGCTGGAGGCTGGAGTGCAGTGGCACAATCTCAGCTCACTGTAACCTCCACCTCCCAGGTTCAAGTGATTCTCCCACCTCAGCCTCCCAAATAGCTAGGACTACAGGCACATGCCACCACATCCAACTATTTTTTGTATTTTTAGTAGAGATAGGGTTTTACTATGTTGCCCAGGCTGGTCTTAAACTCCTGGACTCAAGTGATCCACCGACCTCAGCCTCCCAAAGTTCTGGGATTACAGGCATCAGCCACTGCACCCAGCCCTTGTTCCTTCTTTTTAAATTTTATTTATTTACTTATTTTGATATGGAGTCTTGCTGTGATGCCCAGGCTGGAGTGCAGTCACGTGATCTCAGCTCACTGCAACCTCCACCTCCTGGGTTCCCACAATTCTCCTGCCTTAGCCTCCCAAATAGCTGGGATTACAGGCATGTGCCACCACGCCTGGCAAATTTTACATATTCTTAGTAGAGACAGGGTTTCACCACGTTGGCCAGCTGGTCTCAAACTCCTGACCTCAAGTGACCCACCTGCCTCGGCCTCCCAAAGTACTGGGACTGCAGGCGTGAGCCATCGCGACTGGCCTCTTGTCCCTTCTTATTATCCATTTGTAAACTGCTGATTTATTTGGGCCATTTCCCCATAAACTTTTCCTAAAGCATCAATGGTTTCACCATTCTTCCACCCAAGGTTTACCATAAATTTGATGTTTGTTCTTCCTTCAATTTAAGCAGTATTTATGTTGCTCTGATAGGAGCCCTTTTTCAAATTGATATCTTATCTTTCTTAGTGCCTCAAACTAAATCCTGTTCAGTCATGTTATAACAAGTTAGTATGAGTTAATTTTGGTGGAAAAATAATCTGGAATCCATGCATAGTTTTTTCGCAACCCATATTTTCCATGATCTTTTTGAAGACTCCTCATAGAATCAATCTTCTCCTGCTCAAGTTTTTTTAGTTTCTTTTTTTTAATAACATCTTTTATTTGTATACAAAGTACAAACTTGCTTTATTCGGATTTTTCTTTTTTTAAAAAAAATTTATTTTTAGTCAACTTACTCCCTTTTATTTATCAGCAGTTTGCTCTGACAGAATAAATTACAAACTGTTGTTTCGATTAATCCTTTTAATCACCATGTCAGGCACACAGGTTGGAGGATATTAGCTCCCATTTTACAAAAAGTGGAAACACTGTACCCACATTTAGTGTAAGACAGAGCTAGGATATAAGCCTTGGGCTTCCATAGTCACAACTGCTTTTTTCCATAACTTTGTAATACATCATTTTTAAGCAATCTGATTTCACAATGTTTTACAGTATAAGAGTAACATCTATAGCATCTCTTCTTGGCAGGTTACCCCTCTGGAGAGAACCAATGTAATTACCTCATAAGCTGGCACTTTTTTTTTTTTTTTGAGATGGAGTTTCACTCTTGTTGCCCAGGCTGGAGTGCAATGGCGTGATCTCTGTTCACTGTAACCTCTGCCTCCTTGGGTTCAAGCGATTCTCCTGCCTCAGTCTCCCAAGCAGCTGGGATTACAGGCATGTGCCACCATGCCTGGCTATAGTTTCTTTTTTTTCTTTTCTTAAATTTTATTCTGTGAGATGAGGTCCCACTATTTTGCTCAGCGTGGTCTTGAACTCCTGGCCTCAAGTGATCCTCCCACCTTAGCCTCTCGAATAGGTGGGACTACAGATGTGCACCACTATCTCTGGTTCTTTAAAGTAGTTTCTATCCAGGAAGCTAGGGTACTAATAGGATCTTCTTTGGTGAGAAGAAAACAGAGAAAGAGTCCTTTTCTTTCTAGAGGGACAGCTGGAGTACAGGAGTTTATGCACAGTACCTAAGTTCAAATCCAAATCCAAGCTCTCCCACATGCGCTTTAAGCAAATGACTTCTTTTTGTTTTCCCACCTGTGAAATGAGGGAAAACAGTACTGATCTTCACTGTAGATAGACTGAGTTTTTTTACTTTGTTTTGTTTTGAGACAGAGCCTCACCCTGTTACCCAGGCTGGAGTGTAGTGTCATGATCTCAGCTCACTACAACCTCCCCTCTGCCTCCCAGGCTCAAGCAATTCTCGTGCCTCAGCCTCCTGAGTCGCTGGGATTACAGACGTGCACCACCATGCCTGGCTAATTTTTGTATTTTTAGTAGGGACAGGGGTTTCACCATGTTGGCCAGGCTGGTCTTGAACTCCTGATCTCATGTAATCCACTGGCCTTGGCCTCCCAAAGTGCTGGGATTACAGGCGTGAGCCACCACGCCTGGCTGGTAAAGTGGTTTTAACTACAGTATAAAGCTCTTAGAACTAAGAACAGTACTTGAAATAGTGTTCGATAAATGCTATTAAGTATTCAGGAGCACAAAATGGATCCCATAAAGGTAATTCAAAGGACCACAAAAATCAGTGTTTCTGTGTTTTGTTTTTTAAAACATGCTTCCTTCCCTTTCTCCAACACACAAGCAGTGAAGTAGAGAGACACCCATAGCCCGAGTGAGAAGACACCCAAACACCAAATTAGAAATGACTTCACAATCAGCCCCGGAGTCAAAGCCGATTCTCGGACCAGTCCCATCCCACAGCAGCCTGCCTCCTCTTTCGACATCACAGAGGCTGCTGTGTCCTTCGCCAAGGACTCCCTGGCAGGTGGAGTGGCCGCAGCCATCTCCAAGATGGCGGTAGCACCCATCGAGCGGGTCAAGCTGCTGCTACAGGTGCAGCATGCCAGCAAGCAGATCACTGCAGATAAGCAATACAAGGGCATTAGAGACTGCATGGTCTGTATTCCCAAGGAGCACGGAGTCCTGTCCTGGTGCGGTAACCTGGCCAGTGTCATCAGATACTTCCCCCACCCAGGCTCTTAACTTCACCTTCAAAGATAAATACAAGCAGATCTTCCTGGATGGTGTGGACAAGAGATCCCAGTTTTGGCGCTACTTTGCAGGGAATCTGGCATCAGGCGGTGCCACTGGGGCCACATCCTTGTGTTTTGTGTACCCTCTTGATTTTGCCCATACTCGTGTAGCAGCTGATGTGGGCAAAGCTGGAGCTGAAAGGGAATTGCGAGGTTTCGGTGACTGCCTAGTTAAGATCTACAAATCTGACGGGATTAAGAGCCTGTACCAAGGCTTTAACGTGTCTGTGCAGGGTATTATCTACCGAGCTGCCTGCTGCCTACTTCGGTAACTATGACACTGCAAAGGGAATGCTTCCGGATCCCAAGAACACTCACATTGTCATCAGTTGGATGATGCACAGACTGTCACTGCCGTTGCTGGGTTGACTTCCTATTCATTTAACACCATTTGCTGCTACATGATGATGCAGTCAGGATGCAAAGGAACTGACATCATGTACACAGGCACATTTGACTGCTGGAGGAAGATTACTCATGATGAAGGAAGCAAAGCTGTTTTCAAGGGTGCATGGTCCAGTGTTCTCAGAGGCATGGGTGGTGCTTTTGTGCTTGTCTTGTATGATGAAACCAAGAAGTACATGTAAGTTATTTCCTAAGATTTTTCCCCCTTTGAACAGGCATGTTGTATTATATGACATATCTTGAGCATTCTTTTTTTTTGAGACGGAGTCTCCCTCTATTGCCCAGGGTGGAGTGCAGTGGCACAATCTCGGCTCACTGCAACCTCCACCTTTTGGTGGAGCAATTCTCCTGCCTCAACCTTTTGGTTCACCTTTTGGGTGATTCACCTTTTGGGTTCAAGCAATTCTCCTGCCTCAACCTCCTGAGTAGCTGGGACTACAGACATCCGCCACCACTCCCGGCTGTTTTTTTTTTTTTTGTATTTTTAGTAGAGATGGGGTTTCAACATATTGGCCAGGCTGCTCCTGAACTCCCGATCTTGTGATCCACCCACCTGGGCCTCCCAAAGTGCTGGGATTACAGGCGTGGGCCACCGCGCCCGGCTATCTTGAGCATTCTTGACAGACTCCTCGCTGTCAATTTATCAGTGGCAACTATTCACTGGTTGGAAATGGGAAGCAATAATAGTCATCTGACCAGTTTTCTCTTAAAGCCATTTCTATGATGATGATGATGATGGGACTCAATTATGTTTTTTATTTCAGTCACTCCTAATAAATAACAAATTTGGAGAAATAAAAATATCTTAAGAAAAGAAAAAAGAAAAGAAAAGAAAGGCTTCACACCATGGAATGACAAGTGCTCAAATGGCTCTCAGTAAGTGCTCACGGGGACACCACTGTCAGAGTGGTGAGCAATCATCTACCACAAAATGGAACAAAGCAGCAGAGGTACGTAGGAAGCAGGTGAGAACATACAACCTCTAAGGCCCATATAAATCTGTCAAGAAAACTTTCTGGAGGAAGGAAAGATAGAAGAAAGACCTGGATATCAGCATTTGGTAACGTCTACTTCGATCTTCCTGACAACTACATTCAAACTGACCTGAGTGTGCTGGCCCCAAGCACATCATCCAGCTTGAGTTTCAATGCTGGTTGGGAGAAAAGGAAATTGAGGGCAAGTCAGAGCCCAGAAAGGAGCGCAATTTAGAACTGCACAGCGGGGGAGACTGAGTTTGAGTGTAGGAAACGGGAAAGGGGGCGTGTGGGGTAAAGAGGTGAGCGCAGTGGAGTCAGGCCTTAGTGAACAAGTGTGCTTGAAGGTGGAGATGGGCACCCCTCTGGCTGAGTCTGCTCCAGTAGAGAGCTCAGGGGCCAGCAGCAGGCACCGCAAGGAGCAAAGCAACTGGTGTAAGCCCCACAGCTTCCTGCGACCAACAGTGCTTTGTTGTGCCCAGGCATCTGTTCAGTCCCATCTTTTATTTTAAGACAGGATCTGGCTCTGTTACCCAGGCTGGAGTGCAGTGGTACAATCTGAGCTCACTGCAGCCCAAACTCCTGGGTTCAAGCAATCCTCTTACCATCGCCTCCCAAGCAGCTGGGATTATGGGTGCACACCACCATGGCCCACTAATTTTCTACTTTTTGTAGAGATGGGGTCTCACTATGTTGCCCAGTCTTGTCTCAAACTCCTGGGCCACCTCAGCTTCCCAAACTGTTGGGATAAGAGGCATGAGCCACTGCACCTGGCCTCAATTTTTTCAATTTTGTTTTTAAAAGCAGACATCTCCCTGGTTGGAGCAAGGAGGAAACATGGCTTTAGAAAGTTTCCAGGTCCAAGGAGAAGCCCCACAACAGTTTGAGATCTTTCCAGAATGATCCACACTCGACCTCCTCATCCCTCTTACCAAAGAGCGACACCTTGTTCGTGGAAGTAGGAGGAGATACACACCCAGTACCTGTCCTCATCCAACAAAGTCGCAGGCACCCAAGGGCAGCCACGCTGCCACCGAAGGCCCCCGGCTGCTCACAACCGCCGGTCAGCTCCGGCCTCTCTTCGAAGGACACACGCGTCTCGCACCCCCTCCCCGCCCCGCCCTGAGGAGACATGCGTCTGGGCCCCGCGCCTTGAAAAGGCGCATTCCCACCCCCACCCCTCAAACGCGCGAGGCCACGCGTTCCGGCCTCCGCCACCTCCACATGCCGGAACACCAGTGAGGGGCGCGCGCTCCCAAAGGTCGGGGGCGGAGCTAAGAGCGCCGCGCCCAAAAAAGGCGGCAAAGTCCCTGACTCGCTGAGAGTTTGCGAGCCGCCATGTCTATCTCATTCGTCTCCTCTCCTCCGACAGCACGCCGTGCTTCCCCTCAGGCACCTTTCACCGTTAGGGATGAGGGCTCCGCGGCGGTTCTCGGTGTGGCTCTGATTCACCGCCATCTTGCTTCGGGCCTCCTGCCGCCCCGTAGATGGAAAGGGGCGGGACCTGCGCCGAGCTGTGGGGCGCGGTTCTGAAGGGGAGGGCGGAGATTATGACGTAAGGAGGAGGAGGAGGAGGAGCGAGACCGGGTCACGTGGTGGGGCAGTGCCCGGGGAGCGGGGCGGAGTCAGGGTAGAGGCCCCCGCCGAGAAAGGGGAGAAAGAGGCGGGCCCTGAGAATTGGCTCGAGCGCGAAGGGGTGAGTGATAGGTGAGTGGCCTCCCGACCTCACCTGCCCCCTTAGCCCCCTGCCTTTAGGTATGGACTTGGGTTGGTCCTGTCAGGAATGATCTCAGCTCACTGCACCTCCAACCTCCCATGCTCAAGCCATCTTCCCACCTCAACCTCCCATCCATTACTCACTTTGGTTATGAAACACTAGAAAATAATGACTGAGGCCCGACCTGACGCCAACTGAAGATGAACTGACCTCACAAAGTGTTTTCATCTCTAATATCTGTGGCTATTTCTTACCAAGAGAGTCTCACCCTCCACACATGGGTGAGATGACATAATGGCTGATTTGGTCAAGGAGCACAAATAAGACAGGCCAGGCAGTTACTGTTCAAACAGCAATGTTTAGTTGTACAACACATAAAGTCTAGCAACAATTACAGGACCAGTTTGAGTGTCTGTTTGCTTGTTTTCAATTGGGAAATTTAACTGTAATGTCACCGTAAGATTGGCTGGGACTGGTAACATTTAAGAAACGGGTTGTTCTTGCATCCCCTAGGCGTGGGCCTCTTGCTCCATCAGGACTTGGTTGTAGATGAATGGCCCACAAGTCACCAGCCTTTGAGCAAGTTGTGTCCAGGTGGAGACAGGAAGAGGGTGGGCAAAGGGGAATTCTATAAAGACACAGTGTGTGGGGCAGTGGCAGTCAACATTCGCAAACATTCATGCATCTGATGGGGGGCTTTGCCCTCCCTTGGGTATTTTCCATTAGCCTACAGTGACCACCTGTGGTCAGGCTAATTCATTACTCACATTAATGGGGAAGGGGGTTGGGGGTAGGAGTAGGTAGGGTAGGTGGGAAGAGATCCCTCTTATTGCTGAGTGGACAGAAGGGTGCTAGTTTTTCCTTAGCGTGTACATATTGTGGGTTTCTGGGGGTTTGTGTGTGTGTTTAGTTTTTGTTTGTTTGTTTGGACAGAAGAAAGTCAACTCCAGCAATGTCTTCTTAGGAAAACCACTCTTCCTCAGTGGCTGCGTTATGAGGTGGGGAGGATGTACAACCGCACTCTGGGACAGCCACAAGTGGTGATTTTTTAAAAAGTGATCCTAGCCCTTGCTCCCCAACATCTGTAGTGACCCACCCTCATGAATATCTTTAAGTAATGAAGGAGACACCCTTGTCCCACTTTGGGGCTCACACAGCTGATCTCAATGAATCTAGTAAGCAGAAAAATTGCTTTCTTGACCCTTTAAGGAAGCCAAGAGTAGCTCATGCAGATGAATGGGTAGGGAGCAATGCCATTGCCCTTAGAGATGGTTACAAGTAGCTGGGATGGGCTTACAAGGGCAGAAGGAGCTCTTGATGAGTTCTTTCACCCTGCAGATGGGCTAGGACCGGCTGACGCAGATGATGCAGTAGGGCTGTACTGGCAGAACCCCACTCCACTGGGAGGAGAGGAGTGGTTTGGATAAATGGAGGATGCAACTGGCCTAAAGAGGCAGCTGGCCCCTCCCACCTACTGAGGGCTGAGAGGGGCTGTGGTGGTGAGCTGGACGAGCACAGCACTAAAAAGGGCTTGGCCCTGCAGCAATAACAGCTGAGAGGAATGGAGTGAGAAGCAGCGCTTGAAATGGCCTTCATTCAGCAGTGGGGCAGGGGGTGGCTGGCACAGGTGGAAGGACAGTGCCCAGGAGGCCTTCTCCCTGCAGGGGGGTTGAGAACGGTTGAGGGTGTGGAGACCAGCAGCTGGCAGCAGACATATAAAATACCTTCTCCAGGGAGGCTCAGATCATGGTTCAGGGGTGCCAGGCACCATTCCTACTCAGCCTTTCCAACGCCCACCTCCCATGCCCATAGATCTTCCCCTGCTGGTCCAAGGTCTCCATACAGGACTGCTTCTACAGTAGCCAAGGATCCCTGTTCTGTTGAAATGTATAACCTCTGGGCTGTAGCGCTGCTGCTGTTCTGTCCTGACAGGTGCCTACCCTGTAACTTTGTGAGCAAGGGAGGATGAGGGCTGGGTTGGCAGCCTCCAGGAAAGACCGAGAGCATAGGTTGGGGTCACTGGTGACCTGATCACCGCCCCCCTTTCTCCTGGTCCATTGAATCTTGGGTCTTGAGTCTATGTTTTTTTTCCTAGCACCTGAGTGATAAAAGACTGGGATTATAAGTGCTGGGATTCATAGAGGACCAGTGAAACACCTAGGCTGAACCAGGAGATGGGACAGAAGGTTGTATGAGGTTATTGTAAACAGTTTCACTTAGTGTTTTCCCTTCCCTAAGGCTAAACTGTTTCCCTGGCCCCGAATTTCATGAATCTTACAGATTAAAGGAAAAGAGTAACTTACTTGTACAACAAGCAGGGGAAATATATGCATTAATAAATACAGGGCTTCAGGGAAAGGCAAGAAAAGCCTAAATGTATGACGGTGGGTATCATTGGGAATGTCTACAGGAGTCAGGAGGAGAGGGAATTAGGGAAAAGTAGAGAAAGACAGACATAAATATGATTAGCTTCAGCACAAAAGTGATGGGGAATAGAAAAGAGAGGTCAAGTATGTATGAAGCAAATGGAGCAACAGAGAAGCCTGCTTAGAAGGGAGAGAAGTCTGACGGAGAAAACGGAGGTGTGGTCAAAAATTTGTCTTTGAAGCCAAATTACTAAGAAAGACAAATTATGTATATTGTTTCTGATACTTCTTTAGAATTAGTTCTAGAACCTGATGTCCCAATAAAAGGTTGTCTCACATGACTAGCATGTGTGCTTCCTTTAACTGGACACTGGGAACTGCATAACTCACTGTGTTTCCCTCTTTACATTGGCTGCCTGTGAGCTCAGGGCCTGTTCAGGTGCTTGACTACAGAAACTTTCTTTCCTATTCCTTTCTTTGACCCAGATTTCTCTGGCAATCTGTTTGTACTGTCCTGTAGTTTTGTGATTTTATGTGAAAGGCAGTCTAAAGTCATTTCTGGAAGTAGACTGGGCATAAATGCTAAATATAGGAATGAACCTAAAGTAGATTCATCTAAAAGGAAGTGAGAGATGTCAGAGACACGCAGGAGAGGGAGAGAAAGCAATGTATGAGGGAAGGAGGGAAAGGGAGAAAGAAGACAAAGTCGGAAGCAGAGACAGGCAGTGGCCTGGCAGCAGAGGCCAGTTGAGTGGAGAGCAGCAGTAGGCTCTGGTGACAGGTGGTAGCTTTGTGACACTGAACACGACACAGACTGAAGGGTGGAGCTCCATTTGTAGGCACTGATGCTTTCTGCAAGAACCCAGCTCTGGCCTACTTCTCTGCCTTCTCATGGCCTTCCTTTTCCCAGGAAGCCCCAGCCTTACCCCCAGACCACCCCCAACTTACAGGAGGGTTGTCCTGAACTCCCTGCCCCCTACTCAGGTCTAGCTCCACTGCCATCTGTCCTTGGAGAATCTCTATAGCCCCAGTTTGTGTGCAGGTTCCGAGAGAAGAGTTGCCTGTGGCTCACCTGCTCCCAGCACTTTTAAATGAAACCTCCCCCAGATCTCCTGAGTGAGGCAAACAGCTTTGTTTTGGGACACAAGGAAAGGAGACAGATAATGGACAGGCATGGAGGAGCCAAACTTACAAGGGACTCTCCAGGGAGGGCAGTGAAAATACCTCACCCCTGCATGCACACACACAGGCTCTCTCGCTCTCTCTCTGTCACACACACACACACACACACACACACACACACACACACAGACAAGATGCTCCACAAATACCAGACAGGCCTGTGGGACAGAGTTGAGAGGAAGAAGGTGGTTGGTGGTGGTATTTGGGATGTGTGTGTGTGAAGTGGGTATGTGTGATGACACAGAGAAGTGGTCGTCATGGGTTACTGTCGTGGCTTTCCTCTGTGTCCACGCTCACCGGAGGGAGGCCTCCATTGTCATTGAGCCGCTTGGCCCTGTAAGTCTCATAGTGGATGTTGTGTGTCACTTCCTTGAGGTCCTGGAGGTGGGTCCTAGAGGACACAGGGTGAGAAGAAGAGGGCTGCAATTAGGGGCAGGAAGAGGAGGCGGTGACACACATCACTTCGAGGGACTGGACCCAGTGAATGGGAACCACTCCCAGGAGCTAAGGATTCTTCTACAGCACCTTCCATTTTGCAACAGGAGCTGGAACTGGGGCAGAAAGCTCTGTCAGAGAGACCTGGAGATGCAGGAGGTGAATCTGAACAGATAGACCCTGACCCCAAATAATTCAACCTGCTGTCTGGACAGCTGGAGGGGAGACATCTTACCTGATGACAAAGTCTCGAAGCAGGGCAAACTCACAGTGGTTGAGGTTTTCCACTATGAACAAAACAAAACAAAGCAAAACAGGTAGTCAGTTCATTAATACAGCAACACCCAGGAGGTGAGCTTCTGTTTGGGTCACGGAGGCATTTAGGAGAAAGCTATGGGACAGGTCATTTTTTGTAACCCTTCCAGAGATTTGCTCACTTGGGTGTACTGGATTTGATTCATTGAACAAATATTAAGCAGCTACAATGGGCACGACATCCTTCTAGACGCTGTGGCATAATAGCCAAGAGGGACTATAATTTTTACCATTTTATAGAAGAGAAAACTAATACCAAGTCTGAGAAACTGGCCAAGGCCTAAGATACACTTCCCATTCTTCAGAAGCTTATAATCCGGTTGGAAGTAACACAGAGAAAATAATAATTGAGCCATTTTAAAAAGGTCATGCACTACATGACAAATCCAATTCAACATATATTGAATACCTAGTATTTGCAAATCATTGGCCAAGCACTGTTGGAACAGAATGAGGATTAAGACATGGGGCCAGGCGCTGTGGCTCATGCCTGTAATCCCAGCACTTTGGGAGGCCAAGGTAGGAGGATTACTGGAGCCCAGGAGTTTGAGATCAGCCTGGGTAACACAGTGAGACCCCCACCTCTATTAAAAATAAAAATAAAATCACCAGGCATGGTGGTTCACATCTGTAATCCCAGCACTTTGGGAGGCCAAGGCAAATGGATCACCTGAGGTCAGGAGTTCAAGACCAGCCTGACCAACATGACAAAACTCCATCTCTACGAAAAATACAAAAATTAGCTGGGCTAATTTTTGGGGATAAATAAAAAATACAAAAATCGGGGTCCGCACCTGTAGTCCCAGATACTTGGGAGACTAAGGCAGAAGAATTACTTGAACCTGGGAGGCAGAGGTTGCAGTGAGCTGAGATTGCGCCACTGCACTCCAGCCTGGATGACAGAGTGAGACTCCGTCTCAAAAAAAAAAAAAATCTGAGTCTGAAATCAAGTTTCACCACTAACAAGTTATGTGCTTTGGACAAGGCTTTTAACCTGAGCTTCCGGTGCTTTGGTAGCTTATACTCTGAGAACAGGAGCACCCGCTCTCCTCCCTTCATAGGGTTATCATATTGAATGAAATCATTAAAGTGATTCTTTGACCACTTTCAGAATCATCAAGACCCGCCCAGGGTCACATCCATTCATAATAAAATGGAAATGGCAACACCTGAACAACCCTCCGGCAGTTTGTCAGATCACATCCCCCTTCCTATGAAAACCTTTCTCCAGTTTTTCCAGGCCTTACTAATCTCTCCATGTTCTGAACTCCTTTGATGCGCTAAGTCAGTGCCACCCAGTCAGGTGCTAAATCAGTCTCTTGTTACTCCTGCCTGTGAGCATCGTCTTCTCAATGAGACTGTAAGCTCCTTATGGGCAGAATCTGGCTGGCATTCATTTCATATGTCCTGAGACAGTGCCTTGACCTATAGATGCTTAATAAATGGTGACTGGATAACTGATCAGCAACCAGTTCTTCCAGAAGATGCAGTGAATTACCTTCGATGATCCCCCATGGAGTTTTTCGGCCGAGGACCCTCTTGCCATTCACTTGGTACTCCTTGTCACTTCCCACCACAGCAAAAGGCATGCTCTCCTGCTGCACGGGGCAGAAACACAAACCAGACACATGTGCACCGTCATCCTCCAACAACCTGGACTTTCAGGAGCAGGATGGCATATGGTCCTCTAGCCTTGAACCACACACTTCTGATGCTCATTCAGAGATACTACTGATGGCAAGGGCAAGGCTCAGTCTCTTGAAAAGAGCACCCGACTGAGATTGAAGAGTCCTGGGTCTAGTCCCAATTGTACCACTGCCTCACTGGTTAACCTCAGGAATCAGCTCTCCTTCAGCTGCAGAGCGCTTTGTACTTTCTTTTTTGAGACAGAGTTCGCTCTTGTTGCCCAGGCTGGAGTGCAATGGCACAATTTCAACTCACTGCAACCTCCACCTCCTGGCTTCAAGCAATTCTCCTGCCTCAGCCTCCCGAGTAGCTGGGATTACAGGCATGCGCCACCATGCCTGGCTAATTTTTGCAGGTTTTGTAGAGATAAGTTTTTGCCATGTTGCCCAGGCTGGTCGTGAACTCCTGGGCTCAAGCGATTCTCCCACCTAGGCCTCCCAAAGTGCTGGGATACAGGCATGAGTCACCACGCCCAGCCAATTTAATTTTTTTAAGTTATTCTAGCGGGGGAAGCCTATAAGCCACTCAGTCTAACCCCTGCATTTCATAGAGGGGAAACTAAGGCAGGGTCTGACCACAGCATAGATCCTCCTGGACCCCAGCCTGATGCTCTTCCTGCCTGCTGCCCCTCCCATCACCCCAAATACTGTTTTTGCCAGACCTTGTTGGGGAAAAGGAGGCTTTTATGTGGTCTGGGGATAGAAGGCTTTCTGGGTACAGGGAGCCCTTCTGTGGGTTCACAGTCCAGGGCCATAGTCCTCCCCATCCCCCTATGTCACTTCTGGTCTGGGTCAGGCAAGGTTGGGGGGAGTACAGAAAGGGAAAAGACAGACAGAGGACGTGCACAATACACATCCCAGAGGTCGCAAGGGGGCATCAGTGGAGGAGCAGTGCCCCAGGCACCCACCCTGATTTTGTCATTCTCCGTCTTATCCTCCAAATCCTCATCAAATTCCTTCTGGGGGTAGAATTCAATGCCATTTACTTCAAGCTCCTTGCGAACCTAGAGGCGAGGAGAAGAAACAAGGTAGTCAAGTGTCAGGGTAATGGAAAAGAGGGGTGTGTGCACCTGTGTGCGTGAGCTGAGGTCAGAGAGCCAAATCCAGCCTTGGATAATCCACAGTCATCTCTGAACTCTGAGACCCTGAGCAGCAGGAAGATGGTGAATAAATGCAAGCCCCAGCTATACAATTACAACCTAGCCTGAGAGGAGGAAGAGGCCAGGAGGTGCAACTTCAGGTCCCAGGCGCCTCGCAACCAGCTTGCTCATCTCAGGGTCCGCGAGACTGGGATTTACACAAGCAGCACAGGTGAGCCCACTGGGGAGTGCTCAGACCCCTGCATGTTATATTCCTGATTGGAAGGAAGAAAGGTGAGGCTCCCCCTACTCCGAGACTGTTTGCCCTCTTTCAAGGTCGACTTAAGTCTTGCCTTCTCCAGGAAACCATCCAGGACCTCTTCATTTTCTATTTGATTATAAGTTTTGTTTGTTTGTTGTTTGTTTGTTTGTTTGAGACCGAGTCTTGCTCTGTTGCCCAGGCTGGAGTACCGTGGTGCGATCTTGGCTCACTACAACCTCCACCTCCCGGGTTCCAGTGATTCTCCTGCCTCAGCCTCCCTAGTAGCTGGGCTTACAGGCATATGCCACCACGCCCAGCTAATTTTTGTATTTTTAGTAGAAATGGGGTTTCACCATGTTGGCCAGGCTGGTCTCGAACTCCTGACCTTAGGTGATCCACCCGCCTTGGCCTCCCAAAGTGCTGGGATTACAGGCGTGAGCCACCGCCCCCAGCCAATTGTAAGTTTCTTTTTTTTTTTTTTTTTTTTTTTGAGATAGAGTGTCACTTTGTCGCCCAGGCTGGAGTACAGTAGCACGATCTCAGCTCACTGCAAGCGCCGCCTCTCGGGTTCATGCCATTCTCCTGCCTCAGCCTCCTGAGTAGCTGGGACTACAGGCACCCGCCACCACACCCGGCTAATTTTTTTGTATTTTTAGTAGAGACGGGGTTTCACCGTGTTAGCCAGGATGGTCTTGATCTCCTGACTTCGTGATTCACCCGCCTCTGCCTCCCAAAGTGCTGGGATTACAGGCATGAGCCACCACGCCCAACTGGATTGTAAATTTCTTAAAGGCAGCAATTGTCTTTTCATTTCTCTCAAATCGCCCCTCCCCAACCCTGTACATCCAGCACAGGGCTGAGCTTATAGAACATGCCAGTGAGGGCTGGGCACGGTGGCTCACGCCTGTAATCCCAGCACTTTGGGAGGCCGAGGCGGGCAGATCACGAGGTCAGGAGATCAAGACTAGCCGAGACCATCCTGGCTAACACAGTGAAACCCCATCTCTACTAAAAAGAGAAAAACAAAATTAGCCAGGCGTGGTGGTGGGTGCCTGTAGTCCTAGCTACTCAGGAGGCTGAGGCAGGAGAATGGCGTGAACCCGTAAGGCGGAGCTTGCAGTGAGCCGAGATCACGCCACTGCACTCCAGCCTGGGCGACAGAGAGAGACTCCAAAAAAAAAACAAAGAGAAGATGCCAGTGAGGACTAGTGGCCAGTTGACTCACTAATTAGTCTAGCCCTTCAATTAGGCTAACGTTGGAGGAGTGATTTCTTATGTACACAGTGATACATGTATTCAGTGGTCTTCACAGGTAGGTTTGGAGGGTGGGAAGAAGGCAGCCCAGAGCTGTGCCATCTTTTCTTCATCATAGTCCCCAGATACCACCAACCTCAGCCTCTTGAATGGTTAAGAAGGGGGCTGGGGTGGAGAATTGGGGGAGGGTTGAGGGTGGGGGTGAAGGCAGAATGATGAGGGCTAGGAGATGGCCTGAACCCAGCGGAGAGAAAGGAGGGGATGGGAACAGGAAAAGAAGACAGGGGGCCTTCTCACCCTTTGCTTGAATTCAGACTTCTCCTCCAGGGTCATGGTGTCAGCCTTAGCAATGACAGGGATGATGTTCACAACCTTGCTGAGGTGTTTCATGAACTCAAGATCCAGAGGTCGCAAGCTGGGGCACAGAAAAGGCAGAATCATCAGAGCCACCTTGCCCTCCCCAACTCAGCCACCACCACCACTCCAGGACACCCACAGGAGAAGAGGACTGGGCTGGGCATCTGGCTGAGGCCAAGAGGCTGCTACCTCTCGTCTCCGACACAGCCCCACTGCCTTGCCGTCTGTAGAGCAGCCTCAACACCTGCCTTTTTCTTTTTCAGTCCCCTTGCAGATTCTGCCTCTCTTTAAGCCCCCCTCAAACCACCACTTCAGGACATCTTTTCTGACTCAGGGATTTCTTTCTCCTGGGAGCATCTGTGGACTACTGTCTCTACTCATATGTCCTTGTGCGTGTGTGTCTTTTTTCCTTTTTTGTCTGTCTCAAAAACAAAAAACAAACAACAACAACCAAAAAAAAACAACACTGTGTGTGTCTTTTTTTTTTTTTTTTTTTTTGAGACAGGGTCTCACTTTGTCACCCAGGCTGGAGTGCAGTGATATGGTCATTGGCTCACTGCAGCCTTGACCTCCAGGGCTCAAGCAATCCTCCCACCTCAGCCTCCAGAGGAGCTGGGACCACAGTTGCGCACTACCATGTCTGGCTAATTTTTAAATTTTGTGTAGAGACAATGTCTTGCCATGTTGCCCACGCTGGTCTTGAACTCCTGGACTCAAGCAATCTTCCTGCCTCGGCTTCCCAAAGTGCTGGGATTATAGGCGAGAGCCACCGTGCCTAGTGTGTACATCTTGTTCTGCCTATCAGACTACTTCTTGACAGGTCTCCTCCTAGCCCCCAGAGTTAGTCCTGCAGGGCCAAACTGGAGGCCTTGCCCTTCCCACAATCTGACAGTCTATGCCCCCATCCTACCTCAGGCTCTGAGACCCCAACTTGGCTCTATTTTGCAATCTCAGGGACTCACTAAGTCAGTCTGTCTGATGGTTCATTCTGACCAGGGGGTCGAAGCCTAGGGAGGGATAAAACCAGCCTTCTGTTGAGTTCCTGGGTCTAGCCCAGGGGTCTTGTTTCATCTCTCTTCTCCCCCTACCATCACTGCCTGGTTCCTAGAAAATTTGGGGCTTACCTTGCTTGTGCCATCCTCTGAAGAGCTTAACTCTGGCCCAGCAGCTGGGCTTAGTAATGTTATGGGACCCCCCTCCCCCGGTCTCTGCAGGAAGGTTTCTGGCCTGCCCCCTAGGATCTCCATCCTCTGCCTGTTCCCAGCACTTCCTTCATGGGGCCCACCTGTCACTCACAATCAGAGTTCCCAACATGCTTGTGTGTGTCTTATTCTGCCTATCAGATAGTACTTCATGACAATGGTTGGCCTTCATCTCTGAACACACAATGCCTCACTCCAGGCTGGTACCTTCTAAATGCCTACAACTGGGTCCCTACCCTCCAAACACCAGCCCCAATCCAGGAGCCCTGCACTGCCCTATTTCACCCTTCTTGCTGCTCCCTCCGACTCCAATTATTTTCCAAAGCAGGTATTTGGTGAATAAATGAAGTGCCCTCTGCTCACATTCACCAAGTCCTCTTTGCTGATACAGTTGTGCCATGCTGCTGGGACACCAGTGGGCAGATATTGGTGGCTGATGTTGGACAGCTTTAACCTCCTAGCAAGAAAGTCAAACTTCCTCGTGGAAAGTCTAGGGAATCCCAAGGTCATGGGCCATGACTATGTACCAACCCATCTGGCTGGAAGGGCTAGGACTCAGCTAGGGAGGCCTAGCTGAGTCAACGTATGGATCATCCAATCCAGATGGGCACAGATGATACAAACCAGACCAGGCCTGACAATAGGGGTAGGGTTGGTACATACGAGTGTCCTGTGGGAGAGATGAAGTAAAGGCAGCAGTGGACACGAGTGTCAGGGATGCGTTTCTTCCTGGCGATGTTGACCTCCTCCTTCAGGAACTTCTCGTACTGCTCATTGATGTACTTCTCAATGGGCTCCCAGCTGATGGGGAGGGAAAGTAGATAGATGCATCAGAAGAACAAGACCTAGGGCTCAGCTTAGGCATGATCTGGTAGCAATCTCCTTACATTCATGTCATTCCCTGGTTGGTGGGCCTAGGATACCTGCTGCCAGATTCCCCCTCAGCCCCCGCACCGATGGCTTTCCTGGATGGTTAGTTAGCAGGGGTGGAGCTCCCCAGGGGCCCTGGCCTGGGCTGTCGGGAACTACAGAGCATGGAGGGTGCAGATGGTTCTCAACGTGAATGAATCTGCACCATAGTAAGTATCTTCCCAGCAGAGTCTTTAGGGCAAAGATCTCAGAGGCAGACAGATACCAGTTTTCATTGTTGATTTGGTCTCCAAAGCCTGGGGTGTCGATGACGGTCAGCTTCATTTTGACACCGCCTTCCTCTATCACTGGGGGTGAAAAGAAAATGTACCAGAGAGGTCAGTCCTACAGCTGACCCCAGGTACCTGGCAGCCTACTAGCCAGGGAGACCCAGGCCTTGTCTTCAGGATCAGTTATTGGAAAAGTCAAATTTAGGGTCTTTTCCATCTCGATATCATGGCTTATGCTGTTCCCTGTACCTGGAATCTGGAATACCCTCTCTACTCATTTCTTTTTCTTCTTCTTTTATTTTTTTTAAGAGACAGGGTCTCACTCTGTCACCCAGGCTAGAGTGCAGTGGTGCAATCACAGCTCACTGTAGCCTCGAACTCCCCAGCTCAAGTGATGCTGTCGCCTCAGCCTCCCCAATAGCTAGGACTACAGATATGCACCATCATACCCAGCTAATTTTTTTTTTAAGAGACAGGGTTTCGGGCCGGGCGTGGTTGCTCACGCCTGTTATCCCAGCAGTTTGGGAGGCCAAGGCAGGCGGATCACGAGCTCAGGAGATCAAGACCATCCTGGCTAACACAGTGAAACCCCATCTCTACTAAAAATACAAAAAAAATTAGCCGGGCGTGGTGGCGGGTGCCTGTAGTCCCAGCTACTCAGGAGGCTGAGGCAGGAGAATGGCGTGAACCCGGGAGGTGGAGCTTGCAGTGAGCCGAGATCGCACCACTGCACTCCAGCCTGGGCGACAAAGCAAGACTCCGTCTCAAAAAAACAAACAACAAACAAACAAAAAAAGAGACAGGGTTTCACTGTGTTGACCAAGATGGTCTCGAACTCCATGACTCAAGCGATCCTCCCACTTTGGCCTCCCGAAGTGCTGGGATTACAGGCATGAGCCACCGTACCTGCCCACTCCTTACCTCTTTCTACCTGTCTAAATCCTGTACTTTATCATCCACCTCAAATCTCACCTCCTTCCATTCGAGCTCCCTGCTCTCTCTTCCCTGAACCTGCAGTCTAAGGAGTTTGCTTCAGAGTGAAGTGCTCACGTCTGTTTTGTCTTAAGGTTGCCTTTTATTGATCTTATTCTTCAATAAGCCCCATTCTTTCCCCTTTCCAGCAGAGGCACTCACTGAACAAAGCCCATAGGGGTCCCTGCCTGGTCCTCACCATGCCCGATAGCTTTGATCTCCACTGTCTTGGGGATCTTCTCCTCCCGGTTCCAGCTGGAGGCCTTGCGGCTCACTTGGGATTTGAAGAGCGTGTTGACCAGCGTTGATTTGCCCAGTCCACTCTGGCCTACAGCAAAGCAGGAGGAGGAGGTAGGGAGACTCTGCATCCACCTCCTGAGCCTAATATTTCTCCATAAGCTTACAGAATTCTAGAGCCATGATCCAGGCCACACCTTGTCTGACCACTCACTGGGGGATGGCCAGGCTGAGTGGGGATTGCAGGCAGGTGGGAATGGCTTCCTGCTTACTGCAGAGGGCCTTGGGGAAACATCACTTGGATTCCATATTCTCTCCTTCCCAGAGCCACAGGACCACTGGGAAAAGGGACAACCTCTGCATATGTCTAGTGTCGTGGTTTTCTGTTTTCTCGTGATTCCATTTTTTGCTTAGGTTTTCACTTTTTAATGATACTAAAAGGAAAAATAGAATGACTTTGCATCCTGATACTGCCTCACAGTGCATATTGTACATTCACATTTGTTAGCCAAATTCATTTTTATATCAGCCCTGTGGATCCTGAAGCAGAACTATCTTTATCCTCAGTTGAGATGGTCCTAGAGAGATGAATCCTCTTCTAACAAAATATGTGCAGAGCAACATAACTAATACATGCAAGACCAGGAACTCAAACCCTAATAACATCTTGGCTCTATATCCACTCTTTCTTCTAGTGTAGTGGTTTTTAGATTGTGCTCCCAGAAGCCTTAGTGTCCTGTGAAGATACATGCCAGAGAGGGCACTGTGAGAGGAGGAGGAGGCTGGGCAGGCAGGGCCCCTGCATCCACTTCCTTCGCTATGGCTCCCTTTCACCTGTTTTCCAGATGCATATCTGCAGAAGATTTCATTTCAAGGAAAAGTTTCACAGCTAAAGAACATTTGAAAACCACTGGTCAGGCCGTTTGCCGTGGCTCACACCTGTAATCCCAGCACTTTGGGAGGCCGAGACAGGCGGATCATGAGGTCAGGAGGAGATCGAGTCCATCCTGGCTAACACGGTGAAACACCGTCTCTTCTAAAAAAAATACAAAAAATTAGCCCGGCGTGGTGGCAGGCGCCTGTAGTCCCAGCTACTCAGGAGGCTGAGGCAGGAGAATGGCATGAACCTGGGAGGCAGAGCTTGCAGTGAGCTGAGATCGCGCCACTGCGCTCCAGCCTGGGCGACAGAGCGAGACTCCGTCTCAAAAAAAAAAAAAAAAAAAAAAAAAGGGAAAACCACTGGTCAGGCCAGGTGCAGTGGCTCATGCCTGTAATCCCAGCACTTTGGAAGGCCAAGGCGGGCAGATCACTTGAGGCCAGGAGTTCGAGACCAGCCTGGCCAACATGGTGAAACCCTGTCTCCACTAAAAATACAAAAATTAGCCGGGCATGGTGGCACATGCCTGTAGTCCTAGCTACTCAGGAGGCTGCGGATCGTTTGAACCCAGGAGGCAGAGGCTGTAGTGAGCCGGGATCACGCAACTGTACTCCAGCCTGGGCAACACAGCGAGACTCTGTCTCAAAAGAAACAAACCCACTGGTCTGAGCAGAGCTTCTCAAACTTCAACACGTACAAGAATCCCACAAGAAAGACTTGCAATTGACAAGCAGCCTCGGCATTGCCCGGACACTAGTAGGAAATGCAGAATCTCAGGCCCCACCCCAGACCTATGATTCTGAATCTGCATTTTAACTGGGCTTCCAGAAGAGTCCTATGGACAATAAGATCTAAGAAATACTGGGCTGGTGAATTCTTGTGATTATATTAGAAAAAGAACCATGCTGGGGGACAAGGGCCTAGAGTTCCAGACCCACCTGCATTGTTTTCCCTGAATGCCTTTGGATTAGTCATGCCTTGGTTTCTTTACTGATAGGATGGTGAGGAGAGAGGAAATTGGACAAGACCAGGGATGGTAAATAAGGTGCATTTCTCATTCCTGCTGATTATCTGGTAGTAGTCACCTAGACCATTATGTTAAAAAGGCTACATCTGGGCTCAGCACTGAACACGTGCCATGACTGACTAGCAGTCTGCCATGCACACCACTGGGGAGAGAAGTGGCTCACGGGTGTTGGATTTGCCATGCTTGCTCTGAGATGTTTTCTAAGAGCATTCATTCATTAATTATTCTTAGGTGCCAAGTGTTGTCCTAAAATTTGGAGGTACTATCGTGAACAAAACATGATCCTTACCCTCAAGGAGCTGCTTAGTGTGAGAGTGACCAAAACATAAGCAGACAATTATAGTATGTTGCAATAACCACTGTGAAAGAGAATAGCCACAGGGTATTGAAACAGCATTGCCAAGGGAATCCAACCCAGTCTCTCTGGGACTAAGGAAGACTTCTGGAGAAATGCAACTAAGCTGAAACCGGAAGGTTGATTTCAAAAGAGTCATGAGTTCTAGCCAGAGGGAACAGCAGATGCAAAAGCTCTAGGGTAGGAGAGAGCATGGCATGTGGACGAGCACTGCCTCTTCTGAGTGAGGAGTACAATGCTAGATGGGAAGTGGTCAGAGATGAGCTGAAGAGGTACAATCAGGACAGTCTACGAGTTTAAACTTACCCTGAGGTTAAAGGAGAGTTTGTTACAGAGTTTTAAGTAAGTTGGGTGACTCGATAAGTTTTGCAAGGTGGGAAGATTATTTGGTCACTGGTGGACAAGGGATTGGAGAGGAAAGGAGACAGAGAGCTAGGAGGGTTGGTGCCACTCCGAGTGTGGCCCATAGGGGCCCAGCTACCAGGGTCCCTGACCCATTTGCTACTGGTTCTTGAGATAAGAAGTCTGCCTCAGGAGAGAAATCTACCTTGTCACTGAGCACACTGTTTAGCTCAGTGGAGGTTTTTTATAGCAAGATTTTCCAGATGATTTATACTCTGGCCCAAGCCCCAGCTGAGCTTATCTTGCTGCAGGTCAGCACTTTGACAGCACAGAGTCAGGTGGCCACGGCAAGCCAGGTGAGAGAAAGTCAGTATAGGGTGGCAGCAAGAGAGAGGAGAGAAGTGGGCAGACGTAAGAGATACGTATGAGGTAAAATGGACAGGACTGGATGACTGATTGGGGGATGAAGGAGGAAGAGGACAGAAGGATGACGCCAGATTCCTTTTTCAGCACTGACTGGACATCTCACTGAGACGGGGCAAAGGTCCCTTCCTACTCTTTTTTTTTTCTTCTTTTTTTTTTGAGATGGAGTTTCACTCTTGTTGCCCAGGCTGGGGTCCAATGGTGCAGTCTCAGCTCACTGCAACCTCCACCTCCCAGGTTCAAGTGATTCTCCTGCCTCAGCCTCCAGAGTAGCTGGGATTACAAGCATGTGCCATCATGCCCAGCTAATTTTTTTGTATTTTTAATAGAGACAGGGTTTCACCATGTTGGTCAGGCTAGTCTCAAACTCCTGTCCTCAGGTGATCCACCCACCTCGGCCTCCCAAAGTGCTGGGATTACAGGCGTGAGCCACCATGCCCAGCCCCTTCCTACTCTTACATTCTGTGACGCAGTGATGCTACTCAGTGACCAAATCCCTGGAAATTCTCTCAAAATCTTTTTTGTTTTTTGTTTTTTGTTTTGAGGCGGAGTTTCACTCTTGTTGCCCAGGCTGGAGTGCAATGGCGTGATCTCAGCTCACTGCAACCTCCACCTCCCGGGTTCGAGCGATTCTCCTGCTTCAGCCTCCCGAGTAGCTGCGATTACAGGCATGCGCCATCACACCTGGCTGATTTTGTATTTTTAGCAGAGATGGGGTTTCTCCATGTTGGTCAGGCTGGTCTCAAACTCCCGACCTCAGGTGATCTGCCCACCTCAGCCTCCCAAAGTGCTGGGATTACAGGTGTGAGCCACCACACCCGGCCTTCTCTCAAAGTTTTAAAGCACTACAAAAGAGTAGAAATAAGACCACCCTTCATCCAATCCTTCCACCAGCTCTCAGAGGTAAGGAAGAACATTGCTGATTCTCTCATGTCACAAACCCAAAAGCAGGATCAGAGTGGTGAAGGGGCTGCCTGTGTACACCGAGCTGGTGATGGGGGGCTGGGCTGGCATCCACCTGAAGCTCCTACCCCTGGGTCAGCTAGTCTTAAGGGGAGACAGGGGTCAGGCCTTTGTGATCAGCATGGTGAAATTCTCCCTTCTACAAACAGCTCATCTTAGAAGAGCCAGGGTCACAGCCATTTGGGGGAAAGAAATGGGATCCTTGGTGCTGCCCGCCACCAGGCCTGCAGCAGCCCCACAGCCTTCCGTACCAACGACCATGATGTTGAAGTCGAAACCGGTCTTCATGGTCTTCTTGCGCATCTGCTCGATGATGGTGTCGATGCCGATGTAGCCCAGCAGGTTGGAGTTGATGCTCATGGGCTTCATGGGCACCGCTGGCTTAGGCCTGGGCTCAGGCACCAGCTCTGACATGGCTGCGTCCGTCCTGGTCTCTGGGAGCCCTGCAGAGCCAAGGTGGGAGGGGTCGGAGGGGTGATCAGGAGGACGGCAGAGGTCACATGGAAACCATGGTATTTTTCTCTTGCTACAGAATCATACAAAGTTGGGCCTGGAAGGGATCTTAGTATCATCCAGTCCAGGTCCCTCATTTCATAGACAAAGAGACTGAGGCCTGGAGGAGAAAGAACTCAACTAAGAACACAGAGCAGGTCAGAGGTAAAATCTGGGCCAGTGCCAGGTTCTCTGGTTGCTGGGCACTTTCAAATGCACCTCACTGCTCTGAAGCCCACATCTGTGCATCTAACCCAGGGGCTGCTCCATCTTGGCACTAATGACATTTGAGTAATTATTGTGGGAGGCTGTCACATGCATTACAGGATGATTAGTGGCACCCCTGATCTTAGTAGCCCCCCAGGCTGTGACAACCCAAAATGTCTCTAGATGGTACCAAATGTCCCCTGGGAAGCACCATTGCCCTGGCTGAGAACCACTGGTCTAAGAAATGTCTGGGGTTGTTCAGACCTGAGTCATGCCTCCCTCCCCGAATAAAGGGCAAAGACTTTTTAGGATCCTGCACTAACATCTATTAACTGTCACTGACCTCGGCTGCTTCATCTTTTAGAAGCAAACAGGGCTACCCTTCTCTGGAGAGTGGCTATCACTCTCGTCTCCCAGCCTCGATGTCCCCTCTGTACCATGAGCACCACTGCAGAGTAGGGGTGTCTGTACCTGAAGGAGCCCAGACACCCTCCCAGCCATTGTTCTGAATCTGTGGAACCAGTGGGGAGGGGATGAGAACCAGATGAGGGCAGTCACTTGCCTAAGACGACACAGTGTGCTCTTGGAGTGGTGGATAGCAGATGAAAGAGAAGGCTGAGGAACCAGCCCCTCCCTAGTGAGGAAGGGCAAACGTCCCCCTGGGTTTAGTGGATCATGGGTGTGTTCATACACAGGAGAAATCTGTGGGTTTCCTTATCAGGCCACTGTCCACCAGGGCAGGTTCCAGAATAGAGCACCTCCATTTCCCCATCCATACAATTGGGGTATGGGGTGAAGTGGAAAGAGCCTGGCTCTGCTACTTCTCAGCTTTGTGGACTTGGGAAGACCACCTCCCCACTATGAGCCTGCATCCCTCTCTATAAAATGGAAAGATCATCACTAAGACTGTGGTGAGCTTTCATGAGACATGATGCTTAGAAGCACTGAGCAATGGCCGGGCGCGGTGGCTCACGCCTGTAATCCCAGCACTTTGGGAGGCCAAGGCAGGCGGATCATGAGGTCAGGAGTTCGAGACCAGCCTGATCAACATAGTGAAACCCTGTCTCTATTAAAAATACAAAAATTAGCCAGGCATGGTGGCAGGCGCCTGTAATCCTAGCTACTCAGGAGGCTGAGGCAGGAGAATTGCTTGAAATCGGAAGGCGGAGTTGCAGTGAGCCGAGATCGTGCCACTGCACTCTAGCCTGAGCAAAAGAGTCAAACTCTGTCTCCAAAAAAAAAAAAAAAAAAAAAAAAAAGGCACTGAGCAATATCTTACAGTCCCAGACCCTTTTGCCCCAGCCCCTTTCAGGTCTGTAGGGGAAATGAAACAGTACATGTGAAAGCATTGGTTAAAGGAAGGTGTCCCCAGATGCCAGTTACACAAGCATGGTTGTTGGACTCCATGTGCTCTTGAGGACACCTTCCAGCTCTGCCGTTCTAGAATCCTATGTTTCATGACTAACACCCTGCAGAGTCTCAACCTTACAGGGAGGCCTGATGGAGCAGCAGATGGGCGGGAGGGAGAGGGGACAGAAGTATTCCCTTCCCACCCCTAAACCCAGCCAGGAGCCTACTCTCATCTCCCTCCACCTGGTCCTTCCACCGGTACTGGTAAGACCCTCTCTCCCAATGGGAAACTGTTCTTTCTTCTGTCACTCCCAGGCACAGCCAAATCTGCCAAAGCCTCAGGACCTCCCCAGGGCCTGGCATGGCTCTCTCTTGCTTCCCAGGAAGCTGTTCCCAGCCAGGCAGCTCCGCATGGCAGCAAGATTGGCCCAGCCCTGCAGCAGCTGACTCTCAGCAGCCTGGCCCTGCTCCTCCACTCTTGCACGTGGCTCACAGGCCCCACTCAGCACACCTGCACTGGGACCAATGCCCCATTTTTCCTGCCCAGCTGCTCACACAAGCTGGGCCTTTCCATTGCCCCTTATGCCTCTGCAGCTGAGCCCATTTGGTCTCAACCTGTGTTATAAGATAGAGCCACATGGTTTGGGGGGGTGGTCTTATCCCCATTTTACAGACTTGGAAAGTATGCCTTGTATTTACTTATGAGAGGTTGTGTAAAGATTCCTATAAAGTGTGTGCTCTCACCATGGCCTGCTCCGCCCTGGCCTGTCAACTGCAGCATCCTAAAAGAGCACGCCCAAAAGATAGACCCTGATGGAGAGAGGGTCCTACCAGATCCCCAAGCAGCATCTAGGGGCTACCACAGGCCCACTACAGGACCAGGACCTGGTAGATCTCACTTTCATTCCTCCAACAAGCACATATGAGCACCCACTGTGTGCACTGTACACAGCGCCTGCTGGCAAGTCAGCCTCCCCACCACATGCCAGTGACATGCCAGTCACATGCTAACAAGCCACCCACCAGCCCCAAGTACAGTAAATGTGTGCAGGTCACTGTGCCACAAGCTTTGCTGGAAGATCCTGTTCCCCCTCCAACCCCTGGCTCCCTCCTCCTCCTCCTCCTCCTCCTCCTCCTCCTCCTCCAGCATTCAGCCCCACTGCTACTCCCAGGAAAGCCTCTGCTTTGCCTTCTGATGTGGATGGCCCTCTTCTGTGCCCACTGCACATTTTCTGGTACTCATCACATTCACTCATTCATTCATTCCATCCCATCTAGGCCATTTCATATGCTGTCAAATGGGGGTCTACACCAGCCAAGCCCTAGGCGAAATTCCAAGGACACTTATGTACCCCAGACAAGGTTGTTGCCCTTGAGGGCCCCCTGTCTGGTAAGGGTGCCTGACAAATAAACAAAGACCTCTGGGGCACAGAACCAATGCTGCTCTGGAGCTGGATTCTGTAGTTCCATCCTCTGTCCCTACAACTCCCCTGGTCCCACCATGTCAACGTCAGATGGGCAGGTGACCCAGGCTTGAATCCTGGCTGGGTGACCCTTATGAGCCTCATTTTCTGCTCAGACAACTGGGGATAGAACCTACCTTGCTGGGTTTCTATGAAGGTTATACAGAATGAAGAATGTAAATTATCTGGCACAAATACGTACTAGTTCTCACCCTTCTTTAGGGCGGGGCCGTGTCTTATTGATCTCTGTGCCCCAGTCTACCCAGCATACCACAGGCACTCCTCAATAAGTGAATGAATGAATGATGAGTGAATGAGAACTTCAGAGTGAGGCAGGTATCAGACACATCACCTTTCTCTTCCCTCAGATGCTTCTCCCCATGCAGAGCAGCTGACCCCCCAGTGAGCAATGGCTGTTGTCTCCGCCACAGTCAAGGGAGTAGAATTGTTGAGACCTCCTCCTTCCTCTGCAACAAGGATTGGAGGGGGGCTCCCCAAGGGTGGGGAAGAGCTCGGGTCACAGCAGGGTGCAGCTCAAGTCTGCCATCCTGGCTAGATGGTCCTTGGGGCCCCCCTCAGCTCCTGGCTCTCCTAGGGCCCCTGGAGAAGGGGGATCTGCCTGCAGCACCCTCTGCCAGAAGCTACCTGCCCCATCAGTGCTCCAGGGAGAGGCACCATCCACCTGACTCGGTTGCAGCCAAGAAACAGCCCCTCCATTCCCATGCTAAGCAAAGACCCTGGCACTTCCTTTTACAGGCAAATGAATGGCTTTGGCTTTGTCTGGCCCAGGGACCCCACCCCTGTGTTAGGAAGGTAGCAGCTGGGGGAGGGTACTTTTCCAAAATAGCACCTGCTTAGTGCAGGCCCCCCCTCTTCCTTCCACCCTGAAGATGGATCTTCCTCAGCCCCCCGCAGCCTTCAGGACCCCACCGCCCCCCACAAAGGCAATTCCAGCCCACCCCAGTTCCAGCCCTAGGCTCTGGGAAAAGGAATCACGAAAGCTCTCTCGGTCCTTTCCCATTCGCAGGAGCAGAGGGCCCTGGGACACCCGTTCCCCCATCCCAGTCCTCTGGAGGCCAACGGGTTCCCTTGGAGACCACCAGCTGGTGCCTGTCTCAGCGTGTGCCTGTAGGGGTTGCGGGGGAGGGGACGTATGTATCAGTGCACAGGTCTCTCATCCGGCTGGCATGGCCCTGGCACCTGTGCGTGGTGTGTGTGTGTGTGCGTGTCTTGGTGTACTCCAGCATGGGGCTTTCTGTGCGCATCTGGGTCCCTGCTTGCGTGTCCGTGGGTCCCTGCGTCTCCCCGCGTCCTATGTCTGCCTCTCTCCAAGATTGTCTCTCTCGAGGTGGGTGCCACCGTGTGTGCGTGTGTCCGCGCATCTGTCACCGCGCGTGGGCTCCTCGGCGCGGAAACCCTCCCCCAGGAGCGCCTCCAGCCGCGCTGGCCGGGGCCGCAGCCTCCTCCTGGCGGGTGCCGGTGGCCTGGCCGGCCGCCCTACCTTTGGACATGAATCCTCCTTTGTCTCCGTTCCTCCAGGGAGATGCTCCGGGCGCGGGGCTGCAAGGCTGAGCGGGGCGCGGGCTTCCCCGGGCCGAGCGGCCCCTGCAAACGGGCCTCGCCCCTTCGCGCTCTCCTCCCACCCGCCCGGCCCGCGGCCCCGCCGCGCCGCCCCTGCGCCCCGCGCCGCCGCGCCCTCCCCGGGACCTCGCCTCGGCTCGCTCGGCGCCGCGCCGCCCCTGTCCGCGCGCACCGTTGCCGCCGCCGCCAGCCGCCGCCGCTGCCACCCGCACCACGTGACCGCGCGCCCGTCGGCCCCGCCGAGGGCCCCTCCCCTTCCCGCGGCGCCCGCGCCCGCAAGCGGGAACTGGTCCCGGGTCCACGCTGCGGGCGGTCCAGGAGCCGCCCCCGCGGGCTCCAGGTGCCAGGCCCGGAAAGGTGCCTGCATCCCAGTCCCGTCTCTCCCCGCTGGACCTGCTCCCCGCCCCTTACCCACTGGGCTGCGGCGGGGACGGGCGGAGGGGCGCAGGGGACCAGTGGCAGCTGCGGGCGGCCGTGAGCGCGCGTGAGTCACGCGGGGGCTGGGGTGTTGCGCGGGTGCCTGTAGAGCCGAGTCAGGGGCCCGGGTTCCAGGCCCTGCTCCAGAATGATGAACCAATAACCTTGAGCCAGACAGGAACTTCTCTGAGCCTCAGTTTGCCCATTAGAAAAAAATTTCACGCATTCAGTGGATACTAATGGACAGCATATTGCCTCACAGGGGTGAGGACAACCATCCCTCCCCTCGAAGGTTCTGGGTCTAGTGGAGGAGACAGGAAGATGGAATGTCCTAATGCAGGGGCCGGGGTGCACACAGGGAACTGAGGGTGCAGGCAGGTGGGCACCCTGGGGAGAGGGGGCTTGGAAGACTTCTTGGAGGAGATGAGGGCCAGATGGAAAGGCAAATGGGAGTGGAAGGGAAGAATGGAAAGGGAGAGGTATTCTGCAAAGAGAGGACAGCAGAGGTGAGGGTCTCCAGAGGTGAGAGCTGCGTGGTGCTGGTGGACAGCCCAGAGTCCTTGGTGTCGCTGAAGCAGAGAAAATTCCAGACAGGTGTGTAGAGCTAAATAAGAGGCTGGAGAAGTCCGCACGCAGCCTTGGAAGCTGGATTTTAATGGAAGGTAATGGTGAGTCACTGACGAATATTAAGCCGAAAGTGCTGCCATTCAATGTGGGAGTCGTTGCAGCAGTTGTGTGTGGACAGGGAACAAGCTGGTGGGTGGGAGGTGGCCTCACAGGGGCAGAAGGATGGAGAGGAGGGGACAGCCAGCCAGATAGTTGAGTACTGAGGAGGTAAACCAACAAGGTGGGAAGTAGACTGGATGAGATGGCAAGAGAGAGATGAGGAAGAAGAGGATACCCGGGTTTCTAGGCACCTAATAAAAGGTAGGCAATGCCTACAGCTGAGAGAGTGAGATCAGGGAGGCAGGAGTCAGTTCAAGAAGAAAAGGGCTACCTCTGGACATGCCCGGGAGACATCCGGGTAGATAAGCCTAGCAGGCTGCTGGCTGCCCACATCTGCACTTCAGGAGACAGGGCTGGGCTGCAGATGGAGGGAGAGCTGAGATCTCGTAGGGAGAAGTGAAGACCAGAATTTAGGTGAGGTGCCCAGACTGAGTGTGTGGGGTGGAGGGAAAGGGGTCTGACAATCTAACGACTCAATTAAGGCATTAGACTGGATGCCTTCTAGGCACCTTTCCAGACCCAAAAACTCTGAGCCCTTGAAATGTTGGGAATGAGGCTGCCCAAAGTAGAGATTTTAACAATCTGGATTCCAATCAGCTTACTGCCACCAGCCAGCTTTGGTGTGACTTTAGGCATGTCACAGGCTTTCTAAGACCAAATGAATGTCCAGCCCTTGTGTTGCCCTATTTTAGAGTTCTGTGTAGGACTTCCATATATACAAGGCTCCAACTTACCTTTCAGGATTAAAGGGCTGGGGGTGGGGGACCAAGAAAGAGACATTCAGGTAAGACAACTTTTAAGCAACAGATACCTTCCTAAAAGGCTGAGCGTAAATGGATTTGGAAAGTCTCGAGTGAGGTCATTATCTCACATCCAGAGGAGGCTGCAGAGACTACCTATTAGACAAATCACAACTTCCTAAAGCGCTAGTCAGTATTTTCACGTAGGAGGTAGGAGGCTTGCTTTTTTTTTTTTTTTTTTTTTTTTTTTTCTTTTTGAGACAGAGTCTCGCTCTGTCGCTCAGGCTGGAGTGCAGTGACGCAATCTCAGCTCACTGCAACCTCCGCCTCCCGGGTTCAAGCAATTCTCTGTCTCAGCCTACACACCTGGCTAATTTTTTGTATTTTTTAGTAGAGACGGGGTTTCATCATGTTGGCCAGGCTAGTTTTTTTTCTTTTTTTTTTTTTTTGAGACGGAGTCTCACTCTGTCACCCAGGCTGGATTGCAGTGGCGCAATCTCGGCTCACTGCAAGCTCTGCCTCCTGGGTTCACGCCATTCTCCTGCCTCAGCCTCCCAAGTAGCTGGGACTACAGGCACCCACCACCACACCCGGCTAATGTTTGTATTTTTAGTAGAGACGGGGTTTCACCTTGTTAGCCAGGATGGTCTTGATCTCCTGACCTCGTGATCCACCTGTCTCGGCCTCCCAAAGTTCTGGGATTATAGGTGTGAGCCACCACGCCTGGCCTGGCCAGGCTAGTCTTGAACAACTCACCTCGTGATCCACCCGCCTTAGCCTCCCAGAGTGCTGGGATTACAGGTGTGAGCCACTGCTTTTAAAGGTGGACACACCTATTGATCACCTGATTATTCCAGGTCTTCAGGAAACAAACAATCCCGGGAGATGCTGAAAGGAGGACTCACCATAATTGCTCCTCCACAAGTTACCCCTGTTAACCTTTCTTTTTCTTTTCTTTTTTTTTTTTTTTGAGACAGGGTCTTGCTCTGTCGCACAATCATGGTTCACTGCAGCCTCGACCTCCTGGGCTCAAGCAATTCTCCCACCTCAGCCTCCCCAGTAGCTGGGACCACAGATGCATGCCACCATGCCCTGCTAATTTTTTATTTTATTTTATCTTATTTTATTTTTTGAGACAGAGTCTTACTCTGTCACCAGGCTGGAGTGCAGTGGCACGATCTTGGCTCACTGCAGCCTCTGCCTCCCAGGTTCAAGTGCTTCTCGTGCCTCAGCCTCCCAAGTAGCTGGGACTACAGGCATGTGCCACCACACCTGGCTAACTTTTGTATTTTTAGTAGAGACGGGGTATCACCATGTTGGCCAGGCTAGTCTTGAACTCCTGACCGCAAGTGATCCACCCGCCTTGGCCTCCCAAAATGTTGGGATTACAGGTGTGCGCCACTGTGCCCAACCCTTATTTTTTATTTTTTTATTTTTTTGAGACGGAGTCTCGCTCTGTCGCCCAGGCTGGAGTGCAGTGGCATGATCTCGGCTCATTGCAAGCTCCACCTCCCGGGTTCACGCCATTCTCCTGCCTCAGCCTCCCAAGTAGCTGGAACTACAGGCACCCGCCACCACGTCCGGCTAATTTTTTTTTTTTTTTTTTTTGTACTTTTAGTAGAGACGGGGTTTCACCGTGTTAGCCAGGATGGTCTCGATCTCCTGACCTTGTGATCTGCCCGCCTTGGGCAGATCCCAAAGTGCTGGGATTACAGGCGTGAGCCACCGTGCCCAGCCCCTTATTTTTTATTTTTTGTAGAGACAGTCTCACCATTTTTCTCAGGCTGGTCTTGAACTCCTGCACTCAAGCAATCCTCCCATCTCAGCCTCCCAGAGTGCTGGGATTACAGGTATGAGCCACCACACCTGGCCAAAACCTTCTTTCTGATAGTTTCCCTCAGCCTGACCTCAGACTGGCAGGTTAGAACCCAGCTCAGGGTACAGTCCCTATGTCTGGCCCTACAACCCCCATTTCCTTTTCTCCCAACCCATTCAACCCTGACCTTAGAGTCCTTCCTCCGTTTCTCAACCCATGCAAGCATGATCCATCTCCAAGCTCACACACCTCCCCCTCCCGGCAGCCTAGTCCATCCCCAACCAAGTTTCTGCATTTACCTTTGTATTCTGTGGCCAGGTCCAGTGAGGCAGGCTCTGTGGCTCTGTCCATGGCAGCATTAGTGTTGTCCAGGGCTAGGTCTGTGGATCTGCTTGGCATTAGCAGGCATGTAGCAACGTCTGATATGGTTAGGTTATTAACACTGCCCAGTGTGGTCTTCCCAGTGGCTGGGTCTGGGGTTACTGGCACAACTGAACCCACAGCTGTGCCCATCCTGCTTGTGTCCAAAGCAAGAGAATTCTTAGCCGTGCCCAGCTTGGCTCTGTTCACTCTGGCCAAAGCCATGGCTGTTTCCAACCTACTGGTGCCCACTGTAGCTGTGATTGTGTCCGGCTTGACTGGGTCTGATGTTGCTGAATCCATGGCTATACCCTCTGTGGTCATATCTGGTTTGGCTGTGCTTCTTGTAGCCATGGCTTTGCCCAGCTTGTCTGGTTCTGAGGCTATCAAATCCATGACCATCCCTGGCTTGGTTGTCCCAACTGTAGTCAGATTCATGGCTGTGCCCGGCTTGATTGTGCCTGCTGTAGCCAAGTTCACGGTTTTGCCTGACTTGACTGTCCCTACCGAAGACAAGTCTCTGGCTGTGCCCAGCTTGATATCCAGGGCAGGGAACTCTGTGCCTGTGTCCAGTTGGGATGTGTTTGGTGTGGCTAAATTGATAGCCAAGCTAGGTCTGTTGGTGGCCATTGTGGCTAAATGTCTGGCTGCGTCTGTCCTTGTGTCCATAGCAGTCAAATTCACAGTCGTGTTGGCCCTTTGGAGACGCCCCCGGGGTCTGGGGATCCCCCTGGCCCGGGGCTTGCCTTTTCCTGGAGAAGCTCTGGTAGGCATGTGGTCAGTCACTGAGACAAGGTGCCCCTGGCCCAACGAGCCTGGCTCTGCAAGGACTGGTGCACTCTGGGCTAACCGGGATTGGAAAGGTAAGGCTAGGTAGGAACTCACCAGGGGCTTCTCCGTGGCAAGCATCCTGTTGGATTTGGTCAGACCTGGGTTCCCTGGGCCCTCAGAGTGGACCCTGCCCCCTGGCACTAGGGTCACAGGTGGCGAGCCTGGCGAGGACACCCTCCCTCCTTCATGGGGAGCAGCCTTCTTTCCTGGGGTAGGCAACTCTTCCCAGTGAGAAAGTGGGCGATCCAGGGACCGTGCCTGGCTGTTCTGATGGAGAGTCAAGGAGATGGAGCTGAGCTTCCTGGGTACAAGGCTGCTGGTGGGCAGGGGGCTCAAGGAAGCCCCCAGAGCGATGCCCGTCTCCTGTGGGGGCACACTCCGGGTCCTGGCTCCAAGGCCCAGCCGGCTGGAGGTCTGTGGGATATGGCTTTGGGGGAAGGTATCCAGATGGATGGTCTTCCTGAGGACGGGGGTGAGGGGGGACCCTCCTCCAGGGAGTCTCGAGGGGCGGATAGGGCGCCCCAGCACATGGCTATGGGAGAAGGAGGTTCCCGGGCCTGGAGCTCCATGCGACTGCATCTCTGGAGGAGCAGGAGCAAAGTTGTGGTCCATCCAGGTCGTTTGTCTTTCCCTGAGGCAATCAACAGAGAGAAGAGGCCAGGCAGGGGTGAGGAGCTCAGGCCTGGAGGTCTCAGCTCTCCCCTTCCTGACCAGCAGCTGAGCATGCCGGGTCTGAAGGGGCCTGGTTCTGGGGACTGTCCAGTCCTTAGTGGAGGATGCATGTAACTTCCTCCTGTCCTCCTACGGCTCCTACCTGCTGCAGACTGATCTGTACCTCATACCTACCCCACCCCGGCCAGCCACCACACAGTGGGGTGGGCACGTCCAGTGAGCAGTCTGCCTCCAGCATGGGGCATCTCAGGCTGGGCTTACGTCTCCCTTTGCCTGGGCCTGAGTGTGGCCCCTGTCTCTGTGGACAGCTCTATGGAGGTCACATACATGTTCAGGGACTCCAGAGGAGGGCAGTGCTTACTGGAGACGTCTCTCCCTTTCTCTTCCAGAAAGAACCAAAGGGCTGTGGGTTCCCACCCACAGCAGCCAACATAGGAGCTCAGGTGTCCAGGTGGCAGGATGAGAGAGGACCAATTTGGCTTAGAGCCCCAGAACCAAGAAAGAGCCCTGAGCTGGCCTAGTGCTGGAGTCAGAAACAGAGCCAGCCCTGGAGAAGGTGAGGATGGGAAATGGAGAGGCAGTGAGTGTTCACAGAAGGAGCTTATCTGGTGAACAAGCCATGGTCCCCGCCCTTGAAGAGGCTGCCATGCCCAGGGATGCCAGGCAAGGAAGTAGGCAGGGCTCCACCAAGCTAAGCATTAGGGGTAGAAAGGCGGGAGGCTAGACCTGAGCTGGGGCTGTTCCTACAGAAGGCCCAAAGGTGAGAAAGTGTGGCATCTTTCTGAAAATCCAACATGGGGCTCCTAGGCTGTATGTAGCAGGGAGGGGAGAGCCAAGGCTGCAGGTGAGCTGGGGTCCAGGCCAGGCTACAGCAAAGTTTAGGCCAGGGAATGTGACCCATTCCGATCTGTAGGTGGGAACGGCCACTCGGGCAGTGTGACAGAGGGATCAGATGGGAACAGAATTGAAGCCAGGATCCCATGAGGACATAGTTGAAACTCTCTGCTCCGTGGGCTGTGCAAGGGGCAGAGCTAGGGCTGGGGCTGGAGGAGGCTGCATTGCACAGGGGTAGAAGTGGCGGGACTGCCCAGGGTAGGGAGTGGGCACAAAGAGGTGTCGAGGATGAAGCTCAGGACTCTGGCTGTGGTCTTAGTAGATGGGCCACTCCCTGCTACTCTGGACTCCAAGTAACTCACCCTCTAGAAAAAAGTTGGTTTGGTTGCTTTTAACACAGCAGGCTGGGACCTGCAGCTGGGGGACAAGGCCAGGGCTGGTGGGAGGAGTCAGTTCCAGAGGGCTCATGGGGAGGGGAGTGATCATGTAGCCAGGTCCTTGAGGTCTGCAGCAGGGACGGGGAAGGCAGGGCACCGGACAGGGAAGGCATCACCCCTCACAATGGTGCCCCCAGCCCCTCATCCCTCTCCAGCCATATATTTGTATCCAAGACTGTCCTGGCCTCCAACCCTTTCCCACCTGGCCTATCACTGCAGCCCTGAACTTCTGCCCCCTCCTGCACAGCCACATCCACTTGGGCACACACGTTTACCCTGCACTTAGCCACAAACAGCTCCCCTCAGTGTGCACACCCACACACAGAGCAGGCCAGAGGACAGGGTGTCCGAGGGCATCACCCGACTCCCCATCCCCTCACTGCACTCCCATCTTCCATGGATTGCTTGGTCCTTCCCCACCCCACCCCCACCACCCTCCCACCCCCACAAACCCCCACACCCTTCCACCCCCCTACACACCTACCTTGATCAGAGGACAAGAAGGATCCAGTGTGTCTGGGAAGATAAGGCACACGCAGGCCCCTCACCTCCCCTGCACTCAGAGTCTGGCCATGGTGGCCAGCTTAGGGGCCTTGTCCCTCTGGTCCCCTCCTCAGCTCCTGCTCAGCCTCCAGGCCACAGTCCCCAGGCACAGGGCCCAGCCCTCTGCTCACTGTCCCACCAGCTACATCCCCGGAGACCGTGCTGGGCTGGGCTCTGGTGCAGGGAGGGGCTGGCTTCCTAGGAGTGGGCGGCTGTGAATGGCTGCTCTGAGCCTCTGGAATCCTGAAGAGCCATGGGAGGCTGGTAACGGCCAGGCTGGCACTCACGGCCACCTGCAGGGAGGTTCCCTGCAGCCTGCCCTCCCCAAATCTGCTCTGTCTCCCACAGACTTTGATGCCTGGGGAGTCTGCAGTAAAAACAGGGGTACTCCAAATATGGCTGCACTCTGGTAGTCCCAGCGCGAGTCTCCCTCTGGCTCTGCCTCTGTGCCCTTCATGCCCTGTTCAGCTCTGCAACCCTCAGACCATCTTGCCCACTCACCTGGTCTTTCCTCAAGGGGGCTGGAGTTCCTGGAGGCTAGAGCTCCTTCCACAACTATTCCCTGAGCCCCAGCTTGCTCCAGCTGGACCCTGTACCCAGACCCTAAGGGTGTGAAGAGGACCCCGCCCTAGGCCTGCCCCTGAGGGGACCACAAAGCCACCCAGCCTGGCTCTGGCAATGCCGACTCTCAGCAGCCCCTGGCCCTGGGGCTGGGATGGGAGCCCTCTTCTGTGTTCCCACAGCCCTCGGCTGCCTCTGTCATAGCAGTGGTGATAATAACAATGGTGCTGATAACAGCTACTATTTCCTGAGCACTTGCTCTGTGCCCGGCACCATGCCAGGGCTGGGCGGAGCTCACAGTCTGCTAGGAAGATAGGTATGTAAACAGATCCTATAGTACTGTCCTGTACGGTGATGGCAGATGTCCTCCGAGCACTCACCCTGAGTCAGGAACTAGGCTAAGCATTCTCCTGGCATCTCCTTTAATCTCCGCCTCATCACCTGCTTTTTACCGAGGAGGACATTGCAGCCCACACAACACTGTGTTGTCTGGTCTGCTCTCCTGTGTGTCTCTCTCTTTAGCGAGTGAGCTTCTGGAGCTGCGCTGGGCAATACAACTTTCAGTGATAATGGAAATGTTCTATGTCTGTGCTGTCCAGTACAGTAGCCACTAGCCACAGATGGCTACCGATCACTTAAAATGTGTCTACAGTGACCAAGGAACTGGATTTTTTAGTTTATTTTAATCTGTGGCTACCATATTAGCTCAGCTCTGTTTCGTTTGTTGTTGCTGTTGTTGTTATTAGTTTTTTTGAACAGGGTTTCACTCTGTCGCCCAGGCTGGAAGACAGTGGCGCCATCATGGCTCACTGCAGCCTCTTGGGCACAAGTGATCCTCCCACTTCTGCCTCCAGAGTAGCTGGGACCACAGGCATGCACCACCACGCCCAGCTAAGTTTTTATTTTTTGTAGAGACGGGGGTCTCCCTATGTAGCTCAGGCTGGTCTCGAACTTCTGAGCTCAAGCAATACTCCTACCTCCACCTCCCAAAGTGCTGGGATTACGGTCGTGAGCCACCATGCCTGGGTGGAAAGCTCAGTTATGAAGGTCCTGGATCTTCTTCTCTGGGCCCCAGGGTCTGGCAAAAATTGGCTTCAGTAAGTTTCTTTTTCTTGAGAGTCTCACTCTGTCACCCAGGCTGGACTGCAGTGGCGGGATCTCAGCTCACTGCAACTCCGCCTCCCGGGTTCAAGCCTCAGGATTCTCCTGCCTCAGCCTCCCAAGTAGCTGGGATTACAGGTGTGTGCCACCACGCCTGGCTAATTTTTGTATTTTTAGTAGAGACGGGGTTTCACCATGTTGGCCAGGCTGGTCTCAAACTTCTGACCTCAAGTAATGCATCTGCCTCAGCCTCCCAAAGTGCTGAGATTACATGCATGAGCCACCGTGCCCAACCGGTAAATTTCTTTAGAAAGAAATAATGAATGAATGAATGATTGAATGGTGATTGTGTGGGCCTAGCACCCATCCCTCTTCTTTTTTTTTTTTTTTTTTTGAGACAGAGTCTCGCTCTGTCACCCAGGCTGGAGTGCAGTGACGCCATCTCGACTCACTGCAAGCTCCGCCTCTCGGGTTCACACCATCACACCATTCTCCTGCCTCAGCCTCCCGAGTAGCTGGGACTACAAGCACCCGCCACCACGCCCACCTAAATTTTTTGTATTTTTAGTAGAGATGGGGTTTCGCAGTGTTAGCCAGGATGGTCTTGATCTCCTGTCCTTGTGATCCGCCTGCCTCGGCCTCCCAAAGTGCTGGGATTACAGGCATGAGCCACCGTGCCCAGCCCCTATCCCTCTTCTTATCCTTTCTCTCCCCTTACAGCTTTAGGTTCTCAAACTTGGCTGGGCTCTGGTTACCAGGGCAACGTGCTGGGATCCCAGTGGATGGGGGAGGGCAGCTATCTGGCGCTTCCATGCTTTGAGGCCCTGAGAACTGGCCTGACTTAAGGAAGAACAGAGGGTGCTGGGAAGGAGAGGCACAGCTCTGCCTGGACGGATTGGAGCAAGGGAGACTTTCCTGGGCCCAGCCCCATTGGATTACATGATCTCTGTGAGATAAGCAGCCTTGGGCTGAAATCAGTGGCCCTGGGTTCTCTCCCCACTTTGGCCAACGATTCACCAGGCAACGTCTATCAGATTAACTTGTGCTTCTGGGACTCAGTTGCCTTTTAAAATAGGGATCAGATGCCCTCATGTGGTCGGTCTCTTCTACTTCAAGATCTACAATTCCTCCATCTCGCTCCCTGCCAGGCTGTTAGGGCCTTGAGAGCAAGGCCTGAGTCATGTTCATCTCCGCATCCTCCTGCCCATCTGCCCTGCTTAGAGGCTTAGAGGACACTTCCTGCCCAGTAATTACAGGCCAAGTTTCAGCTGCCCTCTAGGGGCCCAAAGTGACAATGGCCCTCTCCTATCTATACATATGGTGCTTTCCCATCAAAGGAAAGATCCATAGGCCTGGAAGTGGCCTCAGAGAACAGAGGCCTCCACTCAACCACAAAACCATTGTGGTGGCCTCCCAGACAAGTGTCATAGGCTCTGGAGTCCTTCAAGCCTGGGTTTGTTACAACTATGTGATTTTCAAACAAGTCAATCCCCCTGAGCTCCCCTCTCATCTGTAAAATGGAGATTATATCAGTCAGAATGAGTTAAATTATGCTGCAGTAACAACCATTCCCAAATCCCAGTGGCTGATAACAACATGCTGATTTTTTTTTTTTTTTTTTTTTTTGAGACAGGGTCTCACTCTGTTGCCCAAGCTGGAGCGCAGTGGCACTATCACAGCTCACTGTAGCCTCGACCTACCCAGGCTCAGGTGATCCTCCCACCTCAGCCTCCTGAGTAGCTGGGACTACAGGCATGTGCCACCACGCCCAGCTAATATTTCTTCTTTTTTTTTTTCTTGAGATGGAGTTTTGCTCTTATTGCCCAGGATGGAGTGCAATGGCATGATCTCAGCTCACTGCAAACTCTGCCTCCCAGTTTCAAGCAATTCTCCTGCCTTAGCGTCCTAAGTAGCTGGGATTACAGGTGTGTGCCACCACACCCAACTAATTTTGTATTTTTAGTAGAGGCAGGGTTTCACCATGTTGATTAGGCTGGTCTCAAACTTCTGACCTCAAGTGATCCACCCTTCTCAGCCTCCCAAAGTGCTGGGATTACAGGCGTGAGCTGCGTCCAGCCTAATTTTTCTAATTTTTGTAGAGACAGGGTTTTGCCATGTTGCCCAGGCTGGTCTAAAACCCCTGGCCTCAAGCGATCCTCCTACTTCAGCCTCCCAAAGTACTGGGATTATAGGCCTGAGCCACCACACCTGGCCGCAATGATACATTGATTTCTCATCCATGTCTCATGTCCACAGTAATTTGGGTCCACTAAGGCTCTGCTCTGTGCCCTCTTCCCTCTGGGACCCAGGCTGCCTTCTAGTGCATTGCTAGTCATGTGGCAGAGGGAAGGAGGGAGTGACAAATTGTGGACTAGCCATTAGTCCATCAGCCATTCGGCCTGTACTCACTTCTAATTACAACTAATTGGCCAGAACTAGTCTTATGGCCCCACCCATCACAAGGAGGCAGGGAAGTTTAATCCTACCGTGTGCTGATAGCTGGAGAGTCAGAAACCTTTGGTGAACAGCAGTGAGGACCCACTTGCATGGTTGCCATAAGAATGCAATGGGGGGCCGGGCGCGGTGGCTCAAGCCTATAATCCCAGCACTTTGGGAGGCCTAGGCGGACGGATCACGAGGTCAGGAGTTCAAGACAAGCCTGGCCAACATGGTGAAACCCTGTCTCTACTAAAAATACAAAAAACTTAGCTGGGTGTGGTGGCGCGTGCCTGTAATCCCAGCTACTTTGGGAGGCTGAGGCAGGAGAATCGTTCAAACCCGGGAGGCAAAGGTTGCAGTGAGCCGAGATCACACCATTGCACTCCAGCTGGGCAACAAGAGCGAAACTCTGTCTCACAAAAAAAAAAAAAAAAAAAAAGCAATGGGGGCCAGGCGCGGTGGCTCACACCTGTAATCCCAGGACTTTGGGAGGCTGAGGCAGGCAGATCACCTGAGGTCAGGAGTTCAAGACCAGCCTAGCCAACATGGCAAAACCCCATCTCAACTAAAAATACAAAAATTAGCTGGGCCTGGTGGCGGGCGCCTATGATCGCAGCTACTTGGGAGGCTGAGGCAGGAGAATCACTTGAACCCAAGGAGCAGAGGTTGCAATGAGCCGAGATCACACCACTTCACTCCAGTCCAGGCGAAAGAGCAAAACTCTGCCTCAAAACAAACAAACAAACAAATGCAATGGGCAATTGCTAGTCCATGAGCTCAGTCCATGTTAGCCATTCAAATTGTTGCCTTGGCACTCTGATTTCCTTTTTTATGTATCTTCCATGATTTCCTCTGACTTTCTCATCAGTTCCAGCTGTTTACAGCTGCAGAAATAGAGGGAAATGGACCTGCCAAGGTTCACACAGTGAATCAGTAGCTGGACACCTAGGTCTCCAGGCTCCAAATACTGAGCCCGTCATACCTTATGAGGGAGGGAGAAAAAAGCTCTGCCTGCCAGGGGTTCTCTGTAAGGGTGGTTGACTGAGACTGTGATAGTCTTTTGAGGGAGCCTGCAGTCTTTGCCCTTCTCCCAAAGCTGGTCTCTCAGCCTTCCCGAGCCCTTCCTTCTCAGCCAGTGTGAAGAACTGAGGGGGCGGAACAATGAGGAGCCTGTGCCACCCTCCAGGGCTGGAATCCGAACATTGCAGCCATTCTTACTCAGGGACCCTGTACATTCCCGCCTCCTGTCCTCCTGTTCTGGGCCGAACCCTGACACACCTGCCCTTCCCCATCCTGACAGCTCTCAGATGTTGGGAAAGCTCCCAGGACTCTGCAAAACCTCTCAAAGCATTTTAAAAATCTGCACACAGCTTGATGCCCAGGAAACCTCCAAGCCTTTCTGAAATCTTGGTTTCTAAGCAAACAGGCAACTCCTGGCAGGACTTCCAAAGAAACTAGCCCCATTCTTGCAACAAGCAAGCTTTTAAGGAGGCCCTGACCAGTGCCAGTAAGGCTGCAAGCCAAGATGAGAAGATGTGGTCACTGCTCCCCACTGACGTGAACAAAATCGCAACACAAGATTAGCATTGTAATGGGGAAAGCTGCTGGGGGGGCCAGGGAAGGCTTCCTCGAGTAGGTGGTAATAGGAAGGTCATCGGGTTCTCAGTCTGGGTCTAAGCCTTCCTTGAAAAGCCACTTTCTGGTTGCTTAATCCGCCTGCCCTCCTGCCACTGGCTCACTTGCATTCTGTCTTTTGGCCACACCACTCACAGTCCTCAAAAAGGACTAGGTTCTCTCCAGAGTCCATGGCTTAACACTTGCAGCCTTCTTTCCCTTTGCAGGGAAAACTCTTATTCCACCTCCAGAACCCAGATTAATAGTCATGTCCTCCGGGAAGCCTTCCTTGACAACCCCCTTCCCCAAAAACTAGGCACTTCTTCGGTTCCGTTTCCAGTTCTGCACACATACTTCTCTTGCTGCAGGTACAGTTTTATAATTTGTCTGTTGGCCAGGCACAATGTAATCCCACTACTTTGGGAGGCCAAGGTGGGCGGATCACTTGAGGTCAGGAGTTCGAGACCAGCCTGACCAACATGACAAAACCCAGTCTCTACTAAAAATACAAAAATTACCCTGGCATGGTGACGCGCACCTGTAGTCCCAGACACGGGAGGCTGAGGCAGGAGGATCGCTTGAACCTGGGAGGCGGAGGTTGCAGTAAGCTGAGATCACACCACTGCACTCCAGCCTGGGCAACAGAGTAACACTCCCTCTCAAAAAATACTACTACTAATAATAATAGTTTGTCTGTTTATACTTCTGTAACCCCAGTTTGTGAGCTCTTCTGATGCAGGGACATCCTCTTTTCCATTACATTCTTGGTGCCAGGCCTAGGTATGTGACATGCCTCTGTAGAGTTCAAGAGGATAGCTGTGGGCCGGGCGCAGTGGCTCATGCCTGTAATCCCAGCACGTTGGGAGGCCGAGGCGGGCAGATCACGAGGTCAAGGGTTCAAGACCAGCCTGGCCAACATGGTGAAACCCCCATCTCCACTAAAAATACAAAATTAGCTGGGCATGGTGGCGCATGCCCATAATCCCAGCTATTTGGGAGGCTGAGGCAGGAGAATCGCTTGAACCCAGGAGGCAGAGGTTGCAGTGAGCCAAGACTGTGCCACTGCACTCCAGCCTGGTGACAGAGCAAGACTCCATCTCAAAAAAAAAAAAAAAAGAGGATAGCTATGTGATACATGGCGTTTATACAGTGCTTTCTTCCCCACTATCTCTGACATTTGCCATCACCCGGTGAGGGAGGTAGGGCAGGAGTGATATGAAAATGAACAGGGCTTGGATGGGCACAGTGGCTCATGCCTGTAATCCCAGCACTTTAGGAAGCCGAGGTGGGCAGATCACGAGGTCAAGAGATCGAGACCATCCTGGCCAACATGGTGAAACCCTCTCTCTACTAAAAATGCAAAAATTAGCTGGGTGTGGTGGTGCGTAGTCCCAGCTACTCGGGAGGCTGAGGCAGGAAAATTGCTCCAACCTGGGAGGCGGAGGTTGCAGTGAGCCAAGATCGCACCACTGCACTCCAGCCTGGCGACAGAGCGAGACTCTGTCTCAAAAAAAAAAAAAAAAAAAAAAGGAAAAGAAAAAAGAAAAAAAAAAAAAAGAAATGAACAGGGCTATACGGAGAACCTGACAGGAGCTGAGCACAATGCCAGACACTGGCAGGGGACATTTTTTTGAGCTTTAATCATCTGTGATTCTCAGTGCCTGACACAAAAATGTTTGGTTGTGTTTCTGAGAGCTCAGGAAACTTGCCCAAGGATGTGCAATTTAAATCAATGGTTTTATAGGATTAACTATTATCAGGTCTTGACCTCGAATCGCTCCTAGTCCAGTCCTCTGGCATCCCCTCGCAGATGGAAAAAACATCCTGCCTCCACGGGCAATGGCCTGTTTCTGTAGGCTCTGCCATCTGGGTCAAACCTTCCCTCCCCTCCACTGTGTTGCTTTTACTATACCATCTGAGGCATTTCTTTTTCATATTTAGAACCAGAAAAAGGTCAGGTGCCATGGCTCACTCCTGGAATCCCAGCAGTTTGGGAAGCCAAGGCGGGCGGACCACTTGAGGTCACGAATTCAAGACCAGCCTGACTAACATGGCGAAACACCATCTCTACTAAAAATACAAAATTAGCTGAGCATGGTGGCGCATGCCTGTAATCCCAGCTACTGGCAGGAGAATCACTTGAACCTGGGAGGCGGAGGTTGCAGTGAGCCAAGCCTGGGCAACAAGAGCGAAACTCTGTCTCAAAAAAAAAAAAAAAAACAAAAAACAGAAAAAAAATTGTCTTTCATGAAGAGTGAATCTCTCCCTTCTATCACATAACAATAAAAAGATGGGCCAGGTGTGGTGGCTCACGCCTGTAATCCCAACACTTTGGGAGGTGGGAGGATTGCTTGAGCCCAGGAGTTCAAGACCAGCCTGGGCAACATAGCAAGACCCCATTTCTAAAAAAGAAAAAAAAAAAAAAGCCGGGCGCAGTGGCTCACGCCTGTAATCCCAGCACTTTGGGAGCCTGAGGCTGGTGGATTGCCTGAGGTCAGGCGTTCGAGACCAGCCCGACCAACATAGAGAAACCCTGTCTCTACTAAAAATACAAAATTAGCTGGGCGTGGTGGTGCATGCCTGTAATCCCAGCTACTTGGGAGGCTGAGGCAGGAGAATTGCTTGAACCCGGGAGGCGGAGGTTGCAGTGAGCACCATTGCATTCCAGCCTGGGCAACAAGAGCAAAAACTCTGTCTCAAAAATAAATAAATAAATAAATAAATAAATAAATAAATAAAATAAAGCCCTCTTTGTGTTTCTCCTTTCCCTCTGGCTGCCAGGAGGCTTAGAGACAAGTAATAATAACAGCATTACAGTAGCAGTCAGAATTAAAATATTTCCTCCTTACACCCATGTTATGTGGCTCCTTCAACTGAAACCTTCTTGAATCTTTTAGGGGAAGAACAGGTGTAAATAAACATTTATGCAATGAGCCCAGGGGAGAAGTCTGGGAAAGGATCCAGGTTGAAGAGCAGAGGGCTTGGATGAATCTCTCAGCCTTCCTTTGATGGCAGCCTAGGATGAGAAATCTTGCTACAGCCGTTGAATGGAGGCAGCCCTCCTGAGAGGAGGACTGGCCACCTTAAGGCCTCCGGCAGGGTCACAGTCAGCACCCTCCCTGCCCAGGCTGTGAAGCTCGTGACCATGAACACATTTACACTTCAGACTCTATGTGGCTAGAATTTTTATTTTTAAGGAGGAGTCAGAAAAAGATTCTAGTGTGAAATCTCCTGACTGGTGAATGTTGGCAACTAATTTGCATTTTTTCAAAACACTATGTGGGACAAATCAAACTTGGCTGCAGGCCAGATCATGCCTGGAGGCCCTCCCTCGCTCAGCCAGTCAAGCCTAATCTACCTCCAAAAGAGTCTGTTGTGGTCGAGGTGGGGATGGGGGAGTTTACATCATTTTTCCTGAAACCTGCCTTTTCCTCTCCCTACATCCCAAGGGATCTGCCTTGTTCTGAGATGACCCACGCTGAACCACCCACAGGACACTGCCCCAGCCTTGGGTGACTGGCTTAACATGGACACTTGACCTAAAATGAGGCAACGAATCCCACCCCAGAGATATTTGCACTGGGGGCAGAGCAAGGACTGGTAGCTCCAGGGGCTGGAGCTGTGAGATACAGAAATTGCCAGCAGCTGACTGCTGTGTTTTCCATGCTGAGGGTGTGAGAGTGGCGACTAACAAGAAAAAGAATCCTAAGGGGGTCTGCATGCCTGGCTCTAGTTGTCCTAAGCCCACTACTTTCCTGTCCTAAAGGGACAGAATACCGCAGTGTCCTCATGGTATCTGGCCGTCTTGGCCAAGCTAGGACAGTCAAGTTTCTGTCCCTTGCAATGATCACTCCTAACTGGATTGGCCTGGGCCCTTTTCAGTCCTGCCTCTGACCATGGCTGGGAAAGAGTTTTCTGGATGAACAGGGGCTGCACTGAGCTTCTAATCCCAGCCTCACACCCCTAACTCTCTGAGAAACTAAGGCAGTTTGGCTGGGCGCAGTGGCTCTTATCTATAATCCCAGCACTTTGGGAGGCTGAAGTGGGTGGATCACTTGAGGTCAGGAGTTCGAGACCAGCCTGGCCAATATATTGAAACCCTGTCTCTACTAAAAATACAAAAATTAGCTGGGCGTGGTGACGGCCGCCTGTAATCCCAGCTACTCAGGAAGCTGAGGCAGGAGAATCGCTTGAACCTGGGAGGCAGAGGTTGCAGTGGGCTGAGATCGTGCCACTGTGCTCCAGCCGAAAAGAGTTGGACTCTTTTTGTTGACAGTGTAAGGCTCTGTTGTTTTGCATCTTGGTTGTGTCTGAATTTGTATCCTAACTGGTAATCTACCCCAGGAGTTCCAGTTAACATTTTTGGGGTGTTTTGTTTTGTTTTGTTTTGTTTGAGACAGAGTTTCACTCTTTTTGCCCAGGCTGGAGTACAATGGCAGGATCTTGGCTCACTGCCACCTCCACCTCCCAGATTCAAGCAATTCTCCCACTTTGGCCTCCGCAGTAGCTGGGATTACAGGCATGTGCCACCACACCTGGCTAATTTTTGTATTTTTAGTAGAGACGAGGTTTCACCATGTTGGCCAGGCTGGTCTCAAACTCCTGACCTCAGGTGATCCGCCCACCTCAGCCTCCCAAAGTGCTGGGATTACAGGCATGAGCCACTGAGCCCAGCCCAGTTAACATTTTTGATTGTCCTAACAGGAGAGGGGGCAATTGCAACTGGCATCTACTGGGGAGAAACCAGGGTTGCTAAACATCCTACAATGGGCAGGACAACCCCCTACAACCAAGAGTGATCGAGTCCAAAATGTCAGTACTGCAGCTCTTGGGAAGCCCTGGCCTACCTTCCCTGAGATTTAGTGTTCCCATCCCTAAAATGGGGACTATGGAGCTGTCATATTTTTCATGAGGACCCAGTGAGTTGACAGACATGATCCTCATTTCAGGAAAAGACAGGGTCCTGCAGAGATCATCATGAAGTCTTTATTATTGAGAATAAATTAAGATGGAAGCCCCAGCGAAGGGGGGCGGGGTGAGGCAGGTTGCCAATCTGTGTCCAAAGTGGGGCAACAGAGTCTCCACACAGGAGGAGGGTTCTAGGGTGGGCTTGGAGTCTGGCAGGGCCTGGCTCAAGGGGGCTGGGTTTGGCCCCAGAAGTGTGGCACAGGACAGGGAGGGAGGGCAGGGGCTCCTGCCTGCTGCCACAGTCTTGGGGAGGGGGAAGGGCTAGGAAACTCCAGCAGAGGGAGGGGGTTGGGACCCACTATGGACAGTCCTCACACAGCCCACGGAGTTCACCCCGTTTCCACCACCTCCTGCCCTGCCTGGGGCCCCCACACTCTCTCTCACATATACACATCTCATCTCCCCATGCTTGCCCGCTCCCCCCAGACTCTCTCTCTCTCTCTCTCTCTCTCCTCACCAACCCTCTCCTCTACCACGGTCTTATCCCTCTGCATACCCCCACCACACACCCTCACCAGTTCCAAGCCTGAGCCCCGCGGGGTGCGGCTGGTCTGGCCCAAGCTGACATCCCTCCAAACGAGGTTCTTAGGTTCTTTCCTTGGGTTGGCTTCGACCTGCCTAAAGTTGCAGGGCCGGTGCCATTGAGTGGAGGCAGGGGAGCTGGGGACTTCACGAAGAAATGAGGGCTCCGGAGCCTCAGGACAGGCAGCCATAGACATGCCTGAGTCCAGTGGAGGGCAGAGTGCTGCGCAGCGCAAAGGCACTGGGGCCCAGCGGAGGATGCCCCTGAGCTTGGGAGGGTGGGCTCTGGGTGAGTCGGCTTGACACGGAGAGCAAGCCCTGGGCCAGCCAGGCACCTAAGTGCCCCACCTCCACTGCCAGCGCACCTGGGGCCTCTGTCGGGAGGGCCCAGGCTGCAGAGGGATAGCGTGGAGGGCCAACAGGCCGGCCTCCCTCTGCCTTGGGGGTCTCCGGGCTGGGCGGGCGGGGCGGGCTGGGGGAGGGCGCCCGGTGCCGCCCGCCTATCCCCTTTGCAAGTCGGCTCAGACCTCCGGGCCGCCGAAGGCCAGGTTGTCGCGCACCATTAGCGTCTTGCGGAGGTCGCGGTCCACCAGGGGGCGCTGCATGCGCCACTTGTGCGCCTCCTGCAGGCCCGGCTCGAAGTAGTAGATGCAGGCGCCGAAGCCCACCAGAATGAGGACCGAGATGACCAAGTAGACCGGCACGAACCAGTCCAGGAAGTGCGGCATCGCGGCGGCCTTGGCTGCGGAGACACAGCGTGGTGAGGGCCAGCAGAGGTGCTCCCTGTCCCGCCCACCCAGAGGGAGACCTTCAGGCTTCACAGAGCCCGAGGCCCAAGCATCACTTTACAAATGGGGAGACTGAGGTCCAGGAGAGCAAGGGCGGGGAAGCGGCTGATCAAGACCACGTGGTAGGCCGGGCGCGGTGGCTCACGCCTGTAATCCCAGCACTTTGGAGGCCGAAGTGGGCGGATCACGAGGTCAGGAGATCAAGACCATCCTGGCTAACATGGTGAAACCCCGTCTCCATTAAAAATACAAAAAAAAAAAAAAATTAGCCGGGCGTGGTGGCGCATGCCTGTAGTCCCAGCTACTCCGGAGGCTGACGCAGGAGAATGTCGTGAACCTGGGAAGCAGAGCTTGCAGTGGGCCAAGATCGTGCCACTGCACTCCAGCCTGGGTGACAGAGCGATACTCCGTCTCAGGAAAAAAAAAAAAAAAAAAAAAAAAAAAGACCACGTGGTGACTCAGCCGCCCAGGCCTCGTGGGCAAGCACAGAGCTATCCCCACGCCATGGGGACACCCAGCTCCTATTCACCCTTTAAGGAGTCTTAGGCTGGGCACAGTGGCTCACACCTGTAATCCCAGCACTTTGGGAGGCCGAGGTGGGCAGATCACCTGAGGTCAGGAGTTCAAGACCAGCCTGGCCAATATGGTGAAACCCCATCTCTACTAAAAATACAAAAATTAGCCGGGCATGATGGCACGCACCTGTAATCCTAGCTACTTGAGACAGGAGAATCGTTTGAACCTGGGAGGTGGAGGTTGCAGTGAGCCAAGATCGCGCCACTGTGCTCCAGCCTGGGCAACAGAGCGACTTAACCATGAGCAGTTCTGGTTCAGTCTCTTGCCAGGATGTGTGCCCTTGGGCAAGTTGCCTAACCTCGCAGGGCCTCAGCTTCCTCCCCTATGGAAGGGGAAAGGGGCAACACCTCTACACTGGTCCTAGTGAGGATTCAGTGGGGTGACTGATCCCTGGATGGGGCCTGTGCAGGGCACTCGGTAAAGGACAGGTTGGGCGATGCCTCCTCTGGTCTCCTTGTGCCCCTGAGCCCCGGGGCCCAGCCCTGACTGCAGCTGCCATGGCTGCCAGTTGCCAGCACCTGCCCCTGAGATGAGTAGGTCTCCCAGCCACCTGCACGCCCTAGCCAAGTGTGGCCTGGTGAAAGTGTAGTGAACAAACACCCATTGAAGGAGACCTGGTTGATATCAATGGAGTCTACACAAGCCCAGTTTCATAGTTGTAAGGACAAGGCCCCTAGCACCAAAACACTTGGGCAAGATATTCAGACCTTTGGTTTCTACATCTATAAAATGGGAATGGGGCTGGACGTGGTGGCTCATGCCTGTAATCCAAGCATTTTGGGAGGCCAAAGCGGGTGGATTGCTTGAGCCCAGGACTTCGAGACCAGCCTGGGCAACATGGCAAAACCCCGTCTCTACTAAAAACTCAAAAAATTAGCTGGGCATGGTGGCACATACCTGTAATCCCAGTTACCCGGGAGGCTGAGGTGGAAGGATCACCTAAGTCTGGGAGATGGAGGCTGCAGTGAGCTGTGATCCCGCCACTGCACTCCAGCCTGGAGCAAGATCCAGTCTCAAAAAAAAAAAAAAGGGAATGGTAACAAGTACCCAGGTGATAGAGCTTTTGTGTCTGCTGAATGAGTTAATTTATGTAAAATATTCAGAACCAGTGCCTGGCACATAACAAGTGCTACATAGTAAGTTTGTTCTTATTCTCTGAGCCTCAGTTTCCTTATCTGTAAAATGGGGATAGAAATAGCACCCACGTCCTAAGGGTACTTTGAATTTTTTTTTTTTTTTTTTTTGAGACGGAGTCTTGCTCTGTCACCCAGGCTGGAATGCAGTGGCGCCATCTCGGCTCACTGCAAGCTCCGCCTCCCAGGTTCACACCATTCTCCTGCCTCAGCCTCCTGAGTAGCTGGGACTGCAGGTGACCGCCACTGCACCCAGCTAATTTTTTGTATTTTTAGTAGAGACGGGGTTTCACCGTGTTAGCCAGGATGGTCTTGATCTCCTGACCTCGTGATCCGCCCACCTCGGCCTCCCAAAGTGCTGGGATTACAGGCGTGAGCCACCGCATGCAGCCTGGGTACTTTGCAGTTTTAACAAGACAATGCCTAAAGAGCATTTTGCAACCAGGCCAATGGCTCATGCCTATGATCCCAGCACTTTGGGAGGCCAAGGAGGATGGGTCACCTGAGGTCAGGAATTCAAGACCAGCCTGACCAACATGGTGAAACCCTGTCTCTACTAAAAGTACAAAATTAGCCAGGTGTGGTGGCACATGCTTGTAATCCCAACTACTCGGCAGGCTGAGGCAGGAGAGTTGCTTGAACCCAGGAGGTGGAGTTCCAGTGAGCCACGACTGTGCCACTGCACTCCAGCCTGGGCAACAAGAGTGAAACTCTGTCTCAAAAAAAAAAAAATTAAAATAAAAAAGCATTTTGCACCATTCTGCCTGGCACAGAATCAGCACTTGGTCAATATCAGCTATTGTTATTTCCACTGAGCGAGAGGCGGAGAAGGCAGGAAAGTGGAAGGTAGCAGGTGTAAGGTGCGTCACAAACCTTATATACACCCAGACTCTTTTTTATTGTTTTTGTTTTTGAGACAGAGTCTCATTCTGTTGCCCAGGCTGGAGTGCAATGGCATGATCTCGGCTCACCGCAAGCTCCACCTTCAAGCGATTCTCCTGCCTCAGCCTCCCTTGTGAGTAGCTGGGATTACAGGCATCTGCCACCATGCCCAGGTAGTTTTTGTATTTTTTAGTAGAGACGGGGTTTTGCCATGTTGGCCAGGCTGGTCTCAAACTCCTGACCTCAAGTGATCCTAACCTCGGACTCCCAAAGTGCTGGGATTACAGGCATGAGCCACCGTGCTCGGCCCACCCAGACTCTTTAGAATGGCCCAAAGGTGCCCATCTGCTCCCTGCCAACCTCCCCCTCCTCACATGGCACACTATGTGCGGTCACATGGAACTGCCTGTCCGTCACCTACATGCGCCTGCACATTATGCAGTCCTCATCTTTGCATATGCTTTCATTTTGCATATGCATTCTTGTTCACTTGGCAAATTCCTACTCATACTTCAAAAGCCAGATCACTGTCTGGCTGTGGTGGGTCACGCCTGTAATTCCAGCATTTTGGGAGGCCAAGGCAGTGGATCACTTGAGGCCAGGAGTTCAAGACCAGCCTGGCCAACATGGAGAAACCCCGTCTCTTCTAAAAGTACAAAAATTAGCCAGGGGTGGTGGCAGGCACCTGTAATCCCAGCTACTCAACAGGCTGAGGCAGGAAAATCGCTTGAGCCTGGGAGGCGGAGTTTGCAGTGAGCCGAGATGGTGCCACTGCACTCCAGCCTGGGTGACAGAGCAAGACTCCATCTCAAAAAAAAAAAAAAAAAAAAAATTCAAAGTACCCTTAGGACGTGGGTGCTATTCCTATCCCCATTTTACAGATAAGGAAACTGAGGCTCAGAGAATAAGAACAAACTTACTATGTAGCACTTGTTATGTGCCAGGCACTGGTTCTGAATATTTTACATAAATTAACTCATTCAGCAGACACAAAAGCTCTATCACCTGGGTACTTGTTACCATTCTCTATTTTTTTTTTTTTTTGAGACTTGATCAGGAGATCAAGACCATCCTGGCTAACACGGTGAAACCCCGTCTCTATTAAAAATACAAAAAATTAGCCAGGCGTGGTGGCAGGTGCCTGTAGTCCCAGCTACTTGGGAGGCTGAGGCAGGAGAATGGCGTGAACCCCGGAGGCAGAGCTTGCAGTGAGCCGAGACGGCGCCACTGCACTCCAGCCTGGGCAACAGAGCGAGACTCCATCTCAAAAAAAAAAAAAAAAAAAAAAAAAAAACAGATCACAGATCACAGATCATCTCCTCCAGGGACAGGATGATGCAGGGCCTATTGAACCCACCCCCAACCTTCCCTAGTTATAAGAAAGGGGTGACGTGAGGAGCCCACCTCTGCCTGCCCGGCAGGTAGAGCACTGTTTTGACTTCCTCCACAAACTTCACAACAGGCCTATGGGGCAAGTGTCACTATCCACATTTTACAGATGAAGAAACTGAGGCCCAGACAGGCTCACTAACTTGCCTTGGCTTACCCAACTGGAAAGTGGCAGAGCTAGACGCCAAACCCCAGCGATGCCCTGAGGCTTGCGTCCTCCAGGGGAGGGAAAGGCACCTGAGCAGGATGAAATGAGCAGATGCCCACCTTGCTTCTGGGGAGGAAAGCAGGGGGATGGATGGAAAGAACTCCAGGTAGGTCGGAGAGAAGCCCTCACTCTTCTGACCTCCGTCTCCAAACTCCAGCTCCTCTTGTCTCTCTACTCCCAGGTGGGCCTGTGAGGGAAGCTGTGGCCCCAGGGGAGGGAAAGATGCTGTTTCCTGGTCCTGCATCCATCCGGAGCCCCTCTCCTACCCCAAAGGTCCTCACTGGCTGTTCTGAGGCACCGACATTGTATTAAAGTGCCCTATTTGTGAAGGAATAAAATGAAGAGTGCACTGATTATCCAAAGTGACTAGTGCAGCCAGGGCAGGGGAGCGTGTAGGACCCAGCACCTTTTAACCAGCTGCCTTTCTGGGGAGCTGGAGAGAGTGCAGGATTGTCTGGTGCTGCCAGGGTTGGTGAAGGTAGGGAAGGAGCACCTCAGGCAGGGAGGCTGCTCCCTGTGTGACTTAACTGTGTCCAAGGTGACTCATGCCCCCTATCCAGGCCCAGCCAGGCCCCCAGTTTCCTTCCAGCTTAAACATGCGAATGGAGGGCTGGGGCAGAACAGAAGCCATTTCAGCTGCAATGCTGGGGGATGTGGAATAGAGATCAAGGTCCCCCAACCTCTCCAGCCCTGTGCACAAAATCCCAGGCATTCTGAGGCTGACTGAGGACCCCGTGGTCTCTTCCTGATTTCTCAGGGAACTGACCTAGGTGGAAAAGCAACACACTCACTGGCCTCCTGTGTTATCTTGGCCCCTTCTTCACCCTCTCTGGGCCTCACGGTCCCCTGTGCACGGTGACAGGGTGGGGATGGGGTTACCAGATGATCTATATGGAATTTTCCAGCCTCATTTCAGCCAATGTGCTGCCTGAGACAGTGTGAGTTTGCAGAGCCCCTCTCCCTACCTCCCAAGCCATTGGCACCACTCGGTGCCCTCCGTGTGCCCAAAGACCCACCTCACGCCCTGCAGATGCCAGTTCCGGGGGCTCTGTGCTGAGCACACCGCCTCAGCCTGAGCAGCTCAGCATTGGCCCGTGGACTCATTCGCAGCTGCTGTCCCCAGAGACACTGCCATCTGCGGCCGCCCTGGGTGCTGGAGGCAGAGATAGGGCAGAGCCAATGCAACCCACGGGAGACGAGCTTCTCACACCCAGGGGCTCTGAGTGGGCCAGGAGGGGGCAGTCCTGGACTGGCTCAGCACCCTGGTATCTCTCCCTGCCCATCAGAGACCCTTCCCCCTAGCCCCCACTCTCAGGATGGCAGGAGGTGGGACCTGTCTCAGCCAATCAGCAGCCTGGCAGAGCAAGGGCTTTATCTTCCGTTGCCCTGGCAACCAGCCTTCTCTTCTGGATCCCTGGTACTGTGCACGTGGTACAGCAGATGACAGAGCGGCAGGATTGGGGGAGTGCGGGGAGGGGGAATCACCCAGCAGGCTGCAGGACCCCAAGCCTGGTGGGCCTAGAGAGGAGAGGACCGTGGCTGATAACTCTAAGGTTTGATGGTCTGCCATTTGGGGAGCAGGGAGATGCTGGGGTAAATGGCAAGCGGGTGGGGACAGAGAATCAGTGACCAGTAGAGCTCAAGGGGGTCATATGTTATACAAGGAAAAACCAAGACTGAGTCTGAGAGTTCAGACACATTGGCTCAATGTAACATTTCCTATGCACCAGACACTGTTTTCAACGCTTTGATTATATTAACTCAATTAATTCTTATTCATGGTCACACAGCAAGAAAGTAGCAATGCCAGGGTCAGAGCCCTAGCCTGGCTTTCAGGACCCTTGCAAATGGCTCCCCCTCCCCATTCTGCCTCATCTACCCCACAGCACCCCTGGCTGGTGTACAGCCAGCACAGGCATTGAGCACTCCCATCTTCCAGCTGGCCCCAACATCACTTCCTGCAGTCCTCCCAGCTGGATTGGTGTTGAGACCCCATTTTGGGATGAGGCAGAGAGGTGATGCTGCTGGCCTTCTCCTTCTCCCAGAGCCCTCAGCTTCTCAGTGACTGAGCTGGAATTCAAAGCCAAGAGCTGACGTTGGGGGTGGGGTCCACCTTCCCAAGCATGGATCCTCCCCCTCCCCCTATGCCATAGACAAGGTATCTGCCACGTGTTGAGGGCTATTCTCAGGAGGGAGAGAGCAGCCCCCTAGGGCCCACGGGGCGTGGCTGGGAAAAGGCTTCCAGGAACCACCTCCCTAGGGAATCCGTTCCCAGAAACCTGGGGATGGGCAGGGGGAAAGCCTCTGGGTGAGGTGGCTTCAGGACCTAGGTCCCCCACCACAGACACCTCTGCGCCATCTAGGGGCTCTTCAGGTATGACAGGTCCTTTCCAGCATATGTGGGACTGGGGGGTGACTGTGAGTTCACAGAGGGTTTGTTTTTTTTGAGACGGAGTCTCGCTGTGTTCGCCAGGCTGGAGTGCAGTGGCGCAATCTCGGCTCACTGCAACCTCTACCTCCCGGGTTCAAGCGATTCCCCTGCCTCAGCCTTCCGAGGAGCTGGGACTACAGGTGGGCACCACCATGCCCGGCTAATTTTTTGTATTTTAGTAGAGGCGGGTTTACGATATTGGCCAGGATGGTCTCGATCTACTGACCTCATGATCTGCCCACCTCGGCCTCCCAAAGTGCTGGGATTACAGGCGTGAGCCACTGCGCCTGGCCTTTTGCTTTGTTTTTTAAGACAAGGTCTTGCTCTTTCACTCAGGCTGGAGCACAGTGGTGTGATCATGGCTCACTGCAACCTCTGCCTCCTGGGCTCAGGTGATCCTCCCACCTCAGCCTCCCGAGTAGCTTGGACCACAAATGCATGCCACTATGCCCAGCTGATTTTTGTACTTTTTGTAGAGACAAGATTTTGCCATATTGCCCAAGCCGGTCTTGAACTTCTGGCCTCAAGCTATCCTCCTGCCTCAGCCTCCCAAAGTACTGGGATTACAGGCGTGAGCCACCACCTGGCCAAAGTGCTTTTTAACATTTTGGGGTGGGAGAGCAGAGGAGTTGGGGGAAGAATCACAAAGGGGCAGGAGTAAACTTTTTGGGGTGAAGGTATGTTCAGGCTCTTAATGGTGATGGTGGCTTCTTAAGTATATACATATGTCAAACTTATCAAATTGTACCCTTGAAATAAGTGTAGTTGATTATACGTGTCCCTTATGCCTCAATAAATCTGTAAAGTATGTGATCCATGGCCTGTCGGCATTGTTTTAGCCACTGATTCCTTATTCATACAAAAGCTTATGGGAAGCTCAATACATAACAGAGATAAAGTGGAGGTTGCTTCGGTTCAATGGTTGGGTGGGGGTGGGGGTTCTGGACCCCACCCACTCGGAATCCCCCGTCTCTCACAGGACCCCAAGTCATCTCCCCAGGGCTCCACAGAAGCCGATTTGAAAAATGCTGGCCCAGAGGACTCTGATGACCCTGCCAGCTTGGGTGTTCAGGATGTAAGAACCTCCAGGCCTCTATCTGGCCTCCTCCCCATCCCTACCCTTCATCATGTATGGATCTTAAACACAACTACTTTCTGTTCAGCCAATGATCACCGCCCCGGTGAAGTGGAGTGCAGGCTCCCCAGGGACACAGAGCAGCTTCCCCTGGGTTCCTGCTGCTCCTGGCTGCTCCCCGATGGCCTCCCCAACTGCAGTGCCTTGTCTCTTGTTACAAGTGGTAACTCCCTGAAGCAGTTTGGCCCCTCTGGGACCAGGGTCCCCAGGGCAGGCACTCAGCACATGCTGACCCAATGGGTCTCAGCCCGGCCCCTCCTGGAAAGTCCCCACCAGAGTCCAAAGTCTTTTCCCAGCCCACCACTCTCTAAGGGCCTCAGTCTCTGGGAGCTCAATCACCTCCGTGGCCTCACCTCCTCCCCTGTTCTTCTTACTCCATCTGCCACAGCCACTGGCCTCCTTGCTACGCCTCGGAAGTGCCAGGAGTGCTTCCCACTCAGGGGCTTTCCACTTGCACTGCCTTCTGCCTGAGGCCTCTTCTTCATCATACTTAAGGGGCCCCTCTCTCACTGAATTCAAGCATCTGCTCAAATGTCACCTTAGGGAGGCCTCCCTGCTCTAAAGTAGCCTCCTCCCATCCATCTCTTCTGCCAGACAGCTTTAGTTTATCTTTCATTTTTTTTTTTTTGAGATGGAGTCTCACATGTCACCCAGGCTGGAGTGCAGTGGTGCGATCTCAGCTCACTGCAACCTCCGCCTCCCAGGTTCAAGTGATTCTCCTGCCTCAGCCTCCCGAGTAGGTGGTATTACAGGCGCCCGCCACCGCCACCATACCTGGCTAATTTGTTTGTTTGTTTTTTGTTTTTGTGATGGAGTTTCGCTCTTGTTGCCCAGGCCAGAGTACACTGGCATAATCTCAGCTCACTGCAACCTCTGCCTCCCAAGTTCAAGCGATTCTCCTACCACAGCCTCCCAAGTAGCTGGGATTACAGGCATGCACCACCACGCCCAGCTAATTTTGTATTTTTAGTAGTACAGACAGGGTTTCTCCATGCTGGTCAGGCTGGTCTCAAACTCCTGATGTCAGGTGATCCGCCCGCCTCGGCCTCCCAAAATGCTGGGATTACATGCGTGAACCACCATGCCCACCCTGCTCAGCTAATTTAAAAATTTTTTTGTAGAGATGAGGTCTCACTATATTGCCTAGGCTGGCCTCAAACTCCCGGCCTCAAGTGATTCACCCGCCTCGGTCTCCCAAAGTGCTGGGTTATAGGCATGAGCCACGGCGTTCAGCTTACTTTATTTTCTTGTCATAGTGCCTACTACTGCTTGACTTTCAGGAAGTCCTCTCCACACCCCATGCCATGAGGAATGAAAGCCGTATCTGTGCTGAGGGCAGTGGCTCTATGGGGCCATTTACGTCCTGATCTTTCTGAGCAAGACACAGTTAGTTTAGTCTGCAGTAAGAAGGATTTAGGCTAGACAGTGTCTCTGCTCTCCCAGTTATTACAACAATGAACACACTGTTATCATTGTCTATCCCACCCCCATCAAACTAAGTTAATCAATAATGTCTGATTCAACTGACTTCCTAGGGTAGGGCATTGGGTCTGGGCATAGGAAATGATGAATGAATGACTGCTGAGAATGAATGGATGAATGTAATCCATCCATTCACTCAACAAATATTTATTAACTACGATGTACCAGGGACTTTTAGAGTGCTGGACATACAAAGTGACAAAGTCTCTAACCTCTTGTTTCTTACATTTTAGATGTAGAGACAGTGAACAAGTTATTATATAACTGTTGGCAGAACCAGTTTGCTATGGGCCCTGAGCGTCCCTGCATGTTCTTGCTGGGTATGTCAAGAAAGCAAGACCCTGACAGCTCTGTACTCAGGCTGTGTTTGCAGCAAGGAACCTTGAAAGATGAGGTAAAGTCTCCCATTGGACAAAGAACAGCATGCTTACCACTCACTGTAAAAGCAGTCAATTGGCAGGGCCTGCTGGTGTGCAGCGGTAGTCCCAGCTACTCAGGAGGCTGAAGCAGGAGGGCTGCTTGAGGCCAGGAGTTTACGACCCACCTGGGCAACATGGCCAGATCCCCATGGTGGCACTTGCCTGTAGTTCCAGCTACTCAGGAGGCTAAGCCAGGAAGATGACTTGAGCCCAGGAGTTTGAAGCTGTAGTGAGCTATGATCGTGTCACTATAGTCCAGCCTGGGCAACAAAGTGACGCTCCAAAAAAAAAAAAAAAAAAAGGGCCAGGCACGGTGGCTCACGTCTGTAATCTCAGCACTCACTTTGGGAGGCCGAGGCGGGATCACTTGAGGCCAGGAGTTTGAGACCGGCCTGGGCAACTTGGAGAAACCCCGTCTCTACTAAAAATAAAAAAATAAGTCGGGCGTGGTGACGCGCGCCCGTAGTCCCAGCTCCTTGGGAGGCTGAGGCAGGAGAATCGCTTAAACTCGGGAGGCAGAAGTTGCAGTGAGCCGAGATTGCGCGCATTGCACTCCAGCCTGGGCCACAAAGCGAGACTCTGTCTCAAAAAAAAAAAAAAAAAGTACTGTGTATGAGCATGAATGAATGAAAGTGAACAAAGGAATCACTAAAAACCTGCTTACTGTGGAGCGTGGAACCAAAGGCCTGTCCACCACGTGTTCCACGGGTAGCGCTGGAACGCCCCTCAGAAAAGGAGATAAAGGTTCGGTTCCTTTAAGAGGCCCCGTCCCGTCCCGCGAAGCCCCGCCTATAAGGAGGCACGTGCCCCCAGGCCGCGCTCTAGGGGCTGGACTCAGGGCGGTTTGAAAGATCGGCGCGCACCGCAGGAGCAACGGTTGGTCCTGCGGCTGTGATGTCGGTGTTGAGGCCCCTGGACAAGCTGCCCGGCCTGAACACGGCCACCATCTTGGTAGGTGCAGGCGGCCCTGCTTCCCCCGCCGGTTTTTCCTCCTGGGCGGTGCTTCAGCCACTAGGTCAACTGAGCTCTCTGAGGCGCCAAGCCAGCGCGCGCTACCGTGGCGGGGGCGGGGAATAGGCGGAGAGCCATGCTCTGAACCAATTGGAGTAGCCGCTCTCTGAGGTTGAGGGACGCACCCACCAATAGGTGCTCGGCGGACCCTTTCCCAGCTTCTGATTGGCGAGTTCCCGCGCCTGGAATTGGTTTTCCCGCGTCTGGGGGTCTGGCCTCCTGGAGAGGCCGGCGGTGGGAGCGAGGGTCGGGTAGTAGAGAGTGCGGTGCCCACAGGCCTGCAGCGGGTCCAAACCTCAGGCCCCCAGCCCGTGCCGCTTCGCGGGGTCCACTTCTCGGGAAATGTCCTCCGAGCCGCCTGCTGGCGGTGTCCCGATCCCCCCGGGAGTGGGTCGAAGGGCCAGGCCCTCCCCAGGGGGTGCTGTGCCTAGGGCTCGACTGTCCGCTCTCTCTCCCTGCGCAGCTGGTGGGCACGGAGGATGCTCTTCTGCAGCAGCTGGCGGACTCGATGCTCAAAGAGGACTGCGCCTCCGAGCTGAAGGTGTAAGTAGCCGCGGCTGTGGCCTGGGCCCACGTGTCTCTCACTCCAGAGGGATTCGGTCCTAGCTGCTAAACTCCGAAGCCCAGCGCCCCCTCCTCTGAGGCTGGTCCTTCTCCCAGCATGCAGCGTAGCTGGCTAGTCCCATGCCGTCTTATATCCCAACCTCCCCTTGCCGAGGTGGTGACTAAACAGAGCCCGTTTCTGGCAGAGGGAATCAGACAGGAGTAATCTGAATAGGACCGGACCTGTCCTGCCTCTGTGCTGGCCCAAGGAGTCGTGGCCACAAGAGCCTCGGGTGGCTAGGATGAGGTGGGGAGCCCTTGACGGCCTCTTTCCACATGAAGGGCAGCATTTAAACGGTCGCTATGAGGGGGGTACGGATATCTTGAGTCCTGCAATTTCCTGTTTTTCAGCCACTTGGCAAAGTCCCTCCCTTTGCCCTCCAGTGTGAATCGGCCCCGAATTGACCTGATCGTGTTTGTGGTTAATCTTCACAGCAAATACAGGTGAGAGCCAGAGGAAGGGGCAGTCAGGGCTCAGGCAGGCCTGGCTCAGGACTGTGCTGAGACGGTGACCTAACTTGTGATGGGAAGTGGTGAGGATGGGAGAGGCTGGCTGAGGTCAATCTGTAAGGTGAGGAGAGAGGAGCCAGTGGTCAGTGCACAATGTTTAAAATACACAACGGCCGGGCACAATGGCTCACACCTGTAATCCCAGCACTTTGGGAGGCCAAGGTGGGCAGATTGCCCGAGACCAGCCTGGGCAACATGGTGAAACCCCGTCTCTACTAAAATACAAAAATTAGCCAGGCGTGGTGGCATGTACCTGTAGTCCCAGCTACTCGGGAGGCTGAGGCAGGAGAATCATTTGAACCCAGGAGGCAGAGGTTGCAGTGAGCCAAGATCGCGCTACTGCACTCCAGCCTGGGCAACAAAGTGAAACTCCATCTAAAAAAAAAAAAAAAAAAAAAATTAAAGGACAAATATTTCTCCAGAGAAAGTCACCCTCTTGTCATTCTCTGGCCTCTAGGATCAGAGAAGCAAGGACTTCTGCTTTCTCCGTTGTAAAGTTTTGTTCTCTGGTTTGTTTTCTCACCCTGGCCTGGCCACCCCAGTCTCCAGAACACAGAGGAGTCCCTGCGCCATGTGGATGCCAGCTTCTTCTTGGGGAAGGTGTGTTTCCTCGCCACAGGTGGTAAGTACGTTCCTCGCCTGTTACTGCCCACCCCCAGCCAAGGGAAAGCTGGGGCGGCCGTAGGCTTCTTGCTGAGGCACCCTGGGTGATGGAAAGAGCATGTATTTTACACACACTGGGGCCTATCGGAGGGTGGAGGGCAGGAAGAAGGAGAAGATCTGGAAAAATAACTAATGGGTACTAGGCTTAATACCTGGGTGACAATGATCTGTACAACAAACCCCATGACACAAGTTTTAACTACATAACAAATCTGCACATGTACCCCTGAACTTAAAATAAAAGTTAAATTTAAAAACCGAAAGAACACATATACACATACTTTGGAATCTGACCTGTTGTCAGCCTTTCTAAGAGTGAATATGAGCAGATAACTCTGCCATTACTTGGAGTTGCCTAGTGGTTGCCTGTGGCTTTCGGTAAAATCCAAACTCTAAAGACATAAAACACTTTGCAGTTTGGCCTCTGCCTTCTGAGCTAGTCTCATCTCCGGTGACTCTCCTTCTCTGGGTCAGCTTATCGTTCTCTGAAAAAGTCCTGCTGTTCCTGAGACTTTGTAATATTAACAGTGAAAATAATAATGGCTGACATCTTTTGAGCTGTCACTGTGAGGCAGACACGGTAATTGCTTTGTTTTCATATTCCTATTGGAGGTAGGTGTTATTACCTCTGTTTTACAGTCATGAGGTTAAGTTGCCCCAGGCCCCTAGATGAAAAGTGGTAGAGCCAAGGTTTACACCTAGGTAAGTCCTGTTACAGGGCCCGTCCCTTTTTTTTTTTTTTTTTTTTGAGACGGAGTCTCGCTCAGCCGCCCAGGCTGGAGTGCTATGGCGTGATCTCAGCTCACCGCAACCACCGTCTCCCTGGTTCAAGCAATTCTCCCATCTCAGCCTCCCGAGTAGCTGGGATTACAGGCACCCGCCATCATGCCCAGCTAATTTTTGTATTTTAGTAGAGATGGGGTTTCACCATGTTGGCCAGGCTGGTCTTGAACTCCTGACCTCAGGTATCCGCCTGCCTCAGATAGTGCTGGGATTACAGGCCTGAGCCACCGCACCCGGCCGTCCTCTTTTTGTTTACTCTAGGCTTCTGTCAAATACATTTCCTCTTCTTTGTCTTGCTAACCCCTACAAATACCTCAAAACTCAGCCCCAGTGTCACTCCGGCATGCATGAGGTGTCTGACCTGTCTGCCTTCCCAGCTGAACTGTTAGCTCCTTGAGCAGAGTGCCTGGCACAGATAATTCTCAAGAAGCATTGGTGAGCAAATGCAGGCCAAGTAATTTCTAGATGTCAACTCACTGACTCTAGAGTGACTCAGTGGGGTAGGAGCTATTATTATCTTCATTGTCTAATTTGATATTCTTGACTACCTAGAAAAGAAAGTAGAATAGGACTGTCACCCTCGCGACTAGAAAGAAACTGAGCCCCAGAGTGGGGAAGTGAGTGACTCTGCCCAGCACTTCCTGAATTCCAGCCAGGAAGGTAGAGATTGCAGCTATAGCACTCATGGCTTCTTTCCAGCTGGGCGGGAGAGCCACTGCAGCATTCACCGGCACACCGTGGTGAAGCTGGCCCACACCTATCAAAGCCCCCTGCTCTACTGTGACCTGGAGGTGAGCATGCTGATCACAGAGACCAACACTATACTCGGGTGCGGGGAAAGGGTGGTCAGCACACAGTGGGCACATTGGGAATGCTTATCGAAGGACTTAGTATCCGAGCGAGGCAGCTCCTGAAGGGGAGGGAGACACAGGATCCTGGTTTGAGTGGCTTTTCTACTCACTGGCTATGACCTGGGCAGGTCACCCTGAGCCTTGGGGTACACAGGTGTGAAGTGAGGATGATGTGCTTTCATCTGGAGTGCATCTTATATGCCAGGCTCTAGCACGTGCTGCCCTGCTTTTGCTTTTGCTGAGTTTCTGCATACTCAGTTATAACTAAGTCTTATGTGTATGTATTTGTGAGTCCACTCTCCTGCTGGGGTGTAAGTGATTGTGAGGCCAAGCGTATGTCCGTCTCTTTAACTGGTGCATCCTTGTGTCCTCTGGGAGTCAGAATGCCTGATTTCCCCTTAACTCTCTGATTTCAGATCTTGTCTCGTCCCACCCCAAGCTAGGGTACCCAGCAGGCAATAGGGATGTTTGTTGGGTAGGTGGGTAGATGGTTGGATGCATATGTAGGGAATTCTGCCCCAACTGGATCCTGTTGGTGTTTCTCACAAGGTGAAACTAACCACGAGGGGTAGGAAAGTAGCCTTTTTGTTGTTGTTGTTGTTGTCGTTATTGTTTTAGATAAGGTCTTGCTCTGTTGCCCAGGCTGGATTGCAGTGGTGTACTCATGGCTCACTGCAGACTTGAGCTCCTGGGCTCAAGTGAACCTCCCACCTCAGCCTACTGAGTAACTAGGACTACAAGCATGCACCACCGCACCTAGCTAAGTATTTATTTATTTATTTACTTTTTTTTTTTTTTTGAGATGGAGTCTTGCTCTGTTGTCCAGGCTGGAATGCAGTGGCGCGATCTCGGCTCACTGCAAGCTCTGCCTCCCGAGTTCACGCCATTCTCCTGCCTCAGCCTCCCAAGTAGCTGGGACTACCGGCACCCACCACCACGCCCAGCTAATTTTTTGTATTTTTTAGTAGAGACGGGGTTTCACCGTGTTAGCCAGGATGGTCTCAATCTCCTGACCTCGTGATCCGCCCGCCTCGGCTTCCCAAAGTGCTGGGATTACAGGCATGAGCCACTGCACCCGGCCACTGTTTATTTACTTTTTAATATAGCGATGAGGTCTTGCTGTGTTCCCCACACTGGTTTTGAACTCCTGGCCTCAAGCGATCCTCCCACTTTAGCCTCCCAAAGTGCTGGGATTACAGGAGCGAGCCACGGAGCCTGGCCTTTAGCCGCTTTTTATGCAGGATAAATCCTGATGACTTTTTGCTAAAGAGGCCTCAGCAGGAGTTGATGTGCTCCCCGCGATGGGTCTACTGAGGGGTCCCAGGGCCCGCACTGCCACACCCATGTGCCAGGCCTGCTCCATTCCTTTGGAAACCTGTTTATTGGTTTTGAGATACATTTCGAAGAGTTGTGTTTCTGCTCTGTTCTGGGTCTTGTGCCTGTTACCGAAAGCAAAGTGATGAAATGCAGGGAGAACCGAGTCAGCACATGATCTGTGACCACCAATCCATCACCACTGTCTAGACCAGGGTCCCTTATCCTGGTGTCAGGGCACTCCTCTGGTCTAAGGGCAGAATTCAGAGGATAGCAGTCTGTGGCTGTCGCCAGTAGAAATGGGGATGTTTTCATATCACATTAGGATTGGGCAGGTCTCATCACTGTCTCATGTGGCAGCAGCCATTAGGCCTGCCCCTTGCTCGATGCATCGATCATGATACACACTTGACTCTATCACGCATTTGATTTCCTAGTTGATGACTACTTTTTGAGCCCCTGACCAGATCAGCACTCTGATCTCACAGATGGGACCCTGAGGCCTGGGCACACCTGAAGTGCCTGCCCCGCCAGGCTTTCCTCCCAGAGAGAACAGGCGACTTGCTCAGGGTCAGACAGCTCGTGAGTGAGGGGTAGAGCCAGCTGTTCTGCTGTCCTAGCCTGCTGACCGTGTGACTTTGAATAGGTCACTTTGTCTGCCACGAAGCATCTCTAAAGGGGAGTCACGATCTTTGCTCCATAGTTCAGGTGCTGGTGGGGGACAGTGGTGCCTACTCACCCTGTGACAAGTGGTGTAATTCTGTCTGTGGCCATGAGGTGGCAGGCCAGGCCAGGTCCTGGGTTCTCTCTTGGCCTGGGCAGGAAGCAGGAGGTCCCAGCCTGGTTCCCGCCGCAGCAGGAGCTGCAGAAATGCCTGCTCAGGACATAGGCCTGCATCCCTCAGATGGAGCACCCAGGGTTTGAACTGGCCTCCTTCTTCATGCTGGTGTTGTCCTCTTCAGAACACTCTTCTGCATAATTGAGTTTAAGCCCCACCATATATCTTGAGGCCTTTGCGTGGCAGGAATTACCGGCCCCGTTCCATTGATGAGGAAACACAGGAAGGTATGTGATTGGCCCAGTGAAATAATTGCCTAGGTCTGCTGGTAGGGCTCTGTGCTGGGCCCTGGGAACACAAATGAGTCAGATATTGGCCCTGCCCTCTCAGAATCTCATGAAATAAGCAGACATGTAACATAAGCAACAGCAGAAGGATTTGCTGAGCTCTGGGAGCCTGGTGGTAGAATTAGGTCATTTCTTCTTGGATGTCATGAGCAAAGTCATGATTGTGGTCAGACCTGGGCATTTGGGTCACGTCTCTGGAGTGATGTGGATTGGAGGAAGCCTGGCCAGAGGCAGGAGGCTGGGTCGAGGCTGCTGCAGGAGGCAGGTTGTGGAACCCAAGCCTCAGCAGCCTAGAGATAGATTTCAGGAACAAAGGCCACCAAACTTAGAGGACTTATTAAAAAAATACTTCCTGAGTTTCTGTGGTACCGACCACTGTTCTAGGCTCCAGGGACACAGCACAGAACAAAAGAGTCAAAAACCCCAGCTTCCTGCTGGGCACGGTAGCTCACACCTGTAATCCTAGGGAGGCCGAGGTGGAAGGATCACCTGAGGTCAGGAGTTTGAGACCAGCCTGGCCAACATGGTGAAACCCAGTCTTTACTAAAAATACAGAAATTAGCTGGGCATGGTGGCACACACCTGTAATCCCAGCTACTCAGGGGGCTGAAGCACAAGAATCGCTTGAACCTGGGAGGCAGAGATTGCAGTGAGCCAAGATGGTGCCACTGCACTCCAGCCTGGGTGACAAAGCGAGACTCTGTCTCAAAACAAAACAAAAAAAGCCCCAGCTTTGTTCTAGTCAAGGAAACAAATGGGGTAAATGACGTGCTGGAAAGTGGAGGCGTGGCGTGTCAGGTGGTGGTAAACAGGCAAGAGTTAGGCAGGGTAACCAGGGAACGCCCCTGCAAACAGGACTTCTAAATAAATAAAGACCTGAAGGAAGTAGGCAGGCAGGCCACGGAGATACCTCGTGGAAGGAGGAACAGCAAGTGCATGGGCCGAGTGTGGGACTTGCCTGGTGTGCTCAAGGTCTGGCAGGCAGGCCTGGGTGGCTGCAGCACAATAGCAAAGGGCGGGTTGGGGTGGAGAAATCAGGAATGGTGGGGCTGGATCAGTGGAGCCTGGTGGGGAGCTGCTGGAGGGCTTGGGGCCAGGGAGGGATGTGGCCTGACTTGGGTTTTAAATGGACCCCTCTGGCTGCCGGGAGGAGAGTGGACTGAAGGGAAACTAGGGCAGAAATAGAGAGACAGGTCTGGAGGCTCTTTCTTTCTTTCTTTCTTTCTTTCTTTTTCTTTCTTTCTTTCTTTCTTTCTTTCTTTCTTTCTTTTTCTTTCTTTCTTTCTTTCTTTTTCTTTCTTTTTCTTTCTTTTTCTTTCTTTTTCTTTCTTTTTTGAGACAGACACTGGGCAGCATCGTGTTCTTCCAGCGGACGTGTCTAGAACATCTGTGCCCGGGCCTAGAGCAGTCTTGTCCCTCTCTGGCCCCACAGCTCCCCTGGGCCCATTCCTTTTTGATGGCACCTTCTTATCTGTGGTGAGGGCCACCCGCTGCCCCTCCCTCCTTCCTATCCCTGTATCTTCTGCTCCCTGGTCTTGAGCATCTGGGGCCCGAGCTGCCTGGGCATTGGTTGGAAGTAGCCCTGATTCAGAGCTCAGCTCTGGAGTCACTAGCTGGGTGACCCTAGACAGTTTGTTCGACCTAGCCAGCCTTGTTAAGCCTTCATTTCCTCTTGAGCAGGAGGTCAGGCTCTGGATGTCTCCGGAGGTTGTTTGAAGGATTGGGCAAGCTGAGGCAGTTGGAAGCTACTCTGAGGTGTGGCATGAATGAGGGCGTGGCTGTGGTGGGCAGTGGTGACCTGAGCTACCCCCAAGTATCCGCCCCCAGCCCTGCTCTGGCAGCCCCTGCAGCTGCTCTGGGTAAGGGAGCAGGGCCAGCATTCTATCTCACTGCTGTTCTCTGCTCTCCCCGCAGGTGGAAGGCTTTAGGGCCACCATGGCGCAGCGCCTGGTGCGCGTGCTGCAGATCTGTGCTGGCCACGTGCCCGGTGTCTCAGCTCTGAACCTGCTGTCCCTGCTGAGAAGCTCTGAGGGCCCCTCCCTGGAGGACCTGTGAGGGTGGCTGGCCCCTGGGCTGCCCCTTCTCATGGCTTCGTGCTGACTCCATAAACATTCTCTGTTGAGGATGTCCAGTCAGGGCTTGACAGGCCCAGGCTCAGCCCGCCGTGGCTGGGAAGGTTCCCTGCAGTGCCAGTGCTGCAGCAGGGAGAGCTGGGCAGAAGCAGCGAGGGGGCCCAGCTGGCGAGACTGTAGCCCCCTCCCACTCCCACACTCACTCTTGCAGAGCCTGTGTCTTTAAGCAGCTGGCGTGTTACATCTCCATTTAAGGTTTCCTTTGAACAAAAGGTCTGTGGCTAAAAAAAGTTTAAAAATCACTGGTCTCATTCACCACTTTGACTTTGTAGATGAGGAAACTGACTCAGAACAATTAAGAGTAGGGCAGGGTGGGCCAGGTGCAGAGGCTCACGCCTGTAATCCCAGCACTTTGGGAGGCCGAGGTGGGTGGATCACTTGAAGTCAGGAATTCGAGACCATCCTGGCCAACATGGTGTATCCCTGTCTCTACAAAAATACAAAAATTAGCCAGATGTGGTGGTGGGCGCCTGTAGTCCCAGCTACTCAGGAGGCTGAGGCAGGAGAATCACTTGAACCCGGGAGGCGGAGGTTGCAGTGAGCTGAGACTGTGCCACTGCACTCCAGCCTGGGCAACACAGTGAGACTCCACCTCAAAAAAAAAAAAAAAAAAAAGCGAGACCAGCCTGGCCAACATAGTGAAACCCTGTCTCTACTAAAAATACAAAAATTAGCCAGGCATGGTGATGCAGGCCTGTAGTCTCAACTACTCGGGAGGCTGAAGCAGGAGAATCACTTGAACCTGGGAGGCGGAGGTGGTGTTGAACCGAGATTACACCACTGCACTCCAGCCTGGGCAACAGAGCGAGACTCCGTCTCAAAAAAAAAAAAAAAAAATGCTGGGCGCGGTGGTTCCCACCTATAATTCCAGCACTTTGGGAGGCCGAGGCGGGCAGATCACAAGGTCAGGAGATCGAGACCATCCTGGCTAACAGTGAAACTCTGCCTCTACTAAAAATACAAACAAATTAGCCAGGCATGGTGGCGGGCATCTGTAGTCCTAGCTACTTGGGAGGCTGAGGCAGAAGACCGGCATGAACCTGGGAGGCGGAGCTTGCAGTAAGCTGAGATCGCGCCACTGCACTCCAGCCTGGGCGACAGAGCGAGACTCTGTCTCAAAGAAAAAAAAAGGAGTGGGGCGGGGTAAGGGGAGCTTGGACTCGTTATGCCAGTCAGACTCCACATCCTGGCCCTGCTATTATAGAACCTGGTTGTTGCCTCTTGGAGCTTGTTTTCTCAGATGTGAATGGAGATGAGGTTCTGCTCACCTTGTCACGTTGGGAGGATTGAATGAGACGATGGACATGCCTGGGACTGTGTGACCCCCCATGCCTGCGAGTAGGTTGCTGTGTTCATAACATGTGTTAATGCCTTGCACCTTGCTAGGTAGGCACTCAGTGAACAGTAACTATTTGAAATCACATGGAAAGCCGAGGCGGGCGGATTGCCTGAGCTCAGGAGTTTGTGGCTGGCCTGGCAACACGGTGAAACCCCGTCTCCACTAAAATACAGAAAATTAGCCGGGCATGGCAGTCTGTGCCTATAGTCCCAGCTACTTGGGAGGCTGAGGCAGGAAAATTGCTTGAACCCAGGAGGCGGAGGTTGCAGTGAGCTGAGATCGTACCACTGCACTTCAGCCCAGGCAGCGGAGCGAGACTCTATCTCCAAAAAAGAAATCACACAGCGGAGTTCAAAAACTGGTGCAAATTAGGAATTACACCACTGTCAGAAGTTTGCAAGAAGTGAGAAAAGCTGGCTGGAGGTCTCATTTTGGGGTTGATGGCGAGAGATTGTACAGTGCCAGTTGCTTTCCTTCTCCCTTGGGTCTAATTGGAGATTGTAGAGGCATCAGAAGTGGACTCTAGAAATCCCATAGAGAGCCAGGTCCTGACTCCCTTGGAACATGACAGTGCCCTCCCCACATTCACCCTGCATGTGCCAGGGCATGCCCACCAGCCTCAGGCCTCAGGATGGACCCCAGTTGAAGCCCTGGGCAGCACTGCACCAGCACCTCGGGGCCTGTCTGCTTTTTTCTTTTTTTTTGGTTGGTGGGGTGTGGAGTCTTGCTCTGTCGCCCAGGCTGGAGTGCAGTGGCGTGATCTCAACTCACTGCAGCCTCTGCTCCCTGGTTCAAGTGATTCTCCTGCCTCAGCCTCCCGAGCAGCTGAGATTACAGGTGCACGCCACCATGCCCAGCTAATTTTTGTATTTTTAGTAGACACAGGTTTCGCCATGTTGGCCAGGCTGGTCTCAAACTCCTGACCTCACGTGATCTGCCACCCTTGGCCTCCCAAAGTGCTGGGATTACAGGTGTGAGAGTCACCGCGGCCGGCCTAAGGCCTCTCTGCTTTGATGTCACCATCGCAGCTGGGCCCATGCCCTTCACTGAGGGGTGGGCCGCCTTCTAACTCCTTGTAGGTGTCGGGGATGCGGCCCTATCTGCCCCTTTCTGTAGGTTCCTTCTGGAACTTAGCTCAGGCCCCACCCCTAGTGCTCAGTAAGGGTTTGTAGACACCTGGCTGACTTCCTGGCAGTCCCTTGGGCTCCGCTGAGGACTTCAGCCACGTAGATTCCGGTCGAGGCCCCACATGTCACCCGACATTTGCAGGCACGTCATGCTTCACAGAGCTCTTCTCACACAGCAGACCTGTGAGGTAGATGATGTTTCCCCAATTCACAGTTCATGAAACAGACCGTTGTCATGGGAGGTGTGTCACAGTCACACAGCTAACTGGCAGCAGAGCCAGCCCCACTCTGCTTCTCTCCAGTTTTTCTGTGTGCCTGCCTAATCCTTGAAGAAAGGTTTGGAGGCCAGGCGCAGTGGCTCACGCCTGTAATCCCAACACTTTGGGAGGCCACGGTGGGCAGATCACTTGAGGTCAGGAGTTCGAGACCAGCCTGAGTAACACGGTGAAACCCCGCCTTTACTAAAAATACAAAATTAGCCGAGCATGGTGCCATGCGCCTGTAATCCCAGCTACTTGGGAGGCTGAGGCAGGAGAATCACTTGAAACCAGGAGGCAGAGGTTGCAGTGAGCTGAGATTGCACCACTGCACTCCAGCCTGGGTGACAGAGAGACTCCATCTCAAAAAAAAAAAAAAAAGATTTGGGCATCTCCACTGGCCAGGCCCTGAGCTGGAATACAGAAGGTGGAGACAGCCCGTGTGCTCCAGAAAGCAGCAGTCTGCAAGCCATGGTTCCTGCCTCAGGATGGGACCACTAGAACACAGCATCGCGAGAGGGCAGGGGGTGGCAGGATAGGCCCGAGGGCAGAGGCCCTTAGCGTGGGAGCAGAGTGGTGCAGGCTCTGGGCCTGAGCAGGCCTTCGCCCGCAGCAAAAAGCCCCTCGGGCACTTGGTCGGGGAAGCCAGCCTCTGCTTGAGGAGGGGAGGCTCCAGGGCAGAAGGAAGAGGCTGGAGGTGAACCTTCACTTTGGTCCCTGAAGGGATGGGCAGTAGCAGCAGAGCCCGGAAGGCCAGCCTTCCCAGAGAGTGACCTTGTCTTTGGCCCTTCTGTCCTTGGCCAGAATGCGTGTCTTTGCAGGGTAACTGGAGGGTAGAGTAGGTCTTTGGCGGGGCTGATGGAATGGGTGTCCAAGCAGGGGAGGAAGGCGGTGTGGATGCAGCCTGCCTGATCTGGGATGTCACTTTTTGCTGGCGACCAGGAGGAGAGGCCTTCCCCCACACCCCCTCCCCCCCATGCCCGCATGGGGCACCTCTCTCAGGTCCCTGTGCCACATTTTCCTTGCCACCTGGTACCATTTAACAAGAGAAGTGGCATCGCATTCTCCAGCCAAGAGTCTGGGAACCTTCCAAGCACTGGGGAACACAGTGCTGTCACTGCCGCCAGCTCCCAGCTGAGCTTGGCAGGGGCCCTGGAACCAGGAGGCCTCCCCTCTAGAGTTGGGGGCTGGCCTGCCCCTGCCTCACAGCAGAGCTGAGCCACACTTAAATGGCAGGCAGGTGCCCTCAGACCTGCTGTCCCTGGAAGGCGGGGGATGGGTGGCCAGAGAGTGGGGTTGCTTCACGCCATCTGGAGACCCAGTGACATTGTCCAGGAGACAGTTTGGCTGAGGGAAGTAATGGAAGATCAGTGTGTGCCGGAATTGGGGCTTGGTACTGAGGTAAGGTGGAGGGAGATGGGAGAGGCTGGGCTTGGCTGCTTGCTTGGTGGCGTGACCTCAGGCAGGTCACTCACCCTCGGCAAGCCTCAGTTCCTCAGCTGTAGCGTGGCGCCAGGCTAACCGATGCCTTTCTTCCTAGCTAGTTGAGGACTGGCAATGAAGAAGCCACTATTTTATGTATTTATTTAGAGATGGGGTCTTGCTATGCTGCCCAGGCTGGTCTCAAATTGCTGGCCTCAAGCCCATTATTTTGAACATAAAGCTTTAAACAAATGTCAGATGCCTCAGGGTGGCCATGGTCATGACGTGGTCATTGCAGGATGTTGAAGGCGGGCAAGAACCCCCTAGGCCTACAGGCTGGGAATGGGGGGGCGAAGGCTACTGGAAGCGGCGCCTCTTCAGCTGGGCCTGGAAGCTGCCCCGTCCGTGCTCTTATAAGCTGGAAGGAAGGTGGTGTTTGGGCCCCACTCTTAGAGGAGTAGAGCTTACTCGGAGTCACACACTCATTTGTCCCCCTCATTCCACCTGGCTGTGAGCAGTCCTTGGGACCCCAGGGAGTTCACGTTCTCCATGGCCAGTGGTCCAGGCCCGAGTGTCCTGGCCTCAATCTGATGGTGTTTCCCATCCCTACCAAGGAGGCAGGACCTTCCTAGCAAGGAGGGGCTCTGCAGCCTGGGCCCCGTGTCTCCTGCACCCCCGGTGAGCAGAGGCAGGAGCAGCCCAGCTGCAGAGGGGAAGTGGTGCAGTGGGAACAGGAGCAGCCTCCGAGTCCCACCGACTTGGGGTCTGTGGCTGATCTGCAGTGTGACTTGGGGCAGCCCACTTCCCTCTCCAAGCCCCACTGCCTGCCCCCCTTTTCAGGTCTTGTGAGGCTTGGAGAGAAACTGAAGAGCCTGACTCCATGCCAGCCCTTCCACCCTCTACAGACAGTGGCTCGGTACGGGCTGGCAGGCTGGTGGGCGAGGAGAGCCGTGGGGTTCTTGAGACAAGGCCCTGTTACAGTTGCCCCCAACCCACACGCATCAGGGGTGCTGGGCCAGGCCTGCTGGCAGGGCTCGAGCACAAAGGGACGTTTTCTGGAAGGTTCTGTTGGCTTAGCCCCTCCCCTCCAGTGTACCCTGGGGTCAGAAGGACACAGGCAGAGAGTCTCTGTGAAAGAATGTCTCACACTTGGGGGCTGAGGGAGACAGTGGGGTGGGCTGCCAGGCTGTGTACCCTAAGTCTGCGGGTCCCACCTGAGTATGGGATGCTGTGGACTGGGGGCTGCTGAGGGCAGCTCCCTGGGGAGAGTGGGTAGGTACTTCCCAGAGCCCCGGACCTGCACAGGAGGCAGCCTTCCCTGGACCGCCCTCTTCCATCAAAGGGTATGCCAGCCGAACTTGGGGCCCCTGCGAGCTGGCCAGGCCCAAGGGGTCCCCCAGCCCTCCTCCTCCAATATGCTTGGCCAGCCTCCCTGTGAGGACACAGACCCCTGGGCCTCACCCCCACCCCCACCCCCTCTCCCTGCCGCTGTCCGCACACGGGAAGAGGACCCCACTGATGTGTGTAGTGTGGCAGGCTCAGGGGCTGCCTGGCGGGCCCCTTTACTCTAGCCTGCTTTCCCTCTTTGTAAAGTGGGACCAGTCGTGCTAGCCCCACACAGGGCTGAGGGAGGAGACGGCCGGGTAGGGAGATGCTTTGCGCACAGCCCTTTTCCTGGTCACTGGGCCTTCTCTGCTTCCCCCAGACATCCTTGGGGATCGCTCCACCCTGTCCTCTGTTCCGAGGTCACCATCCACCAGGCCTTCTCTGACTCCCCTGTTTGAAATTGCACCCATAACCCTCGAGCACCCTGCCCTTCTGACTTTTTCTCCCCAGCACTCCTTACCTCCCCACCCACTACGTTGTGTCCCATTTGGGTTTCCTCTCTGCTTCCCTGCTATTTCCCCAGAACCCAAAACAGCTCCTGGTGCCTGGTAGGTGCTAAGTGAGTGAGTGGCGAGTGACGGGGAGGCATCCGCGCAGGGGTCGGCCTCTGCGTTCACAAGGGCCTTCCTGCGTGGTACCCTGAATAAGGCCTGGGAGGTTGGCCCTGGGGGCCCCCGTTCCTCTCCCCCTTGCCTACCCTGGCCTTACAGCCTCCCTCTACTTCACACACCTGGCCCCCAAGAGGTGGGGGCTTTGCTCCCTGTGGCTAAAGGGCTGTGGTCTGCCCTCTAGTCTCACATGGAGGGCCCATGTCCTCTATCCCGGGGCCATGCTGAGAGTGGCTGGGGTGCCCTGGCCAGACCCTGTGGAGTGCAGGAGCGCGCGTGTGTGCGCACGTGTGCATGGAGTGGCGGGCTGGATGACAGGCAGCTCCAGCCCATGAAGACCCAGGCAAGGATTTGTGACTGCTTCATGGAAGGGCGTGACCTGCCCTCCCCTGGTGTGGGTTCGGGGAGGAACGGGATCTGGGGACTCCCAGGCCTCTGCCTCTGGGTCACACTGCTCTGGACTCGCCAGGACTTTGTGCTGATTCCGTGGCCACTCTGCCCTCTCCCAATGAACCGAGGCCCACGGCACTGCATCCTTTCCCCTGGCCCCAGCAAGAGGTACTCTGTAGCATTGTACTTGTTTGTGGGGGCTTTTAAATACAGGAGAAGGGAAAGGAAATAACCACAAGGGGTGGTCCTGGCGCTGTCATGAGACAAAATGGAGCCAAGAGAGCTGACTCGAAGCCCTGCAGGCCCAACCCAGCCAGCAGAGCCATCTCCACTGCTGACCCCATTCCTGGAACACGGGAAAAGCTGTTTGTGTGTACACCTACACGAGGGGGCAAAGGCACAGAACCAGGCAGTGAAGAAAGGCTCCCAAGGGAAAACAGAGACTCCCTCTGGGGACCGTGGGGAAACGCCCTTTGTCACTCATAGACTTCTGTATTGTTTGCAGGTTTTTCCTGAGCACGTGTTCAGGTACTACTGCATAATTACAACGAAAACTGATTTTGAAGTACAGAGTGCATCCCAGGCCCCAGAGCAGTTTCACATCCAGATCTGGGGGACTGGGCCTCTCTGTCCCCAAGGACTGCTCCCCATGACACTGTGCTTGTCCCATCCCCAGAGTGCTCTCACTTTCCCCAACCCCGTCCCTGAAGCATGTAGGGCCCAGGCCACGCTTCACAGTCAGGTGGACACAGACCCCCTGCAGGCCCCTCCCATCTGCTGGCTCATCTTGAGAGGGCCCTTGCCCCTTAAAGCCTCTGTTTTCTCATCTGGAAAATGTCCTAATAGTACCTGCATCAGATCCTTGTGAGGGTGTCTTCAGGAGAATTGGGGCACAAAAATCGACAGAAACCCCCTTCTCTCTGAAGACCCCAAACTATCTTGTTATTTTATTATTATTTTTTTTTTTTCTGAGATGGGGTCTCGCTCTGTCAGCCAGGCTGGAGTGCAGTGGCACGACCTCAGCTCACTGTAACCTCTGGCTTCCGGGTTCAAACAATTCTTCCTGCCTCAGCCTCCCAAGTAGCTGGGATTACAGGCGCCAGCTACGACACCCGGCTAATTTTTTTTTTTTTTTAAATTTCTTATAGAGAGAGGGTTTCACCATGTTGGCCAGGCTGGTCTCAAACTCCTGACTTCTGGTGATCCACCCGCCTCGGTCTCCCAAAGTGTTGGGATTACAGGCATGAGCCACCACACCAGGCCCAAATTATCTTTTTAAAAAGAGTATTCAGTGAATTAAAAGTAGAGCATGGTGGCCGGGTGCAGTGGCTCACGCCTGTAATCCCAGCACTTTGGGAGGCCGAGGCGCGCAGGTCGCTTGAGACCAGGAGTTCGAGACCAGCCTGGCCAACATGGTGAAGCCCCGTCTCTACTAAAATGCAAAAGTTAGCTGGGCATGGTGGCACGTGCCTGTTATCCGAGCTACTGGGGTGGCTGAGGCACGAGAATCGCTTGAACCCAGGAGGTGGAGGTTGCAGTGAGCCAAGATCGTGCCATTGCATTCCAGCCTGGGCAACAGAGCGAGACTCCATCTCAAAAAAAAAAAAAAAAGACTTGAATAAAGAAATTAGGCCAGGAGTGGTGGCTCATGCCTGTAATCCCAGCACTTTGGGAGGCCAAAGTGGGCAGATCACCTGAGGTCAGGAGTTTGAGACTAGCCTCCCCAACATGGCGAAACCCCACCTCTCCTAAAAATACAAAAAATTAGCCGGGCCTGGTGGCAGGTGCCTGTAATCCCACGTACTCAGGAGGCTGAGGCAGGAGAATCGCTTGAACCTGGGAGTTGGGTGTTGCAGTGAGCTGAGTTGGGTGTTGCTTATCGCACTGCTGTATTCCAGCCTGGGCGATAAGAGTGAAACTCCATCTCAAAAAAAAAGAAAAGAAATTAGGCCAGGCGTGTTGGCCAAGGTGGGTGGATCACTTGAGGTCAGGAGTTCAAGACCAGCCTGGCTAGCATGGTGAAACCCCATTTCTACTAAAAATACAAAAAAATTTAGCCAGGCATGGTGGCCCGTGCCTGTAGTCCCAGCTACGTGGGAGGCTGAGGCAGGAGAATGGCTTGAACCCAGGAGGCAGAGGCTGCAGTGAGCCGAGATCACGCCACTGCACTCCAGCCTGGGTGACAGAGCCAGACTCCGTCTCAAAAAAAAAAGGGACGCGGTGGCTCACGTCTGTAATCCCATCACTTTGGGAGGGCGAGGCGGGCAGATCTCGAGGTGAGGAGATCAAGACCATCCTGGCTAACGGTGAAACCCCGTCTCTACTAAAAATACAAAAAATTTGCCGGGCATGGTGGCGGGCGCCTGTAGTCCCAGCTACTCGGGAGGCTGAGGCAGGAGAATGGCGTGAACCTGGGAGGCGGAGCTTGCAGTGAGCGGAGATTGCGCCACTGCACTCCAGCCTGGGCGACAGAGAGAGACTCCGTCTCAAAAAAAAAAAAAAAAAAAAAAAAAAGCCACGGGGAAATAAGAATACATTGAGGAGTAAACTAACATTCCCCACATTGGTCTGATTGTGAATTCTTCTTAACTGTTTTGTCATCCAAGTAGCGACACAGGGCCTGCTGCAGCCCCCCACCCCCACCCCATTTAGGAGGCCCAAGTGGAAAGGTTCATGTGAGGCCAGGCACCTGCACACAACACAGACACGAATCCCGCAGGCCTTTTGTCCCGGCACCTGGCCCAGCACATAGGGAGCGCCCAGCAAACATTTGTGTCACATGAGTGGGTGTCTCATTTGTGTCTGCTGCTCTTAGCAGCTGGCCTCCCTCTCTGGCCAAGGTAAGGGACCCTGGAACTCTGACAGTGGGCTCCAGCCCTCCCACTCTCTCTGGCCTTGAGAGCAGTCTCCTCGAGTCTCTGCTGGGGGTCAGAGCAGCCAGTGCTTCTGCTGTGAAACGCAGACCTGGGGCAGGCGGACCCCCTCCTCCTAACTCCTGTAAATTCTCCCGACTCTGGCCTCACTGGGCCACCCTCTCCAGGGACAGGTTCCCCGTTCCTGGGTTCCCACAAGCCTCAGTCTGCCCACATGGCTGGCACAAGGGCTAAATGAGCTGCCTGGTACTCAGTCAGGCCTCTGCAGCCCTCACTAATGGGTAATACCAGCACCAACATGGATGGACGTGTATGTGGGTGGCAGGGTTATGGCTCAGTCTTCTGGCTTTGTCCCCACCTCTCTGCCTCACAGAGAGGCCTTCCCTGCCCTGGCTCCCCTCCAGGGTCCTGTCCCCCATCCCTGTACCGTACACCCACGCTCACCCACACCTGCCCCCACCCCCACATCACCATACACCCACGCTCACCCACACCTGCCCCCAGCCCCACTTCTCCTTTGCAGCTCCCCTCCGCCCACACCTTCCTGCCTGGGAGCTGCTGGCCCATGTACAGGGGATGGAGAGGGTGGGCCAGCGCCCACCAGTCAGGGCTGGCTGACTGGGGTTCTTTGTGAACCTTCAGGGTCTCCCAAGCTGGAAACCTGGGGGTCGGCCTTGCTCCCCTCACTCCATGGCCAGCCGCTGCATCATCCCCTGCCCTGGGCCACCTGCCCTGGACGTGGGCCACAGTGCCAGAGAGAGGGACCCTTGCAGGTACAGCTCAGAATCTCCCTCCTACCCAGACACCCCCAGGTTCTGTACTGCCCCGGGACTGGTGCCCTGCCCATCCGCAGCCCGGATGCTCCCTCCTCCCTCCCAGCATCCCCTGTGGCAGTGGCCATGCCTGCCCCCAGAGCAGCTCAGGCTCCCCTTTCATCTCTCCAAGCCTTAGCCCCTGCAGCCCTCCGCCTGGAGTGTTTGCCTCCCCCTCGCTGCTGCTCAGGGTCTCCCTCTGCCCCCAGGCTCCCTCCCCAGCCCCTGAGTTTCTCCTCTCACTGTGCTTCCCCAGCCCTGAGTGCTTAGGGGTCTGGGTGGCATGTGTGGCATTTAACCCCATGCTCTCTGCTGAGCCCTGAGCTCCCAGAGTTCCCTCCAGCCCTGGCCCTGGGGAGGGGGTAGCATGTGACCAGGAGGGCGGAGGGGCTTGTGTGTGTTTCTGAGACGCAGTCTGAGAGAGACACGGGTGACAGACAGTTGGGGACCCCAAACACTGGGGAGCAGAGATAGACAGGAGGGGCCCGCAGTGAGACACAGAGGTGAGCAGGAGAGGACACATAGCCCTGGAGAAAAGGAGCAGGTGTGGGCGGGCTTCCCTCCACTGCAGTCACAGTTCCCTCACTCATAGGCAGATCTTCCTGGGTCCTCCCTGCACAAAGCCCCAGTGGCTCCCTCGTGTCCCCCAGCCACAGTCCAAGCTCCCTAATGTGCTAGATAAGGCCCCAGTCCAGCCTTTCGGTCCCAGCACTCCCTGGACTTCCTGTTTGGGCCTCCAAGCCTTTGCTCCCCTTTGGCCTTCACCCCCATCTGCTCCCTAGACCTCAGTCCATCTGGCAAACACTTCACCATCGCCCTCTCCATGAAGCCTTCCGGCCCACCTTCCAGGATGACGTGAGCTGGTGCCCTTGCTGCGAGGCTGTCTTCCCCCATCAGCACAAGTGTGAGATTCCCTCAGGGCAGACCCACATGCTACTTGGGCCTGGTACAAGTGTCTGATGTCAGGCTGGGCACTGTGGCTTCACACCTATAATCCCAGCACTTTGGGAGGCCGAGGAGGGCGGATCACCTGAGGTCAGGAGTTCGAGACCAGCCTGGCCAAATGGTGAAACCCCACCTCTACTAAAAATACAAAAATTAGCCGGGCATGGTGGTGCATGCCTGTAATCCCAGTTACTCGGGAGGCTGAGGCAGGAGAATCGCTTGAATCTGGGAGGCAGAGGTTGCAGTGAGCCGAGATTGCACCACTGCACAGAGCCAGACTCTTTTTCAAAAAAAAAAAAAAAAAAAGCAGGTGTCTGATATCCCCAACCAGCTCTGTCCAGGAAGGGCAGGAAGAGAGGAGGAGACAGGTGGGTTGGGGGAGATGGCAGGGGAGCACTCGGGGTCATGGAGAGGCTTTGGCTAGACGGAGCAGAGGAACCACTCAGGGTCTGTGTCCTGGCTGCGGGGTCCATCCCCCTCCCTACCCAAGAGGAGGCTCTGGTCTGCCCCCAGACACCTCCCAGCACCCAGCAGAGGGCCCACCCAGGCGGTGCTGGTTGAGGGGCTGAATTGGGGAACCACAGGTAGAAAGAGAGGCCAGGCCGGGTGCGGTGGCTCACGCCTGTAATCCTAGCACTTTGGGAGGCCGAGGCAGGTGGATCACGAGGTCAGGAGTTCAAAACCAGTCTGACCAAGATGGTGAAACCCCGTCTCTACTAAAAATACAAAAATTAGCCGGGCGTGGCAGTGGGCGCCTACAATCTCAGCTACTCGGGAGGCTGAGGCAGAGAATTGTTTGAACCCGGGAGGCAGAGCTTGCAGTGAGCCGAGATAGCGCCATTGCACTCCAGCCTGGGCGACAGAGCGAGACTCCGTCTCAAAAAAAAAAAAAGAAAAGAAAGGGGGGCCCCAGGCGAGCTCGGTCCCACCCAGCAGGCGGGGGCGGGGCAGGGCAGAGTGCTCCCCCCGCCCCCCGCTTCCTCCCCGAGGGCCCCGGAGCCCAGCTCAGCCTCAGTCCCCGCAGCTTGTGCGGCGGCGTCGGCACCATGAGGCGAGGGCCCCGGAGCCTGCGGGGCAGGGACGCGCCAGCCCCCACGCCCTGCGTCCCGGCCGAGTGCTTCGACCTGCTGGTCCGCCACTGCGTGGCCTGCGGGCTCCTGCGCACGCCGCGGCCGAAACCGGGTAAGGGGGACCCACGGGGCGCGCGGCGCCGGCAGCTGCGGGGAGAACGGGGCCCCGATCGCCAGGGCGCAGGCAGAGCCCCGACCCCCGGGGGCGCCGAGGGCTGAAAGGACCCTGTGGGCAGGGCCTGGAGGGGCCCGCGATCACCGCGTGGCCCTCACCGCCGCCTCTCTCCCTCCCCTTGTCCACCGCCCCCCGGCTGTCCCTCCCCTCCCCGGCCAGCCTCGCCCCCCTCCGCCCCTCCCCGTCCCCGCTCCTCCCTCCCCTCGGCCCCCTGGCCTCCCTCCCTGTCCCCTCCCGAAGCAGCCGGGGCCAGCAGCCCTGCGCCCAGGACGGCGCTGCAGCCGCAGGAGTCGGTGGGCGCGGGGGCCGGCGAGGCGGCGCTGCCCCTGCCCGGGCTGCTCTTTGGCGCCCCCGCGCTGCTGGGCCTGGCACTGGTCCTGGCGCTGGTCCTGGTGGGTCTGGTGAGCTGGAGGCGGCGACAGCGGCGGCTTCGCGGCGCGTCCTCCGCAGAGGCCCCCGACGGAGACAAGGACGGTGAGTTCCGTGTGTAGGGGAACCAGTCTGAGCGGGGCGCAGGGGCTGGGGTGTCGGGACGGTCTAGGGGGAGATGCATGGCCCCTGAGGGGGAGAGAAGGGCTTTAAGGGGAAACGGAGACAGAGTGGAAAAGAGTTTGCGCTGAGGAGCTCAGGCTGGGGAGGGAGACATAGTCCTGCCCCTGAGACCCTGGTCGGAGCCAGGAACAGCTCTGCCCTGACAGACCCCAGTGTGAGGAAGAGACAGGTTGCAGGAAGGGGGCCCCGTCTGAGGGAGGAGTCTGTCCTGCCCTTTGGGAGTCTAACGGAGCTTGGTTCCCCCATAAATCCCTGAAGAGTTTGCCAGACTGAGCCCCAGCTCCCCAACTCCCTGCCCTGCCAGCTCCCCACTGGCCAGGCCTCTGGACTCAGGGTCAGCCAGGTGCCACCCCTCCCCACCCTGCATTGGGCTTCATTTGACGGAGGACTGCCCCTCCAGAGGAGTCTTCTAGGGGAGGGAGGGAAGGCTGTGACTGAGTACGGAGCCTCTACCCCCTCTGCCTGCAGCCCCAGAGCCCCTGGACAAGGTCATCATTCTGTCTCCGGGAATCTCTGATGCCACAGCTCCTGCCTGGCCTCCTCCTGGGGAAGACCCAGGAACCACCCCACCTGGCCACAGTGTCCCTGTGCCAGCCACAGAGCTGGGCTCCACTGAACTGGTGACCACCAAGACGGCCGGCCCTGAGCAACAATAGCAGGGAGCCGGCAGGAGGTGGCCCCTGCCCTCCCTCTGGACCCCCAGCCAGGGGCTTGGAAATCAAATTCAGCTCTTCACTCCAGCATGCACATGCCCTCTTTCTGGGACCAGGCTAACTCTGCAGAAGCACAGACACTACAGACCACAGCATTCAGCCCCCATGGAGTTTGGTGTGCTTGCCTTTGGCTTCAGACCTCACCATCTTTGACAGCCCTTGAAGGTGGTAGCCCAGCTCCTGTTCCTGTGCCTTCAAAAGGCTGGGGCACTATGAGTAAAAGACCGCTTTTAAAATGGGGAAGGCACCATTAAGCCAAAATGAATCTGAAAAAAGACCAAGTGGGAGGATGCCTAATTTGTAGTTGGGTGGTTTTTTGTGTTTGTTTGATTTTTTTTTTTTTTTTTTTTTTTTTTTTTTGAGACGAGTCTTGCTCTGTCGCCAGGCTGGAGTACAGTGGCGCGATCTCGCCTCACTGTAACCTCCGACTCCTTGGTTCAAGTGATTCTCCTGCCTCAGCCTCCCGAATAGCTGGGATTACAGGCACGCACCACCACAGCCAGCTAATTTTTGTATTTTTAGTAGAGACGGGATTTCACCATGTTGGCCAGGATGGTCTCGATCTCCTGACCTCGTGATCCGCCCTGCTCGGCCTCCCAAAGTGCTGGGATTACAGGCATGAGCCACCATGCCCGGCCTTGTTTTGTGTTTTGGTTTTTTTTGAGACAGGGTCTTGCTGTATCACGCAGGCTGGAGTGCAACGATGGGTCCCCAGCTAATTGCAGCCTGGGCTCAAGCAATCTTTCTGCTTCAGCCTCCTGAGTAGGTGGGACTACAGGTGCTCCACCTTGCCCAGCTAATTTTTTTTTTTTTTTTTTTTTTGAGACAGAGTCTCGCTCTGTCGCCTAGGCTGGAGTGCAGTGACGCAATTTCGGCTCACTTCAAGCTCCGCCTCCTGGGTTCACACCATTCTCCTGCCTGAGCCTCCTGAGTAGCTGGGACTATAGGCGCCCGCCATCACGCCCGGCTAATTTTTTTTGTATTTTTAGTAGAGACGGGGTGTCACCGTATTAGCCAGGATGGTCTCGATCTCCTGACCTCGTGATCCGCCCGCCTCAGCCTCCCAAAGTGCTAGGATTACAGGCGTGAGCCACCGTGGCTGGCCTTTTTTTTTTTTTAAAGACAGGGTCTCGGTATGTTGCCCAGGCCAGTCTCAAACTCCTGGCCTCAGGCAGTCCTCCCCGAAGGGCTGGGATTATAGGCAGGAGGCGCCGGGCCTGGCCTCTATTTCTTTAATACCTGCCCTCAGAGCCGTCCTGCTTTTAAACTGATGCAAATGGCAGCAGTGAATAATCAATTCATGGGTTCGCTTGCTTTGGGATTTAGTACAAGATTATTTTAAGAAATAACAAAGGAGAAAAGATTGAGCTGGATTTTGCTGATTCTCAGGTATCTGTACCCCAGGGTCAACCCTGAGATTGGCCCAATCTGCCAGAACCTAAGATGCCATTTTGACCCCAGTGGCAGCTTCCAGAGCCACAAGCCTGCATTTGGGAGGAGGTGCGCAGCCTCCAGGGCTGGACTCCAAACTCGAGCTGAAGGAACATGCTGGCAGGTAGCTCTCTCAGGGTCCACCTGGGGTTCCAGCTGCTCCAAGACACAGCACATTTAGCCATAAACATGGAAGGGCTGGGACCTACAGGAGGCTCCTTTGTGTAGAGGCCAGGGCAGGCGTGTGACCTTGAACCAGGTGGACATGAGGTCCCTTGAACTCCCTTCTCTCTCTGGCTTGTTCCCCTGAAGCACTGGCCCCCCAGTGCTGGGCTTATTTGGCCATCCTGTGCCAGCCCCCTGGTCACCCACCGTCACAGTGGAAGCTGCTCCCTCCTCTTACAATGGTGTTCCTTGCTCTGGGGTCTGGGGACAAGACCATCTCTTTCCACTCCTGGACGACACTGTGCACTCAGTCAGCCGCCTCCTACCTGCCCTCCTGCACAGGGTCAGAACCTCCTGACCTGGACTTCGCCCTGGGCAGCTTCCTTGGAACTTGTTGCAGCTTAGCATCTTTGGAAGGGAGCACTGGACTAGGAGTCAGAAGGTGGAGTTCTGGGTGCTGTTTTCCCACTCTTGGGCCCTGGGCATGTTCTGTTCTGTGCATCAGATGTTTTCTGCCTGCCTCCCCCTGAGCTGCCACCAGAGCCACCTGTAGACCCCTGCTTCTCCTGCCCCTCCTGTCCCTTGCCAGGCCTCTGGACTCAGTGCTTCCTGTCCCAAGGACCTGTTGTGTGCCCAGCTTGGAAGACAGTGGCCACTCACATCCAGGTCTCTGCCTGGCTATTTGCTCCATGAACCCATCTCAGATGCCCCTGCCCCCAGGGAGCCAGGTGACAGGGTGAGGTCAAGTGACAAGCAGTAGGTGTGGGAGAGGTTTGGTGGGGTCAGGCCCACATGGGCCCAGCCATCCACTCCCCTTCCATCTGGAGTTGGGGGAGTCTGAGCTGCTCCTGGCCACCCCATCTGCCCCACCCCATCTTTTCCTGGCCACCCCAGCTCCCACCCCATCTTCTCCTGGCCACCCCATCTCCCACCCCATCTTCTCTTGACACCCCATCTCCCACCCCATCTTCTCCTGGCCACCCCATCTCCCACCCCATCTTCTCCTGGCCACCCCATCTTCTCCTGGCCACCCCATCTCCCCCACCCCATCTTCTCCTGGACACCCCCATCTCCCACCCCATCTTTTGCTACAGCCAGGGTTAGCTCAGCAGGTGAAAACCCCGAGGGTGGGTGAAACCCCTCTGGGGCTCAGACATGCAAACCTTGGGCATCTCTCTGTCCCAGCTGGCCCCGCCAGCCGGTAGGAAGTTTCCCCTGAGTTCTCAGTTTTTTCTTCTGAAAAATGAGGGGTTGTATGCAAGGTTCTCCTCCTGGCCTGTGGTCCCCAGAGAAGGGCAGGAAGGAACCTTAGATAATTCTCATATGCATTTAACAGACGAGGAAACTGAGACCCAGAGCCGTCACATCAATACCTCATTTGATCTTCATAAGAGCACCTGGAGGAGGGGGGTGGGGTGTTTGTGTTTGTTTAAATTTTTTTTTGTGAAAAAAATGAAGATAGGCATTTTGTAGACAATCTGGAAGTTCTGGACCGGAATCCATGATGTAGTCAGGGAAGAAATGACCCGTGTCCAGTAACCCCAGGCCTCGAGTGTGTGGTGTATTTTTCTACATAATTGTAATCATTCTATACATACAAATTCATGTCTTGACCATCATATTAATATTTGGTAAGTTTCTCTCTCTTTAGAGACTCCACAATAAAGTTTTCAACATGGTAAGGTTTTCCACCTGGGCATTTGGATACTTTGGTTTTTGCTGTTGTGGCCAAGACGGCACAGGCCACATGCGCCTGTGCAGGAGTCTCTGTTTCCCAGCACAGTTGTTGCGCCAAAGGCCTTGACTTTTTTTTTTTTTTTTTGAGATGGAGTTTCACTCTTGTTGCCCAGGCTGGAGTGCAATGGTGCAATCTCGGCTCACCGTAGGCTCCTCCTCCCAGGTTCAAGCGATTCTCCTGCCTCAGCCTCCCGAGTAGCTGGGATTACAGGCATGCACTACCACACTCAGCTAATTTTGTACTTTTAGTAGAGATGAGGTTTCTCCATGTTGGCCAGGCTGGTCTCAAACTCCCGACCTCAGGTGATCTGCCCGCCTTGGCCTCCCAAAGTGCTGGGATTACAGGCATGAGCCACCGCGCCCAGCCAGCCTTGACCTTTTTGTTTTGTTTTTTTTTTTGAGACGGAGTCTCGCTCTGTCGCCCAGGTTGGGGTGCAGTGGTGCAATCTCGGCTCACTGCAAACTCTGCCTCCCGGGTTCACGCCATTCTCCTGCCTCAGCCTCCTGAGTAGCTGGGACTACAGGCGCCCGCCACCACGCCTGGCTAATTTTTTTGTATTTTTAGTAGAGACAGGGTTTCACCATATTAGCCAGGATGGTCTCGATCTCCTGACCTCATGATCCGTCCACCTCGGCCTCCCAAAGTGCTGGGATTACAGGCGTGAGCCATCGTGCCCGGCCCAGCCTTGACCTTTTTAAAGGTCCCTGTTGGTCCAAATTTTCTCCTGAAAATCTAGACCATTTCACATCCATGAGGAGGGATTATATGGTCCAGTTTGCAGATAGGAAAAGAGAGGCCCTGTGAGGTAATGGGATCCGGCCCAAGATACAACAGGTGGGTGGTGGAGCTGGGCGAACCCTGGGCTCCTGCGCTTGGCGGCCATGCCTGCCCAGCAGAATGTCATTGGCCCGGACCCCCTCCTTGGGAGCGGAGAACTCGGGGACTGATGCCAGGCCCCACTCCCTGGTTTCATCACTACTCAGATTTTCTCCCCAACTGTTCTCTCATTTTGATAAGAGGGATCCCAGACAGACTCTGGAAGCGCCGTTTTGCGGGTGGGAACTGAAGGGAAAAGGCCTCTCTCTGAGCCTGTGTTTCGGGCCAGCTTTTCCTGAAGGAGGGTCTGATTCCCACCAGGTCCCCAGGGCCCTGGCCGGTGGGGGCAGGCCTGGCTGAAGTCTCGCTTCCTCCTGGGGCTTCCTGCAGGCCCCTTTCACTTCCTGCCTGGTAGCCAGAGGCTGGGGGCTCCAGGAGGGGTTGTGGAGGCCCAGCTGGTGAGGCCAGGGAGGAAGGCCTGACCCCCCACTTTCGTTTCAGCAGGGATGGCTCAACACAGCACTATCCCTGCAAGCTGGTAGCATCTCACTGGGCCTCAACTCTCTGGGCCCCTCTTCCCATCTGCAAAATGGGGCTCTTGAGGCCCACCTAGCTGTCCTTGGAGATTGAAGAGGTCCTGTGGCATGTAGGGACAGAGGGACCCCTGCTAGAGCCAGGGAACGCCCCCAGCAGGGAGGTGTGAGCAGGCCTGGTCCTGCCCTCATGACCCGAGGGTGGGGAGAGAATGGGGGTGCGGTAGAAACGACTGCCCCAAATAGCGGAATAGCGGGGCAGAGTCGGGGAGCAACCGGGAGGAGAGAGATGCCAGAGTTCCCCGCCCCTACGCTTTCCTCCCGGGACTCCGAAGGGCGCTCAGTGGTTGGCGTGGGGGACGGGGGGAGGGACGCTACTGGGGTCCCGGGACCCAGAGGAACCTTGGGCATCTCTCCACTCCCCTAGGCTGCGGATAATCTGGGATCCAGGCCCGAATCCAGCGACTTCGGGGCAAGCGAGTCTCTGCGCGGCTTCCGCCGTCAGCCCCGGCCACCACCGGCCCCGGGAGATTTGGACGTGGGGCGGGGGTAGGGGGTGCTGCCAAGGGGCGGGGTCAAGAAGAGAGGCGGGGCTGAGGGACCCCCAAGCCTCAAGGTGGCCGGAAAGGGGCGGGGCCAGCGGCATGCCTAAGGGGTGGAGTCAAGGCCAAGGGGCGAGGAAAAAGCTTGGGACCGGATAAGGGGCGGGACCAAGGCCAAGGGCGCCTGCTTCGGGCTCCCGACCTCTGCGCCCTCGGGAGTCCGGGTCCTCACGCGCATCCCGAGCCCTGGGGGCCTGGATGCGGCCCACGGCCCCGACTCAAGGGCGAGGCTCAGGGGGGAGGGCGCAAGACGCCTCCGCACAGAACTGTGACCGAGGAGCAGGGGGGCTGCCGGGGAGGGCGCACCTGTCCCCGTGCACGCGCTGTGGCCTCCGTGGAGCTCTGTCCTCTCTTGGTTCCCGCGCTAAGGTCTCGGTGTCCGCTCCGGATTCGCACGTACACTGAGGGCTTTGGAGCCTCCCAGTCCCGCCGCTCCCTGGCGACCTCAGGAGCCCGGGCGCCCCCTCCCTCCCACGGGCAGCTGGAGCCTGAGTCAGAGTTGCCTCGCGGGAGACAAAGACAGCCGTGGGCCCTCCCTCCAGAACCCCTCCTGGTATCGGCATTTGCACCAGCAGGGAGCCCAGAGTCCCCAAGAGCCTCTGCTTCTTGGGTAACTGCATCATTGAGGAAATGGAAGTGAAATTAGCTTAGGAATGAGGCCTTGGAGGCTTGTGGGTGGCATCCGCGGTCACGGTCTTCTCAGCCTGGCTTCAGTGTCTCTGGGGCCCACTGCTTCTCCCTGTAACCCTGCCGAAATGCTGGTAGCCCATCTTGCAGATGACAAAACTGAGGCCTAGAAAGGTTGAATGGCCCTGAAGAGCAGGAATTCCAACCCGGTCAGCCTGGCTCCAAAATAAAGGATAAAGGCTGGGCGCAGTGGCTCGCACCTGTAATCCCAGCACTTTGGGAAGCCAAAGCGGGCCGATAACTTGAAGTCAGGAGTTCGAGACCAGCCCTGCCAACATGGTGAAACCCCCGTCTCTACTAAAAATACAAAAATTAGGCCGGGCCCCGTGGCTCACGCCTGTAATCCCAGAATTTTGGGAGGCCGAGGCGGGCGGATCACCTGAGGTCAGGAGTTCGCGACCCGCCTGATCAATACGGTGAAACCCTGTCTCTACTAAAAATTACAAAAATTAGCCAGGCGTGGTGGCGTGCACCTGTAATCTCAGCAACTCCGGAGGCTGAGGCAGGAGAATCGCTTGAACCTGGGAGGCGGAGGTTGGAGTGAGCCAAGATCGCGCCACTGGACTCCAGCTGGGCGACAGTGTGAGACTCCGTCTCAAAACAAAACAAAACAAAAATTAGCCAGGCATGGTGGCGGGTCCTTATAAATCCCAGCTACTCGGGAGGCTGAGGCAGGAGAATTGGTTGAATCCAGGAGGCAGAGGTTGCAGTGAGCCGAGATCACACCACTGCACTCCAGCCTGGGCAACACAGAGAGACTCCGTTTCATAAATAAATAAATAAAACCTAGAAACTCTGGGCATGTGGGGCTGGAAAGGGGTTCCAGGAAGAGAGGGCAGCCTGCGTGACCAGACAGGGGGCAAATGAGCCTGGGTCAGGTGTTGGCAAGGGCCCTGTCGTGGGGTAGGAGTGCCTCCCGGGTGTGCTGAACTGGCCAGAATGTGGATTCGGGACTCATAGTGCAGGTTCCAGGCCAGACCCTGCCCTTCCTGGCTGTGTGCCAGTCACAGCAAGTCACTTCCTCTCTCTGAGTCTTGAGTTTCTCTCTAGGAAATCCCAAACCTTTCCCAGGGCTCAGCAGAGCTGGCAGACTGGTCACCCACCACCTAAAATGGGGACACTGAGGCCCAGCACAGGCTGTTTGTCATGTCCACACCTCTCAGGGCCCCCAGCCTTCCCCAGCCAGAACTGAGCACCAGGTGAGGGCTGGACATGGAGGAAGGCCGTTCGTGCACAGGAGCATGTATGCTGACAAACACGTGTGCACACACATGCCCACCGTGCAGGGAAGGCCCTCATAGTCATGCTAGCCCCAGACATGCACACTCTTGCTGTCACCCAAACACGCGCAGACACCCGCACACTCGAGCTGCCAGCATTGGGAGCTGGGGGCGGGGCGGGTGCCCTTCAGGAGCAGGGACTCGGCTCCTCTGCCCGCCCCGCGGGGCTTGCTGCAGATGCCAGGGGTTATTTTAAGCCTGGATCAATGGATGAGTTTTGGTGACACAGGCTTAGTGGTAGTGGAGGGGGGCAGGCAGAAGAGATAAGGGGTGGCTGCCCTGGAGCCTTGATGGGGTGAGAGACCCCGGGGTCCAGGGCAAAGGGGTCACTCCTCGGCCGGGCTGCTCTATCTCCAGATCCCCTCACCCGGCACATGGCCAGGCACCTGGGGCAGTGTCAGCTGAATGGGCGATCAGATCCCAGGACTCAGCCAGTCAGGGTCAGCTGGGCTCTGTGTTCACAGCTGCCCTCTCCTGCTCCACTCACTCCCCGCGGCCAGGTGTTCCCATGGAGAGAAGAGGGTATCCAGTGCCTGGCACAGACCCAGTAGTTATGGTTACCTATGGCTGCTGGCTGACCACTGAATCAGATTGAGACGGGGAGGAAGGTGTGTGTGTGGTGGGGGGTGGGGGGTGGTGTTGGGGGTTGGACATCAGTCCCTGGGAGGGGCTGGAATCCACTTCCTTCATTGGACAAATGGCTGTCACTATGTATATGTATGTGAAGGCCTGATGGGGTCAACATGAGGAAAGCACCCAGTGCCAGGACGGTGGGGGCAGGAGGGTGTCCAGGAAGGGGGAGCACTGGGAGACTTGCTCTGACCCCTCACTCTAACTTGGAAGAGGCCCCAGTTCCAAGGGGGCAGAGACAAGCCTCTTTCAACCCAGTGCCCGGCAACGGGTGGGAAAGGTGGGAGAAGAGGCCCCCCTCAGAGCTCCTGCAGCCTCCAGGGCAGTGGGCAGAGGGCGGTGGGGACTTCAATACCAGTGATACGGGTTGTGCCACGGATTCCATTTCTAGGAATGGCCCTAAGGAAAGGAAGCAGGAAAGGACGCTCCAGAAAGTAGAGCTCAGAAGCTCTGAGAAGAATCACAAATGAGAAGGTTTTTTTTTGTTTTTTTTTTTTTGTTTGTTTGTTTGTTTTTTTAAGACGGAGTCTCAATCTGTTTCCCAGGCTGGAGGGCAATGGTGTGATCTCAGCTCACTGCAAACTCTGCCTCCCAGGTTCAAGCGATTCTCTGGCCTCAGCCTTCCGAGTAGCTGGGATTACAGGCATATGCCACCATGCCCAGCTAATTTTTGTATTTTTAGTAGAGGTGGGGTTTCACCATGTTGGTCAGCCTAGTCTCCAACTCCTGACCTTGTGATCCACCTGCCTCAGCCTCCCAAAGTGTTGGGATTACAGGCGTGAGCCACTGCCCCCAGCCAAACGAAAAGTTTAAGGATGGCAAAAAGTAAACCACAAACTAGTTACAATCCAGCATGTAAATGTGGCATATTTTAGTGTGGTTGTCTCTGGACATGGGATTAAAGCAATTTCATTTAATTCCTTTGTTCATCTGTGTTTTTTCTTCTAAACTGGTAATAAGGGGTCCTTTAATGAGGGTGGGTTTTCGGGGCTGGATGGGAAGTGTGTGTACATGTGTGTGCACATGTGTGTGTGTAGGTGGAGGGAGCAGGCTGTCTTTGGCCAGGGCACAAGGAGAAGCTCTGAGTGGGGAGGTCACCTCCTCTTCCTGTCTGAACCCATTAATACCTGAAATTAGTCTGTCAGCCCCTCATGTCAGGCAACAGACTTGATCCTCCTTAAAATGTAAATCCTTCCTCTTCTTCTCCCCCACCTTCTCCACTTTCATAAGCTGGTCCCAGTTGCTGAGAGAAGGACGGATGGAAAGGGGACCAGGAGGGACCCTAGGGAGCCCCAAATGTTTCATCTCACAGAAACTAGGCGCTGGAGTCCTTTCATTCATTTATTCATTCAGCAAATGCCGACAGAGGCCTGAGCTGCACACTGGGTGAATTGCACGCCCAGTCCTTGCCCTCCTGCTGTTTCCGTCTGGACAGAGGGAGGTTCCATATCGACCCCTATCTCCTGGAAGGGGCAGATTATGAGTCTGCCCTCCAGGAAGAGTCTTTGATGTTAAGATGAGATACTGAGGCAGGGAGAAGCCAAGCACCAGGACCTTCTCCAGTTCAACTCAACCCCGAAAACACCACTGGGCCGTGCTGGGACCGGGTCCGGGCTCCTTAGGGCCCCCACACCCTACCCCTCGGTTTGTGAAAGGACCTGCGGGTGGGCGCAGGGCGGAGGTCTTCCTTTTCCAGGCTTTCCTTTTCCAGGGCAGGGGCGAGCCCAGTCCCCCTCTCCTCACACCTGGGGAGGGAGCAGATCGCGGAAGTGCGTCAGCCAAGCCGTGCCCATCGACGCAGGGATGGGGACATCCCTGGACCCCAGCCCAGCGTTCGAGGGGTTCTGGAACTGGGCTCGCGCCGTGGGGTAAATCCTTGGCCCTCTGAAGCGGCGCTGCCAGGGGAAGTCCTTCCCATTTGACAGGTGGGAAAATCGAGGCGCCGAGAGGGGAAGGGGCCCTCCTTATGTTATGATCAGAACGGACAGAGGGGACGGGAAGGAGGTGAGAGGGTGGCCCTGCCCGTCCCGGGGCAATTCCGGGCTGCTTTGACCTCCGCGCCTGTAAGGTACAGGTCCCCGCACCTGTAAGACAGGGACGCTCTAGTCGCGGGCCCTAGAACTGATCCCCTTCGAGCGCCCAGTTCCGATGAATGTTTCGGGGCAGTCTTTGTGGAGGGGGGTTCCCTGTGGGGCCTCCCGGCTCCGCGGGGCCTGCTGCCTCCTCTCGCCCCTCGCGGCAGCCGCGCTCCTCCCCCGGCTCTGCCTCCCTTCCGCCCTCCCTCCTCTCTCCCTCCCCCGCCCGCCCGAGCCCGCGCCGAGCCCGAGCGGGAGCCGGAGCCGGAGCCGGAGCCAGAGCGCGGGCTGTACTGAGAGCGCGGCGGGAAGGTAGCGCAGTCGGGCGGCCCGCGGCCCCGGCGCGGCCTCCGCTAGGGCCAAGACCCGCACACCTGCCGGGCCGGGGAGAAGCCGGGGGCCGCGCGCAGGCGAGGACCCGCCGCCCGGCCCGGGGAAGATCTCAGGACGCGGACCGGGCAGCTCGGGTCCGAGGTGAGCCCGGGCGGAGGACGCGCCCACCGGAGGTGCGGCCTCGGAGCTCCAGACCCAGCCCACTCGGGGCTGGGGTCCCCAGAGGAGGCCGACGGCCGAGGCGGCGTGCGCCGGGAGCCAGCGCGATCCCTGCGGGAGCGGAGGAGCCGAGCCGGAGGGAGCCGCGGCGCCCGGCCATGCACCGGGCGCAGTAGCGGGAGGCGCGGGCCCGATGGCGCGGGCCGGGGCGCGGGGACTGCTCGGCGGCCGCCGTCCTCCCGGCCTCCGGCTCGCGCTCGCGCTTCGGCTCGCGTTGCTGCTGGCGCGGCCGCCGTCGGGCCGCGCGGGAGCCCCCGAGGCGCAGGGTCCCGCGGCGCCCGGCACGACAGCCCCGGAGGGGGGCGACCGCTGCCGCGGCTACTACGACGTGATGGGCCAGTGGGACCCGCCCTTCAACTGCAGCTCCGGAGCCTACAGCTTCTGCTGCGGCACGTGCGGCTACCGCTTCTGCTGCCACGACGGGCCGCGGCGCCTCGACCAGAGCCGCTGTTCCAACTACGACACGCCGGCCTGGGTCCAGACAGGCCGGCCGCCCGCCCGCGCCCGCGACACCGCAGCGCCCCGGGACCCCGGCCGCGAGCGCAGCCATACGGCCGTCTACGCTGTGTGCGGCGTCGCAGCGCTGCTGGTGCTGGCCGGCATCGGGGCGCGCCTGGGACTGGAGAGGGCGCACAGCCCGCGCGCGCGGCGCACAGTGACCAGGTGAGCACGCGCCGCCCAGGGACCCCCGCCTGCTCCTCGGACTGCTCTCCCTGCCCGCTGATCCTTCCCGCCGCTCTCGAAGCGCTGGTTCTCCCAGCAGGCCCCTTCTCTGGGTTTTCCTGTCTCCTTCTCCCCCCGCCGCCCCCCCAACACTTCATCAGGGAGACACCTGACACCGCCCTGACTCCCTTTGACCTTCTGCCCGTGCTGGGCGCCGCACCGCCTTTCCCTGCTCGAGTCTCCTCTGGAGGGCAGGGGGGTGGGGGCGGGCTGGGAGGGGGACAGGTAGCCTTGCACAGAGGGCACCGGGTCACTGTCCAGGGTAAGGGGCGCCGCTGGCCAGGGAGGTGACCGGGCGTCTTGGGCACGGGAAAGGAAGGGGCGCTTGGTTCTCTGGGTGCCCATCTCCTGCTTCTCCCCACTCCTCCCTCCCCTCTTCCACCTCCTGCCTCTCCCCTGCCCCCACAGCTGTGACTCAAGGCTGCCCTTCCCTCCTTGGGTTTCAAAGGCCTCCCCCCACTCACCCCATGCCACAGCTCCCAGGTGAAGGTCAGGGCTCCCTCTGCGTAGAAAGGGGACTCTGGAACACAGTCGTGTGTTGCTGAGGCCAGGACAGGTGCTTGTTGCATTCTGAGCTTGGTGTGAAGTGGGCACTACAGGGTCCAGGTCCCCTTCCTCGGTTGGAACGAGGACTCTAGGACTCTATGTGTCCTGACCCTGGAACTCCCACCCACATGCCACACGTGGCACTCACATGCCCCCAGCAACCCCCATGCCCTGGGGCCTGTGCCCTCCTCATCCACCCGGTCCCAGCACCCTTTGGGCCTGTGGGCTGCTGACACCGAATGTGACAGGCTGGTATTTAAAAGTGACCATAGAGAAGCCTTCATACCCTGGCAGGCCAGATGTGGACACTTCCCCCTCCTGGGCCTCAGAGGCAGGGGGTGAGGGCTTCCTTGGCACTTCAGCACCCCTCGCTCCCGAAACCACGTAGCCCACTTTCTCCCAGGGAGCTCTAAGGGAAGCCCGGGCTGGCACCCTGGCCTCCACCCTCAGCTTCTGCACTGCCTTCAGGAGGTGGAGCCTCCTGGCCTGGCTTCTGGATGCTGCAGGGGTAGGGGCTGGGCTGCCCAAATTTGGGGGTCCCCCATGATGGGTGAGGGTAGCTTGGAAGAGGCCTGGATATGTCTTTGACAGGGGCGGGGAAAAAGGAACTTAGGGCTGCGATGGTGAGGGGTGGCTGCAGCAGCCCAGCTGACATGTTCATCCTGAACTCCCTGCACCTGCTGGGGATGGGGCAGCAGGTTTGGTGATGCCGCAGGAAAGCCATGCCCACCCTTGCTGTGCTGTGTGGTGTAGGCCAGTCCCTTCTCCTTTCTGGGCTTCAGGCTCCCATGGCCCCAACTCCCTTTTCTCTGCTGGGGAGACCTGGAATGGGACGTAGGCTTGTGTGTGGGTGTGTCCTGAGTCCCTGTCCTCCCCTCGAGTCTCACCCTTCATTCTGCTGTGTTGGGGTTGAAGGCCAGGGAAGGCTTCTCAGAGGGCTTGGGCGGGGCATCTGGAAAGAGTTTGTGCAAAGGCCCAGAGGCGTGGTGGTTACTCAGCTGTCAGGGAGACAGGAGCTTGAGGTGCTTGCCCAGAGATGAGGCCACAGAGGTGAGCCTCTGGGGAGAGGGCAGGGCAGGAAGGTCAGCCCAGGCAGGTACTAGGATGGTTTCAGACCCTGCCACCAAACCTGAAGCCAAACCTCGGCCATCCCTGGTGTCCTGCCTCCTGAATGACCTTCACGAATCAGCCATTTGAGGCTCTAGCCCCGGAAGGAGGGTCAGGCTGAGTGGGAGAAAATCATGGGTTCCGGGTTCTGAAGGCAGCTGGGCTGCAGACACTGTCACATCACAGCTGGGTGGGGGCTGGGTGTTGGGTCCAAGGAGGTGGCTGTCCAAGGTCACACAGCCTGTGGGTCCTGGGCTGCCACCAGGGGGTCTCCCAACATCCCCATTCCGTCACCCATCTGTCCTTCATGCCCGTGATGGCAGCTTTATCCCAGGTCCCAGCAGAAGCCGCGGCTGCAGGGGCAGTTAGGCAGGCAGGTAAATAAGGCATCCTGGGCCGGGCGCGGTGGCTCACACCTGTCATCTCAGCACTTTGGGAGGCCGAGACCGGCGGAGTTGGAGACCAGCCTGGCCAACATGGTGAAACCCCGTCTCTACTAAAAATACAAAAATTAGCTAGGTGTGGTGGCAGGCACCTTATAATCCCAGCTACTAGGGAAGCTGAGGCTGGAGAATCACTTGAACCGGGGAGGTGGAGGTTGCAGTGAGCCAAGATTGCGCCATTGCACTCCAGCCTGGACAACAGAGCGAGACTCTGCTTCAAAAGATAAAAAAATTAAAAAAAAGGATTCCTGGAGGAGGCCGCTGATGGGGTCTGAAGAATGAGTAGCAGTTTTTTGGGAGAAGAGGCAGGAAAGCAGAGAAAGCTCGCATTGGGAGGGGAGGCTCACCTGGGGAAGGTCCCTGAGAGTGGGCTCCAGGGAGGGGAGGGGAGGGAAGGGGAGCCTCATTAGAGTTTCCTGACCTGCTCTGGGAAGCAGCTGTCTTGGGGCCACAGGTGAGGCTGGCAGATACTGCCTGGGAGGGGAAACTCGTGCGTGATTTCGAGCACCGGAGAGGACGGCCTGGAGAGGCCGAAAGAACTGCCCAGGGCCACACGGTGAGACGGTGGTGGCCGGGGCTGGCTTTTGATGAGGTGGGAGACAGAGGGCCACCCCTGACTGCTGTCCCCGCAGGGCGCTGACAGAGCTTCTGAAGCAGCCGGGCCCCCAGGAGCCACTGCCTCCCACCCTGGGCCCACCCCTGGGTGGCTGTGTCCAGGTGCAGATGGGGGACGGCCTCCCCCGGGGCTCCCCCCACAACAGCGCAGGTGAGTCGGTGGCGGGCGGGGCTGAGCGGCGGCGGAGCACGCGGAGGGGCGTGAGAGGCCGAGAGGCGGTCCCTCGGCTGGGGCATAGAGGCTTCCCCGGTGGAAATGAGCCGCGGCCTCTGCGGGTGAGGGGCCCGACCGGCCAGCCAGCTCGCCAGGGTGGAAAGGGACCCCCCACGGGTCCTGCGGCCTCGAGTCTGGGGGGCTGTGATGTGTGAGGAAGGTTCCAGATGCAGGATTTGCTGGCCGGGGCTGTGATCTGAGGCTCGGGCTCCAGAGCCTCCCCCTGGGTCTCTCGAGAGGCAGGCAGGCTTGGCAGCCCCCACGCCCCGTCTGGGTTCTGTTCCTCAGACATCCCCCGTCTCGGCGGGAGCAGGTCCCAGGACTCCGCGCCTGGCTCGAGCGTCGCCTCCGGGCGAGCCGTTCATGAGGGTGGCACCCCCCGGGCTGGCTGCCGCCGCCGCTGCGCGTGACTCGGAGCCAGGCCCTGTTCCAGGCGCTGGAGGCTGCGGCGAAGACAGGCTTGGCTCGCAGCCTCGCCCGGAGAACGGTCCCCCAGGTTCTCACCGAACGGCCTCGGGGAGAGGACTACGGAGAGGTGACAGCGAGGGCGGAGTGAACCGGGGCATCGGACCGAGCCGCGTCTCACTCCTCGCTCCAGACAAGAAGCGCCTCAACAACGCGCCCCGGGGGTCGGCCGCCCCGGGGCCCCCGCGCGGCCCGCGGCTGCAGGGCGGCGGCAGCCTGACGCTGCAGCCAGACTACGCCAAGTACGCCACGTTCAAGGCCGCCGCGCTCAAGGCCGCAGGTGAGTGGCGGGTGCGGGCAGCGTCAGGGCACCTGGGCGCACGAGCTCCCGGACTGCGAAGCGCGGGGCCGCAGCTCCAAGCGCCAAATTCCCAGTTCCGCGCGCCCGCCGCTCGGCCAATCGGCTCCCTCGCCCCAGCGGGCCCCGCCCCCGGCCCGCCCCGGCCCGGTCCCCGTCCCAGTCCCCGGCCGGGACCCCTTGTCCAGTCCTGAGCTTGGGTGCTCGGCGCGGCGTCACTCTTCCCTGCCCTGTCCCCGCAGAGGCCGCCCCGCGGGACTTCTGTCAGCGTTTCCCCGCCCTCGAGCCGTCCCCGCGGCAACCCCCGGCGCGGGCTCCGCGACCATCCCCGGACTTGCCTGCGCCGCTGGACGCCTGCCCCTGGGCCCCGCCGGTCTACGCGCCCCCTGCCGCGCCGGGCCCCTATGCCGCCTGGACCTCCAGTCGCCCGGCCCGGCCCGCCCCGCTCAGCCACCCGACGGCTCGGGCCTTCCAGGTACCCCGGCGACCCGGGCACGCGGCCCGGCGCCAGTTCAGTGTGAAGATGCCTGAGACCTTCAACCCGCAGCTCCCCGGCCTTTACGGCAGCGCGGGCCGCGGGTCCCGGTACCTAAGGACCAATAGCAAGACCGAGGTCACCGTGTGAAGCGGGGCCGCGGTGCCCTCGAGGCATGGGCTGGGGTCCTGTCTGCCCGTCGGAGCCTCAGGCCACAGGGAGAGGAGCGCCTGCCGTAAGGCCAGCTCTTCTGTCTGCCTCAACGGCAGTGGTGTCTTGGAGCCTGCAGGCCGCGGGTTCGTCTTGTAAATAAGCCCTTTTATGTGGTTCCTGCCCCTGAGAATAAAGAAGCCCCAGCGTGGCTGCGAGGCACCATTGGTCACTGACTGTACAGATGGCAGTGCAGGCAGAGGGCACGGCGAGTGCAAGGTTGGAGGACTGCTCCAGTGCACCGGCCAGAGCCAGGGGGAAGTGGCTGGAGAGGGGGGCCAGGGTTGAATGTCAGGGTTAATGCCCACCCCCGTGGGAGCCCTGGGAGAGAGGGAACAGTTAGACTTCAGCCATAGAAAGGCCCGGGCACAGGAGAGAGGGCTGTTGGGTCCAAGGCCCAGTGGGGGGTCCATGCCCTGTACTGAAGGTGAGCCCCCTCCAGCCGCCACTCTGCAGCTTGAGTTGGCTGAACCTGGCTGATGCTCACTGACCACTGGCTGTGGGCCAGCCCCTGGCCTGCAGGTCGCTTGGCCAGATTGGCCCCGGGCTACCCCCCTTAATGGGTGTGGGCCGTGTGGACATCTGGTGCTCCGGATGGGGGCGCCTCCTCCCAGGAGCTTCTCTGAAGGAAATGGGGGAAAAGCTGGAGCAGGGTCCCTGGCAGTGTCCCTCCGGGAGGGCTTCCTGCACCTGGCTGTGGTCCAGAGCACTGCTAGCAGTCTGCGTGCATCTTCCACAGAGTTCCTCTCCGCCAGGTAACACTGGGGAGGCTAGGGGTCAGGGCTGTGGCTGGTTGAGGTGTGTGATGTGGGGAGGCTAGGGGCCAGGGCTGTGGCTGGTTGAGGTGTGTGATGTGGGGAGGCTAGGGGCCAGGGCTGTGGCTGGTTGAGGTGTGTGACCTCAGCAAAGCCACCCAGGTGGGTCTGTTTCCCTCCTGAGTACCTGAAGTGTGGTGTACTGTTTTAAGAACAATGGCCACCATTTGTTGGCCTTTCTCAGGAAATCCACAAGCGCCTCAAGTGGGTGTGTCTTTACAGAGGAGGAAATTTGGGTTTTGAAACCTAAGTAGCTTGCCCAAGGTCACCCAGCAGACTCCCAGGTTAGGACTCTCCCGAATTGCTGTGAATCGGCTGGAATGGCAAGCAACAGGCAGTTTGGCTGGGAGGGAGGGTTCTGAGGGTTGGTAGGGAGGGGTCCCTGTTCCCAGGGTATATATAAACAGTCTGGAGCTTTCCTTCTGCTGGTTGGGCTGCCCTGAGGCCCCAGAACCCACCAGGCCCGGTCTCCGCTCCTGCCACAAAGGGTCCACCTCCCTGTCCCTTTAGGCTGTTAAGGAAACCAAGGCCTAGAAGCACCAGGACAGAGCTCTGGGCCCACGGTCCTGCCCCTGTCCCACAGCTGTGCAGAGCTGGAGGAGGGTGGGGGCTGAGGCATGGAGCCTACACAGACTCACAAAGGAATCTGGTTGCTTCTCACCCCACCTCCCACCCCCTGCTGGGCTGTGCCAAGAGTGGGCAATTCCCCCTGCTCATTCTCAGTTCCAAGGGCCCTGGATCTCCATCCCAGTGGAGCCAGGCTGAGGCTGTGGGCAGTGGCCATCCCTGAAAATGATGGAGCTGTGCACGGGACCAGCTGCAATTGGGCCTCACCGGGCTGCTCTGGTCTCAGGGTAGCCTGCTGTGACTACCCTTCAGAGAAGGATGTGGCTCATAGCTGAGGGATTCAGCCACATGCTCAGTCACATCCTGACTCCTCTTGCGACGAGGCCCAGCACTCCCATCCCAGTCTGTGGTCCTGTCCCCTGGTGTGTCTTACGCCAAGCCTGGCCTCACCAGCCACACAAGGCACTCGCTGTAAACTTGCATCCCATCACTCAGTCCTGGCAGACAAGCCTTTGGAGCTGCAGTTCATGGCTGAGCTTAGCTTCCCAATTCTGCACACGTGGAAGTGGAGACTGAGGCCAGGTCCCACCCCAGGTGACCCAGCTGGGAAGCACAGGACCTGGACTTGGATCTGACTTGTGGGCCAGTGAGCCTCCTGGCTCAGAGGATCACTGACTTCAGGGAGGGAGAAACTAAGGAGCAGTTTACCCAGTGGGGGAGAGGGTCAGCACCCCAAATCTGTCAGCCAGCCTGCATTACATCCAGGGAACAAGCTGGAACCTGGATACAGTGACCTCTGACCCCCAAAGTGCCACCCACAGCCCTTTTATCCCAGGCTGGAGGGTGCGCCAGGCACCGGAAGGAAGGTGGACAAGGGAGGCCCATTAGACTGAAGCCAGGGGCCCTCTCAGCAGTTGGGGGGCTGCCCTCAGTCCCTGGCCCATTGCCTGCCAAGTCACGCAGCCCCTTGGCTGGGCACCACAGCAGTCGCACTACAGACCCTCACACACCTCGTGCTGGGTGGTACCAATCTGTGTTTATTGAATATGTCTGGGACACAGTGACTGATTGATTGAACATCAAGAAAGCTATAGGTGTACCCCCCTTTTCAGTGAAAAACCACCCCCTCCCACACCCAAACAATAGTGAGAAAAGGCACAGGACATACACACAACACGCAGGCGGGCAGGGTCCATAAATTACAGTGAGAGTAGGGGAGGGGCAGGAGAGAAAGAAAGCAGGTGGGGTCCAAGCACACCCCAGGGATAACATTCCAGCCTGCATCAAGGTGGCCCTGCTGTGAGCACCCCCCAGTCTGTGCTGGGGCTCCTGCCCACCCTCTGCTCCAACCAGCCTGAGGATGAGGCACAGGGAGGCAGGGCCCATCACTCAGGAGGCCATGGGAGAAACAGTCTCCGGGAGGTGCTGCACCTGGGGACCCAGAAAAGTAGGACTTTTTCTCCTAGGACCCGCATCGAGGCAGGGGACCTCATTCCTAGTGCCCACCATAGGCAACCCTCTGCCCACTCTGAAAAGAGGGGCTTGCCGCTGGGGAGGGATTAGGGGTTGGTCCCTGCCATCCTGGTTTATTTATTTTCAGCTCAAGAATTAATTAGGTTTAAATATATACAGATATGCCTCAACTTACCATGGGGTTACTTCCTGATAAACCCATCATAAATGAAAATATCCTAAGTCACAAATTCATTTAATACCCCAACAGACCAATTGTAAAGTTGAAACATGGTTTAAGTTGAACCACTGTTAAGTTGGGGACAGTCTGTACTGTGGAGGTAGGAGATGGGGTAGGGGGAGGAGGGAACCTAGAAGCCATGCTGAAGGCCCCTGGTCCCCAGTCCCCATGGGTGGCTTCATTTCTCCCAGCCCCCTGGGCCTACCCTGAGCTTGGGCTAACATCCTAGGAGGCGGGGAGTGGGAAGGAACAGGACAATTAAATAAGATACCATTTATTTTTTAAAAAATTAAAAAATAATGCCAACATTATTTCATGCATCCGCAGGCCTGCCCCCTGCCTCCCACCAGCCTCCCAGGGCTGGGCCCCCCTCCTCCCCTGGCTGTCCTGTGTAATAAAGGGAAAAACAATGAGCAGGCTCAGTCAGGCCCAGGGGAGGGAACGCAGACCCAGGGAGAGAATCAAGACGCTACAGCAACTCAGCCTCGCATCATGGCAAACCCAAGCACACTGGTAGAAAACATTCGTATAAAAAGGGGAGGGCATGCTGGGCACAGGCCTGAGGGCAACTGCTCCCTGGTGCTCAGAGACTGCTGTCCCCCAGAGAAAGCCTGATAAAAACTGAGGAAGCAAAAAGGAGAGAGTAGGGTTCAGGAGAGAGAAACTCAGGAAGGCTGGAGGCAGGGGCTTGGCAGCTTGGGAGCTCCCCCTGCTGCTATCAAGTCAGGGCTGCCCAGTTTCTGCCCTGCCACCTATCCTCTCACGCCCACCAGGCCCTGGACCATGGGCATCTAGTGACAGCAGCTTTAAGGGGCTCTGCCCAGGGGTGCACTGGCCTGAGTGGCCCAGAAGCCTCGGCAGGTGACAGCTAAGAAGACAAGGCTCTTCCCCACCACTCTCAGCGGGAAGATGCTGAGGGGGAGAGAGAGAAATCGAGAGAGAGGTGGAGGGGTGGGCTGAGCCTGGTGGTCAGGAGGCGGCAATGGCAGTGCCACCACCCAGCTTAACAATCATCTGCTGGCAGTCGTTGCAGGAGCGCCGGTCGCCCACCTTCTCCAGGGTGCGGGCAGCTTCGGCCAGCAGCACTGCCCGCTGGCCCGGGGAGGAGAGGAAGGAGAGGGGCAGGTGGCGGCAGGCCAGCAGGATGGCGGTGGCCCGCTCTCGCTGGCCGGGCCAGGCATCCACCTCTCCTGTGGGAAGGAGATGTGTGTCACAACCGAGAATCTACCATGAAGTTGGTGCAGTTCCTTGGCGTTACCTGGACTCATTCACTGAACGCTCACATCCATCCTGGGAGGTGGGGTCTGCTGCCCCACCCAATCCACGGAAAAGAAGTGAACTTGTCCAGCCTCTCACGGCCAGCCCGTGGTGGGGCTGAGATGGGCCCACATGACCTGGCTCGAGCTTCTGCTTCTATGCCTGCACCTGTGCTGGGACGCCACCCCAACCCTCCTTCCCTGATCACAGCATGACCCATGACCACCCCAACCCCTGCAACCCACCAAGGGCGGCCTCGGGCTTCTTTCATTCTCAGAGAGGCGAGAGGTGTGCTGGGCACCAATGCCAGATGTGGGAGCTGGGCTGGCCCCTCTTCTCCTCTCTTCCTAGGGCGCAGGGCCTGGCCCAGCCTGTGAGCTGGGGAGGGGTGGACTCACCGTGCTTGGTGCTCTGCGTGGTGCGCCGCCGCAGGCTGTGTTCCAGCAGCTGGTGGGTGCGGGTGGGGCTGGCTCCTGCCATCAGGCGCACGGTGGCTTCATGCAGGAACACCTGGGGAGGTGCCGGGGTGACATCCATCACACCCCTGGTCCCCACCCATCTATGCCCAGGGTAGCTCTCCCTGAGCCATCTCGCCTGCCACCTCATGACATCCCTTCCCACACCACCCTGCCTTGCTCACCCCTGAAAAGCAACCTCTGTTGTCCCGTACTCTGACCCTGAGCCAGGCAGGAAACCTGGCTGAACAGCAGGAGCAGGATGAGAGGAGAGAGAGGCAAAAGGCCTGCTTTTCCCAACTGGTGACAAGAAAGCCCTGGACGCACCTCGTGGGGCTGGTAGACAAGTGCCCTGGGTGAAGCCCCAAGGCCCTGGAGGCTGCCTGCAGTTTGACAAAAGGACAGGTGTGACAGGGACAGAGGGGTGAGGAGGGACAGTTGGGCTGGTACCAGAGAGGTTTGGTATCCTCTTTCCGTATCTTTAGAAAGGAAGAGAGTCTAGAGGTGTGCGGGTAAAGTCTGCAGCGCTTAGGTATGAGCCACTGGTGGGTGAAGGGCAAGGCTGAGGTCTGTCATTTCTTAAAATCTCAAGCTCTTTTTGATGCCTTTATATCTCAGTCTTCAGGGAGGGTCTTCAGTGCTGCCAAGTGGATTCTGGTCCTGGTAGGCAATGGGGAGCCGCTGATGGGCTCTCAGCAGGGAGCAGCAGAATGGAAATGGTATTTAAGAGGAGGCCTTTGGACCAGGCGAGGTGGCTCACACCTGTAATCCCAGCACTTTGGGAGGCCGAGGCAGGAGGACAGCTTGAGGCTAGGGGTTTGAGACCAGCCTGGGCCACATAGCAAGACCCCATCTATTATGAAAAAAAGGCCACTGATGCCAGCCATGCTGTGAGCAGACCAGAGAGCTGACCAGAGTGGGCTCCAGGAGGCAGGGGTGCCGCTCCAGGCCTGGGGTACATGCCCTCTTCTCCACAGTAAGGAATGGCTCTCCGATGATACTGTCTGTTGTGTCTGTCTTGGCTTGCTGCACACAGTGGCCACAGTGCAACCCTGGGTGGGCCCCGCAGCACCTCAGGGTGATGGGTGTGGGGGCTGAATCCCAAGCTCCACGGCAGCAGCCTCGCTCTGAGGCCTTCTTCCAGCCCAGCCCGTGCCCCCTCAATGACACTTGAGTCATCTCACTCAAATTTTTAGAAAAAAATACAGGTACAAATATGTTGAATACATTATATAGCAATACAAATAAACAAAAAAGGAAATAGCTGGAGCCTGGCAAGCCCAGTCATAGAACTTTCCTCCGTGACTTAGTTCAGATCACGTGGCCACTGCCAAGGGGATGTTACCCAGCAGCAGAACCGAAGCCTCTAGCTACTGTGAAAAAGAATGAAAGTCAACGTGGAGCTCGGGACCAGGCCAGGAGCCCTGACTTGCCACCATTGCCCTCAGAGCCCTCCCACCCAGCATGTGCCTGGGGAGGCACAGCTCCCTGCTGGCCCCTGTCTGTGGCAGCAAAGTGTGGCCTGCTCCCTGCTGAGCTCCAGGGCCAGGCATACAGCAGGCACTCAACCAATGTGTGCTGAACACAGGGACACATGGCGCCTAGCCCAGTGTTGGGCACGAGCCAAGCAGGTGCTCGACAGGTCACCAGGCTGACCTCAGAGGGCCAACTCCACAACCACATGCTGGTGCCCATGCTGGGTTCTGGGCTCAGGCCCCACAGGCTCCAATCTGCCCTGCCCCACCAGCCAGCTGGGCCTCACCTTGCGGTATGCTGGGCGGAAGCTGTGTGCCAGCCTGCGCAGGCTGCCCAGGTCCCGTTGGAAGCCCGCCAGTTCAGCGCCTGACGCGTGGTAGGTCTCCCCCACAGCCTGGCTGGCACTGGCCTGTTTTTGCCAGAGCGCTGTCCGTAGCGACAGTAGCAGGTCACAGGTGAGCAGCTGGACCACCTGTGGGGTCAGCCACGAGAGAGGGGAGACAGGTGACTGGCCCATCCCTGAGGCAAGGATCCTAGCACCTACCAGGCCTCTCCCCAGACCAACACTCAGCAGCTCTGGGAGGAAGTGGAGAGCCCCAGAGTCTGGTGAACTCCGCAGGACGTGAGGGAACAGCTCAGGGGAGAACCAGTTCCTTCCATGGCCCCAGGAGGTGGGAGACAAGCCCTCCCCATTCTGCAGGTGAGAAAGCAAGGCTCTGACAGGGACAGCAGCTTGTATAGGGAATACAGCACAGGCAGGTGGCAGGGGCAGAAATAAAACCCTTGTGGGTTGAAGGCGCAGGTTCTTCCACCCCATGGGAGTCCCACCATGGCTGGCTAGGAGGCTGAGATACCCACAAGGTACCAAGGAAAAGCCTGAAGTGGCAGCAGAGCCTGTCGATGGGGCTGGGGGAAGGAGGAGGAGGAGTGGGAGAGGGAGACAGGTGTCTCAGAAGACAGAACCACAGAGTGCCTTAGTGCTTGGGGACTAGGCCTACTGACCCGGCTTTGCCACTTACTAGCTACATGACCCTGGCATAGGACTTAGTCTCTCTGAGCCTCAGTTTCTTCATTCAAAAAAATGTAAATGGCACCATCACAGGGCTGTTGTATCATATGAGAAGGTACTGCATGTGGGCCATGCATACTCTCTGCCTACGACCTATGGGGCTGGGCTGCCCACCCGGCTCGCAGTGGCACACCTGCACGACACCGAGCAGTGAGGAGTCCTTGTTGAGATGGGCCGCAAGCAGCCCTCCGGTCCTGATGAACTCCCTCAGGCTGAGCCTCATCTCACCCAGCCCTGGCTTTCCTCCTTCCCAGGACACTGGGCCTGAGGAAGACCCTGCCCTGTCCCTGCACAAGGCCTTGATCCTTGCCTACACTGTTTTCTGGCTGTTGTGTGCTTCAAGGGGATGTGGAAAAGGATCCCTCTCCTCAAAACCTGGCACTTCTAAGCTGTGCATGCTGCAGAAGCACCTGTGGGCATGGAGGCAGCAGGCCTATGTCTGGATTCTGCCCTCCGAGGGCCATCAGGCTGCATGGCGTTGTCTTCTAGGCTCACTTTCCTACCACAGAGCTGCTACCAAGGAACCCCAGTCCAAAGGGTGGCTGCAAGCCTCTCATTCCCCAAACTGAGCCTGTACTGTTTGGTTCTCTCATGAAGACAAATACGGAAGAGACTAATGGAAAGCCCAAAAGAGAAGGTGAAATGTGGCTCACCATCTGCCTTTGGTCTTGGCAGCCCAGGGCATTTGGGCACCCCCACCAGCTTTTTTTTAAAGATGGAGTCTCGCTCTGTTGCCCAGGCTGGAGTGCAGTGGTGCAATCTCGACTCACTGCAACCTCTACCTCCTGGGTTCAAGTGATTCTTCTGCCTCAGCCTCCTGAGTAGCTGGGATTACAGATACATGCCACCACACCTGGCTTATTTTTGTATTTTTAGTACAAACGGGGTTTCACCATGTTGGTCAGGCTGGTCTCGAACTCCTGACCTCAGGTGATCTGCCCACCTCAGCTTCCCAAAGTGCTGGGATTACAGGTGTGAGCCACCGCGTCCAGCCAGTTTGGGCCTTTTCTGCACATTGCCTGTCCCTGTAGGGGCTGCCACGCTGTCCTGGGTTCATCCCAGTGCCCAGGTCCACTGACAATATCTAGCTTGAAGTACTAGCCTAGCCAGCTAAGACCAAGCCCCAGGGAGTGGCTGAGAATCTGAATCTCCAGGACTCTCCCGGTCCCTCCCACTCTGGAGCTAAGGACATGTTCCCCGTAGACCAGGTGATGCTCCACTTTCAGCTGGGTGCCCTCCTGTTTCCTGGGATGGCTGTGACTTGGGCCCCAACAGTGGCAGCAGTGCCCTCTATCAGGATCCCCTCCCCCACCTGATAGGGCCTTCAGTCAGGGCAGTCTCTCGAGGGCCAGGCAGGCCTCTGTGATGCACTGTGGAAACATTGCATGGGTACCACCAGAACATGCAATGCAACTACAATGCACCACAGCTGCCCGCCAGGAGGTATGCGGCCAGCCAAGGAGGTGCCCAGGGTGGTCTTCAGCTCTGTTTGTGTGCCCGAGGGGGCAGGAACCCACTCCAAGGCTGCCTGCAGAGGCCTGGGAAGTCACGCAAACCGCTGGAGCAAATGCAGGTGAACCCCTGGCCAGCTGGGGTGCACCTGGGCTTACAGAGGCTATGGGCCAGCAGGACCTGGGACTCTGGGAGCCTAAGAAAGGTGCAGGTAGAAACACACTTGCCTCAGAGGCTGAAAAGGGATGAAAAAGGAGTCCACCTAGGCCAATAAGCCGTAACTTTTTTGAAAGGGGGCTGCTGTCCTGGTTTCTCTGTCTTTCGGATGGCCCCACCCGCAGGGTCAGCATGAGGTGAGTGGGAGTGTTCTCGTAAACCAGTGCAGAGCACCTCCCCCAGGGGCCAACTCAGCTCCCACTCACGTGGTTGAGGGCAGGGTCAGAGGTGGCCCCACTGACGTTGAGGCTGCTCCATAGGTGGCCACTGGCCCTCTCGCAATGGCAGAAGGAACTCTGCTGCCCATCTGCTTTCCCAGGGAGTGAGGCATGCATGGCTCTGCAGGCATGGAAGATGGCCTTCACCAGGGGGCTCCTGCAGCAGTGACAGGGAGTCGAGAGGCAGGTCACTATGTGTCACCTGCGTGACAGGCAGAGGGGCCCAAGCCAGTGACTGCCACGCCCCACACTGATATGACATGTGCATCTGTTGACTCCAATGCTGCCACTATGGCACCATGCCACCAGCTCCAGATCTGAAATGCCAGCCCTGAGCTAGGGTTAGCGCCCCACCCTTTAGCACCTTCATTCAATGCTGGAAGTCAGAGACACAGGCTTCACCATCACGTCTGCTGCTAAGAAGCCACCCAAGATAGTCATTCCAACGTGTGCCTCAGTTTCCTTACCTATAAAGTGGCCACAATAAGGTGTTGTACCCGTTCTTTAAGGGACCACCCCCCCAGAGATGTGGTATTAAACTCTCTGGAGATACTTAGTTAGCTTCTTTCTGTAGAGGAGACTGGGAGTGGAAGGGGAGGCTAGGGATGGGGGAGGGTTCTCATAGCATCCTAGTCCCTGAAAAGCAGAGGGACCCAGGGGTAAGTGAATCCAGCAGGCAGCAGTGCCTGCAGGGGTGTCTTGGCTGTCCATGGAAGCTCTGCTGCTCTGGAGCGAGGTGACTTTGGACAACTTACCTGCTGAGTCTCAGTGTCCTCAGGCACATCGACTGGGGGAGACACACATACAGGTGGAATGCTATACCGGGCTGGGTGCTTACCTAGTCAGAGTGCTTACAAATGGGGCTACTTCAATGAAATTAGGGTGTCACATCTACTTCAGGGAACAAAGGACTTCAAGCCTGTGTATACTCACTCTTCTCAGCTCCTTCCTGTGCGCCGGTTAAGGGTCTGCTTGATAGGAAATGCTACAGCCTTGGCTCTAAGGATAGGACCTCGTGGGGCCTTTCTGTCTTGGAGCATTTTACAGTTTCTCTTAGAATACTCAGATCCAATTAGAAACAGCCGGGGAGTCAGCAGGCAGGGCTGCCCATCACTAGTGCCGAATGCCCCCAAGACGCAGACATGAATCTCCAAAGAGGAATGTCAAAAGCTCTCCGGTTATGCCATGTGCTAAAGGCTATTTTAGTTACAGGACAAAGTTGCCAGGGTTGATGGTGGGGGTGGAGGTGGCTGGAAGGAAAGTGGATAAAATGCTAGCACACAGGGGCAAGATGCTCCAGTGCACATGAGTTTTGGGGGCAACAGTGGCCTCTCTGCACTGATTGTGAACCACCAGTGCCTGCCTCCACCACAAAGCTTCTGAAGATGCTGGGGGCCACACTGCTCTCGTCTCTTCTTTTCAGCCTGTGGCGCCATGAAGGCTGCAGGGAGGAGGACCCGGACACAGTGCTGACAGCTGCTGGGACAACTGTCGTGTTGTGCAGAGCAGGACACTTGCACAGAGGACCTGCTGGCCCAACTTGAGTTCTCCATGGTGCCCTCACCCCCGACTTTTCTAGCCGCCCACCTGTCATGCAGTCCTGACCCTTCACCCCAACACGCCCACCCAGTCCAGTTTGCTCCTGCTAACTCAAACAAGATTCCCCTGGAGAGAAGCAAGTGAGTGGCCAAGGAGGGTTACGCACTCTGTCACTTCCAGGGCCTTGGGGATGCGTTCCACTTTGGTAAAATGAGAGCGCACAGCTGCATCGTCTCCCTGGAGCCAGCTGATGGCCACAGTGATTGCAGACGTCCACCACCGACAGATGATGTCTGGACCTAGAGGAGAACAGCACCAAACGCACTCCAGCACCCACAGAAACGAGACCTGTGGCGCTCAGAGGCTGCTACACTTCCTTCCTAGGAGATGGGTAACATCTTTGCCTGCTGGGAACGGGCCAGCAGCCTCTGGGCTCCCACACCCAGGATTCTGGGGGAGGGGAATAGACCAGCACAATCTTGGAAAGTGTTTGGCAATATATATCAAGAGCCTTAAAAATGTTCATTCCTGGTTGGCCGCGGTGGCTCACGCCTGTAATCCCAGCATTTTGGGAGGCTGAGGCAGGTGGATCACCTGAGGTCAGGAGTTTGAGACCAGCCTGGCCAACATGGTGAAACCCCCTCTCTACTAAAAATACACAAAAAAATTAGCTGGGCATGGTGGCGGGTGACTGTAATCCCAGCTACTAGGGAGGCTGAGGCAAGAGAATCGCTTGAACCTCGGTGCGGGCGGAGGTTGCAGTGAGCCGAGATCGTGCCATTGCACTCCAGCCTGGGCAACAAGAGTAAGACTCCGTCTCAAAAAAAATAAAAAAGTTCACTCCCGTTAAGCTAGTAATCCCATTTTTGGCAGTCTGTCATAATGAAACTGGCTTAGAGAGAAAAAAGTTTAACACATATTTGACTGCAGTGTTGTTTTTAAATAAAAAGATGGATACAACCTAAGCTTTCAATAGCCATAAAGAATGGTATCTTCAAAGTATCTGGAACAGGCTCCTGTTAGAATATTTTAAGTCTTCTCCTCTCTCAGCCTTAGTTTTCTCAACTGCAAAATGATGACAGTAGTGATCCCACAAAACCAGCGGGGATGGTCATGCTTCCCTAAACTTGAAAACAGAGGCCACAGGTCAGGGATCATGATAGGGTGGCTGATTTTCTGGGATCCCTCCCTCCCTAGGGAGAGTGACCAGCGGTAGCTTGGTACCCCCATCTTCCAGGGTGGCCACAGAAGCCCAAGAGTTGGCAGCTGATGTGCTATCATCCTGATGGCAGTTTAGGGACAGAAGCAAAGAAATGTCATGATGTCAATCCAGTCAGTGGGCTGTGCTGTGACACTGATGTGATGAGGGGCTGAGGAGTGGTAGAGAGGCCCAGATGAAAAGTCTCTTCAGCAAAGAGCATAAGGCCCAAGAGCTGCCTCAGGGGCCACTGTGCATCTGAAAGGTGACTCCCCACCATCCCTGGTGCCTGGGCCACTCATTGCTTGTTCTTCTGGGCATTAAGAAGGGTCCTCACCTGGGTCACACAGCTAGGGCTTGAGGAAGACATTCAATTACTCATTGCCCTACTTCTCTGAAAACCATAGTTTCCTGCCTCTGAGTGCTGTTTGGGAGGGGGTGACTGTGAACTGGAGCCACAGGTATGAACCTGGGATCCAGAGAAGATGCTGGCATCTACACTCCTAACGCCCTGGACCCCTGGGGCAAAAGCACTGTGAAGACCTGAACTGAGCACCCTGAGACTGTGGGCCACCCGCAGGTGCTTACCCAGGGCGGACTTGAGCACGGAGCTCCTGGAGAGTGGGGGGCTCATAACCCCCACAGAGTCCACAAAAGAATGAAGTAATTTCAAGTACTCCAGAGCACTGGAGAATTCACTAGGAAGAAAAGAAAGGGTCCCATGTACATCAAAACATATACACAAGGCCCACCTCATGGCCTAGCTGTTCAGCTCTCCAGCTCTAAGACCCAATGGCCATTTCTGTCCCTTTCCTGTCATCCCAGGCACACGCAAGCGCTGTCTATGTGTACCCTTTGTATTCCTCAGGCATCCTTCCTCCGTGTCTCTGGGCTGTCACTGACACTCTTCCCTCTACTGGGGGCCTTTCCCTAGCATCCCCCACAGCCTACCCTCACTCCTCTCCTTAAGCCCCAAGTCCAGTGTCATCTCCTCCCAAAAGTTTTCTTATCTCCCAGGCAGAACTGCCCCCTCCCCCTCTCCTCAGGTGCACCCTAATCAGGATCTGGGCCTTGTAGGAAAGTGACTTTGGGGCCGGGCACGGTGGCTCACGCCTGTAATCCCAGCACTTTGGGAGGCCAAGGCAGGCAGATCACTTGAGGTCAGGAGTTCCAGACCAGCCTGACCAATGGTGAAACTCTGCCTCTACCAAGAAATACAAAAATGAGTCGGGCATGGTGGCGCGTGCCTGTAATTCCAGCTACTTGGGAGGCTGAGGCAGGAGAACCGCTTGAACCCAGGAGGCAGAGGTTGCAGTGAGCCAAGACTGTACCACTACATTCCAGCCTGGGTGACAGAGTGAGACACTGTCTCAAAAAACCCCCCAAAAAACAAACAAAAATAACAAAAAACAAAAGTGACTTTGGCACCTATCTGCCTCTCAGGTCTTACTCTGTGAAAGAAGGACTGTGCTCAGTAAGTATGTCAGAGAGAAAAATTGCCCGGCACATTCCATGAGGGGCTGGGTCCCCAAGATGTCCAGGCCAGATGTGTCTGCCTTCTGCTGAGCTCGTCACATTTCATTCCCATCCCCTTTCTTTTTTTTTTTTTGAGACAGAGTCTAGCTCTGTCACCCAGGCTGGAGTGCAGTGGCGCAATCTTGGCTCACTGCAAGCTCCGCCTCCCGGATTCATGCCATTCTCCTGCCTCAGCCTCCGGAATAGCTGGGACCACAGGCGCCCGCCACCACGCCTGGCTAATTTTTTGTATTTTTAGTAGACGGGGTTTCACCGTGTTAGCCAGGATGGTCTCGATCTCCTGACCTCGTGATCTGCCCACCTTGGCCTCCCACCCAAAGTGCTGGGATTACAGACGTGAGCCACTGCACCCAGCCCCCATCCCCTTTCAACAGGCCCCTGCTCCCTACCCCAAAAAGCAGAGCAAGCTAATGAAATCCCTGACTTGGTCCAAGTACTGACTCCGCTTGGTAAAGGGATACATAAAAATGGGTGCACCTGCCAGGCGTGGTGGCTCATGCCTGTAATCCCAGCACTTTGGGAGGCCGAGGCAGGCGGATTGCCCGAGATCAGGAGTTCAAGACCAGCCTGAATGACATGGTGAAACCTCATCTCTACTAAAAGTACAAAAATTAGCCAGGCATGGTGGTGGGCGCCTGTAATCCCAGCTACTTGGGAGGCTAAGGCAGAAGAATCACTTGAACCCGGGAGGCAGAGGTTGCAGTGAGCTGAGACTGGTCCATTGCACTCCAGCCTGGGCAACAAGAGCGAAACTCCATCTCAAAAAAAAAAAAAAAAAAAAAGGCCTGGGCATGGTGGCTCACGCCTGTAATCCCAGCACTTTGGGAGGCTGAGGCAGGCGGATCACGAGGTCGAGACCATCCTGGCTAACATGGTGAAACCTCGTCTCTACTAAAAATACAAAAAATTAGCCGGGCATGGTGGCAGGCGCCTGTAGTCCCAGCTACTCAGGAGGCTGACACAGAAGAATGGCGTGAACCCAGGAGGCAGAGCTTGCAGTGTGCCAAGATTGCGCCACTGCACTCCAACCTGAGTGACAGAGCGAGACTCCGTCTCCAAAAAAAAAAAAAAAACGCACTTGGTCTAGGAGGAAAGGCCAGGTCAGAGTTAACATAGGGCTCTCATTTTTGAGAAATTAAATACAAAGGAACCATTTGATTGCCCTGCCAACCCGATGCCAGGCTTGTTTCCCTCCAGGAGTGCAGGCCTTCAGGCTGTCCTGGAGTTGCCTGCGTGGACAGGTCCTAAGGCAGGGGGACTGGTCTGGGGACTTTACCAGCTCTCTTCTTCCTGGTCTCCAGCCTTCTTCTTGGCCTGAGGTTTCACCAAGGACTCTATAGCTCGCTCCAGCAGGTTCTTGCAGAAGGCCTGGTGGACCTGCGCAATGGGGTCAGCTGGAAAAGAGACAGGCAAGGGGGGTTAAATGGAGCTCATTTATGAGCCCACTTTGTCTTTACGGAGAGAAACTCCAAACACAGCCATGCCTTGTGAATGGGGATCAGATGCCCCTTCTCCACCAAAGCCCAGAACTACTGTGCTAAACAGTTGGAGGATGGGGGAGAGTGTTCACTCCCAGCCTGAAGAGCTCAAGACTAGTTCTGGATGAGCTCCGGTGGGGAGGGGGTGTGGGGGAGGGTGCTGTGTCTCCTGGCACAGTGCTCAGTACTCTAAGGTTGGGAGCTGTCAGGTGGAGTTGGATCAGAAAACAGAAAATGGAATGTCTCAGAGGATTTCTCTTCTCCATGTGGCTAAGGAGAACCACCAGGCAAGGAAAAAAAGGTGGTAGCTGCTGCCACGCTCATGACAACGAAGAACATGCTCCGGTTTTTCCAGAGCCTTGTCATGGAACGTGCCATCAGCAGTGACCTGTCTGAACTGGCTAGACACGGGGCCTTGCAATGCTTGGATAGCTGACTGTCACCAGCAAGTTTCTTTACTGGCAGGCCTCAAATCACCAGCCCCTTCTCTCTCCTCACATGTGGCAGATATGTGGGCCTCGATCTAATGACCAGGAGGAGGGACACTTATGAACACATTCCAAGTAACAAGGCCTGGAGCCAGAGACTGCCAGAGATGACAAAGCCACTGAGAAGTCCATGTTTAGCCAGCAGGGGTGGGGTAGAAAGATTTAGGATTGCTTTTGCTTTCATCCTTTATATTTTGGTGTTGCACACAATTCTCACGTTGAGCAATACAGTTATTATTTAAAAAAGAAAAGGACAGTGAACTCCCCCAATGTGTGACACACACCCCTATACCTGTAGAACCTTACTCTCCCCACAGACTCCAATTCTGAGAGGGGAGGAAAAGTACAGCAGAAAGCAGACAGCCACTGAGCACTCAAGGTCTAAGTCAATCCTGACCAGCCTCTACTGCTCCAAGGCCGGGCGAGTCAACTCCAATCACTATCAAATGCCAGGGACAGAAAGCCAGCACCTCCTTCCAATGCCTGAAGCCTCGTCCCTGTCACCACTCTGAGCAGTTGATGACTGCCTGCCACCTATTGTTCCCAAACTCTCCATTTATGTCTGTCTGCTCTCCCAATGGGAGAGACCTGGAGGCCAGGGAAAGCAAGCCTCACACATCCTTTGTGTCTCCAAAGTGCCCAAAACAAGGGCTAAGAGTACCCTTGGAGCTTAATCACAATTTATTGCTGTGTGATGTAAGGACCATGGGCTCTGAATGTTAGAGAGAGCAGAGCTGCACACCCAGCTTAGCCACTGACAATTTCTGATCAGGCTTGTGACCTTAAGCAAGTTACTCAACCTCCCTGAGCTTTGGTTCAAACAAACAAACAAACAAACAAACAAACGGACTCAACAAGATTAAGAGACAACCCGTGTCTCCGCGTGTCTGGTGCAGTGACTCTGTAGTACCGGCGGTTTGCATGGCTTTCTCCAATTCTGAATGGCTCCAAGGTATTCTCACCTGGGTTCCTCTGGGCACAGTATAGACTCTCCTTGGCAGCTGACTTCACAGACCAGCTCCGCTCCATGAAAAACTTCTGGCCCAGGGGGTGGCAGAGCCAGCGCAGGGAGTCAGGAACAGCACTGTGCTCGGGGCCACACAGGCTCTGGGCTCGGCTGAGGAAGTAGCTCTGTGGAAGGACAAGGACCAGGGGTAACACCAAGGTGGCAGAATGCTGGCTGCAGCCACTGTGGGGTGCAGAAAGCACCATGGTGGAGGTGGGCTTTGGGGGAGACTGGGAAAGATCAGCACAGGGATAGGACTCCCACAGGTACCTGAAAGTAAAGCCCACCATGGAAACTAGGGCAAGCCCACCAGTAGAGTGTGCTGGACTTGCTGACTAGGTCCACATCCCAGCAGGAGGGCAGGGAGCAGCCACAAGGCACGCGTGGGGCCCCTGCTGCATCCTGTCCTGCTGGGGCTGCCTGATCCTACTGGCATTCAACCTGCAGGGTAAACTAGGAAGGCGGTTTCCCAAGGAGGGGTCTCAGGGGCCCCCTGGCTGCTGTACTTTCCCCTCGGCCCCGAGAGTGCCAAGCCAGGCAGCCCCTTCTATCCTGGGACTTTTTATCATGTCATTTTTTTTTTTTTTTTTTTTTGAGACGGAGTTTCGCTCTGTCGCCCAGGCTGGAGTGCAGTGGCGCGATCTCGACTCACTGCAAGCTCTGCCTCCCGGGTTCACGCCATTCTCCTGCCTCAGCCTCCCGTGTAGCTGGGACTACAGGCGCGCGCCACCATGCCCGGCTAATTTTTGTATTTTTAGTAGAGACGGGGTTTCACCGTGTTAGCCAGGATGGTCTCGATCTCTTGACCTCGTGATCCGCCCGTCTCGGCCTCCCAAAGTGCTGGGATTACAGGCGTGAGCCACCGTGCCTGGCCCATCATGTCATTTTAATTACATATCTTTTAGACTATTTTAGGCAAAATTATTCTGCTTTGACTAATTTTTCTTTTACTTTTACTTTGCGTGTAAAGTTTAGAACAGTGCTCGGCACATGGCCAGCCGTCAGGGTCACATCAGATGGCACTGGAGTGAAGGGGCAGCTGGGAGGACAGCCCAGGCCCTGTACAGGCAAGTATCTGTGTGCAGGTGGTTGAGAGACTCCCCCCACAAAGCTGGCCCTGCAAGGGCGGCCCCCTACAGAAACCCCATGGCACCCCTGCATGAGCCCCTGATGTGAACACCAGCCTGCGAGAAAGAACAGAGGGGGAACCTGGAAAGCCTCTTTGTGGGACAATTCAAAGAGCCAGGGCCCCGGTCACTGGGCCCCTCCTCCACTTGCCGGGATAACATCATTCCAGGACCCCACTGACAAGAACTGCAGGGACAATACCATCTACCACGTTTTCAGTTCTGTCACTTTTTGAGTGAGGGTATTTTCACACTAACACCCATGACTTCCAACCCATAACCACTCCCCGAAACAGGCCAGGGTGAGTGAGGAACTGAGGACAGAAGACAGGAGGGAGGGAGAAGCATAAGATAGAAAGCCCAGGGAGCCCAGGGGCGGGGCTGCCAGGCCGAGGCCCGCAGACATCGCTTCCACACCCCAGCCCTCGCCCCCACAGGAGCAGCGCTGTTTCATGGTCTGGTTCAGTCTGATGGTTCTGACCTTTACTGGGCTCTAAGTAGCCATCAGCGAATGTAACGGCTTCAGAAGACTTGAATGCCAGGGTCAGAAATAGCACTGTCAGAGTGCCACTCGAGGACACAGACAGAGAAGACTATCTCTCTCCAGGGGGAACCTGGAGACACTGCCTGAGTCTGAGAGAAAACAACCTGTTCTATAGACACATACTCATAATCTCAAAGCAGCTTATGAGATGAGGTGGGGTGTTTCACTTACATTTCTAATCACTGGGACCAGGGGCACCAATAGTCCGTCCTTCCTCTTTGGTAACCAGTGTTGATACTGGATACTGGAGAACAAATGTAGAGGACCCTCGCGACCCTCTGCCAACCTTCCACAAAGCACTCACTGAATCTGAGCTGATAACTGCAATGGTGGGAGAATAGCAGTTGAGGAGCTGAGCAGGGAGGGAGATTGGGGGGTGGTGGCGTGATTCCTGGGCTTCGGAGGTCCCAGAACATTTGAACGGTTGACTCCAACTCTCTTTCCAAGAACAGCCAATTCCACATGTCCAATCAGCAAGGGAGCCTGGTGGCTGCTCCAGGAGAAACTGAGGACCAACTGGTCCCTCACGAGGGCCCAAATGTTACAAGTAGAAGCAAAGCCTAGTCCAGGTCATACGGCAAGAGGAACCAGAAAGGCAAATGTGGAAATCACTAAGTAAAAATGTATTTTAAGCTTAATTCTTTTCTTTTCTTTTTTTTTTTAAAGACAGAGTCTTGCTCTGTCACCCAGGCTGGAGTGCAGTGGTGTGATCTTGGCTCACTGCAACCTCCGCCTCCTGGGTTCTAGCAATTCTCCTGCCTCAGCCTCCCAAGTAGCTGGGATTATAGGCACCCGCCACCGCACCCAGCTAATTTTTATATTTTTAGTAGAGACAGGGTTTCACCATCTTGGCCACGCTGGTGGCTTGGCTTGTAATCCCAAGCCAAAAAAAAAAAAATTTTTTTTTAAGTTTTCCTAAATTTTATAGACACCAGAATCTTCCCCAACTGGGGCCTAGGAGCCTCCCCCTGTAACTCATCTGCTAATTGCCTGATGTGAAAGAGGCTGTGGCAAGAACCCCACAACTGTTTAGATCCTGAGAGCCACTCAGTATCCCTGGGCCAGTCCCAACCCCAGGTTGTGTCCCCTAACATCGGTCTAACCCCATGGCTCTCAAATCGTGTGCCAAGGCAGTCTGAGGTGCCACAGCAAGTGATCAAGGGAGCCACTGGCTATTTTAAACTTTCGAGGAAAACAGTGATGCTCAACATCAGCTGGGCACTGTAAGTGACTAGATGGGGAGAGCATGCAGCCTCAGCATTGAGACCACACTAGCTTCCTTTGGAGATGTGATATCTGTCATAGTACTGTGTGAAAATCAATGTGGAAAAGAGAGAGAGTGATGGTTGCTAGTCTGATTCCAAAGCTTGAGGTGTGCAGTGCTTGACAGGTTCATGTATTGGTAAGAAACAGTGACACCATGCTTGTGAAGAGCCATTCCACTCCAGCCTGGGCAACAGAGTGAGGCTGTATCTCAAAAAATAAATAAATAAATAAAAGAATATTTTGGATTCTTAATAACCATGATTTCTAAGAAATTATTAAGAATCCAAAATATTCTCTCTCTTTCTTTCTTTTGAGACAGAGTCTTGCTCTGTCACCCAGAGTGCAGTGGCACAATCTCGGCTCACGGCAACCTCTGACTCCTGGGTTCAAGTGATTCTGTCTCAGCCTTCCGAGTAGCTGGGATTACAGGTGCGTGCTACGATCCCTGGCTAATTTTTGTATTTTTAGTAGACACGGAGTTTCATCATGTTGGCCAGGCTGGTCTCAAACTCCTGACCTTAGGTGATCCACCCGCCTCAGCCTCCTTAAGTGCTGGGATTACAGGTATGAGCCACCGTGCCCAACCTCTTTTTTTTTTTTTTTAATAGAGACATGGTCTCACTATGTTGTCCAGGCTGGAGTGGAGTGGCTCTATTCACAGGTGTGACCATAGCTAACTGCAGCCTCAAACTCGTGGTTTCAGGAGATTCTCCTACCTCAGTCTCCTGAGGAGCTGGGACCACAGGTGTGTGCTACCACTCCTAGCAAAAAATATTATTTCTTCTTTCAACTTGACATATGATTTTTTCAAATGACCACTAAGCTGTTAAGACAATTTAAATACCTATTAGGATGTTCAAACTTAACTACTTAACAGAGGCCAGGCGCGGTGGTGCATGCCTATAATCCCAGCACTTTGAGAGGCTGAGGTGGGCAGATCGCTTAAGCCCAGGAGTTCGAGACCAGCCTGAGCAACATAGCAAAACCCTGACTTTACAAAAAATACAAAAATAAGCTCGGTGTGGTGGTGTATACCTGCAGTCCCAGCTACTCGGGAGGGTGAGGTGGGATGATCACTTGAGCCCAGAGAGGTTGAGGCTAGAGTGTGCCGTGATTGCACCACTGCACTCCAGCCTGGGCAACAGAGCAAGACACTGTTTCAAAAAACGAAAACCAGAACCGTTAGGTATTTCTTTTGGCTAAGGGATGCCATGAAAAATTTACTGAGACATAGTGAGTAGAGAATGTTTGGGAATCTTGAGTCATGAGTTGAGCAAGTTTGGGAACCTCTAGTCTAAACCATTTTCACAGAGGCCAGCCCTCCACTTGCCCCCAACAACTGGCTCATTTGTAGCTAAATATATCTCACCAAATTCAAAGCTTCTTCCTTTATAAGAAAGTACTGTCTGAGTCTCTTTATCCTCTCTCAAGAGAAGTAAACAGAGAAGAGCAGTTACTTTAAAGATGACAGTTCTCCTTTTTCCATCTTACTGAATATGCAAATTTGGTAATACTATTAAGTTTCAAATATTTATATCCTTTGACACAGCATCACCATCTCTACAGATTTGGTCTGAGGAAACTCTTATGGAGGTGCATGAAGACAATGGACAAAAATGTTCCCTAAAGCACTGTTTATAACGGCAAATACTGGAAACAACCCAAATGTCCATCAGCAGCATCAAGTACCTCTGTAGAATGAAGAGGCTACAAAGAAACACCCAAGATTCATCGTTAGTCACTAAATCTGGAAGACCAACACTTCCAGACATCAAGACGTAAGAGAAAACTCAGCCGTTAGGGTTGGGTGGTGATGGTGCAGTGGAACAGACTAGATCTGGAGGCAGACCCACGGTACACGGATCCTTGATTTATGAAAAAAAGGTGCCACTTGGTGCAGCAGGGGAAGGATAGTTTTTAAAATAACAGGTTCTGCGTCAGGTAGATATCCTTATGGAGAAAAACAGATCTTGCACTCCTACCTCCAACTCTTATAAAAATTAATTCCAGGTGGATTAGGTACATATGTGTAAAGAGTAAAAAATAAAGCGTCTAGCAGACAACATAGGAGAATATCTTCATGACTTTGAGGTAGGACAAAGATTTATTGAACAGGACTTAAAATGTCTAACTGTAAAGGAAAAGACTAATAATCTGGATTTCACTGAAATTAAGAGCTTGTGCTCTCACTAGACACCATTAAGACAGAACAGGCAAGCCCCAGAGTGGGAGAAGGTATCTGAAAAGCATATATCCAATAAAGGGGTAATCTCCAGAATAAAGAATTCCTCTAATCAATGAGACGACAGATAGTCCAAATGAAAAAGAGGTAAGACTTGAATTGAATGTAACGAAACAGACTATCCAAATTGCCAATAAATGTAAGAAGAGGTGCTCAATCTCATTAATCACCTGGGAAGTACAAATGAAAACTACAATGAGATACACTAGAAGGGCTTAAAAAAATTGACATTATATGTGTTCGGTAAGGATGTAGAACTAGAAGTCTTGTTCACTGCTGATGGAGTGGAGAATGGCCAACAATTTGGAAATACGCACAACCTCTGACCCAGCGATGCCATTCCTAAAAATGCAGTCACGTTTCCTGAAAGATGTGTGTACAAGGAGGTTCACAGCAGCACCCTTCATAATAACCAAAGCCAGAAAACAACTAAAAAGTTCATCTGCAATAATCTAGTCATACAATGGAACACTATAAATATGAGAACGAACAATCTATAATTCTACATAACAACATAATGATTCTTACACATGATATTGAGCAAAATAAGTCAGACACAAAACAGTGTATACTGCAAGACTCTCCTTATATTAATATAGTTTAAACAGAGGCAAAGCATCTGAGGTGACTAGGATGGTGGTTACCCTTGGAAGGCTGGAAGGCTTGGGGGAAGGGGCAGGTTAGTGATTGCAAAGGGCCCAAGAGAAGTTTCTGGGGTCTTGGTTCTGTACTTTGATCTGTCTGCTGGCTATAAGGGTGTGTTTACTCTGTGGAGTCACTGAACTGTGTATTTATGATTTGTATACTTTTTGACATGCATATTGTAATCTTTTTTTTTTTTCTTGAGACGGAGTCTCACTCACTCTGTCACCCAGGCTGGAGTGCAGTGGTGCAATCTTGGCTCATTACAACCTCCACTTCCCAGGTTCAGGCGATTCTCCTGCCTCAGCCTCCCAAGTAGCTGGGATTACAGGTGTGCACCACCACATCCAGCTAATTTTTGTTTGTATGTACGTATGTATTTATTTTGAGATGGAGTCTTGCTCTGTTGCCCAGGCTGGAGTGCAATGGCGTGATCTCCGCTCAATGCACCCTCCACCTCCTGGGTTCAAGTGATTCTCCTGTCTCAGCCTCCCAAGTAGCTGAGATTATAGGCACATGCCACCACGCCTGGCTAATTTTTGTATTTTTAGTAGAGACAGGGTTTCATCATATTGGTCAGGCTGGTCTTGAACTCCTGACCTCAGGTGATCTGCTCGCCTTGGCCTCCCAAAGTGCCGGGATTACAGGGGTAAGCCACCGTGCCCGGCCCTCCCAGCCAGACTTCTAAGCATGTACTTTGATAAGTTTACTGAAATGATGAACAATAGACAGATTAAACTCCAGTGACAGAATTCAGAAGAGTGGTTACCTTGGTTGGGGCAGGAAGAGCAGGGAGGGCCTCAAGAAGGCTTCTGGGGGTGCTGGGAATGTTCTACTTCTTGATGTGGGTGGGTGTTGCATGGGTAACTTCACTTCAAGCCGTAAGTTAAAATGTGGGCATTTTTCTGCATGTATGTTGTATTTTGATAAAATGAATGTCTTCAAAACATTTTTGGGGGGCATGGAAGTTACAAATGTAATGACATCAGCCCAGAGCACTTCAATAAACTGAAAAGGAGAGAGATCTCATCAATGCCTCCTGCTGTCAGCCTAGATTCACCTTCCCCAGAAAGCCCACCCTGACTTCCCCCAAGACCAGCTCAGGAGCTCACCCTAGCTCACACTGTCCTGAAGACCTGGTCCCAGGAAGATCTGTCGAGGGAAGGTTGAAATGAATAGGAAGAATGATGTGTCTTCAGTGTCTGTGGACTCCCAGGTCGTCTAGCCCACAAGTGAGGATGGGGTTCTTTCCCCACCTGGAGCCCAGTCCTCCTCATGAGAAGATCAATGTCAAGCTCAAGAAGGGCTGCTGTCTAGATTCCTTGCCAACTATGCTCCCTGAGGACAAGGCAAATGTCCTGCTTAGAGACGGTGCTCAGTCATATTTGCTGAATGAGTGAATCAAGGGATGAGTCTCTTATCTGTAGTCACCAGAAACAGAGGTAAGACATAAAAAGTATCACTTCTCAGCCTTCTGGCTAAGATCAAGTGTAGACATAAAGAGTACACTGGGCTTCCCTGCGCCCTTTGTCCCCTAGACTATCGTGATGTACCTCAGGAAATATATCAATGTCACTACAGGGCACGTTCTGATTCATTCTCAGCTCATCTCTGCTGTTACTGAGATACGGAAACAAATAGAGATGTGGTAATGCTTGAACATACCTGATGTATTCAGCAGTCTATCCATAGTGGGACACAAAGTAAAACATACCTGTTTCTGCTAGAGTAAGAGAAAGCCTGAGGTCAGCATGTTGTGAGCTAGCTGATAACAAGGACCGGGAATTACCCATTTGAGAGTTCCCAAGCCTGGCTCCTAGCTAGGCATATGGGAGGTGCTTGATAGCCACAATCCCTGCCCTCGTCTGACCTGAGCTCCTTGTAGACAGGCACAGGTTTTCTTTTACTTTTATTCATTTCATTTTTCTTTTCTTTAACTCTGTAGCTTGGCAAAGGCACTGGCTTTTATTTCTGGATTCACAGTGCTGTGATCAATACAAGATGCCCAATAAATACCTTCTGAGTAAATGAAAGAACCATGAGACATAACCAGGGGATTCTAAGAATTTTTATGACCACTTGAAGAACAGAAAAGTTGCATATTAACCCCCAAGTACAGTAGCTCTGCTATTGCTGAACCAATCTTCATATTACCTCATATTACCTCAGGGGACCAAAATGTCCTGCCTACAAGGCTTATGGTATTAAGGCCACAAGGGGAGGAATTTTGGTCTGTTTTATCGGTTGCTGGGAGTCCTGGTGAAATGAGCGACTGAATGAATGCCTGCCTACCCCTCCAGGTGGGCAGCACCTGATGGGGAAGGGGGTTCATAACTGCTTCTGCATCTTAACTCCTGGCTAGGTAAGTGCTCAGGGGAGGTTTACAGAAGGGAACCGAAGGGTACTCACGGCCAGGAAGCCCAGCTTGCCTCCACACCGGGTCTTGAGCCCCATGGCAGCAGTCAGATGGATCTCAACCAGTGTGCTCGGTGGGATCTTCTCCTCTGCACATTCAGCCAGGTTCACGGCACACAACGCCATGTGTACATCGGAACAGGCGGATCCTGCAGGAAGCTTCCCTAGGGTGGGCAGAAACAGACACTATTGTTGATGGAGCCCCAAAACCAAACTTTTTCCTGCTCTCTCCAGCACGATCAAAGTAAGAGAGGAACCAGGGGAGAAGCGAGGTGAACTTTGTGATCAGACAGGCCTGATCACAGGATGGGATGCCAGGCTCTGTGATATACTGGCTGTGTGTTCCTGTCTACCTCACAGGGTAGCTGGGAACATGGCACCCATTTCTGTCACACCCAGAGCTGTCACAATTGCAGGTTGTTGTATAGGACTCAGAGGCGCACAGTGCAACATAACAATGTCAGCAGCACAGCCACACTGTGTGTTTCCAAACATTCAACAGAGGTAATGAAATTTTTTTTAGATGAACTGATTTGAATTTATTTTCATTAAAAAACCTTCACAATGTGGCTGGGTGCCAGTGGCTCACACCTGTAATCCCAGCACTTTGGGAGGCCAAGGCCGGCGGATCACTTAAGATCAGGAGTTCGAGACCAGCCTGGCAAACACAGTGAAACCCCATCTCTACTAAAAATAGAAAAAATTAGCTGGACGTGGTGGCACACGCCTGTAATTGCAGCTACTTGGAAGGCTGAGGCAGAAGAATTGCTTGAGCCTGCGATGCGGAGGTTGCAGTGAGCTGAGATCGCACCACTGCACTCCAGCCTGGGCAACAGAGCGAGACTCTGTCCCCCAAAAAAGCCAAAAAAAAACCCGCCTTCACAATACACAAACACATACCCGTTTGAGGGGGAAGTGACGTAAACTGAGCAAGGACAGCTGAACACATGTTGGGTTAGTGGGTGGGAGGCCAGGAAGGCTTACCACACCCTCCCCTATGAGAGGTGCACAGTGGCCCATCTGGGGCTGATCCCCTAATCAGGGAACAAAGTATCCTTGCACAGGCACAAGGGCCCATCACAGCTCTCGTGAGGCTTTCATACTGTTGCTGGCTTTGGTCCTCACTACAAGGGCAAGCAGTCTCCTTGCCTCAGGGGAGGAAGTGCCCATGTCAAGGTGCAGACAGTGGCAAAGCCAGGCTTCCCGTGCTCATCCAGCCCTGTGTTCCCCCTCCTGGGCTGCCTTGCCTCCCTGTCTTTTTATCAGCCTAGGGAGATCTCAGCCTCCACACTCCATTCTGTACTGGCCTCAGGTGTTCCTCCTGCAGGAGACACAGGAAGGGAGGTGAGAGGGCAGTGTGGCAACCATACTGTAGTTACCTCTGTCCCCTCAGTGCCTCACACAGGGAATGCCAGTGAGTATGGAAGGAATGAGTGACGTAAAGCTTCTCAGCTGGAATTCTCCAGAATTTGGCAGCAAGGAGGACACAGCCTGATCAGAGACCTGAGTATGGGCTTATTCTGTCCCAAGGGCACACTGAGGAACAGACAAGATAACAGCGGGGCAAATTTGCAGATAGGGACCTTCTGCTAAAATTCTACCATGAGCCCACATATTAAAGCTGCACAATGGCCCCACTGTCTCATCTCCTGGTCACTCCTACATCACTTGCCTGGCTCTGTTCCACTTTTGGCTGAAGCTCCTTACTGCCATCAAGGTATCTAACACCTTCCAGTTACCACATCCTACTGTTATTCCTGGCCCTCATCTTACTGGGTGTCCCAGCAACAATCTCCCCTCCTCAACTCTCTGACCTTGCTCCTCCAACACTTAGCATCTCAGTGTCTCCTCAGACCTCTCCAACTGCTCCTCTCAGGCAGCCTCTGCCCCTGACTCCCCATCCTCTATCTGTTCATCTCTGCATGCATGTGCAGTGGCACAATCACAGCTCGCTGCAGCCTCGATCTACCTCCCAGGCTCAAGTGATCCTCCCACCTTGGCCTCTCAAGTAGCTGGAACCACAGACACACACCACAAAAACCAGCTAATTTTTTGAATTTTTTTTGGAGAGATGGAGTCTCCCCGTGTTTCCCAGGCTGATGGGAAACTCCTGGGCTCAAGCGACCTTCCTTCCTTGACCTCCCAAAGTTCTGAGATTACAGATGTGAACTGCTGTGCCAGCCTTTATCCTTTCTTTTTGAGATGGAGTTTTGCTCTTGTTGCCCAGGCTGGAATGCAGTGGTGCCATCTTGGCTCACTGCAACCTCCACCTCCTGGGTTCAAGTGATTCTCCTGCCTTAGCCTCTCGAGTAACTGGGATTATAGGCACGTGCCACCACACCCGGCTAATTTTTGTATTTTTAGTAGAGACAGGGTTTTGCCATGTTGGCCAGGCAGGTCTCGAACTCCTGACCTCAGGTGATCCACCTGCCTTGGCCTCCCAAAGTGCTGGGATTACAGGTGTGAGCCACCGCGATGGCCTATCTGTTCTTTAGATGAGGGTGTTCTTCTGAATGGCCCTGAGGGTCTCCTTTTCACCTATCCACTCTCATAGGCTCCCTTGCTTTTCACTCTCACCTGTAGTCTTCTTTGGGCTGTAGATCCTGCATGTCCAGCTCACCTCCACATCTCACAGGCAAGTGTCCAAAAGGGAACTCACCACCCTTTTCCTGGAAAGTTGCTCTTCCTTCTATTTTCTTTACCTTTGTTGGTGGCACCATCGCTCACCCAAACTCCCAAGGAAGAACCAGGGAACCGTCTTAGCTGACTACTGTCCCCATCCATCAGTCCAATGAGTCCCCAGTCCAGTCAATTCCACCTTCTAATTTCCTCTCATCTGTCCTTTCAGCAACTCTCATCTTTAATCTGCATCAGCTTCTATTTGGCCTCTCTAGCTCTAGCCTTGATCCTCTGGGATCCACTCCTTATCTGCCATCAGAGTGAATCTTCTAAACTTTTTTTTTTGGAGTGCTATGGTGCAATCTTGGCTCACTGGAGCCTTGATCTCCCAGGCTCCAGTGATTCTCCCACATCAGCCTCCTGGGTAGCTGGGATTACAGGTGTGCATCACCAAGCCTGGCTAATTTTTGTATTTTTTGTAGAAATGGGGTTTTGCCACGTTGTCCAGGCTGGTCTCGAACTCCTGAGTGCAAGTGATCCTCCTGCCTCAGTCTCCCAAAGTGCTGGGACTACAGGTGTGAGCCAGCTACCATGCCCAGCCTGACTCTTCTAAACTTGAGAAGCACAAACCTGATCATATCACTATTTTCCTAATGCTCTTCACTGAATCCTACTGATACACTACAAGATCCTCAGCCTGGCATCCAAATCCTTCATGGTCTGAGTACTGCCTTTGTGCCCTGGCTCCCTCTAGGACCACTGAAGGCTTATTCTCAAGAGCCACCCCAGGTGGGGCTCCTCCTTGGGAACATCCCTCTGCCCAGAGGCTCATCTCCTGCAGAGCTGGTGACCTCTATGCATCCTTCCATGCAAAGCCAAGACTCTACTTCCCCAGAAAACCTTTCTTGAAACCCTCCAAACGGGTACCCACTCCCTCCCAACGAAAACATGTTCCTTCTGCTAAGTCTAACATACTCACGCTGAACTGTCATTCATTTGTTGACCTCTCTGCCTATTATAGCAGGAGCTTACTGAATGAAACAGATGATCATATTTCATTGACTCTAAGATGTCAGCAATTTTAAGTCTCACCATTAATTTAAGTATCACTAAAGAAAAACACTGCCAACTTATCTACAATGTGCCACTGTTTATAGGACACATCCTGAGTATAGTGATGTTATTGTGAAAACATGTGCATCTGAGAACTGATGAGCTAAAGCAAAGAGCCAACCTTACAGCTGTGAAAACAGGTAGAAGCTTGGTCTAGCCACTCTAAAAGAGTAGCGTTAAAGGGACTTCAGCTAGGGTGCAGAACTGGCAAATCAAGCTAAGGAGGAGAGGTAGCATGAGATGCCTTGCAGCAAGCCAGGCAGCAGCAGCTGCCCCCTCACCTGTGATGTGCAGCTGGTGCAGCCGGTGATAGGCCAGAGCCGCATCCCGGGCGCTGGTCTTAGCTTCGTCTTCAAAGCCTGCCTCAGTGGCTGGCGTGGCCCGCCGGCACTGGAAGACTTTCTTGAGCAGCCAGCGCACCAGGCGTAGCTTCTGCAGGCTGTAGCGGATCACGTTCCAGGAGAGGCTGCAGGCCAGGTCCAGGCGGGAGGTGGGCAGTGCCCGGCCCAAAACTGCCAGGCAGGTTTGTAGGTTGCCGGCAGCAGCTGCAAAATCTCCCTACAAAGTATCAAAAGGTGTTAATGGTCACTGGCCTTGCTCCGGCTTTTTGTTTTGATATAGACTTCTACTCCCCCTGCCCCCAATTATCAGAGGAATTAGTGCACACTCATAAAAACGAGGGAAACTTCAGAAAGCTACAAGAAAGTAAAACAAAACCACCTATAATCTCATCCCCCAGGAAGAATCCCTGCTGACATTCTGAGGTATTTCCTTACAGACTTTTTACTCGATTGAGATTGTACTGCGTGCGTTTGTTCTATGAGCAAATGCTGGTCAGAGTTCCCTCAGAGTAGCACTTTTTTTTTTTTTTTTTTTGTATTTTTAGTAGAGACAGGGTTTCACCATGTTGGTCAGGCTGGTCTCGAACTCCTGACCTCAAGTGATCTACCTGCCTCGGCCTTCCAAAGTGTTGGGATTACAGGCGTGAGCCACCATGCCCGGCCAGCAGTAGCTTTTAGACATAAGGTGGTGACACAGATTTAGATGAACTGCATGATCCTTTAGGCTTTCAGGGTCTCAAAGTGTGGCCCCCAGAGGCCAGTAGCATCAGCTCTTAGGAGCTTGTTAGAAATGCAAGCACTTGGACCTTACCCCAGGGCTACTGAATCAGAATCTCTGGTATTGCAGCCCTCTAGGTGATTCTCATGCCATGTCTGCTAAAGCGTTTCTTTTCATTTTTAGAGATGGGGGTTTTGCTATGTTGCCCAGGCTGGTCTTGAACTCCTGGGCTCAAGCAATCCCCCCACCTCAGTGTGAGCCACAGCACCCGGCTTCATGCCTGCTGAAGTTTGAGAACCATGGTTTTAGGCAAACTCACAGCTAAACTACCCTACTCTAGGATTCAGATGAACTAATCTTTGTCAACCTGAGAGGGTCTAATGGAGAGTCTACGGCACTGTACTGGAGACCGCTCGCTTTCTCTCTCTCACTGCTGGAAACTAGAGGACAGGCTATATAGTCTTGGGAAATGAAAGTAAATTCTCCTATTTTCCTCTATTGGGCAGCTGGTACACTATCTGTGCTTTGTTTCCCACATCATTACAGGACTGGACAAGGGAAAAGAAAAGATGTCCTCACAGCAACAGTCTCTAAGGTGCCTCTATCTTTCCAGCCAGAAGGACCTGCATTTGCAGATTCCAAAGGAGGCAGGTGTTCCCTGGCTCCTCCCCTGCCTTTCCCTCAAAGATGGGCTATTCCCAAGTCCCAGTCTTTGGCTCTTACCCCTCCTGACTCCCCAGTCCAATTCTCCCTAAGAACCCTCTGCTGACAGACATGCTTCCCAAACACTCTGGCCCCGCCCCTGCTCAGTCCCCATGGCCTGCCTCTCAATCACTGCTCACTCTACAGGGGCCTCTTCCAGCTTTTCCAGGCAACATGGCCTAGATGGAGTCCACTCCATCTTGGAGCCTCTCTTATCCTTGAGTCAACGTCACTAATCACTTCCCTTCCAAATATTACATTTCAAATACTTATTCAGTTCAAACCTTTCCTTTTAATTCCAGGTCCTTGCCATCATCTCTTACTCAGTCTATTTCATAGAGCCCCCTGACTCAGCCAGGCGTGGTGGCTCATGCCTGTAATCCTAACACTTTGGGACGTCAAGGTGAGAGGATCACTTGAGCCTAGGAGTTCAGGACCAGCCAGGCAACACAGTGAGACCTTGTCTTTACTTAAAAAAGAGCACCCTAACTTGTTGCCATGTTCCATGCATTTCACATCTCCCTCCTACCTATCCTTCACAGCCACCATAATGATGCTTGTAAAACACACACCTGAACCTGCCTCTAGGATATACATCTTGGGATGTTATACTCAAGGAACAGGCCTCTCAAAATCACATCTATATTCTGAGACCCATAGCCCCAGCAAGGCTGACAGATCCAGGATGGCCAATCAGATTCTCACTAATGGCCCTGCAGCTTGCAGAGGTGGGGAGGGCAGGCCCATGGCTCACTGCTGCTGAGGAGTGTTCTGGTTCTTGTTCCTCTTGAAATGTGGATGTTTAACTCTTCCTCAATGCTGTGAGTTGCCCCAGATTTTTTTCCGTAAACTCCCTGTTGATTTCAAATGAAAACTTTCAGCTAGTTTTCCTGCTCAAAAACCTTTCCTGGTTCTATAGAGAATTGGGAATAAAGCCCCAAATCAGTTCCTAGTGAAAGCCCTCTCCAATTTGGGCCTAGACACACTACCAGCCTTTGCCTTCAACTCTCTCTGACATAACCTACACTCAACACACCCTGGAACCTGCCAGTCTCCAAACAGCCTGTCCATTCATGTGTTCGGGTTGGAAGGTCCTTCTGCCACCTCTGCCCTTCCTTCCTACTCTTGGCAGCCCCGCTCAAGCCCTAGAACCCCTCCCTCAGAACTCAACTTCATTATTCCTGTCATACCGGAGACATAGATCATCTCATGTCCCTGGAATTAATTATCTATGCAGAGGCGCCCACTCCACTGCCCTGTGACTATTCAGCAGCAGGGTCCCTTTTTCCTCTCACCACAAGCATCTATCATAGGACTTTCTTTGACACGAGTTGCTGAATTATTTGTCAAGTCTGGGGGAGGATGGGGAAGGGCGGACACAGAACTCACTCTGGCGAGATCCAGATCTGCCTGTTTCCGGTGCCTCCAGAAGGTGACCGAGGAGCGCGAGTGTGGCCGGATCACTGGCTCCCCATGAACCAGCAGCTTCACAAAGACGCTCAGGACAATCACACCATTTACCAGCCATAAGAGAAGAGTAGGCATCATCCAGTCAAACCAGCCCCCAGAACCTAAGAAGGAGCGTCTCAGCAGAGTCTGCTAGGAAAGGCCTTGCGGAGCAGCCAGGCACCTGACAGACCCCAGCACTATCACAGGAAAGAGTCTTCTACCTCATTTTCAGAAGAAAGGGCAAATAATTCTATAATCTAAACAGGGCTAATGACTGTAGCCCTTCTCATTATGGAGCTGAGTGCCATAAAAATCTTTGTTTTGAAAGGGTTGAGGCATTGGTTTTGCAACCTCAGATAAAAAACACGATATCCTCCTTCAAATAGGTACCACCCCTCCACCCCAGGGTATTTAGAGTAGTGTGGGTCCCTGATTTGTTTTGCTCATTCTGACTGAACTTGGGCTTGCCTTGTTACTTCTAAAATGGAACTTATGCCAGTCCCTATCAGAAGCAAGCAGGTGGGGGCCCACTATAAAAGCCCTTTGGGACCTGGTAGCCAAGCCAAGAAGTTTGTACACAGGGTCCTTCTCCTGCCATAGTGGTCCAGCCATGCCCAGGTGGGGCAAGGGGCCTCCACCTACCTGACTCGAATGACAGGACACTGCGGCCAGAGCCTGAGTGTGGGTGCTGGTCAGAGTCGTGGGCCCCTCCCCACTGCAGCAGGGAAGTCAGGGGGTTAAAGGAGAGGCACAGGAAGGTGAGGACACACAGAAGAATCCGTGAGCGGTCTACCATGCCCAGCGCCACAGGAGGAGAGTCTGGCTCATCTTTGACCTTCAAAACAAGGCCTCGAGGTTGGAATAAATACTGCATAGGTTTTTACAGCACTTTATAAATACATATATATATATTGAGAAATGGTTATGAGGTTTAAATTCAAGTCGATTAACTCAGGACTAAGGCCAGATGGGAACTGAGAAGCCTATAATTCACTAACTGCTGCTCAAACATTGGCACATTCACCTGCTTGCTAACTGAGAAAAGTACATGTTCCAAAGAACAAAGGTAGAAGAGATTTTCTTTTAAAATAGAAATCTACCACAAAAGAGAACACACTGTATGATTCTGTTTCTGTATAATTCCAGAACAGGCAAAATGAATCTAAAGTAACAGGAAACCAATGAATCAGTCATTGTCTGAGGCTGGAGAGGGGTGTGGGAAACTACCTGCAAAGGTGTACAAAAGAGCTTTTTGGGGTGATGGAAATGTTCTATATCTTGATTACAGTGACAGTTACATAGCACTGTACATTATGTTAAAACTCTTGGTACTGTACTTTTAAAGTAGGTATATTTTATTGCATTTAAATTACACCTCAATGAAGTTGATCAAAGACCGTATTTAGTGTGAATCTATCTAAAGGATTTTACCTGTTCTAAAACTGTATCATTGTCTACACCCACCCCACTCTCCATTTTACAGCAGGAGGGCTGAAGCCAGATCTCCCCTGCGCCCCAATGTGTATATAGCATGTCATTTCTTTTCAATATTTTAAAACCATTTAAGATTTTCTTCTGATGACTCAGAAGCCCAGCTAATTCAATTTATATGTCAAACAGCCTGTTGTTGCCAAACAGAACCACATTTATAAGAATATTTCAAAAATGGAGCTTCCTTAGTAAAATTAAGTATATGATACAATAAACAGCTTAGTCAAAAACAAACACTAGGAGGGAACTTTGTGCTTTCAGAGTCAGAAACTGCCGAAGTCAAAATACAGTACAAAACCCAGTGGTCTCTACAGGTTCCCAGGAAGATCATTAGGCTCAGAGCGTCTCTTAAGTAATTCCATTAAACTACCATTGCCAGGGGCTTTGACGATTAAAGGCCCATAGGTAAAATGTTATCTGTTAGACTGCAAATTGTAATCATTTCTGAAAAGAGGACCCAGAGGCAGCCTCATCCTAAACCAACTGATCAGCCTCCCAAAGTGGTCTTGCCAGGCCCATTAAAGGCAGAGTGAAGCAATGAGGTGCCTCCAGCAGCTCCCAACGCCCCCACAACAGCTACTCTGCATTCTCGTTCTGGATCTGGCACTCATTCCTCTCTGACGGGGCCTATCGGCAAGGACCAGTTAAACCTGAGGGACTGTTTCCCCCCGGAGTCAGTTTTTTCTTTCTTTATTCTCCAGGACCTGGCTAATTTCACAGAATTCCTGTTTTTCTCCAGGCTAGGCCCTCTTAACATGCGGCCTGGCCTCATAACTGTGACCTCCCAGCTATCTTCTTAGGGGAAATGGGAAAGATTCCAGGGATCAGGAGATTTCAAAAGTCTGTACCTTTGCATCATCCAATAGAGGGCTTCCTGGCTCAGAGTCAATGGAGTAGGGAGAGAAGCCAGCCTGGGACCCTGAGTCAGAGGCTGGGGGGGACATCAGAAGGACATTCTGATTAAAGTCCTCGATCTTCAGGTCCACCTCATTGTCCACCAGACTGCCTAGGTCGATGCCCTTTAGAAGCTCTGCAAAGAAAACCCCACCTGGTGAAAATGATCTGCTTTTACAAAGCCCCACCTGGGCCAGGGCTGACAAGCCTTTTCTCAGCACACTTACTGTTCTTTTGATTTGCCAGCTTCAGCACCATGTTCTCCTGGCGCAGTTTATGATTGACCTGCTGCAAGTATTTGATGTAATCAATGGCCTTCCTCAGAACGCCAGACTTGTGCATCTGGGTAGGAAGATGAGTGAAAACACAGTGAGACCAGTGCAGGCTACAGTGTGAAAAGAGCAGAGCCCTAGCACTTGGGATGACAGCATGGCTCTGTGAGAGGAGAAACCAAGTTCAGATGCTGGTCCTCCCAATGATTAGCTGTGCCACTCGGGAGAAGTTATTCCATACCTCAGAACCTCACTTTCCTCCTCATTAGCACAGAGATAATGAAAGCGCGTGAATCACAGGCTTGCAGCAGGGCTAAATGAGATAATGAGTGTAAAGGGCTTAGCCCTGAGCCTGGCAAATAGTTGACACTCAATAAATATTAGCTATTGTTCCCACTTCTTATAATAATCCTAGCACCATAACAAACTTTAACGAAAACAAATGAAAAAAACAACCACAGCATTGTTGGACAGTTATCTTTTTTTTTTTCTTTTTTCCAAGACAGAGTTTCACTCTTGTTGCCCAGGATGGAGTGCAATGGCGCGATCTCAGATCACTGCAACCTCTGCCTCCCAGGTTCAAACAATTCTCCTGCCTCAGCCTTCCAAGTAGCTGGGATTACAGGCACCTGCCAGCACGCCCGGCTAATTTTTTGTATTTTTAGTAGAGACGGGGTTTCACCATGTTGGCCAGGCTGGTCTTGAACTCCTGGCCTCGTGATCCACCCGCCTCAGCCTCCCAAAGTGCTGGGATTACAGGCGTAAGCCACAGTGCCTAGCCTGGACAGTTATCTTAAGGCATAGATTTTTACTTAGGATGTACAGCTTTCAGATTTGTAGGCAAGGAAAATGAAATTTTCTTTCAAAATAGGGTTTAAACATAGATAGGTTTTAAAAATAAAATCTCCTACTTTCTAGAAGACACATACACTGAAACACCAGAAACATTTGGAACATCAGTTTCCTCTATGTGTTGCTGGTCAAAGACTCAACCTCTTTTTTCTTTCTTTTCCTTAAAAGGTAACCCCTAAACACAGCTAAAACTATGCCATCAGCTGACTCCAAGGTACACACAGTCCTGTATCTGGAACTACTGAGTGGCAGGCATCTTTCTCTGCCTCTGACAGTGGAGTCCCCATCACTGCAGAGCATAGCCAAAGGAGTCAAAGGTCTCAGCGGGTCACTGCCTTATCAACCCTCACCAGTCCCTTATGTTTTTTAATATTTTATAATCTTGACATGACACCAAGATGCTTTAATAAAAAAGCACCTCTAACTCGGTCTTGTATTCACTTACCTTGAGCCTGGGACTTCTCTAGGCTCCTGAGGCAAAAACAGGTAGAGGGGAGATGGTGGAACATAAAACACAATTTTGCTTGGCACCCACCTTGGCGTCTGTCCCCATGACCAGGTCTTTCAATTCGATGATTTTGTCATTGATGGAGGAGCGATATCGTTTCTCAATGATATTATGGGTTGTCCGCCTTTCTCCTTCTTTGGGGGGCTCAAGCTGCTTGACTCCCCCAGGTACCTGCTTAATGGGCACTTTCTCTTGCCCCATCATTACAGGCATTGTGGTCAGAATGGTCCCACTGCTGCCCACCAGGGTCTAGAATAGGGACAGGTACACAGCAGAATGATCCCTTTGTTAGTCTGCATAAAGCAACCTCAACACAGACCTGCCCGCTTTGGCCAAGTGCTGCCAGACCTGGCAGTACTTCATGAGGTCTGAGACTCTTCCTGGGTTAATCAAATCAGGCCCCAAGAAGTCTCAGGAGCCACGGAACCTTGGTTACTACCTCCCTTCAAGAATCACTGCTGATAAACTACACCACAAGAGGATTAACATGGCTAAATATGTTTTAAGTTTTGATCTACGTATGCCAGAAACAAGTCATATGATTTCTGCTTTGCTGTCAAACTGTTAACCACTTCTAAAGTTGTACACGGTGAACCACGAGTTGGCACCAGAGAAAACTTTCTCCTAGTGTATGACACATTTTTTCCTCTCAAATGACAATTAAGCAAATTACTGCATTTCTTTATACAATTTTGCCATCAAAAAGCTCAAGGGCAGAAGTGACACTCTCAATAAGAGCCATTTGATTAAGTAAATAGGCCAACCATGGAGGTCTCCCCTTTTTATTCTTCATCTCTGTTTTCTCCTCTTATTTTTTCTAACTTTATTTTATTTTATTTTATTTTTTTTGAGACGGAGTTTCGCTCTTGTTGCCCAGGCTGGAATGCAATGGTGTGATCTCGGCTCACCACAAACTCTGCCTCCCAGCTTCAAGTGATTCTGCTGCCTCAGCCTCCCGAGTAGCTTGGATTACAGGCATGCGCCACCATGCCTGGCTAATTTTGTATTTTTAGTAGAGACGGGGTTTCTCCATGTTGGTCAGGCTGGTCTCAAACTGCTGACCTCAGGTGATCCACCCGCCTTGGCCTCCCAAAGTGCTGGGATTACAGGCGTGAGCCACCACGTCCTGTTTTTTTGTTTTTGTTTTTTTTTTTGAGACAAAGTCTCACTCTGTTGCCCAAAAGCTGGAGTGCAGTGGCGTGATCACAGCTTACTACAACCTGCACCCCCCTGGTTCAAGTGATTCTCCTGCCTCAGCCTCCTGAGTAGCTGGGAATACAGGCACCCACCACCACACCTGGCTCATTTTTGTATTTTTAGTAGAGATGGGATTTCATCATGTTGGCCAGGCTGATCTCAAACTACTGACCTCAGGTGATCTGCCCACCTCAGCCTCCCAAAATGCTGGGAATACAGGCGTGAGCCACTGGGCCTGGACCAATTTTAGTTTAATTTCTTAAATAATGGCCTCAATATCTAATCAGCCAATAAATAAATAAAAAGGTGCCCAATTTCATTAGTTGCCAATAAGTACGTCATGCACAATAAAAACCACAAATCTTAAGTTTATAGCTTGATGAATTTTACATATGTACACAATGTATATAACCACCCAGACCAAGATATAGCCCATTTCTACCAGCTCAGAAAGTCCCCGCATGCCCCTCCCCTCCTTGTCACCACCGCTCTGAATTCCAGCACCATAGCTTCATTTTGCCTCTTTTTAAACTTCATATAAATGGACTCATTAGCATGAACTCCTTTGGCTTGACACACTATTTCTTTTTTTTTTTTTTTGAGACGGAGATTTGCTCTGTCGCCCGGGCTGGAGTGCAGTGGCGCAATCTTGGCTCACTGCAAGCTCCACCTCCCAGGTTCACGACATTCTCCTACCTCGGCCTCCCGAGTAGCTAGGACTACAGGTGCCCGCCACCATGCCCGGCTAATTTTTTGTATTTTTAGCAGAGACGGGGTTTCACCATGGTAGCCAGGATGGTCTCGATCTCCTGACCTCATGATCTACCCACCTCGGCCTCCCAAAGTGCTGGGATTACAGGTGTGAGCCACTGCGCCCGGTGGCTTGACACACTATTTCTGAGGGACAGCCCCATGTTGTTTCATGCATCAGTAGCTTTTTTTTTTTTTTTTGAGAGTCAGTCTCGTTCTGTCATCCAGGCTGGAGTGCAGTGGTGCGATCTCGGCTCACTGCAGCTTCCACCTCTCAGGTTCAAGCAATTCTCCTGCCTCAGCCTCCTGAGTAGCTGGGATTACAGGCATGCACCATGCACCACCATACCCAGCTAATTTTTGTATTTTTAGTAGAAATGGGGTTTCACCGTGTTGGCCAGGCTGGTCTCAAACTCCTGACCTCAGGTGATCCACCCCTCTTGGCCTCCCAAAGTGCTGAGATTACAGGCGTGAGCCACCGTGCCTGTCAGCAGTTCTGTTTTTTAATTGCTAGGCATAATTTCATTGTATGAATATATCACAATGTGCTTATTTTCCTGTGGATGGACATTTGAGTTGCTTCCAGTTCTTGGATTTTATGAATAAAGCTAGTGCTTCTAAATTTTAATCACCATTTACTCTATCAGATTCTCATGCTATAGGATGCTGAAAGTGGCTAAGAACCTACAACTGAAGGATGGGGTACCTTCCATGTTCTTCACCTTGGAGCCCTTCCCTGCCTGGTGGCCCTAGGGTCCTTCAGAAGTCATCAGCAGGATCTAAGAGGTGAATGGTCTTGTGTGGAGCTATTAGCCAAGAATAGAGGGTCCTTCTGCTATTCTTTTCTACCTCCTTGTAGACTCCAGTACTCCCACATCGAACACACATTGCTAATACTTTTTCGAGCGAAAAACAACTAAGAGGGGTGACATTTACAATTTGACTGATTTGTGCTATAGACCCTCCCATACCTACTCAGCATATAGAGATTTAACATCTCTGAAGACTAACACCTCCAGGAATAAAGGGGGAGGGAGGAGGGTGGGGGAGAAGGCAGCTCTTACTGGTACTTGAAGGGCAGCCGTCTGGATAGGGGTGGTGAGGGCGGTGAGGGCCGGGTTCTGGACCGCAGCCATAACAGGGCTGCCATCTGTCTTCAGTGTGGTCAAAACAAGGGAATCTGTCTTGATGATCTGAGGCTGGACCAGGACCTGGATGAAGAAGGAAGAAAAGTAAAAGGATGATAGCATTATCCTTCTGTTATGCATTCCTTTCTTACTGCATAGACCTTCCAAGAAAGAATGAGAAATGATATAATTTTTATGAAATTGAGAATAAAAAAATGAACAGGAAATTTCATAGAGGCCATTTCAAAAGCCGGCTATTTTGTACAGCCTGAATACCGGGTTCAGGTGGAGAAAGAGGGGCTAGCTAATGAGGGTCCTGGCTTTTTTTTTTTTTTTTTTTTTTTGCTGAGACAGGGTTGCTCTCTGTTGCCCAGGCTGGAGTGCAGTGGTGCAATCTCAGCTCACTGCAGCCTTGACCTCCCGGGCTCAAGTGATCCTGCTGCCTCAGCCTCCTGAGTAGCTGGGACTACAGGTGTGTGCCACCATGCCTGGCTAATTGTTTGTATTTTTTTGTAGAGACAGGGTTTCACCATGTTGCCCAGGCTGGTCCTGAACTTTTGGGTTCAAGAAATCCACCTGCCTCAGCCTCCCAAAGTGCTGAGATTACAGGCGTGAGCCATGGTGCTCAGCCAGGTCATGGGTTTTTAGGTTGAAAGACTTTCAAGAGGGTGGTGCCAGTGGCCCAGCAGGAGCAGAGCAGAGATGGGTAGGGTGGATGGCAGAGAGGAGAGAAAAGACTCAGGAAAGCCAGACACATGGCTGAGAAGCAAAAATAATAAACCTGATTTTTTTAAGATAAATTGTTAGTAAGAAAATATAGGCCAGATGTGGTGGCTCATGCTTGTAATCCCAGCACTTTGGGAGACCAAGGCAGGTGGATCATGAGGTCAGGAGTTTGAGACCAGCCTAACCAACATGGTGAAACCCTGTCTCTACTAAAAATACAAAAATTAGCTGGGCGTGATGGCGCGTGCCTGGAATCCCAGCTACTCGGGAGGCCGAGGCAGGAGAATTGCTTGAACCCAGGAGGCTGAGGTTGCACAGTGAGCCGAGATCGTGCCACTGCACTCCAGCCTGGGCGACAGAGCAAGACTCTCAAAAAAAAAAAAAGAAAAAAGAGGATATAGTCCACGATGATATATAACATAAAGACGTTTTTTGTGATTATAAAAATAATACACGTCCCCCAGCTGGGCACAGTGGCTCCCACCTGTAGTCTCAGCACTTTGGGAGGCCGAGATCGATGCACTGTTTGAGGCCAGGAGTTCAAAACCAGCCTGGCCAACCTGGAGAAACCCCATCTCTACTAAAAATACAAAAAACTAGCCAGGTGCAGTGGCAGGTGCTTGTAATCCCAGCTACTTGGGAGGCTGAGGCAGGAGAATCGCTTGAACCTGGTAGGCGGGGGTTGCAGGGAGCCAAGATCACGCCACTGCACTCCAACCTGGGCAACAAGAGCAAAACTGTCTCCAAAAAAAAAAAATTAAAAAAAAGATTAATAATACATGCCCCCCCTCCCCCCAACCCAATATATGTTCAGGATCCACAGCAGAAAATATGGAGAACAGAAAACTATGAAAGCCAAGGGCAGTGGCTCACGTCTGTAATCCCAGCACTTTGGGAGGCCGAGGCGGGTGGATCACAAGGTCAGAAGTTCAAGCCAGCCTGGCCAACATCCCGTCTCTACTAAAAATATAAAAATTAGCCGGGTGTGGTGGCACATGCCTGTAGTCCCAGCTACTCGGGAGGCTGAAGCAGCAGAACTGCTTGAACCCGGGAGGCGGAGGTTATAGTGAGCTGAGACCACACCACTCCACTCCAGCTTGGGCAACAGAATGAGACTCCGTCTCAAAACAACAACAACAACAAAAAAACACAACACAAAACTATGAAAAAGAAAATTATCTGGGAAATACCAATTTAGCACATTTCTTTCCAGTTTTATGCCCATTACATGTGTACGTAAGTGACTGCACCAGCCTTTCCTGAGTGCCAGTGTCTATCTACAGATATGGACTCAGCCAGGTCACTATACGCTGCTCACAGGTGCATCCTGGCGCCCTACAAGCTGCTTTGTGTACACTCTGGTTGGTCCTTCTTAGTATGTAGACCACATCTTCAACCAAGGACCAGTTAACAGCCCCAACCAGTGCCTCCCTGAATCCTTTCCAGCCACTTACCGGGACCTGCTGCACCTGTGGCGCAGCAACTGTCTGCACCGTAGCCGGGGCAAGGGTCTGCAGCGTGCCATTGGCCGTTTGTGTCAGCACCCGCTGGGCCTGTACTGTCTGCACCTGCTGCTGAATGGTGACCGGCTGTACCTGGGAGGATGTCACCAGGCTTTGGACTTGAGGCTGAAGGACTTGGGAGAAGAGGAGAAAGAAGGCACAGAGATGAGGAATGCATTCTGTCACTGCAGCTGCAGCAGAAACCTGAGGATGGAGTATCTCATAATGATTCCAACTCCCCACCTACTGCTGAAGATGATGTGCACAGCCATTTACAAGGTGGCTTAGACAACAAGAACATCCCATAAGGGCTGCATCAATTTCTGAGGGAACGAGTACAAATTGTTTTATTACTCTGGGTGCCAGGGTGGGGGAAAGGGAAGCTAATCAGCAAATGACTGCACCCAGCAAGGGAGTTAACAGATGTTGAGAATCAACAACTCCCTGGGGCTTCATTTTCTTCCATCCTTTCTGGACGGCAAGTGCACTTTGGGAGGACTGTCTCAGCTTTTTGCCTTTACATTCCCCCACCTGTCCCAATTCTTGAACTCCATTGAAGAACTATAAGATTCTTTGAAATTCAAAGCAATACTAATCTTACCCTGGGCTCCCCACAGAGTCAGAGGGAAATATGATGAAAAGGCACTGGGATGCAGCACATCACAGAAAGAACAGGCCCCTTTCAGTCATCCATTCCCTCAACACATACTAAGGGCCCAGCATGAGGCTTGCTACTTGAAGCTGCTGCACCTATATTAAAAGTCATATTCATCACCATAGTGGATGCTCAGATGTTTGCTGAATGAATAGTTCTCAACTGTGGCAGCTGAGATCTGGCTGCCGCCTAGCCAATTTCAAGCCTTATTCAAGTCTCCACCACTAGTTATCAGAATGGCCCTGTGTCTACTATGCTTGCTGGATTTTTTTTTTTCTTTTTAAGATGGGAGTCTCGCTCTGTTGCCTAGGCTGGAGTGCAGTGGCACGATCTCTGCTCACTGCAAGCTCTGCCTCCCGGGTTCACGCCATTCTCCTGCCTCAGCCTCCCGAGTAGCTGGGACTACAGGCGCCCGCCACCATGCCCGGCTAATTTTTTCTATTTTTTAGTAGAGATGGGGTTTCACTGAGTTAGCCAGGATGGTCTCAATCTCCTGACCTCGTGATCCGCCCGCCTTGGCCTCCCAAAGTGCTGGGATTACAGGCGTGAGCCACCGCGCCCGGCCGCTTGCTGGATTTTTTAACCAAGTATTTTTGAATTAGGCGCAATAGATATTAAGGTATTTGAAGCTGCAGAATGTGACATGCTCCTGTACCAGTTCTTATTGCCAGTTACCAGAACCTCATTCAGACAGGACCATATTGATATACCTGCCATTCCTGAAGACGACAGAAATATTTACAGTGTCTGCAAACTGGCACATAAACATTGGAACCAACCAACCACTACCATTCTAACTTCTGAATCACCTTGAAAGCTAGTAGCTGCATTCTGGTATATCAAAGGCTGCTGGATGATCCTCGTCTGCGGAGTGGTGCTGAATGTTGGCGTGATCATTACCGTCTGTTGTTGCAGCTGAGTTTGAGGTTGAGGCTGGGGCTGGGGGCGGGGCTGAAGAATAGGAGTTGCCCTGGGTGTGGTGGGAACTGAGGTGGGAGAAACCTTGACTTGCAGAGTTGGAGCCTGTGGGGAGGCCGCCGAGGGAGAGAAGGAAGGTAATGTGACCTGGGTGAATGACCGTTGCACTGAAGGGTCCACAGCTCCGCTGCTGCTGCCCCTGCCATTGCTGCTGCTGCTGCTGCTGCCACTGCTGCCGCTGCTGCTACCACTACCACCACTGCCAGGAAAGGAGCTACACAGCTGTTCTGAAAACAAGTCAGGGAACTCTCCCACTTGATTACTGACAAATTGCAGCATCTCTGTGAACAAAAGAAAAGGAGTAATTTTATTGCTATCCAAAAAGTGAACTTTCAAACTTGCTTAAGAAACTAAGGCATGAAAACTCAATGACTTTCCTAAGACCATGGCAGAAATGGGTCAGGAAACCCTTACCTCTTTCTTGTGGGGATCATCTGGGCCAAGATGGCTGCCCAAGGTCCCAGGACAACAGGACAGGACTTTATCTGTTTGATGTTCTTTTCCCTCCTCACACTCACCTCCAGGCCCTTTCTCTCATTTTCTTTCTTTTTTCTTTTTGAGACGGAGTCTTCCTCTATCGCCCACGCTGGATGGAGTGCAGTGGCGCGAACTTGTCTTACTTCAACCTCTGCCTCCTGGGTTCAAGCGATTCTCCCGCCTCAGCCTCCTGAGTAGCTGGGACTATAGGTGCACGGCACCATGCCCGGCTAATTTTTGTAATTTTAGTAGAGACAGGGTTTCACCATATTGATAGGTGGGTCTCGAACTCCTGACCTTAGGTGATCCACCCACCTCAGCCTCCCAAAGTGCTGGGATTACAGGTGTGAGCCACCGCACCCAGCCTCTCTCTTTTTCCTGATTGTTTTGATCATAAAAGGAACTACCTTTGTACTAGATGGGTGCTGTTCTGTCGAAGGTACCAAGGGTCCTTTTTTACAGCTGGAAACACTGAGGCAGCGAGTAGGGAGTCACTGTCCTAAGGCTGTGAGTATAGCGGTTTTGGCTTGTGAGGCCACCTCTAATCCTAGCACTGCAGACCCAAACTTGCTCTAACCTCTTTCCTCCTCACCACAGGGAGGCTCTAGGCCTCCTCTCCAAGCTGAGTAAAACCCTGGGCACTGTTGGTATTCTTGGAAACACTCAGGGACAACCAAGTTGATGGCCCCTAAGTCATGGAGCTTCAGGGATGCAAAGAATGGAAAAACCATATATGAAGTCCAGGAGAGGAAAGTAACTTGGCCAAGGTCACACAGCTTGTCAGGGTACAGCTAGGATTAGAACCAGTTCTCTGCCTCCCAGCTTTGTGTTCTTCTACCACAACACAGTGCAGGTATGTTGCCAGGCCAGGACACAGCAAGCCTGCCCCACCCTGAACTCCGTGCTTCCCAGGGCCCATGCTAGCCCTTGTCTGGTTGTGCCCCTTTTCTCTGGGCAAGGAGTCTTGGGTCCAAAGGGATTTGTCCACCTGGAGACCTCGCTTCCCTTTCTAGATCATGTTCCAAGTAGCTGGGACCCTTAAATTCCCAGCCCAAAGGGTCTCAAGCCTACTTCCAGGGCCTCTTCCCTGGTCAATCTTCCCAAAGGCTTTCCAAAACCCAACTTAACCCACAACTACCCCATCATCTCTCACGACTCCCTTCTTTTTCATATGACTGGTCCCTATAGAAGTCAGGAGCCTCAGCTTTGTCCCAGATAGTTTCAGACCTACAATTCTCTACATTGTCCATATTCTTTTCTCTTTTCTCTCTCCAATACGTTCCCAAGAAGCTACTGCTTGTTCTTGAACTATGGCCCCTCCTTTCCAAACCTTCAAGGCCATGTGATGCTCTGATTTAGACACCAAAACAACAAAAACCACCACACCACCACTATAAAAAAATAAAAGGAACCATCTCCATTCCCCCAAACCTCCACCAAGATGTCCTTCTCAGGTCTCTGATGCTGTGTGTGTGTGTGTGTGTGTGTTTTTTGGGGGATGTGGGGGCCTGGAGCCTGGGGTATATTTGTATATCTGACAAACAGAAAGCTGCTGAGACCGGTTGTGGTGGCTCATGCCTGTAATCCCAGTGCATTGTGAGGCCAAGGTGGGAGGGTCACTTGAGGTCAGGAGTTTGAGAACAGCCTGGGCAACACAGCGAGACTCTGTCTCTCTTTTTTTTGAGATAGGGTATTGCTCTGTCACCCAGGTTGGAGTGCAGTGTTGCAATTTCAGCTCACTGCAGCCTCCACCTCCCAGGCTCAAGCGATCCTTCCACATCAGCCTCCTGAGTAGCTGGGACCACAGGTGTGCGCCAACCATGCCCGGCTAATTTTTGTATTTTCTGTAGAGACGAGATTTCACCATGTTGCCCAGGCTGGTCTCAAACTCCTGAAAAGCAACCTCTCGGTTTGGCCTCCCAAAGTGCTGGGACTACAGGCATGAGCCAGGGCACCTAGCCAGATCCCTTCTCTGAACACAAAACAAACAAACAAAAAAACACAAAGATTTTTTGGGCCGGGCGCGGTGACTCACGCCTATAATCCCAGCACTTTGGGAGGCCAAGGCGTGCGGATCACAAGGTCAGGAGATCGAGACCATCCTGGCTAACACGGTGAAACCCCGTCTCTACTAAAAATACAAAAAATTAGCTGGGCGTGGTGGTGGGCGCCTGTAGTCCAAGCTACTCGGGAGGCTGAGTCAGGAGAATGGAGTGAACCCGGGAGGCAGAGCTTGCAGTGAGCAGAGATCGTGCCACTGCACTCCAGCCTGGGCAACAGAGCGAGACTCAGTCTCAAAAAAAAAAAAAAATATATATATATATACATATATATATATATTTTGATATTTTGTGTGTGTGTGTGTGTGTGTGTATATATATATATATATATATATATATATATATATATATGCTTGCAGAAGGATAGGAAAAATAAATCATAATTAAATGTAAATAGGCCAGGGGTGGTGGCTTATGCTTGTAATCCCAGCACTTTGGGAGGCCAAGGCAGGTGGATCACCTGAAGTCAGGAGTTCGAGACCAGCCTGACAAACATGGTGAAAACCCCTGTCTACTACAAAAATTAGCCAGGCATGGTGGTGGGTGCCTGTAATCCCAGCTACTCGGGAGGCTGAGGCAGGAGAATCGCTTGAACCCAGGAGGCAGAGGTTGCAGTAAGCCGAGATGACTGCGTCACTGTACTCCAGCCTAGGGAACAGAGCAAGACTCCGTCCCAAAAAATAAATAAATAAATAGATAGATAAATAAATAAATGTAAATAAATAAAGCTGCTGGGGCTTTCTAGTGTAGTCTCCATATGGGATAACTGGAGCTTTGCATTTCAATCTGGGCACCTTAAGTATTCAGTCAGTTAAACCTGCTGGGAAAAACAGCATCTCACCAGACTACATTCCTACATAGTGGTATTATTTACCAACATCTTGACACTAAGCTCTGTCCTCACTCAGCCTTGTGCGAGGGAGAAATGGGCAGATTGCTACAGATATTGCAGCTTGTACTAACCAATTCCAATTCCGTGACATGATTAAACTGAGAAATGTCCTCAAATTCAGTACATTTAAACAAAACATAATTTAGTGCTGACACACTCCAAGTACAAGATTATAAAATGCTTTAAGAAAATGACTAAGAGAAATCTAAGAATTTGTTGAACCTTTTAGAATTCCCCCAAAATCCCAACTCTGTAAGAAATCAATACAGAGGGCTGTAACACAGAGCCAGAAGAATATCACACACTGGCCGACAGTTTCCATCCATGGAAAGCTAAGGAGGGCAGAAGGCCAGGGTGGCCTCATAGATGCGCACAGGCTTTGGTGGTAGTCAGGCCTAGGTGTGAGTCTCTGGAGGCCCACCTAATCAGTGGTGTGAGCGTGGGCAAGATACTTCTCTTTAAGCCTTGGTTTCCTCACTACAAAAGGCTGCTTTGAAAATACACACTTGGCCTCTTTGCCCTGAGGATTAATAAGATAATTTATCCGAAGTGCTTGGTGAAGGGTAGACCCTTATGCAGGTCAATGTTGGCGGTACTTCCAGAGCACCCACTACACAGGCATGTGGGTGCACTGATCTCATTTTGTCAAGTACTCTTGAAACCCTTTTGTGGGAAAGATATGGGCTGGTGTGGTGAAGTAACCTACACAGGTCAGAAAGCTTAGTTCACGAAGCGTAAGAGTGTGTAGGCAGATGGAATGAGACTACTTAAATTAAAATAAAAAAGTCCCTTTCAACCCACACACAAAAAGCTCCAGTGGAGCCATCTCCAGTCAGCCGGGCAGCCGGGTACTGGGCTGAGTGGCACAGAGGGGCTGTTAAGATGAACATCTGCAGAAAGGAGTGATGGGAAGCTCCAGAAGGGCACGCAGAGCCTCTCCAGGACCCCATCTGGTCTGCGGTGCCAGGAAAGAGGAGGCCTGGAGAACCAGGGTGTAGTTGTGCTTTGTAACTGTGAGCTACACCCATGGGAATGTCCTAATGGCTCCTCACTGTTCCCTGCTCTGATCATTCACATTCTGTGATTACACAGGCTGTCATTTCCACAGAGAGCCATGAAACTCAGAAAAGGGAGGCCCGGGAGAAGGCGAGTTTTATGGAGCTTTGAAAATGAAGCTCCAGTTCCTACGGCAGGCCACAAAGCTCAGGGCCAGAGACAGGCCTCCCACGAGCTAGGCTGGCACGCTCAAGCTCATCTCACTCCCCTGCTCCTGTTTTTAGCTGCTTTGTAAACTTATAGCTAAGTTGCTTAACAAAGTAGGTGAGGCCCCAGGAAACTGTATCTGGGTTCTGGTCTCTAAAAGCAAATAACCAAAATTAGAGGTTCCTGTTATCATCCGTGCATTGCAAGCAGCCCCATGACTCACAAAGAGACCCTGAGTTCACATGAACTTTATGGAGCTTGTGGCTTGGAGGTAACATAAATATCACTTTGCTCAGCTCAGCCTTCAGCATCTACCTGAGAATGAGGTAACCTGAAATCTGGTTAAATTAATTCTGGTCAAGAATAAAGAATGTGAAGCCTCCAAATAGGGTTACAGTTTCTCCAAATTACAGATTCAGTCAATAATCCTTTAACAGGTATTTGTTACCCAGCCCTATTAGGGGCTGGGAAACCTAGTTTACAAAGGTCATTTATTCTTATATTTTGTATTTATTATGCACCTTGTGTTAGACAATGTTTTTAATAATTTTTTTTTTTTTTGAGACAAAGTCTCGCTCTGTTGCCCAGGCGTGCAGTGGTGCAATCTCGGCTCACTGCAACCTCCACCTCCTGGGTTCAAGTGATTCTTCTGCCTCAGCCTCCCAAGTAGCTGGGGCTACAGGCACACACCACCACGCCCTGCTAATTTTTGTATTTTTAGTAGAGACAGGGTTTCACCATGTTGGCCAGGCTGGTCTCGAACTCCTGACCTCAGATGATCCGCCTACCTCGGCCTCTCAAAGTGCTAGGATTACAGGTGTGAGCCACTGCGCCTGGCCCTGTTTTTAATAATTTGTTAAAATCATAAAAGTAATATATTCACTAAAGAAAAATTTAGAAAGCATATAAATGAAAAGAACAAAAATAAAAATCATCCAGCAGTTCCACTATTCTTGAGTCATCCATTGTCAATTTTTTTTTTTTTAAATGGAGTCTTACTCAGTTGCCCAGGCTAGAGTGCAGTGGCATGATCTTGGCTCACCACAACCTCCACATCCCAGGTTCAAGCAATTCTCCTGCCTCAGCCTCCCGGTGTAATCCCACTGAGTAGGTGGGATTACAGGTGCGTGCCACCATGCCCAGCTAATTTTTGTATTTTTAGTAGAGAGGGGGTTTCACCACAATGGACAGGCTCGTCTCGAACTGCTGACCTTGTGATCCACCTGCCTCGGCCTCCCAAAGTGCTGGGATTACAGGCGTGAGCCACAGCGCCCGGCCCATTGTCAATGTTTTAATGTGTGCCCTTCCAGATTTCTTCCTCTACAAGGCTTGCTTGCACACTTAAGCATGCACATGCATGCAAATTGTTTTACAAAAATGAGATCACACTGAACATGCTACTTTGCACCCTGTTCCCTTTGGTTAATAAATATGAAGAACATTCAGTGTCAACCATTACAGACGTAACATCATCCTTTTCAGAGTCCCACGGTATCATTCTGTGTGCCATTGTACTGTACCAGTGTATTAAAATTTGTTTAACTTAATGATGAAAAATTGCTTTAAATTTTTCAGCCTTATCTTTTTTTTTTATTTTTTTGAGACAGGGTCTTGCTCTCTTGCCCAGGCTGGAAGGCAGTGGTGGGGCTCAATGCAGCCTCTACCTCCTGTGCTTAAGCAATCCTCCCACCTCAGACTCCTGAGTAGCTGGGACTACAAGCATGCATCACCAAACCTGGCTAACTTTAAAGAAATCTTTTTTTTGTGGAGACAGAGTCTCCCTATGTTGTCTAAGCTGGTCTCAAACTCCTGGGCTCAAGCGATCCTCTTGACTTGGCCTCCCAAAGTGCTGGGATTACAGGCGTGTGCCACCACACCCAGCAAGTTATTCGGCATTATTAACAACTCTTTTGTTCCCCCACTTCTCTATTTTCTTAGGATAAATTCCTAGAAGTTAGATGGCTGGGTCAAAGGACCACTATACATGCTTTGGAAAGGTTTCAAAAATCTATGCTCCTGCTAGTGTTTCCTCACAGCCATTTCTGTCAATCTGATAGTGGAAAAAACCAACATGGAATTGTTTTGTCTTGCATGACTGAGTACTAACTGAGGCTGAAAGTCTTTTTTTTTTCTAAAGTCCCAATTTTATTGAGCATTTGCATTTCTTCCTTTGTAAACCGCCTGCTCTTGACCTTCGTCCATTTTTGCTATCAGGCTATTTTGTCTTTTTTTTTTTTTCACTGATTTAAAAAACTTCCAGATATTATAGATACTTATTCTTCTTAAATGTCTGCAAGTACTTCCCCCACTTTGTTATTTCTCTTTTAATATGTTCAGAAAAAAAGAATGACATAGCAATTAAGAATCACCATGTCGGCCTGGCGCGGTGGCTCACACCTGTAATCCCAGCACTTTGGGAGGCCGAGGCGGGCGGATCATGAGGTCAGGAGATCGAGACCATCCTGGCTAACACGGTGAAACCCCGTCTCTACTAAAAATATAAAAAATTAGCTGGGCGTGGTGGCGGGCGCCTGTAGTCCCAGCTACTTGGGCGGTTGAGGCAGGAGAATGGCGAGAACCTGGGAGGCGGAGCTTGCACCGAGATTGCGCCACTGCACTCCAGCCTGGGTGACAGAGCGAGACTCCGTCTCAAAAAAAAAAAAAAAAAAAAAAAAAAAAAGAATCACCATATCCTAGCCTTGGAACCTGGGGCAAGTTTTACCTCTTTCAGCTGCAGTTTTTCTCAACTGTACATTGTGGCTAACAATTACAGCTAACTCACGGATTGATGAGATAACTCATGTGGAATCTATGGCACCATGCCTGGCACTTAGTATTAGCTAGTACACATTATTCATAGTGGGTTTTTTTTTTTTGACACTTTTGCTTTAACTCTTACTTTGAAAATGTGAATTTGTTCAAATGCATCAGATACATCCAGAAACAATCTGAGCATAATATAAATTTTGCATTTGCTTATGCATGAGAAAAACACTAGGAAGTGCAGAAAACCATATTCGGCTGAAATGAGCCATGCAGGAATGCACAAAATGTGCACACACATACACAGGCACCTTAAACATCTACCAGCTTCATCAGGTCACTGCATGTGTTATGAATCACATTCATCACATTGATGTCAGAACTTTCCATTGGACTTCAGACAGCCCTCCTTCCACCACTTCCTGATAACTCCCAAGCTGTAACCTAATGACACTTACTTCCCACAAGCAAACCTCAGGTGTTTTTCAAGCCAAAGTGCCTTTTCATTGTGGTATTTATATATTTCTTAGTTTTTCTGGTCTATAAAACTGTGTGACTGTTTTATTAGGTCCCCCCACTTTTTTTTTTTTTTTTGAGACGGAGTCTTGCTCTGTCGCCCAGGCTGGAGTGCAGTGGCGGGATCTCGGCTCACTGCAACCTCCACCTCCTGGGTTCAAGCACTTCTCCTGCCTCAGCCTCCTGAGTAGCTGGGATTACAGGCGCCCGCCACCACGCCCAGTAGAGACGGGGTTTCACCATGTTGGTCAGGCTGGTCTCGAACCCCTGACCTCGTGATCCACCCGCCTCAGCCTTCCAAAGTGCTGGGATTACAGGTGTGAGCCACTGTGCCCGGCAGGTCCCTATCTTTTTTAAAAAATAAATCTTTTCCTTTTTTTGGTCACCTATGAGATTTTTTATTGTTGTGATCCTTAACCCTCCATTTCACAGTAAGTTCTGGGTTTCTGTTTTAGAGACAGGGTCTTACTCTGTCACCCAGGCTGGAGTGCAGTGATGTGATCATAGCTCACTGTGGCCTCTACCTCCTGGGCTTAAGGGATCCTCCACTGCAGCCTCTTGGGTAGCTGGGAGTACAGGCACACACCACCATGTCCAGATAATTTTTATTTTTTATTTGTAAGAGAGACTGGGTCTTGCTTTGTTGCCCAGGCTGGTCTTGAACTCCCTGCCTCATGCGATCCTCCCACCTTAGCCTCCTGATTACAAGCATGAGCCAACATGCCCACTCCGTGTTTTTTACTGCATGATTTCGCATGGCATGATTTTTAGAAATGCACATGATGAACTATAGCAGAACTGACTATACACCATTTTTACATTGTATAGTGAAATTACATGGCTTCTGTGTAACGCTTAAGAAAAACCCTCATCCTCAAGATCAGAGGAATAGTCACCTAAACTTTCTTCATTTGTACTTTTCGTTCATTTTATCTTTCATATTAGAGCTGCCCAACAAGTACAAGAACATGGAAATAATAATGGTGTGTGATGTGTGTAGGCCACTGAAAATGAGATGGACCACACCAGTGAGGGAGGTAAATGCAAAATCTAATTCCCAACAAGTATCCTGATTGAATGTACAGAACTGTTTCATCATAATGATCCTATCTCCCCACCCACAATGTTTTTTTCTAATAATTATTTAAAAAACCAAATGTAGACTAGTAACAAACCTGAAGATCAATATGAGATAACCATTTCTCCATTCTACTATTTGTGATCATCACTGCTTTCTCCAGGACCTAAAACATCAGTTACCCACACTCTAGTCACCCAGAGGAGCAGCTGAGGAACTGGGCTCTTTCAACCACATCCTTCAACTGAGAAGCCCTAAAATGCAAGCAATAATATAGGGAACAAAGGGAAGGTTTTAACAGGCAAACCGCTATCTAAAAATCACTCCACTCAAACACCAGGGGGCACATCAGAGCACAGGGACGGTATCATGTCCTTCAAGGGGTTTCTGGGTCACCTTCCTGCGAAGAGTCTGGAGGAGGTGTTGAATGACACAGGATGGCAAGCTGGTGACTCAAGCATCCTATATTTTAAGCAACAGATGAGTGAACTCTTTTACTGGCAAAGAAACCACAAAGAAAAATTGGGTGGAGAGGTGCGGATTCTCAAATGCTTGTTTTGTAATACACACAAAGGTGTCATATATTCCTTTGCATATACCGAATATTACATAATAAAATAAAACAATTCAGAATGAGAAGAAAAAGGAATCATGAAGGAAACCCAAAGGAATTCTCAAATGGTCTTCTGGTCTTCTCTGTCTAGTGCTCTCTCTCCCCGCCTCTCATGGCAGCCCTGGAGGGACTCAGCTCTGCAGGAAAAAGCAGTGGAAGTCCAGGCTTTTCTGGCCCACTATAGCAGGGGACCTGAGCCAGCTCTCATAGTTTGAACAGGAGAGGGATCTGCAGCTCCACTTTCCATTGCTCTTTCTTTTTCCTCCTGCCTTAAGTTCACTCAAGTCTCCTTCCTTAGCATCATGGATTTACCTCTTCACTCCCGTCCACACTCTGCCTTAATTTCAACCATAGCCTCCTACCCAGTGACGAACATCTTCTTTGAGTATCTTGTTCATCCAACAGCCTTTTAAATCAAATCAAATTCTTTTTTTTTTTTTTTTGAGACAGAGTCTTGCTCTGTTGCCCAGGCTGGAGTGCAGTGGCATGATCTCAGCTCACTGCAACTTCTGTCTCCCAGGTTCAAGCAACTCTCCTGTCTCAGCCTCCCATGTAGCCGGGATTACAGCCGCCTGCCACCACGCCCAGCTAATTTTTGTATTTTTAGTAGAGACTTCGTGTTGGCCAGGCTGGTCTTGAACTCCTGACCTTAGGTGATCCACCTGCCTCAGCCTCCCAAAGTGCTGGGATTATAGGCATAAGCCACCGTGCCCGGCCCTTAATCAAATCAAATTCTTTAACACAAGCTTCCAAGCTTCCTATGAACTGCTCCCTTCTGTTCCAAAGGTTTTCACTTCCCACCCACTTTAGTTCATCATCCACCCTGGAAAAGTACTCACTCCCTCTTCTGCACATGCCTTTGAGGGGTGGGGTAGGGCAATCTTTCTTTGAATGTAAGTGCCATGTCTTCTCTTTTCTACTTGTGACCACCCTCTTCCTTTCTCCAAACTCTGAATTTCACAATTCTACTTCAAAACTATTTAAAATTACTTTTACCAGGGACTCTTTTCCACCTCAGATGATCTAGTCATCTTTTAGTTCTTGAACTCAATTGTGATTTATTTTGTTAAAGAAAATTATTGGCCAGGTGTGGTGGCACATGCCTGTAATCCCAGCACTTTGAGAGGCTGAGGTGGCCAGATCGCTCAAGTTCAGGAGTTTGAGACCAGCTTGGGCAACATAGCGAGACTCCATCTCTACAAAAAATACAAACTTTAGCAGGGGGCATGGTGGCACGCACCTGTAGGCCCAGCTACTCGGCAGGCTGAGGTGGGAGGATTGCTTAAGCCTGGGAGGTGAAGGTTGCAGTGAGCAGAGTTTGTGCCACTGTACTCCAACCTGGGTGACAGACCAAGACCATGTCTCAAGAAAACAGGAAAGAAAAATTAACTAAAACTTGGAAATAAGACCAAAAAAAAACGTTATATGCCTCTTTAAAGTTATACTAAAATTCCAGTTACTCAGGAGGCTAAGGCAGGAGGATCACTTAAGGCCAGGAGTTTGAGGCTGCAGTGAGGCATGATCATGCTACTGCATTCCAGCCTGGACAAAATAGTGAGACCCCATCTCTCTAAAAAATAAAAAAACTTGGTCAGGCCTCGTGGCACATGCCTGTAGTCCCAGCTACTTGGGAGGCTGAGGTGGGAGGATCACTTGAGGCCAGAGTTCAAGGCTGCAGTGAGCCACGACTGTACCACTGTACTCAAGCCTGGAACAACAGAGCAAGACCCCTGACTCAAAAAAAAAAAAAAAAAGTTATACTACAGCACTGTCTAAGCTGCCTGCCTAAAAGTTATCTGATGCTCTATGGAACCATCACCTTGTTTGACTTTCTATTTACTACCGATTAAGGCTCCCATTCTGTAAAGTTAGATGTTAGCCTGCAGAAAATTGTTAAGTTAAAATCATTTCTGTCTGGTAGAAAAGAAAACCTTTAAGCTTTTGTTTTCATTGCACTGTAGGACATTAACTAGTTTTGCGTTTTTTTTGAGCCAGAGTCTCGCTCTGTCACCCAGGCTGGAGTGCAGTGGCACAATCTTGGCTCACTGCAACCTCCACTTCCCAGTTTCAATTCTCCCGCCTCAGTCTCCCAAGTAGCTGGGACTACAGGTGCCCGCCACCACACCCAGCTAATTTTTGTATTTTTAGTAGACGAAGTTTAATTTAACCATGTTGGCTAGGCTGGTCTTCAGCTCCTGACCTCAAGTGATCCACTCGCCTCAGTCTCCCAAAGTCCTGAGATTACAGGCATGAACCACGGAATCTGGCCCTAGTTTTGTATTTAAATTTGCAATCTTATTCCTGCATTCTTTTTTCTATGTAAATATCAGTTTCTTGCAGTCTCCTTTGATCCATTTGTCATCCTGTTATCTTCATTAACAATGTTAATAAATTTCTGACATGTGCTCATGATGTTTTAGTTCAAGGCTATGTTTTTAACTTTTAAAAAACTTTGCTATATTACACATAGTAAGTTTTTTTTTTTTTTTTAATGCTGCACATGCCTGTTGGTCCAGCTACACGGGAGGCTAAGATGGGAGGATCGCTTGAACCTAGGAATTCAAGGTCGGCCTAGGCAACAAAGTGAGACAAGGTCACTAAATAAATAAATTTTATTTTATTATTTTTTGAGACAGAGTCTCACTCTGTCGCCCAGGCTGGAGTGCAGTGGTGTGATCTCAGCTCACTGCAGCCTCTGGCTCCACCTCCGCCTCCCACGTTCAAGCAATTCTCAAGCCTCAGGCTCCTGAGTAGCTGGCATTACAGGCACGTACCACCAAACCCGGCTAATTTTTGTATTTTCAGTTGAGACCGGGTTTCACCATGTTGGCCAGGCTGGTCTTGAACTCCTGGCCTCAAGTGATCTGCCCGCCTCAGCCTCCCAAAGTGCTGGGATTATAGGAATGAGCCACCACCCCCGGATTCTAAATAAATAAATCTTAAAGATGTTTTTCTTATGTCTTGTGTTCTATGAGTGCATGGAGAAAATGTTCCTTTCCCTGTACCGCTTCAAGCACCAAGCATACTGGTATTAAAAAACAAAAGCCAGGCCGGGCATGGTGGTTCACCCCTGCAATCTCAGCACTTTGGGAGGCCGAGGCGGGTGGATCACCTGAGGTCAGGAGTTCGAGACTAGCCTGGCCAACATGGTGAAACCCCATCTCTACTAAAAATATAAAAATTATCTGAGTGTGGGGGTGGGTGCCTGTAATCCCAGCTACTCGGAAGGCTGAGGCAGTTATCACTTGAACCTGGGAGGCAGGGGTTGCAGTGAGTCGAGATCGCGCCACTGCACTCCAGCCTGGGTGGCAAGAGTGAAACGCCATCTCAAAACAAAAACAAAAACAAAAAAACACAAAACACAAAACAACAACAACAAAAAAACTGGCACTGACTCACTGAAATGCTCTCAATAGCAACTTTCATGCAACTTATAAAAATGGTGATCATGCTTTCTTCTTTTTTTTTTTTTTTTGAGATGGAGTCTCGCTCTGTCGCCCAGGATGGAGTGCAGTGGCGTGATCTCAGCTCACTGCAAGCTCCGCCTCCCGGGTTCACGCCATTCTCCTGCCTCAGCCTCCCGAGTAGCTGGGACTACAGGCGCCCGCCACCACGCCCAGCTAATTTTTTGTATTTTTAGTAGAGACGGGGTTTCACCGTGTTAGCCAGGATGGTCTTGATCTCCTGACCTTGTGATCCACCTGCCGCGGCCTCCCAAAGTGCTGGGATTACAGGCGTGAGCCACTGCACCTGACCGATCATGCTTTCTGAACCAGAAACTAGAAGGGATGTTTCACCTCATAATGGAATAAGATATTTTTAAAAGTTAGACTAGCCTGGAAAATCTGGACAGATCTATGTAATTTCTGCAAAGCTTTCACTTTTAGGGAGGTAAGTATGTAAATACAGAAGGATTTCAACGGGTTAAGCATCCACTGTGTACCAGGCACAGAGATAATAAATTAGTCCTTGACCTCAAAGAGTTAGTGAAAGGATCACAATATGGTTTGTGAAGATTGTCACAGCAGAGATGTGCATCTGCAAGACACCAAAGAGACACAGGGAACATGACAAAATCACAGAATCCAGCAAGTCAATAGTTCCCTGAAGGAGTTGGATTGAAGGCTGATCAGGATGCAAAGTACAGTCTAGGCCAGGGAACCTCAAGAGCCAAGGCAGGGAGACATGGAGCTGCATGATAGGTTGTTGAAGACAATGGGTGATGGGCAGGGCACCATACTGGGCAAGTTGTTAGGGGCCAAAGCACAAAGGGCCCTACAACTCATGGTGGTGAAATGAAAAAATGAAGGAGAACTCATAGCAAGTTGTCCCACAATGCTCTAAGAAGGAGAGCTCCTCCAGCCCAGCAGTTGCTCATTCTGGTTTACATGGGGTTGAGGAGGCAGAGGCTGCTGTCCTGCCTAGAACTCCAAAATATCATGAACTAATTAAGAATCACTGGCCGGGCACAGTGGCTCATGCCTGTAATCCCAGCACTTTGGGACGCCAAGGCGGGTGGATCACTTGAGGTCAGGAGTTCGAGACAAGCCTGGCCAACATGGTGAAACCCCGTCTCTACTAAAAATAAAAAAATTAGCTGGGCATGGTGGCACATGCCTGCAGCTACTTGGGAGGCTGAGGCAGAAGAATCACCTGAACCCAGGAGGTGGAGGGTGCAGTGAGCTGAGACTGTGCCACTGCACTCCAGCCTAGGCAAAAAGAGCAAAAAGAGCAAAACTCCATCTACCACAAAAAAAAAAAAAAAAAAAAAAAAAAAAAAATCATTCTGAGAGTATGAGAATGGCTGGAATAAAAAGTCAGTCAGATAACTTCATCAATTGATGAAGAAGCTGAGAATTTTCTGAAAACTGGTTAAATAAGAGTTTTGGTTATAAATATGGCCCAAAAAGTGACCAAAACTGGGAAACAGGTCATCTCCCATGGCCTGTAGGGTTCAGGGTTTCAGATGAAAGTCAGGAGAGGAAAAAACAAAAAAATAAAAAAAGAGTGACAAGGGATCAGATTTAAGGAGAAAGGCAAGATGTCAAAAAGCTAAACCAAGGCCCGTTTTGCAAGGCCAAACTGAATGGAGATGTCACGATTAAATTCAAAGAGAAGTGGCTGTGACTCCAATAATGTAATCACTGTGCTATCTTTGAAAAATTAATTAATTTCCTTGAGACTCAGTTACTTAATTGTAAATATGGGAATAATCCAAACTGATGGATATATATCAATACACAGAAAAATACATCAAGCACATAATAAAATGTATTTAATTTTTTCACTTTTTTTTTCTGGTTTTTTCCTTCCTCCCTCCCTGCCTCCCTCCCTCCTTCACTCCCAGGCCAGGTCCCCATAGGTTTGCCTTTTGTTTGTTTGTTTGTTTGAGATGGAGTCTCTCTCTATCGCCCAGGCTGGAGTGCAGTGGCACAATCTCTGCTCACTGCAAGCTCCACCTCCCGGGTTCACACCATTCTCCTGCCTCAGCCTCCCAAGTAGCTGAGACTACAGGCATCCGCTACCATGCCCGGCTAATTTTTCGTATTTTTTAGTAGAGACGGGGTTTCACCGTGTTAGCCAGGATGGTCTTGATCTCCTGACCTTGTGATCCACCCCCCTTGGCCCCACAAAGTGCTGGGATTACAGGCGTGAGCCACCGCGCCCGGCCGCTTTGTTTTTTTTTTAAAGTGTCTTTAGAAGCAAGGCCTTATTGGCTGGGTGCGGTGGCTCATGCCTGTAATACCAGCACTTTGGGAGGCCGAGGCGGGTGGATCACCTGCAGTCAGGAGTTCAAGATCAGCCTGGCCAACAGGGTGAAACCCTCTCTCTACTTAAAATACAAAAAATCAGCTGGGCGTGGTGGTACGCACCTGTAATCCCAGCTACTTGGAAGGCTGAGGCAGGAGAATCGCTTGAACCCGGGAGGTGGAGGTTGCAGTGAGGCGAGATCGCGCCATTGCACTCCAGACTGGGGGACAAGAGCAAGACTTCATCTCAAAAAAACAAACAAACAAACAAAAAGACTAAAAGAAGCAGGGCCTTACTATGTTGCCCAGGAGAGTCTCAAATTCCTGGACTCAAGTGATCCTCCTGCCTCAGGCTCCCAAGCAGCCCAGACCATGCCGACTTTCCATAGTTTTTTTTTTTAAACATAAATTTAAAAAGGGGAAAATCCCCAGGTTAGATTCCAATTAAACCTTTGAATAAAAGCCAGTGGTTGCACTATTGATATTTAAGAACAAAACCAATGAAGTGACAAAGCTAATAAACTTATTTTCTGGGTAGAAAGCATATTTATATTTTATTTACAGAATAAATATTACCAGTACAGAAGGTAATATTACTGAAATTAAATTCATTCATGTCCTCCATGAGGACAACATAAAAGTAGCTACCACTGATACCCACTTAGTACGTTATATCAACCCTGAGACCAATATTATTATGTTTTAAAAGTGAGGAAACTGGCCGGGCTTGGTGGCTCACGCCTGTAATCCCAGCACTTTGGGAGGCCGAGGTGGGCGGATCACTTGAGGTCAGGAGTTCAAGACCAGCCTGGCCAACATGGTGAAACCCCATCTCTACCAAAAATACAAAAATTAGCTGGGCGTGGTGGTGGGCACCTGTAATCCGAGCTACTCGGGAGGCTGAGGCAGGAGAATCACTTGAACCCTGGAGGCAGAGGTTGCAGTGAGCCAAGATCTCTCCACTGTACTCCAGCCCAGGGGACAGAGGCTATCTCAAAAAAAACAAAAAGAAAGAAAAAAGTGAGGAATCTAAGATTCAAAGAAATTAGATAATTTGCCAAAGCCCCCTACATAAGCTACAAAGTGGCTGAACTGAGATTTGAATTTATATCTATATTTAGGTTTGTCTGAGTCTCTCCTCTACCCACACTTTTTTCCCCTTACAAAATAAACATTTCTTGGATTTTACATTTATGCTCATCACAACTTGGGGAAAAGCTGTAAGACAGACTCGGAGTGACAACAAAGGAGATTTGGGGCTGTGTGGAGGGGCACTTAGGTAATCATGTCATTACTTTTTTTTTTTTTTTGAGATGGAGTCTCGCTCTGTTGCCAGGCTGGAGTGCAGTGGCACCATCTCGGCTCACTGCAGCCTCCGCCTCCCTGGTTCTGAAGTGATTCTCCTGCCTCACCCTCCTGAGTAGCTGGGACTACAGGTGCCCGCCACCACACCTGGCTAATTTTTGGTATTTTTAGTAGAGACAGGGTTTCACCATGTTAGCCAGGATGGTCTTGATCTCCTGCCCTTGTGATCCACCTGCCTCGGCCTCCCAAAGTGCTGGGATTACAGGCGTAAGCCACGGCGCCCAGCCCCATCTCATTACTTTCTTTTTTTCTTTTGAGACGGAGTCTCACTCTGTCACCCAGGCTAGAGTGCAGTGGGGTAATCTCGGCTCACTGCAAACTCCGCCTCCCAGGTTAAAGCGATTCTCTCGCCTCAGCCTCCCGAGTAGCTGGGACTACAGGTGTGTGCCACTACGCCCGGCTAATTTTTTGTATTTTTTTAACAGAGATGGGGTTTCACCATGTTAGTCAGGATGGTCTCGATCTCCTGACCTCGTGATCCACCCACCTCCGCCTCCCAAAGTGCTGGGATTACAGGCGTGAGTCACCAAGCCCGGCCCATCTTATTACTTTCAATGTTCATTTCAATGCTGATGGAAGATCAATCTCAGGGTGAACATGTATGTAATGGACGCATCAAGGGGAATGGGGAAAAGGTATTTTTGACTGGCTGTATTTTACAAGTATACCTTCCTATCCAAATTATTAAATTATTCTTCAAATGAGACCATATGCCTTGACAAGATGCTGTTTTCTAGAACAATCTCTCTCTTTTTAAGTATACATTTTAATAAAAGATACATCCCTTAAGACACGCATTCAAGAAACATTAACTGAGATCCTACTATGTGCCAGATACAAAAATAAATGCCTTCAAGAGGCACATGTTATGGTAGAAAACCTCTGTAAAAACATCTGTTGGGGCGGGTGCGGTGGCTCACACCTGTAATCCCAGCACTTTGGGAGGCTAAGGCGGGAGGATCACCTGAAGTCAGGAGTTCAAGACCAGCCTGGCCTGGTAACATGGTGAAACCCCATTTCTCTAAAAATACAAAAGTTAGCCGGGCGTGGCGGCAAGCACCTGTAATCCCAGCTACTTGGGAGGCTGAGGCAGGAGAATCGCTTGAATCTGGAAGGCAGAGTTTGCAGTAGCTGAGATCGCGCCATTGCACTCCAGCCTGGGCAACACAGTGAGACCCCATCTCCAAAAAATAAATAAATAAATAAATAAATAATAAATCTGCCAGGACTGCATGCAAAGTGTTAGGATAAAAAGGGATACATGGTACAAGAGGAACCTGCTGGAATGTTGCTTAAAAAGCTGTTGTTGCTGTTTTCAGTACTATTTACTTCAGTGTATATATACGTATGTATATATTCATATACAAAGTTTAAACATGATTTTTTTTACTGGAAAATAACTTCATTAACACTGTGGCTCCCTTATTTTTCCTTTTAACACTTCTACTTTCACACACTGTGTTATATAATCTTCAAAATCACCCTGTGAGGTAGCCATTTCAAGCACTGTTTTAAGTGAGTTAATATATGTAAATCACCTGGGATAGTGAGTGCCTGGCAGTAAGTGCTTGAAAAGCGGTCTTGGTGGTGGTTTTTACACAGGAAGAAAAGTCCAAGTCCAAAGAGGGGGTGACCTGCACACCATCTCAGGCAGGTGGGGAGCGAGTAGCAGACAGAGATAGGAGCCTTACTCCTTCCTCTAAGCCCTGTGCTCTTTTCTCAAGCACCCTGCTCCACAAGTTGCCCCAACCACCACAGGGAGGTGCTTCCTCCTAGGAGTTTCTCGCTGGGGTTGCCCCACCTCCCAGCAGTTAGGCTCTACGATGCTGCAATCAACCAGAGTCCCGACCCATGCAAGAGCCCCACCCTTGCTGCAGCCAGGGACTCCAATCCTTGCCTAATGCTAAAACACAGACATCAGATTCTTGTCATCCCATGTTTGAAAGGCTGTCTCTCTTATCCCACTTATTATTTTTAAATGACTGCTCTATTAAAAACAGACTTTGAAGGCCAGGCGCGGTGGCTCACGCCTGTAATCCCAGCACTTTGGGAGGCCACGGTGGGCGGATCATGAGGTCAGGAGATTGAGATCATCCTGGCTAACACGGTGAAACTCCGTCTCTACTAAAAAAATACAGGGGGAGGAGGGAGGGATAGCATTGGGAGATATACCTAATGCTAGATGACGAGTTAGTGGGTACAGCGCACCAGCACTGCACATGTATACATATGTAACTAACCTGCACATTGTGCACATGTACCCTAAAACTCAAAGTATAATAATAATAAATAAATAAAAATACAAAAAAAAATTAGCTGGGCGTGGTGGCGGGCGCCTGTAGTCCCAGCTACTCGGGAAGCTGAGGCAGGAGAATGCCATGAACCCGGGAGGCGGAGCTTGCACTGAGCCGAGTTTGCGCCACTGCACTCCAGCCTGGGCGACAGAGCGAGACTCCGTCTCAAAAAAAAAAAAATAATAATAATAATGAAAATAAATAAAAGAAACAGACTTTGAGAACAACAATCAAGAAGAAAAACTGAGCAAATTAGTAGTAATAATTTTTAAAAAGTACAGGAATTAACATTTGCTGAGCTCTTACTATGTATCAGCAATTAAACACTTTACACAAATTTCGTTTAATCTCAATGACACTTTGAGGTAGATGCCATTATCATCTCCACTTTACAGGTAAGGAAAATGAGGCACTCAGAGGCTAAGTAACTTGTCTAATGTCACCCAGTCAGCAGGTGGTGGAGCTGGGATTTAAAGTCAAGCTCTTAGCTACCACATAATGCAGATGCTTTGGTTCTATCATCATACGGATATCACCAAAGACAGCCTGACACTGGACAGGTGCTCAGTAAGTGCTTCATTCACGAATGAGTAGAGTGAATGCCCCAAGCTCAGACAGAGAAGGATGTGTCATCCCAGGTCTTTCCTGTATCTCCCAGCTCTTCACCTGCTGCTGCCCTGGCATCATACTGTTCCCTCTTTCACTCTCTTTTAGCAGGAGACTACAAAATTGAGTGAGATGCAGAGTGAGACTCCAAGGAACTGATCCTGCATGACCCTGTTCTGCAAAAGGAGGCCCTCACATTTCACATTTCAGGTGACCCACTGCCAACAAAATCAGGCACAAGCCACTTCACCTGAACTGTCCTCCTCCTGGGGGCAGAGTCTACAAAGCAAGAGATCTCAACCTTTTTCAGCCCTTAAACCATTCAGGCAAAAATGAAAGACCCCAACATCCCACCATCTTACCCTTCCATCCATTACCATGCCCCCAAATCTCCCTAAAACTAAAGAGAAAAAGAATACTTGCAAAGCAGGTTATCAAATCACGCTACAAATACAAACATCCACTCAAATTTGCATACACTATGTACTCTGGGCTGGGAGCTGGAGGATCCTATGTGCCTTGTGTGGAACTCCGCACAGGGCAAAGACTGAAAAGTATTCGTTTTCTTCCCATCTCCCATGCTCACAGAGAAGAAAGAGAAACCTAACCAACTCCATAAACTGCGACAAGGGCAAGAACAGACAAGTGCCTCACAAAGAAAGGGCTGTCAGAGAGCAGAGAAAGGACTGATCCATCCTGGCAGGCAGTGAAAACCGAGCTTAACGGATGAAAAGGGTTTATAAATTAGAGAGAGGGAAGGGTATTCCAGGCAAAGGAAATAGTTTGAGCAAAACCACAGTATCAGGAAATGTCCTGCCAGCTGCTGAAGTAGAGACAGCACGGTGCAAAATGGAGAGATGGAGCTGCCTGTGAAAGGCCTGACTTAATGCTACCATGTATATTTGGCGGCAGAAACTGCTTTTATTTCAGAGGCAAGGAAAGGCACAGAATACATGGTGGGCATTTGCCACTTTTGTTCCATTTGTCCATCATCAGACCCGACCCTCCCATTAGCACCCTGATCTTCCTTTGGAGAATCCCCATTGGGCAGTCCTCATGTGAGGGAAGGTTTCCTGCCAGTCAGCTCTGATTAATGCATCCTCCCACCAGGAGTGCGACCCTTGAGGGAATGACCCAGGAAAGCAGAGACAATATACAGATCATGAAGGCGGAGGAGTACTAAGCAGGAGCCTCCTTGGTTCTGGCCCATTTTCCAAATTGGCTCTCCAGCTTTTCTAGTCACTCCAAGAACCACCCTTCTAACAAATCCTTTTCTGTTCAAGCTAGATAGAAGCGGTTTCTGCTGCTTATCACCAAGAATCCTGACTGATAAAGAACACACTGAAGCAAGGAGGCACCTGACCAAAACCCTGTTTGTGGAAGATAACGAACAGCACAGTTATCAAGAGTGTGGTCTACACAAAACCCAGACACTCGAGCACCAGCACTGGTCAAGCCCTTCAAAATGGCTGTTCACTCAGCCTGGAACACAGCTGCTCTCTCCTTCCACCCCTTTAAGACCTCAGCTTATCCCTGAGAAGGCTCCTCTGATCCTGCCCCCTCCACTAGTTAGGTGTTCCTGTTGGACAACATCCCAGACCTTCCACATTCAGATCTTTGGGGGTATACCCTGGGAGTTCATAGACACATTCAAGTTTGAGAACCTCTGTCCTATGCAGTACTCTGACACACATATTCCTAGAGCATGCCAAATTATTCCCAACTTTGTCTAAATCTATCTAAATAAACACCATGCCTGCTCCTTTACCTTCTAAAATCCTATTTACTCACCCTTCACAATTCAGCCCAAATGCCAAAGTCCTTGTGAAGATTTTTCTAATTCCCTTCCTCAGTCCTCCAAAGATTTAGAGTTGTTCCTCTGTTATAGCCTCTGTTGTATTTTCCCATGTATTATGACTGGATGTTTACATGTTAGCTCCCTGAAAGCAGAGGCCATTTCATTCAACTCTAACAGCTTCTAGCACTGTGCTATGAATACAGTGGATACTCATTCACGTTGAAATGCAGCAAGGATTTTTTAAAAACAACTTTTGACCAGAGAAGGGGCTCCTAGACAGACAGGCTTCCTGAATCAAGGCATCTCCCACCTCATTTTCATAGGACAGCGAAGAATATGGAATCCCACATCAGAAAATCCAAGTTCATTCCCCGTCATCAGCATAGGAAGCATTGGCAAATCATCTAATTTCTCTGTCTCAGTGCCTTCATCTATGTCCATGGAAAATGGGCATAAAAATCAAGCCATGGGCAGGCGCAGTGGCTCACACCTGTAATCGCAGCACTTTGGGAGGCCAAGGCAGGTGGATCACGAGGTAAGGAGTTCAAGACCAGCATGGCCAACATGTTGAAACCTCATCTTTACTAAAAATACAAAAATTAGCCTGGCATAGTGGCACACACCTGTAATCCCAGCTACTCGGGATTACAGGAGACAGGAGAATTGCTTGAACCCAGGAGGCAGAGGTCGCAGTGAGCAGAGATCGTGCCACTGCACCCTAGCCTGGGCGACAGAGCAGGACTCTTGTGGGGGTGGGGGGTGGGGGTGGAAATCAAGCCTCAATTTTATAGCACTTATTAGGAAGACAAATGTATCAGGAGGACTTGGGTAAAGTGTAAGGCCTCACAGGAATGTTAGCACTTGGGAAGAAGCATGATTTCCTTTCACAGCTGTGGGATGGAGGGGGCTTAAGCTGGGCAGACACCAGGTTAGCAAAGCAGTTCCATATCTGGTTCAGCAGCTCGAAATTTCATCACTGTTCCAAACTAGATCCTGAACCCAACAGACCTGTTCCACAGGGCCACGTGGAGGAGCAAGCTTGTAAGGGACATTTAGATACATATCCATTAGCAATTCTCAAGGCCTGAGATATGCAGAAATTTTCTAGTTTGCAAGCCCTTCGATAGTTTAGGATTCATTTCTAAACAAAGTTCCCCAGGGAGCCTTACCTTAAGGCACAGGCTCTGGGATTCTGCTACTCTAAAAAATTCCATCATGTCAACAAAGTTTAACCCTTAATTTTGTGGTCACTTGCACCACACTCTGTGACTGCTCCTCTGTGTCCCACTACCACACCTACAAAAGCCATTTCAAAAGGAAAAAATAAACATTTCCAAACATATTCTAAAAACAGGTCCCCTAGTCCTACATCAATGTGCAAACTGAAGTTCATTCAGTTCCTCATTCATTTTTAAATAGAGCCAAAAGAGGTTAGGTCCTGTCCTCTTCCTTTTTTGTACCTTAGCTACATCATAGGTGCTGCAAGAACTAAGTGAGCTAAGGTACCCAACCCCCACCTTACAGAGGAAATTAAGGCTCAGAAAGTACCCTAGGACCCAGGGGAAGTCACTTTAAGTGTCCAGCATAGAGCAGACATTTTTTCTTAATTTAAAAAATATATATACATATACGTGTGTGTGTGTGTGTGTGTGTGTGTGTGTGTATGTATTTTTTTTTTTTTGAGACAGGGTCTCGCTCTGTTGACGAGGCTGAAGTGCAGTGGTGTGATCTTGACTCACTGTATCTTCAGCCTCTTAGGCTCAAGTGATCCTCCCACCTCAGCCTCCCAAGTAGTTGGGACTACAGGCTGGTGCCACCAAGCCTGGCTAATTTTTGTATTTTTTTTTTTTTTACAGAAATGGGGTCTCACTATGTTGTCCAGGTATGTTGCCCAGGCTAGTCTCAAACTCCTGGGCTCAAGGGATCCTCTCATCTTGGCCTCCCAAAGTGCTAGGATTACAGGTATGAGCTACTGCGCCTGGACAGACACTTCTTGATAAACACATGTTGAATAAATAGCTTCAAAGCACACCACACCACCTGGTATTTGCAACTTAGAAGCCTGCTTACATCAGACAGGGCATGGGACAGAGGAAAAATACATGGGTTCTAAAGTTGCACATGTTGGATTTAGGCCACTGTTCCATCACTTACAAGCTACGTGATCTATGCCTCAGTTTCTTCACCTGCAGCATACCACAGAATTGAAGAAAAGATTGCATGCAAAAACGTATTATGAGACGAATGTAGGTTAAGGCATGGAACGGTGCCTGGCACCCAAGGCCATACACATTCTGTGAGAACAAGGAACTTGTTTATTTGCCAGCACTGAACCTGGAGCCCAGTACAAAACAGGCCTACATAAAGTTTTGAACTGCATAGTGGGTGCTGCCTACACAGTGATTTCAAAACCTGGTGAACGATCAAAAAGTAGAGGTGACTACGGAAACAGTCAATAACTAATAAAGAACAGGATGAGTCACGTTCACTTAGAGAACATCAATGCATCTCAATGTATCTATCTGGGATCAAGATGAAATGGTCTTGTATTCATTATCAAATAAAGTCATGTGTCACTTGACAACAGGATTCATTCTGAGAAATGTGTCATTAGGCAACTGCTTCATTGTGCAAACATCACAGAGTATACTTACACACACCTAGATGGTATGGCAATAGCTCCATTATAATCTTTTTTTTTTTTTTGAGACGGACGTCTCGCTCTGGTGTCCCAGCTAGAATACAGTGGTGCGATTTCAGCTCACTGCAACCTCCACCTCCTGGATTCAAGCGATTCTCCTGCCTCAGCCTCCCACGTAGCTGGGATTACAGGCTCATGCCACCACGCCCGGCTAATTTTTTGTATTTTTTAGTCGAGACAGGGTTTCACCATGTTAGCCAGGATGGTCTTGATCTCCTGACCCCATGATTCACCCGGCTCGGCCTCCCCAAGTGCTGGGATTATAGGCATGAGCCACTGTGACCAGCCCCTCTTATGTTTTACCTAACTGGATTCTTGCGACAACTATGTCGGAGACAGCACCACCCTGGCTTTGATCCAACAATCCCACTTCTGGTAACCGCTCCTGCCTCTAGACTTGCACATGTGTGAAAGGAAGAATTTACAAAGCTATTCGCAGCATTGTTTTTAATAGCAGAAGACTGAAAATACCTTCAGATGTCCATCAAAAAAGGACTGGATGAATAAATTACAGGGCATCATCAAATGGAAAACCATGCAGCAGTGAAAAAGTCTGGGATGATCTATAAGATACATTGGTAAGCAGAAAGGAAAAGGCAAGGCACAGAAGAACAGGGCTTATAGCATGCTAACTTTTTCAGTCAAAAAGGAAAGCAAAGCAAAAACTAAAATCAATATTTGTTATTAGCTTCTTTTGTAATAACAAATACATTTTGAAGCAGGTAAAAGAAACTAAAAATTTAATTACTTGTGAGGGAGCGGTGGGACTACGCAGATAGTGGGTAGGGCCGGGAGCAAGACTTTTCATAGTACCTTTTTATGTATTTTATTTTGATTCATATGAATGTACTATCTTTTAAAAAAATAAAAATATTTCCAAGTTGTAATTCCCAATCACCATAGTAATTTGCAGCACTGGAAATGTTTTTAAAATGAAAGGGCTACAGCTGATAGTGTGTTACCCAGCTGAACTTGAAGACTCCTCTTTGGAAGATACACGCCCATGAACAAACTCCCAAGTGACTTGTTCACAAGTATTCAGAACAGTGCTTATGTTAAGAAAAAACTGCAAATGATGAAAATGTTCAACAGGTACACAGGTGTGCAAGGGTTTGCCTATTCAGATGGATCACATTAGATTATATGGCTATTACACCTCAACTACTTCAACATACAGCAATCCCTATGTGAAAACACTGTGATATGTACGCAGATAAGCAATGTTCAGACGAGAATCCAGAAGGATACGGACAATTTGATATTTGCAAAGTTCTAATTGAATAAAACTGCTTGAGAATTTCCTTTTTTTAATTACAAATTTGAGGAGTGAAATGATCTAGTTGAGAAAGAAGCAAAAATATATATTTTTTAAAATGCCAAAATATGAACTGAATATGAGAGCTACATAAAAGCCTATTCAATGAGAGGCAAGCAGCATTCAAGAACATTAGGCCAAAGGCCTGGGTGTGAATGTGGGGAATGTTTGTCAAGGGCGAGGCCAAATAGACAGAGGAGGGAGGAGAAACCCAAAGGGACTCTAGTGCCGTGATCTGAGCAACCTCCAAAAACATATCCCAGGAAATGTAACTGGATGAGACCAGGAGACAAAAATGGGTGGAAAATAAATAAGCTGTGGACAACAGCAGCTCTTTCAACCCAAACGTTAGCAACCCTCATATATACTCCAGTGTCAAAACATACCTTATGTCTTTAAAAAGGTACAAAAGGGATGAAAAGCAGATCTGTGCTTCATCTCACTGAGCAGTTTTTCCAAAGCATCCCTCCCTGGAGAAATGTGAAGTCAGTTTCCACTCTTCTCCCACCTCCACCTCCTAGGGGTGTGCTGACCACAACCATCCCCAACACTCACTCCTAGCTCAGCCAGTTGGCCACTCCAACTTTCCCAATGGTGTGAACACCCAGACTGAACTTGAGGTGCTTTCCTTCCCTCATTAGACACACCTTTACAGAGTGCCTATTCAGTGCCAGGTACTGCATGCAGGATACTCTGCCAAAGATGAAACTGGGTGTCTGCAGAGAGAAGCAAGCAGAGGCCCAAATCAGTGCCATGGAAAGGCTCAGGTACTGGAAGTTCCTCTGCAGGCTCAGGTGACAAGGAGGCTGATGGCAGGGGGACTGCATGAATTCAGGTATCAGACACAGCTCTCCAGAGCCCCAACAAGTTGGGACAGTGACTGTCGGCCCAGTCACATCAAGGCACGTTGTCATGGAATTCAGAACATAAAGACAGGATCCCAAAAGCTTCCAGAGAAGAAAACAGGTCACACAAAGGATCAAGAATGGAAATGGCATCAGATTTCTCTACTAGAAGCAAGAAGATAATCAGACAATGCCTTCAAAATTCTGACATAAAACTCTGTCCAACCTAAAATTCTAAACTCAGCCAAACTACCAAAGTGGAATGAGGTTGGTAGAAAGATGTTTTTAGACAGGCAAGGCCTCGAAGAGTTACCTAAATGTACTCTTTCTCAGGAAGCCACTGGAGGATGTGCTCCACTAAAATAAGTGAGTAAAAATCAAGAACTGGGAAAGAAGAGCTTCAACATTGCCCCCAAGGGTGATGGTTAGGGGTTGTCCCAAGATAAGTGAAGGGAGAGCAGACCTAAACCATAGCCATCAGATGGGACAGGAAAGAAAGGAACTGACCACCACATTGCAAGTTTCTGTCACAAGATTTAGGGCAAATTAGTTACAGGAACATAGAAACTAAGCATGTGGGCCGGGCGCGGTGGCTCACGTCTGTAATCCCAGCACTTTGGGAGACCGAGTCGGGTGGATCACAAGGACAGGAGTTCAAGACCAGCCTGGCCAAGATGGTGAAACCCCGTCTCTACTAAAAATACAAAAAATTAGCTGGGTGTGGAGGTGGGTGCCTATAATCCCAGCTACTTGGGAGGCTGAGGCAGAGAACTGCCTGAACCCAGGAGGCAGAGGCTGCAGTGAGCTGAGACCGCGCCACTGCACTTCAGCCTGGGCGACAGAGTGAGACTCCGTCTCAAAAAAAAAAAAAAAAAAAAAGAAACTAAGCATGTGAATAAATGGGACTATTTATTATAAGCTCTTGGAAAACATAAACAACAAAAAATGTAGAAGATCTACCCAAGAGAAATGAACATATATGTCCACACAGCAACTTGTACACAAGTTTGTAGCAGCTTCATTCATAATGTAGCCAGAGTGGAAACGGCCCAAATGTCCACCAACTGAAGAGTAGATAAAACAGAATGCGGTGTGTCCATGCAATGGAACACTACACTGCAACATGATGAACCTAAGCAATATTATGCTACCTGTCTGATTCCATTTATGAGTTGTCCAGAACAGGCAAACTCATCAAGACAGAAAGTAGATCAGCTCATTGAAAAAATTATTCTACTTTCTCCAAAGAGAACTACTTGCTTCCACCTGCCCATCTCCCACTCACCCCTGCTTCCTTTCTGCCTTGGATTCCCTCATCTGACTGTTCTGGCAAGGTTTGGCCTCCTAATACCAAGTCCCACGACTCCTTGCATGGCCTTGTCATCCTTGTTGTTCTCTGTGGCATTGTCTCCACCATCTACAGACTACTCCTTGAAAAGCTAACACTTTCCTAACCTCTAATCTCCCAGTTCTCTCCTCTTGACTCAGCAGTGACTCTCTTCAATCTCCATCCCAGTTTTACCTTCTCCTAAGTATCTACATCTCATTTCCTAATGGATGACCCCCAGGCACCCCAATTTCAGCACAATTAAGATAAATTTTCATCATTTCCCCTAACCAGCTCTTTCTGCTGACTCCTAACTCCCCCAGTGCTCCAGGCTCAAAGTCTTAATGGGATCTTAGAATTCTCCCTCTGCTCTGCCTTCAGGGACAAGCCTTCAGTGAGGACATGTCCTGTCACATCCCCAACACTCACTCCTTGCTCACCCAGTTGGCCACTCCAACCTTCCCAATGGTGTGAACACTCAGACTGAACTTGAGGTGCTTTCCTTTCCTCATCAGACACACCTTTACAGAACACCTAGTCAGTGCCAGGTACTGCAGGGTACTCTGTCAAACTGGGTTTCTGCAGGGAGAAGCAAGCAGAGGCCCAAGTCAGTGCCATGGAAAGGTATTTGAATGAGGGCCACTTCCCATCCAAATTTGTCACCCTTCATCACCTCACACCTGGATGGCTACAGTTTCCTAATTGGCCTCCCTGCCTCCAATCTTCCTTGCCTATCACCACCGTTCAATTTTCTTTTCTTTCTCTTTTATTTTTTTGAGACAAGGTCTTGCTCTGTCACCTAGGCTGGAGTACAGTGGCACAATCTGGGTTCACTGCAACCTCCGCCTCCCAGGTTCAAGCGATTCTCCTGCCTCAGCTTCCCAGGTAGCTGGGGTTACAGGTGCCCACCATCATGCCCGGCTAATTTTTGCATCTTTAGTAGAAATGGGGTTTCACCATGTTGGCCAAGCTGGTCTCGAACTCCTGACCTCGGGTGATCCACCCTCCTCGGCCTACCAAAATGCTAGGATTACAGGCATGAGCCACTGAGCCCAGCCCACAATTCAATTTTCTTAAAAACCCATGATTAATATGTCACCCCCTACTTGAAAATCTTCAACAATTCCCTATCTTCCATAAAACACCTTGCATCTACAGTACAATTTAGCTCCACCTCACCTCTCAGACCTCATCTTCTACTGTTTCCTCACACACACTATATTCCAAGAAATCTCTAGTAAACTTTCATTTCCAAAGGCAGCTTGTTCTAACTCCTCCCACATACTTGTCAGGCTGCTCCTGCCACCCATCTATTTGGACCCAGCAAAAAGGTCACCTCCATGACTGTTTCTTTCCTGATCCCAGTGGAAGAGGATCCCACCTTGCTGCCCTTCCAGAAGACCTGGTGTGTAATGGCACATGAGGCCCTTTCTCAAAATAGAGATATATAACACAAAATGAAATGGTAGACTTACTCTATTATGGGAAACCTGGGGGCCTGGGACAACAGGACGTTCTGCAGTAGTACAAGACCCCAGAGATCAACTAGCACACATGCTTTATTGGGTGCCTATAGTACTTTTTTTTTAAATGAGCCAACATATAAAAATCTGGGTATTTCTTTCTTTCTTTCTTTTTTTTTTTTTTTTTGAGACAGAGTCTTGCTCTTGTTGCCCAGGCTGGAGTGCAATGGCGCGATCTCGGCTCACTGCAACCTCTGCCTCCCGGGTTCAAGCAATTCTCCTGCCTTAGCCTCCTGAGTAGCTGGGATTACAGGCATGTGCCACGACGCCCGGCTAATTTTGTATTTTTAGTAGAGACGGGGTTTCTCCATGTTGGTCAGGCTGGTCTCAAACTCCCAACCTCAGGTGATCCACCCGCCTCGGCCTCCCAAAGTGCTGGGATTATAGGTGTGAGCCACCGTGTCCAGCATTTTTTTTTTTTTTTTTTTTAGACAGAGTCTCATTCTGTTGCCTAGGCTGGAGTGCAGTGGCATGATCTCAGCTTACTGCAACCTCTGCCTCCCAGGTTCAAGTGATTCTCCTGTCTCTGCCTCCTGGGTTGCTGGGACTATAGGCGTGTACCACCATGCCCGGCTAATTTTTGTATTTTTAGTAGAGATGGGGTTTCACCATATTGGCTAGGCTGGTCTTGAACTCCTGACCTCAGGTGATCCGCCCACCTCGGCCTCCCAAAGTGCTGGGATTACAGGCATGAGCCACTGTGCCCGGCCAAAAATCTGGGTATTTCAAATAAAAATCCAGACTTCGGCATCTCTTGAAAAACAGACACTGATACCTCTCTTCCAAGAAGCCTCCCTGGACTTCCGAATCTAAGTAGGCTAGCCCAGTCACACTCTATAATATGGCCCAATTTTATTTTGCTCACAGTGCCCTGCCTAAACTGTTCATTTATTTTACTCAACTTGTATTTCCTCCATCAAGAATGTAAGCTTCGTGAGAGAGAAGACACATGATCTGTCGCGCTCAAGTTATCCTTTGTCCATCATGAATACTTAGAAGCCATTCAATGAGTAAATGAATGTGGCCTCCCTGAGCCCATATCCTTGAAGGGTACCAATGGACTGGAACACAGCAGACATTGTGGAATGAATGGATCCTTGCCTGCCTGCACCTCCTGGAGGCTCTCTAGGTTGCATCCACCCCTTATCCCCACCATACACATACAAAGGAAGTAAATGTACTCACCCTGCCTGCCTCTCCCCTTCCTCACCTGACCGGCTCCTAGAAGCATCCAGGCTGGCTATTTCCTTGATCTAATCCAACTCCAAACCATGTCCAAGACAATTAGTATCCTGCCCAGCCCAAGATCACTGGATCACTCAGGCATTCCACAAATATTTAATGGGCACTCTCACTGTGCCAGGCACTGTTCTAGGTTCAAAGAATTTAGTGGGAATGAAACGAAGGTCTCTGCCTCAAGGAGCTAACATTCAGTAATGGGAACACAGGGGTGAGAATCAAGGGATAATTTTATCTTCAGACCACTGACCTTCAGCATGCCCAACTCTTTTTGTCCTCCAAGGCCCAGGTCAAGAGCCACCTCTTTGGTGTGGTCTTCCTGCTAAGCCAGCCTTTACCAAGCTACCCTCACTGCTGACTTTTACTTGTTGTGCTGTGCAATTTTAAGCTGTTCCATACTGGCACTAGAGTTTCTCATCTCAAGCTCCATGAAGCCATAAAATTCTATGCTATCTTTCACGATTCCTTACAGCTCAGAAACCACAGCCAGCACTTGAATACTTGTTGATCAACTGAAGACATGGAACCACTTTTCCCAAACCTGGCCCCTAGGTCTCCTGTGACACAACAGCCACACCTCTTCCTTGTGCGGTATATAACTATTTTGAGAAAAAGCCTTATGCACTGTTATAAACCAGGTCTTCTGGAAGGACAGAGAAATGGAATCTTCTTCCACTGGGATCAAACCTAATGGACCTATGAAGCCACTGAACCACTGTGGTAGTTTCCAGAGGGTGGTAGTTTCCATTTTATTCAGAAATCTGTGGGGATAAAGACAGTATTAACCACTAGGTAATTTAAACTCATTACAAATTAAGACAGGGTCGGGTACAGTGGCTCATGCCAGTAATCCCAGCACTTTGGGAGGCCAAGACAGGAGGACTGCATGTGCCTGGAAGTTGAAGACTAGCCTGGGCAACACAGTGAGACTGGCTCTACCATATATATATAAATTAGCTAGGTGTGGTGGCACATGCCTTAGTCCTAACTACTCGGGAAGCTGAGCTGGGAGGATTGCTTAAGCCCAAGAGTTCAAGGCTGCAGTGAGCTATGATTGTGCCACTGCACTCCAGCCTGGGCAACAGCCAGACACTGTCTCTAAAAAAAATTAGGTGGCTCGGCCAGGCACGGTGGCTCGGCCAGGTACAGTGGCTCATGCCTGTAATCTCAGCACTTTAGGAGGCCAAGGTGGGCGGATCACCTGAGGTTGGGAGTTGGAGACCAGCCCGACCAACATGGAGAAACCCTGTCTCTACTAAAAATACAAAATTAGCCGGGCGTGGTGGCGCATGCCTGTAATCCCAGCTACTCGGGAGGCTGAGACAGGAGAATCGCCTGAACTCGGGAGGTGGAGGTTGCGGTGAGCCGAGATCGCGCCATTGCACTCCAGCCTGGGCAACAATAGCGAAACTCCATCTCAAAAAAAAAAAAAAAAAATTTAGGTGGCTCACACCTGTAATCCTAGCACTTTGGGAGGCCAAGGCAGGAGGATCATTTGAGCCTAAGAGTTTGTGCTATGATTGTGCCACTGCATTCCAGCCTGGGTGACAGAATGAGACCCTGTCTCAAAAAATAACTAAATAAATAAAAATTTAAATTTAAAAATCAGATAAACAAAATAAGACAAATAGGAATTGATCATGGAATAGGAATGCAAAATGCACATGAATTTCTTTCTGTGCCCTTGCAGGTAGGCAGCTATAGACATACAGTACTTTCTACTGGCTGTGTAATCTTCAGTAAATTAATGAACCACCCTGGGCCTCACTTTCAGGATCAGTGAGAGGGAGATGACAAGTATAACAGTTCTCTCTACCTGACAGGGTTGTTAGGAAGATTGAGAACATTAACGTGTATAACTGTTTAACACCGTCTGGCACAGAAGTTCTCAAAACATGTTAGCTGCCCTTGCTATGTTCCCAACCCCCACCTACCCCATCCCCCATTTGTTAACCCATTTCTGTATTTAGAAGCACTTAGCAAAGAGTCTGTGGTTAGAACTGGGGCTTCAATTAAGGGTCTTATCACACTGCCCACATGACCAAAATGGAAATCAAGGACAAACCAAGGGGAGAAATATTACAAAAGCAAAATGGGAAAATGGCAAACAGATCCTTTTCAATTAGCTGCTGCATTTATCTCTTCCCCCAAAAGAGAATCTTCTGCTGCTTCTGCTTCTTCATCTGCACAACGGGGATGTAGCCATCATACATGCCTGCAAGGCTGTAGTGAGATCCTGGACATGAAAGCATTCTGAAAACTGAAAAGTACAATGCACCTGTGTTTCTGCCTAAGCTCTCTAAGGTGAGTGGCCTTAGATAAGTCAACATCTCCTGGCCTCGGCTTCTTTAATTACCGTATTAAAATAGAGGTAATAAGAGTATCTCACAGGATTGTTGTGAGGAAGAAGTGAAATAATACAAAGCATTTTGGGGCCTAAACATAAGAGTGCAACTATCCAGTTAATAAGATTACTAGCCTAGTCAACTGGACTCTTTCTTGAAAGGAGGGGTATAAAAAAACCAATACTGGCCAAGGAACTGCAAGAACTAGGCTCTAACCAGCTGGGTGACCTTGAGCAAGCCGCTGACCCTCTCCAAATCGTTGTTCCCGTGGTCGCAAAATTAGTATTTTAAGAGTGGATCCCTGGGCTCCTACCAGCTCTTCCACTCCGCTGTTAAGGCGCTGGAACAAAGGCCACCCGCTCCCCAGCCCGTACCCGAGGGGCCACAACTCAAAATTTCTTCTGCTCAATTCCCCTTGCAGCGTGACAGCAGGAGCGCCCGGGTCTCCATCCCGGAGAGATGTGTCCACACTCCGCCGCCACTGCTCTCTTCATCAGCAACTTGCTTCTGCAGTCGCTGCCCAAAGTTTCGCGGAGCACCCGGCGACCTGGCCGTCGGTCAATCCTGAGAAGCCCAGGGATTCGGGGCGCGGAGACTGGGGGCTGGGCCCCGGGAATCCCAAAGACGTCCCCGCGGCCAGGAAGGGAGTGACAGGTGCGACGCGCGGTCGCGGGCGGCGGGAGAGCGGACCACGGAAACCGCGTGTGGGCGCGCGAGGGAGGCGGCGGCCACGCGCTCTCCTTAGGCCGCTCCCTGAGACGCCCCCGCGACGTCCCTAGCCCCGCGCTCTGGAACCCGCGACCCTCGCGCCGCTTTCGGCCCCGCGGCGCCCCAGATCCCACGGCCTCCCGGAGCGGCGCAGCTGGGTCGGGCTCACGCTCGCAGCGCCGGAAGGGTTGAGGACCGCCGGGGGCACCGTGCGCACGGGGTTCTTCCCGCGCGAACCGGGGCTGTCGGGGGGTGGGCGCACGCGCACCCGGGCGCGCCGCCGTAACCCCTTCCTCCCCGCGCGGCCCCCGCACTCCCACCCACCCACCACTCACCGTCGATGTCTCCCAGGGTCAGCTCGTCGCCCAGCTCCGTGAGGGTCTCCATGGTCTCCAGACCACCCAGCTCGCCGCTGTCGTCCATCGCCCGGCTCAGCGCAGAAGCCCCCCCTGCCGTCCCGCTCAGGGAGACGCGGGGGCGGTGCCGTCGCCACCGCCCATGACACCCGACAACCCCCGCCCGGCACCGCCTCACCGACGGGTGCCACCCGCCGCCATGTTTGCGTTGCGCCCGGGCGCCGCACAGAAAGGGCGGGGCGGGATTCCCCCGCCCCAGCCCGCGCCCCCTGCGGCCCCGCCTCCAGGCCGCGCGCCCCCCTGTTTGTTGTCAATGGGACCAGGCTCATCTCAGCCAATGGGCGAGCGAAGCGGTGCGTGGGGTGATGGCGCGTCATCGATCAGCAGCTCAGATTTGCATAGTGAGGTCCCTCCCCCCGCGGCCTCGGAGCGAATGCCTGGAGTAGCCGTCCGGTCATCATCTTAACCTTCTCCGCCTTGTTTAAAGGAGCCGCTGCCTTCTCCGTTGGATCTGCGCCACACGCAAGTCCGTCCACTGGCCTGGGAGTGAAGGGTTAACAGGCCACCCTCCACCTGCGACCGCTGGCCGCCTCCAGGCCTGGCTGGGAGCACATTACGTCATCTTCCCAGCTGCCTACCCCCGCCCTGCCCGCCTGAGAAAGCCAGCGGAGTCAAACCTGGACCCCAGCGCTCGGGACGGGAGTCCGGGTCATCCAAGTCCCGCTTCTCCCAGCCTCCTTACAAAGGCGGGCACGGAGGCTTGACAAGGTTGCAGATTGTCCCAGGGCGGTCAGGATTTTACGTCTTCTGCTTTGCACCCGCCGTGACCTCGCGCTTACTCCAGTGGTCCTCAATCTCTGGCACCTCGGAACCACTGAGGACCTGAAAACCACGCCAGTGCCCAGGCCCACCGACGGCCTCCTGAGAGGGGGGCCCCGGGCACGAGTTTTTTGAAAAAGTTCCACCGGGATTCTGAAGTGCAGCCCACCCACTCCTTCAAGCACCTCACTGCCCCATCTTGCAGCTGGTCGTGTTGTAAACTTCTAGGAATTTATCCAAAGGAATAAAAATTACAAGTGCTTAAAGAAGTGCTGTAACTAGGAAGAAGTGAGAATAAGGAAATGAATATGTAAATTACATCCACACGATGGAATACCATGGGATCATTAAAAATTACGCACACAAATGTATATTTATTAGCAAGAAAAGGCGTTCACAATATATTGATAAAAGGGAAAAGTTGAAGTTTCCTGCCAGTTTGTGAGAGGCAGCTGTTGCTTAGTGATCAATAATTAAGAACACACAGGCTGTGTGGAGGCAGACACATGGATCCACTAATTCACTGTGACCTTGGGTTAATTGTTCTAAGCCTCAGTTTAGTCATCTCTAAAATGGGGATAAAATAGCATCCCTCATAGCTGTGGTTAAGTGAGATTATTTGCACATTCAATTGACAATATTTATTGAACATCTCTGTGGCAGGGAAACAAATGGTTCCTGCCCTCTGAGAGCTTCCAGTCTAGCAAAAAAAAAAATCAGAAATCCCACACCCGTATTAAACATAAAAATAAATTACAGATGATGGTACAAGTGATCAAGGAAAGGTAATGGATGTGATGAAACTAACAAGGGCCCTGACTTGTGCTGTCAAGAAGCCTCTGAAGAAGTGACATTTAAGATGAAACCTAAAATTATGAGAGAACTGCAGCTGTTACAGCCAAAGGGGAAATGATGACATGGACAAAGGCCTCGAGGCAGGAGGAGCTGCTGGCAGCCAGCTCTCGGCATAAGCTTTGGCATACAGTAAGTGCCTTGCATACTGCTGTATTGCAATTGAAAAAATAAGGATCTGGCCAGGCGCGGTGGCTCACACCGGTAATTCCAGCACTTTAGGAGGCCGAGGTGTGCAGATCATTTGAGGTCAGGAGTTGGAGACCAGCCTGACCAACATGGTGAAACCCCGTCTCTACTAAAAATACAAAAATTAGCCGGGTGTGGTGGCGCATGCCTGTAATCCCAGCTAACCGGTAGGAGAACTGCCGGAACCTGGGAGATAGAGGCTGCAGTGAGCTGAGATCATGTCGCTGCACTCCAGCCTGGGAGACAGAGCAAGACTCTGTCTCAAAAAAAAGAAAGAAAAAATACAAAGAGAGTCCGGGCAAGGTGGCTCACGCCTGTAATCCCAGCACTTTGGGAGGCTGAGGTGGGCGGATTGCCTGAGGTCGGGAGTTCGAGACCAGCTTGGCCAGCTTGGTGAAACCCCGTCTCTACTAAAAATACAAAAATTAGCCAGGCGTGATGGTGCATGCCTGTAATCCCAGCTACTCAGGAAGCTGAGGCAGGAGACTTGCTTGAACCCGGGAGGCAGAAGTTACGGTGAGCAGAGATCGCGCCATTGCACTCCAGCCTGGGCAACAGGAGACTGCGTCTCAAAAAAAAAAAAAAAAAAAAAAGAAAAGAAAAGAAAAAATAAGGATCTGTGTGCTCACCTGAAGGTTAAAAACGATGGAAGACCCAACAGCTGGCTGTCAGACATAGTTACAGGAGTAGTGAGATTTGGGGTGAATTTTACTTTTGGAGTGAATTTTACTTTCTTTTTGGCATTTCAGTATTGCTTAAATTACGTTTTATAATGAACGTGTATAACTAATGAGAAATAGATAGTGTCTTATTTTTTGGGAAAGCAAGACAACATTGTTCTCGTCATTGTTCACACACAGGGAGGCTGGTATAGAATACACCAGTCTCACCCTGAAAGACACAGAAAACTAAACCCTGCTCTGGACACAGCACTGAGCAGGAAGGTGCCACCTTCAACTGTGCTGCCCAGTGGCTCTTGCAAGGCCCCTCACACTGGTGTGTGACTGGTACTCTGGGGGGATTCAGCAACAACTCCCATACAACTCACTCTGGCCCAGGGCACCCCCCACAACCCAGAACCTCAGTGACCCCCTCCAGAGGTGGCACACAGCACCTGCTCCCATAGTTCCCCACTGAGCCTGCCCAGAGGGCGTGATGCCTCGCCAAGTGGACTGAAGGGGTACAACTGAAGGCTCAGTAGAAATGGTGGAAGAAGGGTGGCTGGACCCGAACCTCAGGAAGCACTGATATTTTCCCTCTGGCCCTGGATCCCATGTAACTGAACATCTCTTCCAGGTGGTACCTTGCTCTGGCTAGCAGGAGGACAAGGGCTGGCTCTGAGAGGTAGAACAGCTTTTGACAAGTCACTCCTCAGAACCTGAGCTCTTCATCTGAAAAGAGATGGACAGCCGGGCACGGTTGCTTACGCCTGTAATCCCAGCACTTTAGGAGGCCGAGGCAGGCAGATCACGAAGTCAAGAGATCGAGACCATCCTGGCCAATATGGTGAAACCCATCTCTACTGAAAATACAAAAATTAGCTGGTCATGGTGGCAAGCACCTGTAGTCCTAGCTACTCAGGAGGCTGAGGCAGAAGAATCACTTGAACCCGGGAGGCGGGGGTTGCAGTGAGCCGAGATCGCACCACTGCACTCCAGGCAGGCAACAAAGTGAGACTTGTCTCAAAAAAAAAGAAAAAAAAGAAAGAAAGAAAGAAAAGGGATGGATTAGACTGGGTAACCACTATGTTTCGATATCTACCATGGATTGGGCATGTGCTACGGGTCACAGAAGATAATTTTGTATATGGTTTTTCATTTACTTCCTCTGACACTTTCCCCTTTTTCCCACAGCACCTGTCCTTTTCTTCCTCTTCCCCTAATCTTTCAGGATTCAGTTCAGATATTACTTCCTCTAGGAAGCCTTCCAATTGGATTAACCAAAAGCATGTACTCCACTGTTTGACACAGAGATGGGGTTAGAGAGGGAAATAACCAGTTTGGTTTTGGAAACATAAGCGATGAGAATTATCAGGTAGTAACCGGGCGAGTATTCAGCTTTTAGGTCTTAGAGAGTATGGCTGCCCAAAAAGAAAATAGAAACAGCTCCATAAAAAACTTCATGCAAACGGGGGCAGGTGAGGAAAGAAGAATCCGGAAGAGAGAGTCAGCTCAGACTTGACAGCAGAGAACTACAACAACAAGCCTGAGAGAATCACCTCAAGGAGCTGTCAACAGCATCTCTCTGAGGACAGTGATGGGGAAGGGGAGGAAGATGTGGGACTGGAATAAGGAGAAGGGCTGTGGACCAGAGAGGTTTTCCCTCCCAGTGGACATCTGGCAATGTCTGGACACATTTTTGGTTGTCGTAACTGGGGGACTGCTACAGGCACCTGGCAGGGAGAGGCCGGGATGCTGCTAAAATAGCCTACAACACACAGGACAGCCCTCTTCACACTCACACACCCAACGATTACCTAGCCCCAAACGTTAATAGTGCCGCTGCTGGAAAACGCTGTCTTAAAGGATATCAGGGAGCTCACAGACTAGCAGCTGAGTAGACAGGAGCAATGTCCAAGATCACACTGAAAACACCACTGTTGCCACCACTGGGCACCCTGGCACTGGTCACTGGACTTGGCATTAGAGCCACCCCTTCACTGCTGCCCCTGGTACCTGTGACCACTACCGCCACCAGCACGACTCCCACAGTGGTATATGCAGTTGGTAGCGCTATAGTGACCTAACAATCCCAGCTGCAAGAGGCAGCTGGACAAACATGTGCCCTAGGGCCTTTACAGCTCAGGGGGTGGGCTCTGTCTGCAGTAAGACTCAGCAAGTGGACTTCCTGGAGCAAGTGACTATAACAATCAATAGTGGCAGTAAAGGGAGGGAGAGAGGGAGCGAGTGGAGTAGTTCTATTTGTTTCTTTGAAGGTGCCCATTTGAGGGCAGAAAGGACAGGATTAACCAGGTTGGAGAGAGGATGACGGTATTAGAGGAAAGAGCCCAGGAGGAAGGAGGTGCCAGAAGGGGCAGATGAGGAGATAGTTCAAGACCAGGCCCCACTCTTTGGCTCTGCATATATAGCAGGCAGTCAGTAAATACATGGGATGAACAAGGAACCGTCAGAGAAGGGCACACATCACTGAGAAGTCACTTAAATTCCAGGTTTCATCCTTTCAACCACTGGGCATTCTGAGATGGGGGGCCCAAGGATCTGAGTGTGAAGAGCCTGGTTCTGATAACAACAGCTGGCAAGAGACAGCCCAGGCTGGTCCCAAGTTGCCCAGGTCTTGCCACCACACTGGGCTGGCTTCCCCATTGCTCTGCAGTTGCCCAGCTCTGCTTCAAATTATACAAATCCTGCTAATGACAGAGCCCGTAGAAGTTATTCAGTAGAAAGAACCTCCAGCCGAAGCTGGACCCACCACTGACTGTCCTGAGGTATGCTTTAGCCTCCCTGCCACCCCAAGAAAGCTAGGTCTGCTGCCAACCAGGCCTGGTTCTTAGAAAGTTTTTTCTCCAGTTAAGGGGAAAGCCAAGCACCTTCTCTGCTAAGTCAGCAACCACAACCACTCTCTAGCATGAAAAGGACAGCGACTGGCCTGGTCCTTCCGGCAGGGAAGAGCTTGCGGGCTGGTCCTGACACCCAGCTCCAGCTGCTGGCACCAGGACAGGTTAAACAGCTGAGCCAGTGAATCTGACCCTTTCCCGTTGATGCAGGAAAATAGGGTCTGGAGGCAGGGAACATAAGGCCAATTCACGCTTCAGCTATAACAGGGAATATCCTCCCCATAGGGTATATGCTGTAAATGAATTTGTAAATTTACTTCATCCTTTCCATTTACATAGGGTGTACCTCAAGTAACCAATGGAATCCTCTAGTGGGTATTTACTCCCAAAAATTCTGTAACGGGCCCCTTGAGTCCCTATGCTCAGGCCCTCTCCCATGCTGTGGAGTATACTTTCATTCTCAGTAAAACCCTTCATTCCTTCCTTGCTTTGTGCATTTTGCCCAATTCTTTGTTCAAGACATCAAGAACCTGGACACCCTCCACTGTTAATGCCATGGACCAGCCCTTTAGTTCACAGACTCGGGTGTCCATGTGGCTGGGGTCACACAACCTGAGAAGGGCAGGGTGGAGATGAAACTATGTCTGTTGAGTCAGTCCCACCACACTGCCCTGCCTCCACTGCCCAGTGAGGGGCCTTCTGATGGGGAAATTTCTCCAGCACTCCTCCCAGCCCCCACACCCAGCTCTCTTCCAGCTGCTTCTTGTCCCCTTACTTCCGAGTAACTGATGGGTGCAGGATGTTCTGGGCCCTTCCATGAGGCTTCTCTAAGGCTTGGCTTCCCTTTGCTGCTGCAGCCCCGTAGGGAGGCCAGCCTCAGAGAAACAGGTTAGGGCTGGGCAGGGGATACAGATACCATCAAATTCATTTTGCCAATGAAGCTGCAGCACAGGGAGGGGTGGGCCAAGGCCAGTCAGCAAATCTGAAGGGCTAACACTCAGATCTCACTTGTGCTCTGTCAGTGGTAGGGGGCTGGGTGTCGAGGGGATCTGGGATGGTTTTCTCTGCTCCTTTAAGAGGCAGATCCTGACTTGGCAAGGTCAAAGAGGCAGAGCTAGAATTCTCACTAAAGCCCTTCCCTCCTCTGCTTGGGAGGGGCATGAGTGAAGGGCAGCTGCCCTACCCAGGGCCACATGCCCTCTGCAGCTTCCCTGCCCTGTGGCCTCCCGAGACGGGAAGCTGTCTGACCCATGCAGCTTAGGGCAGCCATTGCGGAGCACGGCCTCCTGCAGGGCTGCGGCCTGTCCCCCTGCAGCCCCCCACCCACAGGTTGACTGTCTTCCAGCGCTGCCAGAGAGAACAAGCTGACTTCCCTGTGCTTGCTCAATGACTGTCCCCAGACATCTGAGGACAGGGATCATGTTGCTCCAAGGTCTTCTTGAGCTAAATGTTTCCCAGGTCCCAGGGCACTTCCAGGTCCTTTCCCAACACCAATCATTTGTCAAGGGCAGTGATGGCGTAGGACCAGGAGGCCCAAGCCAAGCCCCTTCCTTCTCTGCCCTGCCAGGGCCTGGGGCCCCTCCTGGTGGGGCAGAGGCATCCTCCAAGCTGTTTCTACATCCCTGAGGGGCCCTGGTCCCCTCACAGTGTCCCCACCAGCCTTGGTCGGTCCAAAGGGTCTGCTGGCTTTTATTGTGTCTCTGCAGAGGGGCTGGGACCTGTGCCAGGCAGCTCTGTGACACAGTGGGGCCAGCAGCAGGGTGGCACCCTGACCCGTGGCTCAGAACCTAGTTCTGCTGCTTCCCCACCAAGGGCGGAAGCCAGCTGGCCAGAGGTCTTCAGCCACCAACAGGGTCCAGGCAGGCATCCTCCTGCCTCCCCCAGCAGTCTGCACAGGGTCATATTTCCAGCATAAAATCCTCTGAAGGCCCCTTCAGCAGGAGGCCCCTGAGAGAAAATCCAGCCATCTGAGGCTCAGTCCCTTCAGCTGGGGCTCAGACCCAGCTCCAGGGGGCCGGGCAAATGTGGCCTCCCCTTCTGGAAGGGGCTAGCTGGTGCTCTCCACCACAACCACACCTCCACCTCTTCTTCCTCCCGACCTGCCTCCTTGTGGCCCCCTGAGCCCTGAGCTGCTCCAGGGCTATAACTCAGACTGGGATCTGGAGATCCTTGGGCCTTTTCGGATCTCCTTCCGCTTCTCCTCTTTCTTTCGGCGTTTCTCTTCTTCTCTCAGGGCCTTCTGGAAAGGGTCAGTGCTGGGAATGAACTGAAGGGAAGAGAAGAGCAGTCTGATTTAGTCTGTGGCAGCAAAGAGCCTGCTCTGAGCTAGGCCACCAGCGGGGTGTGGGAATAGGAAGGTTCCCTGGACACAGGCCCTGCCCCAGACACGGAGACAGGAAATGGGTTTGGGAGAACTGCTGAGTGGGTGTTGGAAGATAAGCAGGAGTTTGCCAAACCAACGGCATGAGGAAAGGGAAGGGTATTCTAGGTGGAGGGACGGATGCTGAGGTGGGAACCTACATGGGGCATCTGAGAAACAACACACAGACTCCTCCAGGGTGAGGGAGTAGAGTGGCTGAGACCACCACAGACCCGGGAGCCCCACACCTGCTGCACCCTTCAGGAGGAGAGGAGGGAGGTCAGCCAGAGTCACAGATGACAAGGCAAGTGGGGGGGTGGAGGATGAGGACTTCATTGGCGGTAGGGGGTGGCGTGGGGGCATTCTTCAACTGCAACCCAGGCCCTTGGCTGTCCTCCCTCCTCTCTCTCCAGATTGTCTCGTCTAACTCATAGCTTCTGTTGGCCTGTGTGGTTAGTTACCCCTCAAACTTGCATCTCCATTTCCAAATGCCTGTCTGAGACCTCCTTTAGGATGTCCCAAATGCACCCTAGACTCAGTATGGTTCCCTCTCCCCAGAGTCCCTGTTCTGATGAGCAGCAGGGCAGAAACCGAGGAGCCCCACCTGCACCCGGCATTCCCTCTCCCTCCTCGGGTCCATCACCAAGGCCTGGCTACTTTCAAGCCCTAAATCTCTCTCAAACCCATCCACTTCTCTGTCTCTACTATTGCTGCCCCCATCACCACCCCCATCTCTCTGCTGGATGACTCTAGGGGCCTCCCAAGGGCTTTCCACATCCCCTTTGGTCCCTCTCAAGTCATTCTCCTCACTGCAGTTGGATCTTTTCTTTTCTTTTCTTCTTTTTAGACAGAGGTCTTGCTCTGTCGCTCAGGCTGGAGTGCAGTGGTGAAATCTTGGCTCACTGCCACCTCCACCTCCCGGGTTCAACCGATTCTCCTGCCTCAGCCTCCCAAGTAGCTGGGATTACAAGCGCCCACCACCACACCTGGCTAATTTTTGTATTTTTAGTAGAGCCAGGGTTGCGCTATGTTGGCCAGGCTAGTCTCAAACCTTGACTTCACGTGATCCATCCGCCTCAGCCTCCCAAAGTGTTGGGATTACAGGCATGAGCCACTGCGCCGGATGGATCTTTTCAAAATGTAAATCTGTGCATGTCACATTCCAGCTTCCATGGCTCTCCATGACTCTCAAGACAAAGTTCCACATGGTGTATCTGCAGGTCCACCCCGCCCGCCTCTCTGTTCCTACCCTCATATCCCCCACCTTTATGTTCTTGGATTCCCTGTACCCTCTCACTTCCAGGCCTTTGCATGTGCTGTGGCTGAGGCCCAGAACGCTCTTTCCAACACCCACCCCTCTGCCACATTAGCTCGGGCTCAGCTGACTCACTGCCCTCTAGACCTGCCCTGACTCCCTGAGGGGCTGCTCCTGGTGGTGTGCTCCCTTCAACTTTGTGCTGATTCCTTCTTTCTTGTGCCCATCGCCCTCCCAGACAGCACATTCCATGAGGGTAGGAGGATAGTGTCCTCTGCCACAAGGCCTTAGCACAGAGTCTTCCTGGCTTTTCAAGAGCATTCAATATGTGTTTTTTCAATGAATGAGCAAGCCACGTTAGAATAGGAAATACAATAGCACAGCAGGTCCTCGAATAAAGTGGTTTAGTTCAAGGTCGTGTCATTATAATGTGGATGAGAAAAAAAACAATCGATTCCTGGCCAGGGCCACTGTCTGTGTGGAGTCCACACATTCTCCCCGTGTTCTGGTGGGTTTTCTCTGGGTACTCCAATTTCTTCCCACATCCCAAAGATGTGCATGTTGGGTTCACTGGTATGTCTACACTGTCTCAGTCTGACTGTGGAGGCATGTGTGAGTGTGCCCTGTGATGGGAGGGCGTCCTGTCCAGGGTTGGTTCCTCCCTTATGCTCTGAGTTGCTGGGAGAGGCTGGACCCTGAACGGGACTAAATGGATAAATAATTATTTTACTTGTTTTGATGAATCTTTCTTAAATGTATGTATAGTTCACATTTATTTCAATGTTTCATATTAAGAGTGTTTTGGTTTTTATTTTGAAGACTGGAGTTGGGCGCCGTGGCTCATGCCTATAATCCCAGCATTTTGGGAAACTGAGGTGGGCAGATCACTTGAGGTCAGGAGTTCAAGACCAGCCTGGTCAACATAGCGAAACCTTGTCTCTACTGAAAAATACAAAAATTAGTCAGGTGTGGTGATGGGCGCCTGTATTCCCGGCTACTTTGGAGGCTGAGACAGGAGAATCACCTGAACCCAGGAGGCGGGGGTTGCAGTGAGCTGAGATTGTACCACTGCACTCCAGTCTGGGCAACAGAGCGAGACTTTGTCTCAAAAAAAAAAAAAAAAAAAAAATTCTGGTAATGGTTTTTTGACCAGAAATATGCTGTAGTAACTTAACTCTTATTTATATCTATTACCCTATGGTAAATTGGTTTGTAATACATAGATTCACTTAAAGTCACAGTTTCCAAGAACCTATGGATGATGTTAGGTGAAGATTTACTATGCCTACAACTCAGGTAGCTGTGCTGTAAAACACACCCTTTTATTTGTTCCTAGGGCAATTGTGACAAATGTTTGATCTGATCAAAGTAGATACTAAAAACAAACAAATGGCTCCACCTTGTGGAATAATCTGCCTACCAGGTTAGATTGAGTCATGACTTTGGAAGATGGGGGGATTCACAGAAGTGTAGCCCAGAGAAGGTAAGTGAGTCACATAGCATGTGGTAGGCCCAACTAGGACTAGCCTTGCAGGCTGCACACTTCCCTGCCTAGTACTTCCCTACCACACTCTGCTCCTGTCTCTGTGAGTGAATCCTGATCCACTTAAGACGGGGAGCTGGGAGACCCCTTAGGCCACAGAGACCCCATTCCTCTCTGACTCTGGCTGGGCAAGGGCAAGTCAAGAGATCTTAGCCCCTTCAGCCTCAGCAGGCTCAGCCTAACCTAGCCGGGTCAGAAGAGAAACACACCCATCCTTTCCCTGTTCCCTTCCCCACCTAGGCCTGGCAGTGCCTAGTCATCTTTTGAATCTATCTTTAGATGTCTCCCCAGGAATCTTCCCTGGCCACCCCTGATTGTACCTGACCAGCCTGGGTCAGGTCAGCAGGCTGATGGCCAACACAGCACTGTGGTTAAGAGCATGGTTCAAGAGGCAGACCACATGTATTTGAACCTTCACTCCATCACTTACTGGCTGTGAGACCTCAGGTTGATTACTGTACCTCCCTGTGCCTCCGCTGTCTTCACTGTTAGGTTAGTCATCAATTTATTTCCTCTCTATTCCAAATTCACTCTTCATTGCCTGCTCTGCAAAAATGCATCTGGCTCCAGGATAGAGCCCCAAACTCCTAAGCTTGTTGTTCAAAGGCCCGGACCCCATGCTACGTCTCCAGCCTTATCTCCTCCTGTCTTCAAGCTACCCTGCTCTGCCTGTCCCTGACAACAACCACATCCTCCATAGCCTCAAGCATGCCACTCTGGCCACCGCCTTCTACCTTCTCTAACTCCTTAGCCCTACAATAACCACGAGCAGGCCCTCCGTGCTGCCGGCAATCCAGCCTCATTCCCTGGTCCGCTCATCCTCCTGCTCTCCTGCACATACCTTCTCCTCAAGCCTCCGTGCTCCCCTCACTCCCAGACCATGACCTTGCTTTCTATCTCACAGAGAGGATGAAAGTAGCAGGAGACAACCCCCACAGCTCGACCACCACACCCACCAACCCATTTGCTTCTGTGCCCACATGCTCTGCCCGCCCTCCTGTTCAAGGTTAAGGACCTGCTCTTCTGTACAAGGCCAAGCCTTCCCCCAGCACTACAACTCACCCCTCCTCACCTCCTCCAGATGAGGCTCCAGCAACCTAGCCCCTGGCCTCATCACGTCCTCCCTCTCTAATGGATCAGTCCCATCCACATAGTGCAAGCCTGCTGTGGTCTCTCCCAAGGGACTAACATTGGAAACCACATTGTCCTCCAGCTATTCTCCCATTAAGGACAAAAAACCAAACACCGCATGTTCTCACTCATAGATGGGAATTGAACAATGAGAACACATGGACACAGGAAGGGGAACATCACACTCTGGGGACTGGTGGGGGGAGGGGGGAGGGATAGCATTAGGAGATATGCCTAATGCTAAATGACAAGTTAATGGGTGCAGCACACCAGCATGGCACATGTATACATATGTAACTAACCTGCACATTGTGCACATGTACCCTAAAACTTAAAGTATAATAATAATAAAAAAAAAAAGAAAGGAAAACTTTTCGAAAGGGCTGTCTATACTTGCCACATCCACTTCCTTTCCTCTCATTCTCTGGAAATCCAATCTTTTGTTCCCAGGACCCCCTCAAAGCAGCTTTTATCAAGACCACCAGCGGCCTCAACATTACTCAGTCCAGCAGTCGATTCTCAGTCCTCGCCTTCCTTACCTCCCAGCAGCGTCTGACACACCGATCGCTCCCTCCCTACTTCTAACGCTTTCCTCATGTGGCCTCTGGGAAACTCTTGGGTCGGCCACCATCATGCTGACTGCTCCTTCTGCGGGTTCTCGCTGCTTCCTCCTCAGTCCTTCAACCTCTATCTCCAGCCCCATCCCAGGCCTCAGTCCTCAGACTGCTTCTCTACCTGCCCGATGCCCCAGATGACTGTGTCCTGTCTCACGGCTTTTGGTGCCTTCTACATAGGCATGGCTCTCACATTTATAAGTCCAGCTTCTCCTTCCTCCCTGAAGTCTCGAGTCAAATATCCAGCTACCTCCTTGACATCTTTACTCCGATGTTCACCAGGTGCAGAAAAAAACTCTTACTACCCTCCCTCTCCAAGCATTTGAAAAAATGAGTCCCATTCTTCCAGACACTCAGGCCAAAAGTCTTCTAGTCATGCTTAACGCTCCTCTCTCTCTCACCACATATGCTTCCTCAGCAAATCCCACTGGCTCTACTTCCAAAAGAGAAGCAGAACCTGACCATTTCTCAGCAGCTCCACTGTCATCGTCTGGTTCAAGCCACTATCAACTGCCACACAGATGAGCACAGCAGCCTCCACACCTGTGTCCCTGCTTCTGGTCCCCGACCATGCTCCACACAGCAGCCAGATGACCTCTTTAAAGTGGTAAGTCTGCGCCTGTAATCCTAGCTACTCAGGAGGCTGAGGCAGGAGAATCGCTTGAATCTGGGAGGCGGAGGTTGTGGTGAGCCAAGATCGCACCATTGCACTCCAGCCTGGGCAACAAGAGCAAAAATCTGTCTTAAAAATATATATATAAATAACGGCTGGGAGCGGTGGCTCACACCTGTAATCCCAGCACTTTGGGAGGCCGAGGTGGGCGGATCACGAGGTCAGAAGATCGAGACGATCCTGGCTAATATGGTGAAACCCCGTCTATATTAAAAATACAAAAAAATTAGCCGGGCGTGGTGGTGGGTGCCTGTAGTCCCAGCTACTGAGGAGGCTGAGGCAGGAGAATGGCGTGAACCTGGGAGGCAGAGCTTGCAGTGAGCCAAGATCGCGCCACTGCACTCCAGCCTGCGTGGACAGAGTGAGACTCCGTCTCAAAAAAAAAAAATTATATATATATATATATATATATATATATATATATAAAGTGGTAAGTCACAGCCTGCTCTCCAGGTCCCTCAGGGTAGGTGCCAAAGCCCTTGTGAAGACCTCTGAGGGTCTCAGGATCAGGCCTACAACTCTGACCCCATCTCCTGACACTCCCCAGCCCCAAAATATGCTTCCAACTCACAGCCTTTGCACTTGCTGCTCCTTCAGCCTGGAATGTTCTTCCTTGGGATACACAGATGACTCCTCATCTCCTTCAGATAATTCAGTAAGACAGTACCCAGGCCATGTGAAATAGCAACTGCACCCCCACCTTACCCCGGGCATTCCTTAACCACATTCCCCTGCCTTTTTTCTCCACAGCCCTTGTCACCACCTACCACATTATATATTTTTAAGTTGACTGCCTGTCTTCCCCAACTAGAATGCCACTCCCAGGAGAACAGGGCTAGCCTGCTTCCCCAAGGGGCAGGATGCAATAGATACTCACTTGATGCTGAATGAATGAATGTGGGATGCATCTGAGCCTTTGCATAAGTTCGTCCCTCTGCCCTGAAGGCCCTGCCTCAGCTGGTCCACCCAGCAAATAACTCATCCCACCTCCCTGCCAAGGCTGGGTCAGGCTCGCCTCAGAGAATTATGCTTCTTACCAGTATAACAGTTACACCGGATTAGAACTATTTCCCTGCTGCCTTCCCCATCAGACTGTGAGCATCTGAGGAGCTGCGACAGGGCCAGCCCCCTGGACAGGGACAGTGGCTGGCACACAGCCTGATACGAGTTGACTCTAGTGATGGGTACATAAGAAGCAGGAGAACTCAGAACTCTCACCAGCATGGAGGGAGTATGTGAGGGGAGCCAAGCAAATCTGGGGCTCCTGCGAGAGACAAGTCCACGCAGGATATCAAAAAGTGAGGAAAATCTCAGAACTGTCCCCATCCAGCATGTAAGGAAAGTATGTTGCTGCTGTGGTTATGTCCAAGTAGAATACGTTATGATAAAGCTGGACTCAACTTATCCTGGCACCCATTCTCTCTGTGGCCTATGCTGTCACCCTCCTCCTGCGTTTAAGTGAGGCATCTATGACCTGCATAGCAAGAAGAACTGGCATCACAGCAATAAAGCATCTCCATGGGTAACCCCTTGCTGGGAAAGGCAATCTGCCATGGCCTTGAGTGTCCACACATGTTTTCTTGCTGCATAAACCAAGAACGGAAGGCCGTGGCTGTTCTTGATCTGGGCCATTTATCAGGGTAATGATTGCAGCATGCAACCTTGGGGTATGCGTCATTTCAGCTGGGCATGCAGGGGTGGCAGCTACCCCACTGAGGAAACAGCATCCCCGACTCTGCCACATAAAGCAAAGCCACTGGCTCAACAGGACCCTCGATTCACAGGTTCCCCCAAGTACTCAGGCCTAGCCCACTGTAATTCAGCTAATATAAAAGCTAATAGTGTTGTACAGAAAAGAGTCAACACAGCTGGCCTGACTCCTAACCTTTGAAAGGCCTGCTTCCAAGGTTAGCCCTTAGCAGACATCTGGGAACTTGCATTTCAGGAGGGTCCCCACCACCTTAACTGCTAACTGTGGTTCGCTGTGCCTAAACTGTTTGTGCAAACAATATGGTTTCTGCTGAATACATACTTTGCTCCGGGGAGTTTGCCATTTTGATATGTTAGGCAAAAAGTACCCACATGACTAGCTCCCAGTAAAAACCCAGGCACTAGGTCCCTCATTAAGTTTCCTGGTAGAAAACATTTTAAACACGTTGTTACAACTAATTGCGGGAGGAATGAAGCACATCCTGTTTGACTCTACTTGGAGGGGACTCTGGAAGCTGAGCCTATTTCCCCTGGACTTTGCCTGATGCACCTTTTCCCTTTGCTGATTTTGCTTTGTATCTTTTCTCTGTAGTAAATCGTGGCCATGAATATGACCATATGCTGAGTCCTGTGAATCCTCCTATTGAACCATCAAGCCTGGGAGTGGTTCTGGGAACCTGACACAGGTGTCCATGGGCAGCAACAGTCAGCCAGCCCCAGTAACAATGCTGGCTGATTAACTGCCATAAAGGCCAGTCAGACAATGGCCTGAATTAAAAGGTATCACCCTTGCTTGGATGACACTCCTTCCTAACAGCCATGCATGTTATATTCTTACTGACTATTGTCAGTGTCCTGGTCATCTGGAGATTACAAACTGGCAGATCAAAGATACCTACCCCTCTCTTTTTATTTATTTATTTATTTATTTATTTATTTATTTATTTAAGACAGAGTCTTGCTCTGTTGCCCAGGCTGGAGTGCAGTGGTGCAATCTCACCTCACTGCAACCTCTGCCTCCCGGGTTCAAGCGATTCTCCTGCCTCAGCCTCCCGAGTAGCTGGGACTACAGGCATGCGTCACCTCGCCCGGCTAATTTTTGTATTTTTAGTAGAGACAGGGTTTCACCATGTTGGCCAGGATGGTCTCAAATTTCTGACCTCAGGCAATCCGCCTGCCTCGGTCCCTAAGTGCTGGGATTACAGGTGTGAGCCACCATGCCTGGCGATACCTACCCCTCACCCCTCTTTAGGGCCACAGACTATGGAAACAAATTGTGGTGACAAACTAGACAGCCTGGCTCACTCGTTTAGATGCCCATCATAAAGCTCAATCTCTGAAAAGACCAAATGGAGTCAAACTGCTGATCAAGCCTACTTCATCCAGATCACTGCCACTGCCACCTAAACATATCATTCTACTTGGCATGGTAACATACCCACTACCAAGGAGTGGCACAAAACAGAGGACTGTATATTTCTGGTTCAACTACCTGAGTCTCTGGTTGGAATGGTACAGCCTGAGATTGTTAGGATTGTGACCACTTGGCTGAGTATCCTGCTTGCTGATTTCCCTGCAGTGGCCCATGTGGGTAAAGAGAAGAGATATAACAGGTCTCTATACATCTGTAAAAATGCCCTGGTCCCATTCATACCTGACATTTCTGAATGAAAGATCTAAGTGATAGTAGGCAACAACTGGAGAAAAAGTGAAACTATAGATGCTGGCATAGGACATATGCTTTTTGTTTTGTTTTGTTTTTGTGAGACAGTCTCACTCAGTCGCCAGGCTGGAGTGCAGTGGTGCGATCTTGGCTCACTGCAGTCTCCGCCTCCTGGGTTCAAGCAATTCTCCTGCCTCAGCCTCCTGAGTAGCCAGGACTCCAGGCATGCGCCACCACACCCGGATAATTTTTGTATTTTTAGTAGAGACGGGGTTTCACCATGTTGGCCAGGATAGTCTTGATTTTCCTGACCTCATGATCCGCCCACCTCGGTCTCCCAAGGACACATGGATTTTATAGCAATAATCCTGCCACCTGGGGAGGATATACCTTAGATCCCAGAAAGTGCAGGGAACAATTAATGTTCTCTTTATCCCTTAGATCCATCACTGCCACCTGGCAAAACAATCCTAGGGTCTGCCCAAGCCCAGTGGCAGCTGCAGCTGTCAATATGGCCAACTGTTGGGTGTCTCATTTCCATCCACATGATAGGAAAACTCACATGGACACGTCAGTACTGAGCTATTCTGCTGTGTCTAATGCCATCAAAGGTAGTTCTCAACAGTGACCTTGTGCAGACACACCAGCCAGCACAATTTTGTTTCAACCTGACAGATACAAATTCATCTGCTTTTCCTGATGTCTGAGTAGCCTTGGATTATACCATGTAGGCAACTGAGGCTGAAGCTCCACAGTGACACTGCCCTCAGGCTCAACTAAACATTGTTCTGGTGACTCAAATCAAGCGTAACATGTGGGAGAGAATGGGTCATGGAATGTCTCCTTATGGGGGCATGAGGGTTGCTTGGGTCCATCTATTGCCCCCTGTACTTATTGGCAGTAACATCAAAGATTGGCAGGTCAATCTAAACTCTCTTATGTGGGTGGTCGTGGATAACAGATTGGTCTTAGACAATATCCTGATTATCCAAAATGAGACTTACTGGTCCTCCAGGACCTTCACAGCTGGTTGAGTCCAGGACCCTGTTCAATATTGCAGGTTAGGGGCCAGACACAGTGACTCACACCTATAATCCCAACACTTTGGGAGGCTGAGACAGGAAGATGGCTTGAGCCCAGGAGTTTGAGATCACCCTAGGCAGCACAGCAAGAACCTGTCTCTGAAAAAAATAATAAATTAATTAGCCAGGAATGGTGTCGCACAGGCCTGTCGTCCCAGCTACTCAGGAGGCTGAGGTGGGAGGTCTGTTTGAGCCCAGGAGTTCAAGGTTACAGTAAGCTAGGTGGGTGACAGAGCTTGGGTGACAGAGCAAGACCCTGTCTATAAAAAAAATAATAATAATGTAGGTTGGCCTTACCCTGCTATTCAGAATATAGTTGATAGTAATCTTAATTAAATGAAGTATGAGACTAATTGACAGATTTGGTCCTAGCCTCTATCAGTCAGATCAATCAGACTGAATAGCACATTCGTGTGAAAATTTGAGTTAGGCCGGGTGCGGTGGCTCACGCTTGTAATCCAAGCACTTTGGGAGGCCGAGGCGGGTGGATCACGCGGTCAGGAGATCAAGACCATCCTGGCTAACATGGTGAAACCCCGTCTCTACTAAAAATACAAAAAATTAGCCAGGTGTGGTGGCGGGCGCCTGTAGTCCCAGCTACTGGGGAGGCTGAGGCAGGAGAATGGCGTGAACCCAGGAGGCAGAACTTGCAGTGAGCCGAGATCGCGCCACTGTACTCCAGCCTGGGCGACAGAACGAGACTACATCTCAAAAAAAAAAAAAAAAAAAGAAAAGAAAAGAAAATTTGAGTTAAACCAAGCCATGGAGGGCTTGGGCTTGGGGCAGACTGTTGGGGTGGCAATCCATCATGGCCCTGAGCATCCCTGCATATTCTTGCAGGGCACACCAAAGATACAAAGCCCTAACCACTCTTTACCTGGGCCATGTCTTAGGATTGTGTTTGCAGAGAGCAACCTCGAACGGTGTGGTGATGTCTCTTCCCAAAGAGCACATTTGCTGCGGTTCACTATAAAAATCATGAATTTCTCCAGCTTGGCAGTTCTCAGCTATGATGCACACCCCCTGCATGCACAGCGCCCACCTGGCCCCTCTGTGTCACCTCCGTGGGAGTTAGGGAACAAGATGAACCAACACAACCAGGCCAACAGTCTAGCTAGTGCCTTTGCTGTAATACAGTCCAATGTCTCTGACCTATCAGTGTCCATGAAACAGTAGCAGGCTAGCTTGTTGGCCTGGAGGCAGAATTAAATCCTAGACCCTTGAGACACCCAACACCCCTCCCGACACCAGGGTTTGACAAGTCCAGTCCTCCAGCCACCACAGCCCTTCCTTCCTGCCCCTCCTAGCCCTGTCACTTCCAATCCCTTCCTCCATCTATCGTATCTGTCCCCCCTTTTTTTTTTTTGATACGGAGTTTCACTCATGTTGCCCAGGCTGGAGTGCAATGGCACGATCTCAGCTCACTGCAACCTCCACTTTCCGGGTTCAAGCGATTCTCCTGCCTCAGTCTCCTGAATAGCTAGGATTACAGGCATGCACCACCACGCCTGGCCAGTTTTTTGTATTTTTAGTAAAGACAGAGTTTCACCATATTGGCCAGGCTAGTCTCGAACTCCTGACCTCAGGTGATCCACCCGCCTCGGCCTCCCAAAGTGCTGGAATTACAGATGTGAGCCACCGTGCCCGGCCTGTCCTCATCTTTTATCCCAAACTTGGTCTCCAGCTCTCAAAGCCCACCTCAGCCCCCTGGAACCCCTGGAATGAGAGCATGTACAGGAGTGCGGGATGGAAGCCCAGTTGGTGCTCAGAGGTTCAAAGGCAGGGAAGAGCATGGCCTGATCTCCCTAGCTACCCTGATATCCACCTGAAGTGGGATGCCTATTTTGTGCTGGGATGGGTTTGTTCATAGCCTCCTAACTACCCCCCATAACTGGAGTTCACATGCTGTGAACAGACAGGGAGCCTGAGGCTAAGAGGGGAGCAATGACTTGCCCACAGGCTCCAATGAGTCAGTGATATCTTCTGGACCCAGGCCCAGGCTGCCTGGCTCCAAGTCCAAAGCCACCCAAGGTCCCCAGCCCCTGCAGGCCTCGGTGTCCTATGGCCCAGCAGAGGCAAAGCAGACACAGGCATAGGCCCTGGCAGCTCACCTCTGTGCGGTCGATTTTAAATGGGTTCTGGAAGTTGGAGTCTTTCTCACTGATCCCCAGCTCCTGGGCCATCTGCAGATGAAGAAACACTAGTCATCATCTGCCTTCTCCTGAGTCCTGCTCACCAGAGAGTCATTCCTTCCATGCTGGGACCCAGACTCCTGACTTGGGCAGATGTGGGCCACATGATGATCCCATGGGAACTGGGTCAGCACAGAATCCCTTGAAATGGGGCCTCTGTGGCCCAAGATACCCTGAAGCTCCACAAAGAAAATGTAACCAAGCACTGACGTTCAGGCCCAACTGAAGGCAGATGTGAGGATCCTAGTCCACTACCCGACAGAGGGCTCCCGGGCCACCTCCACCCCAGTCCTTACCAGGCTGAGGATGGGCGAGTGGGGCCCCTGGTTGAAGACGCCTGTCTGGTTGCAGAAACTGATACCCCAGCGGATGAGGAGGTTCCAGTTGGAGTTGTGGTCAAAGTAATAGTGCACAATCCTCGGGAAGCGCAGCACCACATCGCCGAAGAAGGCCGTGTTCTCCACCACGTGGGAGAAAGCTGGCGAGAGGACCCTGATGAGTGGCCAGGGCAGATGCTCTCCTGGCTGCCTCACTGGCCCCTGGCATCCTCTAGAGAACAGAGACATCCACCAAACCCACCAAGCAAGGAAGGAACAGTGCCTACTGACCACAGGCTGCCAATCACATGTACAGTGCGAACTAGGGCCTTACATCCACCAGCTCACTGAGTCCTCATAACCACTTTTAGAGGGAGATGTGGCTGCTGTTCCCATTTTACAGATGGGAAACTGAGGCTCAGCAGCTAGTGAGTAGCAAATCTGGGCTGCAAACCCAGGTCCGTCAGCCCAAAGGCACATCTTGCTGCTTAGAAGACACATTTGCTGTGGGGACCAGAGAAGTGAGTGTTGTTCTGCACACAGATGCTGATGTATCACATGAGACTTTACTGGGCTTGACCCCCCCACCGACATGTTATCCAAATGTCCAGTGCTGGCCCTGGTGTTAACACAACTAGAGTGTCTGTGAGACCTCAGGTATCTTAGGATGGCCACACAACAGGCCAGCATTTTTCTTTTTTAATATTCTTTCCATTTTATTTCATTTTAAGTGCTTAAGTTCTTATTTTGAATGAATGAATGAATATATTTAATTAATTAATTAATTACTTTAGAGGTGAGGTCTCACTTTGTTGCCCAGGCTGATCTCAAACTCCTGGCCTCAAGTGATCCTCCTACCTCGGCCTTCTAAAGCTCTGGGATTATAGGCATGAGCCACTGCACTCGGCCTGAAATTATCTTGGACTTAACATAACATAACATAAAATTCATTCACTTGGCTTCCTCTAATGTTACCATCCTTTTTTTTTTTTTTTTTTTTTTGGAGACGGAGTCTCGCTTTCTTGTCCAGGCTGGAGTGCAGTGGCATGATTTTGGCTCACTGCAACCTCCGCCTCGCGGGTTCAAGTGATTCTCCTGCCTCAGCCTCCCGAGTAGCTGGGATTACAGGTGCATGCCACCACACCCGGCTACTTTTTTATATTTTTGGTAGAGATGGGGTTTCACCGTGTTTGGCCAGGCTGGTCTCAAACTCGAACTCAAGTAATCCGCCTGCCTCGGCTTCCCAAAGTGCTGGGATTACAGGAGTAAGCCACCTGCTTGGCCTAGTGTTGTCATCTTATATAACCAACATACAACTATCTAAACCAGGAAATTAACAGCAATACAATACTACCAACTAACCTAACAGACTTAATTTGAATTTTCTGTTTTCCTACTAATGTGCTTCTACTGGTCAACAGGTCAATTTAGACTGAGCTTTGTTAGTGTGCTGTAGGAAAACAGCCTGCTGCAAGACAAGCGTGGCACCATCTTGAAGCCATAATGGCTGAGGTTTGACCCGTGCACACCAAGGTATTCTGCAGCAAGGTCTTTAAACAATGCCGGTAGCATAGATAACCCCTCAAAAAGATGATTATTTAACTTCCCCAGTGGTCACAAGTTTCACACGAAAGCCTGAGATGTCACCAGCTGCATGTTTTAACCTAAAAGCTTGCTGTATAAACAATACTTTTGGCCGGGTGTGGTAACTCACCCCTGTAATCCCAGCACTTTGGGAGTCCACATGGCGGGTAGATCACTTGACATCAAAAGTTCGAGACCAGCCCGGCCAACATGGCAAAACCCCATCTCTACTAAAAATACAAAAATTAGCCGGGCCTGGGGGCGCATGTCTCTAATTCCAGCTACTCGGGAGGCTGAGGCACAAGAATCACTTGAACCTGGGAGGCAGAGGTTGCAGTGAACTGAGATTGTGTCACTGCACTCCAGCCTGGGTGATGGAGTAAGACTGTCTCAAAAGAAAAAAAAGAAAAGAATAGTTTCTGTACAAGCATTGTCGTCTGCAAAACAACAAGTAAAGAATACTTTCTGGAGGTTGGGTGTAGAGACCACCATCTCATTTCTGCCTGAGACATGGTTCTGTTCAGAAGTCCCTAATAAATGTTTCTTTCTGAGAAACTGGCGCTCTCAGCTCCCTTGGCCTTGGAGGGTAGGTTTGCACAGACCTGCTCACCAAGGAACATGTGTCCATCATGGTAGCAAGTCCCCCAGATCCAGGTTAGCCAAAAGTGTAACTGTGTAAACAGGTCTAAGCAGTCCCTATTGGAGCCAGCCTGTCAGAAAGGGCCCAGGCAGCCCTCACCAGCACTAAGAGGCCACGCAGAAAGATAAGTAGACTCCAAAGATATGCCAGGGTGGGTCTGAGACATGTCAGGCAGGGACCCCGGGGCTTCAGAATAATCTTGAACCTCAAAGAACTCAGGAAGTCAGCCTGATTCAGAGGGAAGAGCCAAGGCAAATCACTTGTCCTCTTTCATATAGAAAGTAGAGAGAACAGTGTCTTCCCCCAGAGTTATGGTGGAGATTTGAGTTCATGGTTGTAAAGTATCTACTATTTAATATATAAGAGCTGTCCGCATCCTCTCAGTGTAATCTAAGAAATGCTATTGTGGCCGGGTGCAGTGGCTCTCGCCTGTAATCCCAGCGCTTTGGGAGGCCGAGGTGGGCGGATCATGAGGTCAAGAGATCGAGACCATCCTGGCCAACATGGTGAAACCTCGTCTCTATTAAGAATACAAAAACTAGCTGGGTGTGGCGGCATGTGCCTGTAGTCCCAGCTACTTGGGAGGCTGAGGCAGGAGAATCACTTGTACGCGGGAAGTGGAGGTTGCAGTGAGCCGAGATCACACCACTGTACTCCAGCCTGGCGACAGAGTGAGACTCTGTCTCAAAAAAAAAAAAAAAAAAAAAAAAAGAAATGCTATTGCTAAAAAGTAGCCAGTTAATTAGGGAGGCCACTCACGAAACGCCCATCTGCCCAAGGGGACCACTTAGAAGGTGCCACAAGAGGGCACTTCCGGGGAGAAAAAAAGAGTGACAAGAACAGGAGAGAAGGAGCAGCTAGAGAAGATCGGGTGGTGCGGAGGACAGGGCGGGGCAGGGCAGACCATACCATCCTTCAGCTTCTCGTCCTGGGGGAAGGGCCCATCTGGGAGCACATCAGCAGCGGTGAGCACTGTCCGGGAGTCCTCCAGCACCTGAGGGAATCCCGCCAGGGCTGAGTGGCTTCGCAGTGCCCATCACAGACTGCTCCCATCCCCATTTATTTAAACCCCACTTCAAGTCTTACGTGTGCGCAGTTCCCCTGTCCCTGAACACCAACCCGTTAGGGAACTCCTGTTTACCCATCAGTGCCTAGATCAAAGACTGGACCTGCCATGAGCTGCCCCCTGCCTGCACACACCTTAAAGAGCCCCTTGAGCATGACATCAAGGATCTTGTACTGCTGGTGGATGTCGTTCAGCTGTGCCAGGTTCTTCAGTGCCAACAGCTGCTCCCGCCGCTTCACCTCAAACATCTTCTTGTCTGGGCAGAATTAAGTTAAGGGGCTGGCATCAATAGCCCTGCCTGGACAATCCAGCAGTCTTGCCTCAGAAGGCTCATTCCTGACCAGCAAGTATCTGCAAGGGCCATGGACACCCAGGGCTAGAAGCCTCCAGGAAATGAACAAACTGACAAGTGCATGGACCTGCAACGCACTATTCATCCAGTTCCCATGGCGCTCCACACCCAGAAGCCTGAAACCAAGCCTCCAGACCTGGCTCCTGCCTTCCCTTTGCTGTGGTCTTCCTGCCGTCTCCACAAGCATTCTACTGTTCCAGAGCCTCCACCTCTCTGCTCGCGCTGCACCCTCTCTGCCCAGGATGCCCCTCACCCTCCTCTAGGAGTTTCTTTCCTTTCAAGGCCTGGCTCAAAAACCATCACACAGTGTTTCTCCCTGACCCCTCCTGTGCCCATCAGAGCACTGGTCACAGAGTAACATGATCATTTGTTTGGATACTTTCTCCCCCTGGGCTTATGGACACCTCAAAGCCAGGGGACTTGTTGTAATTCATCTTCGTGTCCTTGAGGCCTGGCCTGGAGCAGGTGGCCCAGTTCACCAGGGTCCAGATGGGCCAGTAATCCAGAATTCCTGAGTCTCCACCCAGGATCTTGCCCACAAGGTGCCAGGCCATGCACAGTCCTCACTGAGCCTTTGCAGTCTAGAGATGGGCCTTGTCATCTCCATTTACCATACGCGGAAGCTGAAGCTCCGGAGAGACCTGACTTGCTCAAGGTCTGGCTAGAGCACCTCACCTTTTCTCCCTGTTCCCGCCAGCTGGGCCTGCTTATCCCTGGAATCCCTGAGTAGAAGAACCTCATTTATAGACCTCTCAAAGACAGCTCATTAACTACAACCCCAAAGGATACAGATCTCCAGGCTTGGGTCCAGGGAGGTCCTCAAGGTGCCTGTGGCTCCCATCCCAGACAAAAGCAGGACAAAGAGGAAGGCCAGGAATTGAAGAAGGTCCATATCCAAACCTCTTGAGCTGGAAGAATAACCCAAAGAAAGAGAGTGAGACTCAGAGATCGGTGTTACATAAAATAGAGTGCACAGGTGAACAGCAGCTTCCCCCGACATAGTGCAGCCTCTGTATACCAAGAACCCAGCTTTGGGGAGCCCTGAAGCTGCAGCTCTTATCCCAGGGCCAGCAGGCACACAATACAGAGCCGTGGGATGCTAGGAGGTGGGGAGAAAGATAAGTGTGTGTAACACAGGAACACTTAGAGCACAGGGTCAGTGGCTAGAGCTCTAGGCTGGAGCCCTGCCCCCGCCCGTCTCTGGGACCTCGAGCAGCTTGCCCAGCCTTTCTGAGCCTCAGCCTTCTCAGCTGTAGAACAGGGATAAGGAGGTCACCTCCCTGCTGCAGGGAGGGAGGTCTGGGTGAGGCACTGTGCCTGGGGAGGAGGGGCTCGTCAACAGTATTCCTTCCACATCCCCTATCCTGGTCTCCCAGGAAAGCATCTGGTCAAGGAAGCCCAGGCAGAGAAGATATGAAACTTCTGGAGTTTTCCTCCTTCCTTGACTTTTGTCATCAGAAAGTAAGAAGGGACAAAGGGCAGGGAGGAAGGCAGGGCAGTCTCGGGGTAAGGGGGCTTGCTACTCACTCACTTTGGAACCATAGGTACTACATAGAATACCTGTTCATATTCAGGCAACATGCAACAATTATTTATTTATTTTAATTTAATTTTTTTTTTTTAAGATGGAGTTTCACTCTTGTTGCTCAGGCTGGAGTGGAATGGCGCAATCTCGGCTCACTGCAACCTCCACCTCCCGGGTTCAAGCGATTCTCCTGCCTCGGCCTCCTGAGTAGCTGGGATTACACGCATGCGCCACCATGCCCAGCTAATTCTGTATTTTCAGTAGAGACGGGGTTTCTCCATATTGGCCAGGCTGGTCTCGAACTCCCAACCTCAGGTGATCCGCCTGCCTTGTCCTCCCAAAGTGCTGGGATTCAGATGTGAGCCACCGCGCCCGGCCCTTTTTATTTATTTTTTCCTTAGTAGAGATGAGGTCTTGCTATATTGCCCAGGCTGGTCTCCAACTCCTGAGCTCAAGAGATCCTCTCGCCCCAGCCTCCCAAATACTGGGATTACAGGCGTGAGCCACTATGCCCAGCCAACACAATTATTTATTGAGCACTGTGAAGTTCACTTTCCTGGTGATTCCCAGGACATACATTGCTGCCTTCCACCCTTCCTCTTTCTCCCCTTGAAAGGATGCATCTTTTCACTTGGCTGGGGTGGTAATTCTCTTAAATGTTTTTTGTTAGTTCCTGTAATTTTTTTTTTTTTTTTTGAGACAGGGTCCTGCTCTGCTGCCCAGGCTGGAGTGCAGTGGCACAGTCATGGCTCATTGCAGCCTCCACTTCCCAGGCTCAAGCCATCCTCCCACCTCAGCCTCCTGAATAGCTGGCACTACAGGTGCATGCCGCCATGCACGGCTATTTTTTGTATTTTTCTTAGACGTGGGTTTTGCTACATTGCCCAGGCTAGTCTTGAACTCCTGGGCTCAAGTGATCCACCCATCTTGGCCTCCCAAAGTACTGGGATACAGGTGTGAGTCACTGCACCCGGCTACTATAGCTTTTTTCTCTGGTTCTAACTCTGCTGTTACGGCCTGACACTCAAATATTCTGTCTTGAGGGCCTAGAAAAACAATGTTTTCCTCTAGTATAACTTGATTCTGTACTTCGGGCTTTTCTTGATGTGTCTGAATTGTTCCATTTAACCAGGAAATTTCTCATGCTTTTAACTAAGAGCCAGGTATTCCCCAGTTGAAGGCACTAGTTTTTGTTTTGTTTTGTTTTTTTGAGACGGAGTCTTGCTCTGTTGCCCAGTCTGGAGAGCAATGGCACGATCTCGGCTCACTGCAACCTCCGCTTCCTGGGTTCAAGCGATTCTCCCTGCCTCAGCCTCCCGAGTAGCTGGGATTACAGTTGCCTGCCACCACACACAGCTAATTTTTGTATTTTTAGTAGCAACGGGGTTTTGCCATGTTGGCCAGGCTGGTCTTGAACTACTGACCTTAGGTGATCCACCGCCTCAGCCTCCCAAAGTGCTGGGATTACAGTCGTGAGCCACCGTGCCTGGCTGGTACTAGTTTTCTTGTTTACATTCCACTATAATATGATGGAAACTCATAACCTTGGACACACTCTGCCTGTGTCTGATGAAATTCACAACTTTTTCATAAAACCTGAGCTATGAAAGGGTTAAGATTTTTTTGTTTTTACACCCTGGTAACCTTCTGTATTGCTTGCGACACATAAATAACAAATTGACAAATTTCCTTGTCCACTGCTGATTATAATGAACTTCCATTAGATTTTTAACCATGGGGACAGGCATGGTGGCTCATGCCTGTAATCCCAGCACTTTGGGAGGCCGAGGTGGGCGGATCACAAGGTCAGGAGATCAAGACCATCCTGGCTAACACAGTGAAACCCCGTCTCTACTAAAAATACAAAAAAAATTAGCCGGGCGTGGAGGCATGTGCCTGTAATCTCAGCTACTTGGGAGGCTGAGGCAGGAGAATCGCTTGTACCCAGGAGGCAGAGGTTGCAGTGAGCCGAGATCGCACCACTGCACTCCAGCCTGGGCAACAGAGCGAGACTGCGAATCAAAAAAAAAAAAAAAAAAAAAATTAGTCGCCTAAAAAAAAAAGATTTTCAACCATGGTTGTTCCAAGTCTTTGTCATCTGTGGTTCTGATTCTTCTCTAAGAGCATTTGCAATCAGATTCATAAGAAGACTCTAACAAGTAATCTTAAATACAAGTTTCTAAAAACTTAAAAACTTTAAGATCTATGGACTAAATAAAGAATTTTCAGAACTCTAATGAAGAAACTGATGAATTCCTGAAATCTCTAATCAAAATCAAACAGAACTCAATTAAAAACTGATGAAGATAATTTTCTTTTCTTTTCTGTATTTATTTATTTATTTTTGAGACAGGGTCTCACTCTGTCATCCAGGCTCACTGCAGCCTCAACCTCTTGGGCTTAAACAAGCCTCCTACCTCAACATCCTGTGTAGCTGAGACTACCAGCACATGTCACCATGCCCAGCTATTATAATTTTTAAAATCTTTTTGTAGAGGTAGGATCTTGCTATATTGCCTAGGCTGGTCTCAAACTCCTGAGCTCAAGCAATCCTCCTGCCTTGGCCTCCCAAAGTGCTGAGATTACAGGCATGAGCCACCCTGCCAGAGTAATGTGTTTATGACATATATTTGGAATATTATTGGTTCTTTACTTGTTTTGTTTTCTAAATTTAAGGAAACTTTTTCTCTTAAGCTATCTATAGTTTACAGCAATTCCATAAGAAATACTTTTGTAAAGAGAGGTGGAAACATTTACTTTTTCTCCCTATTTAACCCATCTAAAATTTGAAAACTATTCAAGAAAAGTATTCTTTTTTTTATTTTATTTTTTATTTTTTAGACAGGGTCTCCCTCTGGAGTACAGTGGTATAATCATGGCTCACTGTAGCCTTGACCTCCCAGGCTCAATCAATTCTCCTTCCTCAGTCTCCCAAGGGCCTGGGAGTACAGGCATGCACCACCACACCCAGCTAATTTTTGTATTTTTTAGTAGAGATGGGGTTTGGGCATGTTTCCCAGGTTGATCTTGAACTCCTGGGTTCAAGTGATCAGGCTGCCATGGCCTCCCACAGTGAAAGGATTACAGGCGTGAGCCACCATGCTGGTCTATTCATGAGTATTCTTACGGCAATGTGGTTATTTGCAAAAGTCCAGTAAGACTTTGCTCTCTCTCTTTTTTTTTTATTTTGAGACAGAGTCTCACTCTGTTGCTCAGGCTGGAGTGCAGTGGCACGATCTCAGATCTTGCAACCTCCACCTCCCAGGTTCAAGTGATTCTTGCGCCTCAGCCTCCCCAGTAACTGGGATCACAGGCGAGCACTACCATGTCTGACTAATTTTTGTATTTTTAGTAGAGACAGCGTTTCACCATGTTGGCCAGGCTGGTCTCGAACTCCTGGCCTTAAGCGATCTGCCCACTTTGGGCTCCCAATGTACTGAGATTACAGGCGTGAGCCACTGTGCCCAGCCTGTTCTCTCTTATAACAGAATACAACAAATATTGCTTATATTACCAGGGCTTTAACTAGAATATCATACTTGAGAATGTACATAGAAAGCCTGCCTTCAAAGATTCCCAGCCTTACAGTGAATGAGTAAAATCTGTCACTTCCTGGCAGGCCCAGGAACCTTAAGACTGTTAAGTAAAATCTAAAGTCTGCCTTGGTTTTGCTTCCTAGCCTTAAATGGTTTTTAAATCTGTTATTCCTATGTGATCACTGTAAAGAGAAAATTTTGTTTCTAAAAAAAGCTATAGTACATCTGTTATTAGACTGCAGCCCTGTGCATTGTTTTTGAGTTCTCATTATCTACTTGTATACTGGACTAGCTCCTGAATTCTAGATTCCTCCAATCTAACTTTCTTTCATGAAATTATTAAAAATTGGCACTGCTCTGTTCCTGAAGCCCTGTAAGTTGAAACTAGATGAACTTTAAGGTACAAGCCTTGTGCCTAATGTATGGGTCACACAGGAAGTTCACCAAACATCCCAATGCCATAACCAGAGACATTCAAACTGCAAACCAGGATAAGAAGTTGATGGTTTCATACTGTAGATAGCTTTTCCGAAGACACTGGAACAAGATTCCATATCATTTTGAGACTCTTACTCGTTTCTTTTTTTTTGAGTAGGAGTCTGGCTCTGTCGTCCAGGCTGGAGTGCAGTGGTGCAATCTCGGCTCAATGAAAGCTCCACCTTCCAGGTTCACGCCATTTTCCTGCCTCAGCCTCCCGAGTAACTAGGACTACAGGTGCCCGCCACCACGCCCGGGTAATTTTTTTTGTATTTTTTGTAGAGACGGGGTTTCACCATGTTAGCCAGGATGGTCTCCATCTCCTGCCCTCGTGATCCGCCCGTCTCAGCCTCCCAAAGTGCTGGGATTACAGGCGTGAGCCACCACGGTGGGCCTCTCAGAACTATTATGCAAACTGAGATTATCACATTGCTATTACTTCCTATTTTCCTATTTATTTATTTTACATTATTTTTGGAGACAGAGTCTCACTCTGTAGCCCGAGCTGGAGTGCAGTGGCACCATCTTGGCTCACTGTAACCTCTGCCTCCCGGGTTCAAGTGATTCTCCTGCCTCAGCCTCCCGAGTAGCTGGGATTACAGGTGTGCATCACCATGCCTGGCTAATTTTTGTATTTTTTGTAGAGACGAGGTTTCATGATCTTGGCCAGGCTGGTCTCGAACTCCTGGGTTCAAGCAATCTGGCCATCTTGGCCTCCCAAAGTGCCAGGATTACAGGGGTGAGCTATCGTGCCCAGCCCTATTTTCTTTTTAAACTTTATACCTATTACTTTTTAAATTTTTGTTGAAGTATCACTCCTGACAGAATAATGCTGGCCCAGAAGTTTGCAATGACAGCAAATGCCTATGGAACAGCCAAAATTGAACTTAACAATGAACTCCAGGTAGACATACCTTGAGAGCCACTCCTTCCAAACCTCCCTTGCTGCTCAAATGTGGCTAAAAGGTATTTGGGGTTTTTTGAGGCAGGGTCTCGCTCTGTCACCCACGCTGGAGTGCAGCGGTACAATCATAGCTCCCTATAACCTGAAACTCCTGGGCTTAAGTGATCCTCTACCCAACTGACTCCCGCACACTCCCCAACCAATGCCCAGATAACTTTTTTTTTTTGAGACGGAGTTTCGCTCTTGTTGCCCAGGCTGGAGTGCAATGGTGCGATCTCGGCTCACCGCAACCTCCACTTCCCAGGTTCAAGCGATTCTCCTGCCTCAGCCTCCCTAGTAGCTGGGATTACAGGCATGTGCCACCACGCCCGGCTAATTTTTGTATTTTATTTTATTTATTTTTTATTTTTTTATTTTTTATTTTTTTGAGACAGAGTCTTGCTCTGTCGCCCAGGCTGGAGTGCAGTGGTGCGATCTCGGTTCACTGCAAGCTCTGCCTCCTGGGTTCACGCCATTCTCCTGCCTCAGCCTCCCAAGTAGCTGGGACTACAGGCACCTGCCACCACGCCCGGCTAATTTTTTGTATTTTTAGTTGAGATGGGGTTTCACCGTGTTAGCCAGGATGGTCTCGATCTCCTCACCTCATGATCCGCCTGCCTCGGCCTCCCAAAGCGCTGGGATTACAGGTGTGAGCCACCGCGCCCGGATGTTATTTATATATATTTTTGTATTTTAGTAGAGACGGGTTTCTTCATGTTGGTCAGGCTGGTCTCGAACTCTCAACCTCAGGTGATCCGCCCGCCTTGGCGGTTGCCCAGGCTGGTCTTGAACTTCTGGACTCAAGTGATACTCCCTCCTTGACCTCCCAAAGTACTGGGATTACAGACGTGAGCCCCTGCTCCCAACCACTACAAGGGTTTTGACACTGACTCCTAGTCACCAGTCTCCAACTGGAGACTCCTAGTCTCCAACATGGCAAGAGACCAACAACCCAAGATAGGTCCGTCCCAGCACTGAGGGACCTAACTACAGGATGACTGATCAGTAAAGTTTTTGGAGAAAGATCTTGACCAAAAGGGGGAAATATGAAAGTTGTTAGAATCAAAACAGAGTCGTTTGTGTTAAAAACTCTGACAAATTTAAAGCATGATTCTCCAATGGGAAAAAACAAGAACAACAACTCTGACAAATAAAACCGAGGAAGGTTGTGAAAAGAGGGTTCTTATGCACAAATGACTGATAACAAGATCACAAAAAATGCAAAAACCACAACCCTGCACAAAGGCCACTGCAAACTTACACAGAAAAATCTTTCTGTGAGGACATCTGCCCTGCAACTGCCTGTCCAACCTCAGACTAGCACCACTCTTGCTATTCATCCTTGTAGCCAAGGATAACTATCTCAAAATAATCATGTAATCCTCATTTTTCCTTTTCAAAACCTTTGTCTTCCTTTACCTCCCCAAATACGTACACAGGTTACTATGGCACACATATTGTCACTACAATGTCTATTCCCAAGTAAACATCATTTTTTTAGAGTCTCTCACTCTGCTATTTAGGTTGACAGTACCTACCACACTCTAGGCACTGTTCTAGAGGCGGGAATACAGCAATAAATAAGCAAAAATCTCTGCACTCATGGTACTTGTCTCTAGTAGGGATAAGAGTTGATCAATAAACTTGTAAAATAAGCACAGAGGGATGAGAGGGTGTCGGTCAGGTACAAGATTACATAAAGTGGTCAGGAGAGGTCTCACACTCAGATTACAACTCCCCAATGTTACCAATGTGAAATCAAGGCACAGAAAAATGAGGTGACTGCCCAAAGTCACACAGCTATTCCCAGGCTGAACCAAGTGTCTGTTTGGCTCTAAGTCCAGTGCTCTGTCTTCTGACTCTTTGTAAATGAGCACAGGCTACCTGAGATCAGAGCTGGCTACTGAACTACCAGGACACCTGCCCCAGGGGAGAGATGCTCAGTTACAGACAGTGAGGGGCTGCAGAGATCATCCGGAGAACCCCCTACCCCCAAGCAGACGAGATAAGTGAAACCTAGAGAAGGAATAGTCCAAGTTCACCCAGGACCCTCCACATTCCACCTCCTGCTCCAAACTCAAGGGAACCAGAACCAGGCTAGGGCAAAACTTTAGGGGCCAAGGAGAATACCAGACAGCTGGCAATGACTGAAGCAGGTAGTGGGAAAGAAAAGCCAGAACAGCAGCCTGCGGGACAGGTCCTGCTTTCTCTACTGTTAAACTCACTTTTTCAGCCTCTCAATCCCGATCCTGCCGTATGCGTCACCCGGAGCTCCTCCTGGCTCAGCATGAGGCTCTGAACTCCTGCAGAGGTACCAGGTAGTGGCGGGCCTTGAGCCAGCTACCGGGGTCGGGGGCCCAGGTGGTTGACCCCGAGCCTTCGGAGCTCCCGGAGGAGGGAGCGAGCCTTCTCAAGGAACAGAGGCGTCCAGGTCCACGAAACTCCCTCCCCACCACCTGCAGCCGGTTCGAGGCCCTCGGTTCTCTCATTATCCTTCCCGGGAACCTGCAGCCCGCGGCCCCTACAGCCACCTACCTGGCCAGTCGGTGCAGGAAGGGCAGGTGGCCGAGTCCTGTGCGAGCAGCTAGGCTCGAAGGTCCAACAGGCTAACAGCAAAGCAACTGAAAGCGGGAGCAAACGGCTAGCAACCGAGCGCAGACCGCCGAGCTCCGTCCCGCCCACCGCGCTGCTCCCGGCCAATGAGCGCGAGCCGCCACTGCGGGGCTCCGCTAGCCTCACTTCCGGCCCCGCTCCACCGCCCCTGCCTGCCCCTCCAGGCTCTGGCGTGCCTCCAGCGCGCTGTGGGCACCATCCTCGTCCTGTCCCTCCTGCGGGCCCTGGGTACGTGGCCCTGGATTTAGCTTGTGTTGGAGGAAGTTAAATCTGTGGGTGGGGTCTGTGCCCAATTTAAGGCGTGAATCAGCAAACTGGGGTCCCAGCTCCTGTCGGCCGGGCGACCTTCTGCGCGCCCTCCCTGAAACTGTGTCGTCGTCTGTGGCCGAGTTTTTAAACTTTAGATCGCAACGTGAGTTTAGTGGGCGGTGACTAGCACTTTTGTTCTTCTTTAAGGACCTCAGAGACTCAGTGCAGGATTCGGGCATCCCCTCCTTGCCCCTCCGGTCCACCAACTAATAAGCCAAGTGCGGCGGGGGCTTCCTCGTCCGTTCGTTAGGCCGAGTGCAGCCCCACTTTTGCGCAGGATCAGGACAGTCAGACCCGAGAAGGCAGCGTGGCGTGGCCATCTCCGGGCCCGGGGCCCCTGCCGGGCGGGAAGGGAGCTGGAGGCCCGGTCTGGGCTGAGCTCCCCAGAACAGGCGCAGGGCAGGCACTGTCGAGCGCAGACCTCATGCCGGGGACCAAGCTGGACATGCATTCCCAGGATCTACCCACGAGGGTGCATAAACACCAGTTCTGATGACGGCTGTACGGGAAGGGACAGAGGTGACCTACTTTAGCCAGACAAGGGCTGAGGCTGGGACAGTTTCGTTCTGATAGGAAAGCTGAGAATTTGACCCTCCTTGCCTGGAAAGTTTACCTCTATCCACCTCCACGTGAGGCGAGGGAGCAGGTCAAGTGCCTCTGGGAGCTGTTGAATCGCAGCAGCCCCAACCCCTAGGCCTTTCTCTGCCCTGCCAGCCCCAGGATGGCCTGACTGGTGTTCTCTGAGTACAGCTGAGGCACCCAGCTGACTCCTTGAATGCTGTTACAAGAACAAATCCTGTCCCGTCCCTCCTTCCCTGAGGAGGCCATCAGTCTCCTTGCTGAAACAATCCCTTATCCAACTGGCTGAGAAACCAGCTCCTGGTAGACAAGGTAGTACAGTGTTTTTGGAGAGCTCGCGCAGGTATGTGAGTGTATCATTTTATTTCCTTATTCTATTTCAACAATAGAGTATATGGCTCCATATGAATAGCTTCAGCTGTCATCCATTTCCCCAACAATTATGCCCTTTGTCTCCAGGTCTCATTCTCTCTCCACTTCTGGGCCTTCAAGTCCTGAGGATCAGTTTCTGATGTGGGACAGGGATACAGCCACCCCTCCCAGGCAGCTGGCAGCAAAACATGAGAGGAAAACAGCAGAGAAGTGGGGCCAACCATGGGGGCATCACACTTCCAGAGCCCAAAACAGTCAAGAATGGTCAGGCAAGAACAGAAGTGCTCCTGAGAATAGTGGGATGGATTCTGAAATTGGGTCCTGAACACCTGGGCTAGGTAGTTGCTATTCAACAGGGAACTATTGCACGGAAGGGGCAAGGAAGAGAGCCAGGGAGGCAGCCAGAGGGGTGCAGAGGAAGCAAACTACCCTCACACACACCTCTGGACTGCAGTATCTCTGGACTGCAGTGTCTCTGGGTGCAACCAGCCACCTACCAGAGGGTCTCTGACCACTGCCACAGCCCCAAGCTTGCTTTTTTTTTTTTTTTTTGAGACATAGTCTCACTCTGCCACCCAGGCTGGAGTGTGCAGTGGCACAATCTCGGCTCTCTGGTCACTGCAATCTCCACCTCCCAGGTTCAAGTGATTGTCCTGCCTCATCCTCCCAAGTAGCTTGGATTACAGGCATGCACCACCATGCCCGGCTAATTTTTGTATTTTTAGTAGAGATGGGGTTTTACCATGTAGGCCAGGCTCGTCTCAGAACTCCTGACCTCAAGTGATCCACTCACCTTGGCTGGGATTACAGTGTGAGCCACTGCGCCCGGCCCCCAAGCTTTCTTTTTTTTTGAGACGGAGTCTTGGTCTGTTGCCCAGGCTGGAGTACAGTGGCGCGATCTTGGCTCACTGCAGCCTCTGCCTCCCAGGTTCCAGTGATTCTCCTGCCTCAGCCTCCTGGGTAGCTGGGATTACAGGCTCATGCTACCACGCCCAGCTAATTTTTGTATTTTTTAGTAGAGATGGGGTTTCACCATGTTGGCCAGGCTGGTCTCAAACTCCTGAGCTCAGGTGATCTGCCCACCTTGGCCTCCCAAAGTGCTGGGATTACAGGCGTGAGCCACTGCACCCGGCCATCCAAGCTTTCTTAAGAACATGGAAGTCACACAGACACACACACATTGTGTGTGTGTGTGTGTGTGTGCACCTGGCCATCCAAGCTTTCTTAAGAACATGGCAGTCACAGAGACACACACTATGTGTGTGTGTGTGTGTGTGTGTGTGTGTGTGTGTGTGTGTGTGTGTGTGTGTGTTGGGCTGAGGATCACTTGAACCAACTGCGCTTGGACAACTGTCTCCAAAGCTCATGGGGGAAGGACTAGCTCCTTTCTGAGTTCGGTGATGTAGCTTTGGAGACAGGCAAATCTGAGGTCAAATCCTGATTGTATCACTAGCTCTGTGATTCTGGGCACGACTGAATGTCTCTGGCCTCAGTTTCGTTATTTGGAAAGGGAGTAGGAATAATAACAGACACCAATATAACATTCACACCAAGCCAGGAGCTGTTTTTGGTGCTTTACATATATTAACTCATTTAAGTCCTTGCTACAACCCTAGGAGGTAGGTACAGGTTGAGTATCCCTTATCCAAAATTCTTGGGACCAGAAGTGTTTTGTATTTCAGATTTTTTTTCGAATTTTGTAATATTTGCCTATAATAATGAGATATGTTGGGGATGGGACCCAAGTCTAAACACAAAATTCATTTGTTTTATATACACCTTGTACACATAGCCAGAAGGTAATTTTTTATTTTTTTGAGACGGAGTCTTGCTCTGTCGCCCTGGCTGGAGTGCAGTGGTGCAATCTTAGCTGACTGCAACCTCTGCCGCCCAAGTTCAAGCAGTTCTCCTGTCTCAACCTCCTAAGTAGCTGGGATCACAGACGTGTGCCACCACAGCCGACTAATTTTTGTATTTTTAGTAGAGACAGGGTTTCACCATGTTGGCCAGGCTGGTCTTGAACTCCTGACCTCAGATGATCCACCCACCTTGGCCTCCCAAAGTGCTAGGATTACAGGCGTGAGCCACGCGTCTGGCCACCTGAAGGTAATTTTATGCAGTTTTAAATAATTTTGTTCATGGGCCAGGCACAGTGGCTCATGCCTGTAATCCCAGCACTTGGGAGGCCAAGGCAGGCAGATCACCTGAGCTCAGGAGTTTGAGACAAGCCTGGGCAACATGGTGAAACCCTGTATCTACAAAAATTAGCCAGGCATGCTGGTGTGCACCTGTAGTCTCAGCTACTCGGAGGGCTGAGGCGGGAGGATCCCTTGGGCCCAGGAGGTGAAGGCTACAGTGAGCTATGTTCACACCAGTGCACTCCAGCCTGGGTGACAAAGCAAGACACTGTCTTAAAAAAAATAAATAAAAAGAATGTAAAAAATATAATTTTATTCATGAAACAAAATTTTTTGTTTTTTTTCTGGGACAGAGTCATGTTTTGTCGCCCAGGGTGCAGTACAGTGGTGTGATCTTGGCTCACTGCCCTCCGCATCCCCGATTCAAGCGATTCTTGTGCCTCAGCCTCCCGAGTAGCTAGGACTACAGGCACATGCCACCACACCCAGCTAATTTTGGTATTTTTCATAGAGATGAGGTTTCACCATGTTGGCCAGACTGGTCTCAAACTCCTGGCCTCAGGCGTGAGCCACCGCACTTGGCCTATTCATGAAACAAAGTTTTGGCTACATTTTGACTGCAACTCATCATGTGAAGTCAGGTATGGAATTTTCCACCTGTAGCATCACATCAGCACTCAAAAAGTTTCAGATTTTGGAGCACTTTGGATTTCTAATTTTTGTATTAGGGATGCTCAACCTGTACTACAAGTACCTTAACACTCCTAGCTGATGTGAGGATTAAATATAATGCATGTAGCCGGGCATGGTGGCTCATGCCTGTAATCCCAGCACTTTGGGAGGCCGAGGGGGGCAGATCGCAAGGTCAGGAGTTCGAGACCAGCCTGTCCAATATGGTGAAACCCTGTCTCTACTAAAAATAGAAAAAAAAAAAAAAAACCTGGGCGTGGTGGCAGGCACCTGTAGTCCCAGCTACTCGGGAGGCTGAGGCAGGAGAATCGCTTGAGCCTGGGAGGCGGAGGTTACAGTGAGCCAAGATCGTGCCACTGCACTCCAGCCTGGGCGACGGAGCAAGACTCCATCTCAAAAATGAATAAATAAATATATATATATGTAAAATGCATGTAATGTGCCTGCTTTCTGTAGGAACTTAATATTAACAGGACACGGCATTGTTGTTGTCAACACTGTTAATTGACCCCTGCTTACTTTAGAAGACTAGTGCACCTAGGTCCTGAAGCATGATGCCACAGCTTCTTATGGCCTGGGAGAGCTTGCCCAGGCCAAGACAGGTCAGCCAAAGCCACACCTTGCAGAACATCACCCACCTCTTCATGAGAGAGGACACTGCTACTCCGGTACCGCATAAACTGGCCCAGGAAGAGAAGCCCCAAACACCCAGTGATTTGGCATCTCCTTCATCATAGATGCAAGAAAGGATACAGCATGTCCTGCAGGGGTGGCTGGCCTGAGGAGGTGCTAGGGGGAAGGCCCTCCAAGGAGGCCTGCAGGGTCTGGGCCATGCTGTGGTCAGCCAGGTGTCCCATGCTCTGGAGCTGCAGGGAGAAGAGGGCAGGGAAGACAGGCCTCCTCAGTGCCCATTCCACACAGGCCCTAACTGCCTCCATCCTCTGTACTTCCCTCCTCCCATTCCTTGGTTGCTGTGGCCAGAGCTCCCACCCTCCAAGAGAAGATGGTGTTGAGGGTCTAGCTTTACAGTGGCTGCATGGCCTCCCCTTCCCACCCACCTGCTGGAAGAAGCCATGCAGGGCCTGGAGTGTGGTGTTCGAGAGGGTAGACAGGTCAGCCAAAGCCACACCTTGCAGAACATCACCCACCTCTTCATGAGAGAGGACACTGCTACTCCGGTACCGCATAAACTGGCCCAGGAAGAGAAACCCCCAAACACCCAGTGATTTGGCATCTCCTTCATCATAGACAACTGCTGTGCCCCAACTTTAGGAGACACTGTCCTGAAGCCCACAGAACCTGCCTGCCTTCAAGGAGCTCAGAGTTAGTGGGCAGAGGTGGGACTGTGTCATGGGGAAGTGGGGTAAGTAAGGCAACCTGTGAGATCCTGAGAGAGCTGGCCCTCCTGACCCCTTTGGCCTTGGCTCCCTCCTACCCAACCTTGCACTGAACACTCATGGCCAAAATGAACTACGTGTGGCTCCCCTGACATACCACCATGTGCTCTTGTACCTGTTGTTTGTACTTCACTACCTGGAATACCTTTCCTCCTCTCTGCCTATTAATCTCTCAAGCCACAGCTAAAATGTTACCTTCACTGCTGAGAAGCAATTACTCTTTCCTCTTTGTTCCTACACCAACCACTGATGTACTTGTTGATGATCCACTTCGCTGTCATTCTTAGGCCTGCTGCTTTGTTATTTATTCAAGGGGCACTTACTGTGTGCCCCACAGTTAGCATCTCCTCTACTCTACCACTTGTAGCATCATATTTACATTACTAGTTTACTTGTCTGTCGTCCTCTTTAGACTGAGGGACCCTAAAGGCAGAGTATCTGGTTCATTGATATCCTTAGTATCTAGCAGACCTGGCATGTGGTAGACAGGCCCTGGTCAACATGTCATGAGAGAAATAGGGGAAAGGGTGTCGGAGTCCCCTGGAGTGAGGAGATATGGGCATTCAGAGGAATTCTTTCAGCAAGTCTCTTGTAGGGTGAAGGCCTGCCGAGCCCTTCCACCTTCTTTAAGGATTAGGGTTACCTAAAGTAAGGAGACCCTGGCCTCTTCAGCACCACCCAGCTCATGACACTCCTCAGACCACAAGATATCCTTTCTGCACTTACCAGGGTCATGAGCCTCAAAATCTCAGGTCTGAGGAAGGAATTCTCTCCAGCATCCAAGAGGGTAAACAGCAAAAACCGATTCCAAGGCTGGGAGGCCACGTGGAGAGCTTCAAGAAACACTGGGTTGTTAATGCTTCCAAGACCTTGCCTTGGGACATTGCTCAAGAGGACCTTCTCCTATTGGCTTAAAAAGGGGCTACCCAGTTAGAGACAGGGCACTGAACAAGCTGACCCAAGGAGGGTTCTTTCTTCCCTGGGCTTCTAATCCACTTATGTTGACTGGCTCGGTGAAACTATATACGCCATGATTGTGGAAGGCAGGCAGTAAGAAGGGCTCTGCCACTTAAGAGCATTGTGACCTTGGTTGGGCACATCATTTGACCTATCTGAACCTTATTGATCCCATCTGTATAATGGGCATGACTGCCCTTGCAGTGCTGCTAAAAGAATTAAACAAAACAAGTATGAGTCACACAAGGGAATGGAAGGCTGGAGCAGGAGGGTGGAAGGGTGTTGCTCCCTCTAATCTCTCTCATGGGAACATCAGATAATGTGGAGAGTTTCTACCAATGTCTGGGCTCCGGGCATCCAGGTAGTCAAGCAAGGCCTCCAGGCAGCCAACACAGGCCTGGGACAATAGAGGGTCCTTCTGCAGAAAAAAAAAAAAAAAATCAGGTCAGGTTTTGCTACCAATGGCTTTTGGTGCCAACCAAGAAAAAACATTTGGTTTTCAGAGTTACTTGGATTTCAGAATTTCAGATTTGGGATTATAGCCCTGTAGATAATCAAGAAATGTTTATTGGCTTCATCTCTCACCCTCATACAGAGCACAGTGCTTATACTGTGTGATTTACCTACATTCAGGAGAGTGCTTTGGGCTAGGCACAGTGGCTCACGCCTGTAATCCCAGCACTTTGGGAGGCCAAAGCGTCTGGATCACCTGAGGTCGGGAGTTTGAGACCAGCCTGGTCAACATGGTGAAACCCCATCTCTACTAAATATACAAAAATTAGCTAGGTGTGTTGGTGCACACCTGTAGTCCCAGCTACTGAGGAGGTTGAGGCAGGAGAATCGATTGAACCCGGGAGGCGGAGGTTGCGGTGAGCTGAGATTGCACCACTTGCACTCCAGCCTGAGCGACAGAGCGAAACTCCATCGTGGTGGCTCACACCTGTAATCCCAGCACTTTGGGAGGCTGAGCGGGTGGATCACGAGGTCAGGAGTTCAGCCTGGCCAAGATGATGAAACCCCATCTCTACTAAAAATACAAAAAATTAGCTGGGCGTGGTGGTGGGCGCCTGTAATCCCAGCTACTTGGGCGGCTGAGGCAGATAATTGCTTGAACCCGGGAGCAGAATGAGCCACGATCATGCCACTGCACTCCAGCCTGGGCAACAGAGCAAGACTCTATCTGAAAAAAAAAAAAAAAAAAAAAAAAAAAAAAAGAATGCTTTGTTTCAGAAAAGAAGATGGACCCTGGGCCACACTAAAAGATTTATAGATTACAGAGCCTCACAGTTTACTTAAGCCAGTGGGTTTCAACCTTTTTTTTTTTTTTTAAAGCAACAGGATCTTTCATCAAAATTGTATGCTCTAATAAGCACATGAAAATATTTATCATTAGTCATTAGGGAAATGCAAATTAAAACTACTAGGTACCCCTGTACATCTACCAATAGCTAAAGTTAAAAAGACTGACAACACCAAGTGTTGAGGAGAATGTGGAGAAGCTGGCACTCATACATTGCTGGTGGGAAGATAAAATGGTGCAGCCACTTTGGGAAACAATTTGATGGCTTCTTATAAAGTTAAACATACACTTATCACCCCCATAACCACCCTTATCACTCCAGTGCCCACAGCCCTTCTTCACAGCCCTCTGCTGCCACTGACCTGCCCCTTCACCCCATGTGACCCAGGATGGTGGACCCTGGACACTCTCTCTACTCTTATTTCAACTAACACTTTCCTCCACCGTGCTCCATTCCTGGGGGAATAGAGGCTGTTCTCATGTCAGCCTTTTATTTTGCAGATGGAGAACATAAAGATTAGTAAAAAGTGACTTGCTAAACATTTTCAAGTCAGAGGCTGGGCAGGGGCTTTGACACAGATTCCTGTGACTCTAGATACTGTACCTTCCACTGCACTGCACTGGGCCACCCAACTGCTGAAGATTCTGCATAGCTGATCAGCACTCAGTTTGTAGTGCTGGTGCCACCAGGCTGCTTTGGCCCAGAGGTGTCAAGGAGGACCAGCACCCAGAGCCCTAGCTTAGGCTTCACTGTCATTTTTCTCCCTTGACACCAGTTTTTAAAAGTATAGTTTTATCGAGATATAATTCACAAACCATAATACTCATCCTTTAAAGGATATAATTCAGTAGTTTTTTAAAATTATATCCATAGAGTTGCACAGCAATGTAATTCAAGAATATTTTCATCACCCCTAAAAAGAAACCCCATACTCAGCAGTCACTCTTCATTCCCCCATCTCTCCACTCAGCCCTAGGCAACTACTAATCTACTTTCTGTCTCCATGAATTTGCCTTTTCCAGACATTTCTCATAAGCAGAATCATAATATGTGCTCTTTTGTATCTGACTTCTTTCACTTAATGTTCTCAAGGTTCATCCATGTTGTAGCATGTGTCAGTACTTCATTCCTTTGTATGGTCAAATAGTATTTCATTGTATGGATATACAATTTGTCCATTCATCAGTTGATGGACATTGGGGTTGTTTCCACTTTTTCATCATTATGAATAGTGCTGCTATGGACATTCAGATACAAGGTTTTGTGTGGACATTCTCCACCTCCTGTCAACACTTGCTATTATCTGTGTTCTTATTTTAGCCACCCTCATGGGTATGAGGATGGCCTAGCTGTCATCTGCATGTACAGCCTCTTGTTCACCAGTTGCCTTACCTCCAGGCACTCTCCTTGCCCCCATCTTTCCCACTGTGGCTGAGAGGGAACTTGCTTTTTTTCTTTTGAGACAGGTCTCACTCTGTCACCCAGGCTGCAGCTCAGTGGCATCATGACAGCTCACTTTGGCTTCAACCTCCTGGGCTTAGGTGATCCTCCCATCTCAGCCTCCTGAGTAGATGGAACTACAGGCATGTGCCACCACGTCCAGCTAATTTTTTGTATTTTTTATAGAGATAGGGTTGTGCTGTGTTGCCCAGGCTGGTCTGGAACTCGTAGACTCAAGCAATCCACCCACCTTGGCCTCCCTGAGTGCTAGGATTACAAGCATGAGCCATAGTACCCAGCCCGAGAGAGAGCTTTCAAACACACAGTCTGATAGATGTCCTTCCACAGTTCGCACAGTGATTCTTAGCCTAATGTATGAGGCATGGCTCAGTTTGGCTCTGCCCAGCTTTTTGTCTCATTTTCTGCTTCATCACACCCCACACCCCAGCATGCACTTTCAGAATATGTGATTTTATACATGCTGTTGTCCTGCCGGAATGCCCTTCCCTCTATACCTCTGCCTAGACACCCTTCAAGGCTGAGTTCAAATGTCACCTTCTCTGTGAAGCCTCCTCTGACTTCCCACACGGGGCATTTTTGCCTAAAAGAAGTTTTCAGACCAGGTGTGGTGGCTCACGCCTGTAATCCCAGCACTTCGGGGCTGAGGTGGGCGGATCACAAGGTCAGGAGTTCGAGACCAACCTGGCCAATATGGTGAAACCTTGTCTCTACTAAAAATACAAAATTAGCCAGACATGGTGGCGGGAGCCTGTAGTCCCAGCTGCTCAGGAGGGTGAGGCAGGAGAATCACTTGAACCCAGGAGGCAGAGGTTGTAAGTGAGCCGAGATCGCGCCATTGCACTCCAGCCTGGGTGACAGAGTGAGACTCTGTCTCAGAAAAAAAAAAGAAAAAAAGAAGTTCAGTGGAAGAAGATAATGTAAACCACTATCATATAATAAAATATGATAATGTGATACTCAATTCACAGCTGAATGAACCATTCTGGGAGCTCAAGGGAGAGGGATTTCCTCTATTGCTGGGTTACTGTGGAATAAATATTTGCTGAATGTATGAATCATTGAACAAATGAATGAAGAAATGAATAAAAAGCGAGTTTTAAGACCGGGTGCGGTGGCTCACACCTGTAATCCCAGAACTTTGGGATGCCAAGGCAGGCAGATCACTTGAGGCCAGGAGTTTTGAGACCAACCTGGCCAACATGGCGAAACCCTGTCTCTACTAAACATACAAAAAATTAGCCAGGTATGGTGGCAAGTGCCTGTAATCCCAGCTACTTGGTAGGCTGAGGCACGAGAATCTCTTGCAACTGGAAGGCAGAGGTTGCAGTGAGCCAAGATCACGCCACTGCACTCCAGCCTGGACAACAGAATGAGAGTCTGTCTCAAAAAACAAAACAAAAAAACAAACAAACTAGTTTTAAACAACAAACTGGTTGAAGGGAATGAAGGAGGCTTAGCTATAGCCATGAGGTCCTGGGCAGTGACAGAGGGGACATTGTGGCTGAACAAAGAAGGCCAGGAAATTTCTCGAGAGTGTGACAGTGAGAGAAAAGAGGAAAAGCCTACTTGGTCCTGTTCACTAGGCAATTATAGGGCAGTCACTGTGAGGCTAAGACAGGCTCCTCAGCAATACCCTCCCATAAGCAGGGTAGGCCCAGCACCTTCTACAGGGGGAGTCATGAGCTTCTCAGGTTGGGTTCCCCTTCCCAGGGACTGTTGAGGACAGACAGTCAAAAACTACCAGAGAGACAAATACAGGATTCCACTTACATGAGGTCCCTACAGTAGTCAAATTCATAGAGATAGCAAGTAAAATGGTAGATGCCAGGGGCTGGGGGAGGGGACTGGGGAATTGTTTAATGGGTACAGAGTTTCAGTTTGGGAAGATGAAAAGATCTAGAGATGGATGATGGTGAAAGTTGCACAACAATGTGAATGTACTTAATGCCACTGACCCATATACTTAAAATGATTAAAATACTAAATTGTATGTTATATATAGTTTACTACAATTAAAACAAGGCCAGGTGCAGTGACTCACACCTGTAATCCTAGCACTTTGTGAGGCCAAAGCCAGAGGATTGCTTGAGCCCAGGAGGTCAAGACCAGCCTGGACAACATAGTGAGATATCATCTCTACGAAAGTATTTTATTTTTTATTTATTTATTTTTTGAGATGGAGTCTTGCTCTGTCACCCAGGCTGGAGTGCACTGGCATGATCTTGGCTCACTGCAACCTCCACCTCCCGGGTTCAAGTGATTCTCCTGCCTTGGCCTCCCAAGTAGCTGGGATTACAGGTGCGCGCCACCACGCCCGGCTAATTTTTTTGTATTTTTAGTAGAGATGAGGTTTCACCCTGTTGGCCAGGCTGGCCTCAAATTCCTGACAAGTGATCCGCCCGTCTTGGCTCCCAAAGTGCTGAGATTACAGGCATGAGCCACTGCGCCTGGCCTTACTACCAATACAAAAGTATTTTAAAATTAGCTGGGCATGGTGGTGTATACCCGTAGTCCCAGCTATTCAGGAGGTTGAGATGGGAGGATCACTTAAGCTCAGCAGGTTAAGGTGGCAGTGAGCCATGATCATGCCACTGTACTCTAGCTTGGGCGACAGCAAGACCCTATCTCAAAAATAAAAATAAACAGTTGCCAGAGGCAGAGTTGAATGTCACAGGCCAGGGAGACACCTAGGCTCTTGGGCATGAGAGGCGAATGGTGAAAGTGCTATACAATACTTCACTGGTGGCTGGGCACGTTGGCTCACACCTGTAATCCCAGCACTTTGGGAGGCCGAGGTGGGCAGATCACCTAAGGTTGGGAGTTTGAGACCAGCCTGGCCAACATGGTGAAACCCTGTCTCTACTAAAAATACAAAAATTAGCCAGGCATGGTGGCACACACCTGTAATCCCAACTACTCAGGAAGCTGAGGCAGAAGAATCGCTTAAACCCAGGAGGTGGAGGTTGCAGTGAGCTGGGATCATACCACTGCACTGCAGCCTGGGTGACAGAGCAAGACTATGTCTCAAAAAAAACAAAACAAAACCCACAAACCTCACTGGCACCCCACCCTAGTGTTTAGGCTATTGGTTTGAAGAAGGCTTTTTCATCACTCAAGGCCCAGTTCAAATGCTACCTCTCCTGTGCAGCCTTCCAATACAGGTTGAGGCTGGGCACGCCTGTAATCCCAGCACTTTGGGATGCCGAGGCAGGTGGATCACTTGAGGTCACGAGTTCGAGACCAGCCTGGCCAACATGGTGAAACCTCATGTCTACTAAAAATACAAAATTAGCCAGGCATTGTGGTGCGTACCTGTAGTCCCAGGTACTTGGGAGGCTGAGGCAGGAGAATCACTTAACTCAGGAGGCAGAGGTTGCAGTGAGCTGGGATTGCACCACTGCACTCCAGCCTGGGTGACAGAGCGAGACTCCATCTCAAAAACAAACAAAAAAACAAATACTGGTTGAGTATCTGTAATTAAAAATTTGAAATCTGAAATATCCCCATATCCAAAACTTTTGAGCACCAACATGATGCTCAAAGCAGATGCTCATTGGGCATTTCGGATTTTGGACTTTTGTATTAGGAATGCTCAACTGCTAATAGGTCATTTTGGTATTAGATGTAGTTATTTGTGTTTCCTATAATCTGTGAGTGCCTAAATGGCTGGGATCATGTAATGTTAATTTCTGTGGTTTTCATCCATTCAACAAACATTCCCAGATGCCAACTTTGTGCCAAGCTCTGTGCTGGGTATTGGGAAATCATTCCCCCCACACCTCCTGTTCTGAATCTTAAAACAGGAACATCAGCGCTTTTAGAAACATTAGGGAGAAAGCATTTCCCTAACTGGCCCTCCTCACCCAAGGAAGGTTTTATCTAGCAGGCAAGATACTAGCTTAAGATCTACTGTGCCATCAGGGCAGGATTAAGGTATTAAAGATTATGCTCCCATGAACTTAAACTCTTAAGATCCTGGCCAGCTGGCTAAGTGTCCATAATGCAAACACAGTTTTTCCCGCCTGTGGACCCCTGGTCTGGCAAGAAGGAGGGTGTTTTAAAAAGCTCATTTTGGACAGATATGATTAAGCAAGTATAATAAAATGTTATTAGTAGAATCTAGGTGTTGGGTGTATGAATGTTCACTGTAAAACTCTCTCATTGCTGTATGTTTGAAAAACTGCAGGAAAAAAAAAGCCCATTCTGTTCCAGAGTCCCAGCCAATATTCTACTATGATGTTTACCAGCAATAAAGCTTATGTTTTGGTTCTCATCTGATTCCTGCATTCTAAATTAGCTTTAAACCCACAAGGGGAAGGACACACAAAGATTAACCAGACCCAGACTCTGCCCTTGAGTATATCACAGCCTGGTTGGGGGAATAGTGATATGAAAATGGAAACTTGAAACAGAGAGCTAAGTGCTATAATAGGATAGATGTTTGATCCCTAAAGAGCACAGAGCCTTGTGCAAGGATGTGCCACAGGACAAGACTCAACAACCGCTAACTCAGCATAGGGCCCACTCCTGGGACATCTTCCTGGGGCCCCCAGTATCCTTCATAGGCCATGACATTGGGTCAGGGCTCGGGATATGATGGCTACATAAACACTGATCTACAAGTGTCTCCTAAGCCATAAAACACAAACCCCTTGGAGGTAGACATGCTTTTGCTTGCTCTGGATCCCCTCCTTCTTCTGGTAGCAGTTTTCCCATGGGGAACCATCCCTCTCTTAGGACCAGTCCACCTGGGCTATGGAGAGTTGACCACATGCTCTGGCCTCCAGGAGAGGGCACTGACCCAAGCCAGGCCAATCAGGGCATCCCATGCCCCAGCCATGGTGACTGGCATATTACCCAAGCCAGCCTAATGAGACTCAATTCTGGGAACTATGAGGAAAGAGAAATCTTTTTTCCATAGAGGATATAAGCTAGGAGCTACTGCTGGTCATCCTACTATCTCATAAAAATAAAGCTGACAGTGAGGAATGCAAAGCCAATAGATGGAAAGAGTCTGATGACCTTCTCTGAGCTTCTGGGATCCAGCTGTGCCTGAAGCCAGTATTGACCCCAGGACTTCTCAGTTATAAGCCAAATTGAGTTTTGTTTCTGTCACTGTAGCTTTAAAAGTCTCACCCAGGCAGGGAATAGTGGCTTATGCCTGTAATCCTAGCACTTCTGGAGGCCAAGGTAAGAGGATCACTTGAGGCCAGGAGTTCGAGACCAGCCTGGAAATATAGCAAGACCCCATCTGTATTTAAAAAATAAAAATAGGGGCCGGGCGCGGTGGCTCACGCCTGTAATCCCAGCACTTTGGGAGGCCGAGGCGGGCGGATCACGAGGTCAGGAGATCGAGACCATCCTGGCTAACACGGTGAAACCCCGTCTCTACTAAAAATACAAAAAATTAGCCGGGCGTGGTAGCGGGCGCCTGTAGTCCCAGCTACTCGGGAGGCTGAGGCAGGAGAATGGCGTGAACCCGGGAGGCGGAGCTTGCAGTGAGCCGAGATCGCGCCACTGCACTCCAGCCTGGGCGACAGAGCGAGACTCCGTCTCAAAAAAAAAAAAATAAAATAAAAAATAAAAAAATAAAAAAATAAAAAAATAAAAAAATAAAAATAGGCCGGGTGTGGTGGCTCATTCCTGTAATCCCAGCACTTTGAGAGGCTGAAGCGGGTGGATCACCTGAGGTCAGGAGTTCGAGACCAGCCTGACCAATATGCGGAAACCCCGTCTCTACTAAAAATACAAAAATTAGCCGGGCATGGTGGCATGCACCTGTAATCCCAGCTACTCGGGAGGCTGAGACAGGAGAATCACTTGAACCTGGGAGGCGGAGGTTGCAGTGAGCCAAGATTGCACCATTGCACTCCAGCCTGGGCAACAAGAGCCAAACTCTGTCTCAAAAACAAATAAATAAATAGGCCAGGTGCAGTGGCTCACACCTGTAATCCCAGCACTTTGGGAGGCCGAGGCGGGAGGATCATGAAATCAGGAGATCAAGACCATCCTGGCTAACACAGTGAAAACCTTTCTCTACTAAAAATACAAAAAATTAGCCGGGCGTGGTGGTGGCTGCCTGTAGTCCCAGCTACTCGGGAGGCTGAGGCAGGAGAATGGCGTGAACCCGGGAGGCAGAGCTTGCAGTGAGTCGAGATCACGCCACCACACACCAGCCTGGGCGACAGAGCTAGACTCCGTCTAAAAAAATAATAAAAATAAATAAATAAATAAATAAATAAAATAAAAATGCCAGGCGCGGTGGCTCACGTCTGTAATCCCAGCACTTTGGGAGGCGGAGGCAGGCGGATCACGAGGTCAAGAGATTCAGACCATCCTGGCCAACATGGTGAAACCCCGTCTCTACTAAAAATACAAAAATTAGCCAGGTGTGGTGGCAGGCACCTGTAGTCCCAGCTACCCGGGAGGCTAAGGCAGGAGAATTGCTTGAACCCGGGAGGCGGAGGTTGCAGTGAGCCAAGATTGCGCCACTGCACTCCAGCCTGGGCAACAAGAGCGAAACTCTGTCTCTAAATAAATAAATAAATAAATAAATAAAATAAAAATAATAGAAATAATTTTTTTAAAAAAGTCTTAATCCACCCTCCAAGCCCTGGTAGGAGTATCAGGCTCTCGACAGGCAGCCACCCCTTCCTGCTGTTGTCCTGGGAGAAGCAAGCCCCACTCAGCAAGGGCCTTACCTGCACCAGGAGGTTCTGCAGCCCAATGACCAGGGACCGGACTTGCGACATTCGCAGTGGAGCTAGGACAGTGTCCTTGGTGGCTGGCAGTGGCTGGGCCCCTGAGGGCACCAGGGCTACCAGGGCAGAGGAAAAGCTTTGTCGCAGGGCTGTCCGCAGGAAGCATAAGATGGCAGCTGGAAGCAGGAGATTCCTTACACCCAATTCCTGTCTCCTTCCCACCTCCCACCCAGCTCTGTCACAGGATGGGAGACAATGAAGATGAGACAATTATGGAGTGACCATTGGCTGGTCAGGGTGCTGGTCTTATCTGAAAACCTAGGGAAAAAGCTTTTCTTCTGCTGGAGACTTGTGGACCCATACCTGAGAGTAGTGCAGCCTTTTTCTTTGGAAAGCTGAGAGCCTTCAATACTTGGTCCATTTCCACAGAGAGTGTCTGGTGAACCTGGCAGGGCACAGGGTAAAGGGCTAACCCCCATGTTCTGGAAGCCTGGGCAGAAAATAACCTGCCTGAAAATCTCTTCTATCACCTCCCCCCACATATCCACTGCATCAAAAGGGGACGGAGGAGGCCACACAGAGTCCTCCAAGCTGCACCAGCCCTGGCTTCAGGAGCATGCGGAGAATCAAGTCCGAACCTGGAGAACTCTTTTTCTTCCAAATCTCCCCCATCCTCACTGGCCTCCTCCATCAGACAGCCTTCTCTGGCCTCATCTGTGGTTCAGTCTCTGGCTCTGTTCACTATACACCTAACTCAGAAGATCTGGAGTCAGACAGGCCAAATCAAAATCCTGGCTCTCAAGTCAGGTACAGTGGCTTACACCTGTAATCCCAGCACTTTGGGTGGCTGAGGTGAGAGGATTCGTTGAGCCCAGGAGTTCAAGACCAGCCTGGACAACATGGCGAAGACCCATCTCTACAAGAAAATACAAAAACATTATCTGGGCATGGTAGCATGTGTCTGTAGTTCTTGCTACTCAGGAGGCTGAGGTGAGATAATCACTTGAGCTGGGAGGCCAAGGCTGCAGTGAGCTGGGATACTGCCACTGCACTCCAGCCTGGACGACAGATTCCATTTCTTTAAAAAATAAAATAAAATCCTGGCTTTGCTACCTGTCAGCTGTATGGCCTTGGGCAAGTTACTGCACCTCTCTCAGCATGCCTGACTTTCTTCATCTATGAAATTAAGACAAGCCGGGCACAGTGGCTCACGCCTATAATCCCAGCACTTCGGGATGCTGAGGTGGGTGGATCACCTGAGGTGAGGAGTTCAAGACCAGCCTGACCAACTTGGAGAAACCCCGTCTCTACTAAAAATACAAAATTAGCTGGGTGTGGTGGCAGATGCCTGTAATCCCAGCTACTAGGGAGGCTGAGGCAAGAGAATCGCTTGAACCCAGGAGGCAGAGGTTGCGGTGAGCCGAGATCACACCATTGCACTCCAGCCTGGGCAACTAGAGCAAAACTTTGTCTGAAAAAATAAAATAACAGGGAACTCTGTGTATGTGTGTCGGGGGTGAGGGGGGGTGTTATATGGGAACTCTCTGTACTACCTGCACCATTTTTCTATAAATCTAAAACTGTCCTAAAAATGAAGTCTATTAATAATAAACAAAACAGACAAAAAAAAGGTATGGCAATGTGAAGGAGCATAGCTGACTGGGAGAAGCACAAATGCCTGGCCAGAGGACAGGGAAGGTGGGTGGGAATGGCAGAAAGTAAGGCTGCAGAGGGCCAGGCCTAGAGGAGGACAAAAAGGCTGCTGAAGGAGCTTGGGCAGAAGGGGTGTGAGGACAGACTGTGGCTGCAATGATAGGACATGCAGAGGAGGGAAGAGGCGGGTGGCCAGGAGACTGTAACTAGGTCACATTAGTGGGGAGGACGAATGATCAGGCCTGAGTTAGGGCACTGGAGGTAGCTAGGAGCAGGTAATTGCCTAGGTGTGAGCTGAGGGCCAGGGCAGAGCCAAGGACAAAATGCAAGTTTTCTCCTAGGCAGGTGACTGCAGACAGCTGGATGAGCCCAGCAGCCTCACACGGAAAATTAGGAAAGGTTTCTGTCCTAAACCAACCACAGGCAACAACCTGCAGGATTTGCCAGAGCATAGATTTGCCACAGCTTGTTGCCCCTCTAGAGGCCAAAGTTTAAAACTCATGTCACTTCTGTGTGCCCATCACTAGATTGGCACAGTATTGGGCGCAGTGTGAGGATACCACAGAGGCTAGCAGATGGTTTCCATGAGAAGTAGCCCACAGAGGAGCTCACGCAGGGCACTGTGATGACAAGGCCCTACAAGAGGGAGGGGCTGAGGGGAAGGAGGTGCTCTGTGGATAAGTCCACTGCTCTCCTCTTCCCTGCATCACCTTCTCGAACAGTAATAATGACAGTTAACCATGTGTGGCATTCCACGGCTTGCCATGCTGCACTTTAAGGTCGCAGGCTGGCTTCTGCCTCCCCGTCTGGTCTTTTCTGCTCCATTCATTCCCCACCTTCTCATCACACAGAGCACCTCACCACTCCCCAAATATACAGAGCATGTCCTGAATTTGTGCAGCTTCATGCCTTTGCTCATATTGTTCTCTCTACTTGGAATGCCTTCTCCCACTATCTTTGCTGAGTACAATCTTATCCTTAAAGACTACAAGTTCCCTAAGGGTAGGACACATGCTATATTCATTTTTTATTCCTCTGTGCCAAGAATAGAGCCTGGAGTGTAGGTAAACCTTATGTGTTAAGTGGATTAATATGAAACAACCTCACAACAATCCTGAGATGTTTTCCCCATTTTGTAGGAAAGGAAACTGAGCTCAGAAAGGGTAAATACCTTGCCAAGGTCACACAGCTAATAAGCCCCCAGAGCTGGGACCAGAACTCAGGATCTTCAACACTCCTTTGAGTGCCACCCCATGCCTCAAAGCCACAGGAGTTAAAGACTAACCTGCAAACTGCCCTTGTGCTGCTGGGCAGAGAAGGAGGCAGTGAGCAGCCAGGCAGAGCAGAGGAGTGCAGTCCTGGGAGAATCTGCCTTTGCCAAGGTGAGGGCCAGCATCTTCTCCAGAAGCTCCATCAGGCCTGTGCTGCTCAGGAGCACTGCAGCAGCTGTCGGGGGTGGGCAAGGCAGGGCCCACAGGAGTTACAGAGGAGCTTCAGCTAAGTGCCACTATGGTGCTTAGCACCTGATTGGGGCTTCACAAACAAACAGAGGATCATCCTGAGGCTCTAAGGGTCCCAGCTTCATAACAGAAGCTCAGGTTATTAGAGCCAGAAAGGACCTTATGACCACCAGCCACACACACAACCCTATTTGTTTTTTTAAGATGAAAAAGTTGAGATACAGAGGACCACAGACTGCCCAGCACTCTTCACTGTCCCAGCCCGGGCCCCTGCACCTCTTTTCTGACTGCTGGGTGTGGTCTGATGAAGGCTCCAATACAGGAAGTTGAAGGAGGGCTGCAGGATGTCCACGTCAGTGGGGCTGCACTTCCCACACAGCTTGCTTACTGCAAGAGATGAAAGTCCCCAGTCGGCCTGTCGCAAAACACTCACACTTGTCATAGGTGGTAGCCTGCGACTGGCTATTTCAGATGTCAGTCTTGGGGAGCAAGCACAAACTAAGTATCCCTGATATTACAACCAATGGAAAGAAACACAGTGACAAACCTTAAGGCACATTCACACCCTCCATCTAGACAAACATCAGGCAAGCAGCCTACAGCTGCACATCACAGAAAGACTTTAGGATTTCAAAGGGATCCATCCTGTGAACATCGTCACCACCTTCCCAAGGGAACTTTAACAGTCGAATGAAGTGCAGTTCCCTGCACTTGCCACATCCCCTCTCTCACATCACTTCATTTAGCTAACTCCTCTTGTCCCCGTCAGCAATCAAGATTCAGCTCAGGCCTCCGCAGTGGCTTACGCCTGTAATCCCAACACTTTGGGAGGCAGAGGCAGGCAGATTGCTTGAGCCCAGGAGTTCAAGACCAACCTGGGCAATGTGGTGAGACCCCGTCTCTCCACAAAAAAATACAAAAAATTAGCTGGGCATGGTGGCACACACTGGTAGTCCCAGCTACTCGAGAGGCTGAGGTGGAAGGATCGCCTGAGCCCGAGAGGTAGAGGCTGCAGTGAGCAGTTATCATGCTATTATACTTCAACCTGGGTGACAGAGTGAGACCCTGTCTCAAAAAAAAAAAAAAAAAGAAAAGAAAAAAATTCAGCTCAAAGTTCATCTCCCCCTTGAAGCCTTCCTTAACCTCTCAAGGCAAGATTAGATGTGCTTCTGCATTCTCCCAGGCCTCATCAGTGCAACATTACACTGTAGATATCTATAGAACATATCCCTTTACTCTTGGGAACTCCCACTTCCCATCTCCCTATCCCCATCCTAATATGAAACCTACCTACAGCTCCATTCACTTTTTGGCAGCCACATCACACCCTGACTTCGGTGCTCACCCAGACAAGCAGGTCTCAGCTCCCTCCCACACCAGTACCTCCACCCCGAACCACAGTCCTCTACTCTCTGCTGTCATATAGAAGTGCTCAAGGATTATATGTAAATGTCCTATTACATTTCATGTGTGGGTTTCAGCCTGTTACTCCCTGTCAGAGGCTCTTCTGAAGGCTGAGTTTGTCACACACAGATCCCCCTCCTAGCTTAGTGTCAGCCTTGATCTCACAGACAGGCTGGTGATGACTGGCACCAGGCTGAGGCCATCTGCAATGCGTCCCCAGTGGCCTTTTTTTGAATCTGACACTGATGTTCTCATGAGGTGGACTGGGCTCCAGGCAGGGAAGATGCCCCATCTTCACCTGTGGCTACAGGAGCTGGGGGGTCCACAAACACTGAAGACATGTCATTTTTCCTATTCATTTCAACCTTCCCTCAGCAAATCTTCCTGCAGGTGCTGCCTGTGAAGTGATGGCAGCATCATGAGTTGAGAAACCGAGGAGGTTTGGGGTGTGGGTAAGAAAAAAGCCTGGAGAACTGTGAACTGGATCATCAGATCTGAGTCAATTGTAGGATGAGCTGGAGAGCTGACCTTGTGCCAGGAAAAAAGGAATCTGCATGAATAGGATCTGTTGAAGGTCTACTGTGTGTCAAGCACTGTGTGACATTCTCTATCTAACTAGATAAGTATTCCTTATCTTAACAACTAGATAAGTATTCCGTATCTTAACCCTAGTTTAGGAAAGTACTACTACTTTACCTATGAGGAACCTAAGACTCACAGAGACTAGATGATTGCTAGTGACTAAGCTGAGATTCAAACCCAGGCCTTCCTGACTCTAGAGCTTGTGCCTGTCATACAGATTTGTTTGTTTTAGGGACGAGGTCTCACTCCATTGCCCAGGCTGGGTGCAGTGGTGAGATCATAGCTCACTGCAGCCTTGACGTCCTGGGCTCAAGCAATCCTCCCGCCTCGGCCTTCCCAAGTTGCTGGGACTATATATAGGTCTGCATCACGACACACAGCTAATTATTTGTATTTTTTTTGTAGAGACAGGGTTTCACCATGTTGCCAAGGCTGGTCTTGAACTCCTGAGCTCAAACGACATGCTGCCTCAGCCTCCCAAAGTGCTAGGATTATAGGCGTGAGCCACTAGGCCTGGCAGTTTGTAGAGGCAGGATCTTGCTATGTTGCCCAGGCTGGTCTTGAACTCCTGGCTTCAAACAATCCTCCGGCCTCAAACACCCAAAGTGCTGGGATTACAGGCATGAGCACCCCCCTGGCCTCATAATGCTGATTTTTTGCAGAGGTAGGGTGTCTCCCAAACATTCCCAGAGAACAAGCAGAGAAAGCCCTGAGAGGTCCTTTAGCAAGAAAACCCTAGGGACAGACTGACCTACTAGCTTCTTCCAAAGGGATGAAAGAGTAGAAGAAAGAAGAACACCAGCCTACTTAGTGAGCACCCACTGCACGTCCAGCCCTGGGCCCTTGGGCGCTATCCCAAGCAGCCAGGGCACCTTGGTGAAGGAGCTTCATGGCCACGCTGTCCAGTTCTTGCTCTGACACATTCCTGAGCTGCATCAGGGAGAGGAGGCTCAGCAGCAATGGTAGGTTCCCCGAGGCTGTGAAGAACAAGGAGGACTGGGCAAGAAGCCTGATGCTCAGATCACCTGAAGGTCAGACACCCTGCCCTGCTTCAATGGCCCTTAATAACAGGTTCAAAGTTTTTTGTTTCCTAAGGGGTGAGGTGTTTTGTTGGGATTTACTCCTATTTCTTTCTTCATTTAGAACAGGCGTAACTGATATACTAAGTGCCAGACATAGGTTGGTACCAGGAATTCATTATTTCATTTAATCCCACTAAACAAAATGTGAAGCATGGATTGTTATTCCTATTTTGCACTTACAAAATTGAGGCTCAGAGAGGCTGAGTGACTTCTCCAAGGTCCCACAGCCAGAAAGTGGCAGGATGCTGTGGTCTGAATGTTTGTGTTCCTCCAAAATTCATGTTGAAATCTTAACCCCCAATGTAATAGTATTAGGAAGTGAGGCCTTTGGTAGATGACTGAATCATGAGGGTAGAATCTTCATGAATGGGATGAGTGGCCTTTTGAAAGAAACTGCGAGGAGCTCCCTCCCTCACCCCTTCTGTCATGTGAGGACACAGTAAGAAGACAAGTCATCATGCTGGCACATGCCTATAACCCCAGCTACTCAGGAGTCTGAGGTTGGGGGATTGCTTGAGCCTAGGAGGTCAAGGCTGTGGGGGGCAGGGGAGAAGGAGGAGGAAGAAAGGAGGAGAAGGAAGAAAGGAGGAGAAGGAAGGAAGGAGGAGGAGGGAGGGGAGAAGGAGGGGAAAGAGGAGGAAAAGAGGAAGAAGAACAAGAGGAGAAGAAGAAAAGAAGAAGAAGAAAGAAGAAGATGAAGGAGAAAGAAGGATGGATGGAAGGAAGGAACGAAGGAAGGAAGGAAGGAAGCAGGGAAGGAATGAAGGAAGGAAGGAGGGAAGGAAGGAAAGAAGACAGCCATTTATGAACCAGGAAGTAGGCCTTCACCAGACACTGAATCTTTCAGTACCTTGATTTTGGATTTCCCAGCCCCCAAAACTGGGAGAAATAAATTCCTGTTGTTTATAAGTCACCCAGTCTATGGCCCAAATAGACCCAAATCTGAATCCAATGCCCATGGCCTTCCCACTATGTTTCCACTACATCTTAAGGTTCTTAACCAGTATTATCAGCTAAACATGGCTTGTCCTTCCCTGAAAAGAAATAACTCATCTCCTCTTGACACCTTTAAATCTACTTCCAAACCCTCAGTCCTCTGTCAGGTAGCCACAGATTGCCTTTCGCTTTGCTTAGAAATATAATTTTAGGCCGAGTGTGGTAGCTCACACCTGTAATCCAAGCACTTTGGGAGGCTGAGGCGGGCGGATCACTTGAGGTCAGGAGTTCGAGACCAGCCTGGCCAATATAGTGAAACCCACCTCTAATAAAAATACAAAAAATTAGCCAGGTGCAGTGGCGCATGCCTGTAATTCCAGCTACTATGGAGGCTGAGGCAGAAGAATCACTTGAACCCAGGACGTGAAGGTTGCAGTGAGCCGAGATCACGCCACTGCACACCAGCCTGAACGACAGAGTGAGACCCTCTCTCAAAAAAAAAAAAAAATTATTTTTAAAATTCAGCTTCTCTAAAAATAGAAAAAAACTAAGCTGGGCGCAGTGGCTCACCCCTGTAATCCAACCACTTTGGGAGGCTGAGGTGGGCGGATCACTTGAGCTCAGGGGTTTGAGACCACCCTGGGCAACATGGTGAAACCCCGTCTCTCCTGAAAATACAAAAAAATTAGCTGGGTGTCGTGGCACACACCTGTAAGTCCCAGCTACTTGGGAGGCTGAGGCACAAGAATTGCTTGAACCTGGAAAGTAGAGGTTGCAGTGAGCAGAGATCTTGCCACTGCACTCCAGCGTGGGTGACAGAGTGAGACTGTCTCAAAAATAAAATAATAATAAAATAAATACATAAAATATAAAATAAATAAATACAATAAAATAAACCAATCCAAATTTTCAGTGTCTCCATACTGTACCAAACATCAAGCTTCCTTGACTCCAGTGAGTACCATTCCAGATTTGGAAACTAATCCCCCGGATCTCACTAGGAGCTTCCAACACATCACAGATCCACCTCCCTCCCCAGCCCCTGCGGACTGCTGCTGCCTCCATCCTCCTCCAGATTTCTCACTTTCTTCTTCCCACAGGGGGCTGCCATGCTTGTGACAAACAACACTGAGCACATGCTGCACAGGGTGGGGATATGCATGCACACATCAAACACATCCACTCATGTTAAACACACACACAGCAAACCAAGCATGTTGTACGCCCACTCTGCAGTGAGAGAAAGGAGGTGAAGTTTAGCTTGATGCCACAATGGCCTGGCTTTCTTTTTCAGATAAAACCCTGATTCTCTCTCCTGGAGCAGACCTAACAAGGGTAGAGATGCCCATTCTCGACTGGCTTTCAGGTCAAAGTGTGCCCACAGCACCTGCAGACTGACCTCCTGATGGGGATGCCCCATGCTCCACTAGCAGACGCTGCAGGATCAGCAGGAAGTGGCCTCGGATAAGACCGCCCACTTGGATATCCTCATTCCTCCTCAGGAAGGTCCTCAGGCTAATCAGTACCTTGTGAGCTGTGTCCACTGGGCTGGAATAGATGAGGTCCTGAGCAGGAGAGAAGAAAGCCAGAGATCAGAGGGTACTGCAGTTGGGGAAAAGTGACAATGAGGAATAGAGGGGCAGGAAAAGGGCCCATAATTATGATGTCACAAAAACTGGGTAATCTGTCACTTACTCAGCACCTATTATGTACCAAAGGCTCTTCTAGGTGCACTGACGCCTCAAAACCATCCCTTAGAATAGGTCCATCCTAGGCCGTGCATGGTGGCTCACGCATGTAATCCCAGCACTTTGGGAGGCCAAGGCGGGTGGATCACGAGGTCAGGAGATTGAGACCATCCTGGCTAACACGGTGAAACCCCGTCTTTACTAAAAATACAAAAAAATTAGCTGGGCGTGGTGGCAAGTGCCTGTAGTCCCAGCTACTCCGGAGGCTGAGACAGGAGGATGGCATGAACCCGGGAGGCGGGGCTTGCAGTGAGCCGAGATCGCACTACTGCACTCTAGACTGGGTGACAGAGCAAAACTCTGTCTCAAAAAAAAAAAAAAAAAGAATAGGTCCATCCTATTAAATCCATCCTAAACAGGAGAAAACAGGCTCAGAGAGATTACATGACTTGCTAAAGGTCATATAAGCCAGTGGCACAGACAGAATTTGAATGCAAGTCTCCTAACTCCAAGCCCAAAGCTCTATTTTCCAGGATGCCTCCCTCCTGCAAATGGTAGGATTAGGGTCAAGAGGTTGTTTTCAAGACAGGGAACCTGAGTGTGCCTTAAAGAAGAGAAGAAGGAAAGAGAAATGATGTCACTGGGCAGGCAGAGGATAAATTAGGACAGATTCAGTGCACAGAAAGGCAAGTGAGGACCAGGTCAGGCCCGTTCTCTACCAAGGCATCTGGTTATCTCTGCCCCAAGCTATAAAGGTCTTAGGCTCGGAAGATGGGAAGATGCTTTTTATTTTGCTTTCAGAGTTATTTTAGTGAGTATATGTTAAAGACAAAGCCAGTCAGAAAGCTGCACCAGAGGCTACCCTACTGATAGCTCCTGGCACCTGCTAGCTCAAAGAAGCCAATTCCTTTGGACAGGCTAATGCGCTGGGCCAGTTAGGACTGAGGGTTATGAATCCAAGGTCACACAGACTCCCTCTCCAGGGAGGACAGCTACTGACACACAGAGAGATATGGCTACAATGCATCTGGCCAGACAAACCCAGGTGTGCTGATCACTGGGCAGAAGGAGAGGGATGGGGTCACAGGGATGTCTAAGTTTGGCTCTCAGAAACCTCCGCAGTTGCTGGAAAAACAACTATATATCAATAACAACCACTCAGGGCCTAATAATGTCAGGTACTATGTTGTGTTTATACAGTAGCTGTATATTTGTTTATACATTATTTATACCTCTACAATAACTCTTCCATATAGGTGTCACCCCAATTTTTCAAATGAGAAAACTGGGGCAGGTTAATCAGTTTGCATATCAAGAAAGTAATAAAGTTGTAAATTAAACTGCACTGTGAGTTAATGAAGGGAAGGGATGAGGTCTACTTCATCTTTGTCACCTTGTAGAGACTCAGAAAACATCTCTGAAAAGAAAAAGGTCACAGAATGGGAGGGCTAGAGAGAATCTAGATAATTTTTTCCAATACCTTTACTTTACAGAGTATGAGGCTGAAGCCCGACGGGAAGGGAGGGGCATGATTTGCCCAAGGTCATAGATCCCAGAGTCAAACCAGTTTCCTGGTCTTGTGCCTTCACCAACACATCACTGCCCCACTGCCACAGAGGTGGTCCCTCAGAAGTCTGAGTTAATGAATGTTAAAGGTATAAAAGGAAGGGGCTACTCAGCTTTGTGTGGCTATGGTGAATGCTGGAGGAAGAGGAACGTGAGGACCCCACCATATGGATCAGTGGGAAGGCTCTGGGCAAAACTATGACCCAATCTGTAGTCTCTGCTGTCCAGAACTCTCTGGGTCTTGACAGACCAGCGTAACTTGGCCAAAGAGGAAACAAACAGAGTTTCTGTGATGTCATTGTCCCTTCACATCTAAAAAACCTACATGAAAGACCACCCATTGATAAGAGTGGCAATTAACAGCTTTGTTTTCAGCTGTTAATTACCCATATAAAAAACAGAAATTGGTATCAACACAAAATTTTTAGACTCTTTTTCCTTCCTCTGGCTAGAAGCTGGGGAGAAATGGTAAGAATTATATATATGAACAGACAATAAAGTTGTTCCTTGCTGTTCTTTTGTTTTGTTTTGTGTTTTTGAGACGAAGTCTAGCTCTGTCGCCCAGGCTGGAGTGCAGTGGCTCGATCTTGGCTCACTGCAACCTCCGCCTCCTGGGTTCAAGCGATTCTTCTGTCTCAGCCTCCTGAGTGGCTGGGACTACAGGCACGTGCCACCATGCCCGGCTAATTTTTTGTATTTTTAGTAGAGACAGGGTTTCACCATGTTGACCAGGCTGGTCTCGAACTCCTGACCTTGTGACCCACCCGCCTCAGCCTCCCAAAGCGCTGGGATTACAGGCGTGAGCCACCGCGCCCGGCCTCCTTGCTGTTCTTTTTTTTTTTTTTTTTTTTTACCATTGATGTCTCTAGGATCTAAGTTAGTGAAAAACTTACTCACTTTGGGCTCTAGTCATAGCCATGACCCTTATTAACTATATGACCTTGGGCAATTCAATTAGCTTCTCTGAGATGAACTTTATCTGGTTCAGAGGCAGTCAATGATTAGTGAATGACAGCCCACTATGTGAAGCAAACCAAGAGTGTTCCTACATACTATCTCATCTACCCTCATGTTTTCTCCATTTTCTGTGGGAGAAAACTGAAGTTCAGATTAGCCTCTATCTTCCTAGTCCTCTATGCAACAACTCATCTTGAAGGCAGCTCCTTTCTGTTAAGCTCTATGCCAAGTGAAACACAAGACTCCTCTCTGCCCTGACCTCCACCACCTCCAGAAAGGAGAGGTGATAAGGATGGTGCACATTCAAGGACAAGGACTGGGTCACCAGGATAAATGGTGGGGCATCCACTCCAGCTTCCCTGGGATGTAGACTCTAAGTATTTGGTCTCCTGAGATTCAATTTCTGTTTGGTTTGCTTCTTTTAATATTTACATCCTGTGAAGTTAGTGGCCTAGCACAGCCTTCAGTTAGTGAGGGACCTCTCCATTCTAGGAAGACCCAGGCTGAGAAAGGGAATTTGGGAGAGGAGATAATGAGCTCCATTTTAGGCAGAAATGTCAAATAGATGGTTGACTTCATGGGTATGAGCTCAGGAGAGAGGTCAGGGGTGGTGCAGGGATTTGAGTCATCACCATACAGCCAGGAGGCAAACAAAGCCATGGGTGTGAATGAGATAACCCAGGAAGAATAAACAGACTGAGTAAAAAGAGAGCCTCAGACAGAACAACTGATAGATAGGGAGTCAAATCTGGGTTTTAATATTTTGATTTCCAACTCTTGTGACCATGGGCAAATCTCTCTAAGCCTATGTTTCATGTATTTAAAAAGAAAAAATGGCAGGTACAGTCGTTTATGCCTATAATCCCAACACTTTGGGAGGCCATGGTGGGAGGATCGCTGGAGCCCAGGAATTTGAGACCAGCTTGGGCAACATGATAAAACACTGTCTCTACAAAAAATATAAAAATTAGCCAGACACAGTAGCACATGCTTGTAGTTCCAGCTACTTGGTCTTGAACTCCTGACCTCAGGTGATTCACCTGGCTCGGCCTCCCAAAGTACTGGGATTATAGGCATGAGCTGCCACGCCCAGCCAATTCTAGTTACTTGGGAGGCTAAGGCAGGAGGATCACTTGAGCCCAGAAGATTGACGCTGCAGTGAGCCATGATCCTGCCACTGCACTCTAGCCTGGGCAACAGAGCAAGAAAAAAGAAAAAAAATAAAAATAAATAAGATATAGTCATGCTGTATCTTTTCTATGTTTAGATATACAAATGTCACTGTGTTACATTTGTCTACAATATTCAGTACAGTAACATGCTGTACAGGTTTGTAGCCTAGGAGTAACAGGTCATCCCATATACCTAGGTGTGTAGTAGGCTAGACCATCTAGATGTCTGTAAGTATACTCCATGATGTTGGTATGACAAAATCACCTAACACTGTGTTTCTAAAAATGTATCCCCATCATTAAGCAATGCATGACTGTATTGTCACTACTATCCCTGGACAGACTTAGATTGGTCTAGACCCATAATTCAATGGGTCATAATTTATAAGTACCTACTATGTGTGAAGAACTGACCCCGAATATTTCATCTGGTGAAGAAAACCTAGTATCTTAGTTCTGTCCCCTGCTACTCTCCTTGGTATCTAATTTGTTGTTCAATTTGCCTTCTTGAGTGGAAGGAAAAAAAGTGGAGTTAAAGCCAGCCACTAGGCAGTTTACCTTATCTAATCTAATTAGCCCATCTAATTCCTGATGGGAATTTCAGTAACGTACTTCACCAAAAAGTATTGACAGCCTGGGCAACCTGGTGAAACCCCATCTCTTAAAAAAAAAAGTAAAAAATTAGTTGGGTGTGGTGGCGTGCACCTGTAGTCCCAGCTACTCGGGAGGCTGAGGCAGGAGAATTGCGTGAACCCGGGAGGTGGAGGTTGCAGTGAGCCCAGATCATGCCACGGCACTGCACCCTGGGCAACAGTGTGAGACTGTGTCTCCAGAAAAAAAAGTACTGGGGCATCTGACAATTCTAGGTATGCCTGAGCAAGTAATGTACATATAATATTATCATGTAAGTCATGGCAAAAAAGAGGAGGAGTCCCTCTGCCATCAGAAATGTCCATCTACATGCCCCATGGGCTTCCTTTAACATTAAACCTGTGTCAGCAGAATCTGCTTGAGAGATGACAGGGAGGTGAGAGGGGATGGTGACTAAGATCTGCATTTCATAGTGTCATCCCCTGGGGGGAAGAGAGGCACACATCTCTCAGTTGGTAGACTTCCATTAGACTTAGGAAAGAGTATGGATTTACAGAAACTAGGCACCTACAAGTAGAAGAGACCACCACCCCTCCAACTCACATGCAGACAGTGATAAGTCTGGAGGTGGGCTGAAGCAGATGTGGGTGCCTCCTGACCTCAGTAAACCGGCTCTCAGAGAGAGAAGGCCCACGATTTCTGAATGTAGAAATGAATGAGTGGTTGCCTACCAGCAAGATGAGCAGGATGCTGGGGATGCTTCTGAGCAACTGGAACAGGACTACTAAGCTGGCAGGAAGGGCGGGCTGCCCAGCAGAGGTGACATCATCCAGTTCCTCATAGCTGCTCTCTTCCCAGAAGAACCAAAGTTCCAGGACACGGTGCCCATACCTACTCATGAGCTCTGGATACAACAGAAAGAACCTGAGCAGGAGCGGATGGTGAGTATAGACTAGCTGCAGGTCTGGGATGCCTTCTAGGAATTTTCTGATTGCACTGACCATAGTCTGGAGGCAAAACAAAGAAAGGAGGTAAATACACCTTGCAGAGGACCCAAGAGACCCCAACATGGCCAAGAGATGACTAGGAAAAATGTACTGTCATCTCAGTATTCCAGGACACCTTGGCTAGCTCATCCCAAGGCACTTTAGTGAGAAAATACCACTGTACTTACCTTATAACAGAAGTTATCAACTAGGGGTGATTTTGTCCCCATGGGACATTTGGTAAAGTCTGGAGACATTTTTTACTATCTTGATTGGGGGAATGCTATTGGGATCTAGTAGGGAGAGAGTGGGGATGCTGCTAAATATCCTACAAAGCTTATCACACAAGAATGATCTGGTGCAAAATATTAATAGTGCCGAGGTCAAGAAACCCAGCTTGATGATGGTACCACAGTGGGTTGTAATTGTCAGTGTGCATGTCTACTTCCCACACTAGACTGAAAGCTGCTTGAGGGTAGGGACTGTGGCAGATTAATCTGTGCACTTAGCATAGGGCCTGGCACAGAAGGGGTGAAGGGGAGATATGTTGAATAATTTCTTTTTTTTTTTCTGAGACAGAGTTTCGCTCCTGTTGCCCAGGCTGGAGTGCAATGGCATGATCTCGGCTCACCGCAACCTCTGCCTCCCGGGTTCAAGTGATTCTCCTGCCTCAGCCTCCTGAGTAGCTGGGATTACAGGCATGTGCCACCATGCCCGGCTAATTTTGTATTTTTAGTAGAGACGGAGTTCCTCCATGTTGGTCAGGCTGGTTTCAAACCCCTGACCTCAGGTGATCTGCCCGCCTTGGCCTCCTAAAGTGCTGGGATTACAGGTGTGAGCCACCGTGCCCGGCCTTGTTGAATAATTTCTTACTCCTCACAAACCTACCTCTTCCCATTGCATTCCCATAACAATGTTCAAATTTCTTAGTATGAGGCTGGGCGTGGGGGCTCATGCCTGTAATCCCAGCACTTTGGGAGGCTGAGGTGGGCGGATCACCTGAGGTCGGGAGTTTGAGACCAGCCTGGCCAACATGGAGAAACTCCGTCTCTACTAAAAATAAAAAATTTGCCGGGCATAATGGCACATGCCTGTAATCCCAGCTACTTGGGAGGCTGAGGCAGGAGACTCACTTGAACCCGGGAGGCAGAGGTTGTGGTGAGCCAAGATCACGCCATTGCACTCTAGCCTGGGTAACAAGAGTGAAACTCCATCTCAAAAAAAAAAAAATTCCTTAATATGCTATTATATGGGTTTTACAGTTTTGGCTCATTTAGGTCTTTCACTCATTGTGAGTTCATTTTTGTGTATGATATGAGTTAAGAGTCCAACTTCATTCTTTTGCATGTGTATATCTAGTTGTTCCTGAAAATTTTCTGAAAAGACAAATCTTCCCCCATTGAATTATCTTGGCATCCTCATCAAAAATTGACCATAAATGTATGGGTTTACTTCTGGACTCTCAATTCTATTTCATTGATCTATATGTCTACTCCTATGTCAGTACCACACTATCCTGATTACTATAGTTTTTTGCTAAGTTCCAAAATAAAAAAGGTATGAGTCTTCCAACTTTGTTCTTTTTTTTCAAGATTGTTTTGACTATTTTGCATTTCCATATGAATTTTAGGTTCAGCTTATTCATTTTTGCAAAAAAGTACAATTGGGATTTTGATACAGATTGCATTGAATCTACCGATCAATTTGGAGAGCACTGCCATCTTAAACTATTAAGTCTTCCAATTCATGAATGCAGTCTGTTAATTTAGATTTTTAATTAAGAAAAAAACTAGAGAAAAACAGTAATGTTTTGAAATTTTCACTATATAAGTTGATATGATTTGGATTTGTGTCCCCGCCCAAATCTCATGTCCAAATTATAATCCTCAGTGTTGGAGGAGGAGCCTGGTGGGAGGTGACTGGATCATGGGGGTGGACCTCCCCGTTGCTGTTCTTGTGATACTGAGTGAATTCTCATGAGCTCTGGTTGTTTTAAAGTTTGTAGCACCTCCCTTTTCACTCTCTTCCTCCTTCTCCAGCCATATAAGATATGCCAGCTTCCCCTTTGCTTTCTGCCATGACTGTAAGATTCCTGAGACCTCCTCAGCCATGCTTCCTGTATAGCCTGTGAAACTGTGAGTCACATAAATCTCTTGTCTTTATAAATTACTCAGTCTCTGGTAGTTCTTTATAAGAATGCGAGAACTGACTAACACAAAGTCCTTATACTTTGTTAAGTTATATTCCCAAGTATTTAATTTCTTGATGCTATTGTAAATGGAATTGTTCCCTTAATTTCATTTTTTTTTTTTTTTTGGGAGACAGGGTCTCACTATGTCACCCAGACTGGAATGCAGTGGCGCAATCTCAGCTCACAGCTCACTGCAACCTCCGCCTCCAGGATTCAAGCAATTCTCCTGCCTCAGCCTCCCGAGTAGCTGGGACTACAGGCGCATGCCGCCACGCCCAGCTAATTTTTTGTATTTTAGTAGAGACAGGGTTTCACCATGTTGCCCAGGCTGCTCTCAAACTCCTGAGCTCAGTCAATCCGCCCGCCTCGGCCTCCCAAAGTGCTAGGATTACAGGCGTGAGCAACTGCGCCCGGCCTAATTTCATTTTCAAGCATGTTAATAAAGACTTAAGTCTACCTTTTCAGCTCCTCTCTATTCTACCTCCCATATGACTTAGCTAAGGCACATTAAGCTAGGCTTCCTTCCTTGAATGGATAGATTGGGCATCTTCCCACTTCTGTACATTAAATCATACTCTGCTCTCAGCTTCAAAGTTCTCCCTTCACCTCCTCCATCTCCTCCACAAAGCCTCTCCTGATGCTATATAATGCTTTGCTGGTTCTTGACCAGTCCCCCAGCTCCAGGAGAGCACTCATTACTGTAGCTGCCTGACCCATAGGAGATCTTTTTGTCTCTCCTGACAAACTTGTGTTCTCTGAGGGCAAGGAACTTGTTTGATTCATTTCAGACCTGACAGGGCCCCACATGGTACCTAGCTCATGTCAAGTGGTCAATCCACATTGGTTGAGTAGCTGAAATGTTGAGAAGCAAATAAAAAATCATCGGCATAGAGTTGTGTTCAACAGCTTAGGAAATGCTGATCAAACTGCAATGAAGTTGCTGAAAAGGAAGAGTTTCCAGGCATAAGTAAGGCCTGACACTCTGAAATATCCATCCCCACAGAGACACCCACACTCTGGCTATTGGGGATCCTCAGACACATACCTTAACACACATCAGTGTGTATCTCCTCCACTGCTTCCACAAAGGCTCAAAGACCATGAGAATCAGAAAGGATCTCAGAGATAACTCTGCCCAAGGCCCAGAAAGGGAAGGAGATCTCGCCAGGAAGGCCCAGAACATTAGCAACAGAACGAGAATGTGGACCCAGGAGTCCTGCCTTTCTGCACAATGCATGTATACAAGGTTACCCTGCTTCTACATAAAGGGCATTCACAGGTAAATGGTACCAAGGAAGCCTTTTCATAAAGATACCACATAAAGAAGGTGACATCAGAGACAGAAGCCAAGGAAAGGCCTGGGAGCTAGCAGGCAAATTTTATGGGGAAGACGTCCACGAGCCTCCTGAAGGTGCCCCTTGCAGCACTACCTCATCTAGGCAGTCCCATTGCTCACCAAGGACCTCAGTGACCATGGAGGGTGCTCCTCTACCCACACCTCTTTAGCCCAACCAGCTGCCCAGAACAAAGAGCTTCCCTGCCTCCAGTAGCTTGATGGTCCCTGTTCTGCCTTCTAAACTCTTTCACCTCCCTTCTAACCTTTCTTTTCACTCTAATCAGAACAACTTCCTGATAAACTAGGGCAACGTGAATCTACACGAGTAATTCTCAAAAATAATACTGGAGACAGGAGCAGTGGCTCACACCTGTAATCCTAGCACTTTGGGAGGCTAAGGCAGGGGGATTGCCTGAGCCCAGGAGTTTGAGACCAGTCCGTCTCTACAGGAAATAAAAATAATTAGCCAGGCATATGCAGTGGTGCATGCCTGTGGTACCAGCTACTCAGGAAGCTGAGGTGGGAATATTGCTTGAGCTCAGGAGGTCAAGCCTGCAGGGAGTTGTGATCACACCACTGCACTCCAGTCTGGGTGACAGAGCAAGACCCTGTCTCGAAAAATAATAATAATATTGAGTAAAATGAATAATAAAAAGAAAGAAAACGTCCATACAGTAGAATTCCAACTAAAAAATATAGAAGGAATTGTAAGCCAGGCACGGTGGCTCACACCTGTAATCCCAGCACTTTGGAAGGCTGAGGCGGGTGGATCAGAAGGTCAGGAGTTCGAGACCAGCCTGGCCAACATGGTGAAACCCTGTCTCTACTAAGAACACAAAAATTAGCCAGGCATGGTGGCACGCACCTGTAATCCCAGCTACTTGGGGCACTGAGGCAGGATAATTGCTTGAACCCGAGGCAGAGGTTGCAGTGAGCAGAGATCGCGCCACTGCACTCCAGCTTGGGCGACAGAGCAAAACTCTGTCTCAAAAAACAAAAACCGTATGGCCGGCACGGTGGCTCATGCCTGTAATCCCAGCACTTTGGGAGGCCGAGGCGGGCAGATCAAGACCATCCTGGCTAATACGGTGAAACCCCGTCTCTACTAAGAAATACAAAAAATTAGTCAGGCATGGTGGCGGGTGCCTGTAATCCCAGCTACTCAGGAGGCTGAGGCAGGAGAATGGTATGAACCCGGGAGGCGGAGGTTGCAGTGAGCCGAGATCACGCCACTGCACTCTCTAGCCTGGCGACAGAGCAAGACTCCGTCTAAAAAAAAAAAAAAAAAAAAAAAAAGAACATTTTGGTATAGTGAAATTTGACTATTGATGACTAAGGATTACACAATATTATATACAATGTTAAATTTCTTGATTTTGATCACTGTACACTGATTATGTAACAGAGAAAGTCCTAATTCTTAGGAAATACAAATTGAAGTATTTATGAATAAAATGACTCTCTGAAAATTATTTTCAAGTGGTTCAGAAAAAAAGAATAAGGGGGTGGGGATGGGAAGAGAGAGAATGCAAATGAGATAAAAATAAAAATTGGTGAATCTGGCTAATCGGTGTCTTTGAACTGTTCTTGAAATTTTTTTGTAAGATGAAATAATATCAAAATAAAATTGAGTAGAAAAATCAAGTTGTGATTGTATGTTGCCCTTTATATATTTATACTAAATTTTATCTTATTTTTTGAGACAACGTCTTACTCTGTCACCCAGGCTGGAGTGCGGTGGCATGAACATGGCTCACTGCAGCCTCGACCTCTTGCGCTCAAGTAATCCTCCCACCTCAGCCTTCCCAGTAGCTGGGACCACAGGTGCGCACCACCATACCTGGCCAATTTTTAAAAATTTTCTGGCTGGGCACGGTGGCTCATGCCTGTAATCCCAGCACTTTGAAAGGCTGAGGTGGGTGGATCGCCTGAGGTCAGGAGTTAGAGACCAGCCTGACCAACATGTTGAAAACCCGTCTCTACTAAAAATACAATAATTAGCTGGGCGTGGTGGCACATGCCTATAATCCCACTGTAATCCCAGCTACTCGGGAGGCTGAGGCAGGAGAATTGCTTGAACCTGGGAAGCGGAGGTTACAGTGAGCCAAGATGGCGCCATTGCACTCCAGCCTGGGAAACAAGAGCAAGACTCTTGGTTGTTCAATTATTAGAACTTTTCATTTTGAAGCAAAGGCTTCTCAGGTCATGAACATTATTAGTATTCTGAAAAAAAAAATCAAGACTGAAGTTCAAGTAACTTTCTCTAGGTCACACAGTTAACTGATGCGGGAGTCGGACTCCAGCTCAGACTTGACTGACTCCTAAGGCTCATTCCTTAGTACCACCTCTGGTTGGTACAGGAGCAAAGAGCTCTAAGGTATTGGTATCTTCTTCTGGTAACAGTTTATTAAAGAAAGTGGATTGCTGGGACTCAGATCATTGTTAATTAGGCTATTGGATCACTTTCGTGGTGGTTGTGTGTGGACAAGTTTTCTCTCTCCAGCTTCCTTATAAACTCCTGGAATCAAGGACCACGTCTGATTCATCACTGAACCTCTCACCTATTTCATAGAATATTGCTTCTGTTCCTTAGTGTGGACCCTTCAGTCTAAAGCTAAAGGCACTCTTCCTCCATTGACTATTAATTTTGCCTCTTTTTGATTACTGTTGAGGCAAATGTGATGAGAGTAGACCTGGTTTAATTTGAGTGGAAACAGAAAGGCATAGTGGAAGTGAATGGGTTTTCAAGTAAGACACACCTGGGCACACAATGTCCTGTTGTCTCTCTCTTTGTGCTAGTAGCAGCCACTGGTGATCATTGCCTAGATCCACTAATTAATTAGGGATTACAAAACAATAATATTCTAGTTCTGTCATTATCTGTTTATTAACTTAAATACTTGTATAAAAGGAAACTTCCAGCCGGGCACGGTGGCTCACGCCTGTAATCCCAGCACTTTGGGAGGCCGAGGCGGGCAGATCACGAGGTCAGGAGATTGAGACCATCCTGGCTAACAGGATGAAACCCCGTCTCTACTAAAAATACAAAAAATTAGCCGGGTGTGGTGGCGGGCGCCAGTAGTCCCAGCTATTCAGGAGGCTGAGGCAGGAGAATGGCGTGAACCCAGGAGGTGGAGGTTGTGGTCAGCAGCGATCCTGCCACAGCGATCCTGCCACTGCACTCCAGCCTGGGTGACAGAGCGAGACTCCGTCTCAAAAAAAAAAAAAAAAAAAAAGGAAACTTCCCCTCATTAACTATTCAGTTACTCTGAAGGGTTAGATTAGATTACATAGGAAACATAGGTTAAGTGCTTGATTCTTTTCCTGTGGTTACCAGTTTTCAAAAACATGAGTTTGTTGCATAGCATCCTCCAAAGGTGACCAAAGAGTTGTTGTTTTTTTTTAATTTTTAATATTTTGTAGAGACAAGGTCTTACTATGTTGCCCAGGCTGGTCTTGAACTCCTGGCTGAGGCAGGAGAATCGCTTGAACCCAGAAGGTGGAGGTTGCAGTGAGCCGAAATCACACCATTGCACTCCCGAACTCAAGTGATCCGCCCACCTCAGCCTCCCAAAGTGCTGGGATTATAGACGTGAGCCACCGTGCCCAGCCTCAGTCCCGATTTTCTTATCTGTAGAATGCAAATAATCTCTTCCTCCCAGGAAGGCTGAGATAATTAGGTAAATTATACAGGCTCTGTATGAGTCTGCATCCTACTCCTCTCCACACTCCTAACACCTCCGCTTTGTCTCTCTCTACCACCCGCTTGTCTATACACTATCATCATCATGGTCTCCCAGGGAACACTAATGTAAAGAGGTACAGAAGGACAAGGAGCCCAGGCATTGTGGTCCATACCTCACGTAGTGTATTGTCTTTGTCCTGGCAGATTGCAAGCAGATAGATGGAGGCTTTGAAGACCACCAGTGGGGGGCGCTCGCCCTGGTCCTGCAGCGACAGGAGGAAGCTTTGCACAGCCTCAAATAACTCTGCCTCTGAGACAAACCTGTCAACCAAGAAAAGCCTGAGTGAGAAAGGCAGAGTTGGCAGGCCACTGGGCTCTTCTATTCTGCCTGGCCGCATCCTTCCTCAGCCCACTGTCCTGCCCCAATATGCCCACAGCCTAATGACATCTTAGACAAACAGTGTGCTATACATACTTACAAAGCACTGCCATATATATACATCACATTGTTCTGTGCCTTGTGCAAGGCTCAGTTAGGGGCCAAATACTCCTCATTCACACTTGGGAGGTGAGCTATCTGCCAGCTGGACCAGCAGTGTTAAAGAGAAGGGTGCTACTGCTGGGGTTCAGAAGGCCCTGCTCTGGCAGCTGCTCCACCCCTCTCTTCTTGTATTTATCATTAAACAGTGGTGTATTTAACAGATATAACACCAAAAGCATAAATGACAAAAGAAAAAAATGGATAAATTAGAGGTCATCAAAATTAAAAACATTTGTGCTTAAAAGATACCACTAAGAAAGTGAAAACGGCCAGGTGTGATGGCTCATGCCTAGAGTCCCAGCACTCTGGGAGGCTGTGGTGGGAGAACTGCTTGAGGCCAGGAGTTCGAGACCAGCCTAGGCAACATAGTCAGACCTCTTCTCTACAAAAAAAAAAAAAAAAATCAGTTAAATTAGCTGGTTGTGTAGACGCATGCCTATAGTCCCAGCTACATGGGAGGCTGAGATGGGAGGATCGCTGGAGCCCAGGAGGTTGAGGCTGCAGCGAGCCATGATTGTGCTACTGCAATTCAGCCTGGGTAAGAGAGCAAGATACAAAAGGAAAGGAGAGGAAGGGGGAAGGGGAAGGTAAGGAAAAAGGGAGGGTAGAGTAGGGGAGGGGAAGTAAGAGGAAGGGAGGTGAAGGGAGGGGAGGGAAAAGAGGAAAGGACAGGATAGGACAGGACAGGAATGGAAAGGAAAGGAAGAAAGAAAGAAAAGAAAGCGAAAAGACAGCAAACAGGAGGCCAGGTGCAGTGGCTCACGCCTGTAATGGTAGCATTTGAGGAGGCCAAGGTGAGAGGATTGAGAATATACCCAAAAAGAATTAAAAACACTACTCAAACAAATACATGTACACACATGTTTACAACAGCACTATTCACAATAGCCAAAAGGTGGATAGGCCCAAATGTCCACCAATAGGTGAATAAAAGCAAATTATGGTGTATACATACAAAGGTATATTAATCAGCCATAAAAGGAATGAAGTACTGATACACGGTACAAACATTATGCTCACTGGATGGACTTCTAAAATGATATGCTAAGTGGAAGAAGCCAGACACAAAAAGTCACACACTGTATGATTCCATCTATGTGAAATATTCAGAATAGGTAACTCCAAAGAGACAGAACAGATTGTTGATTGCCAGGAGCTGGGGAGGAGGAACGGAAGTGACAGCTTTGCAGTGATGGAAATGTTCTAGAACTAGATGAAGGTGGTGGTTGTGCATTTTAAAGGTACTATTAAATACCACTGAATTGTTCACTTTAAAATGGTCAAGCTTATGTTGTGTAAATTTTACCTTAATAATTTTTTTTTTCTTTTAAGACTGAGTCGGCCGGGCGCAGTGGCTCACGCCTGTAATCCCAGCACTTTGGGAGGCCGAGGCGGGCAGATCACGAGGTCAGGAGATCCAGACCATCCTGGCTAACACAGTGAAACTCCGTCTATACTAAAAATACAAAAAATTAGCCGGGCGTGGTAGCGGGCACCTGAATTTCCAGCTACTCAGGAGGCTGAGGCAGGAGAATGGCGTGAACCCGGGAGGCAGAGCTTGCAGTGAGCCGAGATTGGGCCACTGCACTCCAGCCTGGGCGACAGAGTGAGTCTCCGTCTCAAAAAAAAAAAAACAAAAAAAAAACACTGAGTCTCACTCTGTCGCCCAAGCTGGAGTGCAATGGCACAATATCAGCTCATTGCAACCTCTGCCTTCCAAGTTCAAGTGATTCTCCTGCCTCAGCCTCCCCAGTAGCTGGGATTACAGACGCTCGCCACCACACTCAGCTAATTTTGTATTTTTAGTAGAGACTGGGTTTCACCATGTTGGTCATGTTGGTCTTGAACTCCTGAACTCAGGTGATCCACCTACCTCAGCCTTCCAAAGTGCTGAGATTACAGGTGTAAGCCACCGCACCCGTGAGGGAAGAGACAGACCCTCTCATATTGTTTTATATTGTTTTCTACTCAGTACCTGTTTTAAGAAAAAAAACAAAGAAGTGAAATCAAAGCCAGGCAGCCCGGCGCCAGGCCCAAAACCAGGCCTGGGCCTGCCTGGCTTAAACCTAGCGGTTAAAAATCAACTCATGACTTAGAACCCGATGTTACACATATATTTCAGGCATTGTATGGAAGAACACTGTGAAACTCCCTGCTCTGTTCTGTTTCACTCTGACCGCCGGTGCATGCAGCCCCTGCCACGTACCCCTTGCTTGCTCAAATCAATCACGACCCTTTCATGTGAAATCTTTAGTGCTGTGAGCCCTTGAAAGGGACAGAAATTGTGCACTTGGAGAGCTCAGATTTTAAGGCAGTAGCTTGCCAATGCTCCCAGCTGAATAAAGCCCTTCCTTCTACAATTCGGTGTCTGAGAGGTTCTGTCTACGGCTCGTCCTACTACACCCAGCCAATAAATTATTATTATTAATTAATTATTTATTTTTTGAGACAGAGTATCACTCCGTCACCGAGGCTGGAGTGCAGTGGCACGATCTCAGCTCACTGCAACCTCCGCCTCCCGGGTTCAAGCAATTCTCCTGTCTAAGCCTCCCCAGTAGCTGGGACTACAGGCGCCTGCCACCACGCCCGGATGATTTTTGTATTTTCATTTTTATTTTTTTTATTCTTTTTTTTATTTTTTTTTGAGACAGAGTCTCTCTCTGTCGCCCAGGCTGGAGTGCAGTGGCGCGATCTCAGCTCACTGCAAGCTCTGCCTCCCAGGTTCACGCCATTCTCCTGCCTCAGCCTCCCGAGTAGCTGGGACTACAGGCACCCACCACCACGCCCGGCTAATTTTTTTGTATTTTTAGTAGAGACGGGGTTTCACCGTGTTAGCCATGATGGTCTCGATCTCCTGACCTCGTAATCCACCCATCTCGGCCTCCCAAAGAGCTGGGATTACAGGAGTGAGCCACTGCACCCGGCCTGATTTTTGTATTTTTAGTAGAGATGGGGTTTCACCTTGTTGGTCAGGCTGGTCTCAAACTCCTGACCTCAGGTGATCCACCCGCCTCGGCCTCCCAAAGTGCTGGGATTACAGATGTGAGCCACCGTACCCGGCCCAATAAATTATTTCTTACGGCTTAAGAAAGAACAGTCCTTTTATTTTTATATCCTTTTTGAGATGGAGTCTCACTCACTCTGACACCCAGGCTGGAGTGCAGTGGCATGAGCTTGGCTCACTCCAACCTCCACCTCCTGGGTTCAAGCAATTCTCCTGTCTCAGCCTCCCGAGTAGCTGGGACTACAGGCGCCTGCCACCATGCCCGGCTGATTTTTGTATTTTTATTTTTATTTATTTATTTATTTATTTATTTATTTTTTGAGACGGAGTCTCGCTCTGTCGCCCAGGCTGGAGTGCAGTGGCACGATCTCGGCTCACTGAGAGCTCTGCCTCCCGGGTTCACACCATTCTCCTGCCTCAGCCTCCCGAGTAGCTGGGACTACAGGCACCCACCACCATGCCCAGCTAATTTTTTTGTATTTTTAGTAGAGACGGGGTTTTACCTTGTTAGCCATGATGGTCTCGATCTCCTGACCTCGTGATCTGCCCATCTCGGCCTCCCAAAGAGCTGGGATTACAGGAGTAAGCCACCGCGCCCGGCCTGATTTTTGTATTTTTAGTAGAGACAGGGTTTCACCTTGTTGGTCAGGCTGGTCTCAAACTCCTGACCTCAGGTGATCCACCCGCCTCGGCCTCCCAAAGTGCTGGGATTACAGGTGTGAGCCACTGCACCCGGCCCAACAAATTATTTCTTACAGCTTAAGAAAGAACAGCCCTTTTATTTTTATTTTTATATCCTTTTTGAAATGGAGTCTCACTCACTCTGTCACCCAGGCTGGAGTGCAGTGGCACAATCTTGGCTCACTGCAACCTCTGTCTCCTGGGTTCAAGCAATTCTCCTGTCTCAGCCTCCAGAGTAGCTGGGATTACAGGTGTGCAACACCATGCCCGGCTAATTTTTGTATGTTTTGTGGAGACAGGGTTTCGCCATGTTGGCCAGGCTGGTCTCGAACTCCTGACCTCAACTGATCAGCCCACCTTGGCCTCCCAAAGCATTGGGATTACAGGCGTGAGCCACCATGCCCAGCCATGATTTTAAAAATGTAATAAATTGAACAGTAATGATTAAAACCAAAGTAACCTACTGAAGTTTTTTTCTGTGGACAAACAACACCCTCAAGGATAGCAAGGAATACTCACTGGCTTTCTAGGCCTCTGTCTCTCAGCACAGTGTCTACCCACCTGTTCTAACCCACTTCTAAGATATGAGCCTCTCAGGGACACAACCCATTTCTTACTTATCCCCGTGTCCCCAGTGCCCAGCATCAGGCTTGGAGAGATGCCCTTATTTATTGAACTGAACTGCTGATGAAGGTCCCAAGACCCACCACCAGCCACCCACCTCTGTGCACTGACCTGTCTTCATGGATGTAGGCCAAGTAGAAGAGGAGCAGGATGCAGTACTGTCTCTGGCGAGCAGCTCCCTCCATGTACTGGCGATCAGACAGGAAGGCAAGGCTTTCAGGGCTCCTGCTGCTTATCTGGGGCAGCCCATGCTGCAGGAGCTCAGACACTGCAGAGAGTTCTAGGGAGGGAATAAGTAGAGGAAAGCCACACAGAGAACATAGAAGAACAGGTAATCAGCACATTAGTACCTACTACATGCAGAGTACTGCACAGGGCAGCAAGGGTAAATGCAGTATAGTGGGAAATAAGGAAATCAGAGGCTCCTCTTCCTTTGAGCAAGGTTCAACCTACCGGGAAAGACTAAACTTCACAAGCAGAAGGACATGGATATGTCTCAAAAATTAACGTTCATTCCTTTTTTGTTTTGTTTTTCTTTTGACAGAGTCTCGCTCTGTTGCCCATGCTGGAGTGCAATGGCATGATCTCGGCTCACTGCAACCTCCCCGTTCTGGGTTCAAGCAATTCTCCTGCCTCAGCCTCCCAAGTAGCTGTGATTACAGGCACCCACCACCACGCCCAGCTAATTTTTTGTATTTTTAGTAGAGGCAGGGTTTTGCCATGTTGGCCAGGCTGGTCTCAAACTCCTGACCTCAGGTGATTCACCCACCTTGGCCTCCCAAAAACATTCATTCTTTCATTCATTTGACATATGTTCATTGAGTGGCTACTACTCAGGACAGGCTGTGAGACCCAGGCCCTACCTCCAGGAACTGGCAGCTGATGGGAAGAGACACATAATGAGACAGGCAATTGCAGGACATGTGATCAGCGCTATATTGAGGAGGGAGTGACTCAGGCTGCCTGGCATGGGGAAGGAAAGGTCAAAGAGGAAGAAACTGTGGGCCAGGCTGTAATCCCAGCACTTTGGGAGGCTGAGGAGGGTATATCACCTGAGGTCAGGAGTTCAAGACCAGCTTGGCCAACATAGTGAAACCCCGTCCCTACAAAAATACAAAAATTAGCCGGCTATGATGGCGGGCGCCTGTAATCCCAGCTACTTGGGAGGCTGAGGTGGGAGAATCGCTTGAACCTGGGAGGCAGAGGTTGCAGTGAGCTGAGATGGCACCATTGCACTCCAGCCTGAATGACAAGCGCGAAACTCCATCTCAGAAAAAAGAAAGCAAGCTTTGGGAGGCCGAGGCTGGCGGATCACGAGGTCACGAGATCAAGACCATCCTGGCTAACACGGTGAAAACCCGTCTCTACTAAAAATACAAAAAAATAGCCAGGCGAGGTGGCGGGCCCCTGTAGTCCCAGCTACTTGGGAGGCTGAGGCAGGAGAATGGCGTGAACCCAGAAGGCGGAGCCTGCAGTGAGCCGAGATCATGTCACTGCACTCCAGCATGGGCGACAGAGCGAGACTCCGTCTCAAAAAAAGAAAGAAAGAAAGAAACAAACTGTGGAGGGTGAGGAGAAAAGAGGCAGCGACAGGAGAAAAGAGAAAAGGAAGCAAGGTGTTCAGAGGCCTGAAGGCATGAGAAGACATGCCATGTTTCCATTCAGTGTCACTGGATAGTCAGTGAATAGATGTGGGGTGTCAGAAGCTGGGGAACTATGTGATGTAATCTGCAGTTGGACTGTGAAAGACCTTTAAGCAAATGCCACTTAAGGAATTGGGACTTCATCCTGAGGGCAGAGACTTCTAGATTTCTTACGAAAACGGTTTCATAAAAGAAAGAATATTTTAATACCAAAAGAACAGGAAAGAAGGATAGGCGTGGTGGCTCAAGCCGGTAATGCCAGCACTTTGGGAAACCAAGGCAGGTGGATCACCTGAGGTCAGGAGTTCGAGACCAGCCTGGCCAACATGGCAAAACCCTGTCTCTATTAAAAATACAAAAATTAGACAAGCGTGGTGGCAAGTGCCTGTAGTCCTAGCTACTCAGGAAGCTGACGCAGGAGAATTGCTTGAACCCGGGAGGTGGAGGTTGCAATGAGCCGAGATCACGCCACTGCACTCCAGCCTGGGCAACAGAACAAGACGCTGTCCCAAAACAAAAAAAAAGGAAAGAAAAAGACTGACTTCAGAGTTTAAAATTTGAATAAAGGCCAGGTGCGGTGGCTCACACCTGTAATCCTAGCACTTTGGAGTCCAAGGCAGGTAGATTGTTTGAGGCCAGGAGTTCAAGACCAGCCTGGCCAACATGGCAAAACCCCATCTCTACTAAAAATACAAAAAAATCACCTGGGCATGGTGACATATGCTTGTAGTCCCAGCTATTCGTGAGGCTGAGACACAAGAATCACTTGAATCTGGGAGGTGGAGGTTGCAGTGAGCTGACATCACTCAACTCCAGCCTGGGCAACAGACTGAGACTCTGCCTCAAAAAACAAAACAAACAAAAAAACCTAAATAAAGTCAACTTTATCCTTATGTTCCACATTTCACCATGGACCAGAGAAAACTTCATCACTATTTGACACTACTCCACAGACTGATGTGTGGAGACCACAGCTGAAAGCCAGGGGAGTTAAGATGTTAAGACTTTGTTTTCAGATAATCCTTCCAGCAGTGAGTGGATGAGAGATTGAAAGACAGGACCTCAGTTGAAGGTCAACCGAAAGAATCCATCCTGCCAGGGCCAAGTCCTGGGCAAGCAGAGGGTGAGGATAGCGCATGTCCCACAGCAATTTGGTAGCAGAGCCAGGTCAGCTCTCCTAATTCCAAGTTCAGTGCTTGTCCACCAAAGCATGCTCTCATCAATATAATAATAATGAAACAAATATCCTTCAGCCACACACATCCACCTGCCTTTCTCCTGATATATAAAAGAAAGCAGTCTGAATGTTATGAGAGATGTGCTGCATTTCCTGGCACAATGAGATTTAAGAAGCCCCAGTGTTTAAGGCAGGAGATGTGTGGGGCTCCCCTTGGTTTGACAAGCAAGGGAACTGCCAGAAGCAGTGGAGCAGGCACTTATGAGCATGAGAGGTGATGGTGATGTGACTGCCAATAGTCTTAGGCTACATGGCAGAAATCATGCTATTCTCTCTGCAGGCCAGATCATGCCTTAACAGGGAGATTGCAGAAAGGAGTAGCCAGCATAGTGAGAGAACCAGTAGCCAAGCTATGTTGGAAGCAATAAAAATGCTCACCTGGGCTTTGCTCCCTCTCAGCATGATGTCTGGGAAAGATAAAAGAGAGCAGCAGGTGTAGAGAGTGGGGGAGAGGACACAGAATCTTCACAAATATAATAAGGGGGAAAAGAGCCAGAACTAGGTCTTACCCACAGAGGTATATTTGTTGAATGAATGATGAAACAATTATTAAACTGTTTTCTATTATATCAGGAGACAGGTCTAAGATAGAGGAACCCCTCAGGGCAAATAACATACTGTTATAATCGCTCTATCCACAGCAGTACCTAGGCCTCCCCTGGCAGGTAGCAGAAGCTCAATGAATGTTCAACAAGAGGAAAAACTTCCAGCTCTCAGCCCTGCAGCTGCTGTTCCTCCTGCCTAGATTCTGCATGGCTTTCCTTTACTTGACTCAGACCTCTGCTCACATACCACTTCCACATGGAGGCCTTCCCTGACCACCCTATCTAACATGTCTCTCTCCTCCTTCTATCACTCTCTATCCTTTTGCCCAGTTTTATTTTCTTCATAGTGCCTATGGATCTCTGACATAGTATGCATTTGCTTATTGCCTGCCTGTTTCAATTTATGACAGCAGGGCTTTGTATCCCTGGCTCTTTCACCAGCACCTGGAATGGAGTCTGACACACAACAGGTGCTCAAGAAACACCTCTTGGCTGGGCACGGTAGCTCACATCTGTAATCTCAGCACTTTGGGAGGCCGAGGCAGATTACCTGAGGTCAGGAGTTTGAAACCAGCATGGCCAACATGGTGAAGGCCCGTCTCTACTAAAAATGCAAAAATTAGCCAGGCGTGGTGGCAGGAGCCTGTAATCCCAGCTACTTGGGAGGCTGAGGCAGGAGACTCACTTGAACCTGGAAGGCAGAGGTTGCAGTGAGCTGAGATCATGCCACTGCACTCCAGCCTGGGCAACAGAGCGAGACTGTCTTAAAATAAAAGAAAAACAAAAAGAAAAAGAAAAAGAAAAAAGAAACACTACTTGAATGAATGAAGAAATAGAACACACTATTAATGCTATAGTGAACACTGGACTCCTGAGGCCTATGGTATGGGGATGTTGCAGAGGAGACTGTCAGGAAGAAGGAACTGGACTTGATGAACATTAGGATCCTTCTCAACTCTAAGGTGCCAGGAGCCTTGGGTTCCATCATTTTCCAGTTCTATTACTTCATATCCCTAGGAATCAACCTATAATTGCATCACTCCGATTCCTCTGGGCAGCCTCAGGCAAAGAAATCTCGTGGCTGTACTAACTCACTATCTAGTCAATCAGCAAGGCACCCAGACTCTAAAGACCAGCACAGGCCACATGAGTGGTCAAATTGTAGCATCTTACCTTCTTTGGAAGGTGGTCCTGTCTTCTCTGGAGCTGAGAGAAGGTTGAGGCACATATAGTAGAGGAAATTGGAACACACCTGGTTTAGGGCTGAGTGACTTAGAGGGAGAAGAAGAAAGAATAGAAGAGATGACATTGCTACTTTGGCTGGGAGAGCATTATCCCTGCCATATGCCTGGGCACCACTGCTTTGTGCCAGAGGCTAGTGAAATTCTAGCCATGGCCGTGGCAGAGGAGGTCTTAAGGTGGCTATGAAAAGTAAATATGGGGCTGGGCACAGTGGCTTATGCCTGTAATTCTAGCACTTTGGGAGGCTGAGGCTGGTGGATCACCTGAGGTCAGGAGTTCTAGACCAGCCTGACCAACATGGTGAAACCCTGTCTCTACTAAAAATACAAAATTAGCCTGGCGTGGTGGCACACACCTGTAATCCTAGCTACTCAGGAAGCTGAGGCAGGAGAATCACTTGAACTCAGAAGGCGGAGGAAACCCGGCCAGTTTCCTCATTTAAATAAGAGGTTAAACAAATGATCTCTGAAAGCGTTTTTTGGGGCTTTTTGTGTTTTTTTAGAAACAAGGTCTCACTCTGTCGTCCAGGCTAGAGTGGGATGCGATCATAGCTCACTGCTGCTTTGACCTCATAAGCTCAAGGATCCTCTCGCCTCAGCCTCCTGAGTATCTGGGACTAAAGGTGTGTTACCACCAGGTCTGGCTAATTAAAAAAAAAACAACACAAAACTTTTGTGGCCAGCCACGGTGGCTCACGCCTGTAATCCCAGCACTCTGGGAGGCCAAGGCGGGCGGATCACCTCAAGTCAGGAGTTTGAGACCAGTCTGGCCATCTCTACTAAAAACACAAAAATTAGCCAGGAATGGTGGCAAGCACCTGTAATCCCAGCTATTCAGGTGCTGAGGCAGGAGAATTGCTTGAACCCAGGAGGCGGTTGTTGCAGTGAGCCAAGATTGTACCACTGCACTCCAGCCTGGGTGACAGAGCAAGACTCCATCTCAAAAAAAAAAAAAAAATTGTAGAGACCAGGGTCTTGCTATGCTGCCCAAGTTGATCTTGAACTGCTGGCTTCAAGCAATCCTCCCATCTTGGCCTCCCAAAGTGCTGGGATTACAGCCATGAGCCACTGCACCAGGCCTCTCCCAGTTTTGATGTGACAGGTACCCATCCAAGTATCACCAGGAATAAGATCCTTACCACGTTAGATTCAATACAACCTACAGAAGCATGACCAGCTTATTGCACCAGATGCTGAGCAATGCTGACACTATGTCAACACCACCATGAGCCCATGACTAAAACACACCAGCCAACAATTCCCACTTGTCCCATCAAGAGGGACATTGGCCCCTTGGCCACTCAATCTTGCCTGGGACCACACATACCTCAGACCACTGCAAAACCTGGCCTTCAGCTCCAGGGTCAGTCGTATGAAGGATGAGGAAGCTTCAGAGAAGTGGGAATAAAGCAGAGAGCAGTTTAAACCAGACTTGTCACAGAGAGTCCCAAGCCTGGGTGGTATCAAAAAGCTCTGGTTTCAGAGTTACACAGACTTGGTTCAAAATGTACTCCACCACTGTCTAGTAGTTTCACTCCGGAAAAGTTTTTTAACTTCTCTGAGACTCAGTTTTGATATTTGTACCTCACAGGGTGTTGTAAAGCTAAGTAAGATAAATGTATGGAGAACATCTAACAAATACTTGGCTCAAAGTAAGTGCTGCAATAAGTGTTCATTTTCTTCCATTCTGAATGATCCTCCACTACAATTTGGTACATTTGACAAGGACCTAGGAAGGGCACATCTGCTCCTTCTATCCCTTCTTTCAGTTTTATAGAAAACAATCCAGTTTCAGATGCAGAAAGAACAGTAGTTACTATTTTATTCTCATCTCTGAATTGTCTGTTGAAAGCAATTGATTCTCAGAACAGAGGTCCAATAACAGTTTCTTTTCTTTTTTTTTTTTTCCTGAGACGGAGCCTCACTCTGTCGCCAGGCTGGAGTGCAGTGGCATGATCTCAGCTCACTGCAACCTCCACCTCCCGGGTTCAAGTGATTCTCCTGCCTCAGCCTCCTGAGTAACTGGGACTACAGGTACGCACCACCATACCCAGCTAATTTTTGTATTTTTAGTAGAGATGGGGTTTCACCATGTTGGCCAGGATGGTCTTGATCTCTTGACCTCATGATCCACCCACCTCGGCCTCCCAAAGTGCTGGGATTACAGGTGTGACCCACTGCGCCTGGCCTTTTTTTTTTTTTTTTTAAGATGGAGTTTCACGCTTGTTGCCCAGACTAGAGTGCAATGGCACGATCTTGGCTCACTGTAACCTCCGCCTCGCAGGTTCAAGCGAGTCTCCTGCCTCAGCCTCCTGAGTAGCTGGGATTACAGCCACGCGCCACCACGCCCAGCTAATTTTGTATTTTTAGTAGAGACAGGGTTTCTATATGTTGGTCAGGCTGGTATCGGACCTCAGGTGATCCGCCCACCTTGGCCTCCCAAAGTGCTGGGATTACAGGCGTGAGCCACTGCACCCAGCCAGCAGTTTCTGCCTTAGCTGTTGACCCTGGCCCAGGCCTTTGTGCTGCTGGCTCCTCCCAGTCTCCCCAGTAAGGCTTTCAGTCAATACTAACCTCTGTTCTGCCTTCCCTGGGCCACTGTAAAAGCAGAATCCTAGATAAAGACGACATCAGAAGCTCCCACTTCACCAGCCCCTGGGTTGGGAATAATCTGTATTTTATCCTGGGGCTAAAGCAGCTGACAGGGAATCCCTCAGGGTTTCACAGCAACTCTCTGGGGCAACAATTTAACCCATGACTTTCCCAGGAAGGGGCACCAAGCTTCCCTTCCAGATGGGCTCCTCTTGGCCCAATCTCTCAGGGATCCAGAGTTTCTCCACCCTCCTACTCCAAGTCTCCATACCATTCCTGGCTGGCAGTGCCTGCTTCCCTCCTCCCTCTTGCAGGTTGAGCCTCTGATCCTGTGCTACCTGGCTTCATGCTACACAGATCTCCCTACAGATCTCACAGCCTTTTTCTACATCCCCTATTCCCCACCACTGCCCCCAAGAGATCTACACTTGCCTCCCATCCAGCGCCCCAAGACTAGATCCTCTTGGGTCCGGAAGTATGGCAGGCAGGAAGAATGTTAGAAGGAAGGAAAGAAGTGTGTATCAGTTATCACAATGGCTGAGGGATGCAGTCTTCAGGAAATCTATATGCATCATCTTGTTTAATTCTCACTATTATCACCATGTTCTAGCTAAGGACACTGGAGATAAGAAAATTAATTTGTACAATCTCAATAAACAAGTAAGAGAGGTGAGAAGAATTCCAACTCACATGGGCTAACAACCAGTCTCTCTACTGCTCCTTCCTATCAGCAGCTAATCAGGTAAGTGTTTCCAATCTTAGGGGGTAGAAAAAATCCTTCCTGATTCCATGTTCCCCTCTACTCACACCCCCATTTCTCACCTTCCCCACACACCAAACTTGTTAAAATAGTTGTGTATCCTGTCTCTACTGCCTCATCTTGCACTCATTCCTTAACTCACTCTGGTCTGGCTTCCATTCCAACCACTCCCACAGAAGCTGCTCCGGCCAATGTGGCCAAAAGCTGCCATGAAGCCAAGTCCAATGGACATTTTTCAATCTTCATCTTACTTGACTTCTGGGATGCCTTTCACACTCCTGACTACTCCCCAATCCACAAAACTCTCTTCATTTGGCTTCCTTAATATCGTACCCTTCTGGTTTCCTTCCTACCTCTCCAAATGCTCGTACCTCTCCTCCTCCTGACCATTAAATGCTCAATTTTGTCTTGGCTTCTTTCATCATTTCATTTTACACCCTCAACTTTGAAGAATCTCACCTGATCCCCACTGAGGAGTCAGCCTCACAAGGACAGGGGTCTGTTTTGTTCACTGCTAGATCTCCAGCCCTAGCCTATATCTTGCATGCAGTAGGTGCCCAATATTTGTTGAATGAATGAAAGGCTGGATGCTGAAGATTTCTATACCTATATCTAAATCCCAGATCTCTCCCTTGTCTTCAGACACAGTCAATTACCCACCTAACATCTTCACTGGAACATCTCACTTTCACCCTGACCCAAACTGACCATACCCTCTACTGACCCCCCCAAACCAGATCCTCCCCCAGTGAGCCTTCTCTCAGTTAAACACACCACCATCCACATAGAAGCCAGCCAGAAGCCAGGCATTACCTTGAACTGTTCCCTCTCTTTCAAGCCCTACATCCAGCTATTCCATGCCCCAACACTACCTTAGTTCCTACCACCAACCTGAGTTAATGCAAGAGGCTGAGATACATGCCTCCAATCTGCCTCCCTCTAACTCATAGTCCACACTGCTCCAAGAAAGATCTTTCTGAAACAGAAATCTGAACATGTTACTCCACTTCTTTAAAACTCAACAAAACTCCTAGGATAAAATCCAAATTCCAGGCCAGGCGTGGTGGCTCACGTCTGTAACCCCAGCACTTTGGGAGGTCAAGGTGGCCAGATCACCTGAAGTGGGGAGTTTGAGACCAGCCTGGCCAACATGGAGAAACCCCATCTCTACTAAAAATACAAAATTAGCCGGGCATGGTGGCACATGCCTGTAATCTCAGCTACTTGGAAGGCTGACTCAGGAGAATCACTTGAACCCGGGAGGCGGAGGTTGCGGTGAGCCGAGATCGTGCCATTGCACTCTAGCCCGGGCAACAAGAGCTAAACTCTGTCTCAAAAAAAAAAAAAGAAAAAAATCCAAATTCCTCACATGGCCAACAAGGGCCTACATGGCTGAGCCCTGGCTGCCTCTCCACAGTAGACTTGTTGCACAACATTTGTTGCATGCCATGTGACAAGAATAAAAGAAAAAACATTAAATTATAATGATAAGAGCCAAATATAGCACAGAGATTAAGAAAGCATGTTCTGGGCGGTCGCTCACGCCTGTAATCCCAGCACTTTGGGAGGCCGAGGCGGGCAGATCACGAGGTCAGGAGATCGAGACCATCCTGGCTAACACGGTGAAACCCCGTCTCTACTAAAAAATACAAAAAAATTAGCCGGGCGTGGTGGCGGGCGCCTGTAGTCCCAGCTAATCAGGACGCTGAAACAGGAGAATGGCATGACCTGGGAGGCGAAGCTGGCAGTGAGCCAAGTTCGTACCACTGCACTCCAGCCTGGGCAACAGGGCGAGACTCAATCTCAGACAAAAAAAAAAAAGCATGTTCTACAGTCAGATTCCCTGGATTTGAATCCTGGGCATACCACTTATAGTGTGACCTTAGGCAAGTTACTTAACCTCTCTGAGATTCAGTTTGCTCATCAGTGGAATGAGTACAATCATAATAGACAATTCCTAGGGTTTTTCTGAGGACTAAATGAGTCCATACATGCAAAGCACTTAAAACAGTCTCACACACTGTAAGAACTTAAATGTTAGTTATTATTAATAATTAGTCGCTAATGTTACTGAAAACTCTCAGCTAATTTTTCTTTAATCTTTTTTTAGAGATGGGGTCTCACTGTATTGTCCAAGCTGGTCTCAAACTCCTAGCCTCAGGTGATCCTCCCATCTTGGTCTCCCAAAGCACTAGGATTACAGGCATGAGCTACCACGCCCAGCCCCTTTAATGACTTTTGATTGCTGCCTGACACTTCCTTTCACTCATCACTGGACAAAGAATAGATACAGATTCTGAATGAATTAGTAAATGTGCACCCACAACTTATCCTCTCTTTGAATACTCTCTGAGCATTGCCTAAGGTGCTTGCCTCCCTCCCAACCTCCACATTTGCCTGCTGCCTACCAAGCTTCTTGGAAAACTTCTCCTTCATGTGGGGAACGATGACAAAGAGGTTATGTAGAATTGAGAGGAAAACTTCCATCAAAGCTGGGTGGGTGGTCTGCTCCAAGTGTCTCTGCAAAGAACCAGGAGAGAGAACACAGCCCACGGGGACTGAGCCTCTGAAGAAAAGGCATCAGAGAAAACTCACATCAAATCTAGCAACTCCTTTCACTTGAAAGACACAACAAAAGCTAGGGAACTTAAAGTCCAAACCTACATCTAAGGCTTGGATCACCTGATAGATTGTACTAGATACTTTATCTCTTTGGGCTTCTGTTCCCAAGACTAAAGTGGGAATAACAAGATATCCCTTCCAGAAACAAATGTGGTCTGGTGTGTAAAAACTGCTTTCTAAACCATAATGCAGAGTGACTCTCATGTTTCTATTACGATAGTAATAATAATAATATAGTTTATAAACTGCCTTCATATTTGTTTTTTTTGGGGGGGTGGGGGTGGGGTTTTTTTTATTCTTTGAGACGGAGTCTTGCTCTGTCACCCAGGCTGGCGATCAGTGGTGCGATCTCGGCTCATTGAAACCTCTGCCTCTCGGGTTCAAGCGATACTCCTGCCTCATCCTCCCAGGTAGCTGGGATTACAGTCATGCGCCATCACGCCCGGCTAATTTTTGTATTTTTAGTAGAGACGGGGTTTCGCCATGTTGGCCAGGCTGGTCTTAAACTCCTGATCTCAAGTGATCCACCTGCCTCAGCCTCCCAAAGTGCTGGAATTACAGGTGTGAGCCACCGCACCCGGCCCGTTATTATTAAGGCTGGTCAAGTAAAGCAGGGGGAATGGAGAAGAAACAAATAAATCTGTAACTGGTTGTGATCAATTAGTTGTAAATACCATTGCACTCAGACCAGCCTTCAGGTAATTCTTCAAGAGTCATGAGGCAGTCTTATGTGGTAAACACAGCTCTGAATTAAAAAAAAAAAAAAAGAAACAGGGTTCTAGTTCAGGCTCTGTACATAGCCACCACAGTGTGCCCTTGGGTAGTCACCTTCTCCCTTCCCTGAGTCTCAGTTCCCTTTCTGTAAACAGCTGGGTCCTCAGAGGCACTGTTCTTGTTGACACCTTTCCTTTCATTTTTAGAGCAAGTTTGGTTGTTTTATTATTATTATTATTATAAAAGTAATATATGCTCATTAAAGAAAATGTGTAAAATACAGAAAAGTAGAAAGAAGGACTAATACAATAATTCTATGATCTACTTCTAGATTTAGCTCTAACACTTCAAAAATCTAGGAGGAAGGCAGGGCAGGTGAGTAAACTGCGATGAGTTGCCCAAGTCTTACTGTTAGTGGGTTAAGTCAGGGCCACAGTCCAGGGTTCCTGACCACTACCTCCTGCAGACTCCAGCTCAATGGCTTCTTCAAGGAAGAGAGCCTCGCTGGTGCAGAGCCAGAGGTGCCTCCCTGCTGCCACCTACTGTTCCCAGTAAATGGTTAGGAGTTGCCCTTTCCCGACTAACAGGGACTCCTCACAGGCTCATAGGATGCCCAAACCTCAAGCAGGAGGTTACTCATCCAAGGTTACCCAGAGTCAGCAGCTCTTGGCCCTGCTCTTCCCACCATCTCAACCTCAAGTCAGCTCAAAATGAAGCTCTTCAGGATCAAGGATCAAGTCTCTCTTCAGAGTGGCCATCTCTCATTTTACAGAACACACATACATGTTCCTTGTTAACACCTGGATCACAGACATTCACTGCTGCTCATTATTAAAGACACAAGAAAAGCTAGGGGACCTGAAGTCATAGGTTCAATCTCAGCACGTTATGGGCTTGCTTTATAACTACAGAAATATGACAAACTTATCTGTAAATTAGGGCAAATTATAGCATCCATCTCCCAGGGTCATTGGGAGAACTAAATCAGATAGTGAATATTAGGCACTTTCCACTCCATAAACTTACCCACTTATTATTTTATTATTACTGCTTTCTATTTTTTCTTAAGATGAACCTGTTAGTTTCATAATCAAACACTACATTTTATTTTTAGAACAAAGGAAAGGTAGCAGCAAGAATTGCACTGCTGAGGCCCCCAGAGAGTTCCTTTGAGCAGTCACTGCCTTATGCCTCTGAGCCTGGCTCGCCTGCACATTCTTCTCTTCCCCAAGCTTCATGTTGCCCGTGGCTCAGGAGAACCCACCATCACCATGGGGATACACAGCGAGTCACAGGCACTGAGAAGAAATTCTGAGAAGGCCTCCAAGGTGTCTTCCTTCTTGGCGCTGGGAGCTGTGAATGGATTCTCCTGGGCTGAAGGCTCACTCTGGAATTCTATAGCCAACCTAAGAAATCAATGTGTGAGTATATCCACTACCACCTATGCAACCTAAAGGTTACAAACAGCTTCCTGGGGGGTGGCGGGGAGTGCCTGTGCTCAGGGTCCAGGGAAAGTATCTCTATTATCAGACTGGGAGAAAATTCAATAGACCACAATGAGGAGAGGACTTGATCCCTGGCTATCTCTCCAGATTCTTGCTCCCTACCCCCTCCCCCAACTATGTGTACTTCTACCCCATTGTGTGTATTTCCCCGAATATGCCATGCTATTTGCTATTTCCCATTCATTTGCCTTTAAATATGCTGCTCTCTCTATCTGGAATACCTTCCCCGGATTCTTGAAAACCCAACAAATCCCACATATATACCAAAAAGCATCTCTTCCCCAAGAGACTGTGAGCTCCTTGAGGGCAGGAGCCATTCTGACTTTTCTTTCTAGCCTCACTGTCTAGCATCAGGCATGGCACACAGTAGATACAACAAACATTTGTTAATGTAAACTGAATTAATTTAGCAACCATTCAGTGAATACCTGTAGTGCTAGGCTAGTTGGGGGGTGGTGGGGAACGAAGGTGAATAAGACACAACCTCATGGCACAGTAGCAAAAACTCCATGAGGAAGGAATCTTTAGAAAGGTCCTACCCCTAGCTGCCTGTCCTCAAGCCTCCTCCACACACCCCCAACCCCTACCCCAGCCAAAGTCCTCTTTGCCATACAGCAGAGTATCAGAAATCAAGTGTTGCCTCTAGAACTTCACCCATTGTCTGAATCCCTTCCACCCCTACCTTCCATGCTATTACTTCATACCTCAGAGGGCCCCTCACCTGCAGGCACTTCTAAATCCCTCCAGAGTGCTGAGGAGGAACTTTCCCCTTTGAAGAATGGCCTTCTCTGAATCTCTACTGGAGGCATGGCCCTGAGGTGGGAAGGAGAGACAGGAACCTAGTGATCAAGTATATGCTGTGTCTCAGTCTATGCTTGGATGACTGTAGACCTCTTCTTCTCACACTGCAGTCTGACATTCCCATACACCTAACTTTCCAAGAGATCTTGGCTATATCCTTGCAAATAGCTCCTTTAAAAAAATCATAGGCCGGGCGCGGTGGCTCACGCCTGTAATCCCAGCACTTTGGGAGGCCGAGGCGGGCGGATCACGAGGTCAAGAGATCGAGACCATCCCGGCTAAAACGGTGAAACCCCGTCTCTACTAAAAATACAAAAAAATTAGCCGGGCGTAGAGGCGGGCGCCTGTAGTCCCAGCTACTTGGGAGGCTGAGGCAGGAGAATGGCGTGAACCCGGGAGGCGGAGCTTGCAGTGAGCCGAGATCCCGCCACTGCACTCCAGCCTGGGCGACAGAGCGAGACTCCGTCTCAAAAAAAAAAAAAAAAAAAAAAAAAAAAAAAAAAATCATAGCAAAGCTGGGCATGGTGGCTCACGCTTGTAATCCCAGCACTTTGGGAGGCCAAGGCAGGCAGATCACAAGGTCAGGAGATCGTAGCCATCCTGGCTAACATAGTGAAACCCCGTCTCTACTAAAAATACAAAAAAAATTAGCCAGGCATGGTGGCGGGCACCTGTAGTCCCAGCTACTAGGGAGGCTGAGGCAGGAGAATTGCTTGAACCCCGGAGGCGAAGGTTGCAGTGAGCCAAAATCGCACCACTGCACTCCAGCCTGGGCAACAGAGCAAGACTCCGTCTCAGAATAAAAAAAAATGGTAGCAGGGGCCCAGCGCAGTGGATCATGCCTGTAATCCCAGAACTTTAGGAGGCCGAGGTGGAGGTCAGGAGTTCGAGACCAGCCTGGCCAACACAGTGAAACCCTGTCTCTACTAAAATTACAAAAATTAGCCAGGTGTGGTGGTGCATGCCTGTAATCCCAGCTACTCGGGAGGCTGAGGCAGGAGAATCACTGGAACCCGGGAGGCGGAGGTTGCAGTGAGTCGAGATCGTGCCACTGCACTCCAGACTGGGGCCACAGAGTAAGACTCCATCTCGGGAAAAAAAAAAATGGTAGCAGTGTTGGAGGGACCCTAACCTACAGTCTCTCTGAACCACAGGAATGACTATTGGTCTATTATATGCAGAAAGCTGTCACAGGCTAGTGGGCATTAGCTTGACTATAATGGCCCTATTAGTTGCTCTAAAACACAAGAAAATCCCCACTCCATCAGGTGTAAAGAGCTTAGTTTCCAAAGTTAATCCTGAAAGACATAATCAACATTCACACTGACAGTGTCTTTCCTGATATCTTAAGTCTACAGGCTATTAAAAGCCAGCAGCTACAACACATGGCACATTGGTCAGATTCTAAGATTCTAGTGAATTCAGACTTAAATAATTTTGTGAGCATGTTTACCCTATCTGCTTATATGATATAAACAGAGAATGTGTGTAATAGACTGGGGTAAAAACACCCTGGAATTTACTGTTCTAGGCTTAGGTACTTTATAGTTTTGGACCTTAGAGAAAAATTATTTAACCCTCGTGGCTTTAGTTTCCCCATCTGTAAAAATGACAATAGTAATCCTTAAGCTTCATAGTTCTGCTATTAGGGAAAAAGCATCTCATTGTAGCCATGTGTGCATGAGAAAAAGTCATGAAATAGCATACAAAAGTAAGGGAATATACTAATTATCTTTCTAAAAACACACTGCAGCATGATCTTCGGAAGCAGCAGGCTGCAGTACACTGACCAGGGGCCTCCTGCTCAGCAAGGTCTGGGAAAACTCCGCACATCGGTTTAGCATGGCTTCTAGCAAAGCCTGCAGTTCCCCATACTGCACAGGTGGAGTGCTCTGATGGTCCTTCCTGCATCCAGAGAGACAAAAGCAGGTTCACGGTAAGGCAACGGTATTCCCAAGATAACCCCAGGTTCTCAGGCAATGAGAGGCAGTGCAGTTGGATCAGAACATGGAATCTAATCTGATAAAAATCCTTACTCCAGGCCAGGAATGGTGGCTCACGCCTGTTAATTCCAGCACTTTGGGAGACTGAGATGAGTAGATGTCTTGAGTCCAGGAGATGGAGACCAGCCTGGGCAACATGGTGAAACCCAGTCTCCACAAAAATTAGCCAAGTGTGGTGGCATACACCTGTGATTTCAGTTACTCAAGAGGCAGAGGTGGGAGGATCACCTGAGCCCAAGAAGGTAGAAGCTGCAGTGAGCCGTGATCATACTACTGCAATCCAGCCTGGGTGACAGAACAAGACTTTGTCTCAAAAAAATCCTTACTTCAATGCTTATCTAACTGCACAACTTCTTGTACATTCCTTGCCCTCTCTAACCATCAATTTCCTCATCTATTAAATGAGGCTAATAGTACTCTCCTCATAGACTTATTATGGGGATCAAATTCGATAATGTATGCCAAACACTTAGCATGATGCTTAATACGTAATAAGTCCTTATAAATGTCAGCTGTGTCTATTATTACTATTAAGGATACAAGGTTTTCTCGCAGAGGAGAGCCTGCTGGTAAAAGAAGCACTACCTAGAATTGAACGTGCATCAAGAGAGTGACAGCTACTGTTTTCCAATAAGTAATAAGCTCTTCTGGGGAAGAGGGATCAAACTTTGTTAACTCAACGAGGAAAACCAGGATCAACAGGTAAATGTTACTAAGATCCAGAGATGGAGTCTCACTCTGTCACCCAGGCTGGAGTGCAGTGGTGTGATCTTGGCTCCCTGCAACCTCCATCTCCCAGATCCAAGCAATTCTCCTGCCTCAGCCACCTGAGTAACTGGGACTACAGGCGCACACCACTACACCCAGCTAAGTTTTGTACTTTTAGTAGAGATGAGATTTCACCATGTTGGCCAGGCTGGTTTCAAACTCCTGACCTCAAGTTATCCACCCACCACAGCTTCCCAAAGTGTGGGATTACAGGCATGAGCCACTGCACCCAGCCTGAGAACTTTCTTTTCTCTTTTTTTTTTTTTTTTTTGAGATGGAGTCTCGCTCTGTCACCAGGCTGGGGTACAGTGGCGCAATCTAAGCTCACTGCAACCTCTGCCTCCCGGGTTTAAGTGATTCTCCTGCCTCAGCCTCCCAAGTAGCTGGGACTACAGGCGCACGCCACCACACCCAGTTAATTTTTGTATTTTTAGTAGAGACGGGGTTTCTTGACCTCATGATCTGCCGCCTCAGCCTCTCAAAGTGCTGGAATTACAAGCGTGAGCCACCACGCCCAGCATCAGCCTGAGAATTTTCTGAGTCAAAGTCTATAGAAGTATTGGGGACCATCTCTAGGGAGAAGTGATTCCCCATTCTATGAGACTATACGCAGAGACTGGAAAAGTACTTTTGGAGATTCAATCATTATGAGTGTGGGGTAAATGTAGACAGGTAACACCTAAGGCCCATTTGAACCCTCAGATTCTATAGACTCAGAAGAGCCAACAGTCATTGACTAGTTTAATTGTGAGTTTCCAAGAGGAAAGGGACCAGTTCCATCTTTTCACTTTACCTAAACAGAGACAGATGCATTGTAAGTTGATGATTAATAGAACAGATGTCAAATGAATGAATGACTATTTCACAGGGTATTGGTTTCTTAGGGCTGCTATAATAAATTACCACAAACTGTGTGGCTTAAAACAACAGAAGTTTATCCTCTCACAGTTCTGGAGGCTAGAAATCTGAAATTGAGGTGTCGTCAGGGCCATGTCCCCTCTAAAGCAAGCTTGTCCCACCCACAGCCCACAGGCCGCATGCAGCCCAGGACAACTTTGAATGCAGCCTGACACAAATTTGTAAACTTTCTTAAAACATTATGATATGAAACCCTGTCTCTACTAAAAATACAAAATTTAGCTGGGCATGGTGGCGCGTGCCTGTAATCCCAGCTACTCGGCAGGCTGAGGCAGGAGAATCGCTTGAACCAGGGAGTTGGAGGTTGCAGCGAGCCAAGATCACATCACAGCACTCCAGCCTGGTGACAGAGCAAGACCCTCATCCCTGAGCCTTTGTTGAGCACTGAGAGCCATCTGTTGGGCCTTCTAACAGGTTCTCAGTCAACTGCATATGGTTACGGCTTGATTTCCCCTTTCCTTCTTCATCTCTGGAAGCTCCAAGTTTGACGATCCTACACGATCATCAAGCCCTAGTTCCACCACCTTTAAATTCTTGGGTTTGTTTTTGTTTTTGTTTTTGTTTTTGAGACAGGGTCTCGCTCTGCTGCCCAGGCTGGAGTGCAGTGGCACAAACACAACTCACAGCAGCCTCAATCTCCTGGGCTCAAGCAATCTTCCTGCCTCAGCCTCTTGAGTAGCCGGGACTACAGGCATACACCAAGCTTGGATAATTTTTGTAGAGATAGCGTTTCCTCAGGTTATCCAGGCTAGTCTCAAATTCCTGAGCTGAAGCGATCCTCCAGCCTCAGCCTCCCAAAGTGCTGGGATTACAGGTGTGAGCCACTATACCCGGCCTCTTTAAATTCTTTTTAGCAGCTCTCACTCTTCATTCTTCCTTCTAGTTGTGCTTTCCAAAGACACTCTGAACCACCCCACCTCAGAGGGACCACGTCAGTAAACATTCTGGGAAGTTAAAGTCAAAAGTAAAATCATCTTTGGCCGGGCGCGGTGGATCACGCCTATAATCCCAGCACTTTGGGAGGCTGAGGCAGGCAGATCACAAGGTCAGGAATTCGATACCAGCCTGGCCAATATGGTGAAAACGCATCTCTACTAAAAATACAAGAAGTATCCAGGCGTGGTGGCGGGCACCTGTAGTCCCAGCTACTCGCGAGGCTAAGGCAGGAGAATCGTTTGAACCTGGGAGGTGGAGGTTGTGGTGAACCGAGATCGAGCCACTGAACTCCAGCCTGAGCAACAGAGCGAGACTCCACCCCCCCCACCAAAAAAAAAGTAAAATAATCCAAGGCTTAATAACCTGCCCCCTATCCATCTCTCTCCACAATTCTGACCCAACAGCTTTCCTGCTTCTCCAGGCAACACCCGCTTCATGTAACCTGCTGGTCAACTGGCTACTGCACCCTGAGCAATCTCTATACTCTCGAACCCAAATGTTTTGCTAATCCAGGTCCTTCCACAAATCTAACTCTCACCCTTCATAGTACAACTGAAATACCACTTCCTGCCCAAAAGGCACTACTGGTCCCCTCTAGCAGTGTCCTGCTGGAAGACTTCCAGCTCAGCATAGATGCCTCTGATTGACATTGCTCTTACTTATGCTTTTGTTACCTTGTTGGTTTACTCATCCCTCCCACTCTAGAATTCATGTCCTAGATTTAGAGATTCAAATTCAGGGAAGGACAAAGGAGGAAAGAAGACAGACTGAAGTCACTGTCACGTAAATGCTATTTTTTGTTTCAATTTTTAGAACCAACCTAGAGTCAAATCACAAAGACTTAAATATAGTTACAGAAGAGACTATAAATATTAACAACTTTCACAATGTAAAATTAAAGGTATAGCTGACTGGCCTTGAGAAGTAGAAGTAGGGAAGAGAGGGGAAAAGAAGAGTTGGGGTGCTGCTAACCACGTAGGAACTCAGGAGACACTGCTTCAAGTTGAGGGAACAAGAAATACCAGTTTTAGGTACATTATTTAAAGGTTAAAAACAAAATATTAAATAGCAAAAATGCCAAGGACATGTAGAGAAGACAAAAAATGTGAGCTAATTAAATATTGATCTTTCTAACTGGCAAGTCAATGAATAATGTCTTAAATTTAAGACGGGAATTACAGGCACTCGCCACCACGCCCAGCTAATTTTTTTTTTTTTTGTATTTTTAGTAGAGACAGGGTTTTGCCATGTTGGCCAGGCTGGTCTTGAACTCCTGACCTCAGGTGATGCACCTGCCTCGGCCTCCCAAAGTGCTGGAATTACAGGCGTGAGCCACCATGCCCAGCCTATTCCTTTTCATGATAAATCCTCTATAATTTATTTATTTATTTTCAAGAGAGGATCTCACTCTGTCACCCAGGCTGGAGTGCAGCGGTGTGATCATAGCTCACTGTAACCTCAAACTCCCAGGCTCAAGTGATCCTCCCGCCTTACCTCCCAAGTAGTTGGGACCATAGGTGCATGCCACCACACCCAGCTAATTTTATTTATTTATTTTATTACTTATTTATTTATTTATTTTTTTTTTTGAGACAGAGTCTTGCTCTGTCACCAAGCTGTAGTGCAGTGGCGTGATCTTGGCTTACTGCAACCTCCAACTCCCTGGTTCAAGTGACTCTCCTGCCTCAGCCTCGCAAGTAACTGGGATTACAGGTATGTGCCACCACGCCCAGCTAATTTTTGTATTTTGGTGTTTTGTTTTGTTTTGTTTTTGAGACAGAGTCTCGCTCTGTTGCCCAGGCTGAAGTGCAGTGGCATGATCTCGGCTCACTGCAACCTCCGCCTCCCAGGTTCAAGCGATTCTCCTGCCTCAGCCTCCTGTGTAGCTGGAATTACAGGCACCCGCCACTGTGCTCAGCTAATTTTTATATTTTTAGTAGAAACGGGGATGAACCACGTTGGTCAGGCTGTTCTCGAACTCCTGACCTCGTGATCCGCCCGCCTCGGCCTCCCAAAGTGCTGGGATTACAGGCATGAGCCACCACACCCAGCCTAATTTTTGTATTTTTAGTAAAGATGGGGTTTCACCATGTTGGCCAGGATGGTCTCAATCTCCTGACATTGTGATCCACCCACCTCGGACTCCCAAAGTGCTGGGATTACAGGCATGAGCCACTGTGCCTGGCCTATTTTATTTTATATTGTTTTGTAGGGATGGGGTGGCGCTATGTTGTCCAGGCTAGTCTCAAACGCTTAGCCTCAAGCGATCCTCCTACCTTGACTTCCCAAAGTGCTGGGATTACAGGCGTGAGCCACCGTGCCCAGCCAATATTTTGTTTTGTATTATTTGAATACATTACTGTGTTAGAAAATTAAAAGAGAAAATATGGTAACAAAATAAAAGTTACTCTATAAATATGGGTTTCCTCGGTTATTATTATTATTTTTTAAGATTTCAAGCACCTTGCTAAGGAATAATTTCCCATTGTGGTGCTAGGATCCCTTAGTCTCACTGTCCATTTTAACATCCTACATTCGCATATTGACTACCTATGAGGAGCCAGAGACAGAGCAGTGAAAAAACTGACAAGGTCCTTTAGCTCCTGGAGCTTATATTTTAGTGGGGGGAGGCGGGGTACAAAACAAATGAATAGGCCAGGTTCAGTGGCTCACGCCTGTAATTCCAGCTATTTGGGAGGCTGAGGCAGAAAAATTGCTTGAACCCAGAAGGCAGAGGTTTCAGTTAGCTAAGATCGCATGACTGCACTCCAGCCTGGGTGACGGAGTGAGACTCTGACCCCTCACCCCCCAGAAAAAAAGAGGCCGGGCGCGGTGGCTCACGCCTGTAATCCCAGCACTTTGGAAGGCCGAGGCAGGCAGATCATGAGGTCAGGAGATCGAGATCATCCTGGCTAACACACTGAAACCCCTTCTCTACTAAAAATATTTTTAAAAATTAGCTGGGCGTGGTGGTGGGCGCCTGTAGTCCCAGCTACTCAGGAGACTGAGGCAGGAGAATGGCGTGAATCCAGGAGGCGGAGCTTGCAGTGAGCCGAGATCGCGCCACTGCACTCCAGCCTGGGCGACAGAGCAAGACTCCGTCTCAAAAAAAAAAAAGAATAAACAATAACTTTCAAATGTTTGATAGGTGCTATAGCAGTCTGATAAGGTCAATTAGGAAAGGAAATTCTGAATGAGACTTGAATGATAAGAAAAACGCAGTCACACAATGATTTAAGGGAATATTATTTTGGGCAGAGTTGGAATAATTAGTGGCAGGAATAAGTTTGATGTGTTCAAGAAACAGAAAGCAGATCAGAGGAATGAACAAGAAGTGACTGAGTACTGTTTGTGGAGCCAGGGACCCAAATCTAATTCTTTAGATCCCAAATTGGGTGTTTTTCTCTATATGCTAGTAGCATGGACAAATTGAGATTGAAGGTTCTGGAATAAAGCACCAGGCAGTTGGAAATGTGGTCTGGAGTTCAGGAAAACACTATAGTGGGCTGAATGGTGGTACCCAAAGATGTCAGGTCCTAATCCCAGGAACCTATGTTATTTTCTACAGTAAAGTTTTCACAGAGAATCCTGAGATAAAGCCATTATCCTGGATTATTCAGGTGGTCCCCTACATCCCATCATAAGTAGCCTTATGAGAGAGAGGCAGCCAGGCATAATGACTCATGCCTGTAATCCCAGTACTTTGAGAGGTCAAAGTGGGAGGATCACTTGAAGCCTGAAGCTCAAGACCAGCCTGGGGAATATAGCAAGATCCCTATCTCTACAAAAAATAAAAAAAAATTTTTTGGCCAGGCGCGGTAGCTCACGCCTGTAATCCCAGCCCTTTGAGAGGCAGAGGCACGCAGATCACAAGGTCAGGAGATCGAGACCATCCTGGCTAACACGGTGAAACCCTGTCTCTACTAAAAATACAAAAACAAAATTAGCCAGGGATGGTGGCAGGCACCTGTAGTCCCAGCCACTCGGGAGGCTGAGGCGGGAGAATGGCGTGAACCCGGGAGGCACAACTTGCAGTGAGCTGAGATCACGCCACTGCACTCCAGCGTGGGAGACAAAGCAAGACTCCGTTTCAAAAAAAAAAAAAGAAAAAGAAAAAAGAAAAAAATTTAAGAAAAGAAAGAGAAAAGGCAGAGGGAGATTATACACATAGAGAAGAGAAGACAATGTAGTCACAGAGGCAGTGATTACAGTGATATGACCTTAAGTCATGGAATGCCCGGAGCCACCAGAAGCTGGAAGAGGCAGGGAAGTGTTCCGTATTAGAAGCTCCAAAGGGAGTGTGGCCCTGCTGACACCTTGATTTCATTTCAGTGATACTGATTTTGGACTTCTGGCCCCCTAGAACCATGAGAAGGTAAATACCTGTTGTTTTCAAGTTTGTGGTAATCTGGTCCTGTAGCAATAGGAAACTAACACAGGCATTTTAGGCAAGAACTATAGATTTGAGCATTATCAACATATAGCTAGTAGCTGAAGCTCTGTGAGTGGCTGAGAGCATTCAAAGAGGAACTACAGTAAGAGAACCAGGGCTAGAGGCTGGAGTTCATAGGTGTTAAAGAGCTGCCAGCTTCTGATTAAAGGTGATGGAGTCAACAGATACAGTTACCTCTGCTACTCCTTACCAAAATGAAAGAGAATTTTCTTTCAAGATATAAATTCAAAACAACAGAGAAAATACAAAAGACATGATAACATAACACTTTGGAAGTATAATTTGGCCCTCTGTATTGTGGATTCTACATCTATGGATTCAATCAACTGTGGACCAAAAATATTTTTTAAAATCTATAAAAAAAATAACAATATGGCTGGGCACGGTGGCTCACGCCTGTAATCCCAGCACTTTGGAAGGCCAAGGTGGGGGATCACCTGAGGTCGGCAGTTCGAGACCAGCCCGCCCAACATGGAGAAACCCCGTCTCTACTAAAAATACAAAATTAGCCGGGTGTAGTGGTGCATGCCTGTAATCCCAGCTACTCGGGAGGCTGTGGCAGGAGGAGAATCACTTGAACCCGGGAGGCAGAGGTTGTGGTGAGCCGAGATCATGCCTTTGCACTCCAGCCTGGGCAACAAGAGCAAAACTCCATCTCAAAAAAAAAAAAAAAAAAAAACACTTTGGGAGGCCGAAGCGGGCGGATCACGAGGTCAGGAGATCGAGACCATCCTGGCTAACACAGTGAAACCCCGTCTCTACTAAAAATACAAAAAAATTAGCCAGGTGTGGTGGCGCGCGCCTGTAGTCCCAGCTACTAGAAAGGCTGAGGCAGGAGAATGGCGTGAACCTGGGAGGCGGAGGTTGCAGTGAGCCAAGATCACGCCACTGCACCCCAGCCTGGGTGAAAGAGGGAGACTCCATCTCAAAAAAAAGAAAAAAATACAATAAAAAAATATATAAAATGTAGGCCAGGTGCAAGTGGCTCATACCTGTAATCCTAACACTTTGGGAAGCCGACACAGGTGGATCACCTGAGGTCAGGAGTTCGAGACCACCCTGGCCAACGTGGCGAAACCCCATCTCTACTAAAAATACAAAATTAGCTGGGCATGGTGGCACGCACCTGTAGTCCCAGCTACTCGGGAGGCTGAGGCAGGAGAATTGCTTGAGCCTGGGAGGCAGCAGTTGCAATGAGCCAAGATCACACCATTGCACTCCAGCCTGGGCGACAGAGCGAAACTTCATCTCAAAAAAAATTTTAAATACAGCATGACAACTATTTACATTCCATTGTTTGTTTGTTTGTTTTTGAGATGGAGTCTCACTCTGTGGCCTCAGTCTGGAGTACAGTGGCAAGATCTCAGATCACTGCAACCTCCGCCTCCCAGGCTCAGATAATTCTCCTTCCTCAGCCTCCTGAGTAACTGGGATTACAGGCAAGCGCCATCATGCCCAACTAATTTTTGTATTTTTAGTAGAGACAGGGTTTCACCATCTTGGCCAGGCTGGTCTTGAACTCCTGACTTCAGGTAATTGGCCCGCCTCAGCCTCCCAAAGTGCTGGGATTATAGGCGTGAGCCACCGCGCCCCGTCTACATTGCATTGACATTGCATAGTCGTCCCTCAGTATCTGTGGGGAATTGGTTCCAGGACCCCTGAAGATACCAAAACCAGGATGCTCAAGCTCCTTACATAAAATGGTATAGTATTTGCATATAACCTATGCACATCCTCCAGCATACTTTATTTATTTTATTTTATTTTATTTTATTTTTTGAGACAGAATTTCACTCTGTTACCCAGGCTGGAGTATAATGGTGTGATCTCCACTCACTGCAACCTCCGCCTCCCAGGTTCAAGCAATTGTCCTATCTCAGCCTCCTGAGTAGCTGGGATTACAGGTGTGTGACACCACATCCGGCTAATTTTTTATATTTTTAGTAAAGACAGGGTTTCTACATGTTGGCCAGGCTGGTCTCAAACTCCCGACTTCAGGTGGTCCGCCGACCTTGGCCTCCCAAAGTGCTGGGATTATAGGCATGAGCCACCGCACGTGGTCCTCCAGTATACTTTAAATCATCTCTAGATTACATATAATACCTAATACAATGCAAATGCTATATAAATAGTTATTATACTGTTTGGGTGTTTTGTTTTGTTTTGTTTTTGAGACAGAGCCTTGCTCTGTCACCCAGGCTGGAGTGCAGTGGCGCAATCTTGGCTTACTACAACCTCTGCAGCAATTCTCGTGCCTCAGCCTCCTGAGTAGCTGGGACTACAGGCATGCGCCATCATGCCCAGTTAAGTTTTTGTAGAGATGGGATTTTACTACATTGGCCAGGCTGGTCTCGAACTCCTGACTCAAGTGATCCACCTGCCTTGGTCTCCCAAAGTGCTGGGTTTACAGGGATAAGCCACTGTGCCTGGCCTGGTTTCTTTTTTTCTTTTTTCTTTTGAGACAAGGTCTCACTCTGTCACCCAGGCTGGAGTGCAGTGGTGTGATCTCAGCTCACCGCAACCTCTGCTTCCCAGGTTCAAGCAATCCTCCCACCTCAGCCTTCAAGCAGCCGGAACTATAGGTGTGCACCAACATGCCTGGCTAATTTTTGGATTTTTAGTAGAGACAGGTTCTGTTGTGTTGCCCAGGCTGGTCTTGAACTCCTGGGCTCAGGTGATCCAACCCACCTTGGCCTCCCAAAGTGCTGGGATTACAGGTGTGAGCCACCATGTCCAACGTATACTGTATTGTTTAGGGAATAATAACAAGAAAAAAAGTCTGTACGTGTTCAATACAGACACAACCATCCATTCTTTAAAATTTTCAGCTGGATGCGGTGGCTCACGCCTGTAATCCCAGCACTTTGGGAGGTTGAGACAGGTGAATCACCTGAGGTCAGGCGTTCGAGACCAGCCTGGCCAACATGGTGAAACCTCGCCTCTAATAATAATACAAAAATTAGCTGGGCATGGTGGTACACACCTGTAATCCCAGCTACTTGGGAGGCTGAGGCAGGAGAATCACTTGAACCCAGGAGGCAGAGATTGTAGTGAGCTGAGATCACACCATTGCACTCCAGCCTAGGCAACAAGAACAAAACTCCATCTCCAAAAAAAAAAAAAAAAAAAATTTTTCAATCCATGGTTGGTTGAATCCATGGATGTGGAATCCACAATTATGAAGGGCCAACTATATTAGGTATTATAAGTAATCTAGGGATACTTAAATATCCGCTACCCTGGCCTCAACAGGCCCTTAGGTATATGCAGGGATGGAAAGTTCAGCCTGCCTGGGTCTCTCACCTCAGAAAAGCAGAAGTGGCCTTCAAGGCCTCAGCAGCCACCTCCAGCACAGGGCTGCTAACTGCTTCTTGGAGGGCACGGCCAGCATCTCTGCACATGGCTGAGCTTGTGAACAGCTTGATCTCCTCTGGCTGCCTGAGAAATGGAAGATGAGAAACGAGTAGGTGAACTCTTCTCACTGACCCCACCAGGAGTGAAAGCCCACTTTTCCTTCTGCAGTCTGGCCCCTACAAGCCTCATGTTCCACCACTTTGCTCACCGGGTCAGGATTTCAGCGAAAAGCAGCAGGCCCTGCTTGTGCAGCTCTATGTTGTTCATCTTCAGGCTTCCCTGCAGGCTCCTCACCACTGCCTCGATCCCTACCACAGGATGACATGACAGAGGCCAGGGATCAGTGCTCTCTTGTTCCTTCACTGCCCACCCAGAAGAGGTGACAGGCTCTGGACAGCATGTATGAGTTGGAGGCCACTCGTGGAGGGACCCTGACAAGATTGAGCTAATGGGACCAGACTGTGAGATCTTTGAGGCCGGGCCCTCATCTGATTCATCTCCCCAACACCCAGTACAAGCCATAGCACAGTCCCTGGCACTTGAGGTTTTCAGTGAACACCTACTGACCAAGCCATATTTTCTCCACTTGGCATACTCCTGTTCCTCCTTGGAGAATCAGGTCAAAACCCCACTCCTCCAAAAAGCCTTCCCTGATCCATTCAGAGCTGTGAACCTCCCCTGAGCCCCCACAGCTCCTGTGCTTCCCTCTAGCAGAGCTCTAATCAGCTCATAATGAAATTTCCCTTTGCATCTCTCTCCCTTTTCTGAGGGCAAGAACCAATGTTATTTGTTATCTCTAAATCTCCAGGTCCCAGCCTGGTGCCTGGCATAAACTAGGAATATAAAATGAATGACTGAATGTGCCTACTCTAAAAATCTAGATGTGGTATAATAAGTCCCAGACAGTGCACTCACGCCTGTAATCCCAGCACTTTGGGAGGCCGAGGCAGGCAGATCACCTGAGGTCAGGAGTTCAAGACCAGCCTGGCCAACATGGAGAGACCCCCGTCTCTACTAAAAATACAAAAAAATTAGCCAGGTGTGCTGGCAGTCGCCTCTAATCCCAGCTACCTGGGAGGCTGAGGCAAGAGAAGTGCTTGAACCTGGGAGGCAGAGGCAGAGGTTGCCGTGATCCAAGATTGTGCCATTGCACTCCAGCCTGGGTGACAGAGCAGGACTCCGTCTCAAAAAAAGAAAAAGTCGCCTGGCGTGGTGGCTCATGCCTGTAATCCAGCACTTTGGGAGGCCAAGGTGGGTGGATCACAAGGTCAGGAGTTTGAGACCAGCTTGGACAACATGGTAAAACCCCATCTCTACTAAAGATACAAAAAATTAGCTGGGCGTGGTGGCACATGCCTGTAATCCCAGTTACTCGGGAGGCTGAGGCAGGAGAATTGCTTGAACCTGGGAGGCAGAGGTGGCAGTGAGCCGAGATCACGCCATTGTACTCCAGCCTGGGTGACAGGGTGAGATTCCATCTCAAAAAAAAAAAAAAAAAAAAGTCCCAGACAAGGAAGGACAGTTTCAAGAAACTTTGAAAGAATAAATTAGCAAAACTTAGAGACTACCTGGATGGTTAGATATCTGCGGCATGGGAAAGAACTAAATCTAAGGTTGAGTAACACTGTTTAGAGTTGTTGTTAACATGCAACAGGAATTCATTTAGTGGCTAAAAGAAGTGTCCTTCCCTTGCTGAAGCGTCTAAACATATATACTTCCGATAATCAGCGAACAGCAGAACATTTGGATATCAATACTTGCATATGAAATCTGGTAATGAGTTTGGGCTGATGAAATGTCTAGACTCAGTGCTCCCCTCCAAGGTGGAGGCTAGCCCCCCATCACTGCGGCTGCTACCCAAGTGCAAACTGCCGTCCACCCAACCCAAAGCTAGTACAGGACCCTTACTACCAACCATACACCGTGTGGCACTTGGAAAAAAAGAGTGGCTCTTCTACCAGGAGTGTCAAGCAGTTACAGCTGGACCAGACGAGCACTTCACTGGAAGAAGAAAGATGCTCAAAGAGGAACTCTAACAAGGGAGAGGATGAGAAAACAATAAATGACAGCCATGTGATCACGATCCCTTAACTGATGCTAAGGCCTTGGATTTATTCAGCACCTTACTCTTGCTACTTCATCTGTTCACATATCCTCTCCATGAGTCATGATCATCAATCCACTAATAAACCTGGAAAGTGCCCTTGGTTATGGTTTAACCTCTTCTTTTTAACAGGTGGGGAAACTGAGTCCCAGAGAAGAGGCACTATTAGTGGCGGAAGTAGAGTTGGAACTTAAGTCTCCTAATTCTCAGAATGGGCAGTGGCGTGGATGAAGGAAAAAGAGTTTTTAGAGTCAGAGAGACTTGACTTTTTATCCCATCTCTGCCAATGACTAGGCCTGCCAATTATTTCATTCTCTGAGCCTCAATTTCCTTATCTATAAAATAGTGAAGATGAAGACCTAAATGTGGTAACATTTGCAATGCATCTCATAACAGTCCCTGCTCATAATAGTCCCTTGAAAAATATTGTTTCCTGTTGCCTACCTGGTCCACAGGTCTTTTCACCACCCCACATTAGGTTTTTATTCATAGATGACCAAATAAATGACAAAAATCGGTAACAAATTGCTCAAGGTCATACAAGAAATCTGTAGCAATAGGATTCAGATGTTATGAGACATAGTTCATAGGGTCTGTCATACACAATTGAACCTGTCACCACCCCATCCTTCTAGTATAGGGAGGAGAAGGTTAGAAGTGTTCCCCTACCTGGGATGTCAGCGTGGATGAAGGCTGACGCATGCTTTGCTGGGGAGTGGACAAGCACCGCAGTTATACAGTGAGCACTGGCCACCTGCAGGGTTTCATCTCTAGAGAGGAGAAGCTGGAGAAACAGGCAGCAAAAAGTACCCCAGTCACACCACGAATAGGACCAGAAAAACTGGCCTAGGTGCCTCAGGGCAATAGCCTAATTCATTTTCGATCCTTCCTGTCCCACATGGCACCAGGCACAAGGATGGTGGTCAGGAGAGCAGTTATGGATTATGGGAAGGGGTCTCCGTGAACAGCAGCAGGTGAGAAAAATAAGGAAAGAACACAATGTAAAACTCACCAGGGGCACTCAAAGAACACTGTAACTGTTATCACCAATAAGTGCTCAAGCCTTCATTAACAAAAGTACTTTCAAAGTCATCTGGTTTATTTATTTATGAAACAGGTCTCACTCTGTTGCCCAGGCTGGAGTGCAGTGGCATGATCATGGCTCATGGCTCACTGCAACCTCTGCCTCCAGGTATCCAGCGATCTTCTCATTTCAGCCTCCTGAGTAGCGGGGACTACAGGCACATGCTACCATGCCTGGTACCTTTTTTTTTTTTTTTTTTTGAGACGGAGTCTCACTCTGTCGCCCAGGCTGGAGTACAGTGGCATGATCTTGGCTCACTGCAACCTCCGCCTCCCTGGGTTCAAGCGATTCTTCTGCCTCAGCCTCCTGAGTAGCTGGGACTACAGGCGTGCACCACCACGCTCAGCTAATTTTTGTATTTTTAGTAGAAACAGGGTTTCACCATATTGGCCAGGCTGGTCTCGAACTCCTGACCTCGTGATCCACTTGCCTTGGCCTCCCAAAGTGCTGGGAATATAGGCATGAGCCACTACGCCTTGCCTTATTACTATTTTGTTTTTTTTTGACACAGGGTCTCACTTTATCACCCAGGCTGTAGTGCAGCCGTGTGAACATGACTCACTGCAGCCTCAACTTCTCCAACGTAAGCAATCCTCCTGCCTCAGCCCCTCAAGTAGCTGGGACTACAGGCATGCACCACCACCCTGGCTAATTTTTATTTTTATAGAGACAGGGTTTCACCATGTTGCCCAGACTGGTCTCAAATTCCTGAGCTTAAGCCATCCACCTGCCTTGGCCTCCCCAAATGCTGGGATTACAGCATGAGCCACCATGCTCAGCCCCAGCTCATTTTAAAATTTTTTATAGAGACAAGGTCTCAGTATATGGCCCATTCTGGGCTCAAGTGATCCTCCCACCTTGGCCTCCCTAAATGCTGGGATTACAGGCATGAGCCACTGTGCCCAGCTGGCCCTCATCTGGCTTTGATGTTTGCAACAATTCTGTGACATAACAAGGGAAGGTTCTACTATAAACCTCAATTTATTGAGTGCACAGAAAAGATTTAACACAGTAGGCCTGAGGCTATTATACTTAGAAAACCCTCTCTGCAAGGCTGGCTCTTGGCTGGGTTTGGGAACTTGGATTTCAGGAGGGTTCCTAACGGAACTGAGAGAGTGGCTCACTGTGACTAAACTATGTGTACAATGAACAGTTGACCCTTGAACAACACAGGCTTGAACTGTGTGGTTCTACTTATATGTGGCCTTTTTTCAACTGAACGCTGATGGAAAATGCAGTATTCACTAGATGTGAAACTGGCATATGAACAGGGCCAACTTACTGGAGTTTGCCAGGGCTGACTGTAGGACTTGAGTATATGTGGGTCTGGGTATATGCCGGCGGTCCTGGAACCAATCTCCCGTGTATACAAGGGACAACTGTAGTTTATGCTGAATACCTGTTTTCCTTCTGGGAGTCTGGAATTTTGGTACATGCTCAGCAGAGGATACCTACGTGAACGGCCAGTCCCCCATAAAAACCTGGGGTACTGACACTCCGATGAGCTTCCTCAGTAGGTAAGGTTTCACATGTCACAGTTCATTCCTGGGGAAATTAAGAAGTGCATCCCATGTGACTCCACTGAGACAGGACTCTGGAAGCTTGTGTTGGTTCCACCAGACTTCGCCCCATGCACCTTTCCTTTTGCTGATACTGCTTTCCTTACACTGCCGTAAATCGTAGCTATGAGTATGACTATACGTTGAGTCCTATGAGTCCTCCTAGCAAATCATCAAACCTAGGGGTAGTCTTTGGGAACCTTTAGCAAGGTTAGGTTACTTACTCTAGGCTACACAGCTGATAAGTGGCAAAGCTAAGGCACAAACTCAGGTCAGCCAAGTCCAAATCTAGGAGTCTACCCACAACTGTGATGCCTCCCCCATCAGAATTTTTAGATCAGGCATATTTGCTACTCCAAACATCTCAGTGAATTTCCATTGCACTCTGAATAATATCCAAACTCCTACTCGTCACCATAGCTATTAGGGATGCCTCTAACACTTTCAGAAATCAAGAAAAGCGTTAACTGCAACCACAGATTTTAAGTATCATAGAAGCTGATTTTGGGGGAGAAAAATGCCAAACAGAATATACATCACCAGAAGAATGGAGGGCATACCTGGTTTTACAGCTTTTAAGAAAAAGGACCAAGTAGACATGAGACTACTAATGTCTGGTAAAGATACATCTGAGGACTGCAAGCTTAACCCCATCTCAGCCATATTGGACTTACAAGTGGACACATAAACAGCCTTCCTACTTGTCAGACTTATCAGGAAAAGAAAAAAAAAAGCCAGATTTTCTGATAGTATATAAAGGAGTTTAGAAATTAGGGAGGCTGAGGCGGGTGGATCACGAGGTCAGGAGATCGAGACCATGCTGGCTAACACGGTGAAACTCCATCTCTACTAAAAATACAAAAAATTAGCTGGGTGTGGTGGCGGGCGCCTGTAGTCCCAGCTACTCGGGAGGCTGAGGCAGGGGAATGGCATGAATCCGGGAGGTGGAGCTTGCAGTGAGCCAAGATATCGCCACTGCACTCCAGCCTGGGCGACAGAGCGAGACTCCATCTCAAAAAAAAAAAAAGAAATTAATCTTTATCTTGTTCTCTTTTATAAAAGAAATGACATATTGTATCTTAAGATGCTATTGATGTAACGCAAGCCATTATTTTATGTACCACTAAGAAAGAAAAAGTGCTCCCAATTAAACTATGATGCACCATTGATGGTAAAATGTCTCCCAATTTCAGAGCTGTTAAAATGTGAAAAAATGTATCTCAGAATCAAAGAAATATGATATGTATCCATTAAAACAATGATTCTTGGTTTAAAATAAATATTCTTTTTTGAAGTTTAATTGGTTAAATTTCATTACACTTCAGTTTTGTGATTTGATAACACATTTTTAGTTTCCCTGTTGTTGTTTAAGTACATATGTTTGAAAATGGCAACAGTAACTGCTTTTAAGTTACTGCTTTTAAGTTAAGTTTTAAGCTTAAAACTACACTAAAACTTATGGAATACGTGTATGATTCCTAAGTCAGAAACCTGATCCTAGCTCATTACACTTGATGACCGACATTTAAACTCTGAAATGGACTAAACTATTTTCTTTAGAAGTCAGTTCTTTTCTTTTCTTGCTGTAGTCTCAGGACAAACTTTTCTTGCTATATTCTCCTGCCTCAGCCTCCCAAATAGCTGGGATTACAGGTGTGTGCCACCACGCCTGGCTAATTTTTGTATTTTTAGTAGAGATAGAGTTTCACCATGTTGACCAGGCTGGTCTCGAACTCCTGACCTCGTGATCCACCCGTCCCGGTCTCCCAAAGTGCTGGGATTACAGGCATGAGCCACTGCACCCGGCCTCCCTTCTCACTTCTAACCAGAGCTCCTCCTCCTCTTCCTTGCTGCAGAAAGAGCCCCAGAGTTTGGGCAATCAACCCCTGCTATCACATCAGGGTTTGCAGCTCTGCCAGCCCCCGTGCCGAGCACTGGGGAAAGATGCCAGACTCAGGTTTTGCCCTGAAAGAGCTCCCAGCCAGTCAACCACAATATGGTATGAGGTAAGCACGGTGACAGTGGGTCACATTCCGCCTAAAGGAGCCAGGGTGACAGGGGAGCCCTATAGGCTTGAAGGCTGACTCATATCAGCAGATAAAGAGAGGAGAAATGCCCTATAGGCAGAGGAAGAGCAACTGCACAGGCAGTGAGACAGGATGACCTAGCATATGCAGGACCAGGGAAAGACTGCATGTGGCTGGAGCACTGGGTTGTGGGGTGGAAGAGACAGGAAAGTGAGGCTGAAGGATATCCAGATAAAGAAGGTTCTCAGTACCAAGCTCAGAATCTGATCCCTAAAGCAACTGAGGTGACTTTGTTTCTATTGCTGTAAGTATTCTCCATTTTCAGGCAGCCCAAATGTGAAGGGGAAGTGCAGAGGTAAGAATTTACGGCTGGGCCTGGGGGCTCATGCCTGTAATCCCAGCATTTTGGGAGGCCGAGGCAGGCGGATCACAAGGTCAGCAGTTTGAGACCAGCCTGGCCAGCATGGTGAAGCCCCGTCTCTTCTAAAAATGCAAAAAATTAGCCGGGCATGGTGGCTTGGCGCCTGTAATCCCAACTACTCAGGAGGCTGAGGCAGGAGAATTGCTTGAGCCTGGGGGGCGGAGGTTGTAGTGAGCCAAGATCACGCCACTGCACACCAGCCTGGGCAACAGCGAGACTACATCTCAAAAAAAAAATAATAATAATTTACAACTGAGGCTAGGTGCAGTGGCTCACACCTGTAATCCCAGCACTTTGGAGGCCAAGGTGGGAGAATCACTTGAGCCCAGGAGTTGAGACCAGCCCAAGCAACATAGAAAGATCCCTGTCTCTACGAAAAGTTAAAAATTAGCCATGCCTCATGGTGAACACCTGTAGTCTCAGCTACTCAGGAAGCTGAGACAAGAGGATCGCTTGAGCCCAGGAGGTTGAGGCTGCAGTGAGCCGTGATTGTGCCACTACATTCCAGCCTGAGTGGAGAGAGCAAGACCTCGGCACTTAAAAAAAAAAAAAAAGAATTTACAAATGAAAGGAAATCTACTTTCTATCACCCAGGCTGGAGTGTAGTGGCATGATCATGGCTCAATGCAACCTCCGCCTCCTGGGTTCGAGCAATCCTCCCACCTCAGCCTCCTGAGTAGCTGGGATTACAGGTGCATACCACCACGCCCACGCCCAGCTAATTTTTTTTTTTTTTTTTTTGAGACAGAGTCTCGTTCTGTCACCAGGCTGGAGTGCAGTGGCGCGGTCTTGGCTCACTGCAACCTCCGCCTCCCAGATTCAAGGCATTCTCCTGCCTCAGCATCCCGAGTAGCTGGGACTACAGGTGTGTGCCACCACGCCCAGCTAATGTTTGTATTTTTAGTAGAGATGGGGTTTCACTGTGCTGGCCAGGATGGTCTCAATCTCTTGACCTCATGATCCGCCAGCCTTGGCCTCCCAAAACGCTGGGATTACAGGCGTGAGCCACCACGCCCAACTTTTTTGTATTTTTTATAGAGACAGGGTTTTGCCATATTGCCCAAGCTGGTCTTGCACTCCTGGGCTCAAGCAATCCACCAACCTAGGCCTCCGAAAGTGCTGGGACTACAGACATGAGCCACCGCCCCCAGCCAGTATATTATTTTGCCCAGTAAGAAAACACTTGGAAATCTGAGATAGGAGTGGTAGATGAAGACAAGGCCCAAGAAGCACTTGGGTCCCCTTGTTATTGAACCTAGAGACCAGGAATCACAAGACAACTACCTTTTTGAGCACCAAAGGCAGTGAGGTATTTCCTGATGACCCTTCGATATTCTTAGCACTTTCTCCCAGTCCATCCTGGTTCATGATCATGGACACAAAGAGATCATACTTCAACAGCTGCCTCAGCAAACCTAGGAAACAAAGGGATTGGGAAGTAAGGCAAGAGGAACACAGGCACCAGAGTACTCCCAAGATAGCCCCTCAGACATCCCCAGAGAAACTTCTTCATCCCTCTACAAATATGAAGAATGGTTAGAATCCTTAAGCACCAATTTGCTTTTTGCACCCGACTCTCTTCCACACAGATCTAGTGAGAGCCCACTAAGTGCTAGGCCTAAGGGTCTAGGGATTCAAGAGTAAGCAAGATAAACATAGCCCGACTGCCTCACTCAACTATAAGTTTCATGAGGGCAGGAATAATGTGAGTTTTTTCAACATAACATCATCCATCACCTGGCACAGTTCCTGACACATAGCAGGAACTCAAAAAATATTTTTTGACTAACAAAGGGAGCATACACTCCTGTAGGAGAAACAAACACAAAAACAAGTAAGACAAGACCAGGCGTGGTGGCTCACACCTGTAATCCCAGCACTTTGGGAGGCCAAGGTGGGTGTATCACTTGAGGTCAGGAGTTCAAGACCAGCCTGGCCAACATGGTGAAACCCCCTCTCTAGTAAAAAAATACAAAAAGTAGCCTGGCATGGAGGCATGTGCCTGTAGTCCCAACTACTCAGGAGGTTGAGGCAGGAGAATCGCTTGAACCCAGCAGACACAGGTTGCAGTGAACTGAGATGGCGTCACTGTACTCCACCCTGGGTGACAGAGTGAAACTCCATCTCAAAAAAAAAAAACCAAGTCAGACAAATGACCCTTATAATTGTGATAAATGATGTAAATGAGAAATACCCAAATACATGAAAATGTATATGAGGATTTAACCCAGTGTGGGGGATCAGTAAAGCCTTCCATCAGCAAGTACCATTTAAGCTGAATCTGAAAAATAAGTACGTAAAAGTAGGTGAAGTGGGGAGAAGTATTCCAGATACAGAGAACAACATTCTAGAAAGTGAAAGAAAGCCAGAATGGCTGGGGGAAAAAAAAGTCCAGAAATTACATTTGAGAAGTAGTCACAAAAGACCACATAAGCTATGTTAAGGATTCTGGTACTTATGCTGGGATTCATGGTAAGTCACCAAAGTGTTCCAAATAATACATACTTTAACAAACAAGTAAAGAAATGCATGTCAGAATATTAAATATTAAAATTAAATAATGTGGAAAAAAGCCCAGAGGACCGCAGGAAATCAAATGAATCATCTAATCTAGCCTGGGGGCCCAGGGAAGGCTTCTATAAGAAGATATTTGAACCAAATCTTGAAGGATGAGAAGTTGGATGTGAGCCAACTTCTGGGCAGAGGAATATATAAAGGCAGGAGAGTATGGTGTGTTCCTGGAGATGGATTTGGTTCAGTAAGGCTGAGTTAGGGTGGGGACAGATAGAGAAGTGAGAGATGAGGCTTGAGAGGTTAATAAGGATTAGACCATAAACAGCTTATGAGCATAGTGGGACCCCATCTCTACAAAAAAAAAAAAAAAAAAAAATTAAAATGCTGGCAAGGTGGCGTGCACCTGTAATACCAGCTACTTGGGAGATCAAGGTGAGAGGATCACTTGAGGCCAGGAGTTCGAGGCTGCAGTGAGCTATGAACATGCTACTGTACTTCAGCCTGGGCAATAGAACAGGTCCCATCTTTAAAAATAAGTAAATTAAATAAAATAAGAACTTATGAGGATCTTGGGTTGTAAAGTAAGTGAATAAGATGACATAAGACAGAATATAAGACCCTTGGTGCTTCAAGGGTCCAAAGGATGTGACTACATCCCTGGCTGAGGGGAGAGGGTGGGAAGGAAAGGCTCCAGAGAAGAGGTGACCTTTAAGTGTTGTCTGAAAGAAGGTTAGCACTCCCGTTGACCAGGATAAAAGAGGCCCTCGGGTCTGACAAACATGCATAGGGTTAATTTTTTTTATTATTTAAAAAAAAAAAAAAAGAGGCTGGCCGCGGTGGCTCACGCCTGTAATCCCAACACTTTGGGAGGCCGAGGCAGGCAGATCACGAGGTCAAGAGATTGACACCATCCTGGCCAACACGGTGAAACCCCGTCTCTACTAAAAATACAAAAATTAGTCGGGCATGGTAGCACGCGCCTGTAGTCCCAGCTACTCGGGAGGCTGTGGCAGGAGAATCACTTGAACCCGGGAGGCAGAGGTTGCAGTGAGCTGAGATCGTGCGACTGCACTCCAGCATGGTGAAAGAGCGAGACTCCATCTCAAAAAAAAAAAAAAAAAAAAGGGGTAGCATTTAAAAACGGGAATTCTGGCTGGGTGTGGTGGTTCATGCCTGTAATCCCAGCACTTCGGAAGTCCAAGGCACGTGGATCTCTTGAGCCCAGCAGTTCAAGACCAGCCTGGGCAATATAATGAGACCCAGACTCTACAAAAAAAAATTTTTTAATTAGCCAGGCACGGGCTGGGCACGGTGACTCATACCTGTAATCCCAGCACTTTGGGAGGCCAAGGCAGGCGAATCACGAGGTCAGGAGATGGAGACTGTCCTGGCTAACACGGTGAAACCCCGTCTCTACTAAAAATACAAAAAAATAGCCAGATGTGGTGGCATGCGCCTGTAGTCCCAGCTACTCAGGAGGCTGAGGCAAGAGAATTGCTTGAACCTGGGAGGCGGAGGTTGCAGCGAGCCGAGATTGTGCCATTGCACTCCAGCCTGGGTGACAGAGCGAGACTCCGTCTCAAAAAAAAAAAAAAAAAAAAAAAAAGAACGGGCGTGGTGGCTAACACCTGTAATCCCAGCACTTTGGGAGGCCGAGGCGGACATATCCTGGGGAGGCCGAGATGGGCGGATCATGAAGTCAAGAGATCGAGACCATCCTGGCTAACATGGTGAAACCCCATCTCTACTAAAAATACAAAAAAAAGGCTGGGCGCAGTGGCTTAAGCCTGTAATCCCAGCACTTTGGGAGGCCGAGGTGGGTGGATCACGAGGTCAGGAGATCGAGACCATCCTGGCTAACATGGTGAAACCCCGTCTCTACTTAAAAAAAAAAAATTCAAAAAATTAGCCGGGCGTGGTGGCAAGCACCTGTAGTCCCAGCTATTCGGGAGGCTGAGGCAGGAGAATGGCGTGAACCTGGGAGGCGGAGCTTGCAGTGAGCAGAGATCACGCCACTCCACTCCAGCCTGGCCAGCAGAGCGAGACTCTGTCTCAAAAAAAATAAAAAATAAAAAATAAATTAGCCGGGCATGGTGGCAGGCGCCTGTAATCTCAGCTACTCGGGAGACTGAGGCAGGAGAATGGCGTGAACCCGGGAGGTGGAGCTTGCAGTGAGCTGAGATCACGCCCACTGCACTCCAGCCTGGGCAACTGTGCCAGACTCCGTCAAAAAAAAAAAAAAAAAATTGAGCCAGGCATAGTAGTGCAGGCTGTGGTCCCAGCTACTCGGTAGGCTGAGGTGGGAAGATCATTTAAGCCCTGGAGGTCAAGGATGCAGTGAGCTGTGATCCTACCACTGCACTCCAGCCTGGGTGACAGAACAAGACCCTGTCTCAAAATAAATAAGTAAATAAAAATTTTAAAAAATAAAAGTGGGAATTCCCAGTATAACCAGTTGAGATTTCCCTCTGCTGTGGTTAGGTGAGCTGTAGGACTGCCAAGGGCCTCACCCTAGGGCCTGTATTTGCACCCTTTTGTTCTATATGCACTAACTCCAACACTGCCCTGCTGCAAGTTACCGCAGATACAGGCTGCTTCATACCTCGTGCTCTGGCCCGTGTTTCTGCCTTCCTCCTCTCCCCCCCAATTTAGGACTCAGTCCAGGCATCCTTTCCTTTAGGAAGCTTCTCCTGTCCCCTGCTCCTACCCTCTGCTGTGCACCTCCAAGATGGCACTCATCACACTAGACTCTAGTTGTCCATGTGTGTCTTCTACACTGGCCTGTGAGCTCCCCTAAGATAAAGCTTGGATTTGATCATCTCTGTGACCTCAGAGCCCAGCACAGGGCCAGCTATAGAACGAATGCTCACTATGTATGGCTAGGTCATTCATAACAGAGCTCCTGATCCAAATTTTGAAAAGAAGCTGCTGTCACCAATAGACTATGCTTTTCTCTACAGCTTCTACCTGAGAACAGGCCCTCAACCAGGCACCAATTACAGTGCCCATCTGTTCTGCCCAAAATAAGAAATCTCCCTGCTTAGAACAGTTGATAGACCTTATGTATTTATGTAAAAAAATAGCAGGAGAGGACGTTAAAAGGGTATGTTGGGGCTTCTAAAGAGCCTCAAGTAACAAGCAGAGAAACCTAGTGCCATGGTTTGAATGTGTTCCCCAAAGTTCATGTGTTGGAAACTGAATCCCCAATGCAGCGGTATCAGGAGCTGGGACCTACGGGTGGTGTTTGGGTCATGAGTTTGGGGTTTGGGTTTGGACCCTCATGAATGAATTAATGCCATCACCATGGGAGTGGGTTTGTTATCATGAGAGTAGGCTCCTCATAAAAGGACAAGTTCAGGCCAGGCACAGTGGCTTGCGCCTTTAATCCCAGCACTTGGGGAGGGCAAGGTGGGCAGATCACCTGAAATCAGGAGTTCGAGACCAGCCTGGGCAACATGGTGAAACCCCGTTTCCACTAAAAATATAAAACTTGGCCGGATGTGATGGTGGGTGCCTGTAATGCCAGCTACTCAGGAGGCTGAGGCATAAGAATCACTTGAACCGGCCGGGCGCGGTGGCTCACGCCTGTAATCCCAGCACTTTGGGAGCCAAGGCGGGTGGATCACGAGGTCAGGAGATCGAGACCATCCTGTCTAACACGGTGAAACCCCGTCTCTCCTAAAAATACAAAAAATTAGCTGGGCATGGTGGCAGGCGCCTGTAGTCCCAGCTACTCGGGAGGCTGAGGCAGGAGAATGGTGTGAACCCGGGAGGCGGAGCTTGCAGTGAGCCAAGATTGCGCCACTGCAGTCCGGCCTGGGCAACAGTGTGAGACTCTGTCTCAAAAAAAAAAAAAAAAAAAAAGAATCACTTGAACCGGGGAGGTAGAGGTTGCAGTGAGCTGAGAAAGCACCACTGGACTCAAGCTGGGCAACAGAGCAAGGCTCTGTCTCAAAAAAAAAGAAAAAAGAAAAAAAAGGACAAGTTCAGTCCCCTCTAGCTTTTTCTCTTGCCCTCTCTTTGCCCTTCCACCATGGGATGACAGAGCAAGAGGGGTTTCACCAACTGCCAGCCTCTTGATCTTGGACTTCCTAGGCTCCAGAACTACAAACCAATAAATTTCTGAACCAATAAGTTTTTCATTATAAATCACCTAGTCTGTGGTATCCTGTTATAGCAGCATAAAATGCACTAAGACACCTAGGCTTTACCCTGGAGGCCAGAGGGAACCATGGAAGAATTTCTGACTTAAGAAAGTGACAGGACGTGAGCTATACAATGTAAAGATTAACTTGCCAGCAAATACAGGATGCACCAGGGCAGGCAGTAAAGGCAGAAAAAATTGCTGTCCCACTTTCCTTCCTATTTTCCTCCAAAGGCAACATTCTTAAGATGTCATACCAACTCTAGGCATCTTTCACACAGTGTGTCTCTTATCTCTCAAGCCTTGTGGCTTCTACCTTTTGCAAAACAGCAAACTTCCCCACTACTAGAGAACCCAATATCTCAAGTCTTCTAGCAAAATGTCAAAAACTTATTCTCCCTTTTTTCTCCAGCCTCATGTCTTACCCAAGCAGTTAATCTGCAGCTCCTTTGTCTGGGCACCATCCAGGATGGAAAGGAAGAGGGGAAAAAGCTTCTCACGGAAGTGTCCTGAAAGCATCTCAGCTGCCACTGGTGAGGAGTATAGCTTCCCATAAAGGTAACAGACAGAAGCTTGTATGCCCTCACTGGGGTATACTAAGCCTCTCAACAGATGCTCCATCAGGTTGCCTGTCCAGAAAACAACCAAGGAGCCAAGGGAAATTTCACAATGTCAACTGCTATATGAAACTCCAATCTATTATTCCTAACGGGGTAGTAATGGTAAGTCCCTATAATCCCCCACAAAAAATGCTTTCTGCATGCTTAATCTAAAGGCAAAACCAAACTGGGCACAGTAACTCACACCTGTAATCCCAGCACTTGGGAAGGCCAAGGCAGAAGGATCACCTAAGGTCAGGAGTTCGAGACCAGCCTGGCCAACAAGACGAGACCCAGCATCTACTAAAAATACAAAAATTAGCCGGGCATGCTGGCACACGCCTGTAATCCCAGCTACTTGAGAAGCTGAGGCAGGAGAATCGCTGAAACCCACGAGGCAGAGGTTGCAGTGAGCCGAGATCATGCCACCACACTCCAGCCTAGGCAACAGAGCGAGACTCCAACTCAAAAAAAAAAAAAAAGAAAAGAAAAAAGAAAAAGAAAGCCAGGTGCAGTGGCTCATTCCTGAAATCTCAGCACTTTGGGAGGCCAAGGTGGGAGGATCACTTGAGACCAGCAGGTTGAGACCAACCTGCTCTACATAGTGAGATCTGGTCTCTAAAAAATAATAATAATTAGGCTGGGCATGGTGCCTCATGGCTGTAATCCCACCACTTTGGGAGGCCGAGGTGGGCAGATCACTTGAAGTCAGGAGTTCAAGACCAGTCTGGCCAACATGGCGAAACCCCACCTCTACTAAAAATACAAAAATTAGCCTGGTGTTGTGGCGGACGCCTATAATCCCAGCTACTCAGGAGGCTGAAGCAGGAAAATCACTTGAACCTGGGAGGCAGAGATTTCAGTAAGCCAAGATCATGCCACTGCGCTGTAGCCCGGTTCTGTCTCAAAAAATTATTATTATTATTATTAATTTTTTTAAAAAGGGGAAACCAACTTAAAGAAGTTATTTACCCTTTGGTAAATCCTCTGGGAGATATTTATTTGCATTTCACTGACAGAAAAAAGTGCTTCTATATTCCAGAATTCCTCCTTCCATCCAAAAGGAAGGTTCATAGTAGGTACTTAATTAATTTGTGTTAAAGAATGAATGGAGCCGGGCGTGGTGGCTCACACCTGTAATCCCAGCACTTTGGGAGACTGAGGCGGGTCCAACAGCAGGTCAGGAGATCGAGACCATCCTGGCTAACATGGTGAAACTCCGTCTCTACTAAAAATACAAAAAATTAGCCAGGCATGGTGGCAGGCGCCTGTAGTCCAAGCTACTCGGGAGGCTGAGGCAGTAGAATGGCGTGAACCCGGGAGGCAGAGCTTGCAGTGAGCCGAGATCGCGCCACTGCACTCCAGCCTGGGCAACAGAGCAAGACTCGTCTCAGGGAAAAAAAAAAAAAAAAAAGAATGAATGGAAGGCCAGCGTGGTGGCTCACGCCTGTAATCCCAGCACTTTGGGAGGCTGAGGCAGGCGGATCACCTGAGGTTGGGAGGTCAAGACCAGCCTGACCAACATGGAGAAACCCCGTCTCTACCAAAAATACAAAATTAGTCCAGCGTGGTGGCACATGCCTGTAATCCCAGCTACTCGGGAGGCTGAGGTAGGAGAATCGCTTGAACCCGGGAGGTGGAGGTTGCAGTGAGTCGAGATTGCGCCATTGCACTCCAGCCTGGGCAACAAGAGCAAGACTCCGTCTCAAAAAAAAAAAAAAAAAAAAAAAAAAAAAAAAAAAAAAGAATGAATGGAAATAGTCCAAGAATAGAGTCAAAAAACTGACCTTTTTCAAATTGACCGACATACAGTACATTTTGCAGACGGGGAAACTGAAGGCTAAAGCAGGAAAGTAATGACTTCCCAGGTGTACAGAGTGAATGGGACACCCAAATGGCAGTATGATAAAAGCAGGTAAAAGGGTAGTGGCAGCTCCTCCCACAGGTCACTCACCATGCTCCATTACAAGCTCGTCTGCCAGAGCAGGGATGGCATCCACCAACTTGCCAAGAAGGGTCAGGGTGGCCAGGCTGCCTCGCATGGAGGGCATGTTACACAGCTACAGAAAGTGAATATGCTCCATTCTGTCAATTAGGATCAGGACAGATCTTCCACCAAAACTGATCTTTCCCTACCCACACCAATGCCTGTATTGCATGTGTCTCTCACCACAGTCAGCAATCAGCTTTTTTAGCTTAGTGTCCAGCTCCCCCACTGGACTGGGAACTCCCAGAGGAAAGGGACTGAGTCCTCTCAGAGTCCTCAGTACCTAGCTCAGTGCATGTTTGTTAAACTGAATTAAAATCTACATATTTTGCCTCCATAGAACCAGAAGTTGGGGGACAAAAGTTTGAAATGTCATAAAGACAGAACACTGACTCGATGCAAAAAAAAAAAATTATTGTTGGCCAGGCGTGGTGGCTCACGCTGTAATCCCAGCATTTTGGGAGGCCGAGGCGGGCGGATCACGAGGTCAGGAGATCGAGACCATCCTGGCTAACACAGTGAAACCCCGTCTCTACTAAAAGTACAAAAAATTAGCCGGGTGTGGTGGGAGGCGCCTGTAGTCCCAGCTACTCGGGAGGCTGAGGCAGGAGAATGGCGTGAACCCGGGAGGCGGAGCTTGCAGTGAGCCAAGATTGCGCCACTGCACTCCAGCCTGGGAAACAGTGAAAGACTCCGTCTCAAAAAAAAAAAAAAAATTATTGTTATCATAGTTATTATAGCTCCTATTACTGAACATTCTCTGTATACCAGGCACTATGCTTCATGCTTTACAGGGAGAGTCAATAGTCCATATTTTACCTTTTCTATTGACTAGCTAGTCATACCACTTTTGGCAAGATTCTTAACTCTGGTGGGAAATAATAATAGTAACAGCTTTATAGGGTTGTTGATAGGGCTGAATGAGATATTACATATAAACCACCTCATACAATCCCTAGCCCATAGAAAGTGCTCAATAAATGTTAAGTGGCATCATCTCATCATAATCATAAGCACTGATATATATAATTATAAATTCAATCTGACATATTAATCATATGTAAAATAACTATGATATAATTGAAATATAATTTATAATGAAATGTTCTTGATGGTTTTAACAAGATAAACATTTGTTTTCCTTCTGCAAATTAAATAAAAAGTTATTCTGATATTATTCCTCAGTCTTAAATACAACACAAAAGCTGCTCTTTAACTGATATTTTTTTTTTTTAGATGGAGTCTTGCTTTGTCACCCAGGCTGGGGTGCAGTGGTGCGATCTCAGCTCACTGCAAACTCCACCTCCTGGGTTCATGCAATTCCCCTGCCTCAGCCTCCCCAGTAGCTGGGATTACTTGCATGCACCACCACGCCCAGCTAATTTTTTTTTTTTTTTGTATTTTTAGTAGAGACGGGGTTTCACCATAATGGCCAGGCTGATCTCGAACTCCTGACCTCAAGTGATCCACCCACCTCAGCCTCCCAAAGTGCTGGGATTACAGGTGTGAGCCATTGTGCCTGGCTAACTAATTTCTTTGACTACACTGAAGAAAGCAGATTAAACATACCATATCCACTCAATGCTTACCTCAGATAGAAGCAAACGCCTTCAGTACAAAGTAAGCTGATAGAACCAAACACCTTCAGTACTAAGTAATGTATACAATTCAAAATTAAATAAAACCACCAAAACAAGACATAGAGAACATATTTCCTTGACAACTTCATCAAGGAAATCTGTATTATAATTAGGAAGTCACGGAAAATGAACCATGGGATGATTATGCCAGAAAGATGGCACTTCATTGCATGGAGGTAACATTTGGGAGATTGAAAGGGGAAAGAAGAAAGCTGTAAAGAACACTGGAGCATGATCAGTGGACCCAGGCCTTAGCTCTGACTCTGCCACCAACTCAGTGACCTCAGGAAAGCTCCTTTTCCTCCCTGGACTTCAATCTCTCATTTGTTCAAAGGGTTGACCCAGCTCTGACATCTGAGGATTCTGAGAGACTCAAGAACCCATAGCTATTTTCTGACCTCTTTGTGGCACTCATCCAGCAGGCAACGGATAGTCTGCTCCAGCTTCAGCTGCGTTGTGATCTGAATAAGGACTGAACAGACACAACAGTATTACTAACCAGGAGGCACCCCCAACCCAGAGTCCACCTTCCATGGCCCTTCTACTCAATCAGTGCAGGATAGTGATTTGCCTGGGCTAATTGGTATTATACTTTTCTATTTCTTCCATTTAACTATGTGTGCACAGGCCAGGCACAGTGGCTCACATCTGTAATCCCAGCACTTTGGGAGGCCGAGGCAGGCGGATCACCTGAGGTGAGGAATTTGAGACCAGCCTGACCAACATGGAGAAACCTCGTCTCTATTAGAAAAACAAAATTAGCCGGACATGGAGGTGCAGGCCTGTAATCCCAGCTACTCGGGAGGTTGAGGCAGGAGAATTGCTTGAACCCGGCAGGCGGAGGTTGTAGTGAGCCAAGATCGTGCCATTGCACTCCAGCATGGGCAACGAGAGCAAAAACTCTGTCTCAAAAACAAAACAAAACAAAACAAAAAAACAACTATGTGTGCACATCTAAACTAAAGGAGTTCTGGCTTCTTTTTTTTTTTTCTTTTGATTTTGCTTTTGCTTTGTTTAGAGACAGGGTCATCCAGGCTAAAGTGCAGTGGTGTGATCATAGCTCACTGCAGCCTTGAACTCCTGGGCTCAAGCAATCCTCCCACTCAGGCTCTCAAGCAGCTGGGACTACAGGTACATGCCACTATGCCTGGCTAATTTTTTAATTTTTTTGTAGGGACAGGGTCTGTACTGCCCAGGGTAATCTCAAATGCCTGGGCTTCAGCAGTCCTCCTGCCTGTCTCCCAAAGTGCTGGGATAATAGGTGTGAGTCACCATGCCTGGCCTTCTTTGATTTATTATCAGTGGTTCTCAACTCAGGCTGCACATTAGACTCACCTAGGAAGCTTTAAAAAAATTCTAATGCCCAGCCGGGCGCGGTGGCTCACGCATGTAATCCCAGCGCTTTGGGAGGCCGAGATGGGCGGATCACGAGGTCAGGAGATGGAGACCATCCTGGCTAACACGGTGAAACCCCGTCTCTGCTAAAAATACAAAAAAATTAGCCAGGTATGGTGGCAGGCATCTGTGGTCCCAGCTACTCAGGAGGCTGAGGCAGGAGAATGGCATGAATCTGGGAGGTGGAGTTTGTAGTGAGCCGAGATCACGCCACTGCACTCCAGCCTGGGCAACAGAGCGAGACTCCATCTCTAAAAAAAAAAAAAAAACAAACAAACAAAACTAATACCCAAGTCCCACCCCAGACCAATTGAATGTCTAAGGGAAAAGCCCAATATATTGTTTTGTTTAATGTGAATATATATATATATTGCTCCACACACACACACACACACACACACACACATCTATTTCTATTTAAATATACTTAAATATATTTAAATGTTTTATACTTTAAAATATTTTTCTAAATATAAAATTCTAGTGTATTTCTAAAGTTCTCCAGGTAAGTCTATTGTGAAGCCAGGTTTGAAAACTGCTTTTGAGCCGGGCGCAGTGGCTCACGCCTGTAATCCCAGCACTTTGGGAGGCCAAGGCGGGTGGATCACGAGGTCAGGAGATCAAGACCATCCTGGCTAACACGGTGAAACCCCATCTCTACTAAAAATACAAAAAAATTAGCCGGGCGTGGTGGTGGGCGCCTGTAGTCCCAGCTACTCGGGAGACCGAGGCAGGAGAATGGCGTGAACCCAGGAGGTGGAGCTTGCAGTGAGCCAAGATCGCGCCACTGCACTCCAGCCTGGGCAACAGAGCGAGACTCCGTATCAAAGAAACAAACAAACAAACAAAAAAAACACAATGCTTTTTTTTTTTTGAGCCGGAGTTTTACTCTTGTTGCCCAGGCTGGAGTGCACTGGCATGATCTCGCCTCACTGCAACTTCTGCCTCCTGGGTTCAAGTGATTCTCCTGCCTCAGCCTCCCGAGTAGTTGGGATTACAGGCACCCGCCCCCCACGCCTGGCTAATTTTTTATACTTTTAGTAGAGATGGGGCTTCTACATGTTGGCCAGGCTGGTCTCGAACTCCTAACCTCAGGTGATCCGCCCGCCTTGGCCTCCCAGGGACTATAGGTGTGAGCCACTGTGCCTGGCCAAAAACTGCTATTTTATATTATCTCTACTATTTCTTTCCTCAGTTTGCTCCTTTATATATACTAAAAAAAAAGAATTATAGGCAAGTTCCTATAGCCAATTATTACAACATTATCTCTTAGCTCCAAACCCACCCTTCTCTACAATCATTTGTGGTACTTCTGCTGGTGGCTTTGAGGAGAGATTTGGTAAGGTTGGAAAAGCTGCAAACTAAATTCAGCAGCTGCTGTGGGAAGGTTCTGTCACTGGAGGTTCAAGAAGCATTCTAGGCGAACACGCACAGAAACAAGAAGCAGGAAGAAAGCAAACAGGAACCATGAGGAAGGAGCAAGTCCTTCACCCCTCACCCTTAGTCTTCCTCTAGTGCTTTCCACCTAGGTGAAGTTCCTGAGGTCTGATGGTTCTGCAAGCCATGCTGATACCAACCAGAAGTGGATGGCTGCAGGATTGTAGCCCCACTCAAGGGTGGCCTAGAAGGAAAATGATGAAGGAAAATCCCCCGGGGGGTCAGAACGGATCATGAGGTCAAGAAATCGAGACCATCCTGGCTAACACGGTGAAATCGTCTCTACTAAAAATACAAAAAAATTAGCCGGGCGCAATGGCGGGCGCCTATAGTCCCAGCTACTCGGGAGGCTGAGGCAGGAGAATGGCGTGAACCCAGGAGGCAGAGCTTGCAGTGAGCCGAGATCGCGCCACTGCACTCCAGCCTGGGCAACAGAGTGAGATTGTCTCAAAAAAAAAGAAAAAAAAAGAAATACTGGTGACAATGAGGCCTGGAGAAGAAGATGGACCTTTCAGAGGGAGCATAAAGTGGGAAGACACTTGTCTCTTGTGTGAATGCTCCCTAAAGAACATCTATTAAAGAAGAGATTCTCAGTAACCAGGTAGTCAAAATGGCACATTTTGTGAATGCTAATCCACCTGTTTCCCTCACCATCAAGTGCTTATTCAATGGATCCATGTACAAGTTGGCTATGGTGGCAGAGCTGGAGGCTATGCGCTGGGCTCAACAACACGGACTTTCCCTTGTCAAGGCTAAATTGATTACTGCTATGACTGAGTGCCTAACCTGCCAACAGCAAATGGAGAGGCAGAGATTTGTCCTCACTGGAATAAACATGTATTCTGAATACAGACTTGCCTTCCCAAACCATGATACTTCTGCCAAAAACACATTTGTAAGCTTACAGAATGGCTTATTCAATATCATGGTATTCTGCACAACATCACTTGGATTAAGGAACTCATTTCACAAAAGAAGTGAGGCAATGGGATCACACCCATAAAATTCACTGCCCTTATCCCATACTCTATCAGCTGGAACCACCTGACCTAAAAGAATGTGGAATGGCCTCTGAAGACTCAGTTATTCCACCATCTGAAAGACACCACTCTGAAAGGATAGGGTTCTATCTTCCATGTGGTATATATTTTGATGCGGTGATCAACATTCGGTGCTGTCTTACCCACAGTAGAATACATGGGTCAGAGAATCAAGGGGTAAAGTGGGAGTCATTTCCCTATTACACTTACTAACCCACTTGCAGAATTTTTGTATCCTATAATAGCTCACTAGGGCTTCCATAATAAAATACCACAGACTGGATGGCTTAAACAACAGAAATTTTCTCACAGTTCTTGAGGTTGAAAGCCCAAGATCAAAGTGTCAGCAGATTTGGTTTCTTCTGAGGCCTCTCTTCCTGGCTTGCAGACGGCTACCTTCTCACTTGCCCTCACATGGTCTTTGCTTGGTGCACACACACCCCTGGTGTCTCTGTGTGTGTGTTCAAATTTGCTCTTCTTATAAGGATACTAGTCAGATTGGATTAGGGTCCATCCTAATTGCCTCATTTTAGCTTAATCAACTTTTTAAAGGCCCTATCCCCAAAGACACTCACATTCAGAGGTTCTGAGAGTTAGGGCTTCCACATATAAATTTGCCGGGGGTGGGGGGTACATATAAATTTAGCCCACAACATATCCTATCCTGCAACTTTGGGCTCTGCTAAAGATCTTAGTTCCTAAGGAAAGAATGCTTCCATGAGAGGTCACACAATGGTTTCATTGAATTAGAAGTTGTGACTATCATCTGGCCATTTTGAGGCCTCATGTCATTCAACCAATAGGCAAATAAGGGATTATTCTACTACCTGGAATGACTGATCCCAATATCCAGGGGAAACTCAGTTGCCACTAACAATAATGGCAAGGAGGACTATGTCTGGAACCAGGTATTCTCTGGGGCTCTTCTTACTAGTCTCATATTCAATAGTAAAAGTTAATGAAAAACATCAGCAACCAAAAAAAAAGGAAGAGCCACTGAAGATTCAGACCTTTCAGAAGAAGAGGCGAGAACAACCCCTGGACCGACCAAAGCCCGTGTGCCGCTGCATCCCGCGCACAGCACCTACATCCCGCTGCCGTCGCTGCTGCCACCATGCCCAAGACAAAGGCTGAAGGTGATGCTAAAGGAGATAAAGCCAAGGTGAAGGACGAACCACAGAGAAGATCCACAAGGTTGTCTGCAAAATCTGCTCCTCCAAAGCCAGAGCCCAAGCCTAAAAAGGCCCCTGCAAAGAAGAGAAGGTACCCAAAGGGAAAAAGGGAAAAGTGGATGCTGGCAAGGAAGGGAATAACCCTGCAGAAAATGGAGATGCCAAGACAGACCAGGCACAGAAAGCTGAAGGTGCTGGAGATGCCAAGTGAAGTGTGTACATTTTTGGTAACTGTGTACTTCTGGTGACTGTACAGTTTGAAATACTATTTTTTATCAAGTTTTATAAAAATGCAGAATTTTTTTAAGCTATGTTGTTAGCACACAGAACACTTCACTGTTATATTTTGGGGAAGGGGCATATGTCACTAATAGAATGTCTTCACAGCTGGACTGATGTGGGGAAACATCTTTCCCTTCTAGTTGTGAGAGACTTCCTCTTGGCTCCCAGGAGGAGGGATTCCCTGACTTTGACACACGTGGCCACTTTGGCACAAAAGCCTTGTGGTATGGAAAAACAAATTCGTTTTTATGTCCTCTTCTCCCTCTCTACCTTTCAGCATAGACTTAACTCCCTTAAGACCCAGACATCTGTTGGGACCTGACCCCTAATCATTGGTTACCAGTGTGTCAGGCAATCTAGACTTTCCAGTGATGCCACTGAGATGGCATCTGTCGAAAGAACAGTGCCTCCATTTTTAGATTGTGGATCTTCAGATAAATTCTGCCATTTTCATTTCACTTCCTGAAAGTCAGGGTCGGCTTGTTTAAAGTTGTTAAACAACATGCTAAATGTGAAATGTCAACCCTCACTCTAAACTTTTCCTGTTCAGAGCATCAGATGAAGACTTCATTGGGTTTTATAGTGGCTTTCCGATTTTTGGTATCCACTGAAGACGGGAGTTTGAAAGTTGTTGTATACTGTTAACGACTGTCTGCCCATGTCCTGCCTGAAATACCATGACTGTTTATGGAAAGTATCTTTAATAAAGCTGGATACAGTTTGGCTTGGAAAAAAAAAAAAAAGATTCAGACCTTTCAGGAATGAAGGTGTGAGTCACCCTACCATGTAAAAACCCTGACCAGTTGAGACCCTCGTTGAAGGCAAAGGATACATAGAACAAACACCATTAAGAAGGAAATTATAAATATTAACTATATCGTTTTGACCAGTTATGAAAATGAAGATTGTAATATATTTCTGTAACTGTTTTCTTCTCTCTCCTTTTTTCCTTATTGTTTGTACAAGTTTTGGTGGAGGTTAGCTTTAAAATTTAGTCTTTCGGTAACAGAATATTCATATAGGACTGTGATTGAATTTAAAAATAAATTATTAACCTCCTTATGTTGGGGACAAATTGACAATGGCTTAGTCTGTATGAAGTATATGAATGAAGGATAGTTACATCTTGTTAGGTAAACAAAAAGTTGTTTTTGTTCTATGGGAGTTCAAATATGTGGAGAAGGGTGTTTGGACACCAAGTAGCCAAAGGAATGGATCAAACCAGTTATTACACTATTGTCTTTGAGCTCCAGAACCCACCCTGTAATCTGCCTTGGAAGACTAAGACTGGACTCTGCAAATCACATTTTTGCTTTGCTAGCTGAACCTCATTAAGCTCTGCCAATAATGAGCACTAGAAAGAGATGGCAAGGCTATAGGAAGAAGGGATTTGCTCCTTCCTTTTTGTTTCCTATGGGTTTCCTGTCTGCTTCCCATTCATGTAAGTCTTCCCATTCATATAAGTCTTCCCATTCATGTAAGTATCCCCTTAACACTTTTTTTTTAAGAGACAGTCTTGCTATGTTGCCCATGTTGGACTTGAACTCCTGAGCTCAAGTGATCCTCTCACCTCAATCTCCTGAGTAGCTAGGACCACAGACCCACACAATTAAGATGCCTGGCACCTTAGCACTTCTTTATCCTGGCAGTGGCAGTGCCATTCTATGACAGCAGCCGAATCCAGCCTGCAGTTTTTCCAGAACCACCTTCATTGCATCTCTCCTCCTCCAGAGACAACGGTATTATCTAGTCAGTGCCACTCAGAGGTCTGAGTTTCATAACTAGGCCCTTCCTCCAAACTTCTAAGTTTTAACAATTCCAGCCTCTTTCCTTTGTTCCCCCAGCCCCAGTGAGGGAGTTGTTTTCTATAATTGCTATCTCCATGAAAATTTGGTTGTTCTCTTTTTCTTCAGTTACCTACTTAACCAACATTATTTTTTTAATTGAGACAGGGTCTCACTGTATCACCCAAGTTGAAGTGCAGTGGCGCGATCTCAGCTCACTGCAACCTCCACCTCCCGGGTTCAAGTGATTCTCCTGCCTCTGCCTCCCAAGTAGCTGGGATTACAGGTGCCCGCCACCGCGCCCGGCTAATTTTTTTTTTTTTTTTTTTTTTTTTGGTAGAGATGGGGTTTCACCATGTTGGCCAGGCTGGTCTCGAACTCATGACTTCAAGTGATCCACAGGCCTAAGCCTCCCAAAGTGCTGGGATTACAGGCGTGAGCCACTGCGCCCGGCCTACTTAACCATTCTTTAAAGTTTTTTTCTATTCAAATAATTGGTGTGGTTTCTATTTCCTGACTGGATCCTAACTAGTACAATTCTCACTCTCTCTGCAAGAATCGTCACATACCAGGGCTCTTACCTTCTTTCTCTACAAACCCTTTATAGGTAAACCCATGCGCTTCGACAATTTTTGTTTTTTTTTTTTAAGAGAAAGGGGTCTCACTTTGTCATCCACGCTAGAGTGCAGTGGGATGATCATAGCTCACTGTCACCTCAAACTCCTGGACTCAAGGGATCCTCCCACCTCAGCCTCCCGAGTAGCTAGGACTACAGGCATGTTGTACCATGCTCAGTCCACTTCAACAGTTTTAACCACCATCTGTGTGCAGACAACTTTCAATGAACCAATACGAGATGTACTAAAAAAGAGTTTTGTATGTGCCTTTGTAACAGCACTCATCAAATCTAGTTATTTGCCTGTCAGTCAATCTCTTCTCCAGATTGTAAGCTCCTAGAGGACAGGGACCATGTCTTATCTATCTATGTATCCGTAGTGCCTGATCCAGTATCTAGCACAGAGTAAATACCCAAGGAAAAAATGTAAGGCCAGGAATGGTGACTCACGCCTATAATCCCAGCACTTTGGGAAGCCAAGCAGGAGGATTGCTTGAGAATAGCCGTTTGAGACCAGCCTAGTCAATATGGTAAGTCCCTGTCTCAACGAAAAGAAATTTTTTTAGCCAGTCATGGTAGTGCACACCTGTAGTCCCAGATACTCGGGAGGCTGAGGCGGGAAGATTGCTTGAACCCAGGAGTTCAAGGCTGCAGTGAGCTATGATTGTACCACTGCACTCCAGCCTGGGTGACAGAATGAGCCCATGTCTCAACAAAAAGAAGAGAGAGAGAAAAAGAAAGACTGGGTGCAGTGGCTCATGCCTGTAATCCCAGCACTTTGGGAGGCTGAGGCAGGCAGATCGCCTGAGGTCAGGAGCTCGAGACCAGCTTAGCCAGCATGATGAAACCCTGTCTCTACTCAAAATACAAAAATTAGCTGGGTGTGGTGGCAGATGCCTGTAATCCCAGCTACTCGGGAAGCTGAGGCAGGAGAATCGCTTGAACCCGCGAGGCAGAGGTTGCAGTGAGCTGAGATTGCACCACCGCACTCCAGCCTGGGCAACAGAGCAAGATTCCGTCTCAAAAAAAAAAAAAAAAAGTAAAAAACAAATGTTGAATTAGTGATTGAAAACTAATGGGGTTCCTCTTATCTGTGTCTAAACAGACAATTTCGCCAAGGTCTCAAGTAACCAGAGCTGCAATTCAGACTAATACTTTCATCTTCAAGTGCTAGATACAAGGTTTCAACTTACCTTCAATACAGAGGTCTGTCACACTCCCATCTTCCATGCTGCATAATAGTCCTTGGAGCAGAGGGAGGTAAGAAAGGGGTGGTTAGGCAGGGCGCGGTGGCACACATCTGTACCCCAGCAATTTGGGAGGCCGAGGTGGCAGATTACCTGAGGTCAGGAATTCAAGAAAAGCCTGACCAATATGGCGAAACCCTCTCTCTACTAAAAACACAAAAATTAGCCGGGAGTAGTGGCCTGTGCCTGTAGTCCCAGCTACTCAGGAGGCTGAGGCAGGAGAATCACTTGAACCCAGGAGGCAGAGATTACAAGGAGCTGAGACTGCACCACTGCACTCCAGCCTGGGCAACACAGACTGTCTCAAGAAAAAAAAAAAAAAAAGGAGTGGTTAAGAGTTCTCTTCAAAGAGAAATAGACCCACACAGGCACATTGTAAATTCTAAGTCTAAAAGCAGCTATAAACAATGTTCCAGCTAAATTCTACTCTCAGCACCAAATACTTTGACTTTCGATGACCTGCCCAGGCTTTAAAAAGATAACAATTGGCCGGGCGCGGTGGCTCACGCCTGTAATTCCAGCACTTTGGGAGGCTGAGGCAGGTGGATCACGAGGTCAGGAGATCGAGACCATCCTGGCTAACACAGTGAAATCCCACCTCTACTAAAAATTCAAAAAATTAGCCAGGCGTGGTGACGGGCACCTGTAGTCCCAGCTACTCGGGAAGCTGAGTCAGGAGAATGGCGTGAACCTGGGAGGCGGAGCTTGAAGTGAGCCAAGATCATGCCACCGCACTCCAGTCTGGGTGACAGAGCAAGACTCCATCTCAAAAAAAGATAAGAATTGTGGCAGGGTGCAGTGGCTCATGCCTGTAATCCTAGCATTTTGGGAGGCCAAGGCAGGCAGATCACCTGAGGTTGGGAGTTCGAGACCAGCCTGGCCAACATGGCAAAACCCCATCTCTACTAAAAATGCAAAAATTGGCCGGGCATGGTGGCACATGCCTGTAATCCCAGCTACTCGGGAGGCTGAGACAGGAGAATTGCTTGAACTCAGGAGGTGGAGGTTGCAGTGAGCTGAGATCACGCCACTGGACTCCGGCCTGGGCGAAAGAGCGAGACACCATCTCAAAAAAAAAAAAAAAAAGGGTAAGAATTGTCAATGCGGTACAGCAAAAAAAAACCCCATGTGCTCTGGTGTCTATGACAGACCTGGGATAAAATTCTAGTTCTGTCACTTGTTAGCATAAATTCCCTGAAGCTTGGAGATCATCCTAGCTCCCTTAAAAATTGTCTTGGCAGTTAAAAGCCTGAAAAGTCTCTGGCACAGAAAAGCAGTAAATACAAGTTAGCTGCCTTCCTCCCTGAAAGGGCTCATTCCACTGGACATTACCGTCACATTAAAAGAAAGAACATCAGATAAAATTTAATCTATCATACTTCACACATGAAGATATTAAGGCACAGGAGAGGGAAAGTAAGTTGAGCAGGGTCATACCTAGGTCAGCAGACTCCATTCTGGTCCTGTACAAAGACCGTGTATACTGGACTCTTTGAAGAATTTTTATTTTTGTTGAGACGGGACTCTTGCTCTGTCACCCAGGCTGGAGTGTGGTGGCACGAACTGGTCTCACTGCAACCTCCACCTCCAGGGTTCAAGCAATTCTCATGCCTCGGCCTCCCAAGTAGCTGGGACTACAGGCACGCGCCACCACACTGAGCTAATTTTTGTTATTTTTAGTAGAGATGGGGGTTTTACCATGTTGACCAGGCTAGTCTCTAACTCTTGACCTCAAGTGATCTACCCACTTCAGCCTCCCAAAGTGCTGGGACTACAGGCATGAGCCACCACGCCCGGCCAACATTTCCCATTTTCATCTTCTTACTTTTACTAACTTCTTGGCTCTAGTAAAGTCAGTTACTGTAAAATGCATCTTGGATCTTAGAAAAAGGGCCATTTCTACATCATTATGACAAAACAATTTGCTGATAAAGTATTACAATACAAAAAACCTAAATCATCTAAGATCATTTTTCCAAGAGCCCCAAAAGCAGATATACATACTATACATTCAAAACTCATGTCAAATTTCCCTCTTAATCTTACCAAAAAGCACACTTATGAAGTGGATGCAGACTCTCTGATCCTGAGACACCAGTTGCGTGACCAGGGAGGTATGCCTCACAAGGGCATCTTGGAAGCAGGACAACATGTGCTTCTTGCGCACTAACTTGAAGCAAATGAAGAAAAACATTCAATAGCAACCAAATTTTGGCTATTCTGAATCCAACAACCGTAATTTCCAAATACAATTACAAGATGATACAAGGGATCATTTAAACTACGGTGAGATCCATACTCCTTCAAGGGAGGTTGGAAAAGGATATCATTTACGCAGAGGAATCCATGTATTCATACAGAAGATTATACATGAGCTAAGGTTCCTAATGCCCTATATTTACATAGCAATTTATTTTTCACAAATCATTTTTGTCCACCAGCTCATTTAAGCCTAACAAGTTGGTGAGGAAAGCAAAAACAGAGGCCGGGCCCGGTGATTCACACCTGTAATTCCAGCACTTTGGGAGGCCAAGGCGGGCGTATCACGAGCTCAAGAGTTCCAGACCAGCATGGCCAACATGGTGCAACTCTATCTCAACTAAAAATAAAAAAATTACTCGGGCATGGTGGCAGGTGCCTGTAAACCCAGGGAGGCGGAGGTTGCAGTGAGCCGAGATAGCGCCACTGCATTCCAGCCTGGGGGACAAGAGCAAGATTTTGTCTCAAAAAAAAAAGAAAAGAAAAGTGTGTTCAGAGGCCGGGCATGGTGGCTCACGCCTGTAATCCCAACATTTTGGGAGGCCGAAGCAGGCAGATCACCTGAGGTTGGGAGTTCGAGACTGGCCTGACCAACATGGAGAAACCCGGTTTCTACTAAGAATACAAAATTAGCTAGGCGTGGTGGCGCATGCCTATATCCCCAGCTAATTGGGAGGCTGAGGCAGGAGAATCACTTGAATCTGGGAGGGGAGGTTGCGGTGAGCCAAGATCGCGCCATTGCACTACAGCCTGGACAAGAGGAAAACTGTCTCAAAAAAAAAAAAAGAAAAAAAGTGTGTTCAAGCCGGGTGCAGTGGCTCACACCTGTAATCCCAACTTTGGGAGGCCAATGTGGGTGGCTCACCTGAGGTCAGGCATTCGAGACCAGCCTGGCCAACATGGTGAAACCTCTTCTCTACTAAAAATACAAAAATTAGCCGTGCATGGTGGCAGGCGCCTGTAATCCCAGCTACTCAGAAGGCTGAGGCAGAAGAATCGCTTGAACCTGGGAGGCAGAGGTTGCAGTGAGCCAAGATTGCGCCATTGCACTCCAGCCTGGGCAACGAGAGCGAAACCATCTCAAAAGAAAAGTGTGCTCAATAAAAGGTAGAAGTTGCATCTCTTATTGCTTCTCATCTGTGCTACTGTAAGGCTCCTGTTTTTCCTTCACCAATTCATCCTACGTAATAGATTAAGGTAGTGATCTATATGAGCTACTCAAAAAATCCTAGTAACTCTCCTTCATCTGACAGATTATGTTCAAGCTCCTTAGCTGGGTTTCAAACTCTTCAAGTAACTGTCCTCAACCTGTCTCTCCAATCTCATCTCTTTCACTTTCCCTTCAAACACTCTGATTATCCCCAAAACCCATCCTTATAATACCTACCTCCTGGGATAATCAGCCTCCCACTTCCTCTGGTCCAAATCTCACCCATCTTCTTAAACCTAATTTGAATGCTTCCTCCTCTAAGAAACCTTTCCTAATTCCTCTCCTTACCCTGAACAGCACTTGACTACAAACATGTTCATTCTTCTAAGTTCTAACATGTTCTCTTATTTCTCCCCGCTGCACTGTCTTATTCATCTCTGATTTACTGTCCAAGAAAAGCAGCCTCAGAATTTCCATCCTTAATGAAAATTCAGAGGTTATTAGCTAGTTTACGAGTTCCCAGAGCACAGTGTGGGAATTCCTAAGGGTGCCTAAAACACTTCCCAGAGGTCCACAAGAACAAAAATATTTTCATATAATATTAAAATGTTCTTAGTCTTCCTCATTTTTTTTTAAATTTTTTCCATGTTGGCCAGGCTGGTCTTGAACTTCTGGCCTCGTGATCCAACCACCTCGGCCTCCCAAAGTGCTGGGATTACAGGTGTGAGCCACCGGACCCGGCCCAGTCTTTCTCATTCTTATTCTCCCACAAGTGTACAGTGGAGTTTTTGAGACTATATGACATGATAGCACAACAGACTGAATGCAGAAATAGATAAAAATCCAGCTGTTTGGCCGGGTGTGGTGGCTCACGTCTTTAATCCCAACACTTTGGGAGGCTGAGGCAGGCAGATCACCTGAGGTTGGGAGTTCAACACCAACCTGACCAACATGGAGAAACCCCGTCTATACTAAAAATACAAAATTAGCTGGGCGTAGTGACGCATGCATGTAATCCCAGCTACTCGGAAGGCTGAGGCAGGAGAATCGCTTGAACCCGGGAGGCGGAGGTTGCGGTGAGCTGAGATTGCGCCATTGCACTCCAGCCTGGGCAACAAGAGTGAAACTCCATCTCAAAAAAAAAAAAAAAAAGAAAGAAAGAAATCAAAATATTTGAGAACGCAGCCAGGCACGGTGGCTCACAGATGCAATCCCAACACTTTGGACTTTGGGAGGTCAAGGCAGGAGAATTGCTTGAGACTAGGAGTTCAAGACCAGCCTGGGCAACACAGGGAGACCCCCGGGACCGTTTCTACAAAAAAAAAAAAAAAAAAAAAAAAAATTGAGAACTGCTGATCTAGCCAATCCACCCACTCACGAATTCCCCTCCCATGAATTGGAGAGAAACTTGACCTCCCAAAGTCTTCTTGGATGCCTCCATGGACAAGAAAACTCACTGCAGGTCGGGCACCGTGGCTCACGCCTATAATCCCAGCACTATGGGAAGCCGAGGCGGGTGGATCACCTGAGGTCAAGAGTTCGAGACCAGCCTGGCCAACATGATGAAACTCCGTCTCTACTAAAAATAGAGAAATTAGCCGAGCGTGGTGGCGGGAGCCTGTAATCCCAGCTACTGGGTAGGTTGAGGCAGGAGAATCGCTTGAACCCAGGAAACAGAGGTTGCAGTGAGCGGAGATGGCGCCATTGCACTCCGGCCTGGGTGTCAGAGCGAGACTCCGTCTCGAAACAAACAAAACCACTTCATTGCAAACGCGGTAGGCAATGAGGACCCAGGCAGCCCGCTTTGGCCAGCTCTGCCCAAGGAACAGTCTTCCCGTTCACCCCCACTTCTGCCCGGCTGTAACCTGTCACTCCTGTCCCCTCGGAGCCCAGACTGCCCCTCCTCCGATTCACACCCCGACAGCTGAAGGGAATGAGGAGCGGCCGCCGCATGCGCCCCTGGCCCGCAGGTGAGTGGAGGCTGAAATGGCGGGAGGCTGAAATGGCGGGAGCCTGAGCTAAGGCCGAATCCCCGGGAAATGGAGGCAGGGGCAGCAAAGGGAAGGAGCCAGAAGGCGGAAGGCGGGAAGGTGTGTCCCTGAGACTGGGTGAGGTCCCGGGGGATCCGGATTTCCGTCCTTTCAGGCGCAGAGCCAGTGGACCGGGCTCCACGGAGGCCCGCAGGCCGGCCTGGGGCTGAGGGGCCCGAGAGGCCGCTGCGGCCGGGTCCGGGACGGGCTGACAGGGAGGAGAGTGAACACAGCGCGGGGGCCCGGTTTCGCGTCGGGTTCACCGGAGCGGGTCTGGCAAGGGCCTGGCCGCGTTTGCTGAGGGAAATGGCCAAACCCAGGTCTTCTGAAGAAAAGGTTCCGCCCGCACCGACACGCCGGGGTCCGGCAGCAGCTCCAGCGCGCAGGCCAGGCACAGGCGGGGGGTCACGGGCAGCAGCCAGCGCGGGTCGTGCCGGTAATGGGCCCTCTCGAATAGAAGCGCCGCCTCTTCCTCTCTCCTGGGCCCGGGAGTGCCCGCCGTCGCCGCCTGCCTCACAGCCATCTCCTCGCTTGCCCTCAGCTGAGGCGGCACTCTTTCCCGCGCAGACTGCACGCATGCGCACTTGGAGGACGGACCTGCGTCGGTGTGGAATGCGCCTGCGCGGACCCAGGGCGCTGCAGTCTCAGACGAGCAGCAGCCACTGAGGGCAAGTGGTGGACGCAAGTGCTCTGGATCGTGTCTAGCTAAGCCAAAAGCGGTTTGTGCTTAGAACCCTGCAGGAATGTCTTTACCACATCCAAAGTTGAAAAGCAATTATAAAGTAGGGGGCATTTGCCTTGAAAAAGGAAGGAAAGGAAGCTATTTCTACTGTTTTTTAAAAATGAAGGCCGGGCATGGTGGCTCACGCCTGTAATCCCAGCACTTTGGGAAGCCGAGGTGGGCGGATCACGAGATCTGGAGATCAAGACCATCTTACCCAACATGGTGAAACCCCGTCTCTACTAAAATACAAAAAATTAGCTGGGTGTGGTGGCAAGTGCCTGTAATCCCAGCTACTTGGGAGGCTTGAGGCAGGGGAATCACTTGAACCTGGGAGGCGGAGGTTGCAGTGAGCTGAGATTGTGCCACTGCACTCCAGCCTGGCGACAGAGCAAGACTCTATCTCAAAAAAAAAAAAAAAAAGGAAAATAAGCGATCCCAAGGATTCGCATCTAAAAGCAATTAGAGGCTGGGTGAGTTGGCTCATGCCTGTAATCACAGCACTTTGGGAGGGAGGCTGAGGCAGGAGAATCACTTGAACCTGGGAGGTGGAGGTTGCAGTGAGCCAAGATCGCACCACTGCACTCCAGCCTGGGTGACAGAGGAAGACTCCATCTTAAAAATAAATAAATAAATCAGAAGCTTAAGACCAAAAAATAAAAGTAAAAAAACAAAACAAAACACCAAAGACAGAGAGAAAGAAGTTCAAGACCAGCCTGAGCAACAGGGCGAAACCCCTCCTCTACTAAAAATACAAAAATTAGCTGGGTGTGGTGGCTCATGACTGTAATCCCAGCTACTCGGGAGGCTGAGGCAGCAGAATCGCTTGAACCCAGGAGGCGGAGGTTACAGTGAGCGGAGATCAAGCCACTGAACTCCAGCTTGGGCCACAGACCTACACTCCATCTCAAAAAAAAAAAAAAAAGCGTCCCATGCAGAGGACCACCCCTCCCCATAAGCAGCTGAGGCTTTTGGAGTGTCCTGCCTCAATCAGGATTAGCTTGGAGACAGAGCAGGATAGAACCTCAGTGGACTCCACTGTGAGGAGCTGGGGGGCAGGTGTTTCGGAGAGGACACTGGGTTGACCCACATTCCCTAAACCACAACCACAGAGTGGAAGGGGCTTCTACCCCACCCACAAAGTATCCCAAACCCCGAAAGGGGGCACTTGGAAAATGTGCCAGAGAAATCAGAACACCACAGGGCCCAAATGACCAATTTATTAGAGGCTTTGCAGGGATCAGGACACTCTCAAAGCTTTTCTGATATGTCCTGAGGACTCTGGGCCTGAGTCTACTTTTTAAAGCCATTCTGGAAGAGAAAAAAATTCAGATGCTTCATAATACTAAACTTTTTGGAGGCTCGTGTATTCTGTGGAGCCCCATTTGGGTTCCCAGGTGCCTCCTGGCCCTGGGGACTCTCTGTCTTAGGAAGGGTGGCCCCAGTACAGCAGTGACCTTGCAGCTGAAGATCCCTCTGTGAAGCAGTGTGATCTCCGATGCTGTCCTCCCCTGCACGAGGATCACCCACTTTGGGAGGCAGAGTAGAATCAGGTTCCCTCAGGCTCAGGTTAGGGGCCAAGTGCTTGCGCTTGGCGAGCTGTGGGGACCAGGACATCTTGGCCAGAAGGGTCAGGCCCAGCTTTGCCACCGCAGAGTGGAGCCTCCCTTTGAAGCTGACAGGTTCTGCAGAATGGCAGGAAGGCTGCTGCCCAGCCCCTCTGCACCCTGTAGATTCCAGGCTTCCTCTTCTCCAGTATGTGAGCTGCTGGCATTTGAGTCTGGGGAGCTTAGAGGCCTCCCAGGATGTACATTCCTTCCTCCAGTGGGCGTGGTCTGCCCTAGAGAATGAAGTCCTCACTCTGCTGGGAGCCCTCTCTGCCAGCTGGGAGACCCTTGACCTGATCATTTTCCTGCCCCTACTGTTCTCACTGGGAGGCTCTCCGACCCTTTGTGGGCCACACCAGCTCCTGGACTCCGCTGCCGGCCTGGGGGTCCTGGGAGCTGGGAGCTTGGTCCTAGCAAGCGCTTCCTGGATCTCCTGTGGTTCTCTGGCGCCCCCTGGTGGCCTGACTCTCCTGGCCTTTTCAGGCTGGATGGAAATGCTTAATGGGCTCTGACATGTGCGGTCTGTTCCTCTCCAGAGCTCTGGCTTGTATAGGAAGTTTCGAGCTTTTTCTGTCTGGGCGCTGAACCCTCTGGAACCTCTCTGGGGACTTAAGGCCTGGTGGGGAGCCTTGGGCCTCACAATACCTTTCCTGCTGGGCTTGGAGCTCCTGGCCTGTGTTCAGTCCAGAGAGCCTCGCCCCAGCAAGGGTCAATGAGCAAGATCCTAAGAAGTTAAACAGGAAATAGGACTCCAGGATCCGCCGGGGAAGACCCCACTTCAGGTGTGCAATCCTCCTCCGCATGAGGGACTCCAGGAGCAGTCGTTTGCTCTTCTTGAGGCCTGTCCCCTTGGGCAGGACAGTGAGGGCGGTGGGAGGACCCGCTAGAATGATGGCAGCTTCCGGGGCTGGGCCACACGGGAGACAGGAGCAGGCAGAGGGCATGCCCAAGGGAGCTGTCAGAGACGGAGGGTTTTGGGACTGCCGAGTCAGGCTGGGGGCCTTCTCTGGATCCACCCCTTTGTCCCTTTGTCGTCTTCTCCAGGATTCAGGTTGGGCCTGCTGGGAGGCTGGACTGATCCCCACTCTATGATCCCTGGCAGGGGTTGTGCCCTGGCTGGCCAGATGCTCTCCCTCCCCACCCACCAGCAGGAAGACTTCACCCCAGTGGGGGACAGGATTCATCTCAGGACAGGGGGCAGAGATGAAACCATTCACAGCCACTGCCTGTTCCTGTTCCCGGGTCCCACATCCATAGCCAGTGAAGGCTGGAGGCCATGGTAGGCTGTGCTTCCTGCCTGTGGGCCTCTCACTCCCAGAACAGTCGACTTGGAGACTGTCCCTCACAGCATCCTCTCCTCTGACCAGATCCTTGTTTCCTCCCCTTGGTGCTCGAGGCTCTCCAACATCCTCATCTGTGCACTTTCTCTGGCTTCCTATATCCTGGAGTTCTGCAACATCCTCAACTCCACCGTCATTCTTATTTCCTTGCCCTTGTACCTGGATCTCTTCAGCAATTTCAACTCTTAACTGTCCCTGGTCATCTCCTGCAGGAGCCTGGGTCTCTGTACCATCATCAGCTGTGGTCCCTCTCAGGTTTCTCTTCCCCTGTATTTGAATTTCTTCATCATTCCCACCTCCACCCTGTTCCTGGTTCTTCCACTCTGATAAACGGGTCTTTCCATTATCTTTACTTTTTAACAGTCTGTTTCTTCGCTCTAAGCCTCCAGTTTTTTCCCCTAAGCCTCCAGATCATTCTACCGTCCTCGTTTCCAACCTCTCTCTGGTTTCTCTTCTCTGATGCCTGATTTTCTGCAACATCCTTTCCAATCAGCTCCCAGTTCCTCCTCCCTGGTGAATGGCTCCCTCCAATTTCACTATCTAACTGGTCCTCGTTCTCTCTCTTAGGTCTCTGAGTCTTTACACCGTCCTCACCTCCAGGTTCTCTCTGGTTTCTCTCCACTGGAGCCTGAATTTCTGTTCCATTCTCACTTCCCATCTGCTTCTGGCTCTTCCACTCTGATAAAAGGATCTTTCTACCAAGATCACTTCTAAACTGACTCTGGGTTTCTTTCCCAGGTGCCCAGGTCTTTACACCGTCCTCACCTCCAACTTCTCTCAGGTTTCTCTTCCCTTGTATCTGAATTTCTGCCCCATTCTCACCTCCAATCTGCTGATCTTTCTTCCATTCTGCTGAATGCATTTCTCCATCAATTTGACTTGTTAATTTGCCCCAGTTCCCTGACTCAGATATCTGGGTATGTGCACCATCTTCGCCTCTAATATGTTCCTGATTCTTCCCCTTTGGTATGTGAATCTTTCCACTAAATTCATTTCCTAACTGACCCTGATTTTTCCTCCCAAGTTCCTGGGTGTCTTTATCATCCTCACCTTTAACCTCTCTCCTCCCTAGTGACTGAATGTCTGTACCATCCTCTTCTCTAAGTGGCTCATTGCTCTGAGTCTCCACATCAGTTTCACCTTTTAATTGTTCCTGGATCTCAGCCTCGGGTGCCAGGATATTTGTGCCATCCTCACATCCATCCTTTCTTTGGTCTCTCTTCTCTGATGCCTGAATTTCTGCTCTATGTTCACCTCCAATCCAGTTCTGATTCTCCCAACATAGTATCTCAAATTCTCTATAAATTTCACTTGCTACTTGTCTCCGGTTTCCCCACCATAGTGCCTGGATCACCACCCAATCCTTCTCTTATCTCCCTGAGCTTCTTCTTGGTAGCTATCTGGGTTTCCTTAGCATCTTCATCTCTTCTCAGGCCCTTATTTCCCCACCCCACTTGAATTTCATGACTTAATTGTTTCTGGTTCTCTCCCCCAGATGCTTGGGTCTTCTTAGCTTTCTTACTTCCACCTTGATCATGCTTCTCCCACCTTGGTGTCTGGATCTCTGTAACATTCCCATTTCCAACACATTCCTGTTTTCCCCAATCCAAGGCCTGGGTCTCTACACTATTCTCTTTTTTTACTTCTCCCACGTTCTCCCTCCCACATGATTGGGTTTGTGCAGCATCCTGACCTCCAACCTGATCCTTGTTTCTCCCCTCTTCCATCTGAATTTCCACATCCGCATCACCTTTCATCTGATCTTGTTTCTCCCACTGTGGTGTCTGGGTCTCCTCACCATTCTCATCTCCAGTCTGGCCTTGCTTCCCCAATCCTTGAGCCTGGATCTCTTCCCCATCCTCCTCTCCAGCCTCTTTCTTGTCCTTCTTCTCAAATGTCTGGGTCTCCACAGCATCCTCACTTCCATTCTTATCCTGGTTCTCCCACTCAGGTGTTTGGGTCTCTGCATCAATTTTACATCTTAACTGTTCTTGGTTCTCTCCCATATGTGCCTGGGTTTCAGGGAGATTCTCACCTCCAGCCTCCCTCTGGTTTCTATTCCCTAGTTCCTGAATGTTGGTTCTACTCTCAACTCCCATCCGGTCCTGGGTGTCCCACCCTGGTGTCAAGATCTCGCCATCAGTTTCACTTATTACTAGTCTCTGGTTTGCACACTCCAACACGTTAGTCTCTGCATCACCCTCCATTCCAAAGTCTACTGGGAACTACTCCCCAGATGCCTGGATTTCTGAAGCATCCTCCCGTCTGCTCCCTGTCTGGTTCACCCACCTTGGAGCCTGGGTCTCTCTACTATCCTCTCTGCCTGCTTTCTGGTTTTTACCCCCTGGTTCCCAGGCCTCTGGTCGACAGTGCCAAGACTTCCAAGTGCACATTCTCAGTGTTTGGTGGGAAGGATCAGGCAGGAGCTCTCTGGGGGCAGAACTGCAGCCTCTCAGCTGAAAGTAAGTTTGGAAGAGAGGTGGTTAAGGTCATGGAGGTGGGGCGAGACCTCACACTGATGACAGGCTCCAGTGACACCAACCTTTCCTGTGAGTGAAGCAGCAGCTGCTCCATCTCTTGACACATGTCCAAGGCAGGGCGAGTCTGACCATCATGGAGACACCAAGGCACCTGCCATGCTTTCCAGGAACTGTTCTGAGGCAGTAAACAGGTGTTTGAAATGGAGGTGGTACAAAAGATGGGCTCAGAGTGGGTGTGGACACCCGAAGGTGGGCCTGGACATGGGTGCTGTGGAGAGAGCAGGTTCTGGGCCCATGATTCCTGGAGGCTCCTCCGGTATCCCCATCTCTGCCTTTGTGCGCATTGTTGAGAATCTAGGCCCCTGGACTTTCCAGGACTGAAGAATTCAGGAGTCAGCTTGAAGACAGTTTCGCACCTCATGGAGGGCACTGCCCGCTTCTGCAGTGGCACCTGTAGATGAGAACAGAGAAGCAAAATCCTTGCACACATAATAACTTGCATAATCCGCACAGACAGAATAGTCAGGAAAGGCTTCTTGGAGGAAGTGACATTTGACTGGAGCCTGAATGAAGTAAGGGGCAAACCAAGTGACATCTGAGGAAAGAGCGTTGTAGGCAGAAGAGACATTAAGTACAAAGGCTTGAGGATGGAACAAAATTACATGTACAGGAACAGCAAAGAAGACTGTGTGGCCAGAATGGAACCAGTAATGAGGAGAGCACTGGGAGATAAGATCGGAGACAAACATGGGACAGATTATGCTGGTCCTTAGAGTCGTGATTAGGAGCGAGAATTTTATTCTGAGTTTGCCAGATAATGTAAGTATAGGAGCCATTGCAGGGTTTTGAGCAGCTAAGTGCTATGTTCTGTTTCTAAAAGTTTGTTCTGATGGCAGGGCATGGTGGCTCATGTCTGTAATCCCAGCACTTTGGGAGGCCAAGATGGGTGGATCACTTGAGGTCAGGAGTTCCAGACCAGCCTGGCCAACATGGCAAAACCCCTTCTCTACTAAAAATACAAAAATTAGCCAGCCATCATGGCGCATGCCTGTAATCCCAGCTACTCAGGAGGCTGAGGCACAAGAATTGCTTGAACCCAGGAGGCGGAGGTTGCAGTGAGCCAAGATCACGCCACTGCAGTCCAGCCTGGGTGACAGAGCGTGACTCCATCTGAAAAAAAAAAAAAAAGAAGAGGCTGGGTGCACTGGCTCACGCCTGTAATCCCAGCACTTTGGGAGGTCGAGGTGGGCGGATCACAAGGTCAGGAGATTGAGACCATCCTGGCTAACACGATGAAACCCCGTCTCTACTAAAAATACAAAAAAAAAAAAAAAATTGGCCAGGCATGGTGGCGGGCACCTGTAGTCCCAGCTACTCAGGAGGCTTAGGCAGGAGAATGGCATGAACCCGGGAGGTGGAGCTTTCAGTGGGCCGAGATCGCGCCACTGCACTCCAGTCTGGGTGACAGAGCAAGACTCCGTCTCAAAGAAAGAAAGAAAGAAAGAAAGAAATCCAGAGTCGACCAGGCGTGGTGGCTCACACCTGTAATCCCAACGCTTTGGGAGGCCAAGGTGGGTGGATCACTTGAGGTCAGGAGTTCGAGACCAGCCAGACCAACATGGTGAAACCCTGTGTCTACTAAAAATACAAAAATTAGCTGTGCGTGGTGGCACATGCCTGTAATCCCAGCTACTAGGGAGGCAGAGTCAAGAGAATCACTTGAACCTGGGAGGCAGAGGTTGCTGTGAGCCGAGATCGCACCACTGGACTTTAGCCTGGGCCACACAGCAAGACTCCATCTCAAAAAAAAAAAAAAAAGAAAAGAAAAAAAAGAAAAACAAGAAAGAAATCTGCAGAGTTGGCTAGGAGTGGTGGCTCATTCCTGTAATCCCAGCACTTTGGGAGGCCAAGGCAGGCGGATCACATAAGGACGGGAGTTCGAGACCAGCATGACTAACACGGAGAAACCTCGCCTCTACTAAAAATACAAAATTAACGGGTGTGGTAGTGCATGCCCATAATCCCAGCTACTCAGGAGGCTGAGGCAGGAGAATTGCTTGAACTTGGGAGGCAGAGGTTGAGGTAAGCCGAGATCACACCATTGCACTCCAGCCTGGGCAACAAGAGCAAAACTGCATCTCAAAAAAAAAAAAAGGAAAAGAAAAGGAAATCCGCAGAGTTGTGACTAAAACTTCTGGGCTGCTGGTAATCATTTGTTTCTTAATCTGCATGCTACAAACTGATGTATTCAATTATGAAAATTTACTGATCTACACACTTGTAATTGTGTGTGTGTATTATCCTTGGACCAATTTTTTTTTTTAAAAGAGAGAAAAAAGAGGCCAGGCACAGTGGCTCACACCTGTAATCCCAGCACTTTGGGAGGCCGAGGCAGGCAGATCACAAGGTCAGGAGCTCGAGACCAGCCTGGCCAACAAAGTGAAACCCCATCTCTACTAAAAGTACAAAAAAAAAAAAAAATTTGCCAGGCGTGGTGGCGGGCGCCTGTAATCCTAGCTACTCGGGAGGCTGAGGCAGGAGAATCGCTTGAACCAGGGAGGCGGAGGTTGCAGCAAACCAAGATCACACCACTGCACACCAGCCCAGGCAACAGTGTGAGACTCTGTCTCAGAAAAAAAAAGAGAGAGAGAGAGAGAGAGAGAGAGAGAAAGAAGAAGGCCATTCTGGTGACTGTATGGAGGATAGGCTGTGGTTGGATAAGAGAAGCAGCAAGAACCAGGCAGAAGGCTGTTGCTATGGTCCAGTTGAGACATGATGGTGTCTCTGCCCAGGAGGGTGTGGTGTGGTTAGAAGTGATCAGATTTGAGATACAATTTGCAAGTATAGCCCCTGGGACCTGCAGATGGATTGAATGTGTGGAGTGAGGGAAAGAGAGGAGCTCAGGGTGACTCCTGGGTTTGGGGCTTGGCCGATGCTCTCCCTGAGCAGCCTGAGTTTCCCTCTGATTCATTTCTGGTACACCAGGCATAAAACAAGGTCCTTGTAACAAGTGACAGAGACAATCATGGTGCTGAGGGAAGAAGGGTGAAGGTGTATGGGGCCCACTCACCTTGATGACATTCCTTGTGCTGAAGCGGGTCCTGGTGACCTGGTGCCAACAGTGCCGGACCTGCCAGACCAGAAAGAGGCAGAGGACAAGCAGGTTGCCACAGCACTGAGGGTCCCTGCAGCTGTGATTCTGGGAGAGCAGGCCCTGCACTGGCTCCCACTCAGGGCCATGGAATGGCCCCACCACAGCACAGGCACCCAGCAGTGACAACAACATGGCAAAGCTTAGATCAGGCAGATGGTGTTGGGAGCTAGAGGGCAGGCCTGGCACATCTGATGCAGCCAGCTGCAGTAGGATAGCCGCCACCTCATAGCACCCCTGTCACTGAGGCCACCTCACAAAGGGGGCTGATGCCCCAGCCTCAACTCTGACCCTGGTGCCAGGCCTGGTTAGCATGCTCTTGGTGCAGGTAAGGACAGTATTGGGGAATTGTTCAAAAGTAATTAGGAGGAAGAACTTGTTTTAAACAAACCCATCCTCTGGAATGAAAAGATTAAGTTCCCTGAATGTGTGATGGGGTGATATAACCTGCGGTCTGCTTGATTTCTTTCTTCCTATGAAATACTTGGATCTGCCTGTCCTTCTATTATCAAACATTTAATGAACACTGTATTGAATACATGTATTCTTGTTTAACCACTCAACATGCCTTTCTCGTTGCTTGCAGTATCCTGATTTCCTGTGGGGGAATTACTTTTCCCATCTTAGGATCAGTGTTGGTGGGAAAATAAATGTTACCCTGAAGACTCTTTTACCCAAAAGTTCTATTCAAAATATTAAATATCTGAGCAGGCAGGGACGTCAGCCAATTATAATGAGCCAGGCCTTAACTGTTTAGTGGCTGGAATTTTTTTTTTTTTTTTTGAGACCGAGTTTCCACTCTTGTTGCCCAGGCTGGAGTGCAATGGCGCGATCTCGGCTCACTGCAACTTCCACCTCCCAAGTTCAAGCGATTCTCCTGCCTCAACCTCCCGAGTAGCTGGGATTACAGGCATGCGCCACCACGCCCGGCTAATTTTGTATTTTTAGTAGAGACGGGGGTTTCTCCATATTGGTCAGGCTGGTATCGAACTCCCAACCTCAGGTGATCCGCCCGCCTCAGCTTCCCAAAGTGCTGGGATTACAGGCGTGAGCCACCGCACCCGGCCCTCTTTTTTTTCTTCTTTTTTTTGAGACGGAGTCTCACTCTGTTGCCCAGGCTGGAGTGCAGTGTGCAGTGGTGCGATCTCGGCTCACTGCAAGCTCCGCCTCCGGGGTTCACGGCATTCTCCTGCCTCGGCCTCCCGAGTAGCTGGGACTACAGGCGCCCGCCACCATGCCCGGCTAATTTTTTGTATTTTTAGTAGAGACGGTTCACTGTGTTAGCCAGGATGGTCTCGATCTCCTGACCTAGTGATCCGCCTGCCTCAGCCTCCCAAAGTGCTGCGATTACAGGCGGGAGCCACCGCACCCGGCCGGCCTTTTTTTTTTTTTTTTTGAGAGTCTCGCTCTGTCGCCTCAGCTGGAGTGCTAGAGTGCAGTGGCATGATCTCAACTTACTGTAGCCTCCACCTCCGGGGTTCAAGCGATTCTCCTGCTTCAGCCTCCTAAGTAGCTGGGGTTACAGGCGCCCGCCACCACGCCTGGCTAATTTTTGTATTTTTTAGTAGGGACGAGGTTTCGCCATGTTGGCCAGGCTGGTCTCGAACTCCTGTCCTCAGGTGATGCGCCCGCCTCGGCCTCCCAAAGTGCCGGGATTACAGCCATAAGCCGCTGCGGCCGGCCGGTGGGTTACTTTTTGAATGTTTAATTCATTGTTTCTGCCAATAATTTGTACTAGGCAGCTCATAAGAACGCCAAAGTACGTTCCTTCTTCGACACAGGGCCAGTTTCCGCGCCAGTGCCCCCGTAGAGGGCGGGGCCCACTCGCTCGCGTAGCGTCACCTTCGCTTCCTGCCGCGCGGGGCCATTTCCGCTGCTGCTTCTGTGAGTTTTTCCGGTGCACGCGAGTGCTTCTGAAACGTCAGCTGCGCTCCCCTAGGAGTGCTGAGCCCGCGGAACCGCAGCCATGGTGAGTGCGTGCGCCGGCCGAGGGACCGGGAAGCGGGAGACTCAGGGTTGCGTTCACTCCCTAGCCTGTTAGATGGAGGCTTAGAGCCTGCGCCGTCTCATCCGCCGGCGTTGGGTCTTAACCGCCGGGCCCTTAGTTAGAACCCCAGCAGCGGCGGGGTCCCAGCAGCCTGGCCCGAGGTTAGAACTCAGGAAACCTTAGGATCCCCGCAGCTGTGTTGCTTTGCCGCACGGTCTGTTTGCTTGGCAAAAGGCCTGCAGCGAGCGGAGGGGGCATGGCCCAGCCTGGGAGAAAGAGACCAACCCACGTGGGAGAGGGCAAAAAGTTGGGTGAAGAAAACTTGGCTCCAACTTTTTTTTTTCCTTGTTTCTTTTCATACGAAATCTACGATGGCGTGGGACCCTGGGATTCGGATCAACCTCTCCTACCCACCCTACCTCACCCCACCCCCGTTGCTGGGGTTCAGGAGGAGATCTCCCATGGGTCTGCGCTTAGTGCCCGCCGCGAGTCACACGCGCCAGGGACCTAGAGGAGCCTTTGGCATTTGGGGGCTGTGGGGAACATGAAGTGAGCGCGACTCACGGCCTGGAGTGCAGGAAAGGCTTCTCCTGCAAGGCGGTGGCTTCAAAAACCAGAAGTCTGGTAGCACCACGTGCGGCGTCTCTAAACTCTTGGTCGTCTCTGACTTTTAAACATCTAGGGAAAGTTCTAAAACGTGTGTCCTGGCGTAGTAGTTTTGGTTGGCACTTGGTGAGGAGGGAAGAATTTGTAAAGCACTGTAACTTCTATAGTTAATCCTTCCAGTGGAGCTTGGATCCCGGCGGTAGCACTCCCCACAAACCTCCTCCCATGCATTTTGAAGCTTAGTACGTGGCTGAGCCTAGAACTTGAAGCTTCCAAACTCAGTGCTCGCTTTAACGCAGCTCCCTGAAACGTTTTGGAATCGGATGGTCTCAGGTTGAACTTTGCAGTTTTCCTCAACTGTAAAATGGGGATGACAGTGCATGAGGGTGTTGTGAGGATCAAATGAAATAAAGCATGGTAAACATCTAGTCCTGATGCTTGGTACAGAGTAAGCACGCAGTATTTGTTGTTCAATCAAAACCTTGCAAGTTTTGGCTGTCTGGTGTACAGCGAAACCAAACTGATCATGCTAGGTAGGGATTTAGGTTGGCTGGTGGTATGATATCATTCGTTAATTTATTTAACCCCTGAAGAAATTGAAAGGCAAATAAATACACCCTAAGCAAGTTTCAATTAGTGTTTATAAGCTAGTTTGGTTTTAAAATTGAGTTTAACTTTTTTGTTGACTAATAGTGAAACATTTAGGTATTTAATGATTGTTCAGATTCCTGAAGTCTTCCTCTTTTATGAATTTGATGTTTATTGAGATTTGAGAATCCTGATTTCCAGAGAATGGGTTGTTGGAAACAATGGCAATTTTTAAAGTTTTTTTAAATTGACATATCATAGTTGTACATACTTTGGGGGTTCCATGTAATATTTCTAAGTATATCTATTTTAAAACATGCAACAGGGCCAGGCGCGGTGGCTCATGCTTGTAATCCCAGCACTTTGGGAGGCTGAGGCGGGTGGATCATGGGGTCCGGAGTTTGAGACCAGCCTGGCCAACATAGTGAAACCCTGTTTCTACTAAAAATTCAAAAAAATTAGCCAGGCGTGGTGGTGGGCACCTGTAATCCCAGCTACTTGGGAGGCTGAGGCAAGGAGAATCGCTTGAACCTGGGAGGCGGGGGTTGCAGTGAGCCAAGATCACACCACTGCACTCCAGCCCGTGTGACAGTTTGAGACTCCGTCTCAAAAAAATAAATAAATAAAACTTGTGATAAATTATTAACCAAAATTTCCAGCTGGGCACGGTGGCTCACGCCTGTAATCCCAGCACTTTGGGAGGCTGAGGCGGGTGGATCATGAGGTCAGGAGTTCAAGACCAGCCTGACCAACATGGTGAAACCCCATCTCTACTAAAAATACAAAAATTAGCCAGGCGTGGTGGTGCGTGCCTGTAATCCCAGCTACTTAGGAGGCTGAGGCAGGAGAATCACTATAACCGGGGAGGCGGTGTTTGCAGTGAGCCGAGATCATGCCACTGCACTACAGCCTGGGTGACAAAGCAAGACTGTGTCAAAGAAAAAAAAAATCCCTACTGTAGTATCAAATAAAACATTTGTATGGCCGGACGTGGTAGCTCACACCTGTAATCCCAGCACTTTGGGAGGCCGAGGCGGGTGGATCACCTTAGGTCAGGAGTTCAACCTGGCCAACATGGTGAAACCCCCATCTCTACTAAAAATACAAAAATTAGCTGGGCGTGGTGGTGCATGCCTGTAGTCCCAGTTACTCGGGAGGCTGAGGCAGGAGAATTCCTTGAATATGGAAGGCAGAGGTTTCGGTGAGCCGAGATTGCGCCACTGCACTCCAGCCTGGGCGACAGAGGGAGATGCCGTCTCTTAAAAAAAAAAAAAAAAGATAAAAGAATAAACTCCAAATCAGTAGAGGGGAAAATAGTGCAAATGCAATGATAAATCCAGAGAAAGGAAAGAAAGAAAAAGAAACAGAACAAGTGGAACAAATAGAAGGCACAAAAGAAGGAAAATTTGAAACCATTATACCAATACTTAAATATGTAAAGGGACTGAGTGCTCCAGTTAAAAGACGGGATGTGGCCAAGCACTGTGGCTCAAGCCTGCAATCCCAGAAATTGGGAGGCTGAGGCGAGAGAATCTCTTTAGCCCAGGAATTGGAGACCACCCAGGGCAAAATAGTGAGATCCTGTCTCTACAAATTTTTTTTTTTTTTTTTTTGAGACAGAGTCTCGCTCTGTCACCCAGGCTGGGTGTGCAGTGGCACGATCTTGACTCACTGAAACCTCTGTCTCCTTGGTTCAAGCGATTCTCCTGTTTCAGCCTCCCGAGTAGCTGGGATTACAAGCATGTGCCACCATGCCCGGCTATTTTTTGTATTTTTTTAGTAGAGACGGGGTTTTGCCGTGTTGGTCAGGCTGGTCTCCAACTCCTGACCTCAAGTGATCTGCCTGCCTCAGCCTCCCAAAGAGGTGGGATTACAGGCGTGAGCCACCACACCCAGCCTAAACAATTTTTTTTTTAATTAGCCAGGAGTTGGCCGGGTGCAGTGGCTCATGCCTGTAAACCCAGCGCTTTGGGAGGCTGAGGTGGGCGGATCACAAGGTCAGGAGTTCAAGACCAGCCTGGCCAACATGGTGAAACCCCGTCTTTACTAATAATACAAAAATTAGCCGGGCATGGTGGCGCATGCCTGTAATCCCAGCTACTCAGGACGCTGAGGCAGGAGAATTGCTTGAACCTCGGAGGCAGAAGTTGCGGTGAGCCGAGATTGTGCCACTGCACTCCAGCCTGGGCAACAAGAGCAAAACTCCGTCTCAAAAAATAAAAAATAAAATAAAATAAAATTAGCCAGGAGTGGTGGCCCACACTTGTAGTTCCAGTTACTGAGGAGGCTGAGGCAGGAGGATCGCTTGAGCCCTGGAGGTCGAGGCTGCAGTGAGCTATTGTCATGCCACTGCACTCTGGTCTCAGTGATAGAGTGAGACCCTGTCTCAACAACAAAAAGGGTGTAATTCTTTTTTTTTTTTTTTTTGAGATGGAGTTTCACTCTTTCGCCCAGGCTGGAGTGAAGTGGCATCATCTCAACCTACTGCAATCTCCGCTTCCCGGGTTCAAGCCATTCTCCTGCCTCAACCTCCAAGTAGCTGGGATTACAGGTGCCTGCCACCACACCCAGATAATTTTTGTATTCTTAGTAGAGACGGGGGTTTCACCATGTCATCCAGGCTGGTCTTGAACTCCTGACCTCAAGAGAGCCACCCACCTTGGCCTCCCAAAGTGCTGGGATTATAGGTGTGAGCCACTGTGCCTGGACTGCCCCAGCTAAGTTTTTAAATATTTTTAGAGATGGGGGTCTCACTGTGTGGCCCAGGCTGGTCTCAAACTTCAGGCCTCAATCAGTCCCCAGCCTCAGTTTCCCAAGTTGGTGGGATTATAGGCCTGAGCCACTGCAGCCAGTTCAGAATACACTCTTCAAACATGGAACGTTTTTGAAAATTGGCCATAAAGCAAGCCCTGCAAATTTTAACATTGGTAATATTACATACCATTTTTGCCTAACCCAAAAGGAAATAAGTTAAAAATTAGTAACAAAGTAGTTTGAAATGAAAAATATAAACTATCAGAGAGATTTAAAAATTGTAGTAGGAATTCAAAAATAGAACAGAACAATAATGAAAATACCACATACCAGAGCATAAGTGACAAGGGCAGAGGGGGGAAGAAACAAATGAAAGGATATAATGAAAGTATTACTTGGAGCCTAAGATGCTAATGCTAGGGAGAAACGGGATAAAAAGGTAGAAAAAAACACTAGCACAAAATAACCCCAAAGAAAGTAGAAGGAAAGAAAAAAAACAAAAGGAGAAATTGCTGAAATAGAAAGTAGAGCATACTGCTGGGTCTTTTCCTTTCCGAAGCCCCTCTTTCTCACCAGAGAGAGCTGTTCTTTCTCTTTCTTTTGCCTATTAAACCTCTGCTCCCGGCCAGGCGCAGTGGCTCACACCTGTAATCCCAGCACTTTGGGAGGTCGAGGCAGGTAGATCACCTGAGGTCAGGAGTTCGAGACCAGCCTGGCCAACATGGCAAAACCCAGTCTCTACTAAAAAATACAAAAATTAGCCCGGTGTGGTGACGCGCACCTGTAATCCCAGCTACTGGTGGGGGCTGAGGTAGGAGAATTGCTTGAACCCAGGAGGCAGAGGTTGCAGTAAGCCAAGATCGCACTACTACACTCCAGCCTGGGCAACAGAGCAAAACTCCATCTCAAAAAAAACAACAAAAAAAAACCCTGCTCCTAAACTCCTGTGTGTCCATGTCCTAAATTTTCTTGGCATGAGACAACAAACCCTGGATATTTACCCCAGGCAACGAAGCTAGTTCAGTTTGACACTGTTGTCAAAGTTTTGGGGAATTAGTCACTGTCATGCATTGCTGGTGGGTGTGCAAGTTGTTAAACCCTATATAGGGTCAATTTAGAATAGATATAAAAGTTACAAATGCATATTATATCTTTTGACTCGTTAATCCCACTTCTAGGAGTTTATCTTACAGATATACTGAATGAAACATAATATAGATTAGGTATAGATGAGATTAGACATTATAGCATTTACATAATAGTGAAAGATTAAAAAATATATAAATGGGCTGGGCACAGTGGCTCACACCTGTAATCCCAGTACTTTGGGATGCCCAGGCAGGAAGATTGCTTGAGGCCAGGAGTTCACGACCAGCCTGGACAACATAATAAGACAGTGCCTCTAAAATTAAAAAATTAGCCAGACGTGGTGGTGCATGCATGTAGTCCCAGCTACTTGGGAGTCTGAGGCAGGAGGACCACTTGAGCCCAGGAAAGTCCCCCTCAGAAAGATTAATCGAAAAAATAAGGCCAGGCACGGTGGCTCACGCCTGTAATCCCAACACTTTGGGAGGCTAAGGCAAGCGGATCACTTGAGGTCAGCAATTGGGAGACCAGACTGGCCAACATGGTGAAAGACCTTCTCTACTAAAAATACAGAAAAATTAGCCGGGCGTGGTTGTGCATGCCTGTAGTACCAGCTGCTCTGGAGGCTGAGGCTGGAGAATCGCTTGAACCCCGGAGGAGGTTGCAGTGAGCCAAGATGCCACCACTACACTCCAGCCTGGGTGACAGAGCGAGACCCTGTCTCAAAAAAGAAAATGTTTAAGTAGGTAACATGTGAAGGAGACATACTCTATAGACATTAAAAAGAAAGGATGGCCAGGTGCGGTGGCTCATGCCTGTAATCCCAGCACTTTGGGAGGCTGAGGCAGGCAGATGACCTGAGATCAGGAGTTCGAGACCAGCCTGGCCAAAGTGGTGAAACCCCGTCTCTACTAAAAATACAAAAATCAGCCGGCCGTGATGGCGGTCACCTGTAATCCTAGGTACTCAGGAGGCTGAGGCTGCAGTGAGCCGAGATCGCGCCACTGCACTCCAACCTAGGCGACAGAGGGAGACTCCGTCTCTAAATAAATAAATGTATGAGGAAGAGAAAAATAATATGGAGGTCTTCCCTTGACCTCCCCCAACCCCCTTCCTTTAGAGAACTCCTCCATCCTTCACCTAATTCTTCCTAGTTGTCCTGGGACCAAGACAAATTCGCCTAAGATAAGGAGTTACGTAGAAGACAGGGCGTCCTGGTGTACGGGCTGGCCCTGGACGTCACTTCCGCTGGCGGCAGTGGCGTCACTTCCTGCTCTTGGGGGCGGGGCATCCGTGTCCTTGCGGTGCTGGGCAGCAGACCGTCCAAACCGACACGCGTGGTATCCTCGCGGTGTCCGGCAAGAGACTACCAAGACAGACGCTATGGTGAGTGTTCCTACTGGGCCATTATCTCCGGGTCACCTCCCGAGAGCTGTGGTGCCGCGAGCGTGGTCCCGCTGTGTCAGAAAAGCTGTAAAAAAACGGAAGGAGGAAAAGGCAGGTGCGCGGTGTCGGGCAGGAGACCACCGAGGCAGGCGCTATAGATGAGTGGTCCCACCAGGCCATCTCCGTCTCCAGCGACTGCCGTCCACCCTATGTCCAGCCTCCAAGGCCGAGGTTAGGTGGTAGCCGCAGTGAATCACTCGCGATTCGCACGTTACACACGATGGCGACATGTGGGGCCGCACCTGGGTTATAATATGAATATATCCTTGTATATAAATATGTGTTTGTAAAAACAAAAAAAAAAAGAGAAAAATTAATGAAAATGATTTACTGGAGCAGTGGGAATGAGATGGAAGGAGCGGAATAGGCAGGCCACTCACCCAATATGCTCCCTACATGGGTGTGTATTTATTTATTTATTGAGACGGAGTCTCGCTCTGTCGCCCACGCTGGAGTGCAGTGGCGCCATCTCCGCTCATTGCATCCTCCGCCTCCTGGGTTCAAGCTATTCTGCGTCAGCCTCTCGAGTAGCTAGGACTACAGGCGTGAGACACCGCGCTCGTCCCCTACATGGGTTATTTTGACACAGATCTGAATGACATCATTTTATCCATAAGTATTACAGTATATATCTATAAAGTAAGAATTTTTAACATAACTGCAAATGCCATTAATTAGTTAATAAGGGTTGCAAGTTGGTGATATTTAACTGTACCATTCCCTCTTTATTTATTAGGCGGAAGAGTGATACAAGAGGTACTTCTCATCTTCTACCTGGTTACCGCCTAATACAGCATTTAGGAAAGGCACAGAAGATGATTGTTTCCCTTTCCCAGTTTTCAAAATATTGAGTTGCTATCACTTGCATAGTTTTGACTTTTAAACCATGAAGATATTTTACATATTTGAAAAATAAAATTTAAAGCAAGCTGACTACAAAATAAATCTACTTGTATACCAAATTGCTAACCACAAGGAAAATTTTAATTTGAATAACTTTTGAACAAAGTCCTGCCACTGGATGGCTTTGATAGGATATATCCTAAGAACAAAAATAAATTTTGACTTTGGTGAGTTTGTTGGTAGAGGTGGTATATTGGTGTAGCAATTTTGGAACCATTTTGTGTGTATTGTAGAGGAGGTGAGGAAATACTTTAATGTGTTGGAAACCATGGGTTTGAACAGAAGATACGCATATGGAGTGGGGAATGGAAAGAAAACTTTGTGCTACATTTACTGTAAATTATATCTTATTGATTCAGTAAATTCAGGTGGAATACGGAAGTTCAAATTTAAAGATTACCCATGGACTCCTGACCTCAGGTGATCCACCCGCCTCGGCCGCCCAAAGTGCTGTGATTACAGGCGTGAGCCAGGAGTTTGAGACCAGCCTGGCCAACACGGTGAAACCCTGTCTCCACAAAAAATACAAAATTAGCCTGGCATGGTGGTGCACGCTTATAGTCCCAGCTACTTGGGAGGCTGAGGCACAAGAATCATTTGAACTCGGGAGGCAGAGATTGCAGTAAGCTGAAATCGCACCACTGCACTCCAGCGTGGGCAACAGAGCAAGACTCCATCTAAAAAATAAAAACAGAAATGGATTAGCCATGGACTCAAATGGATGCGGAGCCATGGGAACCCGTTTGTAATCCATTTGCTGTAATATTATCAAACATTCGGCTGAAGAAAGACAAAAGTACATGAGCTTTAGTATACTTTACTGAACTGTGTAATTCCTAATAGTGTATTTCCTTTTTTTCGAAGGTAGGAGTGGAAAGTCCATTGTTAACTACCTGGTGTTTTGTGTGTTTGAGGGTTAGGGAGCAGGGCAGCTGCCCCCTGTGTCTCAATTGTTGATTAGTATTTTGTGACTCAGGTAGGAAAACTTCTGGCTCAATTTGTCTGATATTTTTATGTCCCCCCCATAGACTGAGGCTGATGTGAATCCAAAGGCCTATCCCCTTGCCGATGCCCACCTCACCAAGAAGCTACTGGACCTCGTTCAGCAGTCATGTAACTATAAGCAGCTTCGGAAAGGAGCCAATGAGGGTAAGGCAGCCACAGGATGCTCTGGGGGAATGTTAAAGGCACCTGTTTCCATCTGGGGCCTCTGATCTGATTTCCAGTTTGGGAGGAGGGCTAGCTGCTCTCGACTACAACCAGTGGGAGGACTTTGGCATTAGATGCTAAAGCTGATGGGCTAAGAATTTTTTTTAGACCCACCAATTGTTAACATTTTGCCACATTTACCTTCTTTTTCACTCTATAAGTGAATTTTATTTTTGCTGAGCCATTTGAAAGCAGTTGTGGAGACTGTATAGTGGCTGTATGACCTCACCAGAGCCATCAGAAGGAAAGGGATATTAATGCTTTTTAGCATCCCTTATACGGTGGATACTTAACATTCATGAATTTCATTTGGTTCCCAGAAACATTCCCTACCCCTCTCCCTTTTTTTTTTGGATGCAATTATTCAAAAACATGGAACGTTTCACGAATTTGCATGTCATCCTTGTGCAGGGGTCATGCTAATCTTCTCTGTATTGTTCCAATTTTAGTATATGTACTGCTGAAGCGAGCACTACCTCCCTTTGTAAAAAAGGAAAAAAAAAAAGCTGTTTTTCAGTAGAATAATTATGTATGCATGATGCTTCTGCCCAGAGGTGATATAGGATACTCTCACTTTATTCATTATTATTTTTTTAATTTTATTTTATTTATTTATTTATTTTTTTATTTGGAGAGTTTTGCTCTTGTTGCCCAAGCTGGAGTGCCATGGCAGGATCTCAGCTTACTGCAACCTCCGCTTCCCGGGTTCAAATGATTCTCCTGCCTCAACCTCCCAAGTAGCTGGGATTACAGGCATGCACCACCACGTCCAGCTAATTTTGTATTTTTAGTAAAGATGGGGTTTCACTATGTTGGTCAGTCTGGTCTCGAACTCCTGATCTCAGGTGATCTACCTGCCTTGGCCTCCCAAAGTGCTGCTGGGATTACAGGCGTGAGACACTGTGCCCAGCCTTATTTTTATTTTTATTTTTTTTCAAGTAGAGACGAGGTTTCACCATGTTGGCCAGGCTGGTCTCGAACTCCTGACCTGAAGTGATCCGCCTGCCTTGGCCTCCCAAAATTCTGGGATTACAGGCGTGAGCCACTGTGCCCGGCTGCCCAGCCTTATTTTTATTTTATTTTATTTTTTTGGAGACAGAATCTCGCTCTGTCGCCCAGGCTGGTCTTAAACTCCTGAGCTCAGGCAATCTGCCTGCCTTGGCCTCCCAAAGTGTTAGGATAACAGCAGGCGTGAGCTACCATGCCCAGCCAGAATACTCTCATTTTAATAGATGCTGGGTAGTTTGATGTGGTAGAGCTCTTTTGTCGTTGAAGATTTTTAATGGAAACATCAGAGATTTTGTCAACTGTGTTTGAGATTTAGGAGAACTATTACAATCGCTTTTACCTGTGTTGCTGAAGGAAGATAAAGTAGACTCTGTGGGTCTCGTCGTAGTGCTCTTTCCTCCCTGCTCGTCACACTGCAGTAACTGCAGTGCCTGGTATAGCAGTGGCCAGTGGGGCATTGTAGGGTGACCCACCAGCTCTCCTGGGAGGTCTCTCTTCTCACTTGATGCACTCAGGTCAGCTTGGCTGGGCAGGGATGTGACTTCTTACACTTCAGGTAGATGAGGACTCATGGACACAGAGCAACCTTATTTCCTCTTGCCATACTTTGCACGGTGATAAGCACACAGGTCCTTGAATGGAGATGCTCAGTCTCAGCGACTTAATTCAGAATATGCTTACTGGGAGTTCAGGGAGGGAGATGCAACAATTTTCCGTACTTCTGCCTCAGTGTCAGGTATTCTTTCTTGCCATATTTATTGATTGCCTGCTATGTGCCAGGCGCATGTATATATGCTGATGATGCACTGGTGAACAAAATGAAGTCTCTGCCTTCTTGGAGTATACATTCCAGTGGAGAAAGACATAGGTTTTATGCCTGGTGGTAAAGAATGCTGTAAGAGGCCGGGCGCGGTGGCTCACACCTGTAATCCCAGCACTTTGGGAGGCCGAGGTGGGCAGATCATGAGGTCAGGAGATCGAGACCATCCTGGCTAACACGGTGAAACCTCATCTCTACCAAAAATACAAAAAATTAGCCGGGCGTGGTGGCGGGCGCCTATAGTCCCAGCTGCTCAGGAGGCTGAGGCAGGAAAATGGTGTGAACCCGGGAGGCGGAGCTTGCAGTGAGCCGAGATCTCACCACTGCACTCTAGCCTGGGCGACAGAGTGAGACTCCGTCTCAAAAAAAAAAAAAAGAATGCTGTAAAACAGAATAAAGTAGAGAAGGGGGATAGGAATGGCAGTGGTGGGTCTTTTTAGATGGAGTATTCAGAGAAGGTCTGTCTGAGGAGTTTGAGCAGAGAACTGAATAGATGAGGGTGTTGGAAAGAAACGTTTTTGGGCATGGTGTAAAGGCATGCTTGAGGGATTCTAAGGAGGCTGGTGTGTGGCTGGAACTAAGTGTGGGGATGAGAGGTACTAGGAGATCACATGAGACCATGTAGGCCACTGTTAGCAGTGAGTACAATGGTAAATGAGTAGAAGGATTTTGAACAGCAAGATTGCTATGATCTTACTTAACACTTATAAAAGAGTCACTCCTATGACTTTTGTAGGGTGAGTAAGCTATAGTAATATCAATAGAAATGAACATGCTTTGCATTTGCCATGTGTCAGGTATTATTATTATTATTTATTTTACTTTTTTTTGAGATAGGGTCTTACTCTGCAGCCCAGGCTGGAGTGCATTGGCATTGATCATGGCTCACTGCAGCCACGACCTCCTGGGCTTAGGTGATCCTCCCACCTCAGCGTCCCAGGTAGCTGGAACTACAGGTGTACGCCACCACACCTGGCTAATTTTTTATATTTTTAGTAGAGATGGGGTTTTGCCATGTTGCCCAGGCTGGTCTCAAACTCTGAGTTCAAACAATCTACCTGCCTCAGCCTCCCAGTGGGCTGGGATTACAGGTGTGAGCCACCATGCCCAGCCTCATCATTCTTATTAACTGGTTTAATCCTTTCAATAATCCTATTAAGTAGAATTATTAGGTAATTAGAATTAGGTTAAAAAGAGCTGAGGTGTGGGTGTTCGTTTCTCAGGTGAAACATGGCTAAAAGCTTACGGAGTAAGTGGAAAAGAAAGATGCGTGCTGAAAAGAGAAAAAAGAATGCCCCAAAGGAGGCCAGCAGGCTTAAAAGTATTCTCAAACTAGACGGTGATGTTTTAATGAAAGATGTTCAAGAGATAGCAACTGTGGTGGTACCCAAACATTGCCAAGAGAAAATGCAATGTGAGGTAAAAGATGAAAAAGATGACATGAAAAGGGAGACTGATACTAAGAGAAACAAAAAGACTCTTCTAGACCAGCATGGACAGTACCCAATATGGATGAACCAAAGGCAAAGAAAAAGGCTGACGGCAAAGCGAGAGAAAAGAAAGGGGAAAAGCAAAGCAAAAGCAGTGAAAGTGGCAAAGGGTTTGGCGTGGTAGACTCTTAAAACCTTGGAAAATGCCACATGGGATAGATGATGGATTAGAATGTATATACATGTATACTTTGATTTCAGCTGCCACCAAATGAAAACCATTTGTTTTCCTATTTTAACTTGGCCTTTTTTCTTCAATTCAAACCCAGCATAACTCCTGAAGTTTGTTTTGGGAACTTGAATAAAATATTTTCTTTGATACAAAAAAAAAAAAGAATTAGGTTAAAAAGAATTAGGTAATTCTTTTTTTATTAGGTAGAATCCTGTTAGGTAGAATTATTTTATAGATGATAAAAGTAAGGGAAGTTAAACACCTTGCTCAAGGTCATTTGTGTAACAAGAATGAGTGCCAGCATTTGCACTCAGACAGTGTAGCTCTAGAGTGTGTGCCCTTCTCAAGTACTCCAGCATGAATGCAGAGTATTCGCACTGAGCCACAGAGGCAAGCAGTCAGGAGAGTACGCATCTGAAACGGTGCTGTGGGGTGTTGAACTTGCATGGTGAGTCGCATGTGGGATCAGCTTTCTAGAAGTATTGATTATGGCAGATTGAGATGGTAAAACTCTGACTCTCAGTCACAGATACCTTGAGAAATACTATATTATTAATATACTACTACTTGCTGGTGGGGGTTTGTGGAAGCTGTTGCAGTTGACAAGGTAAGAGATGATGGTGACTTGGACGAGTATAGCAGAGGAGTAGAAAGAAGTGGTCAGGGCCAGGCGTGGTGGCTCATGCCTGTAATCACAGCACTTTGGGAGGCCAAGGTGGGTGGATCACAAGGTTAGGAGTTTGAGACCAGCCTGGCCAACATAGTGAAACAAAAAATTAGCTGGGCATGGTGGCAGGCACCTGTAATCCCAGCTACTTGGGAGGCTGAGGCAGGAGAATCACTTGAACCTGGGAGGCAGAGGTTGCAATGAGCCAAGATTGCGCCATTGCACTCCAGCCCGGGCGACAGTGTGAGACTCCATCTCAAAAAAAGAAAAAAAAAAAAAAAAGAAAGAAAAAAGTTGTCAGATTAGGACAGGCACAGTGGCTCATACCTGTAATTTCAGCACTTTGGGAGGCCGAGGTGGGTGGATCACTTGAGGTCAGGAGTTTGAGACCAGCCTGGACAACATGGTGAAGCCCTCTCTCTACTAAAAATACAAAAATTAGCTAAACACAGTGGCACGTGCCTGTAATCCCAGCTGCTTGGGAGACTGAGGCAGGAGAATCACTTAAACCCGGGAAGCGGAGGTTGAAGTGAGCCAAGATCGCACCACTGCACTCCAGCTGTGTGACAGAGCAAGACTCCATCTCAAAAAAAAAAAAGAAGAAGAAGAAGTGGTCAGATTCAGGACGTGTTTTGAGGATAAGTGGTGGATTTAATGTAGGGCTTGAGAAAATGCCATTGTGTATGACTGACTGGTGTTTGAATCCTTTATCATATCCCAGGGCCGGTCTAGGACACATAATTGTGTGTGCCTAGGCATTCTTCCCAGTTTGTTGTGGCTGCCCTGCCCAAGCCCACATCACCTATTAGCTTCACGTCCTTCTCTCCGCAGCCACCAAAACCCTCAACAGGGGCATCTCTGAGTTCATCGTGATGGCTGCAGACGCCGAGCCACTGGAGATCATTCTGCACCTGCCGCTGCTGTGTGAAGACAAGAATGTGCCCTACGTGTTTGTGCGCTCCAAGCAGGCCCTGGGGAGAGCCTGTGGGGTCTCCAGGCCTGTCATCGCCTGTTCTGTCACCATCAAAGAAGGCTCGCAGCTGAAACAGCAGATCCAATCCATTCAGCAGTCCATTGAAAGGCTCTTAGTCTAAACCTGTGGCCTCTGCCACGTGCTCCCTGCCAGCTTCCCCCCTGAGGTTGTGTATCATATTATCTGTGTTAGCATGTAGTATTTTCAGCTACTCTCTATTGTTATAAAATGTAGTACTAAATCTGGTTTCTGGATTTTTGTGTTGTTTTTGTTCTGTTTTACAGGGTTGCTATCCCCCTTCCTTTCCTCCCTCCCTCTGCCATCCTTCATCCTTTTATCCTCCCTTTTTGGAACAAGTGTTCAGAGCAGACAGAAGCAGGGTGGTGGCACCGTTGAAAGGCAGAAAGAGCCAGGAGAAAGCTGATGGAGCCAGGACAGAGATCTGGTTCCAGCTTTCAGCCACTAGCTTCCTGTTGTGTGCGGGGTGTGGTGGAATTAAACAGCATTCATTGTGTGTCCCTGTGCCTGGCACACAGAATCATTCATACGTGTTCAAGTGATCAAGGGGTTTCATTTGCTCTTGGGGGATTAGGTATCATTTGGGGAGGAAGCATGTGTTCTGTGAGGTTGTTCGGCTATGTCCAAGTGTCGTTTACTAATGTACCCCTGCTGTTTGCTTTTGGTAATGTGATGTTGATGTTCTCCCCCTACCCACAACCATGCCCTTGAGGGTAGCAGGGCAGCAGCATACCAAAGAGATGTGCTGCAGGACTCCGGAGGCAGCCTGGGTGGGTGAGCCATGGGGCAGTTGACCTGGGTCTTGAAAGAGTCGGGAGTGACAAGCTCAGAGAGCATGAACTGATGCTGGCATGAAGGATTCCAGGAAGATCATGGAGACCTGGCTGGTAGCTGTAACAGAGATGGTGGAGTCCAAGGAAACAGCCTGTCTCTGGTGAATGGGACTTTCTTTGGTGGACACTTGGCACCAGCTCTGAGAGCCCTTCCCCTGTGTCCTGCCACCATGTGGGTCAGATGTACTCTCTGTCACATGAGGAGAGTGCTAGTTCATGTGTTCTCCATTCTTGTGAGCATCCTAATAAATCTGTTCCATTTTGATGACAGAATGGCAGTGCCTGATTCTTAGTAAGTATCCGGCTAAAATTGGAATGAAGACATACTTAGCTTTACTAGAGTGGTGATAGCTGCTTAAGACTTTTTTTTTCTTCTTTGTGAAAGAGTTTCACTCTTGTTGCCTAGGCTGGAGTGCAATGGCACGATCTCGGCTCACTGCAGCCTCTGCCTCCTGGGTTCAAGTGATGCTCCTGCCTCAGCCCCCAAAGTAGCTGGGATTACAGGCGTGCGTCACCACGCCCAGCTAATTTTGTATTTTTAGTAGAGACAGGGTTTCACCATGTTGGCCAGGCTGGTCTTGAACTCCTGACCTCAGGTAATCTGCCTGTCTCAGCCTCGCAAAGCGCTGGGATTACAGGTGTGAGCCACCACGCCTGGCCACTTGCTTAGACTTTTTTTTACCAGAAGGCTATGGAAGAGCTGTCTCCTCCTACCAGGTAGTTTCTACCTTGGCAGTTCAAAATGTCGTCTTATACACACTCAACTGGAGCATTGCTATCACTGGAACTGGCTTTCTCAACCTCCGTGCTGTTGACATTTGGGGCTGGTTAATTTGTTGTGAGGACTGCCCTGTGTGTTGTATGTTTAGTAGCATCACTGGCTTCTACCCGCTAGGTGGCAATAGCAGCACCCCCCCACAACCAAAAAATGTTTCCGGACATTGTTAAATGCCCCCGGCAGTAAAATCACCCCCAATTGAGAATCACTGTTGGAGAATCAGGGTTTCTAGTAACCCTTGGCACATGCAGGATTGGTATTGGTGACTAAAGCCACTGCCCCCTCACTTGCCTCTTCTACTTATTATCTTAAGGATAAGTTCCTTGAGAGCCTAATAACTCAGCTTGAGAAATCTTCCAAGGTGCAAGTAACTGGGTACCATAGTGATCCCCTCTTTGCCAGCTTGGGCCAATATACCCCTGCTCTAGCAAGAAGCACACCTGGGGGAACCTGGCAGCCACCTTAGCCAGTCGGACCTGTTCTGTGCATCCTGGGCTGGTCATTTCTCCCAGCTTACTCCAGTGTTCTCATCACCACCCCTGAAGCAGTTTTATATTTTTGGATGGTGGAATTTTACACAGTGCTTACTTTTTCACAGTCATGCATTCAGTGTTTTTGGTCAATGACAGACCACATATATGACAGTGGTCCCCTAAGATTGTAATACTGTGTTTTTACTGTACCTTTCCTACGTTAAGATGCACAAATGCCATTGTGTTACAATTGCCTACGGTATTCAGTAACATGCAGTACAGGTTTGTAGCCTAGGTGTATGTATAGTAGGCTGTTCCATCTAGGGTTTTGTTTGTTTGTTTGAGACAGTCTCACTCTGTCGCCCAGGCTGGAGTGCAGTGGTATAATCTCAGCTCACTGCAACCTCCGCCTCCTGGGTTCAAGCGATTCTTTTGCCTCAGCCTCCTGAGTAGCTGGGATTACAGGAGCACGCCACCACACCCGGCTAATTTTTGTATTTTTAGTAGAGACAGGGTTTCCCCATGTTGGTCAGGCTGGTCTTGAACTCCTGATCTCTTGATCTGCCCACCTCGGCCTCCCAAAGTGCTGGGATTACAAGCGTGAGCCACCGCACCCAGCCGGTTTTTGTAAGTATACTCTATGGTGTTTACACAGTGACGAAATTGCCTAACAATGCATTTTTCAGAACTTACCTCTGTCATTAAATGACACATTACTTTTTTTTTTTTTTGAGACAGTCTCGCTCTGTCACCAAGGTTGGAGTGCAGTGGAGCAATCTCAGCTCACTGCAACCTCCGCCTCCTGGGTTTAAGCGATGCTCCTTCCTCAGCCTCCTGAATAGCTGGGATTACAGACACACGCCACCACGCCCAGCTAACTTTTGTGTTTTTAGTAGAGACGGGGTTTTACCATGTTGGCCAGGCTGGTCGGGAACTCCTAACCTCAAGTGATCCAACCTGCCTCAGCCTCCCAAAGTGCTGGGATTACAGGCGTGAGCCATCCCGCCCAGCCAACGTAATGACTTTTTTCTTTCTTTTTTTTTTTTCTGAGACAGAGTCTGGCTCTTGTAGCCCAGGCTGGAGTGCAATAGCGCGATCTCAGCTCACTGCAACCTCCGCTTTCCAGGTTCAAGTGATTGTCCTGCCTCAGCCTTCCAAGTAGCTGGGATGACAGGTGCCCACCACCATGCCTGGCTAATTTTTTGTATTTTAGTAGAGACGGGGTTTCACCACGTTGGCCAGGCTAGTCTCAAACTCCTGACCTCATGGCCCACACCCCGCCTCCCCCCGCCACCTTGGTCTCTCAAAGTGTTGGGATTACAGGCGTGAGCCACCGTTCCCGGCTCCAAACATCCTTTCTTTAGGGCCTTTCCTAGCTACCCCACCTCATAATTTCCTTTTCCCCCAGCTCTGTAACATTCTACTTTTTTTTTTTAACTTAAACATAACTAATGTCTGAGATTGCTTTCTTTTTTTTTTTTTTTTTTTTTTTTTTTTGAGACATAGTCTCTGTTGCCCAGGCTGGAGTGCAGTGGCATGATCTCAGCTCACTGCAACCTCCACCTCCCCGGTTCGAGCAATTTCTCTGCCTCAGCCTCCCAAGTAGGTAGGATTACAGAAGTGTGCCACCACGCCCAGCTAATTTTTGTATTTTTTAGTAGAGATGGGGTTTCACCACGTTGGCCAGACTGGTCTCAAACTTCTGACCTCAAGTGATCCGCCTGCTTTTGCCTCCCACAGTGCTGGGATTACAGGCGTGAGCCACTGGGCCCAGCCTGAGATTGCCTTCTGATTTTTGTTTCTAAACATTTTATTTTTGAGAGAGAATCCGTTGCTTTCATCAGGTCTCAAAGGTTCCCCTGACCCCAAACACAACTGGTTAGGAATTTCAGATTTTCAGTGTTTCCTGAAACTCTTTCCCAAGAGAACCTGCAATTAAATAGTTTTACATTTACAGTATTGACCTAAAGAGATTATTTATTTGTTGTATTTGAACGTTTTCATTATCTTTGATCTCAAACTGATGGATGGAAAGGCAGCTTGTTCTTGGAAATGAGTGTCCCCCATTCCCCTGGCATCAGGTTACTTTTTTTTTTTTTTTTTTTTTTTGAGACAGTCTTACTCTGTCACCCAGGCTGGAGTGCATTGGTGCAGACTCGGCTCACTGCAACCTCTGCCTCCCGGGTTCAAGAGATTCTCCTGCCTCAGCCTCCCGAGTAGCTAGGATTACAGGTGCATACCACCATGCCCGGCTAATTTTTGCATTTTTAGTACAGATGAGATTTCACCATGTTGTCAAGGCTGGTCTCAAACTCCTGGCCTCAGGTGATCTGCCCGCCTTGGTCCCCCAGAGTGCTGGGATTACAGGCATGAGCCACCATGTCTAGCCCAGGTTACATTTGGAAAAATCAAGTATGGCCTCTGGCTTGAGCTGATGTATCTACTTGGGGGTAGGGTCATGGGGATGGAAGATAACTATACTCTTGTGAAGGAAGGAAATAATTTAAAGTAGCAAGTCAATATTCACAATGACCTGTGGCAGCCAGCCTCCAAGATGGCTCCAGTGCTCCTCACCTGCGATTCACGCCCTCGTATAGTCTACCACACCAACTCAGAGTCTGGCAGAATCGATGTGACATTGCAGTTTCTGCCTTCATTTCTTCAGATAACTGGCTATAAGGGAAGTCAGCTGCCATGGACTTAAGGACATGGAGGTCCTAAGGCCTCTAGCCAACAGCTGGCATCACCTTTGCCAGCCATGGGAATGAGCCTCTGTTTCATTTGTACCTGTGGAATTTTTTTTTTTTTTTTTTTTGAGACGGAGTCTCGCTCTGTCACCCAGGCTGGAGTGCAGTGGCGCAATCTTGGCTCACTGCAAGCCCCGCCTCCCAGGTTCACGCCATTCTCCTGCCTCAGCCTCCCAAGTAGCTGGGACTACAGGCACCTGCCACCACGCCCGGCTAATTTTTTGTATTTTTTTTGTAGAGACGGGGTTTCACCATGTTAGCCAGAATGGTCTCGAACTCCTGACCTCGTGATCCGCCCGCCTCAGCCTCCCAAAGTGCTGAGATTACAGGCGTGAGCCATCGCGCCCGGCCTCCTGTGGGATTTTAATTAACAGATTGAGTGATGACACTAAGTCAATGCCATTGAAAGAATGTACGTTTCCTACGAGAAGGGGCATTCCACACAGCACAGGGCCATGGGAGAAACATCGCGCTTTGTTTACGAGTCAGAATTAGAGCAAGGGGAATCATAGGCCACATCCTTTATCAGAGTTTCCTCAGGAAAGGCAGGACAGAATAAACGGTTTAGGATTGATTGGCTAGTTTGAATCGTTCCAGTGGGCTTTGGGCTATGGGGTGGTCTCTAGTTGCCTGGCATCTGGTCCTGGGATGAGTTAGTACAGGAGGAATAATGCTTTGGTATGTGAAAGATAAAGGAGGTGACTGGCATGCATGAGAGGCATTCTCACAAATATGTGGTAACTGTCTCTATGAGTAAGCTAGCCCTGAGAGGAGCAGTTTATTCCTGGGTCTGGAAGGCCCCCCAAGATGTCAAAACATAAGACAGAGATAATTGGAAACATGCTCATTACGGCCTCCCAGCAAATAGATCCTCCAGCCTCACTCTAGCTTTCAGGTAGGAGAGGAATGCTTATTGTTTTAAGCCAATAGTTCCTGGGTGTAATTTGTTACACAGCAATAGATAACTAAGGTGGGAGGAGGGTGCGGGGTAGTGATGAAGGGATGGGGACGCCTTGTCAAACCACAGCAATAAAAATGGTCATGTTGGCTGGGCGCGGTGGCTCACACCTATAATCTGAGCACTTTGGGAGACCGAGGCAGGTGGATCACTTGAGGTTGGAGTTCGAGACCACCCTGACCAACATGGTGAAACCCTGTCTCTACTAAAAAAATACAAAATTAGCTAGGCATGGTGGCACACACCTGTAATTGCAGCTACTCGGGAGGCTGAGGCAGGAGAATTGCTTGAACCCAGGAGGCGGAGGTTGCAGTGAGCTGAGATCACGCCATTATTGCACTCCAGCCTGCGCAACAAGAGTGAAACTCCGTCTCAAAAACAAAAAAAAAAAAAAAAAAAGGTCATGTTTCCACCAGACGCGGTGGCTAATGCCTGTAATCCCACCCAGCACTTTGGGAAGCCAAGGCAGGTGGATCACCTGAGGTTAGGAGTTTGAGACCAGCCTGGCCAACATGGTGAAACCCCATCTCTACTAAATACAAAATTACTACTACTACTACTAAATACAAAATCTCTACTAAAATACAAAAATTAGCCGGGCGTGGTGGCTCACGCCTGTAATCCCAGTACTTTGGGAGGCCAAGGCGGGTGGATCACGAGGTCAGGAGTTCGAGACCAGCCTGGCCAACAAAGGGAAACTCCGTCTTTACTAAAAATACAAAAATTAGGCATGGTGGGGGGCACCTGTAATCCCAGCTACTTGGGAGGCTGAGGCGGGAGAATCACTTGAACCCAGGAGGCAGAGGTTGCAGTGAGTCGAGATCATGCCACTGCACTCCAGCCTGGGCAAGAGAGCAAGACTCAGTCTCAAAAAACAAAAACAAAAATTAGCTGGGCGTGGTGATGCCTGTAACCCAGCTACTCGGGAGGCTGAGGCAGGAGAATTGCTTGAACCCGGGAGACAGAGTTTGCAGTGAGCCAAGATTGTGCCACTGCACTCCAGCCTGGGCGACAGAGCGAGACTGAGTCTCAAAAAAAATAAAAATAAATAAAAATAAAAGGACCAGGTGCGGTGGCTCACGCCTTTGATCCCAGCACTTTGGGAGGCCAAGGCAGGCAGATCATGAGGTCCAGAGTTGGAGATCAGCCTGGCCAACATGGTGAAACCCCTTCTCTACTAGGAATACAAAAATTGGCTGGGCATGGTGGCACATGCCTGTAATCCCAGCTACGTAGGAGACTGAGGCAGGAGAATCACTTGAACCCGGGAGGTGGAGGTTGCAGTGAGCTGAGATGGTGCCACTGCACTCCAGCCTGGGCGACAGAGCAAGACTCCATCTCAGAAAAAAAAAAAAAAAGAAAGAAATGGTCATGTTTGTCTTCTGGATCTTTGTAGTCATAAATAAATAAATAAACAAACAAACAAATAAATAAATAAATGGTCATGCTAAAATTGCAGGGTAGCGAGGAACACTAGAAGTGCTGGCATGGCCCACGAGCCGCCTGAGTCCTCAGAAGATAGAAGTCCACGTAGGATTTGCTTCCATACATGATGCAGAGAAGGTTGCATCAGGGTCCTTACAGTCAGGGGCAGTGTGGCTTAAACAAGAAAGGCTGAATACATAGCTCCCGTTCCAGTAAAACCTGGGTGTGTTTCCTCTCCTAATACGGATGCTAATGAGGATGGAATTTCTGGATAGTCGGCAGGGAGAGGAAGTGGATGACTAATCTCCCTCAGAGCTCGTGGTCCTGCCCTGCCTTTCTTCTGTTTTTTTTGTTTACTTTTTTGTTTTGTTTTGTTTTGAGGTTGGAGTGCATTGGCGCGATCTCTGCTCACTGCAACTTCCGCCGCCCGGGTTCAAGCGATTTTCCTGCCTCACCCTCCCGAGTAGCTGGTATGATAGGCGCCTGCCACCACGCCCGGCTAATTTTTGTATTTTTGGTAGAGACGGGGTTTCACCGTGTTAGCCAGGATGGTCTCGAACTCCTGACCTCAGGTGATCACCCCCACCTCAGCTTCCCAAACTGCTAAGATTACAGGCGTGAGCCACCGCGCCCGGCCTCTTCTGGTTTTCAACAAGACATTAAAACAAGACATTACAGAAGGGGAAAGGCTGAGAGGTAAAAGGCTCATCTTCCCAAGTAACCGCAGTTTTCGTTGAGTGTCATTCCAGACGTTCCCTCTGCACCTGGCCTAGAAGTAAACAGACATATGTGCATCCGTGTGTTTGTTTCAGTTTTGGCCAAACGGATTCGTGTTCTCGAGCTGCTGCGGCGGCCACAAGGAACCCGGATGCCGCTGAGCTTAGCCCGCCAGACTCTCCGGCTTATGGCTCCCAGGCCCAGGCACCCGGCCTGCCTCGTCCGTGGCGCGCATGCGCAGGCCCAGATCGGCGCTCCGCGCCGGCTGTGTCGCCACCTGGCGGATGGAAGCGCGATGGCCGCGGTAGAAGTCAAGCGCCAGAGGGCACTCCATGCGGATACCCAAATCTGAGGTTGCCCAAGTCCCTGATGTAACATGGCGCAGTATTTGCATATGAACTACGCACGGCCTCCCGGATACTTTAAATTATACTCTAGATAATTTACGATACCTAATAAAATGTAAATGCTATGTCAATAATTGTCATACTGTATTATTTATGGAATAATGACAATTTTGTTGTTGTTGAGACAGAGTCTCGCTCTGTCGCCCAGGCTGAAGTGCAGTGGCGTGATCTCGGCTCACTGCAACCTCCTTCTTCCGGGTTCAAGTGATTCTCCTGCCTCAGCCTCTCGAGTAGCTGGGATTACAGGTTCCCACCACCACACCCGGCTAATTTTTTTATTTTTAGTAGTAGAGATGGGGTTTCACCACGTTGGCCAGGCTGCTCTCGAACTCCTGACCTCAGGTGATCCGCCCTCCTCGGCCTCCCAAAGTGCTGGAATTACAGGCGTGAGCCACCGCGCCCGGCGGGCTAATGACAAAATTTAAAGTCTGGCCCGGCGCGGTGGCTCACACCTGTAATCCCAGCATTGTGGGAGGCCTGGCCGGGTGGATCACCTAAGGTCAGGAGTTTGAGAGCAGCCTGGCCAACATGGTGAAACCTCGTCTCTACTAAAAGTAAAAAATTAGCCAGGTGCGGTGTTGTGCGCCTGTAATCCCAGCTACTCGGGAGGCTGAGGCAGGAGAATCGCATGAACCCAGGAGGCAGATGTTGCAGGGAGCCAAGATCGCGCCACTGCACTCCAGCCTGGGCGACAAGAGCAAGAGTACAGACGCAGCCATCGATTTTTTCCCCAAGTTTTATTTATTTATTTATTTATTTATTTTGAGGCAGAGTCTCGCTCTGTTGCCCAGGCTGGAGTGCAGTGGCGCGATCTCGGCTCACTACAACCTCTGCTTCCCAGATTCAAGCGAGTCTCCTGCCTCAGCCTTCCGAGTAGCTGGGATTACAGGTGCACGCCATCATGCCCGGCTAATTTTTTGTATTTTTAGTAGAGATGGGGTTTCACCATGCTGGCCAGGCTGGTCTCGAACTCCTGACCTCGTTATCCGCCTGCCTGGGCCTCCTAGTGTTAGGATTTCAGGCGTGAGCCAGCACGCCTGGCCCCCAAATATTTTTGATCCATGTAGGTTGAATCCATCGATGTGGAGCCTGCGGATGCAGAGGGCCAACTGTATCTATTGAGTGCCATGTTCTTTTACGTATTTTCTCATTTTCACCATGTGACGTTATTATAAGAATGTGGAAGCTAAGGCTCAAAATGCCTCATAAACTGCCCAAGGTCACTTGTATATATGATGGCACTAAGATGTAAATTTGCTAAATCAGCCTCGTGAGCTTCCAAAGGCCTAACCAATTCCACTGGAACATGGTATTTCTTCTCTCCTGGGTGGGGGACTCAGCAGGCAGAGAAGGCATCATTGATTTACAGAGAAATATCACTCTGTTGCTGTTTATCACAGACCTCGGGTGATTTGTCTAACATTCACATACCTGCCTGGCTCTGGTAGGTGTTTGACCTCTGAACTCTCATTCTCTCCATTTTGGAAGTAGGAGGCAAAGGAGCGTAGGCTTGGGCATAGTGTGCACAGCAAAGCCAGCCTGGAGCTCACCCCAGGGCTGCTCTTCACTAGCTCCAGCATCCAGGGTCGGATACCAAGGGCTCAGTGGGGCTACTCCTTGCCCTCCTATTGCAGGTGACTGGCTGTGACTAGTGTAATTTCAATCTACCTTGGTAGATTAACCCCCTATAGAATCCAGTTTCCAAACTTGCTCCATTTAAGGGGAATGGTCCAATTTCTCAACAATTTCTAAGCATCTAATGGGAGAATTATCTTCCCCTCTTGCCCAGACACGTAAGGAAATACAAAAAAATACAGTATCTCCTTTCAAACAGAAACAAAAGCAATAACAGGTTAAAAAAAAAACCTATAAAGCTTAGAGCCAAGAATCCAAAGCTGAAAGGAGTAATTTGGCCCCTCCTACACTCTTCCTCATGAGGTGCTGCTCATTCTAGTCCTGAAGGACACAGGACCTGCAAACCCTTACTCACATCCTCAGAGGAGACCAACAATTCCAGATGCTCTCCTTCCTTCCCTCAGGCTAATTCTTCAAAAGCAGTGGCAGTAGAATGAGCAGGAAAGGGACAGGGAGGACAGAGCAGGGATGTAGAAGAAGAAAAGGTAAAAGACACTCCTGTCCTCTTCCCCTTCTTTAAATACTAGGACATTTTCTCATCTTGAATTTCCTACAGCTCCCCTGAAACACAAGAGGAGTAACTCTTCATTTCACTTATTCTGGAACCCAAATTCTCAGGGCAACAGAAAATGGGTATATTTTTGCATGACTTAATGTTGCATTAAGAGGAATGCAATGAGAAGGAGTTGCTGTTTACTCACGAAGCAAATGGCCCCAGAACTAAGTGTTACCTTCTTACTGCTTCAGAAATCTGATTTTTATACCTTAACATGACACATTTAAAGGAAAACAGGCTAGAGGACAGAGGATAAGGATAATATAATCCTGCTAGGGCTTCTTACTCCCAAAATGCCTTCGCCTGCCCTGACCCGTCACACTCTCACCCGCCCCTCTGATACTTGTTTTGTTTCCATTGTGGTGATGAGTGTTCCCAATGAAAGAGAAAATTAAGCTAAGTGATGGCTAGCAAGTTTTGGATGCAAGGCATACACACCTTTCTCCTTCACACAAAAGAACAGTATATAGTACAAACTTAGGGCTCTTTATTCAGGCAGTAAAGTAAGGAACAGCAAAGTGGGAGGGCTACACCATCACCATGGCAACAGAAAGCCTCAAAAACATAAAGTCCCTCGACTTATGTCGGGTAGACTCTTCCTAGCTCAGGAGAAACACATTTTAACTGGCTGAGGACAAGGCCAGGCAGCCTGGCCACACTGCGGAAGGGCAGCTGGACGCGCGGCCTCTGGTCAGTCCTGGAAGTGCTTGGTGAGGGCTTCCAGCAGCTCCTGCTTCTTCAGCCCACTCTTCAGCCCGTAAGCCCGGCAGGCCTCTTTCAGCATGGGCACAGTGAACTTGCCCAGCGTACCCTTGCTGATGTGGGTCTTCAGCTCCTCTTCTGAATACTCCACCTTGGGCCTTTTGCTTCCAGAACCTTCATTATCTGGGGGGAAAGGTCAGGAGAGAGTGACTGGAAATGCTACATACAAGTGGCATCCCAGCTACATGGCATGGGGGACCTCGTATAATCTGGGCTGCAATTAACCATAAAGCTGTGATGCCAGCCTAGGACACCATGGGGAAGACTTATCTCGATAAGGTAGCTTCATTTAAAGTGCAAAATAAAACACAGATCACACCTAGGAGGAAATTACAAGTAGTGTGAATGCCATCAGTTTACCCAAAACTGTTGCTCACTCTGGGTAAGTCATTCCTTCCTTCCTTTGAAAATCTTTTACAGGTTCATGACCAGCCTTGGTAATACAGTGAGACCCTGGCTCTAAAGTAATAAAATCAACCGGCCATGGTGGTGTGCACCTGCAGTCTCAGCTACTCAGCAGGCTGAGGCTGCAGGATCACTCGAGCCCAGGAGGTTGAGGCTACAGTGAGCCAGTGAACTGTGATTGAGCCACTGGACTCCAGCCTGGGTGACAGAGCAAGACTGTCTAAAAACAAAAAAAGGATATAACTTCTGTATCATTTTTGAGATGGAGTCTCACTCTATCACCGAGGCTGGAGTGCAATGGTGTGGTCTCGGCTCACTGCAACCTCTGCCTCCCGGGTTCAAGGGATTCTCCTACCTCAGTCTCCCAGGTAGTTGGGACTACAGGCGCCCACTACCACATCTGGCTAATTTTTGTATTTTTAGTACAGACGAGGTTTCACTGTGTTGGCCAGGCTGGTCTTGAACTCCTGACCTCATGATCCGCCCACCTCAGGCTCCCAAAGTGCTGGGATTACAGGTGTGAGCCACCGCACCTGGCCAACTTCTGTATCATTTTAAATAGAAATTAAAAAAATTAAGTCCTGGAAGGGTGAGAGTGCAGGAAAACATTCACTCCTTCTTGGATAGAGGGTAAATCACTGTTTTGGAAGCAATTCACTGCAAGAATGCATCCTGTGGATCTATTCACACAAGAACACGATGGAAATGCATGTTCACTGCAGCATATCCACCTGTCAATACAGGTCTGGTTAAATAACCTGGTATATCTATCCAATGAACTACTCTGCAGCCTCATTTTTTAAAAAATGAGATAGGTAAGTGTGGATATAAATAACTGTCCAACATATATAGCTGAGTAACAAAAATAGCAAACTAGAAAACAATGTATTATTCCATTTGTGCTGAAATATGTATGTTGGTATGTGTAAATATGTATGGTTGTATAGACAGTTCTTTTCTAAAATTTTTTCATTTTTAATTTTTGTGGGTACATACTAGGTATATATATTTGTGGGGTACCTGAGGTATTTTGATACAGGCATGCAATGTGAAATAATCACATCAGCATAAATGGGGTATCCATCCCCTCAAGCATTTATCTTTTGTGTTACAAACATTCCAATTGTATTCCTTTAGTTATTTTTAAATGTACAATTAAATTAGACTATAGTCACTCTGTTGTATTATCGAATAGATCTTAATCATTCTATTTTTTTTTTGTACCCATTAACCATCCCCACCAACCCCACAATGCCTCACTACCCTTCTCAGCCTCTGGTAACCATCCTTCTATGCTCTCTCTCCATGAGTTCAATTGTTTTGATTTTTAGATTCCACAAATAAGTGAGAACATGTAAATGTCTGTCTTTCTGAGCCTGGCTTACTTCACTTAACATATTATTGCAAATGACAGGATCTCATTCTTTTTTATGGCCGAATAGTACTCCATTGTGTACGTGTACCACATTTTCTTTACCAGGCATCTGTTGATGGACACAAGTTGCTTCCAGATCTTGGCTATTGTGAATGGTGCTGCAATAAACATGGGAGTGCACATATCTCTTTGATATATTGATCTCCTTTCTTTTGGGTATATACTGACTGGATCATATGGTATGCTGGATCATATGGTAGCTCTAGTTTTCACTTTTTGAGGAAACTCCCAACTATTCTCCATAATAGTGGCTGTACTAATTTACATTCCCACCAACAGTGTATGAGGGTTCCCTTTTCTCCACATCTTTGCCAGCATTTGTTATTGTCTGTTTTTTGGATAAAAGCCATTTTAACTAGACTGTGAATAGATATTTCTGAAAGGATATTGCCCACTGTGATAAGACTATCATAAAAGCAATTTTTAAAAATAGCCCACATGTCCACATTCAGCTTCTCACCGTGTTTTCTCTTGGTAACTTTCCCTTCAGGATTGTAATCTGGTGGGTAAACAAGCTCCTTAAACTCATCCACCAAGGAGCCCAGTCTTTTATTCATTGCTTCAACCTTGGGCACTAGAAAATCAAAACACAGAAGAGTGGCCTGGTGAGTCACGAGCCCCAGCTTGCTGTCCACTTCCAGAACTCTCTGAGAACCAGAAGAGAGAGCACCTAACTGCTAAGGTGGGAGGGGTCTAGGGAAATGTCTTTCCAGCATTTACCAAGTACCTTCCAACACCTGCATTTACTGTAATTACACATACTACCGCCAGGCACTGTTGTAAATGCTTTAAACTTACTCTATTTACTCCTTCTAACAACCTATAGGATAGGTAAATTTGTCCCCAGTTTTTTTTTTTTTAGATTTTTTTTTGAGATGGAGTCTTGCTCTGTTGCCAGGCTGGAGTGCAGTGGCGCGATCTTGGCTCACTGCAACCTCCGACTCCCTGGTTCAAGCGATTCTCCTGCCTCAGCCTCTTGATTTGTCCCCAGTTTTACAGAGGAGAAAAGGAGAGAGATTACATGACTTTCCCAAAGGGCAGTGGTACAGTGGAGATACTAAGCTAGATTCTGGGAATTCAAACAAGTGCTCATGCCTGCGGTGAGCTTACAGCCCAGTGAGAGAGAGGAGGTGGATAAAAACGATGCAGTGGAGTTGGGCAACACCATGCAAGAAGCGACTGTACAGGCACACTGGAACACAGGAGGGGTGGTGAAAGATAAGAAGCAGAAGGCACTGGGAGAGAAATAGCAGGTGACATATAGCTGGAAGGTAGGGTGTTAAGGAGGACAGGGCCAGCAGAGAGGTGAGAAAGATGGGTATGATGAGGTCATGGAAGCTGGGATGCCTGCCAAGGAATTAGGCCTTATCCAAAGAATCCCCTGATAGCTGCATGGAGGGTGAACTGAAAGAGGGTAAGATAAGACAGGTGAAGTGGGGTGTGGGTGGGAGGACCCATAAACATGAGAAGTGACAGAACTGGCAGGACTTACTGATAGAATAGGATTTATTATTTAACTGAAATCACAGAGCTGGAAACCAGAATGTAAGAAGAATAGGAGTGGGATGGGGAGATGACTGGCTGAAACAGGGGGAGCAAGTATGACAGGAAAAGGCAACTTTGGAGGAAAGATCATACTTTTGTTTCCTTTTTTGTTAGCTTACAACTATATTGTTAAATCAAGCTTCTGACATGAGCTGTGTCACATCAAGGGCAAGGGTGATGAGATGGGCAGCTCACATGCCCGTATTTGCCAAGCATGGAGGGGAGCTCTTGCTGGTGTACCTAGATGGCACAATGCTGGAGCCAAACTGTGCTCCTGCTGCATCAGAAGTCCCCTGGTCCACATCATGGGAACCTCTGCAAGAGCACTGGCTCCCAATCTGGGAATCATCTGTAGAGTTTTAAAAGTACAGAGAAGCTGGGTGCAGTGGCTCTTGCCTGTAATCCCAGCACTTTGGGAGGCCGAGGCGGGTGGATCACCTAAGGTCAGGAGTTCAAGATGAGCCTGGCCAATATGGTGAACCCCCATCTCTACCAAAAAATACAAAAATCAGCCAGGCATGGTGGCGGGTGCCTGTAATCCCAGCTACTCGGAAGGCTGAGGCAGGAGAACTGCTTGAGCCTGGGAGCCAAAGGTTTCAGTGAGCCGAGATCCCACCACTGCACTTCAGTCTGGGTGACAAGAGTGAGAACCTGTCTCAAATGAATGAATGAATGTACTGAGGTCCAGCCTATGCTCAGTACTAAAAATAAAAATAAAAGTAGTGAGCATGGTGGCTTATGCCTATAATCCCAGAACTTTGGGAGGCCGAGACAGGTGGATCACTTGAGGTCAGGAATTTGACACCAGCCTGGCCAACATGGTGAAACCCAATCACTAATAAAAACACAAAATAGGCCGTGCGCAGCGCCTCCTGCTTGTAATCCCAGCACTTTGGGAGGCCAAGGCGGGCGGATCACAAGGTCAGGAGATCGAGACCATCCTAACCCAGTGAAACCCCGTCTCTACTAAAAATACAAAAAAATTAACCGGGCTTGGTGGCAGGCACCTGTGTCCTAAACTACCTTGCTAGGCACTAGGCCACCGACTTCTGAATTTGCCTAAGGCCTGAAAGGAGGAGATGGGCTGTTTAGCTCAAAACGTTTCTCTTTCGCCAGACACAGCTAAGCAGGCACCACAGTAACAATGGTCCAATAACTCTTCTGCTTTTAACACTGGGGCTATTTTGTCTAAAATAGATCATTCTGAGACCAGCCGGGCCATCATGGCGAAATCCCGTCTCTACTAAAAATACAAAAATTAGCCGGGCGGGGACCAACTGCTCGGGAGTCTGAGACACGAGAATAGCTTGAACCTAGGAGGCAGACGTAAGCCACTACGCCCGGCTGCGAGTCGCTGGATTCTAAACCCAAATCCACCACTTATTTCCTCTTAAATTATTTATTGATTTTTTGTTTTTGTTTTGTTTTTTGAGACAGCGTCTCGCTCTGTCACCAGGCTGGAGTGCAGTGGTGCAATCTCGGCTCATTGCAGCCTCTGCCTCCTGAGTTCAACCGATCTTCCTGCCTCAGCCTCCCGAGTAGCTGGGACTACAGGCACACGCCACCACACCCAGCTAATTTTTTGTATTTTTAGTAGAGACAGAGTTTAGTAGAGACAGAGTAGAGACATGTTGGCCAGGATGGTCTCAATCTCTTGACCTCGTGATCCACCCGCCTCGGCCTCCCAAAGTGCTGGGATTACAGGCATGAGCCACCGTGCCCAGCCTCTTATATTATTTTTTAAATTTCACCAGCATGTAGTCACAGGGCGGCCTAGTGCAGAGGCAGGTCTCAGAAGCCTGACACTCTCCTCCTCTCACTATGGAACCAGCCAAATCTGTTCCCTGGCTGTTTAAGCTGGTCTGGAAAAGCTTCCAAACAGAGGGGGTCTGGGGAATGAGGTTAAGTGTTTAGAGAGGACTGGGAAATGCACCCAAATTACTGGTGCAGAGTGGAACCAGTAAGAAAGCCTCCCATGAAAAGAACTACTCTATTCAACCTCCTTACATGTCAGGTCCACTGCTTGTTCCGGCTCCATCAAATCCAAGGCCAAGGCCTCCAGGTTCCTGAAGTGCTGCTGCAGCACGGGGTTCTCAAAGCTGTCACTTCTGTTAAAACAATAATGTAACTCAACTGAAACATGACAATTTAAACATTGAAAAAATTAGAATAAAACCACCTGAGATACTACAGGTCCGGGGTGAGCTGAGAAAAACACCCCAAGTAAAACAGTTGAGGTCAGGTGCAGTAGCCCATGCCTGTAATCCCAGCACTTTGGTAGGCCAAGGTAGGCGGAATGCTTGAGTCTAGCAGTTCAAGACCAGCTTGGACAACATGGTGAGACCCTGTCTCTACAAAAAATTTAAAAATCAGCCAGGCATGTTGGTGCACGCCTGTGGTCCCAGCTACTCAGGAGGCATAGGCAGGAAGACTGCTTGAGTCCAGGAGATCGAGGCTGCAGTGAGCCATGATCGTGCCACGGTACTCCAGCCTGGATGGCAGAGCAAGACTTTGTCTCAAGTCAACTTAGAAAGCAAACCAGCCTGGGCACCCTGGCTCATGCCTGTAATCCAGCACTTTGAGAAGCTGAGGCAGGCGGATGGCTTGAGCTCAGGAGTTCCAGACCAGCCTGGGCAACATGGTGAAACTCCGTCCCTACAAAAAATACAAAAATTAGCCAGGTGTGGTGGTGCAAGGGTATGGTCCCAGCTACTCAGGAGTCTGAGGTGGGAGAATCACCTGAGCCCAGGGAGGTCAAGGCTGCAGTGAACTACAGTAACACCACTGCAATCAAACCTGGGTGACAAGAGACCCTGTCTCAAAATAATAATAATAATAATAATAATAATAATAATAATAATAATAATAAATTTTTAAAAATGACATGTGAAAAAAATTACGTTTAGTGTCCCATTATGCAGGCTCTGAGAGTTGGTCTATTATATATGTGAGAGGGAATGACTTGAATTACTTAATCATTCTTTTAAGCCTTTAACAATTTACACTAGATTTATTTACTTTTGCTCATTGTGGAATAACAAACACAATCAAGGAGAAGGGCGAATAAGAATCCTGCTATTTTTTCAAATTTGTTCAACCAACTAATCTGGCTAAGTACAGCACAACAGAGAAACCACAAAATCCCAGAGTCTCCAACATAATAAAAGGTTCCATTCTCTATATGGCTTTCAAAAAACTATTAATAACAAGTAGTAATCTGTCAGTTTGCTGAAAAGAGTAGTGCCATTCTCTTGGCCTATGCCCAAGCTGTTTCTAATAAGATTTTCAACTCAGGAGGCAGTTCCAGAAAGCCTGAGATTGACTCACCTGTATGTGAAGCGAAGCTTCTCAACGATAGCCTTCATCTTGCCCACCTGCTCTGGAGTTGCCATGATTTTTTCAGTAAAGGGCATCTTCCTTTTATCATCAGCAAAGGGTAAAAAGACCAGCTGGAAGCCTGAAGAAAGGAGATAAATTTTCTTTGATTTGACTTCAAGTGTTGCAGTCACTTGTTTCTCAGCTCCAAATTCTTCCTTTTATGTCCTGTGGTGCTGGGGCTGGGGCCCCGTAGGCCCCATTTCTTGAACTCCACCAGCTGGTTTTTGTTATCATCTGCCTAACAGACTCCCTCTGCAGTTTCCAGAAGACTGCAAGGGAGGAGGGGTGCCCCTTCCTGTATACAGTAGATCCCTTATCCCTGGGGAATATGTTTGAAGAACCCGGGAGGATACCTGAAACCTCGGACAGCACCAAACCTGACTGCCGTCAATTGAAACATGTTTGTCCATGTCATACGTTCATAAATTTAATATTTAATGTTTTTTTCCATCTTTTTTTTTTTTTGAGATGGAGTTTCACTCTTGTCGCCCAGGCTGGAGTACAGTGGGCAATCTCGGCTCGCTGCAACCTCCGCCTCCCAGGTTCAAGCGGTTCTCCTGCCTCAGCCTCCTGAATAGCTGGGATTACAGGCGCCACCACGCCCGGCTAATTTTTGTACTTTCGGTAAAGATGGGGTTTCGCCATGTTGGCCAGGCTGGTCTCAAACTCCTGACCTCAGGGGATCTGCCCACCTCGGCTTCCCAAAGTGCTGGGATTACAGACGTGAGGTACCGCGCCCAGCCTTCATCTTTTTTTTTTTTTTTTTGAGACAGGATCTTGCTATCACCCAGGCTGGAATGCAGTGGTGTGATCACAGCTTACTGTAGCCTCTACCTCTCCGGCTCAAGTAGCCTATCAAGTAGCTGGGACTACAAGTGAATGCCACCACACTTGGCTACTTTTTTTTATTTTTTTGCAGAGACAGAGTTTCACCATGTTGCTCAGGCTGGTCTCAAAACTCCTGGGCTCAGGCGATCCACCTGCCACAGCCTCCCAAAGTGCTAAGATTACAGGCATTAGCCACAGTGCCTGGCCTCCTTTTCTATTTTAACTAAGCACTTCTCATGTACTGTGGCAGTAACTTTTACAGTTTGAGGTGCAACAGGAAAACTAGCTTGGGCCGGACATGGTGGCTCACGTCGGTAAGCACAGCACTTTGGGAGGCTGAAGCAGGAGGATCACTTGAGCTCAGGAGTTCGAGACCAGCCTGGGCAACATAGTGAGACCTTGTCTCAATTTATGTAAAAAAAGAAGGGGGGGAAAAAACTATTTTTTTTTTTTTTGAGACAGAGTCTCGCTCTGTCACCCAGGCTGGAGTGCAGTGGCGCAATCTCAGCTCACTAACTCCACCTCCCGGGTTCACACCATTCTCCTGCCTCAGCCTCCCAAGTAGCTGGGACTACAGGAGCCTGCCACCACACCTGGCTAATTTTGTATTTTTAGTAGAGACGGTTTCACCGTGTTAGCCAGGATGGTCTCAATCTCCTGACATCGTGATCCGCCACCTTGGCATCCCAAAGTGCTGGGATTACAGGCGTGAGCCACCACGCCTGGCCACTAAGATGAATTTCTTTTTCCTTCTTAACAATTTTGTGGATAGAAGATTCCTTCTTACCATGTATCTTAGCAACCTCAGCATAAAAAAAAAAAAAAACTAAAATGAATTTTTTCCCTTAACAATTTTGTGGTTCGAAGATTCCTTCTTACCATATATCTTAGCAACCTTAGCATATATTTTTTTCCTCCTTAAAGTCAAGAACTCTCACCTTTTCATTTAAAGGAAGCACTTTATGACTTTCTCTTTAGTATATCCAAACTGCCAGCACCACTACACTTGTGCTTTGGGGCCGTTATTAAATAAGGGTGACCTGAACACAAGCACCGCAATACTGATTACCTTGACAGTCAATCTGATAACCAAGACAGCTACTAAGTGACTAACTGGTGGGTAGCATTTACAGTGTGGAGATGCTGAACAAACAGATGATTCCTGCCCCAGGTGGGATTGTGCTTTTAAGTTATTTCTAGAATTTTCCACTTAAAATTTTTGGACCATGGTTGACTATGGGTAACTGAAACTGCAGAAAGCAAAACTGTGGTTGCGGCCCTCCTGTATTTACTGTTCCTACCTGTATTGCCCCAGCAAAGACCCTTTACCTGGCGGCAGTTGGTTCCAGTCTCCAGCTTTTTTGATACATCCAGAGCTAGCCGGACAGTGCCTCCTCCCTGGAGGGCTAAGTCCCAGCTCCATGGGGGCCTTCTCTGAGCTTCACCCTCGCCCCTTTTTTCCTTACCCTCTACCACGTGATAAATAAAAGGAAACAGGTAAGAGTTATCAGGCTGATTTTAGTTCAGTTACTGGCTGGTTCTGGAAGGACTAAAAAATCTACGCCCTGTAACTAACTGCTGCTACCAGGTGAAAGCCTTTGCTGACAATGCTGACCACACTGAGCAAACAGGAAGAAGCAAATCCCTCACCTCTCCTCTGCCCTTTGGTCTCCCTCTAGCACCCACTATAGACACAGCCTGAGAGCCAGCTGTGAAAGATGAAATTAGGTTTGGATCATTTCAGCCTCAGTAGTGCAGAGCATAAAAGGGTGAATTTGGAGCTGAGATACAATAGCTTAGTAACTGAGCACTCCTGAGCATGCTGAGGATCAAAGTTAAAACTACAGTAACTCATCTCAAATGTAAAACCACCCCGAGGGAAAGGTGCTCCAGAACGCCCATCTTTGTAGCTAAGGAATATTAAACAGAAAGGTTAAATTACTTGCCCACGTTGACCAGCTAACAAGCAGCAGAGATGGGCCCAAAACAAAAGCAAGCAAGCTTCCAGACACATAAGCACAAGATAAAGTCAAATCTGACTTTAAAATCCATGGTCTTTCCGCTATACCTCACTATCTTGGCAAACCCCATGGTTGGTTTGTATAGGAACTAAACCAAACATTAGACATTACAAGGGTGCCAAACAATGGCTTTGGAAAGAAAGGTGTCGGCAGTGAGGTCCCAAGAACTTGTGTCAGTAATCTGCAAACAGTCCCCTAGGCAGACATTTCTCTATCCTAGCTGCAGATCAGCCTTGTACGGCTGCGCATGCTGTGCACCCCATCACCATATTTAGTGGCCTTACCTGGCTGTGCACTAAATTCACCCAAGAAAGCTTAAAAATAGACATTTTTAAGCCCCATTCCCAGAGACTATGATTCAGTAGGTCTGCATTAGGAGTCCATGGATGATTCCAAAGTATGGGCAAGGTTCAGAAGCCCTGGAAATATCTCTGCCACATACCTGGAGGAGTCACCTGAATTTTCTGGTCATCCAACTCTTCTTCCTGTGGCACCAAAGCCACAAAATAAGGAGGGATGTTCCTGCGGGGTGTGTATCTGCACAATGCTGCAACCTCCTTCTCCAGACACTTGATGAGCAGAGCACTGAACAGGGTTGAGCTCCCTAGAAAACAAAAAGCCCAGTGACTAGCCTCCTAAAAAGGTTTCCTCCTTTCTTCTCTTTTAGCCCTAAAGTTTCTCTTCCATTTTCTTTAAAGGGCTTATTTTAATTTTATTATTTATTTATTTGAGACGGGGTCTCGCTCTGTCACCCAGGATAGAGTGCAGTGCTGCAATCAGAACTCACTGCAGCCTTGACCTCCCAAGCTCAAGCAATCTTCCCACTTCTGCTTCCTGAATAGCTGGGACTACAGTCACACACCACCACACCCAGCTAGTTTTAAGATTTTTTGTAGAGACAAAGTATCTCTAAGTCACCCACGCTGGTCTCCAACTCCTAGGCTCAAGTGATCCTCCAGCCTCAGCCTCCCAAAGTGTTGGGATTACAGGCATGAGCCACCACACCAAGCCTTTAAAGGGCTTATAATATCTCAACAGGTAAGGGTTGGAGGACCCCACAGCTGAGGGGAAAATGGGGACAGCAGAGACACAGAAAGGAAAATTTAAAAAGGAATAAGAGGTTTAGAAGCCCCAAACATTCCACTTAAGAAAGTGAATTATGGCCGGGCATGGTGGCTCACGCCTGTAATCCCAGCACTTTGGGAGGCACAGGCGGGTGGATCACAAGGTCAGGAGTTCGAGACCAACCTGGCCAGTATGGTAAAACCCCATCTCTACTAAAAATACAAAAATTAGCTGGGCATGGTAGTGCACGCCTGTAGTCCCAGCTACTTGGGAGGCTGAGGCAGAAGAATCGCTTGAATTCAGGAGGCGGAGCTTGCAGAGAGCAGAGACATTGCCACTGCATTCCAGCCTGGGCGACAGAGTGAGACTGTTTCAAAACAAACAAACAGAAAGTGAATTATTGGCCAGGTGAGGTGGCTCACGCTTACAGTCCTAGCACTCTGGGAGGCCAAGACAGGTAGATTGCTTAAGCCCAGGAGTTTGAGACCAGCCTGCCCAACATAGCAAAACCCTGTCTCTACTAACATTACAAAAGATTAGCTGGACGTGGTGGTGTGGACCTGTAGTCCCAGTTGCTCGAGAGGGTGAGGTGGGAAATCACCTGAGCCTGGGAGCTTGAGACTGCAGTGAGCCAAGATGGTGCCACTGGACTCTAGCCTGGGTGACAGAGTGAGACACTGTCTCCAGAAAAAAAAAAAAAAAGCAAATTATTAATGTCAGTTCACTTTTACTGACACTAGGTTAATGACATGACCCCAGTTACTAATGAAAACCAATCGAGTCAAATCTGGGGTGTTCATGAGCCATAGCACAAAAGAAGATAGGGTCTAGACTGCACAAATAAACACAACGGCAAGGTTCACATCCTCTTTAATTTCCAACACTGGAGAAAAAGCTGTGGACTTATTTTGGTTTTGTTTGCTTTTTGCTATCTGATGCTTCAAAGAATTACATGGGAAATTGTTTTTAAAAAGCTAAATTCCAGGCTGGACGTGGTGGCTCACGCCTGTAATCTCAGCACTTTGGGAGGCCGAGGCGGGTGAATCACCTAAGGTCAGGAGTTCGAGACAAGCCTGGCCAACATGGTGAAACCCCATCTCTACTAAAAATACAGAATTTAGCCGGGCGTGGTGGCGTGCACCTGTAATCCCAGCTACTTGGGAGGCTCAGGCAGGAGACTCGCTTGAACCCAGGGGACGGAGATTGCAGTGAGCCGAGATTGCGCCACTTCACTCCAGCCTAGGCGACAACAACAAAAAAATGAATAAAAATATAAATATAAATAAGGCCAGGTGCAGTGGCTCACGAGGTCAGGAGTTCGAGACCAGACTGGCCAAAATGGTGAAACCTCGTCTCTACTAAAAATACAAAAATTAGCTAGACGTGGTAGCAGGTGCCTGTAATCCCAGCTACTCCAGAGGCTGAGGAAGGAGAATCGTTTGAACCAGGGAGGTGGAGGTTGCAGTGAGCCGAGATTGCACCATTACACTCCAGCCTGGGTGACAGGGTGAGACACTGTCTCAAAAAAAAAATTAAATTAAAAAAATATATATATATAAAGCTAAATTCCACAGTCCTCACCCGGGAGGCAGATGTTGCAGTGAGCTGAAACTGCACCACTGCACTCCAGCCTGGGTGACAAGAGTAAAACTCCATCTCCAAAAAAAAAAAAAAAAAAAAAAAAAAAAAAAAAAAAAAAAAAAAAATCTGTTTAACTTTCTTCATTCCCACATTTCCAAAATTTGAGCTTGAAACACTTTTGGTTTTTTTGAGACAGAGTCTCACTCTATGGCCCAGGCTGGAGTGCAGTGGTGTGATCTCAGCTCACTGCAACCTCTGTCTCCCAGGTTCAAGCGATTTTCATGCGTCAGCCTCCCAGGTAGCTGGGATCACAGGCGCAAGCCACCAGGCCTGGCTAAATTTTGTATTTTTAGTAGAGACGAGGTTTCACCATGTTGGCCAGGCTCGTCCTGACCTCAGGTGACCCATCCGCCTCAGCCTCCCAAAGTGCTAGGATTACAGGTGTGAGCCACTGCACCAGGCAGAGCTTGAAACACTTTCAACATACTCCATTAACATTTCCTGTACAGTGTCCAAGCAGTGCCCATTTACAAAGCGCTGCTCCGTAAACTGCACTGTGTGTTAGAGTCACTCATCCATGGTCCACGCTACTTACCAATCACCAGCGACTCCTCTGGGTACACGAACAGGGAGGGCCTCAGGTAATGGTGTTTCTTCAGCAGTACCAACGGCTTGAAACCCATGAGCATCAAACCTGGATCATCAAACCGTTTTAGCTCTTCTGTTTCCTCTTTCTCCAGTATAATCTGACGACTCCCATAGATCTGAAGGAGAAGAACGACAAGGATCAAATGGGAAGGCTACGAGGAGATGCAAAATAACTCGAAGATGATGACACTAGCAAGTTAAAATCAGCTCTCTTCTAAGGAGCAGGAAGATGGCTCACCTGGGGCATCCTCCTTCTCCAACAGGGAATTAACATTTATTGAGTGACTGCAGGTACTTTACACCAACTACTTTATCTTCTGTAACAATCCCAAGAGGTAGATGTTCAAACTGTTTTAGAGTGGGACTGTGCTTATGAATAGCCACTGCACTCCAACCTGGGCAACACAGTGAGATCCTCTTTGCAAAAACAATAAAATAGGCTAGGTGCAGTGCCTCATGCCTGTAATCCCAGCACTTTGAGAGCTGAGGCAAGACTGCTTGAGCCCAGGAGTTCAAGACCAGCCTGGACAACATGGCAAGACCCTATCTGTATAAAAAAATTAAAAATTAGCTCGGTATAGTGGTACACACCTGTGGTCCCAGCTACTTGGGAGGCTGAGACTGGAGGATCGCTTGAGCCCAGGAGTTCGAGGATGCAGTGTGCCAAGATGGCGCCACTGCACTGCAACCTGGGTACCAGAGCAACTCTATCCCCCCAACACAAAAAAAGAAAAAAAAAAATGTACTGACCTGTCAGCACCATCCCTGACACACAAAGCATGCTTAAACCATATCTATTTATTATTATTTATTATTTGAGATGCAGTCTGTCACACTGTCACTGGCGTGCAGTGGCGCAATCTCGACTCACGGCAACCTCCCAGGTTCAAGTGATTCTCCTGCATCAGCCTCCTGACTAGCTGGGATTACAGGTGTGAGCCACTGTGCCCAGCCCAAACCATATCTATTTATTTATTTATTTATTATTATTTTTTTTTTTGAGACAGTCTCGCTGTCACCCAGGCAGCGATCTCGGCTCACTGCAGGCTCCACCCACCGGGGTTCACGCCATTCTCCTGCCTCAGCCCCACGAGTAGCTGGGACTATAGGTGCCCGCCACCACACCTGGCTAATTTTTTTGTATTTTTAGTAGAGATGGGGTTTCACTGTGTTAGCCGGGATGGTCTCGATCTCCTGACCTCGTGATCCGCCCGCCTCAGCCTCCCAAAGTGCTGGGATTACAGGCGTGAGCCACCGCACCCGGCCACCACATCTATTTATTAAATGAGAGGACCTATGTCAGGTACTGTGCTAGGTCTCAATGTGGAAGGCAGAGACACACACATATAAGTACTACTTCCAAGGCAGGGCACGTTGACTCATGCCTGTAATCCCAATACTTTGTGAGGCCAAGGCAGCTGGATCGTTTGAGCCCAGGAATTCGAGACCAGCCTGGGTAACATAGTGAGATCCTGTCTCTATGAAAAAAAAAAAAATACAAAAAATTAGCCAGGCGTGGTGGCATGAGCCTGTAGTCCCAGCTACCCAGGTGGCTGAGGTGGGAGGATCAACTGAACCCAAGAGGTTGAAGCTACAGTCAACCATGATGGCGCTACTGCAAAGATTATTTGTATTGTTTGGAGAGAGATATATATATACACACACACATACATACATATATATATATATATATATATATTTTTTTTTTTTTTGTACTCTCTTCCCCAGGCTGTGCACCACCACGCCTGGCTAATTTTTAGTTTTTTAGTAGAGACAGGGTCTCGCTATGATGCCCAGGCTGATCTCAAACTCCTGGGTTCAAGTGATCCTCCTTCAGCCTCCAAAAGTGCATGAGCCACCATACCCAATGATGTTTGTATTTTATCCTGGATATGTGACTAATAACAGCTTAGTAGCAGATTCAAATTTGGGTTTTATGAACAAAAGAACTCTCAAGGTTTTTTCAAACATACTGGACCAAGAAAGAAACTCAGTGACCAGAGAGCTTACTGCCTATGAATAAATCAATATAAAAAATTAGTTACTTCCAAAATGGAAAAGAAAATTCCTTATCTTTTTCTCCTTCAAAGAGTAGGGCAAAACTCTCTGGCTTGAATCAAAATAATATTTTAGTCATCCTTATAGGCCCTAAACTTATGTAAAATCTCAGATTCTTCCACATTTTGCATACAGGAAGCATGACTCATTCAATTTTAATTTTTGATGTTAAATCCCTCTATAGACTGAGCAAAGGTAAGAGGATGAGAAAAGACAATGTTCTGCGTCCTGCATCTGTCTTTCAGATGCAGAAAGGGAGATGTATGTCATCCCAAGGCACAGGAAAAATATCACTAGCAAAAATAAATTCTCTCCCTAAAAAAAATGAGTTCACTTCACACTTCATACTTTTCCTAACTCCTTATCTCCCTAATTAACTATAAAGTATTTTCTGCTATTGTACCTGAGCAAGACTGTTAGACTGACAGCAGCATGTACTGAGTGATGAAGGGGTGAGGTTTTCACTGACATCTCTTTCAGACACTGGCCCAGTTTAACTTTCTAGCTATCAAAATATCACTGATCCAGATACCACAGTCCCAAAGAGTTAAGTCTTTGTGGTTTAACAGGTTAGCAAGAAAGGTGCACATGGCTCGTCCAAGTGCGGTGGTGTTTACAACTAATTGATCACAACCAGTTACAGATTTCTTTGTTCCTTTTCCATTCCCACTGCTTCACTTGACTAGCGGAAAGAAAAGAAACAGAAGAGAGGAGGGGAGAGGAGGGGAGGGGAGGGGAGGGGAGGGGAGGGGAGGGGAGGGAGTCGGAGAGAGAAAAAAGAAAAGGAAAGGGAAGGAGAAGGAAAGGAAAGATGCACATATGAAAGTTATTTAACTGGTCAGCCTGATCAATGTCTCTCCTCCTAGTTAACTCTTCAGTTGGAGAAAATTCAGTAAGAAAGCATCTTGGGTTAGGTGTGGTGGTTCACACCTATAATCCCAGCACTTTAGGAGGCTGAAGCAGGAGTACTGCTTGAGCCTAGGAGTTCGAGGCCAGCCTGAGCAACATAGTGAGACCTCATCTCTATTAAACAAAACAAAACAAAACGAAACAAAAAAACGCTGGGCACAGTGGCCAATGTCTGTAATCCCAGCACCCCAGCACTTCGGGAAGCCAAAGCAGGAGGATTACTTAAGACCAGGAGTTTGACACCAGCCCAGGCAACATAGCGAGACACCGTCTCTTTTTTTTTTTTTTTTGAGACGGAGTTACGCTTTTGTTGCCCAGGCTGGAGCGCAATGGCGTGATCTCGGCTCACCGCAACCTCTGCCTCCCGGGTTCAAGTGATTCTCCTGCCTCAGCCTCCTGAGTAGCTGGGATTACAGGCATGCACCACCATGCCCAGCTCATTTTGTATTTTTAGTAGAGATGGGGTTTCTCCATGTTGGTCAGGCTGGTCTTGAACTCCTGACCTCGGTAATCCACCTGCCTCGGCCTCCCAAAGTGCTGGGATTACAGGCATGAGCCACTGTGCCCAGTCGATCCAGTCTCTTAAAAAATAAATAAATAAATAAATTAGCTGGGTGTGATGTCACATGCCTGTGATCCCAGCTACTTGGGAGGCTGAGACAGAAGGATCGCTTGAGTCCAGGAGGTCAAGGCTGTAGCGAGTCATGTTCGCCCCACTGCACTCCAGCCTGGGCGACACAATGAGACCCTGTCTCAAAAACAACAACAACAAAAGGCATCTCTACCTACCTGAGACCTCTTGGTATCGCTAGGCAGAAGCAAACCGCCTGTACTTGTATTAAAGGTCCGGGTCTTGGTTTTCACTGGTTCATTTGTTTCCCGATAGAGCTTTATTGGAGGAGGCTTGAGAGCCTTCTGGACCAGATTATAAATGCCCACAGAGATCACTATATCTTTGTTGAGCTTCAGCTTTAACCTGAGGGAGTAAAAAATGAAAGAGCATGAACTGAAAAACTGCACTTTTCTATCTAAAATTCCCTCATAACACCAAAGCTTCACTGTTTTATTCTCTCCAATAATCCTAAGCAAGCTCTCAAAATATAAATATGCTTTTTAATAATACAATCGAATTTGCTATACCACCTCAGAATCTGTACCACAATATATTAACTACTTAAAACAATGATAAAGAACGTACTACAGGTTGCGTATCCCTTTGCAAAATGCTTGCTTAGGACCAGAAATGTTTCAGATTTCAGATTTTTTTTGGAATATTTGCATTTTATAGTACTTACTGGTTGAATATTCCCAACCCAAAAATCTAACAACCCATAATGCTCCAATAAGCACTTCCTTTGAACATTAGGTCGGTGCTCAAAAAAGTTTCAGACTGTAGAGCATTTCTAATTTTGGATTTTCAGATTAGAAACACTCAACCCGTATAATAAAATGATAGTTTGTATTAAGCACAGCACTATATCAATCACCTCACAGCTATTCTCTCATTTAATCATCATAATAACCCTGTAAGTACTGTACTAGTTGTCTTGTCTCTGCTTTTTTTTTTTCGAGACAGAGTCTCACACTATTGGTTGGGCTGGAGTGCAGTCGCGTGATCTCGGCTCACTGCAACCTCCACCTCCCGGGTTCAAGCGATTCTCCTGCCTCAGCTTCCCAAGTGGCTGGGATTACAGGCACCTGCCACGACACCCAGCTAATTTCTTTTTATTTTAGTAGAGACGGTGTTTCACCATGTTGGCCAGGCTGGTCTTGAACTCCTGACCTCGTGATTCACCCGCACTGGCCTCCCAAAGTGCTGGGATTACAGGTGTGAGCTACCATGTTTGGCCTTGTCTCTGTTTTTCTAGGATCCCTTCCTCCTGCTTTGAAGAATAAAGACCCATCATGCCGGGTGCGGTGGCTTAGGCCTGTAATCCTAGGTCAGGAGCTCGAGACCAGCTTGGCCAACATGGTGAAACCCCATCCCTACTAAAAATACAAAAATTAGCCAGGCATGGTGGCGCACGCACAGTCTATAATCCCAGCTACTCGGGAGGCTGAGGCAGGAGAATCGCTTGAACCAGGGAGTTGGAGGTTGCAGTGAGCCAAGATCGTGCCACCGCACTCCAGCCTAGCGACAGAGCGAGACTCTATCTCAAAAAAAAAAAAAAAAGAAGAAAGAATAAAGCCCCATCAAAATAAGGGTTACTTAACAAAACAAAACAAAAAAACACCCCAATTTTTCTTTGGGAATTACCCTTCCCCGACTACAGTTTTGGGAGAATGTTAGTCAAACTCAAGTTGCTGTGCCTTCTTCTGGCCAAGTGGTGGGCATATCTGACCCTGGAGAAGGCCATAGGACGTTCTCATCTGAGAGTCGGGGTCTCTGAGCAGTGGCCATGAAAGGATGTGATTCCAGAGGATACTTTCTTCTCATAATGGCACCCTAAAGACACTGTCATTAGTTCCTGCTACGTAGATTCCTAGAACTAATTATTTGACTCATACGCTGAAATTAGTCAAGGTCAGCCTTTTTTGTTTGTTTTTTTTTGTTTTTTGTTTTTTTTTTTTAAAGATGGAGTTTCGCTCTTGTTGCCCAGGCTGGAGTGCAATGGCACGATCTCCACACTGCAACCTCCACCTCCCGGGTTCAAGTGATTCTCCTGCCTCAGCCTCCCGAGTAGCTGGGATTACAGGCACCCACCACCACACCAGGCTAATTTTGTATTTTTTAGTAGAGACAGGCTTTCTCCATATTGGTCAGGCTGGTCTCAAACTCCTGACCTCAGGTGATCCGCCCGCCTCGGCCTCCCAAAGTGCTGGGATTACAGGTGTGAGCCACAGCCCCCAGCTCAAGGTCAGTTTTTATTGCTTGCCACTCAAGAACCTTATTATTGACCTTCTATAAGTGAGGGCTCAGAGAAGTTACATGACTTGCCCAAGGACACACAATAAAAATCCATATTCAAACTCAAGTATCCCTGTTTCAAAGCTCATGTACTTTTCCATCATGACATATTACTCCAGAGCACTTATACCAACAGCTTAAGCAGCAACAGGACCTCTTGAAAATGTGTTCTGCAGGCCGGGTGCAGTGGCTCATGCCTGTAATCCTAGCACTTTGGGAGGCTGAGGCGGGCGGATTGCCTGAGCTCAGGAGTTTGAGACCAGCCTGGGCAACACGGTGAAACCCCATCTCTACTAAAATACAAAAAAATATTAGCCAGGCGTGGCGGTGTGCATCTGCAGTCCCAGTTACTATGGAGGCTGAGGCAGGAGAATTGCTTGAACCCAGGAGGCAGAGGTTGCAGTGAGGCAAGATCGTGCCACTGCACTCCAGCCTGGGACGACAGACCAAGACTCCATCTCCAAAAAAAGAAAATGTGTTCTGCAATAATAACAATGTACACATATATTTACAATATGCAAAAAATTCTTATATTATGGGGGAAAAAAAGAACGTAAAATAACCCATGATACACATTCTTCTCAAGCACATAGAACATTCTCTAGGAGAGATCATATGTTGGGCCACAAAACAAGTCTCAGTACATGGAAAAAGGTTGAAATCCCATAAAGTATGTTCCTTAACCACAATGGAGCTAAGTTAGAGGTCCACAACAGAAAGAAATGTGGGAAAACCTGAAATTTTTGAAAATTAAACAATACACTTATAAAAAACCCAAGAAGAAATCACGAGGAAAACATTTTTCTTTTTTTTTTTGGAGACAGGGTCTTGCTCTGTCACCCAGGCTGGAGTGCAGTGGCGCCATCTCGGCTCACTGCAACCTCCGCCTCCCGGGTTCAAGAGATTCTCCTGCCTCAGCCTCCCAAGTAGCTGGGACTACAAGCACATGCCACTGCGCCCAGCTAATTTTTTTTTTTTTGAGATGGAGTCTCACTCTGTCGCCTAGGGTGGAGTGCAGTGGCGCAATCTCAGCTCACTGCAACCTCCGCCTCCCGGGTTCAAGAGATTCTCCTGCCTCAGCCTCCCAAGTAGCTGGGACTACAAGCACATGCCACTGCGCCCAGCTAATTTTTTTTTTTTTTTGAGATGGAGTCTCACTCTGTCGCCTAGGGTGGAGTGCAGTGGCGCAATCTCAGCTCACTGCAACCTCCGCCTCCCGAGTTCAAGTGATTCTCCTGCCTCAGCCTCCTGAGTAGCTGGGATTACAGGTGCCCACCACCACGCCCAGCTAATTTTTGTATTTTTAGTAGAGACGGTGCTTCGCCATGTTGGCCAGGCTGGTCTGGCACTACTGACCTCAGGTGATCCACCCGTCTCGGCCTCCCAAAGTGCTGGGATTACAGGCATGAGCCAGCGCGCCCGGCCAGAAAATTTAAAATTATTTTGAACTGCATGAAAGTAAAAACACAATATATCAAAATGTATACGATGCAGCTAAAGCCATGCTCAGAGACAAATTTACAGCTTTAACACTTTTTTGTTTTCTTTTGTTTTTGAGATGGAGTCTCGCTCTGTCGCCTAAGCTGGAGTGCAGTGGTGTGATCTCGGCTCACTGCAACCTCCGCCAACCGGGTTCAAGTGATTCTCCTGCCTCAGTCACCTGAGTAGCTGGGACTACAGGCGCCCACCACCAAGCCTGGCTAATTTTTGTATTTTTAGTAGAGACGGGGTTTCACCATGTTGGTGTGGCTGGTCTCGAACTCCTGACCTCATGATCCGCCCCCTTGGCCTCCCAAAGTGCTGGGATTACAGGCGTGAGCCACCGCACCCGGCCAGCTATAACACTTTTATCAGAAAAGAACAGTCTCCAATAACCAAATCTTCACTGTTGTGGAACACCTAGCAGTATTTAAAGAAAAGAACATGTTTAGACAAGTGTCTGTATAGTTCGAAGATATACAGGTTCACACCGTGGAGACAACACTGGTTTTGAGCAGAGCCACAAATAGAAATTTTGGTTCCTGGGGCAAGCACCTAATATACCTTCAGATCAACTTGGAAATGCATGATGTGACTCACAGATGAGTGTTGGTAACAGATGCATTACTAACAACATCAACCATTTGGTGGCTTCTTAGATGTGAAAATCAGTGTCTAAAGGCTGCTTGAAGGAGAGTTGACGATAAATGCAACCAATTACAAAACTGCACAATCTTCAAAAGTAACTATTTTTTTTTGTAGACAGGGTCTCACTCTATAGATTGCTACAGTAAGTTTAAATATTGTTAAAATGCCCAGACTACCCAAAGCAATCTACAGATTCAATGTAATCCCTATCAAAATACCAATGACATTCTTCACAGAAATAGACAAAACAATCCTAAAATGTATGTGGAACCACAAAATCATACCGGGAAATTCTCCAGCACATTGAGCTTGGCAAAGATTTCTTAAGTAATACTCCAGAAGCATAGGCAACCAAAGCAAAAACGGACAAATAGGATCACATCAAGTTAAAAAGCTTCTGCACAACAAAGGAAATGATCGACAAAGAGAAGAGAAAATATCTGGAAACTATCCATCTGACAAGGGATTAAGAACCAGAATATATAAGGAACCCAAACAACTCTACAGGAAAAAACTCTAACATAATCTGAGATATCATCTCACCTCAGTTAAAATGGTTGGAGGTTCCTGAAAATACTAAAAAGAAAACTACTGTATGATCCAGCAATCCCACTGCTAGGTATACACCCCAAAGAAAGGAAATCTGTATATCAGAGATATCTGCACTCCCATGTTTATTGCAGCCCTATTCACAACAGCCAAGATTTGGAAGCGACCTAAGTGTCCATCAAAAGAAGAATGGATAAAGAAAGTGTAGTACAATGGAGTACTATTCAGCCATAAAAAATGAGATCCTGAGGCAGGTGGATCACCTGAGGTCCAGAGTTCGAGACTAGCCTGGTCAACATGGTGAAACTGTGTCGCTACTAAAAATACAAAATTAGTCGGGCGTGGTGGTGCATGCCTGTAATCCTAGCTACTTGGGAGGCTGCAGGAGAACTGCTTGAATCCAGAAGGCAGAGGTTGCAGTGAGCCGAGATCGCGCCATTGCAGTCTAACCTGGGCAACAAGAGCAAGACTCAGGCTCAAAAAAAAAGGAGATCCTGTCATTGGTAACAACATAAATGTTGTTGCATTCACTATGCAATGTTGTTTCACTATGTTAAGTGAAATAAGCCAGGCACAGAAAGACAAACTTTGAATGTTCTTATTTCTGGGAGATAAAAAGTAAAGCAATTGAACTCATGGACACAGAAAAGGATGGTTACCAGAGGCTGTGAAGGGTAAGGGGGTAGTGATGGGGCAGTGGGGATGGTTAATGAGTACAAAAAATAGAAAGAATGAATAAGATCTAATACTTTAGAGCAGATCAGGGTGACTATAGTCAATAATAACAGTACATTTTAAAATAACTAAAGGAGTATAATCAGATTGCTTATAATACAAAGGATTAGTGCTTAAGGTGATAGATAACCCATCTATGCTGATGTAATTATTACGCATTGCATGCCTATACCAAAATATCTCATGGATCCTATAAGTATATACACCTACCATGTACCCACAAAAATTAAAAATTTTTTAAAAAGCGTAAGTTTAATATTTTTCTAGGCCTTAGCCCTAAGGCATTGTTAGTTCTCAATATCTCCAATTTATTATTATTTATATCAAGTATCCATCCTACAATGACTGTTCCACAAAATAAGAACAGCTAACATTTATAAATAATTACCACGGGCCAAGCACTATGCCTAGGTTATCTCATTTAATGCTCACGGCAATCCTATGTGAAAGTACAGTTTTTTAATTTTTTTAATAAAGAGAGACAGGGTCTCCCTGGGTTGCCCAGGCTGGTCTTGCTTCTGGACTCAAGCAATCCTCCTGCCTCGGCCTACTAACATGCTGGGATTACAGACGTGAGCCACTGCACCTACCCAAGGAGGTACCATTTTTTGCTCCCATTTTACTAAGGCTCAGAGAAGTCAGGTCGCATAGCAAAGGGACCAGGACTAGAATCCAAACAATCTGACAACAAGGCCTACATTTACCCACTATTCTATCCTCCCCATCCATCTCCACCAAAATGTGTAGTAGACTTCCAAACTGTAGTATAAACAACATCGCATCATTTCAAGACAGGTGAAGAGGTGACAAGATACTTGTCTGAGGAAAGAAAAATAGTTTCCAAGAGGAAAAGGAGAACAATGACAAAACTACAACTGTGGCAATGAGTGATTCAAGGTCTCCTCAAAAAAATTTCTTGGGTTTTCTGGTAGAATTGTCAGTAAACTCTTAAAAACTGCTTAAAAGTTACCAAAGGTCATGGACCCCTATACTGAGGAAACCACTCCAGAATGAAAGCTTGAGGAGGAACGTTTGAGGCCAGGAGTCTCAGACCAGCCTGGTTAACATACCAAGAGCCCCAAGTCTACAAAAAAAGCTACTTGGGGCAGGGTGTGGTGGCTCACGCCCTTAATCCCAGCACTTTGGGAGGCTGAGGCGGGTGGATCACAAGGTCAGGAGATCAAGACCATCCTAGCTAACACGGTGAAACCCCGTCTCTACTAAAAATACAAAAAAATCAGCTCGGCGTGGTGGCGGGTGCCTGTAGTCCCAGCTACTCGGGAGGCTGAGGCAGGAGAATGGCATGAACCCGGGAGGCGGAGCTTGTAGTGAGCTGAGATCACGCCACTGCACTCCAGCCTGGGCGACAGAGCAAGACTCTGTCTCAAAAAAAAGCTACTTGGGAGGCTGAGACAGGAAGACCACAGAAGACTGCCTGAGCCCAGGAGTTGTAGGCTGTGGTGCCATTGTACTCCAGCCTGGGCAAGAGTGAGACACCGTCTCTTAATAAATAAAAGGCTGTAGGTCTTTAGGAAGAAACAATGAGTAACCTTTAGGATTCTAATATCAAGGCTCTCTAAAAAAAACAGAATCTAGGCCGGACGCAGAGGCTCAAGCCTGTAATCCCAGCACTTTGGGAGGCCGAGGCGGGCGGATCACGAGGTCAGGAGATCGAGACCATCCTGGCTAACACGGTGAAACCGTCTCTACTAAAAATACAAAATTAGCCGGGTGTGGTGGCAGGCGCCTGTAGTCCCAGCTACTCAGGAGGCTGAGGCAGGAGAATGGCATGAACCCGGGAGGCGGAGCTTGCAGTGACCTGAGACCGCACCACTGCACTCCAGCCCGGCCAAAAGAGCAAGACTCCATCTCAAAAAAAAAAAAAGAGAGAGAATCTAGGCTACACATGGACACATGGTAGCTCACGCCTGTAATCCCAGCACATTGGGAGGCCTAAATGGGAGGATTTCTTGAGCCCAGGAGTTTGCAACCAGCCTGTGCAAAGCAGTGAGACCCCATCTCACAAAAAATAAAAATAAAAATAAAAAATAATCAGCAGAGCATGGTGGCACACGCCTGTGGTCCCAGTTACTCAGAACACTGATATGGGGCGATCACTGGAGCTCAGGAGGTCGAGGCTAAGGTGAGCTGTGATCATACTGCACTCTGGCCTGGGCAACAGGGTGAGACTTTGTCTCAAAAAAAAAAAAAAAAAAAAAAAAAGAAAAAGAATCTAGCAATCTGGTTCCCATTGGTCTCAGGTTTATAAGAAATCAGAATGACACAATTTTAACAATGATCATAACTAACATTTATGAGTTTTTGCTCCCTAACAGGCTCTGTTTTGTGCTCTTCACTAACTCTTCACAGTAACCTAATGAGGCAGGTATTGTTGTCACCAATTTACAGAGAAGAATAAAGCAAATAATGCACACTCATGCACCACTAACATTTTGGTCAACAATAGGGCGCACATACAATGATGGTCTGTTAAGATGATAATGAAGCTCAAAATTTCCTGTCACCTACTGACATCATAGCTGTCGTAAGTTTGTCGCACAAGGCATCACTCATGCATCTGTAGTGATGCTGTGTAAACAAACCTACTGTGCTGCCAGTTATATAAAAGTATGCAGTCATGTCCTAGGCCTTCACTTTCACTCACTACTCACTCAGAGCCACTTCTAGTCTTGTAAGTTCCATTCGTGGTAAGTGCCCTATGCAGGTATACCATTTATCTTTATACCATATTTCTTTTTTTTTTTTTTTTTTTTTTGAGGCGGAGTCTCACTTTGTCACCAGGCTGGAGTGCAGTGGCATGATCTTGGCTCACTGCCACCTCTGACTCCTGGGTTCAAGCGATTCTCAGCCTCCTGAGTAGCTGGGACTACAGGCGCGCGCCATCACGTCCAGCTAATTTTTGTATCTTTAGTAGAGAACAAGGTTTCACCATGTAGGCCAGGATGGTCTCAATCTCTTGAACTTGTGATCCACCCGCCTCGGCATCCCAAAGTGGTGGGATTACAAGGCGTGAGCCACCGTGTCTGGCCTATATCATATTTTTATTGTACCTTTTCTATACCTTTAGATACATTTAGATACACAAATACTTACCATTGCCTACAGTAAACAGTATGGTAATATGCTATACAGGTTTGTAGCCTAAGAGCAACAGGCTAACCACACAGCCCAGGTGTGTAGTCAAGCTGTACTCTCTGGGTGTGTGAAGTACCCTCTATGTTTGCACAATGACAAAATCGCCTAATGACGCAATTCTAAGAAGGTATCCCTATCATTAATTAACACATGACTGTACTAGTGAGTACAGCTAAGGATACTCTTAGACCATAACTGTCTACCCCCACGAAATGGAGGGCTGTGTTACTTTAGAGAAATATCATGCCAGCTCTTGCCAGAGATAAAGCAGCAAATAGCTTCTGCTATCCTGAAATAAACTATTTTAGAGGAAGACAGTGAGGCAGTGGCATAGTCGAGTTAAGTAGCCAGTCAGGTCAGAGCAATGTATTGCTTCTGGTTTGTTAAGCAATGTGTAGCAGTGCATTGCTTCTGATTTTTTTTTTTTTTTTTTTAGGTAGAGAGAGGGTCTTGCCATGTTGCCCAAGCTGGTCTCAACTCCTAGGCTCAAGCAATCCGCCTGCCTTGGCCTCCCAAACTGTTGGGATTACAGGTGTGAGCCACCGCGCCCAGCCTGCTTCTGATTTAAGGGCAGTGTAGGCAGCTGACCCGGGCTGAGTGCACACCTGCTGAGTGCTCGCTTCCTGGTCTCCTTGGCGCGAACCTTCCGCAACAGGTCTTCTAGCTTGCTGGATTCCTCAAAGTGAACCCTGAGGTCCTCATCCTCTGCTATGCTGATGATATCTCTGTAGAACAAGGATATGTCAAAGCCCCCAGGTTTCTTCAGGTGCATCAAGTCAAGGAAGATGCCTGTTGCAAGGGTAAACAAAAGTGAGGGAGGAAAAAACAATTTTCAGCAAGTGAGAAGTTCTTTCAGTTAAAACTGAAACATGCTTTTAAAAGCTCCCTGAAAACTAGACTATTAACATTTTCAGGACTTAGAAAAAGTGACTAAGGAAACCAACTGCTATAATGACTTCAGACAACTTTTCAAATAATCACCATTCGTGGTAATATTAAAGTCAAGACAACTGGCCAGGCACAGTGGCTCACATCTGTCATCCCCAGCACTTTGGGAGGGCGAGGTGGTGGATCATCTGAGGTCCAGAGTTCGAGACCAGCCTGGTCAACGTGGTGAAACCCCCATCTCTACTAAAAATACAAAAATTAGCTAGGCACAGTGGTTCATGCCTGTAATTCCAGCTATTTGGGAGGCTGAGGCAGGTGAATCGCTTGAATCTGGAAGGCGGAGGTTGCAGTGAGCCAAGATTGTGCCACTGCACTCTAGCCTGGGGGACAGAGTGAGACTCCGTCTCAAAAAAAAAAAAAAAAAAAAAAATCAAGACAATCTTGTTCTGACAGAGTCCTTTAGACAGCTAATGGCATGGCCATCTGCAGTGTTAATGTTACACAGGCATCTTCTGGCTTCACTTTATTTTTTTATTTTATTCTAAATGGTAAAAAGCACATGCCTGAAGTCAGGTACACAGAAAGCAATAAAACTGCACTGGGCACAACAGCACATGCTTATAGTCCCAGCTACTTGGGAGGCTGAGGCTGAGCCAAGACTCCTGAACTCCTAAAAAAATAAAAAATAAAAAAACAATAATTAAGTGCCAATTTAAGAGAACGGGGAAATATGCCCACCTGTATCTCGGAGATCACCGGCTTTGGTCCTGGCCCGGCTGGCTTTGGCACTGTCATTGCCATGGGGGTTGTCTTCATTGGTGAACAGCATGATCCTCTTATGACTCATCTTGAATTGGACATCACTAAAGAGGTTGGCACAGACCCACAGCACTTCACTGAGTGAGTAGTCAGATCCGTGGCCCATCATGTCTTGGAAACGTTTTTGTCCCTGCTGCCCCTTAAACTGGTCAAGCTCTAGAATTCGTTTTGCACCTGATCAGAGGCAGGGAGTCAAATGGAAAGAAAAATCAGAAGAATGTCAGTGGCTGCCTTTACCACAAGACTAACAGAAGGACCCTTTTTCACCCCAGAGCTGTTTAACCCATTTAACAAAGTCCACATCGAGCAAGGTCCCCTTATGGAGGAAAGCATACTCCTAGACAAGATGTAACTTGCTTCCTTCTCCACAGTCCTCTTTGATCAGAGTACTGATATTCTCATATATAAGGGAAAAGCTGATCTTAAAATATTACTGACCTGGATTATCCAGCTCCTGTAAGACGTAAATATTTTTAAAATTCACTGAATTTTTGTCTTTCTCGGTACCATAGAACACCACAGCCAAGAGATCTCGATCACTGCTTATGATCTTACTGATGTACACACTTTGGATACACTGAAAAAAAAAATTCAATTAATATTTACTTACCACTAAATGGAAGCTCCATAAGTGCTCAGTACCTATTAGTTGCTCAAAATATGTGCACTGAATTTGTATATGGCACTAAAATAAGGCAAGATCCCTACCTTCAGGGGTAATGAATCAGTGAAAGTAATGGGCATAAATATCAAATTTTAACAAAAACCAGAATGCAGTAAGTATACATTAGAAGTATAAGCAGTCCCTGCCATTGAAATCAGAGAATTAACAATACGTATATTCAGGCCAGGCACAGTGGCTCACATCTGTAGCAATCCCAGCACTTTGGGAGGCTGAGGTGGGAGAATCACTTGACCCTAGGAGATCGAGACCAGCCTGGGCAACATAGTGAGACTCCATCTCTACCAAACAAAAAAAAACAAAAAAATTAGCTGGGCATGGCAGCACAGGGTCCCAGTTACTTGGGAAGCAGAGGTGAAAGATCGCTTGACCCCAGGAGGTGAAGGCTGCAGTGAGCAGAGACTGCACCACTACAGTCCAGCCTGGGCAACAGAGTGAGACCTTATCTCAAGAAAAAAGGAAAAGAAGTATCAGAGGGAGGAAATTGTGCTATGGGAGTTGGGGCGAAGCAAAGCATTGGAATCAGAAAACCTGGAGTTGAGTCCTACTGATGTCACTTACTTAACTGGCTGAATTTGGACAGGTCATGTGATCTTTCAAGTACCTTGGTATCAGGAAACAGAGTTTATATACACAGTTGGCCCTCCATATCTGCTGGTTCTGCATCTATGTATTCAACCAACCTCAAATCTCAAATATTCAGGAAAAACAAAGAAATTCCCGTTTCAAAAAGCAAAACCTGAATTTGCCATGTGCCAAGTACTACATTGAAGCCATGTGAATGAAGTGATGCATAGGCATTGTATTAGGTACTATGAGTAACCTATAGATGACTTAAAGTATAGGGGAGGATGTGTGTAGGTTATATGCAAATACTATGCCATTTTATTTAAGGGACTTGGGCATCCTCGGATTTTGGAATCCACGGGGAGTCCTGCAACCAATTCCCTCAATAACAAGGGATGACTATATAAAATAATTACAATGCTTAAGTACATGTGACCTGAAAATAAGTCAATAACTACCAGTAAGCGCATCCTTGAAATAAAACTGTTTAACTACCCAGTTAAAGACATCAGTATTCCAGTAACAGGAAAGGTCTACCCCTCTATATAAACTAATGTCAGCATCTGGTACATCAGGTCTTGTAAGAGCTCATCAGTTCACCCAGGCGCGGTGGCTCATGCCTATAATCCCAGCACTTTGGGAGGCCAAGGCGAGCAGATGACGAGGTCAGGAGTTCGAGACCATTCTGACCAACATGGTGAAACCCCAACTCTACTAAAAATACAAAAATTAGTTGGATGTGGTAGCACGTGCCTGTAATCCTAGCTACTCAGGAGGTTGAGGCAGGAGAATCGCTTGAACCCAAGAGGTGGAGGTTGCAGTGGGCTGAGATTGCGCCACTGCACTCCAGCCTGGGCAACAGAGCGAGACTCCATCTCAAAAAAAAAAAAAAAAGAGAGTTCATCAGTTCTAGGGGCCTACCTAATTCTGGAGCACTAACAAAATTAAGTCTTCGGGCCAGGTACAGTGGCTCATGCCTATAATCCCAGCACTTTGGGAGGCCAACACAGGAGGATTGCTACAGAAGTTTGAAACTAGCCTGGGCAACATGGCAAAACAATGTCTCTACAAAAAACAAAAAAATTAGCTGGGCATGCACATGCTTGTAGTCCCCACTACTCAGCTACTCAGGGGTGCTGAGGCAGGAGGATCACCTGAGCACAGGAGGTCAAGGCTGCAGTGGGCAGAGATCATGCCACTGCACTCCAGCCTAGATGACAGAGCGAGACCCTGTCTCAAAAAAAAAAAAAAAAATTAAGTTTTGGAACCTGCAAAGCTGAGGAATAAACCAACCATGGTGATCCCCTCCATGTCCTGCCTGAGCTCTAGCTGGCCTTCGTCCACAGCTATTCTCTCCTTAAATGCAGAACATGTACTATAGCTAGTCACTGACAACAATCCACATGGCAAGTAGTCATTTCCATAAATATTTTAATCTACTCTGAGGAGTCTACAAACTTTTAAAAGAATCTGGTAAGGGCTCCTTTTAGGTTCTAAAAATTAAAAACAAAAACTAAAACAGAATTTTAGAAAATGTTTTCTATTGCTTATCAACTACTGAATACTTATTATCGGTTATCAAATTGTGCTCATCTATGAATGTCTCATTTCCTTCCTACCTAACACTACATTTTCTTCTGAGGTCTTTAGGCATCAAGGGTTCCATTAACTCTCTGAAATTACAGGTAGAATTGTGAGTACTATCTTTTTTGAGGGGAAGGTATGTAGCTGTCATCATATCCTCAAAGAGGTCCACGGTTGGCCAGGTGCGGTGGCTCATGCCTGTAATCCCAGCACTTTGGGAGGCCGAAGTGGGCAGATCACGAGGTCAGGAGATGGAGACCATCCTGGCTAACATGGTGAAACCCCATCTCTACTAAAAAACAAGAACAAAAAATTAGCCGGGTGTGGTGGTGGGTGCCTGTAGTCCCAGCTACTCAGGAGGCTGAGGCAGGAGAATGGTGTGAACCCAGGAGGCAGAGCTTGCAGTGAGCCAAGAGCCAGGGCAGCAAAGCGAGACTCCGTCTCAAAAAAAAAAAAAAATAGGTCCACGGTCTAAAAAAGGTTAAAGCACTGCTCTTCAAAGTAATGGTCTCCAAATCAGTAACATCAGCATCACCTGACAATTTACTAGAAATGCAAATTCTTGGTCCCCATTCTAGACATAGAGAATCAGAAATTTTGATTGTGGGGCAAGGTTCTGTAGTCTGTGTTTTAATGTCCTGCAAGTAATTCTGTTTGAGAACCACTTTAAATTAACGATTGTTTTTATTCATAGTTCTATTATTTTATTTTACATACACTTTTTTTTTTTGAGACAGAGTCTGGCTCTATTGCCCAGGCTGGACTGCAATAGTGCCATCTCGGCTCACTGCAACCTCTGCCTCCCAGGTGCAAGCGATTCTCCTGCCTCAGCCTCTGGAGTAGCTGAGACTACAGGCGCACGCCACCACACCCAGCTAATTTTTGTATTTTTAGTAGAGACGAGGTTTCACCATTTTGGCCAGGATGGTTTTGATCTCTTGACCTCGTGATCCGCCCACCTCGGCCTCCCAAAGTGCTGGGATTACAGGCATGAGCCACCGCGCCCAGCCTTTTCTTTTTTTTTTTTTTTCCAAGAGACAGGGTCTTACTCTGTTGCCCAGGCTAGAGTTCACTGGCACAATCATAGCTCAGTGCAGCCTCAAACTCCTGGGCTCAAGCAATCCTCTCACCCCGGCCTCCTGAGTAGCTGGGACTACAAGTGCACACCACCACACCCAGCTTATTCTTTTTTTTTGGTGCAAGATATTCTGGTGTGCCAACTACAAGAACTATTTCTTGTTTTCTTGAGATGGAGTCTCTCTCTGTCACCCAGGATGGAGTGCAGTGGCGTGATCCTGGCTCACTGCAACGTCCACCTCCCCAGTTCAAGCAATTCTCCTGCCTCAGCCTCCTGAATAGCTGCAACTACAGGCCTGCACTACCATGCCCGGCTAATTTTTGTATTTTGAGTAGAGACAGAATTTCACCATGTTGGCCAGGCTGGTCTCGAACTCCTGACCTCAAGTGATTCACTCACCTCAGCCTCCCAAAGTGCTGGGATTACAGGCGTGAGCCACCACACCCTGCCTACCAAGAACTATTTGTACACAAATTAGAACATGAAAAGTTTCTGTTCAGTTCCAAATTCTAAAATTATGAGACATGAGATATATAATAAATCTGTGAAAATTCTTCTCTACGAAGTACACAAAAGAAACAGTAATCCCTCTCCCTCTCCCTCTCCCTATCCCTCTCCCCACGGTCTCCCTCTCCCCACGGTCTCCCTCTCCCTCTCTTTCCACGGTCTCCCTCTGATGCCGAGCCGAAGCTGGACTGTACTGCTGCCATCTCGGCTCACTGCAACCTCCCTGCCTGATTCTCCTGCCTCAGCCTGCCGAGCACCTGCGATTGCAGGCGCGTGCCGCCACGCCTGACTGGTTTTCGTATTTTTTTGGTGGAGACGGGGTTTCGCTGTGTTGGCCAGGCTGGTCTCCAGCTCCTAACCGCGAGTGATCCGCCAGCCTCGGCCTCCGGAGGTGCCGGGATTGCAGACGGTGTCTGGTTCACTCAGTGCTCAATGGTGCCCAGGCTGGAGTACAGTGGTGTGATCTCGGCTTGCTACAACCTCCACCTCCCAGCCGCCTGCCTTGGCCTCCCAAAGTGCCCAGAGTGCAGCCTCTGCCCGGCCGCCACCCCGTCTGGGAAGTGAGGAGTGTCTCTGCCTGGCCGCCCATCGTCTGGGATGTGAGGAGCCCCTCTGCCTGGCTGCCCAGTCTGGAAAGTGAGGAGCGTCTCTGCCCAGCCGCCATCCCATCTAGGAAGTGAGGAGCGTCTCTGCCCGGCCGCCCATCGTCTGAGATGTGGGGAGCGCCTTTGCCCCGCCGCCCCGTCTGGGATGTGAGGAGCGCCTCTGCCCAGCCGTGACCCCGTCTGGGAGGTGAGGAGCGTCTCTGCCCAGCCGCCCCATCTGAGAAGGGAGGAGACCCTCCACCCGGCAACCGCCCCGTCGGAGAAGTGAGGAGCCCCTCTGTCCGGGAGCCGCCCCGTCTGAGAAGTGAGGAGCCCCTCCGCCCGGCAGCCACCCCATCTGGGAAGTGAGGAGCCTCTCCGCCCAGCAGCCGACCCGTCCGGGAGGGAGGTGGGGGGTCAGCCCCAGCCAGGCCAGCCGCCCCATCCGGGAGGTGAGGGGCGCCTCTGCCCAGCCGCCCCTACTGGGAAGTGAGGAGCCCCTCTGCCTGGCCAGCCGCCCCGTCCGGGAGGGAGGTGGGGGGGTCAGCCCCCCGCCCTGCCAGCCGCCCCGTCCAGGAGGGAGGTGGGGGGGTCATCCCCCCACCCGGCCAGCAGCCCTGTCCGGGAGGTGAGGGGCGCCTCTGCCCGGCCGCCCCTACTGGGAAGTGAGGAGCCCCTCTGCCCAGCCACCACCCCGTCTGGGAGGTGTGCCCAACAGCTCATTGAGAACGGGCCATGATGACAATGGTGGTTTTGTGGAATAGAAAGCGGGGAAAGGTGGGGAAAAGATTGAGAAATCGGATGGTTGCCGTGTCTGTGTGGAAAAAAGTAGACATGGGAGACTTTTCATTTTGTTCTGTACTAAGAAAAATTCTTCTGCCTTGGGATCCTGTTGATCTGTGACCTTACCCCACAACCCTGTGCTCTCTGAAACATGTGCTGTGTCCACTCAGGGTTAAATGGATTGAAGGCAGCATGCTCGTTAAGAGTCATCACCACTCCCTAATCTCAAGTACCCAGGGACACAAACACTGCGGAAGGCCTCAGGGTCCTCTGCCTAGGAAAACCAGAGACCTTTGTTCACTTGTTTATCTGCTGACCTTCCCTCCACTATTGTCCTATGACCCTGCCAAATCCCCCTCTGTGAGAAACACCCAAGAATGATCAATAAAAAAAATAAATTAAAAAAAAAAAAAAAGAAACACTAATCTTTTTAATTAAGCTGAAATTTAGATTTTCTAAGTGAACAATTAAGAGGTATTTAATACATTCACAATGTGCCAGGCATAGTGGCACATGCCTTAACCCCAGCCACACAGGAGGCTGAGGTGGGTGGATTGCTTGAGCCCAGGAGTTCCAAACCAGCCTGAGCAATAGTGAGACACCATCTCAAAAAAAAAAAGCAAGGCCGGGTGCCATGGCTCACGCCTGCAATCCCAGCACTTTGGAAGGCCGAGGCGAGCAGATCACGAGGTCAGGGGTCCAAGACCATCCTGGCCAATATGGTGAAACCCCATCTCTACTAAAAATACAAAAATTAGCTGGGCATGGTGACACGTGCCTGTAATCTCACCTACTCGGGAGGCTGAGGCAGGAGAATCGCTTGAACCAGGGAGTCAGAGGTTGTAGTGAGCCAAGATTGTGCCACTGCACTCCAGCCTGGTGACAGAGCGAGACTCCAACTCAAAAAAAAAAAAAAAAAAAGCATAAATGCACACACAAGGCTGGGCGCAGTGGCTCACACCTGTAATCCCAGCACTTTGGGAGGCCGAGGCAGGCGGATCACTTCAGGAGATTGAGACCATCCTGGCTAACACGGTGAAACCCCGTCTCTACTAAAAACACAAAAAATTAGCCAGGCATGGTGGCAGGTGCCTGTAGTCCCAGCTACTCTGGAGGCTAAGGTAGGAGAATGGCATGAACCCGGGAGGCGGAGCTTGCAGTGAGCCAAGATCACGCCACTGCACTACAGCCCGGGTGACAGAGCGAGACTCCGTCTCAAAAATAATAATAAAAATAAATAAATAAATAAATACACACACAAACATTCACAATGTTGTGCAACTACCAACTCTAGTTCCAAAAAATTTTCATCACCCCAAAAGCAAACCCCATACCCATTGAGCAGTTGCTCCCTGTTCCTCTCTTCCCTGTGCCTCAGGTAACCAACCACCCCTCTGCGTTAAGAACTTACCTATTCTGGATATTTCATGTAAATGAAATCATACAATATTTGACTTTTTGTATCTGGCTTCTTTCACTTAGCATAATACTTTCAAGATTCATCTACTTTGTAGTATGTATCAATTATTCATTCCTTTTCATGGAATGTATATCTATATGCCACTGTTTAGCCATTCAAAATGTTTTGGAATAAGATAGAGGTGGTGGCTGCATAACATTGTGAATGTGTTAAGTGTCACTGAATTGTATACTTTCAAATAGTTAATTTTATGTTACATGAAACACAACCTCAATTTAAAGAAACAAGAACAGGTCAGGTACAGTCAATCACGCCAATTTCTCCACAGCCTTGCCAACACTTATTTTCTGCTGGTGTTTTTTAAATTTTAGTTTGTTTATATAGTGGGTGTGAGTGGTAGCTCATTATGGTTTTCATTTGCCTTTCTCTAATGACTAAACATGCTGAGTATCTTTTCCTGTGCTTGTTGGACATCTGCATATCTTTGGAGAATTGTTTTTTTTTTTTTTTTTTTTTTTTGAGACAGAGTCTCACTCTGTTGCCCAAGCTGGAGTGCAGTGGCACAATCTCGGCTCACTGTAACCTCCGCCTCCTGGGTTTAAGAGATTCTCCTGACTCAGCCTCCCGAGTACCTGGGACTACAGAAGCGCACCACCATGCCTGGCTAATTATTTTTGCATTGTTAGTAGAGACAGGGTTTCACCATGTTGGCCAAGCTGGTCTCCTGACCTCATGATCCGCCTGCCTCAGCCTCCCAAAGTGCTGGGATTATAGACATGAGCCACCACGCCCAGCTGGAGAAATGTCTTTTCAAGTCCTGTGCCTGTTTTAAAATTGAAGTTGCCTTTTTATTGTAGCCATCTTCCCCAACCACAGGCAGTAGTCAACTCCCAAGTATCACTCACTCTTTTCCACACTATAACTGTGGGAACTTCCCTTCTTCCTTTATACTTCCATCTCTGCAAGAGGAGGAGCCTACTTCTTTTTTCTGTTTGACCTCCTGGGCTCAAGCAAGCCTCTCGCCTCGGCCTCCTGAGTAGCTAGGACTACAGGTTTGCACCACCACACCTGGATGATTTGTGTATTTTTTGTAGAGACGGGGTTTCTCCATGTTACCAGGTTGGTCTCAAACTCCTAGGCTCAAGTGATCTGCCCGTCTCGGCCTCCCAATGTCCTGAGATTACAGGCATGAGCCGCCACCATGCCCAGCCAATACTGTTTTTAAATTTGTCTTAAATTAAAAGGTAGTCTTACCTGGATGCTCATGTCAAAAGGTGTCAACTCATCTTCACTCTGAGATTCAAACATAGCCTTGGAGGCATCAACCAAAAAAATCAAACTATCTCTTCCTGAATATTTATAGTCTCCTATGGGGAAAAAAATGGAAGAAAATGTTTGTCCTTGTTTTCGTATTTGTTTACCATATAAGATAAATAAAGGCCATAAAGGAAAGTATAACCTAATAAATTATTATAAGGTGAACAACCATAAAATCTCCACCTATGTCAGGAAATTGAGTCTTGCCAGACACCCCAGAAATCCCTCTTACATTCCCTCCCAATTACAACACCCACCTCCCCAAAAAAGTCAATATCCTGACTTTTTTTTCTGAGATAGGGTCACACTCCCATCACCCAGGCTGGAGTGCAGTGACGCGATGATAGCTCACTGCAACCTCGAACTCCTGGGCTCAAGCCATCATCCTGACTCAGCCTCCTGAGCAACTGGGACTACAGGTGTGTGCCACCATGACCAGCTAATTTTTTAAGTTTACTGTAGAGATGGTATTGTGCTACACTGCCCAGGCTGATCTAAAACTTCTGAGCTCAGGCAATCCTCCCCACCAGGCCTCTATTTTTTTTTTTTTTTTTTTTTGAGACGGAGTCTCGCTCTGTTGCCAGGGTGGAGTACAGTGGCACAATCTCGGCTTACTACGACCTCCGTCTCCCAGGTTCAAGCGATTCTCCTGCCTCAGCCTCCCAACTAGCTGGGATTATAGACGCCCGCCACCACTCCCAGCTAATTTTGTATTTTTAGTAGAGACGCAGTTTTACCATGTTGGCCCAGGTTGGTCTTGAACTCCCGGCCTCAGGTGATCCACCCACCTCAGACTCCCAAAGTGCTAGGATTATAGACGTGAGCCACCGCACCCCACCCCGCCCTGGCCTAAGAGCTGGGATTATAGGCATGATCTACCACACACCCACCCCTTACGTTTCTTTATAATTTTATCACCCAAACCTACATTTCTAAACATTAGCTTTGACTTAATTTTCTAAAGCCTCTTCATCTACAGATACCCTCTCTTTTTTCCCTTGTAATTTATCTTCTGAAGAGCCAAGATGCTTTGTGTTATACACTTTTCCACATTCTGAATTTTGCTGATTGCCTTTTTAAAAAAATTAATTAGGCGGGGCACAGTGGCTCATGCCTGTAATCCCAACACTTTGGGAGACCAAGGCGGGAGGATCACTTGAGATCAGGAGTTCGAGACCAGCCTAGCCAACATGGTTAAACCCTGTGTCTACTGAAAATACAAACATTAGGCTGGGCGCAGTGGCTCACACCTGTAATCCCAGCACTTTGGGAGGCCGAGGCGCGCGGATCACGAGGTCAGGAGGTCGAGACCATCCTAGCTAATACGGTGAAACCCTGTCTCTGCTAAAAATACAAAAAAAAATTAGCTGGGCGTGGTGGTGGACACCTGCAGTCCCAGCTACTCGGGAGGCTGAGGCAGGGGAATGGCATGAACCCGGGAGGGGGAGCTTCCAGTGAGCCGAGATCACGCCACTGCACTCCAGCCTAGGTGACAGAGTGAGACTCGGTCTCAAAAAAAAAAAACAAAAAAAAAAACAAACAAACATTAGCCAGGTGTGGTGGTGCCCACCTGTAATCCCAGCTAATCAGGAGGCTGAGGCAGGAGAATCACTTGAACCTGGGAGGCAGAGGTTGCAGGGAGCAGAGATCACACCACTACTCTCCAGCCTGGGCCACAGAGCAAGACTCTGTCTCAAAAAAATAAATAAAAAATAAAAAATTATTTTGGCTGGGCACAGTGGCTCACGCCTGTAATCCCAGCACTTTGGGAGGCCGAGGCATGTGGATCACGAGGACAAGAGATTGAGACCATCCTGGACAACATGGTGAAACCCCATCTCTACTAAAAATACAAAAATTAGCTGCGTGTAGTGGCGCATGCCTGTAATCCCAGCTACTATGGAGGCTGAGGTGGGAGAATCGCTTGAATCTGGGACGCAGAGGCTGCAGTGAGCCAAGATCGCGCCACTGCACTCCAGCCTGCGTGACAGAGCGAGAACCCGTCTCAAAAAAAATAAAAATAAATAAATGGCCAAGCACGGTGGCTCATGCCTGTAATCCCAGCACCTTCAGAGGCCGAGACATGTGGATCACAAGGTCAAGAGATTGAGACCATCCTGGACAACATGGTGAAACGCCATCTCTACTAAAAATACAAAAAATTAGCTGTGTGTGGTGGCGCATGCCTATAATTCCAGCTACTAGGGAGGCTGAGGCAGGAGAATCACTTGAACTTGGGAGGCAGAGATTGCAGCGAGCCGAGATTAGTCACTGCACTCCAGCCTGGCGACAGAGATTCCATCTCAAATAAAAAAATAAAATTATTGAATTAATTATTTTAGAAACAGTCTTGTTCTCTCACACAGGCTGGAATGCAGTGGCGCAATCATAGCTCACTGCAGCCTTGAACTTCTGGGCTTGAGCGATCCTCTGCCGTGGCCTCCCAAAGTATTGGGATTACAGGCATGAGCCACCTTGCCTGGCCTGCCGATTGACCTCTTTTGGTGTAGATTAACAGAGTCCTCTGTCCTTCCTACTAAGGACCTAGAGAGGCTTAATCTGATTCAGGTTTTCTTTCTTCAGCATGACTTTATCATAAGTAACATATTTTTTCCTAAAAAGGTATATAATGTCTGGTCATCTCCAAGTAGCTGGGATTACGGGCATGTGCCACTATGCCCAGCAAATTTTCTGTATTTAGTAGACATGGGGTTTCATCATGTTGGTCAGGCTGGTCTCAAACTCCCGACCTCAGGTGATAGCCTGCCTCAGCCTCCTACTCCCAAAGTGCTGAGATTACAGCCGTGAGCCACTGTGCATGGCCTGCTGCTTCTTAATAAGTTTAATTAGCTGTCTCCTGGAGAACAAAATGGCAATGTGTGTCAAGAACCTTAAACATGCGATGACGCGATCTTGGCTCACCGCAACCTCCACCTCCCGTGTTCAAGCGATTCTCCCGCCTCAGCCTCCTGAGTAGCAGGATTACAGGCATGCGCTACCACGCCTGGCTTATTTTGTATTTTTAGTAGAGACAGGATCTCACCATGTTGGCCAGGCTGGTCTTGAACTCCTGACCTCAGGTGATCTGCCCACCTTGGCCTCCAAAAATGCTGGGATTACAGGCATGAGCCACCGTGCCTGACCTATTTTATTTTATTTTATTTTATTTTTGAGACGGAGTCTCGCTCTGTCGCCCAGGCTGGAGAGCAGTGGCGCAATCTCGGCTCACTACAAGCTCCGCCTCCCGGGTTCACGCCATTCTCCTGCCTCAGCCTCCCGAGTAGCTGGGACTACAAGCGCCTGCCACCACGCCTGGCTATTTTTTTGTATTTTTAGTAGACACAGGGTTTCACCGTGTTTGCCAGGATGGTCTCGATGTCCTGACCTCGTGAGCCACCCGCCTCGGCCTCTCAAAGTGCTGGGATTACAGGTGTGAGCCACCGCGCCCGGCCTTATTTTTTATTTTATTATTATTTTTTTGAGACAGAGTCTCACTCTGTCGCCCAGGCTGGAGTGCAGTGATGCAATCTCAGCTCACTGCAAGCTCTGCCTCCCGGGTTCACGCCATTCTCCTGCCTCAGCCTCCAGAGTAGCTGGGACTACAGGCGCCTGCCACCACGCCTGGCTAATTTTTTGTATTTTTTTAGTAGAGACGGGGTTTCACCATGTTAGTCAGGATGGTCTCTATCTCCCGACCTTGTGATCCACCTGCCTCGGCCTCCCAAAGTACTGGGATTATAGAGGTGAGCCACCGCGCCCGGCCCCTATTTTATTTTTTTTGAGATAGAGTTTCACTCTGTTGCCCAGACTGGAGTGCAGTGTTGCAATCTCAGCTCACTGTAGCCTCTGCCTCCCCGGTTCAAGCAATTCTCGTGCCTCAGCCTCCCAAGCAGCTGAGACTACAAGTGCATGCCACCACAGACTCAGCTAACTTTTGTATTTTTTAGTAGAGATGGGGTTTTGCCATGTTGGCCAGGGTGGTCTCGAACTCCTGACCTCAAGTGATCTGCCCGCCTCAGCCTCCCAAAGTGTTGGGATTACAGGCGTGAGCCACCACACCCAGACAAATTACAGTATATTTATTGAGATTACAAGTGTGAGCCACCACACCCGGCCAAATTATGGTATATTTAAAATGAGCTATAGGCCACGCACAGTGGCTCACACCTGTAATTCCAGCACTTTGGGAGGCCGAGGTGGGTGAATCACCTAAGGCCAGGAGTTCAAGACCAGCCTGGCCAACATGGTGAAACACTGCCTCTACTAAAAATACAAAAATTAGCCGAGTGTGGTGGCGCACACGCCTGTCATCCCAGCTGCTTGGGAGGCTGAGATGGGAGAATAGCCTGAACTGGGGTGGCGGAGGTTGCAGTGAACCGAGATTGAGTCAGTGCACTCCAGCCTGGGCGACAGAGCAAGACTCTGTCTCAATAAATAAATAAATGTATATGCACTATCGTTACAATACAAGAAATCAGATAGGCCAGGCGCAGTGGCTCACACTTGTAATCCCAGCACTTTGGGATGCTGAGTAGGGCGGATCACAAGGTCAGGAGATCAAGACCATCCTGGCTAACACAGTGAAACCCCGTCTCTACTAAAAATACAAAAAACTGGCCGGGCGTGGTGGTGGGCGCCTATGGTCCCAGCTACTCGGGAGGCTGAGGCAGGAGAATGGCATGAACCCGGGAGGCGGAGCTTGCAGTGAGCCAAGATCGCGCCACTGCACTCCAGCCTGGGCGACAGAGCAAGACTGTCTCCAAAAAAAAAGAAAAAGAAATCAGATACAGTCTGGGCATGGAGGCTCATGACTATAAACCTAGAACTTTGGGAGGCCAAGGCTTGGGGGTATCGCTTGAGGCCAAGAGTTTGAGACCAGCCTGATCAACATAGCAAGATCCTGTCTCTACAAAAAATTAAGAAATTATTGGGAGTTGGCGGCACTTGTAGTCCCAGCTACTGAGGTAGCTGAAGCAGGAGGATCACTTGAGCCCGGGAGTTTGAGGTTACAGTGAGCTACGATGATCTCACCACTGCACTCCAGCCTGTCTCTATTAAAAAATTAAAAAATATATATATTTCATTAGGAAATAAATATTGAAAGATACTTGAAAGAAAAATACAAAAATGTCAAAATGCTGGTAGTGGTTGTGTTAGAGTGGTAGATTATAGCAAATTTTTTTCTTTTTTGTATTTCCTATGTTTCTCACTTTTTTTTTTTTCCTGAGAGAGTCTCATTCTGTCACCCAGGCTGGAATGCAGTGGCGCCATCTCGGCTCACTGCAAGCTCCACCTCCCAGGTTCGCACCATTCTCCTGCCTCAGCCTCCCGAGCAGCTGGGACTACAGGCGACCGCCACCACGCCCGGCTAATTTTTTGTATTTTTTTTTTAGTACAGACGGGGTTTCACCGTGTTAACCAGGATGGTCTTGATCTCCTGACATCGTGATCCGCCCGCCTCGGCCTCCCAAAGTGCTGGGATTACAGGCTTGAGACACCGCGCCTGGCCGTTTCTCATTTTTAATAAAAATATTCAAAATTTTTCTGCTCAGGAGTTAAATTAACCAGTATGAAGATTACATGTACCCCTATTTCTCTTCCTTTGTTTTATGTGTTACTGTGTTGCCTGCACATACACTCCCAAACGTGGAGGCTATAGTGAGGGAATCAATCACTTTCCTGTAACTGTGTTGCTTGCGTTTATTCTTTGGTTGGTGTAGTTATTGCAGGGTGGGGGCATTTTTACACTGAGGTCCTGGAATGGTAACACTACTTTCCTGGATGAGAAGGGTCTCACCTGAACCACTTAAGATGACAAAAAATACCTATGGTCATGGCCATTTATCAGGGACCAAAAGATGTCAAACTACCAGTGTCCAAAAAAAACTTAGGGCACACTAGAGTAAGATCTGCATATAAGAGCCTAGGGTAGCTCTGCGAAGTTCAAAGGAAGAAAAGAATTTCAGAATTATCTGGGAGGAGAAGGGCAGGCCATCAAACAGCAAAGTCCATCCAGCAGAGATAGGCAGGGAAGGTCTTTCTTCCACACACCGAATGGCACTACATGCTGAAGTCACTTACCACTTGCTTCAAGGTTCTCTTCTTGTTCTTCCTCTGCTTCTTCATCGCCCTCGGTTTTGTAATATGACTCCCACCCTGACATGTTGGCTACTGCTCACTAGGCGAAAGACGTTAACGTCAGTAACAGGCAAATTTAAATCGAAAAAATACCGACCTCTAGGTTCTTGTGAGATCTGTTCTAAAAGCTTGGTTAGTAGTGAGGAATGTGGACGGTAAATCCTGCTGCCTCGAAAGCTCGGCAGTCGGACTGCATGTAAATGCGCATGGGGGCCATCCCAGTAGCTGCCTCATCTCAGCTATCCCTCACGTTTCAGGGCCGGCGGCGGCCCGCGGAAGCCAGATCCCGGAGGTCCCGCCCCCGACGCCATTTAGACGGTGAGGGATTCCCGCTCCAGGATTCTATGCTGACTAACGGACCCCCTCGTCCTCAATACCGCCCAAAAACCTCCCCAAATTCCTCAATCACGCCCAATGAGATCTCAAACGCAGACAGGCCTCAAGCGCAGGCGGGCCGCAAGCGCAGGCGGGCCTCAAACGCAGGCGGGCCTCAAACGCGAGGTGCCGCCTCCTTCCCGAGGAAGGAGCGTGGTCTCGAGTCTGTCGCTGCTCCTCGGATTCGCACACTTAAGGCTAACGCTAACCCTCTAGCAAGGCTATGGGGGCGCGCGAGACCGACCGAGCGAAGCGGGACGAGGCCAGGCCTAGCTGGCGAACAACACAAATGGATAACGGCCCGCTTACCTTTGGCGCAGGGAAGCGACCAACTTGGACAGAAGACGACAATCCACGCATGCGCGGGCCCTGTACTCGGTCCCAATCAACGCCCTCTACGTCATCACGCATGTGCGCACTATATCGCGTCAGGCTGGCACGCACACTCCCCAACCAGCTTCTACCTATGTCCCTGACGAAAGCCAACCCATCAGCGAGAGCCCCGCCCCCTTCGGCAAAGCCCCGCCCCTTCCTACGTCAGGACTGTAAGCACATGCGCAAAAGTGCATCCCTGCCCCCGCCCCCTCTTCCGTGTGGGCCCTCCCTGTCCCCTCTCTGTCACCTCACAGTAGTCGTTGCCGGTAGCGGGTGTGGGGGCGCGAGCAGCGCAGGGCGGCCTCTCCCCCACCCCTCAGCCCGGGCCCGGGCTCGGTCCCCCCCTCTCCCTCCGCTTCGCACTCCCGTCGGGTACGGGAAGGTCCAAGCCGCTGCCGGGTGCCCGAGGGCCGTCGTGGCCGCCGTCGCCACGGGTCCCAATGGAGCCGCCGAATCTCTATCCGGTGAAGCTCTACGTGTACGACCTGTCCAAAGGCCTGGCCCGGCGGCTCAGCCCCATCATGCTGGGTGAGGGGGAAGGGGCCAGGTGGGCAGGAGGGCGGGAGCCAGGCCAGAGGGTGGCGGCTGGCCGAGGTGGGGAGACTTGGGCCACGACTCACGGGGAGACACATGGCCAGGAGGATGGAAGAAAAGCCGAGTGGAGAAGAGAGTGGTCTGAAGTTTGGGCCATCTGAGCCCCGCTTTAGCCTCGCAGATACCATCCTCACGTTTGAATTCAAGGGGAAGGGATGGAGGAGTCATGCCTCCACCTTGCAGGGGGCTTGGGCAGAAACCGAGCCCTCGAGAGCCCCTTCGACGAGGGTGTGGGGTAAACCAGCGCTGGATCCCGGCGGGTTCTCTGCCTCGCTCGGGTAGCCCAGTGCACTCCTGCCTCCTTGGCGCGGTGTAGGAAAGGTGAGGATGCCTGCCGCGCGGTGCCCCTCGTGGTGACAGAGACACTGCGGAGGTCGGGTGGCTCTCGGAGAACCTTGTCTCAGTGCCAAAAGGAAGCTCCCTTTGCAGTCCCAGGGATAGGTGGGATGGGGGAGATAGAGCTGCCTAGGGACCCAGCCATCGCCCCCAGGTAGGTCAAGTCAGGATAAGAGGAGCCCCGAACTCCAGAATTCACCAAGCAGTCTTCTCCCCACAGTTTCTAAGTTAATTGCTTTTGCTCAAATGGCAAGAAAGCAGTTTTGGGGGAAGTTTGGATGAGGCTGTGTGAATAAGGATTAGTAAAGAAAGTATTTCGGTTGTGCTCCATTAAACTACTTAACTGGCAGGAGAAAAACCAGCCCTCATTCAGTGACGATCACACCTTATTTCAACTTAAATACAGGAATGTCTTGTGTAACACAGGAATTGTCAGGTTTGTAATTTCGGGTAACAATGAGCAGGAAAGAATTCCAATTATTGAAAATTGAAGCTTTGACAGCATCCATTTGAATGGCTAGTTTTTCCTGGCTTCTGTGGAGACACTGGCGAATGATTTAGTTCATCTCTGTGAGACGAGGGGGCAGAGATCAAGTAAGGGAGGCTACTTTTGAGGGCATCCTTCAATGTCCTTGAGTTTCTAATATGTCGTAGTGAATTGAACTTAATCTCACAACCGTGGGTCCATGAGTTGTTTCTATATTTGGCTTCACATCAAAATCATCTAGGGTGCTTGTTAAAAATGCAGATACCCTCATTTCCAACATATATTGTAAATGAGATTAGAAAAAACAAGGTTAGAATAGCTCTTTAAATATGCAAATCAAAGGATATATATGTGCTTGCTTAGGCAAATAATTATCCGTAAGGATACACAAGAAATTGATAACAGCAGTAGCTTATGGAAAGGGGAACTTGATGCCAGGGGAACAGGGGTAGAAGAGAAACTTTGCTGTAAACTGTTTCTTACCTCTGGACCTGTGTATTACATACACATAATATCTATTTAAAATGAGAAAATTTTAATTATATGGATTCTAAGGCTTCACAAATACTAAATCAGAATCTCCTGGAGTTTTGGTCCAAAAATCTGTATTTTTAATGAGCTTATCAGCTAATTCTTATGTAGCCAACCCATTATTTGACAGGGATTTGGGCCTAGATAACCAGTTGTTAAAATGATTGAGGCACATCTGAAAGCAAAACTTACAAAGTCACTGAGGAAGCTGTTACTCATTAATAGATTACATCAGTCAAGTGTTTTTTTTTTGTTGGTTTTTTTTTTTGAGACGGAGTCTCGCTCTGTCACCCATGCTGGAGTGCAGTGGCACGATCTAGGCTCACTGCAAGCTCCGCCTCCCGGGTTCACGCCATTCTCCTGCCTCAGCCTCCCGAGTAGCTGGGACTACAGGCGCCCGCCACCACAGCCGGCTAATTTTTTGTATTTTTAGTATAGACGGGGTTTCACTGTGTTAGCCAGGATGGTCTCGATCTCCTCACCTTGTGATCCGCCTGCCTTGGCCTCCCAACGTGCTGGGATTACAGGCGTCAGCCACCATGCCCAGCCCACATCAGTCAAGTTTTAACTAAACTTCTTGGAATGGAGCCATTTAGTTGTTTGTTTTTTTATCATAGTGAGGAATCAGATATTTCCTATACCCCACGTAAAACCTCCCCCTTTACACTGGGTATTTTTTATCCTATTACCTAATAATTATTGGGCAGCTGAAAGGAGCCTTAGGAGTCATTATTTCATTCATTCAGCAGATGTTTATTGAGCGTCTGCTCTATGCTAGTCAACGTGTTAAGGTAAATGAGGTTGATATAATGAACAAAGATGTTCTTTGCCATCATGGAGCTATCTAATGGGGGAGACATTAAAAATAAATACATAAATAATTAGTTACAAATTGCATAAGTGCCTTCTGCACAGGAAGCACACTGGGTGCTGTGATAGAAAATAACAAGAGAGACCTTTTTTTTTTTTTTAGACGAGTCTTGCTCTGTTGCCCAGGCTGGAGTGCAGTGGGGTGATCTCAGCTCACTGCAACCTCTGCCTCCCAGGTTCAAGTGATTCTCCTGCCTCAGCCTCCAGAGTAGCTGGGATTACAGGCGCATGCCACCACACCTGGCTGATTTTTATATTTTTAGTAGAGACAGGGTTTCACCATGTTTGCCAGGCTGGTCTTGAACTCCTGACCTCAAGTGATCCGCCCGCCTCAGCCTCCCAAAGTGCTAGGATTACAGGCATGAGCCACTGCACCCAGTGAAGAGACCTATTTTAAATAAGGGTATCAAGGGTAGTGACTTTGAAAGTGGGAATTTAGGATGAGGAAGAAGTAGCCACAGGAGGGTAGTAAGGGAGTAACAGTGTTCCAGGTAGGAGAAAGATCAACCTGCCAAAGCCCTGAGACAGGAAAGAGTCTGGCCTGATACTGGAACTGAAAGAAGGCTTTTGTGGAGTGTAGTGGGTGAAGGGGAAAGTGCTGTAACTGAAGATGGAGTAATAGACCTGCCCCCTTCCCACTCCCCGCCCTTTTATATAGATGTAAAGTCCTGGAATGCCTCAGCCAAACATGGGAACATCACCCATTCATTGGGCACATCAGATTCTGATCTGAGGAAATCACCTTGTGTGCTAATCTACTTCTGTCTTCTCTACCTCTTTTTTCCATATTGCTTTTATACCTTTTGCAAAATTAATGAAGAAAGAATTAGCAAAGCTAGTAGTCATTACTTTCTAGAGTTGAACACTTAAGGAAAATAGGCATGGTCTTACTGATTCATCCCATTCAGACAACACAAATCTTGAAGTTGGGTATGTCCCAGTGCTATAAGTAGCCATATATTGATTTCCCATTCCTAAATACATTTGAACCTTTAAAAAATCAATTTGTTTCCTGATTTTTATGATGAATTCTAGAAGTATATTAATAGCCACTATTTATTGAGAGCTTACCATGTGTCAGACCCTTTTTTTCTGAGTACTTTGCGTGCATTATAATCCTCACCACAACTTTGTGAGATAAGTCCTGTTATTGCCTCCATTTTCTTGATTGAAGAACCTGAGAAGTAGAGTGTTAAGGAATTTGCCCCAGGTCCCAGAGCTACTAGGTGGTAGAGCTGGGTTATGAACACAGGCAGTCTGACTTCCAGAGCTCGCGTTCTCTGTCATTTTGAGATACCACCTCTGTGTAATACGTTCCTTTAAAATTGAAGTAAAGTAGATGCCTTCCTGAAGTTTGTAAAGGCATCCTTTGCCAAATGTTTCAAGTTTGGATGAGAAAAAAAGCTGGGTTCAATGTGTATGTGCCACTTACAATCTAGATTTATGATCATGCCTCTTAGTCTCCATTTTCCCAAATTAAATCCATGTGATCTCATCTGCAGTACCCTCTCAGGCTTCAGTTATGTCAGTTCTCCAATGGGAGACCTCATCTAGCTCTGTCGCAGTTCAGGATTAGACTAGATAAAGCCCAAGGTAATTCCCCTTTCCTGAAGCAATGTAAATTCCGTAGTTTTAGCCTGTCCTGTTTTCAGCCTCCTGGAATTGCCTCAAGTGAAGGCATTACTGTTCTATAGCTTTTCATTCACTATGAAAAATGGTCCCAAAATTATCTTCAGCATTCTAATTGAGCAGATAGCCTCATTGCACCTTTTTTCATAGTCACCAATTGCCTAAAATAATTAGCTATTATAAGTGTCCTTCAGTTCCTCCTCTTAATAATTTTGGCTGCTCTTTAAGTTTCTTGACCTCTTTTTGTGCCACAGTACATGCAGAAGTGTGTGTGTGTGTGTGTGTGTGTGTGTGTGTGTGTGTGTGTTTTAATTGTGGTAAGAAGTACTTCATATTTGTTTATTATTTTCTGATCAGAAGTTTCGTGTACATGCATCACGTTTATTTTTCTTTACAAGCCCATTTCAAAACTGTTTTCAGACTTAAAGATTTGGAGACATAGAATATATAAATTGCTTGGCAGAATGAATTCTAATGAATATTAGAGATTTTACACTATACTCAATTCTTTACTTCATTTTGTAGTACAAATAGTAATGAAATAAAAGATATGACGTGAACTCTGTCCTCCAGGAATTTTTCTTTTTTTGAGGCAGAGTTTCACTCTTGTTGCCCAGGCTGGAGTGTAATGACACGATCTCGGCTCACTGCAACCTCCGCCTCCTGGGTTCAGGCAGTTCTCCTGCCTCAGCCTCCCAAGGAGCTGGGATTACAGACATGTGCCACCATGTCCAGCTAATTTTTCTATTTTTAATAGAGACTGGGTTCCACCATGTTGGTCAGGCTGGTCTCAAACTCCTGATCTCAGGCGATCCACCCACCTTAGCTTCCCAAAATGCTGAACAAACCCCCCTCCCAAAGTAAGGCATGAGTCACCATGCCCAGCCCAGGAGTTTTTCTTAAAATATTATTTTCCTTTAAATAATGAATGTACACATATAACATTTGATAACAATATAAAACAGATTATGATTAGGTGCCAAAGTGAGTGAGTGGTGCATGAACTATGTTAGGCTTTGAAATAAGAGAGGCCATGGTGAGCTGAGCATGTCAGAGAGGCTTTGGCAAGAGCCTGGAGCTCCTGGAGGGCAAGGACTCTGTCCCCTTCCTATATGTCCCCAGTGGCCTGTTGGAGCAGGTGTTCAGTAAGTATTGATTATAGAAATGATTGAGACTTGAACTTAAGCTTGAAGATTAAGTAAAATTTATTCAAATCTGAGAGAGGTTTTTTCTGTTTTAATGCCATCTATTGTGCTTTGTTTTTGATTTTTGTTCACTGTGTGAACTGTTTTATACTCATCTAATGAATTAATTTAATAATCATTCAATTTCTTTAAGGCAAAATGGAAAGGAATATGGCTTACAAGGCCCTGCGTGATTCTGCTTTTTTAAATTTTCTTTTTTTTTTTGAGACAGAGTCTTGTTGTGTGCCCAGGCTGGAGTGCAGTGGCGCGTGCCTCCCAGGTTCATGCCATTCTCCTGCCTCAGCCTGCTGAGTAGCTGGGATTACAGGCGCCCGCCACCGTGCCTGGCTAATTTTTTTTTTTTTTTTTTTTTTTTAATTTTTAGTAGAGACGGGGTTTCACCGTGTTAGCCGGGATGGTCTCGATCTCCTGACCTCGTGATCCTCCCGCCTCGGCCTCCCGAAGTGCTGGGATTACAGGCTTGAGCCACCGCGCCCGGCCTGTATTTTTTTTTAGAAGAGACGGGGTTTCACCATGTTAGCCAGGATGGACTTGATCTCCTGACCTCGTGATCCGCCCGCCTCAGCCTCCAAAAGTGCTGGGATTACAGGCGTGAGCCACTGCATGTGGCCTGACCAGTGGTTTTCAAATGCTCTTTAGCTGTGAAACTCTTCCTTGAAATGAAATCTTCTGCAGATATGCATGTGGAAAACAGGTGAAAAGGAACTTTTTTGTTAAAAAAAAAAAAAAGAAGAAGAAAACAAGGTGGGGTGAGGTGGCTTATGCCTGTAATCCCAGCACTCTGGGAGGCCAAGGCGGGTGGATCACCTGAGGTCAGGAGTTTAAGACCAGCCTGGCCAAGATAGTGAAACCCCATCTCTACTAAAAATACAAAAATTAACTGGGCACGGTGGCGCATGCCTGTAATCCCAGCTACTCGGGAAGCTGAGGCAGGAGAATCGCTTGAACTCGGAGGGCAGAGGTTGCAGTGAGCCGAGATCATGCCACTGCACTTCAGCCTGGGTGATAGAGTGAGACTCCATCTCAAAAAAAAAAAAGGATGTAGGCCGGGCACAGTAGCTCACACCTATAATCCCAGCTACTTGGGAGGCTGAGGCAGAAGAATCACTTGAACCCCGGAGACGGAGGTTGCAGTGAGCCGAGATCACGCCACTGCACTCCAGCCTGGGAAACAAAGTGAGACTCTGTCTCAAAAGGAAAAAAGAAAGGATGTAAATTCACTCAATTCATTTTTAATGTTATTGTTGGCTCCAAGTGTTTGGTGGATGAATGAATAAGTGAAAGAATGAACAGGCTGGGTGCAGTGGTTAACCCCTGTAATCCCTGCACTTTGGGAGACCGAGGCGGGTAGATCACAAGGTCAGGAGTTTGAGACCAGCCTGGCCAGCATGGAGAAACCCCGTCTCTACTAAAAATACAAAAAATTAGCCGGGCATGGTGGCGAGCTCCTGTAATCCCAGCTACTCGGGAGGCTGAGGCAGGAGAATTGCTTGAACCCGGGAGGCGGGGGTTGTAGTGAGCCATGATTGCACCGCTGCACCCCAGCCTGGACAACAGAGCGAGACTCCGTCTTAAAAAAAAAAAGAAAGAATGAATAAATAAGGGGATCTTTTTTCTATAGTCCCTATCTCCACTCTATGAATGGATGAGATCCTAAGTGTACCTTGATGCAGTTGAATAGGAAGTGTGGCGTGTAGCTTACAGGCAAATTCAGTGATGATACAAAGGATATAAAGGAGAATAAAGTAGGGTTTGTATCCTGCAACTTTTGAGTTGTTTTTCAGGTGTGAAATAACTGAGGCCCCTCTTCAAAAATCTGTTTAGTAGGAATGGGTTTGAGCTGATGATACATCCATACCTGCCAGCTGTACTCCTGAGTCAGTGAGCATGCGCATCTGAGAAGACAGCAGTAGACTGGGAGTGCAGTATGCCAGGGTGGCAGAGTCATTGCAATAACAAGCCAGGCAGCCCAGATTGGGGTTAGGAACTTTGTCCTCAATAGCACTGTGTGTCAACCAACAAAGCTAACTAAACAGAACAGCTCATCTCAACAGATGTTCATGTCACATCTCAGGACCAGGTCCTTTGCTAGGTGCTGGAGTTATAAAGATACATAAGAAACTGTCCTGGTTACTGAGGCAACTGTAGTCTAACTGGGGAGAAGGACACGTGAATAGTTTCAATACCAGGGTACTATGAGAACAACTATAAAACTTTCAAATTATAAACCCTAGAAGAAATGAGTTAGCCTTTATTGGGCATGTATTATGTCCCAGACCCTGTGCTACGCATGTGTCATGTATCGTCTCTTTTAATCCTGGAAATGTTATGAGGCAGGCAGTGTTATTATGCTTTTTTTTACAGAATAGGAAACTATAGTTTAAACAGTGCGTCCAATAGAACTTTCTGCAGTGATGGAAATGTTCTAGATCTGCACTGTCCAGTAAGTAAACACTAGTCACATGTGGCTATTGAATACCTAAAATGTGGTTAGTGGAACTGAGGGACTGAATTTGTGCATTTATTTAACTTAAATAGCCACATGTGGTCAGTGGTCACCATATTGGACAGCTCAGGCTTAGTGTTCTCAGCCTCTGCAGTGTTCTCTGTGATCTGGTCCTCCATTACCTCTGGTCATCTTCTACTTCCCCTCCTCACCCATTCTAACTTCACTGGCCTCCTTACAGGCCTTCAGATAAACCTGGCATGTCATTGCCCCTGCATCCCTCTTTCCCTTGCCTCCTTTAAATCTTGGCTCAAAGCTGGGCCTGGTGGCTCACGCCTGGAGGTGGGAGGATCACTTGAGCCCAGTAGTTCAAGTCCAGGCTTGACAACATAGGGAGACGCCGTCTCAAAAAAAAAAAAAAAAAAGTAGGCCTGGGTGGTACACATATAGTCTCAGCAACTGGGAAGCTGAAGTGGGAGGATCACTTGAGCCTGGGAGGTCAAGGCTGCAGTGAGCTTTGATCGCGTTACTGCACTCCACCCTGAGTAGCAGAGCAAGACCCTGTCTCAAAAAAAAAAAAAAAATCTTCACTCAAATATCACATTCTCAAAGAGGCCCACCCTGATCATCCCTGAAACTCCCTTAACCTACTCTTTTTTTTTTTTTTCTTTTTTTGAGACAAGAGTTTTGTTCTTGTCGCCCAGGCTGGAGTGCAGTGGTGCAATCGCAGCTCACTGCAACACCTCCCGGGTTCAAGTGATTCTTCTGTCTCAGCCTCCCGAGTAGCTAGAATTACAGGTGTGTGCCACCATGCCTGGCTAATTTTTGTACTTTTAGTAGAGATGGGGTTTCACCATGTTGGCCAGGCTGGTCTCGAACTCCTGACCTCAGGTGATCCGCCCGCCTCTGCCTCCCAAAGCGCTCGGATTACAGGCGTGAGCCACTACGCCCAGACCCCCTTAACCTACTCTTGTTCGTTCTATACCATTCACTATTGCTAACATGTTATGACTTATTATCATCATTATTATTATTGACTGTCCCCTCCCCCCACCTAGTAAGTGTCATGAAGGAGGTTTTTGTTTACTGATGTATCCTTAGTGCCAAGGATAGTGCCTGGAAGGTAGTAGTCACTCAATAAACCATTAGTTCACCGTTTAAGCCAGTAGGATTCACACCCAACCTGTCTACACCAGAACCTGTGTTCTTATTCACTATATTGTACTTCCTCCTTGTAAGCGTAGCATTCCTCACAAAGTAAATGAGAAAAGCTTCATTTGAAAGGAACAGGGGCCAGGCGCGGTAGCTCACGCCTGTAATCCCAGCACTTTGGGAGGCCGAGGCGGGCGGATCACGAGGTCAGGAGTTTAAGACCAGCCTGGCCAACATGGTGAAACCCCATATCTACTAAAAATAGAAAAATTAGCCAGGCGTGGTGGTGAGCGCCTGTAGTCCCAGCTACTTAGGAGGCTGAGGCAGGAGAATCACTTGAACCTGGGAGGCGGAGGTTACAGTCAGCCAAGATCACACCATCGTACTCCAGCCTGGGCAACAGAGTGAGACTGTCTCAAAAAAAAAAAAAAAAAAAAAGAAGGAACAGGTAAGAGAAAGCAGGTATCCTTAATTTCTCCAGTTTCACTGAACTATTAAATGTCTTCACGTAAATAAACAAATTGCAGCCATTTAAACAGCTGATTTATAAATGACAGTTCAGAAGGGCACATCAGCTCTATTTAAAATGCAGTGTTAGGCCACATAGAGTGGCTCACACCTGTAATCCCAGTACTTTGGGAGGCTGAGGAGGGCAGATCTCCTGAGGTCAGGAGTTCGAGACCAGCCTGGGCAACATGGTGAAACCCAATCTCTACTAAAAATACAGAAATTAGCTGGGCATGGTGGCGCACACCTGTAATCCCAGCCTGTACTTGGGAGTCTGAGGCACCAGAATTGCTTGAGCCCAGGAGGCGGAGGTTGCAGTGAGCCAAGATCGTGCCACTGCACTCCAACCTAGGCAATAGAGTGAGACTCTGTCTCAAAAAAAGGAATGTTAGTCTCCCCATTTTACATATAGTAAACAGGAAAGAGGAGATTTAGTATCTTATAGCCCAGTGGAACCCAGGGTTTGAAGATGCTCGTCCTAAATGGATTACCACTCCCCTTTGGCATCCAGTCTGGTTCTCATCAACCACTGTGAAATTTCACCTCAGTTTGGATAAGGTCAGAACCTGCCTCACATTCTTTAGGGTGCTATCCCCAGAAACCCCTGGCTAGGATCCCTCTATCCACTTGTGGTCTTTTTTTTTTTTTTGAGACAGAGTTTCGCTCTTTTCACCCAGGCTGGAGTACAATGGCGCCATCTCAGCTCGTCGCAACCTCCGCCTCCTGGGTTCAAGTGATTCTTCTGCCTCAGCCTCCCAAGTAGCTGGGATTACAGGCGCCTGCCACCACGCCCAGCTAATTTTTGTATTTTTAGTAGAGACGGGGTTTCATCATGTTGGCCAGGCTGATCTCAAACTCCTGACCTCAGGTGATCCACCACGCCCGGCCCACTTGTGGTCTTCCGGGCCAGAGCAGCAGATCTCTTGGTGAAAAGCAGACTGATCTCTGGAATTGGAACAGAGGCAGAAGTACTCCGCTACATTTCATTTTCTTGTTATTCCATTTAGCCTGGGAACACTAACAGCAAAGAATGGAATTTTACATGTAAAATAGATATAGCATTTCATATTAATTTGCTGGATGTTGAAATCTGTTCTTAGATTTTACTTACCAATACTGAAGTAGAATTTTTTTTTTTTTTGAGACAGAGTCTCACCCTGTTGCCCAGGCTGGAGTACAGTAGTGGCACGATCTCGGCTCACTGCAACCTCCACCTCCCAGGTTCAAACGATTTTCCTGCCTCAGCTTCCCGAGTAGCTGGGATTACAGGTGCCTGCCACCATGCCCAGCTAATTTTTGTATTTTTAGTAGAGACAGGGTTTCACCATGTTGGTCAGGCTAATCTTGAACTCCTGACCTGTGATCCGCCTGCCTCGGCCTCCCAAAGTGCTGGGATTACAGGCGTGAGCCACCGTACCTTGTCTTTTTTTTTTTTTTTTTTTAAGATAGAGTTTTGCTCTTGTTGCCCAGGCTGGAGTGCAATGGCGCAATCTCGGCTCACTGCAACCTCTGCCTCCTGGGTTCAGGCGATTCTCCTGCCTCAGCCTCCCGAGTAGCTGGGACTATAGGCATGCACTACCATGCCCGGCTAATTTTGTGTTTTTAGTAGAAACGGGGTTGTTGACCAGGCTGGTCTCGAACTCCTGACCTCATGTGATCTGCCCGCCTCGGCCTCCCAAAGTGCTGGGATTACAGGTGTGAGCCACCACACCTGGCCTATTTTTTGTTTTATTTGAGACAGGGTCTCACTCTGTTGCCCAGGCTAGAGTACAGTGGCGCAATCTCGGCTCACTGCCTCCCAAGTTCAAGCAATTCTCGTGCCTCAGCCTCCTGAGTAGCTGGGACTACAGGTGCATGCCACCACACCCAGAGAGTTTTTTTATTTTTATTTTTAGTAAAGACTGGGTTTCTCTGTTGGCCAGGCTGGTCTTGAACTCCTGGCTTCAAGTAATCTGCCTGCCTCGGCCTCCCAAAGTGCTGGGATTACAGGGGTGGGCCACTGTGACATGTCTGAAGTAGAATTTATTTTTATCTTCTGGAAGTCTTTACCCTTTTCCCCAAGGAGGTCATTGTACCTAATAAGAGCCTCCATTTATCAGACATCTGTATATCACATACTGTGAAGCTTTCTATACATTAACATTACCAGTCACAGCAACTCTGAACTGGAGAAACAGACTTAAACAGGCTGGGTAAACTTGCCCAAGATCCACCACTAGGAAGTGGAAAATCCAGGATCTGAACCCATATGGTCCCCTTAACTATCTCTGAGGATGCTATGCCAAGTGTGTGGTGGCTCATGCCTGTAATCCTAGCACTTTGGGAGGCTGAGGCAGGTGGATCACTTGAGGCGAGGAGTTCGAGACCAGCCTGGCCGACATGGCAAAATCCTGTCTCTACTAAAAATACAAAAATCAGCCGGGCTTGGTGGTGCATGCCTGTAATCCCAGCTACTTGGGAGGCTGAGGCATGAGAATCACTTGAACCCGGGGGGCAGAGGTTGCAATGAGCCGAGATCACGTCACTTCACTCCAGCCTGGGCAACAGAGAGACTCTGCCTCTAAAAAAAAGAAAGGCACAGGGCAAACAGCGAAGGTAGCAGTTAGCAATCAGTAATCTGCCATGTCGCCGTGTGAAGTGATAAGCAGGAGTGAGTGGGTGATGTTTGCTGACACTCCACGTCTTTCAATGCCCTTCCTCTGCCTCCTGAGCACTGCTGTAGAGTATCTCTCATGGACTCTTGTGATGGTCTGCTTGGTCTGCTCTCTTCCCTCCAATTCATCTGCTATCCCACAACTACAGTTATCTTTTCCGAACATGGATCTGATCAAGGCACTCTCCAGCCTCACAGCCTCTTTGAGTCCAGGCCTGCCCGCTTTGCTGGCCATCCTGTTGGCCGCTCCTCCCCTTGGCACCATCACTGCCCCCTTCACTCTGCCCTGCAGGCTTTAGACTTCACAGCCATGCATGTGCACATCTTGTTCTCTCCCACAGAAATGTCCATCCCTGCCCTTACTTGTCATTGGTAATGGAAGCTCACAAAAGTAGTTTATTATATTTAGTACCTTATTTTTACCACTATGATACAGCATATTAACATTGTGTTTTAGTTAATTATTTGTGTGTCTCAGTCCATTTGACTTTGAGCTTCTCAAGGGCAGGAAAGTGATACGTTCCTGTTTGCATTTCCACACCTAACATTGTTTCTGGCACATAGAGGTAGAATAACGTGCTTTAACTATTTAAATGGATAGCATTTGCAAAGTTTTATCCTATCAGTTTCTGAAGGATTTCACCTCAATGAAGAAATGAGTAATAACATTCATTGTATTACTATAGTCTTACTGTACGTGAGACAGAGAAGTTAAAAAGGCATAGCTGAATTGACCCCAAAGAGGAAAGAATAGCAGACATAAAACTGGGGTACCTTTATACTAGTGTTTTTAATCTTGCATTCTGATAAAAGACTCTCATTACTTTTCAACTTACTTACACTCTGTCACAACCTAAAGACCTTACTGGAGGGGACTTGCATTCCTAGAAAGTCCCTCAAGAGGTTTATGACAGGTTACCCTGGGTTTGAGTGATGTCATGAATTTACCAAGGCTGAGGGGCCACTTATTCTAGTCCCAAGTGGCTAAATCTCTTCTTCTCTCCACAGGGAAACAACTGGAAGGCATCTGGTAAGTTGGGTGGGTCTCCTTACTTTGACTAGTTTTGAAACAAGGCAGCACTCTATGCATTTCAGGTTCTAGTCTGTGGCTTCCAGCATGAAACCTAGCTCTCCATGCTATAAATCTTCAAGCCCTAAAGCAGTGCTTCTCATCAGTTCTTTTGCTCTCTCACCCTGGGACATTTGGCCATGTCCAGAGATATTTTTGGTTGTCATACAGGGAGGAGGATGCTACTGGCATCTTGTGGATAGAGGCAGGGACGCTGCTCAACAGACTAGAATGCACAGGACAGCCCCACACAACAAAGAAGTATCCAGCCTCAAATGTCAATAGTGCCAAGATTGAGAAGCCCTGATCTGTGGTATTTATCATATTCATACCTTTGGTTTGTTGGTTTTATAAGACTGGTCCCCACAGTCCTATCCTTGGGCAGAAATTACTCTCATTGCATTATGGTGTTTGCTTTTTCTCAAAAGTTTAAGTTTTCTGGCTTACTGTGTCTCTCTCTGTGTGACAGGCACACATCCATAGTTGTGCACAAGGATGAGTTCTTCTTCGGCAGTGGTGGTATCTCCAGCTGCCCCCCGGTGAGTGTCTTCCCCTACACTCTGTCCTGCAGTCTCAGGTTCCTGGGGGCTCCTGTAGACCAGGAGCTTTGCTTCTACTATGGACTTCTGGCATTGTTCCTCAAAGCCACCTGAAGACTTGGCTCAATAAAACCTTTCCCAGACACCCCAGCCAGTTCCTCTCCTCTCTGTTCCCATGGCACGTGTGGGTCCTTCTGTCTCACAGAGAGCATGTTATGGTGAAATGAGCTGTTTCTGGTTCTCCACAGGGAACTGTGTAAGCTCCTTGCGAGCTGAGACCTTCCATCTCCATCCCCTGCACAGTGTCCGGCTCATCCTAGGAACGCAACTGATGTTAAGCTGAATGATGAGGGCTCTGAGAAGCATCAAGACTTGCCCAAACTTAAACAGCCAATAAGGGACACCAGTCCTAGAACCCAGGATTATCACACTAAAGCCCACACCCTTTTCCGAAAATTTCTTTTTTTTTTTTTTTTTTTTTTTTTTTTGAGATGGAGTCTCGCTCCGTCGCCCAGACTGAAGTGCAGTGGTGCGATCTCGGCTCACTGCAAGCTCCGCCTCCCGGGTTCGCGCCATTCTCCTGCCTCAGCCTCCCGAGTAGCTGGGATTACAGGTGCCTGCCACTACACCCAGCTAATTTTTTGTATATTTTAGTAGATACGGTGTTTCAGCATGTTGGCCAGGCTGATCTCAAACTTCTGACCTCGTGATTAGCCCACCTCGGCCTCCCAAAGTGCTGGGATTACAGGCGTGAGCCACAGCGCCCAGCCTTTTCCAAAAATTTCTATCAGCTATCCAAGTGTTGTCACAGTAGGTGCTCAAGCAATGGCCAAGCAGCCATTCATTTTGGTTGTGTGTTTGTTTGTTTTTGCTACATCCTACAGGAAGGATTTTTTTTTTTTTTTTGAGACGGGGTCTTGCTCTGTCACCCAGGCCAGAAATGCAGTGGCACAGTCTTGCTTACTGCAGCCTCCACCTCCCAGGCTCAATGAATCCTCCCACTTGAGCCACCTGAGTGGCTAGGACTCAGCACCACCACGCCCTGCTATTTTTTTCTATTTTTTTAGAGATAGGATCTCCCTATGTTGCCCAGACTGATCTCAAACTCCTGGGCTCAAGCAATCTACTGCATAAGCCAGAATTCTCCCATTGCTTTTGGAATAAAAGCCAGAAAACTCAGCATGGCCTCCCAGGACCTACCTGATCTGGTCTCTGACTCTGACTCTGGCCAGCCTCTTTTAGGTTGTTCCCTCCCAACCCTCACTCTCTTCTCATTCTTTGAACACACCGTAGACATTGAAACCTGCACTCTGACATCAGTACACCTTCTTGATCCTTCACCTGGTTACGCCTCTCCATCCTTCAGATTTGAGTTGTGTCACTTTCTCAGGCAAGTCTTCCCTGATCCCTCAGACCGGGAAGGTCTCCTGTCATACGTACTGTTGGCATTCTGTACTTTTCCAGCCTCCCCTTAATTGCAGCTCATAATTATATACTGGTTAAGGGGATTTTTCAGTTTCCCTTCCCTGCTACACTAAGCTTCTTAACGGCAAGAATCTCATCTATTTTGTCCACACCACAGCCCCAGTGCCTAGCATAAGGCCTGACACATAATAAGTTCTCAATCCATAGTTGTTATATGAGTGAATAAGAGGGGTCAAAGAGTGACCTTTTAGTTTCTTACAACTCTGAGATAATTGTTCTCTGCCTACCATGGTTATCTTGCTCACCATGCTTTCCTCAGTGCCCAGAACAATGTCAGCTATGTAGGAGGTGCTCAGTGGCTATGAATGAATGATCTTTTCAGGGAGCTCTGTTCTGGAGTGTTATCCCTTCCCAGATTTGTTCTCCTGCTGATCCCGTTGCTTCCCCAGTGGCTGGTTTCCCCACTCAACCTCAGTCTCTCCTTCAGTTTTCTCTGGCAGTCTGTTAACCACATGGCTGAGGGTTTTCTGTAGGCCTTTCGGGAGCCATTAACTCCCTTGCCCTATGATGGTGATAGGGCAAGGATTAGGCTCACAGATCCAAAAAGAACTGAATTATGGAAATATCTGCCAGCCTGCCAGATTTCTCACCGTCCTCGTTTTTCCATTATTACACGGGATATCAAGTATATCATAAGAAAAACTGGCTGCATACTTTATGCAAATAGGCATGGAGAGATGGCCTGTGAAGTGTGAGCCATTTCTGTTGTCCTGTTCTGTCCTCATGATGAGACATACTGGGGACAAAAGTAGACTTCAGATTCTGGGTTTCTCTTTCTCAGCTGAGTAAGTGGACAGCATCAGGAGTCAGAGCTGCAAGAGAATCAGCTTCCCAGGGCCCCCCCTCCCCTCTAGAAACAAGAAGTCCGACTCCTAACTATGCTGCCAGCACATGGCAATGAAAAGTGACCAGAAAGCTCTAAGCCAAGCTTGTCCAACCTGCAGCCTGTGGGCCATACGCAGCCCAGGACAGCTTTGAAAGTGGCCTGACGTGAATTTGTAAAGTTTCTTAAAACATGAGATTTTTTTATCTTTTTTTTTTTTTAAGCTCATCAGCTATCATTAGTGTTAGTGTATTTTGTGTGTGGCCCAAGACCATTCTTCTTCCAGTGTGCCTCAGGGAAGCCAAAGGATTGGACACCAATGCTTCTAAGCTATTGCATCCTTGATACAAATAGCAAATCACATTCTTCATCTGCCCAGGGTGCTCTGCAAGTTAAATATGAAGTCAGGCTGGGCGCAGTAGCTCACACCTGTGATCTCAGCACTTTGGAAGGCCGAGGTGGGTGGATCACTTAAGGTCAGGAGTTTGAGACCAGCCTGACCAACATGGTGAAACCCTGTATCTACTAAAAATACAAAAAATTATCTGGGCATGGTGGCAGGCACCTGTAATCTCAGCTACTTGGGAGGCTGAGGCAGGAGGATCACTTGAACCCGGGAGGCGGAGGTTGCAGTGAGCTGAGATTATACTCCAGCCTGGGTGACGAGAGAAACTCCGTCTAAAAAAAAAAAAAAAAAAAAAAAGTCAGAACAGAGTGTTTGTGGTCTACTGTGGGAAGCCACATTAAAACATTCAGTGGAGATGGTAACTTAATGACTTCCTTTGGGTTGGCTCTTTTAGGGAGGGACATTGCTTGGGCCTCCAGACTCTGTGGTTGATGTGGGGAGTACAGAAGTCACAGAAGAAATCTTTCTGGAGTACCTCTCCTCCCTGGGGGAGTCCCTGTTCCGGTGAGTGGAGACAGGGGTGGTGGTTAGTTGTGTCTGTCTCCCCAGCTAGATAATAACCCCTGGAGGCAGCTGCCATGTCATATCATCCTTATCACTCAGCACAAGGCCTGGCCCAGTTTTTTGCTGAATTAACATGAAGAAAAGGCAGTTATGCTACAAAAAGCTCTAAGTTGTTCTGATACAGATATTCCTTCAAACATACTTTCTGCCGAAATTTTTAGAGGAAATAAGGGCTTTTCATTCCTTCTGATTAAAATCGGCAAGCGCTGTTCTCAACCTGTATTGGCCAAGTTTGCAGAAGGAAAAACAGGGTTTGCAGAAGGGTTGGGATGAAATACAAACTTGAGCAGATTTTCTCTGAAAGAGGCTTTAGTCAGTTTCAGTAAGGGGGTAAACTCTTAACACCAGAGTTCTGCTTTCGTGAATGTAAAGATTCTCCTGAAACTGTGTAGGAGCCATGTCTTTTCAGTTTCTCCTTCCCTTAAAAATCAGTTATTAATGGCCAGAATGGCAAATAAGCAGTGCTTTTCTGGTGTATGAGACGGGGGAAATCGCAATCCTCACATTGAGCTGTGCTCACCATTCCACTGCCTAGCTTGAGTTATTCCACATAGACGCTTGCTGGTTTCTCATATATGTTCTGCAAACCTTTCAATGTACAGAGGTGAGGCCTACAACCTCTTTGAACACAATTGTAACACCTTCAGCAACGAAGTGGCACAGTTCCTGACTGGGCGGAAGATTCCTTCTTACATCACAGACCTGCCCTCTGAAGTTCTCTCCACGTAAGTGTGGCCTCTGTCCCTGCCCCTGCCTTGGCCAACCTTGAAAATCCCCATTCACGGTCAGTGCCCTTCCTCTGGCCCCCATCTGCCCTCCCAACCAGGTGGGCCTGCCCTGATGGCAGATTCTAACACAGAAGGCTGCCATTCTCTCCACCCACTGATGCGCACCTGTATTACCTCCACCTTCAGAGCTAGACCAGCTCTGCCCTGGCCTAAGTGCAACCACAGAACTTAGACACCCACTTGACACTGGCTTCAGTACTTGCACAAAATTCTGGCGTCTGTCCTTCCCATTGTGCTCGAAGCATGCCACTCCCCAGAAGCACCCAGTTAAAATGCAATGTTAGACAAGCAGAGAGGGGGTCAGAAAAATAGTAGGGGGGCTTGTTTTGTAGCTGTTGATTTGCCTTACACTGCACCATGAACTCTTTGACTCCCTCAACGACTATGTTCTACTTGCCCTCATGTATTACAGCACAGTCTTCAACAGATGTTTTCTTCAAGAACACTCTGCAGCCCGTTCTGTCCTGATGTGCCCCAAGCCTTGGAAGAGCCTTGCAGGCCATCATCCAGGCAGTATACCCCGAAAGGACACAACACCCCCAAAGCCATCTCACCTCCTCCCTCTTGTCGTTGATTGCATTCAGGCAGCCTCTGCTCATTCCAGGACCATGTCTATTTGCTTATTCTGACTCAGTTTCTCCTGAACTATGGCCTTATTTAACAGAGATCCTGGCAGGTTTCGCAGGCCCAGCAAGGTGGGCTGTTTTTTATATCTGAGGAAGCACCTCCCAGGAAGAGCTTGCATAGGAAACAAGACTGCTGTGGCAGGCTGGTGAGGAGCCCCAGTCCGCCAGCCCTGGCCCTGCCTTCCTATCATTCGATGAGTTTGCAGTCCCACAGCTCTGCTGAGGGATCTAGGTTATGGGGCCCTGAGCAAACTGGAGTAGCCAGAATGTGCTTGCTGTTATTATTTTATGGGTGGAGTTCCTGGAATTGTCTGAATTAGGTTTGATATTTCTAGGTTTCATCTGTCTATACTTTGGAGTACTTCATTCCTTTAAACTTGGAGATGATTTTCAAAAATGGCAGTATCCACTGAAGAAAAAGCCAGTGACTTAAAAGTTTCTGGGCAACCTTATTTATGGTTGTCGTAATCATGGAAAATCTCCAAACTCCAGTATTTGTAGTTTTTTTTCCATCTGTTACTATGAGAGCAACCTAGGAGCCCTTTAGAAAGGCATTAATGGCTGGGCCCAGTGGCTTATGCCTGTAATCCCAGCACTTTGGGAGGCCGAGGCAGGCAAATCACTAGGTCAGGAGTTCGAGACCAGCCTGGCCAACATGGTGAAACCCCATCTCTACTGAAAATAAAAAATTAGCCAGGCGCAGTGGCACACGCCTGTAATCCCAGCTACTTGGGAGGCTGAGGCAGGAGAATTGCTTGAACCTGGGAGGCAGAGGTTGCAGTGAGCCGAGATCACGCCATTGCACTCCAGCTCTAGGCTAGAGGTAGACTCTGTCTCGGGGTGAAAGAAAGGCATTAATACTGGCAACCTAGCATTTGTCATTTTTCCAGAATATTCCCTGTACTCCCTGGCAGACCTCTGTTCCTGAAAAAAATCCAGTTGTTTGCTGTCCTCACCCCTTTGTCTTCTTTTTCATATCCTTCTTCTTTTGCCTCAGTTTCCCTGCTTAAATTTGATCTTTTCCTTGCTCACAAGAATTAAAGACACAAGCACATAGAGCACAGAAAGTTCTAGTTCTCTGTATGTAGCCAGCCTACTCAAACCACAGCTAACCAGGCTCTAGAGGTGAGGCCCTGAGGAGGGAACCCCAGGAATAAAAATACAGAGCAGGCTATTTCGGAGATGCCCTCCAAGAACACTGGTGTGTGAGGCAGGTGGGAAACTTAAGTGAGGTGACGAGGTGCTCTTTCCTTCTCTGCTGGTGCTGCTTCTGCTGCCACCAGCGCCCACTCCTCCTCCCTACCCGTGGGCAGCACAGGGTGTGTGACAGCAGGCCACATCCCAGAGCCCACCCCTCTCATGTCTCTGTTTCCTTGCAGGCCCTTTGGACAGGCACTTCGGCCCCTCCTGGACTCCATTCAGATCCAGCCTCCAGGAGGGAGCTCCGTGGGCAGACCCAACGGCCAGAGCTAACAGGACTGCCTGGGACCGCCCTGCCTCACCAGGGCTTTTCCTTTTTAAACAAAACAAACCCTACCAGATTTCTATTTTATAATTTTACATCAGAGCTAACAACCAGGGGACGGCTTTTTAAATTTCCCAGGGAAGGAGACCGTCAGGCCGCATGTAGACAATGCTGCTAAGAAACAGAACAAAATGCCACCCCTTCTAATAGTATTATACTAATTTATTAAGGCTGTCTTGTCTGTGCGTTCACTTCGGATGCTGTTTCCTAAGCGTCCTCCACACTGGAGAAAGGGAGGGGCTTTGTTTAAACAGAAAGCGAGTCACAGTTTGCGGGAGCCCCAACCTAGAACTCTTTCCAGAGAACACTCACGCTCTACCCAAGTTGCCAACACCTGTGGGACCCAGGTGAGTTTTAGAACATCCGTGACCCAGAAAGTTACTCTAGTGTTAAATGAACCAAAGGATTTGGTGTACATGGGACCGGTTTCAGGATGACTAACCTAACCTAAGTGAACTCTTTAGCCACAACCCTCACCTTCCCTCCCTTACCCCAAGCAAGGCCAGTGCTGGAGCAGCCATTGCCTCCGGATCAAGGGAGTAACAGCAAGTATCAGGCCGGAGAAAACAGGATAAAGCCATTCCTCCTTCCACCTAGATGGATTGCCAATCTTCTGCCATCAATTTTGGGAAACCTGCCTTTGTGCCCCCGAGGCTGCCTTTCCTCAGCATAGCTGACTTGTCATAGTGGATGAGGTCTGGGCTGGAGCAGTAGAAGCCAAGGCCTTTTTTCTGCAAGTAATGATGTAGGTTATTTGCAGTCTCTGTAACCACCATCCAGGCCAGTACGCAGTATTTAGCTGGGGACCAAGGGATGGGATTCCCTACTCTAAGAAAATACCTTTATTTTAATTATTATTATTTTTTGAGACGGAGTCTCGCTCTACCACCCAGGCTGGTGTGCAGTGGCATGATCTCGGCTCACAGAAACCTCTGCCTCCCGGGTTCAAGTGGTTCTCCTGCCTCAGCCTCCTGAGTAGCTGGGATTACAGGTGCGTGCCACCACGCCAGGCTAATTTTTGTATTTTCAGTAGAGACAGGGTTTTGCCATGTTGGCCAGGCTGGTCTGGAACTCCTGACCTCGGGTGATCCACCTCCCTTGGCCTCCCAAAGTGCTGGGATTACAGGCGTGAGCCACCGCTGCCTGGCCAGAAAATACCTTTGATATGGAAAGAATAATGATGTGAGGCCTGGCGCGGTGGCTCACGCCTGTAATCCCAGCACTTTGGGAGGCCGAGGCAGGCAGATCACTTGAGGTCAGGACTTCAAGACCAGCCTGGCCAACATGGTGAAACCCCGTCTCTACTAAAAATACAAAATTAGCCGGGCATGGTGGCGCATGCCTGTAGTCCCAGCTACTCGGGAGGCTGAGGCAGGAGAATCGCTTGAACCCGGGAGGCAGAGATTGCGATGAGCCGAGATCGTACCAGTGCACTCCAGCCTGGGCGACAGAGTGAGACTCCATCTCAAAAAAATAAAATAATGAAGTGGAATCAAGGTGGCAAGAAAATTTAGAATCGTTTCTGATAGGGACTTTCCCTTATCCTAAATGTGTTTTGAAGGCACACGTTATTTCCATTGTCATTCTGACTTTAGAAAGGCAGGTTGGGGCATGAGTGGGCATTTTCCTAATGACTTGCTGCTAGGAGGTTATAGGCAGGGAACAGTCTGGGAGTCTCTAATCCAGAGAGACTTTCAGATTCCCTCTCTTCACATGAACCTCCATTAGTTAGATTTTGGGAAAGTGAGCATGAAGAAGGGACTCAGAGCTGCCAGGTACCCGAGTCTCAGGTCTGACATCCTTGGGCCCCTTCTGCCACAACTTCTTGCCACTTCACGGACTTGAATTATGTTGCTTCTTCCTGGAAGTCTGGCCTGCAGCACAGGCCTTTCCTCTCCAAAAAGCTGCTGCTCATTTCTGGCCCCATCTGCTGCTATCTTTGCCATCAGCCATCACAGTTTGGCATCATCAGAGTCTCAGCTAGAGGAGCTGTCATTCTGCCTTAGTGTTTGCCTGCGACCTGACCAGGGGCATGACCAGCTGGGATGTCAAGTGACATTTGGGAACTTGTAGAGGCCAAATGATTGAAAGTTTAATTCTTCTCAAGACCCACTGATTTGCCAGTGTGCATGGAAATAATAGATTAGAGCAGAAACTAGCAGGGACTGTTGTATAATCGTGATCTACTAGCAGAATTGGGCCCAAAGAGAAAGAATTTCTGAGGCTGGGTTTCTTCTGGGAGGGTAGCAGGTTGGTCTTGGCCAGTGCTCTGTTTCCCACCAGTGTTGTTCCCTTTTCCAGCTTGCCTGGCCCGGCTCTGTCTTCCAGGGTCCTGCTCCAGACCCCTCTGCCTGGGGTCTCCCCTCCATCCAGGGGGTTCTGGGCATCACAGCTCCTTTTTTTCCTTTCTCCTCTTCCAGATCCAGTTTCAGCTGGTTTGCTTCTTCCAGCAGGCACCCTTAGGCCCAGGAGCAGCTCCCCTGAGAGAATTTGAGTCACTCATTTCCTTGAACAGCACCCCCCTTTATACTAGCAGCCATTTGTGCCATTGCCTGTGCCCTAGGGTTTGTGGGGAGAGAGCGAGGGATCACTGAGCAGTTTTCCCAGAGCTCCATGGGAAGGCAAGCTCTCCCTCCCAATGGGAGCCCCACTGTCACTAACTGTAAACTCAGGCTCAGGCTTCAACTGCCTACCCCCATCCTCATATTTCTGTCTGTCCCAGCACCTCAGGAGCATTCTCATTGTGGCCGGCTAACTCCGCCTGGATGTGAACAGGCAAGCACAGTGGGAAATGAGTCACGTACTTGTATTGCACAGTGGACACCTCTAGAGGTCCATTGGTTTAAAGGGATAGGGAAGGAGGAGGGATGAGACCATCACCCCCTCCCAGAAGTAAATCTAGTATCTGAGTTTTCTTTATGCCCTTGAGTCAAACTAATAACTGTCTAGTACGGAGGTGTTTGCTGGTTTTCTTCGGTGTTTTTTCTAATGCAATAAACTCATTTCTGCCTGCTGCATTTGTGTGGTGCCTGAATCAGGTCTGCACATGCATCCAACATGAAGCGACCCCAGGCTTTTGGGTCCCTTGGAGCTTAAGTCTGCGGGGTCTGGATGTGTCTCCTTTGCATGGTTGTGAGCCTGTAGATAAGAAGTGATAACAGGGAAGGATGTCTGAATTTCACCACTGGTTTATAAAGATGGGGGAAGGGCCCAGAGAGAATATCACTTGCCCAAGGTCACCTTGCAGCTGGTGCAGCTCAATGCTTTGTCTGATAACTTCAAATTCTGTAGTCTTCCTCTAGCTATCAGGAGTGTCTGACCTCACCGAAAAGTGTTCACTTCTACTTTCAACTTGGCTCTAGGTTGGGTCTGTGGCTCCTCATGCCCAGACAGGCTGTAGCTGAGAGGGCACGCAAGGAGCCTAGTGGGGGCCTGGCACACCACTGAATGTGAGCCCTTGACCACAGGGCCTGGCTGCTCTTGAAAGAGGCAGAGTGTGTCTGGGACGAGGCTGCCCCACTGGTTCCCAGGTTGGAGAGCCAGGCAAGGTCACGCTGCAGTGAGAGTGATGGATACCAGGTGGCGCTGTGGCCCTGCACACCAGGCCCAGCCTACTGCCCAACGCCCAATGCCAGGCTGGTCTTGGGTACCCTCGGCCACCTCAGTAAGCTCGTCCAGCTCCCCTCAGCCCGTGTGGACCCCTACGAGCCCATGGGGTAAGAGCCAAGCTCCTTGTCCTCATTTATCAAGGCCCTTCTCAATCTTGTCCTTGAACACCCTGGTCCTACCCCACACCCTGCTGCAAGTGCCAGTCCCAGTCCCTGTCACTTCTGGTGGTTTCACACCTCCAAGCCTCGGTTCACCCTTTGCTCCACCTGGATCCCCTTTCCCCACCCCTTGTTCAGTGCTAAAGGCCCAGTTCCAGCATGTCCTCTGACCTGTCCCCACCCAGAGCTGACTCCTTGCTCCCATGGGTACCTCCAACGCACTCCCACCAGCCCAGTACCTCCCAGGGCAGGGCCTGGCATGGGGTGAGCCCCAGATTTTGAGACCATGACAAAGGCCTTGGATCCTTTCTAAGTCCCTCCCAGTATGACTCCGCTCCCCACCCCTGGCTTGCAAGGTCAGGAGAGAGACTTGCCCAAGTTCTCACAGTTCTGGGCTGAGCTCTGACCTGCAGAGCCCACTGACCCCAGCTGTCAGGCTGCCGCTCCTGTTCCACACCCCCAGGTGGAACAGTGTTGTGGCCTGGGCCATATCTGTCCCCATTGACTTTGTCTGAGAGAGCCCCAGAGGGCCTGAGCCAACCCAGCAACAGCCTCCACCTCCTCCTACAAAGCCATCTGAGCATGCGCCCTTCAGCTTGTTTAGACTCAATGGACTTGCTTATTATGAAGACAATGTAAGCACTGCAGGCATTTTGAAAGTTAAAAAACAAAACAAAACAAAAAAACAGGCTAGGCGAGGTGGCTCACGCCTGTAATCCCAGCACTTTGGGAGGCCGAGGCAGGTGGATCACCTGAGGTCAAGAGTTCAAGACCAGCCTGGCCAACATGGTGAAACCCCATCTCTACTAAAAATACAAAAATCAGCTGGGTGTGGTGGTATGCACCTGTAATCCCAGCTACTTGGGAGGCTGAGGCAGGAGAATCACTTGAACCCACGAGGGAGAGGTTGGATTGAGCCAAGATTGTGAGATGGTGCCACTGCACTCCAGCCTGGGCAACAGATCTAAAAAAAAAAAAGAATTCCACAGTCTCCCCCAACCTCAGCACACAGCACACCTCCCCTGCTGCCCCTAGGCTTCTTAACTACACAGCCTTTAGGAGGGTGTTGACCCCATTTGTAAATGAACAACCACCTCACAGAGTGGGACGGACCTGCCCAAAGTCACTAGTGGGAGGAGAACTCCAGGAATTGTCAGCCTGCCTGTAAACCCCACTACACAGAGGCTGCCCCTTGGGCCTGGACCACCCATACACAACAAGTCACATACCAGGTACAGAAAAAGAGCATTGACAGCCCCGGTACTTGGACATACTGACACATGGCCTCCTACCAATAGCCAGGAGCCAGGGAAAAGCCTGGGTTTTGGCAAGACGGGATTGAGGAGGAATCTCGACTGTGCTGTGTGACCCTAGAAAAGCCGTTGCACCTCTCTGATGTCAGTACCTACCTCTGGAAATTGAGTATAAGGGTACTGTCTTCAGAGATGTGTTGGGAAAAATAAGTGAAATACCCAAACCAAACATGAAAGTCACTAACCTCCAAACTTCAGCCACACGTCTGGCCCAGAAGAGCCCAGGGTCTTCCCTTCATAGCAGAATCCTGCCAGGCTCAGGTCTCAGGCCCTCCACTTTCAGTCCTGGCTGCTTCTGGGTCCCTCCAAGTCACCTTTCTGTCCAGTCTTCCCTCCCACCAGTCCTGCTCTTTTCTCCCCAAGGCCTCCCCTGGTCCCCATCTGAGCACCAGTTGCCAGGGATAAGCCTTCCTCTTAAAGGGACATAGTGGTGGCCACAGGTACCCCCCTACCTGGTCCTCCTGGGTCTGTACCTCAGGGCAAATAACTCTCCCTCTCTGGGTTTCAGTGGCCTCATCATGTGGAAAGGGTTGTTATGAGAATTTACGGAGAGACTGTAGGAAAGGGATTTGTAAGCAGCAGCCCATTTGTTAAGGGGCCAAGGGTGCTTATCTCTGTTTTTAGAAAAGTAGATCCAGTCCATAGGAGACAAACACCCCTCCTGCCCAGTGGGCCACCTTCCAGATGTTCTGGATCCAAGCACTACGGGTAGGGCCCAGGAATTCGCACTTCATCTGTTTCTAGGAATTCTTCAGTCATGGAACAGGAAAATGAAGATACCTGGTCAAGTGTCCTGTGTGGTGGTCAGCCCATAGTAAAGGAATAAGCATCAGTTTGGTTTTTTTGTTTTGTTTTGTTTTGGTTTTTTTGACACAGAGTCTTGCTCTGTCACCCAGGCTGGAGGGCCGTGGTGCGATCTCGGCTCACTGCAACCTCTGGGTTCATGCGATGCTCCTGCCTCAGTCACCTGAGTAGCTGGGATTACAGGCATGCGCCACCACGCCCGGCTCATTTTTGTATTTTTAGTAGAGACGGGGTTTCACCATGTTGGTCAGGCTGGTCTCGGACTCCTGACCTCGTGATCCACCGCCTCGGCCTCCCAAAGTGCTGGGATTACAGGCGTGAGCCACCGCGCCGGCCGTGTTACAGTTCTTAAAGGTGGCGTGTCCGGAGTTTGTTCCTTCTGACGTTCGGATGTGTTCGGAGTTTCTTCCTTCCGGTGGCTTCGTGGTCGCGCTGGATCAGGAGTGAAGCTGCAGACCTTCGCGGTGAGTGTTACAGCTCTTAAGGCTGCCAGTCTGGAGTTATTCGTTCCTGCTGGTTGTGTTCGTGGTCTCACTGGCTTCAGGAGTGAAGCTGCAGACCTTCGCAGTGAGTGTTGCAGTTTATAAAGGCAGTGTGGACCCAAAGAGCGAAAGAACAAACCTTCCACGTTGCGGAAGGGGACCCCAGAGGGTTGCTACTGCTGGCTCCTGGCAGCCTGCTTTTATTCTCTTATCTGGCCCCCCACCCCCACCCCCGCCACCCCCCGCCCCCACCGCCCCCCCCACCCCCGCCACCACCCCCGCCCCCACCCCCACCCCCCCACCGCCTCCCCCACCCCCCCACCGCCTCCCCCACCCCCCCACCCACATCCTGCTGATTGGTCCATTTTACAGAGAGCCAATTGGTCTGTTTTACAGAGAGCTGATTGGTCCGTTTTGACAGGGTGCTGATTGGTGCCTTTACAATCCCTGAGCTAGACACAAAAGTTCTCCACGTCCCAACTAGATTAGCTAGTTACAGAGTGTGGACACAAAGGTTCTCCAAGTCCCCACCAGAGTAGCTAGACACAGAGTGTCGACTGGTGCATTCACAAACCCTGAGCTAGACAGGCTGCTGATTGGTGTGTTTACAAACCTTGAGCTAGATACAGAGTGCCGATTGGTGTATTTACAATCCCTTAGCTAGACATAAAGGTTCTCCAAGTCCCCACCAGACTCAGGAGCCCAGTTGGCTTCACCCAGTGCATCTTGTACCGGGGCTGCAGGTGGAGCTGCCTGCCAGTCCCGCGCCGTGCGCCCGTACTCCTCAACCCTTGGGTGGTCGATGGGACTGGGCGCCATGGAGCAGGGGGCGGCGCTCGCCGGGGAGGCTCTGTCTGCGCAGGAGCCCACGGCAGAGGGTAGGCTCAGGCATGGCGGGCTGCAGGTCCGATCCCTGCCCAGCGGGGAGGCAGCTAAGGCCCTGTGAGAAATCGAGCGCAGCGCCGGTGGGCCGGCACTGCTGGGGGACCCGGCGCACCCTCCACAGCTGCTGGCCCGGCTGCTAAGCCCTTCACTGCTCGGGCCGGCACGGCCTGCCGCTCTGAGTGCGGGGCCCGCCAAGCCCACGCCCACCCAGAACTCTAGCTGGCCCGCAAGCGCCGCTTGCAGCCCCGGTTCCCGCCCGTGCCTCTCCCTCCACACCTCCCCGCAAGCCGAGGGAGCCGGCGCCGGCCTCGGCCAGCCCAGAGAAGGGCTCCCACAGTGCAGCGGCGGGCTGAAGGGCTCCTCAAGCACGGCCAGAATGGGCGCCGAGGCTGAGGAGGCACCAAGAGTGAGCGAGGGCTGCTAGTACGCTGTCACCTCTCATCACCTTTCATAGTTCTATCACGTGGGGTTTATATCCTCATTACATATAAAGAAACTGAAGCCCAGTGAGGAAAGGTGACCTGTCCAAGTCCTTGTAGTTAGCCAGGACCAAACTGCAGTTCTCCTGATTCCAACTCCAATGATCTCTCCAGGACACCATAGCTACCCAGTCAGAAAAACAAGAATTGTGCCTGGGGATCTGGTGCGGTGGGTCAGGCCTGTAATCCCAACACTTTGGTCACGCCTGTAATCCCAACACTTTGGGAGGCTGAGTCGTGAGGACCATTTGAGGCCAGGAGTTTGAGAGCAGCCTGGACAAAATAGTGAGACCCTATTCTACACACACACGTGCACACGCACACAAACACAATGCAGATTTTCATGGCTTCGTAGCATTTCATCTTCTAGATGGGTCTTAGTTCATTTAAACAATTCCATATATTTTTCCTTTTTTCTATTTTCTTTTCTTTCTTTTTTTTTTGAGACGGAGTCTGCTCTGTTGCCCAGGCTGGAGTGCAGTGGCGTGATCTCGGTTCACTGCAAGCTCCGCCTCCCAGGTTCACACCATTCTCCTGCCTCAGCCTCCCAAGTAACTGGGACTATAGGCACCCGCCACCACGCCCAGCTAATTTTTTGTATTGTTAGTAGAGATGGGGTTTCACCGTGTTAGCCAGGATGGTCTCGATCTCCTGACCTCGTGATCCGCCCACCTCAGCCTTCCAAAGTGCTGGATTACAGGTGTGAACCACCGCGCTTGGCCTTTTTTTTTTTTTTTCCGAGTCAGAGTCTCGCTCTATGGCCCAGGCTGGAGTGCAGTGGTGTGATCTCGGCTCACTGCAAGCTCCGCCTCCCGGGTTCAAGGGATTCTCCTGCCTCAGCCTCCCGAGTCGCTGGGACTACAGGTGCCGCCACTACGCCTGGCTAATTTTTTGTATTTTTAGTAGAGACGGGGTTTCACCACGTTAGCCAGGATGGTCTCGATCTCTTGACCTTGTGGTCTGCCTGCCTTGGCCTCCCAAAGTGCTGGGATTACAGGCGTGAGCTACCGCGCTCAGCCTCTTTTCCTATTTTCTAAAAGTTGAATTGCTGACTCATATGATCTGCATCTTTTTTTTTTTTTTTCTTGAGACAGGGTCTCACTACTGTTACCCAGGCTGGAGTGCAGTGGGAAGATCTGGTTCGTTGCAGCCTCAGCTTCCTGGTGATTCTCCTACTTTAGCCTCCTGAGGGACCACAGGTGCCTGCCACCATGCCTGGCTAATGTTTTGTATTTTTAGTAGAGACAGCATTTTGCCATGTTGCCCAGGCTGATCTTGACCTCCTGGGTTCAAACAATCCACCCACCTTGGCCTCCCAAAGTGCTGGAATTACAGGTGTGAGCCACCGCATCCAGCTCTACAGTTATTTTTTATTTATTTAGTTAGTTAGTTAGTTAGTTAGTTTGTTTGTTTGAGGTGTAGTCTCCCTCTGTCTCCCAGGCTGGAGCGCAGTGGCATCATCTCGGCTCACTGCAACCACCGCCTTCCAGGTTCAAGTGATTCTTCCGCCTCAGCCTCCCAAGTAGCTGGGATTACAGGCTCCTGCCACCATGCCCGGCTAATTTTTGTATTTTTAGTAGAGACGGACTTTCCCCATGTTGGCCAGGCTGGTCTCAAACTCATGACCTCAGGTGATCTGCCCATCCCGGCCTCCCAAAGTGTTGGGATTACAGGCGTGAGCCACCGCGCCCAGCCTGTTACTTATTTTCATGTGAAAAGCAAACCTACAAAGCAGGTGGTGTTCATCCCATTTTATAGGTGAAGACACAAAGCCTCTGAGAGGTGAAGTGACTTGTCCAAGGTCCCATAGTGGTGGAGCTGGGAAGGCAACCTGGAAGTGACTCCAAAGTCAACGCAATGGTTAAATAATTGTGAATCGAATCTGGGAAGGTTGGCTGGGAACGGTGGCTCATGCCTGTATTCCCAGCACTTTGGGAGGCTGAGGCAGGCAGATCACCTGAGGCCAGGAGTTCGAGACCAGCCTGGCTAACATGGTGAAAATACAAAATTACTACTAAAAATAAAAAATTAGCCGAGCGTGGTAGTGGGTACAAAATAATCCCAGCTACTCGGGAGGCAGAGGTTGTGGTGAGCTGAAATCGTGCCATTGCACTCCAGCCTGGGCAACAAGAGCAAAACTCCGTCTCAGAAAAAAAAAAAAAATTAGCCGGGCGTGGTGGCGCACTTCTGTAGTTTCAGCTACTCAGGAGGCTGAGGCAGGAGAATCACTTGAACCTGGGAGGCGGAGGTTGCAGTGAGCCGAGATCATGCCACTGCACTCCAACCTGAGTAACAGAGTGAGACCCAGTCTCAAAAAATAAATAAATAAATAAATAAATCGCCCTGTGTCAAAAATAAAATAAAATAAACATAAAAGTAAGTAAAAATACAAAAATTAGGTGGGCATGGTGGCACACGCCTGCAGTCCCAGCTACTCGGGAGGCTGAGGCATGAGAACCGCTTGAACCTGGGAGGTGGAGGTTGCAGTGGGCAGAGATCCCGCCACTGCACTCCAGCCTGGGCAGAGCGAGACTCTGTCTCAAAAAAAAAAAAAAAAAAGAAGAATCTGGGAAGGTCTCCAAGCAGGTAGACCCTGAGAGCTGGGTCTTATGTGTGGACAGAAGGAATAAGGCTCGGGGAAGGCAATTTGGCAAAGTCCAAAGCCTGAACAAAGGCCTTCAGGAGATTTCTTTTCTTTTCTTTTCTTTCCTTTTTTTTTTTTTTTTTTTTTTTTGAGGCTGGAGTGCAATGGCGCGATCTCGGCTCACCGCAACCTCTGGCTTCTTTGGAATCAAGCGATTCTCCTGCCTCAGCCTCCTGAGTAGCTGAGATTACAGGCATGCGCCACCACGCCTGGCTAATTTTGTATTTTTAGTAGAGACGAGGTTTCTCCATGTTGGTCAGGCTGGTCTCGAACTCCCGACCTCCGGTGATCCGCCCGCCTCGACGTCCCAAACTGCTGGGATTACAGGCGTGAACCACCGCGCCCGGCTCAGGAGATTTCCTACAGCTCAAAATTTGTAAGGCAAAGAGATGGCCACAAACCTTGTGAGAGTGGATGGGGAGCGACCTCGGCTCTCTTAGTCCCGCCTGGCCCACTAGACACTGCACTGCATGGTAGAGGCCCCGCCCGACCCAGCCCCTTAATCGGCCTGTTGCAATCACTATCAACCCGCCAATTCTGGCCCCGCCCCTGTCTTCCGGGTTCACCCTCTCACTTCCTGCGGGTCCCAGGCTCAGGCCCCTCCTCCGCCTTGTTTGGAGCAATCCAATCGAACCTGGAGGGCTCCGCTCCGCCCTATGCCGCGCTCCCCTCCTCCACGAGCAATGAGAATCAGCTCAGGCCCCGCCCCCGCTTCCGCCCGCCTAGACCACGCCCCTTCTTCATTTGGCCAATCAGGCAGTCCACTGGCCCCCGCCCCCTAATGCCCCGCCCCGTCAGCACTTATCCCTGAGCTGCTTCTGCCGTTGCATCTTCGGGACTCCGCCCCGCGCGCGGACCTGCAGCCATGGCAGTCACCGCCCAGGCAGCCCGCAGGAAGGAGCGCGTCCTCTGCCTGTTTGACGTGGACGGGACCCTCACGCCGGCTCGCCAGGTAGGACCCTGAAGATTGGAAGCTCCCACCGGGAGTGTCACGCGGACACCCCCGAGGCTGAGTGTGGGGTCTGCAGCAGCGTGACCGTGGACACCCGGGGACCGAGTGTGGGATGCGGCGGTACCCGGCCCCCTGACATCCGGGGCCACCCACCGGGAGTGAGGGGACCTGGCCCTCACGTCACTGACCCCGCAGCGTCCTTGCCTGTGTTCTGCTTGGGAGTGCTGGGGTTGGATCCAGTACTGGAGGGAGGAGGCTGCGAGCAGGGGCCTAGCTCCCTCCCTCCCCGGAGGCTGTCACACGCCGCTAAGGCCTGGCTCACGGACGCCCCCGCCTCCTGAGCTGGGGATCCCACCCTAGTTCAGCCCTACGACACACCAGTGGTCGGAGCTGGCTTCTGAACCGGGGTTCCAGGCACACAAGCACACAGCCAAGCGTCAGTCATCATCTGGTGGGAGACAGGGCGTCTCGGAGTCTTCCCACCCCGACCTTTGCAGGCCTGGGACTGGGTCTAGTTTCTGAAGCCCCATCACCCACTTTACCTTCCACCCCCAGTCGTGGAGCAGAGAGGGCTTCTTTTCAAATTCGTTTATGAGCTCTACCCACCCGGATGTGAGAGGCTCCAGGCCTAGCCTGTTTGCTGTGAGGACACTGAGGAATAGTGAGGGTAAGAGTCTAGTTTTCTTCTAAAGACTCTCGCTGTGTTGAGCCTCTTACCTCTGCTCAGTTTTTCTCCCATTGGGTCTCATTGTGAGTGAGTCCCCAAAAGCCCCCTCACCAGCTGGATGCATCAGTAAGCAGGCTTCATTCATGCCCTCCCTGTGGGTAACCCACCCTCCAGTCTGGGGGCCTCAAGGACCAACCAACAGGTCTCCTAGCGTGGGGGAGCAGTGGGATGGGCTTTACTGGGCAGTGGCTGATGGGAACCCAGGTCTTAGCCTCCTCTCTTAGGTCCCGAATGCCCCTCCCCATCCTCTGTGGTGAAGTTGCCCTGGCTTGGGCCCTGGAGGCCTTCCTGCAGGGGTGGATCCGGGAGGAAGATAGCAGGACTGGAGCAAAGGTGGGCCATTTGCTTGTGGGTCACGCCTGTAATCCCAGCACTTTGGGAGGCCATGGTGGGCAGATCACCTGAGGTCAGGAATTCTAGATCAGTCTGGCTAACATGGTGAAACCCCGTCTCTACTAAAAATACAAAAATTAGGCTGGGTTCAGTGGCTCACGCCTGTAATCCCAGCACTTTGGGAGGCCGAGGCAGACAGATCACGATGTCAGGAGTTTAAGACCAGCCTGACCAATATCGTGAAACCCTATCTCTACTAAAAATACAAAAAATTAGCCAGGCGTGGTGGCATGCACCTGTAATCCTAGCTAGTCGGGAGGCTGAGGCAGGAGAATCACTTGAACCCGAGAGGCAGAAGTTGCAGTGAGCCGAGAATGTGCCATTGCACTACAGCCTGGGCGACAGAGGGAGACTCAGTCTCAAAACAAAACAAAACAAAAAGTAGATGGGCGTGGTGTCGTGTGCCTGTAGTCCCAGCTACTGGGGAGGCAGAGGCAGGAGAATCGATTGAACCCAGGAGGTGGAGGTTGCAGTGAGCCAAGATTGTGCCATTGCACTCCAGCCTGGGCAACAAGAGTGAAACTCCGTCTCAAACAAACAAATAAATGAATAAAAGAACTGGAACAAAAGTGGCAGGGCCTAGGCACAGTTCTGACTCCTCCCTCTGACCTTTTGCTCCACAAACATAACAACCTGAATAAGAACAGCCTATTAATTTGTCTACGGGCCAGCCTCTGTGCTTAGTGCCTTTTGAAAGTTAATTTTTAATCGTACACATTTTCATGAGCACACTCTCCTGGTAAAGAATGGAAACGTAACAGAGAAGGGTAAAGTCCACTCTGACCGCACTTGGGGAGCCTGGCCGGCTCCCCAAGTTAATGTGGTTACTGTGGTGTGGCTTCCCTCCAGGCCTTTATCTGGATCTATTTGCCCAGAGCAAATATTAAGCATTGTTTTGTGAGGCTATTTTTGTTATTGTTCTTTGGCTCCTCAAAAATCAACTTGATTGTGATGCTATTTTGTTGTTGTTGTTGTTAGAGACCGGGGTCTCACTCTGTCACTCAGTCTGGAGTGCAGTGGCGCTATCACAGCTCACTGCAGCCTCGAACTCCTGGGCTCAAGTGATTCTCCCGCCTCAGCTTCTGGAGTAGCTGGTAGCTGGGACTACAGGCAAGTGCCACCATGCCTGGCTAATATCTTTTTTTTTTTTTTTTTTTGGAGATGAAATCTCATTCTTGTCCCCCAGGCTGGAGTGCGATGGCATGATCTCGGTTCACTGCAACCTCCACCTCCCGGGTTCAAGGGATTCTCCTGCCTCAGCCTCCTGAGTAGCTGGGATTACAGGCGCTTGCCACCACGCCCAGCTAATTTTTTTTTCTTTTTTTTTTTGAGACGGAGTCTCGCTCTGTCGCCCAGGCTGGAGTGCAGTGGCGTGATCTCAGCTCACTGCAAGCTCTGCCTCCCAAGTTCACGCCATTCTCCTGCCTCAGCCCTCCCGAGTAGCTGGGACTACAGGCGCGTGCCACCACGCCCGGCTAATTTTTTTGTATTTTTTAGTAGAGACAGGGTTTCACCATGTTAGCCAGGATGGTCTCAATCCCCTGACCTTGTGATCCACCCGCCTCGGCCTCCCAAAGTGCTGGGATTACAGGCGTGAGCCACCGCGCATGGCCAATTTTTTTTTTTTTTTTTTTTTAATTTTTAGTAGAAACAGAGTTTCACCATGTTGGCCAGGCTGGTCTCGAACTCCTGACATCAAGTGATCCACCCTCCTGGGCCTCCCAAAGTGCTGGGATTACTGGTGTGAACCACCGTGCCAGCCCATGCCTGGCTAATTTTTAAAAACTTTCGGCCAGGCACGGTGGCTCACGCCTATAATCCCAGCACTTTGGGAGGCCCAGGCGGATGGATCACCTGAAGTCAGGAGTTCAAGACCAGCCTGGCCAACATGGCGAAACCCTGTCTCTACTAAAAATTTAAAACTTAGCTGGGCATGGTGGCAGGCGCCTGTAATCCCAGCTACTCGGGAGGCTGAGGCAGAAGAATCGCTTGAACCCGGGAGGCAGAGGTTGCAGTGAGCTGAGATCACGCCATCGCACTCCAGCCTGGGCAGAGGTTTCAGTGAGCCAGAATCACACCACTGCACTCCAGCCTGGATGACAGAACAAAAATTCGTCTCCAAAAAAATTTTTTTTTTCATAGAGACAATGTCTTCCTTTGCTGCCTAGGCTCTAGTCTCAAACTCCTGGGTCAAGTGATCTTTCTGCCTTGGCCTCGCAAAGTGTTGGGATTGCAGACCTGAGCCACAGTGTCCAACCTGTCTAATTTTTGGTGTCTAAGCTTTGTACTGCTTCAGATCCAGGTAGAATGTGGGCTTCCTGGGTTCTCAGCACTAAGTGAGGGCTAAGTGGAGGTCCCAGACATGTTGAAAGCCAGAATGCTATGCTTCCCCTCTCCCCCCATAGAAAATTGACCCTGAGGTGGCCGCCTTCCTGCAGAAGCTACGAAGTAGAGTGCAGATCGGTGTGGTGGGCGGCTCTGACTACTGTAAGATCGCTGAGCAGCTGGGTGACGGGGATGAAGGTAGGAGTGAGGCTGGGGGTAGAGGGAGTGGGGAGTTTGAGAGATTCCTGGGCGTCTTCAAAGATCCAGTCCTGCTTCTGTGGGGCAGAAGAAATAGAGAGAGAGCAGCCAGATAGTTCCCTTACTGATTTGACAAACACTTGAGCACTTCCTATTGCCAGGGATTGTGCCAGGCCCTTGAGAAATGGCTGGGGCAAAGCAAGCAGAACCTGCCCTTATGCAGTTTACATTCTCATTTCTCCCTGCTGAGTCTTGATTTCCTCATCTTTAAAATGGGCTGAACCAGCCGGCACAGTGGCTTACGCCTGTAATCCCAGCACTTTGGGAGGCCGAGGCGGATGGATCACTTGAGATGAGGAGTTCAAGACCAGCCTGGCCAACATGGTGAAACCCCGTCTCTACTAAAAATACAAAAAATTAGCTGGGTGTGTTGGCACGTGCCTGTAATCCCAGCTACTCGGGAGGCTGAGGCAGGAGAATCGCTTGAACCTGGGAGGCGGAGGTTGCAGTGAGCCAAGATCAGGCCACTGCACTCCAGCCTGGGTGACAGAGTGAGGCTACACATCCAAAAATAAATAAATAAATAAATAAATAAATAAATAAATAAATAAAAGGGCAGAACCAATGATGGCTACCATTTGTCAAAAATGATCATGTGTTAATGTCATTGCATTTGATCCCCACAATCACACTTTAGAGTAGGCGTGATCATCCCATTTAACAGAGGATGACTCTGAAGTTATCCAGGAAATCGACTGGACCTCAGAGCCCCTGGTCTCAGCCCAGTCAAAGTGGGTGCCTCCAGTTCCTCAAGCCAGAAACTTCCTCGAATTTTTCCTTTTCCCCACCTCTTGTTTATTCCATCAGCAAACCCCAAAATATCTCCCTGTCCCCTCTGTCTCCATCTCCACCACGCCATCATAGTCCAGGTAACCACGTGCCACCCAGACCCCGCAACAGCCTCTGGGCTGTGCTCCCTGTGCCTCCCACCTCCCACCCACTCCAACTGCTTCGCCTGGCAGTCAGAGCTGAAACCTCCAACTCTCCCATGCAGCCAGCCTTGAGAACCCAGTGCGATGGCAGCTATAGAACAGAAGGGAGCCCCTCTGCAGAGGGGCAGGGGAGCACAGAGTGGAAATGATGCCCTCTGCCAGAGAGTACTGCATGGCTTCCAGAGGAGGAAGCTGAATCTTGGAGGATGAGTGGCAGGGAAGCCAGGGAAGGGCGGTTCTGACAGAAGGACCTGCATGGATGCCTGTGTGCAGAGGCCCACAGGTGTGACTGGCTTCTTTGGAAGAAAACCAAGCTGCAGAGGGAGAAAGGCTGGAGAAGCAGGTTGTAGCCTCAGATTGAACAAATGGCCTTTGAATGTGAAACCAAGGGTGTAGGCTTCCTCTCTCTTTACTTGCCCGTGGGGTCACAGACGTGGTCTCACACTCTTTCTTCCTCCTGTCCTCTATGTGACCCTGAAGTCATTGAGAAGTTTGATTATGTGTTTGCCGAGAACGGGACGGTGCAGTATAAGCACGGACGACTGCTCTCCAAGCAGGTCAGTGTCCCCCAGGGCTTAGCCAGGGGCACCCCACTTTTCCATAGTGGAGCAGTCCAAGGGGGCTTCTGTCCTGGGCTGGGGGAGAGACACTGTGCCTGTCTCAGGGTCAGGCAGCCCAGGCCACGCTCAGAGCCCTGTGTTCCTTGGCCAGACCATCCAGAACCACCTGGGGGAGGAGCTGCTGCAGGACTTGATCAACTTCTGCCTCAGCTACATGGCCCTGCTCAGGCTGCCCAAGAAGCGGTGAGGTCCCACCAGCCTGGTCTCCAGAACCTGGGGCCTGAGGGAGGAGAAGTGTGGGTCCCTCAGAGGGAACCTGGAGATACTTGGGCCCCTGATTTTTTGCGGGGAGTGTGGATTCTTGTCCCCTTTGAAGTCCTAGGAGGCTGGGGTCCCAGGTGGGGCTAGATTTGAATTCAGGGCCGTTCTGGTTCTCTCTGGCTCCCCGCCCTCCCTCACCACCAGTGGAACCTTCATCGAGTTCCGGAATGGCATGCTGAACATCTCGCCCATCGGCCGGAGCTGCACCCTGGAGGAGAGGATCGAGTTCTCCGAACTGGACAAGGTACCACTAGCTATGCAATCTTAGGCCTGTAGGGCCTCAGTCACTCAATTTATCTGAGCCTTTATTTTCTCATCAGTAAAATAGACTGGGGGATGTGTTCTGATTTAACTGATACCCTTTCAGGCACCTACTGTGTGCCATTGTTGTAGACACACCTGCATCTTTACAATGCTGCTGGTCCCCCTTCCTAGGTGACCAGCACCAGGCAGCCACCCACTGAGCCAGGCCAACACCTGGGAACATCATTTCCACCTTCCCACCCACATCGGGTCCAACAACTCTTATTTCATCAGCCTCTCGAGTCAGTGTCAAATCTGTTCATCTGCAGAACTGAGACCCCACTTTCTAGATTACCCCTTTCCCCAGCCCCAGGCTGCCCCAACTTTCCTCTCTGTCCCTCCCTACCCCTTGCATAGCCCTGCCAGCCTGCTCTCCAGCAATGCCACTGAGAACCTTTCTTTCTTTTTCTTTTTGGAGATAGAGTCTCCAAAAAAATAGATAGAGGCTGGAGTGCAGTGGCATGATCTCAGCTCACTGCAACTCCCACCTCCCGTGTTCAAGCGATTCTCCTGCCTCAGCCTCCCAAGTAGCTGGAATTACAGGCATGCACCACTACACCCAGCTAATTTTTGTACTTTTTTAGTAGAGGCAGGGTTTCACCACGTTGGCCAGGCTGGTCTCGAACTCCTGACCTAAGGTGATCCGCCTGCCTCGGCCTCCCAAAGTTCTGGGATTACAGGCATGAGCCACCACGCACAGCCCATTAGAACCTTTCAAACATGTCAGCCGCATTCACCCCCCAGCCCCACCCCCTCATTTACAATCCTTCCTTGGCTCCTCGTTGCCAACTGGATGATGTCCTAGCCCCCTGCTATGGTGCCTCAAGCCCTGAGGGCTCTGTCTGGCTCTGGCTCTCCGCGTCTCCTTTCTATGCCCTTCAAGTTCCACTTTCTATTCCTGGAACACACCAAGGTCCTCTCACCTCTGCCTGTACTGCCCCTGCTAAACCTTGATGTGCATTTTGCTTTTCTCCCCACCGCCTCCCTCCCTCTCGGGGATGGAGCAATCCACCCATCCAGACCTTTCCATGCTGGCCCGTCCACGTCATTCTGTCATTCTCTCTGACCTGTTCGGTGGCTCTCCCTGCCCTCTGCTCCAGCTATGGCCTCTTGGCTGATTCTAGAGTGCTGTGCCTCTGTCAGAGCACACTTCTCTCAGGCCCAGCTCGTCCCTCCCCTCCTTCAAATCCCCTTTCACATCCTTTTCCCAGTGGGGCCTCCGAGAGTATCACATCCACTGCTGCACTTCCTCCTCCTTCCCCTACCTTATTTCTCCCCAAGTAGCCTTGGACAACTTTCATCATCTACTTTTAAAATCCGAATTACTGTCTGTCCCTGTCCCAGAACTGTAAGCTCCATGAGGGATTTCTGCGGCTTGTTCTCCTCTGGATCCCCTATGCTTGGCACATGGCATACTTTTTGTTGTTATTGTTTTTGAGACAGGGTCTTACTCTGTTGCCCAGTCTGGAGTGCAGTGCAGTGATCCAGTCCTAGCTCACTGCAGCCTCGATCTCTCAGGCTCAAGCGATCCTCACACCTCAGCCTCCTGAGTAGCTGGGACCACAGGTGCATTACACCATGCCAGGCTAATTTTTAAAATATTTTGTAGGGATGGGATCTCGCTGTGTCTCCCAGGCCAGTTTTGAACTCCTAGCCTCAAGTGGGCCTTCTCCCTCAGCCTTCCAAAGCACCAAGACTGTAGGTGTGAGCCACCGCACCTCGCAAAGAAATACCCTTTTTTGTTTTTTTTTTTTTGGAGACTGAGTTTCGCTCTGTCACCCAGGCTGGAGTGCTGTGGCACAATCTCGGCTCACTGCAACCTCCACCTCCCGGGTTCAAACAATTCTTCTGCCCCAGCCTCCCAAGTATCTGGGACTACAGGCACATGCTGCCACGCCCGGCTAATTTTTTTTTTTTAGACAGAGTCTTGCTCTGTCACCAGGCTGGAGTGCAGTGGCACAATCTCGGCTCACTGGAACCCCTGACTCGCTGGTTCAAGCGATTCTTCTGCCTCAGCCTTCCCAAGTAGCTAGGATTACATGCACCACAATGCCCAGCTAATTTTTTGTATTTTTAGTAGAGACGGGGTTTCACCATGTTGGCCAGGATGGTCTCGATCTTCTGACCTCGTGATCCGCCTGCCTCAGCCTGCCAAAGTGCTGGGATTACAGGCGTGGCCACTGTGCCCGGCCTAATATTTTGTATTTTAGTAGAGATGGGGTTTCACCGTGTTGCCCAGGCTGGTCTCGAACTCCTGAGCTCAGGCAATCCACCCACCTCAACCTTCCAAAGTGATTATAGGTGTGAGCCACTGTGCCCGGCAAGAAATACCTTTTGAATGAATGAAATGAGCTGTATTATCTCCATTTTATAAATGAGGAAACCAAGGCTCGATGAGAAGGGCCCTGCCCGAGGTCACATAGGGAGTTGGTTGCAGAGCAAAGATTTGATTTTGCCATTGGCCCTCTGGTGCCTCCCTGAGGGTGCCTCTCAGCTCAGTGACTCCTGACTCCCACCTGTGCCCTGAGGCTTAGGGGAGGCAGTGCCCACAGGCACAGGGACTTTTTTTTTTTTTCTTGATAGAGTCTTGCTCTGTCACCCAGGCTGGAGTGCAGTAGCATGATCTCAGCTCACTGCAACCTTCGCTGCCTAGGCTCAAGCAATTCTCCTGCCTCAGCCTCCTGAGTAGCTGGGATTACAGGCCCATGCCACCACACCTGGCTAAGTTTTTTGGTTTTGGTTTTGGTTTTGGTTTGGTTTTGGGTTTTTTTTTTTTTTTTTTTTTTGAGATGGAGTCTCACTCTGTCGCCAGGCTGGAGTGCAGTGGTGAGATCTCGGCTCGCTGCAACCTCTGCCTCCCGGGTTCAAGCGATTCTCCTGCCTCAGCCTCCCAAGTAGCTGGGACTACAAGCGCCTGCCACCACGCCCAGCTAATTTTTGTATTTTTAGTAGAGACAGGGTTTCACCATGCTGGCTAGGATGGTCTCGATCTCTTAACCTTGTGATCCGCCCTCCTTGGCCTTCCAAAGTGCTGGAATTACGGGCATGAGCCACCGCGCCCGGCCTAATTTTTGTATTTTTTAGTAGGGACAGGGTTTTGCCATGTTCAGGCTGGTCTCAAATCCCTGGCCTCAAGTGATCTGCCTACCTTGGCCTCCCAAAGTGCTGGGATTATAGATGTGAGCCGCTGCGCCCGGCCACGGGGACTTTTTTTTTGGGGTAGTTAGGATTGGTCTTAGGCAAAGAACCCTTCCCCCCCAATACACGTGCTGAGAAGTTATCCCTTCCTGTCCACCCAGGTTCCCAGTCCCAGCTCTACCCATTTGCCTTGTAACCTGGAAAAGCATCTTTACTAACGTGTGCCTCAGTTTCCTTATGTGTAAGGTGGGGGTAATAGCAGTTCCCATCCCATGGGCTGTCATGAGCACTGGATGAGGTGGCACATGGACCCCACCTGGCATGGAGTTGGGGAGCCACACCCTAACTCCCCACCCCAGAGCCTTCTCAAGTATTTTTGGCTCTTGTTTGCTCCCTTCTGGCACTGGAGGAGCATGAACCTTCCTGATCTGTGCGCCCTGCCCTGGCCCAGAGCTGGTGTAAATAAATGCTTAACCCAGCTCATCTTCCAGAACCCTGAAGCGGGGATGAGTACTTCCCTTCCTTAGATGAGGACACTGAGGCCAGAGGGTGAGTAACCAGCTCGAGGTCACAGTGCCGGTCCCTGCTGAGGCTGGCCTTGCACATGGGGCTGTCTAGTGACCAGCCTTGTTCTCCAGAGAAGGGAGGTGCAGCCAGCCTCGGCCATGTGGAAACATTTCTTCAGAGCCTGGGGCAGTCTTAGTGGTAGCCCTGGGCCTACAGAGTGGACGCTGGTGGGGACTCTGGCCTCCCTGGGGCCCACCTACCTGCTGGAAAGCCAGGCCAAGGCTGGCAGGGGGCTCACATCCCTTATCTCTGCTTTTCCATGAGAGGGAAGCAGGCAGGGGTCATTCATTACTTCTCTGTCCTTTAGTCCAGGAAATAGGCTCAGAGAGGTCAGGTGACTTGCCCATGGTCACACAGCTGAGGAGTACAGTAGCCAAGCCTGGCTACTTGCCTTCAGATCTCAGGCTAGGGGGTGTCTGGCTTTATATCTGACATCCTCCCTGGGCCACTTCTCCAAGCTCCATGCTGCTGACCACTGCCTGCCTTTCCGCCCCAGTCCTACCCGGCTCTGACTACAGGGCCATACCAGCCACCCCACTCCTGTGCTCCAGAATCCTCAGCGCCTCTTGGTCCCCCAGGATGTGGTCAGACTTCCCAGCCCGGTCTCGAGACCCTCTGTCAGCTGAATGTCCTGCTGGCTGGTTTAGATGTTCAGCTGCCCCTCAGACTGGGCATAGCTGCTCCCCTTTGTGGCCCTCTGAGATGGAGATCCTGGGGGCTGGCGGGGAGAATGTCCCCCTGCTCCACGTTTGCGGAGCTGCTGCCAGAGTTCCTGCTCAGAGGGACGGGGCCGGCCTGGGCACTACCTAGTCCCCAGCCCAGCCGCGTCTTTGCATGCTGGGTGCTCTGCCATGCCTGGCATCCTGCTGCCCTCTGTGAATGCCCACAGCCACCTCCTCACAGGTCTCCTGCTCTCAGCTCCCATGCTCATTTCTGAGTATTTGCTTTGTTGAGCTGGTTACAGATAACAGGATCGAGCCCTGCCCTGAGGTGGACACTGATGTGGGATCCAGATTGCCCCGTCTCCTCGCCCTTCCTACTCGTGTCTCTCCTCTGAGGTCTCCTTCAGAAGACCCAGCCCACAGCCCCATTGGCAGCCCCATCCCTTCTGGATTTAGGCCCTGGCTCTGCCACCAGGGCTAGGTGACCTTGACCAAGGCACAACCCCTCTCTGAGCCTTAGTTTGCGCATCTGCACAGTTGGGGGTCCTACCCACCTAGAATGCTCAGCACGCTCACGTGGACTGTGTGCCCAGCCAGGGCCTGGCACACAGCAGGTCCTCTGAGCTGCCATCCGCTCCCTCCCCTCTGCAGAAAGAGAAGATCCGGGAGAAGTTCGTGGAAGCCCTGAAAACAGAGTTTGCTGGCAAAGGGCTGAGGTTCTCTCGAGGTACGTCCACCCTGCAGAGGACCTGGGAGGCCTGGTACAGGGCCCCTCCTCAAACCATCTGCCCCTGCCAAGACCAGGCTGTGGCCCCCAGTAGCTTTAGTAGCCCCTCCCCGGCTCAGGGCAGAGAGGGTGGCTGAGCCCGATGCAGAAAGGGGTTCAGTGTTTACTGGCCCCCAGTTTTCCCCACCTCATACCTCAGAGGTAAACGCCCCATGCCCACCCAGTTTCTCAGGCCAAAAAACCAGAGCCTCTCCCTTGAATGCTCTCCCCCACCCCTTCCCAAGTCCAAACTCCTAGAAGTCACAGGGCCCCCTGTCTGGAATCCCACCGGTGCTCACACTTCCACTGCCAGCAGCTTGTCCCAGGCTCCAACTGACCCTGACACAACTGGGCTCCCCTCTGCCACCTCACCCATTCCCCAGTGGCCAGAGAGGCTGGAGCTGGAGTCATGACATGCCTCTGCCCAAAGTCCTCCCCAGGCTCTTCCTCCCTCTCCATGTGATGCCCAGGGCCTGCCCGTCCTCCCCCTACCTCTCCTGGCCTCCTCCGTTGCTGGGACGCTCGTTCTCTTCCCTGCCTCAGGGGCTGTACTTTGCGCCCCAGCCATCCCCACTCGGCTCAGGTCCCAGCTCATTGCCACCTCCTCAGAGGTCTCCCCTGATCACCCTGGCCGGATGAGCTTCCCCCACCCACTTCATGGTCTTGTTCATTCTCCAACCTGTGTCATAACTTCCTTGAGGATCCTAAGTCTGTCCCGTGTCCTATTCCTGGCCCTCAGTAGGCACTCAAGGGTTGTTGAATGAATGAATGAACAAGCAGCCCTTCTGTTAGCCTTGTCTGCCCCTCCCAGCAGGGAATAACAGTCCCCACCCCTGCCCACAGGAGGCATGATCAGCTTTGACGTCTTCCCCGAGGGCTGGGACAAGCGCTACTGCCTGGATAGCCTGGACCAGGACAGCTTCGACACCATCCACTTCTTTGGGAACGAGACTAGCCCTGTGAGTGTGGCCCACCCCAGGTTTCCCCTAACGCAGTGGACAGTGAGAAGCCAGGTCTGGTGGCTTCTCCAATGCAAATCACCTGAGGTCAAGGCCAGAACATGGGGCAACACAACAGACCTCTTAGGGGGCTCCTGGAGAACAACCATTGCTCACCAGCCCCGTTACACAGATTGGAAAGCTGGGGCCCCAAGAGGCTGGGCACTTGTTCTACATCACACAGCAAGTCAGGGCAGGTCTGACAAGGGGTGAGAAGGTGGGCTTCCTGGCAGTTCTGAAGGGGCAGGAGGAGGGGCAGGTCCGTAGCAGCCAATGTGGAGAGGGACTCCACCTAAATATCCCTCCTCTGCCCATCCTCTGTGTGCAGGGTGGGAACGACTTTGAGATCTTTGCCGACCCCCGGACTGTTGGCCACAGCGTGGTGTCTCCTCAGGACACGGTGCAGCGATGCCGGGAGATTTTCTTCCCAGAGACAGCTCATGAGGCGTGACCGGGGCCCACATCTGTGTGTCGTGACTTCTGAAGAGTTTGGCCTAGGCCTAAAGAGAGGTCCTGGTGTTGGATAGATGCCAGGGCCCCTCCTCTGGCCCAGGACGCCTGCTGCAAGCCCACCCAGATGGGGCCAGAGTCTGTGTGGACAACCGTCCCCAGCCAGTCTGCTCCTAGTGGCACTGGCTTCGTCCTCCCAGGGCCCAGAGTGTTCCCCATGCTCCACCTGGTGGCCCAGGCCACAGCTGCTGCTTGTATTTCGGTACAGAAGAGGTTTCTTTCTGCACCAGGAGGAGGCGTGCTCAAGTATCGGTACGAGATCTAGCCTGCCCTGCCTGCCTGCCCTGGGCGATGAGGTACGGTGGGGAAGGTGCCTATTTTAGAGAACTTTGTCACAGTATTAAAGTTCCCAGAACAAAGTAGGTGTCAGCTGTGTCTGAATGGATAATTGGCCCCAGTCACATGCTGTCACAGCCACTACTTTGCCGACAAGTAAACAGCACAGAGAGGGCAGGGACTTGGCCCAGGTCACAAAGGAAGTCTGATGCAGTCGAGGAGGGGGCCATTGAATCCCCAAAGAAGAGCTGGTTTGGTGTGTCCACCCCCAGCCCCTTCCTTGGGGACCCTGACACAGAGGCAGCTTCAGGCCACGGTGGGTCACAGTTGAGGGTTTATTGCCAGTGTTAGGAAGAATGGGGGGTCTGGGTGGCCAGGGGTCTTGGGAGGAATTCCAAATGAGCACTGCAGGGCCTGTGAGTGGGGAGGAGAGCTGCTGCCCCCCTGCCACCCAGGAGGCCCCAGGGCTGATGCCACCATATCCTGACTGCTAGTGGTGCCTTAAAAGGTGGCCTCCCCACAGGAGGGGAGCCTTGGGGGCCCCCAGGAGTCAGCCCTCACCAACAAGCCCTCTCTCAAGGGGGCCAGGGGCCTTTATTCCTCATGGGACAGGCTGGGCCGTGCCCATTTTAGGGGAGCTGACCACACCTCAGCAGCTCTGGGCTCCCAGATTTTATGTGGTGGGCCCTGGGGCCGGGGGTGGGATGCAGGCATCCCGGCTGATTTCTACCCTGCGGTCTTGGGGCACCTACAAGGCAAGGGATCCTCCTAGACAGTCACTGATCCCCTCATCCTGGGCATTTGAGCCCCCAGTTTTACTCACAGACTGAGTCTCATAAGGGTCCCACCCCTGGCCAGCCCTCCCTCGAACCACGGCCCCACTTCTCCCCGGTCAGGCGATGTGCTCTCTAGAAGGGAGGGTGGTAGGCAGGGGGTGCACCCAGAGGTGGAGGCAGACAGGGCCCTCCTTCCTGGCCTCCTGGGCCAGGCCACCCTCACCCCTGCCTGGGAGTGAATGGCCACGACCCCGGGTGCACACACATCTTGGCCCCAAAAGGACTCCAGGTGACAGCAACAGCCACACATCTTCAGGGATGGATGCAATAAGAGCCACACCTCGGCCACTGGTCTGTTAGGGCTTTGGGAAGAGAGTTTGACGTGGAGGCCGCAGGGCCAGTCTCCCAGGCTGGGGGCCCTCCTCGTGGGTGCCCCGGACGTGTGTCCGTCCCTCGCGGCATCCACAGCAGCCGTCAGCCGGGCATGGCCCAGAGCATCAGTGGGGCTTGTGAGTCAGGGTAAAGGAGGTCTGCAGCCAAGCTGGAGAGATGGACCCCCACCCTCTGCAAACCCCTGGGCTCGGCTCAGTACAGCCCAGGGGAAGGAGCCCAGCGCCACTGCCAGGCTGAGGAGGAGGGACTGGCCGGCGAAATGGGAGCCCCAAACCCCTTCCGCCCTCAGGCCCCTCTTCCTGCCTCTCCATGGCACTGAGAGAGCAGAGCAGGAAGGAAGGCTGGCCTCGGCAGTGAGAGGCCTGTGTGCCTCCGTGTCAGTCCTCCTCCCCTGCCAGAGGCTGAGAGGCTCCCCAAAAGCACCCATCGGCCAGGCTTCTGAGGGAAGGGTCCAGGCTGTGGCGGGGGACCTCAGCCAAGGGAGGGAGATGTAAGTAGCACAGAGAGCCTGGCTCCGGGCCAGGGACTGACACGGGACAGCTCAGGGGCGGAGGCCAGGGAGTGAGCCCAGCGCAGGCTCTCGCAGCTCAGTCACCGTGGGGACGGGTAAGCAGGAGGGCGAGCGGGTCCTGCGTGTCTGCGGCAGGGAGGGGAGGAGAGAGGCAGTGGACAGCGCGAAGCCAGGTCTGGTGGCCTTGCCCTCCACCTACCTCCTGGCCAGCTTGCACAGTAGTCACGGGTCGTGGGGTGGGTGGAGGCACACGCTCATAGCCACAAGCACAGACGGACAGACAGACGTGCACACTGAGGCCACCGAAGGACTCATCAGCCAGGGCAGTGGGGCATGGAGCCGGCTGCTGCCCGTTCACCCTGTGTGGCTCCCCAACCCCCGGCCAGCTGGCCTGTGAACCACTCAGCCTAGGAGCCCACGACCTGGCCAGACCACGTCTCGTGGGGAGTGTGGGGGGCCAGCTGAGTGAGCACCACCTCCACGGCCTGGAACTTCTGGTTCTTGGGAGGGATAGGGCACATCTTGTAGGTCACCTCGTCGCCCTCCACTGGCACGTACTCCCCCTCGATGCTGGCGGGCAGGAAGAGGGGTATTAGCCCAGCAGCAGGCCCTGTGCCCCAGACAATCCTGTGGCCTGGCCTTGGGGGCAGCCTGGCCCTAAGCCTCCCTAGGCCAGGAGGCCTGGCCAGGCCTTGCTTCTCAGAACCTCAGCTCTCGAATCTGTAAAACGGGACTCATGGCTGGGCACAGTGGCTCACGCCTGTAATCCCAGCACTTTGGGAGTCTGAGGCGGGCGGATCACCTGAGTCAGGAGTTTGACACCAACCTGGCCAACATGGCGAAACCCTGGCTCTACTAAAAGTACAAAAATTAGCCAGGCATGGTGGCTGGCACCTGTAATTCCAGCTACTTGGGAGGCTGAGGTGGGAGAATCGCTTGAACCCAGGAAGTGGAGGTTGCACTGAGCCGAGATTGTGCCATTGCACTCCAGCCTGGGCGACAGAGCGAGACTCCCTCTCAAAAAATAAATAAAATAAAATAAAATGGGACTCATAAACTGTACCTCCCTTTCTGGGTCCCTTGGGGACCGAGATGTGAAAGGGCACGGGGAGGTCCCTAAAGCTCTGAGAAGCTCAGTGACCTCCCCCGGTCCTCCTGGCATTAGAAGTGGGTGGGGCCAGGCCTAGACATGATATCCATCTCTACCTCCTGGCCCACCCACATGAAGGCCCTTTCCAGGCCAAGAGGCTCAGGAGCTGGCCTAGCCCTCTCAGACCTCCACGATGCTGTAACAGGATCCAGGGCCCAGCCGCTGGCTCCCAGGCTTCTGGGGTCTGCGTGCCCACTCCCTCCCTGGCCCCAGCCCTCCTCTCCCAACGCACCCTCAGCCCCTACTCAGAGGACAGAAAAGGCACCATGAATACAGACCTCAGCCAGTGAGAGGAGAGGCCTGGAGAGCCATTTTTGAGGCACCATTGGGGACACTAGGGCAGGGGCCAAGAACAGGGAGGTGGAGGGGACTCACTCAGACACATGTACGAAGATGTCCTCGGACCCGTTCTCGGGGGTGATGAAGCCATGGCCCTGTGAGCGTGAGAACTGCTTACAGACGCCCTTGAACACGGGGCCAGCTGAGGCCCGGGCTGTCCTGGAGATAGGGTAGTGGGATTGGAGCTGTGGCCTGAGGAACTCCTCCCCGGATCCCTACAGCCATTCTGGGCCCTTTCTGCTGAGCGTGCCTCAGGGCTGTGAGAAACTTGACCCAGGCCAGAAACCACACAGTCATCCCCATTCAACGATAATGAGGCCAGGCACGGTGGCTCACACCTGTAATCCCAGCACTTTGGGAGGCTGAGGCGGGAGGATCACTTGGGCCTAGGAGTTTGAGACCAGCCTGGACAACATAGGGAGACTCCCATCTCTACAAAAAAAATTTTTTTTTTTTTTTGAGACAGGGTCTTTCTCTGTCACCCAGGCTGGAGTGCAGGGGTGCAATCTCAGCTCACTGCAACCTACACCTCCCAGGTTCAAGCAATTCTCATGCCTCAGCCTCCTGAGTAGCTGGGATTACAGGCACCCACCACCACACCCAGCTAAGTTTTGGCATTTTTAGTAGAGACAGGGTTTTGCAGTGTTTGGCCATGTTGGCCATACTGGCTTGATCTCCTGTCCTTAACTGATCCACCTGTCTCGACCTCCCAAAGTGCTGGGATTACAGGCATGAGCCACCATGTCTGGCCCAAACATTTTTTTAAAAAAATGAGCTGGGGGTGGTGGCACGCACCAGTCGTCCCAGCTACTCAGGAGGCTGAGGTGGGAGGATTGCTGAAGGCCAGGAAGTTGAGGCTGCAGTGAGCCATGACTGCACCACTGCACTCCAGCCTGGGCAACAGAGCGAGACCCTGTCCTTCCCAAAAGATCCTTTGGCCTCCCCCATATGGACCCGTATTACTCCCCTATGCCACCTCATCGGTGACCTACCCCAAAGGCCCAGGCCTAGTCTTTGTCCCGCCTACCTACCCCTCTCCAAAGGTTAACTCCGTGTCTTGGGTTTTGCCCATGCTGTACCATCTGCCCAGAATCGCCAGCTCCCTTCTTCACCTGATACATCTTCCATACCCAACCAGGACATCATCTCCTCTGGTACCCCATGCTGGGTCCTCACCCCTAACCCTGCTGGGTGGTAATGGATGGTGAACAAGTTCCCTCTGGATTGTAAGCAGCTTATGGATCCTGACTGGTCAGGAGCTCAGTAAATCTTTGTGGAATAGATGGATAGATGAATGGATGGGTGGATGGATGGACGGACAGACGGATGGATGGACGGATGGATGGGTGGGTGGATGGATGGATGGATGGATGGACAGGTGGATGGATGGATGGATGGATGGATGGATGGATGGATGGATGGATGGGTGGGTGGGTGGGTGGGTGGGTGGGTGGGTGGGTGGGTGGGTGGATGGATGGATGGATGGATGGATGGATGGGTGGATGGGTGGATGGATGAATGGATGTATGGGACAAACATCCATCCAGTTACTGGAAGGTCCACACACAGTTCCCCTGTCCCAGGTGAGGACAACAGGAGTTGGAAGAGGATGGGGATGGTCAGCCCCTGTCCTGACAAGGGTCAGGGGCCTGGGCAAGGGGCAGGTACTCACGCTGAATAGGTCCTGGTCCGCTTGGTGGGCAGAGGGCTGGGTAGGTCCCGAGGTGGGACACCACCCCGCTCCCAGACCCTGCTGCCCTCCCTGTGGAAGGGGAAGGTGGGCCAGACTGGGGACTTGGGGGAGTGGAGCGGGGGCACAACTGGGGGTGACGTCGACTCTGAAGTCATGGTGGGGCCAGCAGGAGAGCCTGGTGGGCTCTGGGGCCCAGGGGCCGGTGAGGGGTTTGGTCGTCCTTGCGGGCAGGGCCCGGCCTGGCCCTGCTCTGCGGCCTCACCAGCCACGGGCTCCGTCTGGAAGAGGAAGAAAGAGGCACAGGTGAGCCTAGTCCAGGGGAGCAGCTCCTGAACCCTGGCCACAGTGAGGAGGGCTGGTCCCACCTGCTATCCTCACGGCGTTACTTCAAGTCACAAACGACCCCATCGTGGTTCAGAGTCCTCACCAGAAAAACAAAACTAGGGGTCATATGACCCCTAAGTCCTTCCAGTTTGCAGTTCAATTCTCTTAACTCCAGGGGCCTGGGAGGTGGCTGGGTAGGGTGGCCAGTGATGGTCTAGAATATGGTTCGGCATAAGGGTCAGTTGTTTCAGAGTCACACATCTGGGTTCAAACCTTAGCTTTGTCACCTACAACTTGGTGACTTCAAGCAAGCCAAGCCACACATCAGCTCCAACATGGCAGGTGGGAGTATGGGCTCCACACCCAGGCCTGGGTTTGAATCCTGCATCCTCCACCTTCTGGCTACATAGCCTTGGCTCTGGTCAAATTTTTTTTTTTGTTTTAGACAGAGTCTCACTCTTGTTGCCCAGGCTGGAGTGCATTGGCACGATCTCGGCTCACTGCAGCCTCTGCCTCCTGGGTATAAGCGATTCTCCTGCCTCAGCCTCCTGAGTAGCTGGGATTACAGGCGCCTGCCACCACACCTGGCTGATTTTTTGTATTTTTAGTAGAGATGGGGTCTCACCATGTTGGCCAGGCAGGTCTCGAACTCCTGACCTCAGGTGATCTGCCCACCTTGGTCTCCCAAAGTGCTGGGATTACAGGCATGAGCCAACTCGTCCAGCGCATTGGTCAACACTCTTAACTTCTGACTCTTATTTTCTGTTCTGTAAAATGGGGCTAGCATTGATCCTTTGTTTTTTTTTTTTTTTTTGAGACATGGTCTCATCCAGTCTGGGGAACACTGACATGGTCATGACTCACTGCAGCCTCCATCTCCTGGGCTGAAGCGATCCTCCCACCTCAGCCTCCCAAGTAGCTGGAATTTACAAGCATGCACCCTCACACCTAGCTAATTTTTTTTTTTTTTTTTTTGAGACAGAGTCTCACTCTGTCACCCAGGCTGGAGTACAGTGGTGTGATCTCGGCTCACTGTCACTTCTGCCTCCCAGGTTCAAGTGATTCTCCTGCCTCAACCTCCCAAGTAGCTGGGATTACAGGTGCCTGCCAACACGCCTGGCTAATTTGTGTATTTTTAGTAGAGACGGGGTTTCACCATGTTGGCCAGGCTGATCTCGAACTCCTGACCTCAGTTGATCTACCTCCCTCGGCCTCCCAAAATGCTGGGGTTACAGGCCTGTGGCCTCCAATTTATACCCCTCCCACCCCAGAGCTTGGAGTTCCCAGGGAAGGAAAATCACCCACAAGGTTCCTGTAAGGTTCCTTGGAGTCCAGAGCTCAGAAAGCCTGAACACCCTGCATGGCAGGCCTGGATGAGTCCAGGAGTCCACTGGAGCAGGTCTTCTGGCCTCTGCTCAAGATTATACAGCAAGTGGAATTTTTCTGAACCAAGATGCTGAGCTGGCTCTGCCATGCCTAGGGGTGGAGGTGGAGTAGTATCCTCCCTCCTCCCAAAACCCTCCCCCTCCAGTCAGGAAGGCACTGGAGCCCCGGGCTTGGCTTGCCTCACAGACCCTCAACCCTGAAAAGGCTGAAGTGGGGCTTTTCTGTCTAAGCTCATGCCAGGTTGGCAGGGCAAACCAGGTTTGGCCTTTTCACCCATTATCCTCATTTTAGAGAGAAGAATACGGAAGCTTCAAGAAGCAACCACACAAACAGCCGGGTGTGGTGGCGCACACCTGTAATCCCAGCACTTTGGGAGGCCAAGGTGGGCAGATCACTTGAGGTCAGGAGTTCGAGACCAGCCTGGCCAACATGGTGAAACCCCGTCTCTCCTAAAAATACAAAAATTAATCGGGTGTGATGGCATCCACCTGTAGTCCCAGCTACTCAGAAGGCTGAGGCATGAGAATTGCTTCAACCCGGGAGGCAGAGGTTGCAGCAAGCCAAGACCACACCATTGCACTCCAGGGTGGGTGACTGACCCAGACTCTGTCAAAAAAAAAAAAAAAAAAAAAAGCAACCACACAAACACTTGGACATAAATGTTCATGAATGGTCACACCAGTGCTCATTCACAACAGCCAACAAGTGAAAACAGCCCGAGCCCATCAGCAGATGAATGGATAATAAATTATGGTCTAGACACATGGTAGACTAGCACTTGGCCATAAGAAAAAGAAAAGAAGAAATACTGATTCACGCTACACCCTAGATGAACCCTGCACACATTATGCGAGAATGTTTGCAAGGTCACAGAGAAGAAGCCAGTCCCAAAAACACAGAGGGCATGATTCCATCTCTGAGGCAAATCCTCATAGACAGGGAGTCCACTGGTGGTCACCAGGGCTGGGAAGGAGGGAGAGGGGAGGGCTGCCAATGGGTAGAACGTTTCTTTTTGGGGAATGGAAATGTTCTATAATTGGCTGTGGTGATGGCTGCACAACTCTGTGAATGTACTAAAAACAACTGAACTGAACGCCTTAAGCAGGTGAATTTTATGGTATATGAACGATATCTCAGTAAAGCTGTTACCAAAAAAAAGAAGACGGGGCAGCAAAGTTACCCAAGATGACACAGCTGGGAAGCACCAGACGCCCTGCAGTGCACTCCTTGAGTGCCACCTGCCCCACCTGGGTGAGGGTTGGCAGGCGATGGGGACAGAGGCCCTGCCTCCCTCTCTCTAGGGAGCAGGGCGGTCCTGGCCTCCCAACTGCAGTTTTCCCAGGCCTGGTATTGTGCTTGGCAGTGACAGCCAGTGCTGGGAGGCCATGGAGGGGCAGGGAGGGAAGAGGAGGATGGAGAGGGGGAGATGCAGCTCATGGTGGTTACCAGGGAGACGCGGCTGAGCTGGGGCCTGCTCTGGCCAGCCAGACCTCCCACCCAAGTGACTGTGCGGCTCCAGGGCCTCATGCTAAGTGGGCTGCAGGGATGGGGGAAGAACCCACTGATGATTCTGGGCCAGGGTCGAGGGCAGCCTCCCCATGATGGGCTCTCAGGTGGCAGAGAGACCAGAGAGCAGAAGGGAGGCAGAAGAGCCACAGCAAAGACAGGACCAAGAGGAGGCAGCGAGTTGGCCTCAGGGCAAGAGCTCAGGCAGGGGCAGGAGACAGGCAGCTTCCACAAGGCAGAGAGAACAGGCTTCTCCCCTGTCGCCCATTGCAGCCTCAGTTTCCTTATCTGGGAAATGGGGATCACAAGAATTCCTCCTCCAACAGGCAAGGTGGCTTACGCCAATAATCCCAGCACTTTGGGAGGCCAAGGCAGGAGGATCTTTTAAGCCCAGGAGCTTAAGACCAGCTGGGGCAACATGGTGAAAGCTTGTGTCTATAAAAATTACAAAAATTAGCTAGGCATGGCGGTGGCGCACCTGTAGTCCCAGCTACTTGGGCATCTGAGGCAGCAGGATTGCTTGAACCCAGGAGGTCGAGGCTGCAGAGAGCGGAGATCACGCCTCTGCAGTGCAGCCTGGGGGACAAAGTTAGACACTGTCTTAAAAAAAAAATTAGCTGGGTGTAGTGGTGCATGCCTGTGGTCCCAGCTACTCAGGAGGCTAAGGTGGGAGGACTGCTTGAGCCCAGGAGGTCAAGGCTGCAGTGAGTGGTAATCAAGCTACTGCACTACAGCCTGGGCGACAGAGCAAGACCCAGTCTCAAAAAAAAGAGAGGGAGAGAGAAAAAAAAGACTCTCTCCTCCAAGGGCTCTTTTGAGGATGAAATGAGAATTGAGGTGGGATGTGGGAAGCACTGAGTAGGCGCTGGGCGCTGGGCGAGAGCCTGCCCCTCCTAGACAAGGCTGTGGAATTGGGTGTTGAGGGAAGAGGGAGTGGGGGAAGGAGAGACCCAGCCGAGCTGGGCCAAGCCCACCATTCACTTTCATCCTCTCTTCTTCCCTAAGGATCGCCCACCCCTCAAAGCTCCACAGTCTCTTGTTTTATTTAATTCCTGCAACTGCTCTTCAAGGCTGGTGCTATTATTACCCCACTTTGTAGACAAGAAAATCGAGGCTCAAAGAGGTTAAATCACTCACTCAAGGACACACACCAATCAAAGTCTGAGCCAGAATTTGAATCAGTATGATCTGGAGCCTTCCAGTGGGAAGGCAGGAGTCCTGTGTCCAGGCTCTGTATTGCTATTGACCTACTGTGTGAGCTGGTACAGGGCCTTTCCCTCTCTGGGCCCTGCCAGGGCGTGGGCTTGGAGGAGCTGTACAATGCCCAGCAGCCCGAGAGACCAGAGAGAAGGGAAGATGGAGATACGGAGCAACCCTCCAGTTCAGACCCCCTCTCCAGAGCATTGCTGCCAAAGAGGGCAAGTGAAAATGAGGCTTTCATTGGCTGAATGCCATGTACTGTGCAAAAGTCTTTACAGAAATTATTTTCTACGTTTCAACCTCCCAGTTACCCTATAGAGTTGAAATTACAATTTTTCCATTTTACAGATGAGATAGCTGAGGCTCAGAGAGGTTGAGTGACTTGCCCAAAGTCACACAGCAGGTGACAGAGTCCCAGATCTGTCTAACAGTAAACCAGTGCTCTTCCTGTGAATATAAATTCTGTTCCTGGTTCAGCCAAGATGAGGCTGGAGTTTTTCCAAAAGAACTTTCCCTGAGAAACTAAATGGGAAAATAAACTCCCCCAAGAGCAGAGAAACTGATATGTTTCTAGAACATTTGTTTCCACTCAAACAGAGCTAAAGGCCAGCTCCAGGGGGATTTCGTGTGTCCTTCTGGGGCCATCTCCTGCCAGGAATAATGCCCTTCAGAACGAGCAGTCAGGTAAGAGGGCAGCCTGAGACCCAGACTGCCTGAGTTTAAATCCTTGTTCCACTGCAACCCAGTTTTGTGACCCTCCCTTTTTTTTTTTTTTTTTGAGACGGAGGATCGCTCTGTCGCCCAGGCTGGAGTGCAGTGGCGCGATCTTGGCTCACTGCAAGCTCCGCCTCCCGGGTTCACGCCTTTCTCCTGCCTCAGCCTCCCGAGTAGCTGGGATTACAGGCGCCTGCCACCACGCACGGCTAATTTTTTGTATTTTTAGTAGAGACGGGGTTTCACTGTGGTCTCGATCTCCTGACCTCGTGATCTGCCCGCCTCGGCCTCCCAAAGTGCTGGGATTACAGGCGTGAGCCACTGAGTCCGGTGACCCTCCCCCTTTTTTTTTTTTTTTTTGAGACAGAGTCTCACTCTGTCCCTCAGGCTGGAGTGCAGTGGCGTGATCTCGGCTCACTGCAACCTCTGCCTCCCAGGTTCAAGTGATTCTCCTGCCTCAAACTCCCAAGTAGCTGGCTGGGATTACAGACGCCCACCACCACACCCAGCTAATTTTTGTGTGTTTTTTTTTTTTTTTTTTTTTTTTTTAGATGGAGTCTTGCTCTGTGAACAGGCTGGAGTGCAGTGGCGTGATCTTGGCTCACTGCAACCTCTGCCTGTGGGGTTCAAGCGATTCTTCTGCCTCAGCCTCCTGAGTAGCTGGGACTACAGGCGTGTGCCACCACGCCCAGCTAATTTTTTGTATTTTAGTACAGACAAGGTTTCACCATGTTGGCCAGGATGGTCTTGATCTCCCAACCTCATGATCCGCCCACCTCAGCTTCCCAAAGTGCTGGGATTACAGGCGTGAGCCACTGCGCCCAGCCTTTTTTTTTTTTTTTTTTTTAATCAGAGATGGGGTTTCACCATGTTGGCCAGGCTGGTCTCGAACTCCTGACTGCAGGTGATCCACCCGCCTTGGCCTCCCAAAGTGCTGGGATTTCAGGCATGAGCCACTGCGCCCGGCCAACTCTCCCTTTTTGTGCCTCAGATCCCTCATCTGTCAAATGGGGCTGATCATAACATCCTACCCAGGTTGTCGGGAGGAGCCACAGAGCTGTGTCAAAGGCCCCCCGGCGAGTGTGCATCCCCCTGTCCCCCGGCCCTGAGTTTGGGCTCTGAGCCAAGCTCATCTTCATTTCCCTGCAGAAGGCCAGACCCCAAATGACTGACTCTGCAGACAAAGGGGCCTAGAAGTAAACACAAATGTCAGGCTGTTTGGAGATAACCTGAGGCTGGATGCAGTGTCATGGGGCACTCTGGGTGGTGACTCAGCCTTCTTGGCAGATGAACCACAGCCCATGCTGGGACTCTGCTCCAATTCTCAGCTCCCCTAAAAGGATGCAGAATGGGGCAGGAAATGGTTGTCATGGTTCTCTCTTACTTTTTAATTTTTTGAGACAGGGTATCACTTTGTCACCCAGGCCGGAGTGCAGTGGCACCATCATGGCTCACTGCAGCCTCAGTCTCCCTAAGTGCTAGGATTACAGTGTGAGTCACTGTGCCTGGCCATAGTCCTCTTTTTTTTTTTTTTTTTTTTTGAGATGGAATCTTACTCCGTCACCCAGGCTGGAGTGCAGTGGCATGATCTCGGCTCACTGCAACATCTGCCTCCCGGGTTCAAGCAATTCTCCTTCCTTAGCCTCCTGAGTAGCTGGGATTACAGGCGTGCACCACCACACCCGATTAATTTTTGTATTTTTAGTAGAGATGGGGTTTCACCATGTTGGCCAGGCTGGTCTCAAACTCCTGATCTTGTGATCCACCTGCCTCAGCCTCCCAAAGTGCTGGGATTAAAGGCGTAAACCACCGCACCCATCCTTTTTTTTTTGAGTCTCACTCTGTCTCCCAGGCTGGAGTCCAGTGGCGCGATCTCGGCTCACTGAAACCTCTGCCTCCCGGGTTCAAGTGATTCTCCTGCCTCAGCCTCTCGAGTAGCTGGGATCACAGACGCTCACCACCATGCCCAGCTAATTTTTGTATTTTTAGTAGAGACAGAGTTTCACCATGTTGGCCAGCTGATCTTGAACTCCTGACATCAGGTGATCAACCCCCTTGGCCTCCCAAAGTGCTGGGATTACAAGTGTGAGCCACCGCGCCTGACTGTATGGTCTTCTCTTGACCATGAGTCCTCTCAGTCTGAGCGGATTAGGGAAAGGCAGCCTGGTCAGCCACCCAGTGCTGTGTGACCTGGGGCAGGCACCTGCTCCTCTCTGGACCTCACCTTTCTCTTCAGCTACGTGAATCATCGTTGGTCCAGATGACTAATGAAGGTCAGGCCAATTCTCCTCCGAGGTTTTCAAAAACACATATGTAAATGAAATCAAACTGAGTGCAGGCACCAGAACAACAAACGTGGGGCAACAGCTGTCCTTAGAGCACCCCAGTCCAGCGGGGGGAACAGAAACAGATTATTAAAATGCAGCTTGGGGGCCAAGAGTGGTGGCTCACACCTGTAATCCCAGCACTTTGGGAGGCTAAGGCGGGTGGATCACGAGGTCAGGAGATTGAGACCATCCTGGCTAACACGGTGAAACCCCGTCTCTGCTAAAAATACAAAAAATTAACTGGGCGTGGTGGCAGGCACCTGTAGTCCCAGTCACTGGGGAGGCCTGAGGCCGGAGGATGGTGTGAACCCGGGAGACGGAGCTTGCAGTGAGCCGAGATCGCGCCACTGCACTCCAGCCTGGGCGACACAGCAAGACTCTGTCTCAAAAACAATAATAATTTTAAAAAAGCAGCATTGGAAGTCCTGATGTGAGCCTCAGCCACCATCTAGTGATCTATTGATACTGACCATGTGCCAAGCCCTTTGCCCCATTTTTTCATTTCGTACTCATAAGAACCCGATGCAGTAACTACCATTAGTACACCCATTCTTCTTCTTCTTTTTTTTTTTTTTTAATTGAGATGGAGTCTTGCTGTGTCGCCCAGGCTGGAGTGCAGTGGTGCGATCTCGGCTCACTGCAAGCTCCGCCTCCCAGGTTCCCGCCATTCTCCTGGCTCAGCCTCCCGAGTAGCTGGGAATACAGGTGCCCGCCACCACGCTCGGTTAATTTTTCTTTTTTTTTTTTTGTATTTTTAGTAGAGACGGGGTTTCACCGTGTTAGCCAGGATGGTCTCGATCTCCCGACCTCGTGATCCGCCCGCCTCAGCCTCCCAAAGTGCTGGGATTACAGGCATGAGCCACTGCGCCTGGCTTAGTACACCCATCTTCTAAAGAGTAAACTGAGGCTCAGAGAGGTGAAGAGCCTCGCTGAGCTCTCACAGCAGGTCAGGTGCAGCATATCTGCCCTCTGGAGATGTCTGGGGAGGTGAAGACCAGCCATTCCTTGAGGGTGGCGCCCACCCTCCCCTGGAGAAGGAGGAGTCGGGTGTGGAATTCCTGGGGAGCCAGGACTGGGGCTTTTATTTCTGGCTTTGCGCTGACTCAGACCATGACCTTGGGTGAGTCACTCACCAACTCTGCTAAGCTTAAAAACAACTCCCCCAATAAAAATGTCCCAGCCCCAAGCCCCCATCACAGGGGAGCAGATGGGAGGAATGGGTACGGTGGTTTAAAAATAGAAAGGACGGGGAACACAAGGATGACGCTGGAAGGGCTTCCCGAACATCGGGAGCTTGTGCATGGTGGGCCCTGGGAGAGTGAGAAAACAAACTCAGGACCCCCGGGCAGGAGCTGACACTTCCCTGGCTCCTCCCCCTCCCCCAGCCTCCCAGATGCTCCTTAAAATACATCAGTGCCTGAACTGCTCTTGCAGCCTGAGGTGACCTGATTAAACCTGGTCCTTCCCCCACACAGCCTGTGTGCCTGCGTCTGTGCATGAGGGCTGCCCCAGCCAATACTTGAGCTTAATTATTTAAGAGACCCTGTAGTCCTCCTTGTCACATGCCCAGGCTGCCCTGGGGAACTGCTGTGGTTAAGGCCTTTGGGCTTCTGTGGCTTGGGTGGTGGTGGGGAAACCAGGACGGCACTGGGAGAGCCAAATACGCACCCCAGTCCCACCTGTGCTTGGCTGTGCGACCCTAGGCAAGTCACTTTCCCATTTTGAGACCCCCTAGAGAGAGGAATAGACTGGTCAAAGTCATACATACATACAGCATCTGAACTTGAACTCCAATCAGTGTGACCCCACAGCTTTCTGGTGTGCCATGCCAGCCCCCCAGCCCAGGAGTGTCATTTTGCTGGCTGTGGGGCAGAAGAGCTCCCTACTACTTTTAGCCTCCCATTTTGCTGCTCAGCATGGACAAAGGTCTGAACTGCCCCAAGCCCCATTCCTACAAGGCTCTGGGTCCTGGCTGCCCCAGTTGTGACCGTGGACATGACTGGCTCAGCCAGGTCCTGAGCGCCCTCTACCCCCTAGGGGGCTCTACTCCAGACTGGCTGGCAGGTGTCCCCTCCCCACCAGCCATCTGAGAGTGTCCCCAAGTCCCCCTCAGGGAATCCCCCTGCGCATCCGTGAACATTGCCTAGCCATGTCTCTCCAAGCCTGGGAGAGCCATCTGTGGCCAAAACTGTCCTCTGGCCTTTCCCAGGACACGGGCAGGCAGTTCCTGTCTATACCTGTCTTTTTTTTTTTTTTTGAAGGGGGTGAGGATGGGTCAAGATGGGCAGACACAGAAAACAGACATTTTTGGAGAAGACTTCAAGGAAATGGGGGGCGGCAGGGCAAAGCTGGGAGGAGGAAACATTCAGAATTTGGAGGGTCCAGAGGACTCTGGGATGGAGTCAGGTTTGGGAAACCAGTTCCCCATCCCCCAGAAAGCTGGAGACCCCCTTTCCCAGGGAGAGGCCCCTGCCGGATCACAGCCAGGCAGCATGATGCCAGGCTCTCAGAGAGGTTGCCCACCCCCCACTGGGCATACTTCCTCCTCTCCTACCCCAGCCCCAGTGGATGCAGCAGTTCACACTCTGTATTTATTATTGTTCTCGCTCTGTGTCCCCCTCCCCTCTCCCTGGGAAGAGCCTGCAGGCTGGCAGCTTGGCAGGAACCTGCTGTCTCCTTGTGGGTGCCAGCGTCGCCCCTTATCTCCGCCTGGACTCCTTGTGCCAGGGTCAGGCCATTCATGGGCTTGGCACCAGCCAAGGCCACCCTAAGTCCCTGTATCCCAAGATAGAGGCCTGGCAGGCCCTGACTTATCACCCCTGCCCTCCGGGGGCTGTGCCCTGGCAAGGGTGGAGGTCAGAGCAGACCAGCAGGCAGGCAAGAAGCAAGGGCTCGGGGTGGGGTGGTACCTGGGGGAAGAGAATAACCACACGGAGCCACCTCTCTAAGCCAACTAACACAATTATCCCCATCACACTGGGGAAAAAATAGAGTCAGGATAAGACAGCTGCTCCAGGTCCAACTGTCTGCCTTTCCCAGCCGGTCCCTTCCCAGCCCAACATTCCAGGGGAAGGACCAGCAAGGGTCCCTGCTGCACTCTGCTTTCAGCAACTGGAAGCGGCACTGGGGTTTCTCTGGTCAAGGCGGTCCTCTCTCCCGCTGCTTCCCAGACAGGAGGCTGCGGCTTGGCAGGTATCTGCTGCTCTCTGCCTCCTGAGCCAGACGCAGGTCCCAGACACAGACACAGACACAGACACAGACATGCTCCCACGGGAGCCACACGGCCTCACCTCATTTGGGGGTCACGGGGAGAGAATGAGGGAGGGAGAGACAGGTGGTATCCTCTATACCCCCAACACCCTATCTGTAAGCTGAACTGGGCTGATCCAGCCCCCACCTTCACGTTGTACCTCTCTCCTTCGGCCTGGCCAAAGCCACAGTTTCTGGCACAGTGTCCTCAGGCCCCATCTAGCCCCTCACCTCTCCTGGGCAGCTGGGGTCCAGGCACTGCCTCCTGCGGCGTCCGCGCTCTGTCTCTCTCTGGCTCGTGGAGCTGGCAGGCAGGGGATGGGTCTGGAAGATGTGTGTGTGTGTGTGTGTGTGTGTGTGTGTGTGTGTCTGTGTGTGCTCGCGCGGGCGGTACCTCAGCCCCTCACTCACTCACACGCCTTCCAGCTGACGTCAGGGAGAGCAGGAGGGAGGGATGAGAATTTGTACTCCCTGCTTAAAGGGACACCAGGCTCTGTGGCTCATGGCCCAGACATCACCTCCTGAGTCAGGCACTGCCAGGTGAGAGGCTCAGCTGCGTCTCTCGGGGGCCTTAAAGCTTCTTTTTTTGGAAAGTGGCTTTTATGGTCGGGCCACGGTATAATTTGCCCTGCCCAGTGAGGGCAGCTGCTGAGGAATGCAGGGGAGGAAGAACCTGAGACAGCGCCACGTTCCTGGTAATTAGAGAGCAAGTGGGGTGGTGAGTTTGAGTGTGAGTGTGTGAGTGCACACTGGGGGGCCCCTCGGGGTGGGTGGGCATGAGTGGGGGTGAGTCTGGGAGAATGGAGGTCAGAGCCAAGAGGAGCCCCCCAGAGGGGTCGAGACAAGCCAGGTTCCCAGGGACACCCAGACACTCGTCTCCCCTCCGGACGCTCAGTGGTCCTGCCCTCTGCTAGTACAGACACTGACACGGCTCATCTCTGTCTACCCCTTGTAATATTTCCATGGAATTGAATTGACGAGGACCCCAAGGAAGTGATCGGCTTGAAGGTGCACAGGTGAACACCCCACAGCCTGGGAGGCTCTGAGTAGAGAAGTAGAGAGGGCTGATTGAATTCAGGCACCCAGCCTGTTCTACACCACACGCCCTGGCTTCGAAGTGCTCCGCACTGTCAAGCTGTGTGACCTTGGGCCAGCCCCTGAGGGCCTTTGGAGGTTGAGTGTGTGATGTTCCTAAACCCAGGGCCAGCTGGAGGAGGCCTCCACAAAGGTGCTTCTCTTCGTTCTTCCCATTCCTTCTCAGCCTCAGCTTGGAAAGAAGGAAGCCTTTCCCTGGTGTCTCCTGGTACTACTGAGGCAGGCTGGCATTTTCAAAAGGAGTCTTTTTAAAATAAAAAGGAGGTGGGAGTTAAAAGGGAAACCGCAGAGAAAAATACAAGTAACTAATACAAATAGCTAAGACGCCACAAGAGCTTGCTCTGTTTCAGGCAGCAAGCTTTGCCCTCATTGAAACCTCACAACAATTTAATAATTTATTTTTATCATCCCTACTTTACCGGTGAGGAATTAGAGGCTCAGGGAGGAGGAAGGACTTGACTTGCCTATATTCTTCCAACTGGCTAGAGAGGTACTGGAACCCAGGAGCACCCAGTGTCACCACACGCCCCTGCCCTTCCAGAACCTCTCAGGACAATCAGGCTCAGACAGTCTGGGTTTCTGGTTCTGCAGGAGAGACTGTTGAGAAATGCTGCCTGTGGTTACCTGGGGATGTTCTGAATTATTATTATTTTTTTTAGAGAGTATTGCTGTGTCGCCCAGGCTGGAGGGCAGTGGCTTGATCTCAGCTCGCTGCAACCTCCGCTTCCCGGGTTCAAGCGATTCTCCTGCCTCAGCCTCCTGAGTAGCTGGGACTACAGACACACACCACCACACCCAGCTAATTTTTTTGTATTTTTAGTAGAGACAGGGTTTCACTATGTTGGCCAGAATGGTCTCGATCTCCCGACCTCGTGATCCACCCACCTCAGCCTCCCAAAGTGCTGGGATTACAGACGTGAGCCACCGCGCCCAGCCAGGGTTCTGATTTTATTTCACAGCCCCACCTGAGAACTCTACCCAGAGGAGCCTCCCTTCCCCTTTAAATTCTCCTCTCTCTTTCCTCCTTTTTATTTATTTATTTTTTCTTTTTTGAAACAGGGTCTTGCTTTGTTACCCAGGCTAGAATGCAGTGGCTCAATCACAGTTCACTGCAGCTTCCAACTCCTGGGCTCAAATGATCCTCCCGCCTCAGCCTCATGAGTAGCTGGGACTACAGGGGTGCACCACCATGCCTGGCTAAGTTTTCAAAAAATTTTTATAGAGATGGGGTCTCATTATGTTGCCCAGGCTAGTCTCAAACTCCTGGCCTCAAGCGATCCTCCTACCTTGGCCTCCCAAAGTGCTGGGATAACATCGTCTCTTCTTTCTTCTTTGCCTTCCTCTCCTCCAGCAATAATATCTTTCTTTTTTTTTTTTTTTTTTGAGACGGAGTCTCACTCTGTCGCCCAGGCTGGAGTGCAGTGGTGTGATCTCAGCTTACTGCAACCTCTGCCTCCCGGGTTCAAGCAATTCCCGTGCCTCAGCCTGCTGAGTAGCTGAGACTACAGGCATGTGCCACCACATCTGGCTAATTTTTGTATTTTTAGTAGAGATGAGGTTTCGCCATGTTGGCCAGGCTGGTCTTGTACTCCTGACCTCAGGTGATCCACCTGCCTCGGCCTCTCAAAGTGCTGGAATTACAGGCATGAGCCACTGCGCCTAGCCCCTTGCCTGCTTCTTCTGACAGCTCTATCGGGTTCGGTGGGATGAGGAAACAGCTCAGAGAGCTCGTGGGGCTCCACTGAGTCACGCGGCTCCGAAGTGGAGGAGTGCTGGAGCAGAGGCCCCAAGCCTGATCTCTGGACCTATGTTTTTTTTTTCTTTTTTTTCTTTTTTTTAGACGGAGTCTTGCTCTGTTGCCCAGGCTGGAGTGTAGTGGTGCGATCTTGGCTCACTGCAACCTCCACACCCCTGGTTCAAGCAATTCCCCTGCTTCAGCCTCCTGAATAGCTGGGATTACAGGAGGACGCCACCACGTCCGGCTACTTTTTTTGTATTTTTAGTAGAGACAGGGTTTCACCATGTTGGCCAGACTGATCTCGAACTCCTGACCTCAGGCAATCCGCCCACCTTGGCCTCCCACAGTGCTGGGATTACAGGCATGAGCCACTGCGCCCGGTGGACCTATGTTTTTCAAACACACCAACCTGCCCTCCCAGCAGAAGCGCTGGAGCCATGGTGGACGCTGGCAGTTTTCCCTGGCCACCCTTACTATCCTGTTTGCTGGGAACTGCCTTGATGTTGTCACCTGGGGAATCACCTCTCCCCTCTCTTGGTCTGTAGGACCTCTGGCCCAGGCTTGGCCAACCAGAACTGGCATCAGGACTTGAGCTGGAATGTGGATGCCCAGGCTGGCCCTTCTCCCGGGGGCCCCCATGTTGTTTGAGTGATGGGTTATAAGCTGATTGGCCAGCAGAGGGGGAGTGGCTGGGCGGACATTTCTGCACTCCAGGTGACCTCGGGACCCAGCTTGTCAGGACCTAGAGAGAAGACATCGAGAGGGAAGAAGCTCGGGAGGTTGGAAGGCCCTTGGCTGTATATGAGCTTGGGGTGGCGGAGGAACAGAAAGGAGGCAGTGTCAGGGTACAGGGTGAGGGAAGGGAATGCGGAACATGAGGCAGGGTCCCGGAGGCCAGCTCTCAGGAGGCTGAGGCCCGGCTGCTGTGGCCAAGGCCCTGACCCCTCCCTTCACGTCCAGTCTCCTTTCTCTTGGCCCCTCCCATGGGCTGTTGAACATGTGCCCAGAGCTGCCAGGCAGCCAGAGAGCAGTGAATGAAGGAGGCTGGGCCGAGCATTGAAGCAGTGTTATGATTATTCCTGAGCCGGCGATGAGAGGGCACAGCTGTTCATTCAGGAAGAGAGCAGCCGCAGCCCCACCCACCCACCCACCAGCAGCTGAGTAACAAAGAAATCGTCTGGCTGAAACCAGGGGCTCCGGCGTGGAGGCTATTTTTGTGAAAAGCTGAGAATTCAAAAGCTCATCTCCTCGAAAGCCTCCCTTGCCTTGGAGAAGCCGAAGAGGTGGGTTAGAGCCAAATAGCCCCTGCGACTACTGATTCCACCTGAATTACAATTCTCACTCCTGTTATCGACGGTCAGCCCACCTGTGGTGGCCAGGCCTGGACCTATGTGGCATTGAATCCACATCCCTTTGAGATACATACACCTCTAAGGTGTTGGTGCCGTGTGACAAGATGATGAGGATGCTCAGGCACAGAGCATCACAGCTGGTGATGGAGCTGGTATTAAAACACAGAGGTTCAGCCAGGCGCGGTGGCTCATGCCTGTAATCTCAGCACTTTGAGAGGCTGAGGCGGGAGGATCACGAGGTCAAGAGATCGAGACCATCCTGGACAACATGGTGAAACCCTGTCTCTATTAAAAGTACAAAACTAGCTGGGCATTGTGACAAGTGCCTATAGTCTTAGCTATTCGGGAGGCTGAGGCAGGAGAATCGCTTGAACCCGGGAGGCGGAGGTTGCAGCGAGCCAAGATCGCGGCACTGCACTCTTAGCCTGGCGACAGAGCAAGAGTCCGTTTCAAACACACACACACACACACACACACAGAGATTCTGGCTTCATTACATTCCTATTCTTCCTGCCATGCCACACTGTCTTTGAAATGTCTTTTCAATCCCCTAGATGCCCATCTCCCCTACAGTGGGACTCACCTCCAACCTGGACTCAGTAAATCAGAGTGGTCCTTCCTTCCTCTCTCCTTGTCTCCCACTTGTCTCCTCCAATCCGACTACCACCCTTCTGCCAGGGAAGATCTTTTCCTGCAGATCTGACCACATCATTTGTGCATTCATTCATACGTTCAGCAAATATTTATTGCCTGCCTACCATGTACCAGATGGCCAAGGCTCCAGGAAGACAGCGGCAGACAACGCAGGTGAGCTCCTTGAGTTCATGGAGCTCGCATCTCATCTACAAATGATACAGATGATACAAAATCCACAGACAAATGTAGAATCACAAGTTACAAAAATAAAAAATAAGGGGGTTGGGTGTGGTGGCTCACACCTGTAATCCCAGCACTTTGGAAGGCCGAGGTGGGTGGATCACAAGGTCAAGAGATCAAGACCATCCTGGCGAACATGGTGAAACCTCGTCTCTACTAAAAGTACAAAAATTAGCTGGGTGTGGTGGCGTGTCCCTGTAGTATCAGCTACTCGGGAAGCTGAGGCAGGAGAATCGCTTGAACCCGGGAGGCAGAGGTTGCGGTGAGCCAAGATCACCCCACTGTACTCCCGCCTGGCAACAGAGCGAGACTCCCTCTCAAAAAAAAAAAAAAAAAAGGCAGGGAAGGGAACACCCAGAGGGGAGAAACAACTCTGCACATTCAAGCAACTTACGATTGCAGATGTGGCTGGAACAGCATGTAGGAGAAGGGCAGCAGCCACATCGTATGGGATTTGGGGGACCTGATGAGAGGTCTGCTCCTCATCTGAAATGAGAGGGGAAAGAATGACATGCTTCTGCCAACAAACAGCATAGCTGGCAACCTGGCAGAGCCTCTTTGTGGCCAGCAGGCTTCAGAGCTTGGCACCCTTGTCTGGGGTAGCAATCACTGCAGGCAGAAGAATGGGGGAGGTGAGGGGGTTCCCCCAGCTGAGGTCCCTGGGCCGTGGGGCAGGGTCTCCTTCTGCAGCTGCTGCTCAGACTCCTTCCAGAATTCCTCCCAGGTCCGTGGGAGTAGCTCTCTGTGATGGGTAGCGGGCTCTGGCCCAGTCAACCTCCCCCGCACCCTGCCCTGAGATCCTGAGGCTGGGGTAGCAGTCTGTCTCCTGGCTGCTCCAGGGCTGGTCTGGGCTGTGAGCCAAGTCTCCCTCAGCCATCCATCCATTCACACACACTCCTGGGCCCTCTGGGCCATAGGCCTCCAGCCTTCTCAATGCTGAGGGTTCCCCTTCGTCCTCACCTTCTGAACAAAGCTATAGCTGGTGCCCTGGTGAGGGCAGTGGTCTCTAGTTATGCCCCATCATGTTATCCATGTGACCCTCTCAATGGCACCACCTGGAATGATCTCCCTACGTGTCTATTTCCATTTCCTGTCAGTCCCCCCAGAGCACAGGACCCTATAGGAGGGCCTCTGAGGCCCTCACCAAATACCTGGTGACTCTCTGCATTTCACTTTTGGCCCAAGCCAAACCAGGGAGCAGCATCCTGGGTGACATCTGGATGTCTAGTGGTTTTTATTTTTATTTTTATTTTTTGAGATGGAGTTGCTGCGACACCCAGGCTGGAGTACAACGGTGCAATCCCAGCTCACTGCAACCTCCACCTCCTGGGTTCAAGCGATTCTCCTGCCTCAGCCTCCTGAGCAGCTGGGATTACAGGCACCTGCCACCACACCTGGCTAATTTTTGTATTTTTAGCAGAGATGGAGTTTCACCATATTGGCCAGCCTGGTTTGAACTCCTGACCTCAAGTCATTTGCCAGCCTCGGCCTCCCAAAGTGCTGGGATTACAGGTGTGAGCCACCGCACCTGGCCCAGGATGTCTAGTGTTTAGGCCTTTTCTAGAATCTCCTTTCCCAGTGGCACTTCTGCCTGTGCCTTGGCCTCCATGCAGGGACTTTTGTTGTTGTTGTTGTTGTTGTTTTGAGATGGAGTCTCGCTCTGTCACCCAGGCTGGAGTAGTGCAGTGGCGCAATATCGGTTCACTACAAGCTCCGCCTCCCGGGTTCAGGCAATTCTCCTGTCTCAGCCTCCCGAGTAGCTGGGACTACAGGCGCCCACCACCATGCCCGGCTAATTTTTTGTATTTTTTAGTAGAGACGGGGTTTCACCGTGTTAGCCAGGATGGTCTCGATCTCCTGACCTTGTGATCCGCCCACCTCGGCCTCCCAAAGCGCTGGGATTATAGGTGTGTGAGAGAGGTTTTAAAAGTACCCAAATAAATAAGGCCAGGCACGGTGGCTCACGCCTGTAATCCCAGCACTTTGGGAGGCTGAGGCGAGTGGATCACCCGAGGTCAGGAGTTCAAGACCAGGCTGGCCAACATGGCAAAACCCTGTCTCTACTAAAAATACAAAAATTAGCCAGGAGTGGTGGCACGTGCCTGTAATCCCAGCTACTCAGGAGGCTGAGGCAGGAGAATGGCGTGAATCCAGGAGGCGGAGCTTGCAGTAAGCAGAGATCGTGCCACTGCACTCCAGCCTTGGTGACAGAGCGAGACTCCATCTCAAAAAGAAAAAAAAAAAGTTGGACATGGTGACAAGTGCCTATAGTTCCATCTACTGGAGAGGTTGAGACAGGAGGATTCCTTGAGCCCAGGAATTCACTGCACTCTGCTGGGCAACAGAGCAAGACCTGTCGAAAAAAGAAAAAAAAGCCTAACAAACAAAAATAGCTTAATAAATAAATAATGTCATGTTGGAAGACTAGGAATGCTAGCCTAGGCAATGCCAGGGAAAATTAAACAGGGAAGTGTGGGGATGGTGGTGAGTGGTTAAACCAGGGGGTCAAGGCTGGGCTTGGTAGCTCACACCTGTAATCCTGGCACTTTGGGAGGCTGAGGCAAGAGGATCGCTTGAGCTCAGGAGTTTAAGACCAGCCTGGGCAACATAATGAGACTTTGTCTCTACAAAATAAATAAACAAAAATAAAACAGGGGGCCAGGGCAAGCCTCACCAAGGTGACGTTACAGCAAGGAGCTGGAGGAGGTGACTGGAAGGGTGTTCAGCGAGAGGAAACGGCACAGGTGGAGGACCTGAGTGGGGGTGGGTCTGGGGTGTCTGAAAAACAGCCGCCAGGCGGAGGAGTGGGGCATGAGGTTGGAGGAGTCCTGGGGCAGGGGGACCCCAAGGGCTGTGAAGGCCATCCTGAGGCCTGGGCTTTTTCCTCTAGGGAGATGGGGTGTTGCACAGTCTGCAGGGGAAGAGAGAAAATTCCTGACTGACACTGAAACAGCAATTCTCTGGCTTCTGTGTTGCCTGTAGGCGGCAGGGCGTGAGGACAGGAACCTGGAAACCTGTACTGGGGCTGCTGCGATGGCCCGGGGAGGATTGAGGGTGGCTGGGACCCAAAAATGGCAGTGGAGTTGATGGAGAAAGGTTGGATTCTGGATGCATTTTGGAGACAGCAACAACAGGATTTGCTCAGGGATTCACAAAGAGTGTGAGAGACAAAGAGTGGAGAATGATTCTGAAGCCTGGACCTGAGCAACGAAGAGTGGAGAAGTCATTTTCTAAGACAGGGAAGAGGCTGGGCGCAGTGGGTCACGCCTATAATCCCAACACTTTGGGAGGCTGAGGCAGGAGGATTGCTTGAGCTCAGTTCAAGACCAGCTTGGGCAACACGGCAAGACCTCATCTCTAAAAAAAATACAAAAATGAGGCTGGGCGCAGTGGCTGATGCCTGTAATCCCTGCACTCTGGGGGGCCAAGGCGGGCGGATCACCTGAGGTCAGGGATTCGAGACCAGCCTGACCAACATGGTGAAACCCTGTCTCTACTAAAAAAATTCAAAAAATTAGCCAGGCGTGGTGGCACATGCCTGTAATCCCAGCTACTTGGGATGCTGAGCCAGGAGAATCACTTGAACCCTGGAGGCGGAAGTTGCAGTGAGCCGAGATCACACTATTATACTCCAGCCTGGGCAACAAGAGTGAAACTCTGTCTCAAAAATAAATAAATAAATAAATAATAAATAAATATAAAAAATACAAAAATTAGCTGAGTATGGTGGTGCACGCCTGTAGTCTCAGCTACTGGAGAGGCTGAAGTGGGAGGATCTCAATACTACATTCCAGCCTTGGCGACAGACCTTGTCTCAAAAAAAAAAAAAAAAAAAAAGAGACAGGGAAGATGAATAAGAGCAGGTTTGTTGGGAGGGCCAGCCAGGAGTCCCACTGTGACGCATGTTAAACTCGAGTGACCAGATGGAGCTGTGGAGTCCGTGCTCAGGGAGAGAGGCTAGGCTGGCAGGAAGGGGTGGAGACATGAGCGGCAGGTGCTGTGTGGAGGCATGGTACCCGCAGGAGTGTACCCAGAACCGAAAGTGAGCCCAAGGCCCACCATTGTTGTGAGGCCGAGAGAGGAGTCTGTGAGGTGGGTGGAGAACATGGCTGGGCCACAGGGGAAAGGGTGTCTGACCTTCTGGGACAAAAACTGCCACTGAGGACAGAATTACCACTGATTTGGCAACACGGAGTCCATTAATGACCCTCAGGAAGCATATTCCCTGGAGCAGCAGGGGCAGAACCCTGGCTGAAGCAGGTCGGAGAGAGAAGAGAGGTTTGGAAGGGACCCAACAAGTACAGACGACTGTTTCAAGCAGTTTTGCTAGTAAAGGGAGCAGAAAAATGGAGCATTCACTGGAGGAAAAGGGAGCCAGGAAAGGGGGCCAAGAGAAGCTTTTTTTTTAAGATGTGAAAAAAAATCTTAATTGCTTTTTAAATTTTGTTTTATTCATTTTGAACAGGTAATATAGTCCCATGATCCCACACAAAGAAGATTCCTGGCCGGGCACAATGGCTCACACCTCTAATGCCAGCACTTTGGGAGGCCGAGGAGGGAAGATCACTTGAGCTCAAGAGTTCGAGACCAGCGTGGGCAACATAGTGAGACACCATTCCTACAAAAATAAAAAATAAAAAAATTAGCCGGGTGGAGTGGTACGTGCCTATAGTACACAGCTACAGCCATGCAGGAGGCTAAGACTGGGGGATTGCTTGAGCCCAGGAGTTTGAGGCTGCAGTGAGCTATGATCACACTGCTGCACTCCAACCTGGATGACAGAGTGAGACCTTGTCTCTCTCTCTCTCTGTTTTTTGTTTGTTTGTTTGTTTGTTTGTTTGTTTTTTAGACAGAGTTTCGCTCTTGTTGCCCAGGCTGGAGTGCAATGGCATGACCTCGGCTTGCTGCAACTTTTGCCTCCTGGGTTCAAGTGATTCTCCTGCCTCAGCCTCCCGAGTAGCTGGAATTAGAGGCGCCCGCCACCATGCCCGGCTTATTTTTTGTAATTTTAGTAGAGATGGGGTATGTTGGCCAGGCTGGTCTCGAAATCCTGACATCAGATGATCTAGCCGCCTCGGCCTCCCAAAGTGCTGGGATTACAAGTGTGAGCCACTGCGCCGGGCCAAGACCTTGTCTCTTTAAAAAAAAAAAAAAAAAAAAAAAAAGATTCCAAAGTGCATTTAGGAAAAAATTCTCTCCCCTCCCACTGCCCCTCACCCCGCTTCAGCTGTTCATTCCTTACTCCGGAGACAACCAGTGTAATCCACTTCTTATGAACCCTTCAGAGCTATTTTCTGCATAAAATAATATTAGATAATTATTTTTCTCCCTTTTTTACACAAATGGTAACATCCCATTACACCATTACACAGTGCTCTGCACCTTGTATTTTTGGATTTAACAATATATCCTAAATATCATTCTATATCAATACACAAAGGACATTCTCATTCTTTTTCATGGCTTCACATTTTTCTGGTATGTGATGTACCATGTTTTTTTTTTCAGCCAGCACTCTGCTGATGGACAGTCATTTGAGATGGGATCTATTGCTGCTTCCCTTTTACAGAGAGGCCGTGGGGCACTGAGAGGGTCATGGGCATCCCTGCAGGTGCTCAACTCGTGTGCTGTGGCATGGAAATGCTATGCTCCTAGTCATCCTGAGTGACTCTCTTTCTCCTGCCTTGGTGAGTTTCCAGCCCTATTTCTCCCTCACTCCTATACTTTCAGCAATTCTTTTTTTTTTTTTTTTTTAGACAGAGTCTCACTCTGTCGCCCAGGCTGGAGTGCAGTGGCATGATCTCAGCTCACTGCAACCTCTGCCCTCCAAGTTCAAGCGATTCTCCTGCCTCAGCCTCCTGAGTAGCTGGGATTATAGGCACATGCCACCGTGCCTGGCTAATTTTTTGTATTTTTAGTAGAGATGGGGTTTCACCATCTTGGCCAGGATGTTCTTGAACTCCTGGCCTTGTGATCCACCTGCCTTGGCCTCCCAAAGTGCTGGGATTACAGGCGTGAGCCACTGCGCCCGGCCAATTCTTTTATTATTATTTTGTTCATTCAAATAACATGTATCAGACACTGGGTTAGGCCAGAGCACATGCAGGGACGCAATAGGTAGAGAAGCTCTGTGGTCACGGAGCTTGAAAATGAAGCCACTTGTGGTGGTTTTTTTTTTGTTGGTTTTTTTTTTTTTTGAGACGGAGTCTCGCTCTGTCACCCAGGCTGGAGTGTGGTGGCACGATCTCGGCTCACTGCAAGCTCTGCCTCCCGGGTTCACGCCATTCTCCTGCCTCAGCCTCCTGAGTAGCTGGGACTACAGGCTCCCGCCACCACGCCCGGCTAATTTTTTGTATTTTTGGTAGAGACGGGGTTTTACCATGTTAGCCAGGATGGTCTTGATCTCCTGACCTTGTGATCTACCTGTTTTGGCCTCCCAAAGTGCTGGGATTAGAGGCGTGAGCCACTGCGCCCGGCCCGCTTGTGTGTTTTTGTACCTCAAACCTTCCATGGAGCAACATGGAGAATTCATAAAGAGGCCTGATCTCTGGTTTTACCAATGAGTAAACCAAACGTGCCAACACATCACTGTTGCAATCCTGTGAGCGGAATACTGTAACAGTAGCCTGGTAACCCACACACTGACCGCTTCAGCTCTGGCCCCTTGCCCCCAGCCTGGCCCCGCTGCAGTTTCCCATCTCAGAGGTGAAGGCTAAAGCCCACAGGCGTCGGCTCCTCCCACTTCTGTCCTCCAGGTCATCCCACCCATTCCACCCCCTGAAGACCTCTGGACTCTGACCAGCGTTACTCTCCATGGCTACCAGCCTTGCTCTGACCATCTCTTGCTGCGGCCACACAATAACCTCCTTCCTGGTCCTGCCTCCGCTCCAGCCCCTTCCCATTTGCTGTCTACCCAGGTGATATGTCCCTGTGTTATTTTCCTATCCTAGCCTTCTTTTTTTTTTTTTCTTTTGAGACAGTGCTTCACTCTTGTCACCCAGGCTGGAGTGCAATGGCGCAATCTCGGCTCACTGCAACCTCTGCCTCCCAGGCTCAAGTGATTCTGCCTCAGCCTCCTGAGTAGCTGGAATTACAGGCATGCGCCACCATGCCCAGTTAATTTTGTATTTTTAGTAGAGACAGGGTTTCACCAGGTTGGCCAGGCTGGTCTCGAACTCCTGACTTCTAACGTCATGGCGGGGCACAGCCTGGTGGTCGTGATTAGGGACTCTGGGGCCTGGGTCCCAGGTTTGCCACTTACTGGCTGTATGACCTTGAATGACCTACTTAACCTCTGTTTACCTTAGATGAGGCAAAATGAGACAATTGGGCAAGTGAGATAACGATGATAGCTCCTACTGTATACAGCTGTTCTGAGGATCAAACTTAATGCATATAAAGCACCTAAGTAGTACTTGACATATAGTAAGTGCTCATGAATGTTAGCTGTTAATATAATCATAAGGCCCTCTGATCTGGATGCTGCTTAGGTCTCTAACCTCTTAGCTTACCAGTTGTCATCTCCCATGTAAATCAGCCCGAATATTATTATTTATTTCAGAGACAGAGTCTTGCTCTGTCACCCAGGCTGGAGGGCAGTGGCATGATCAAAGCTCACTGAAGCCTCAAATTCCTGGGCTCAAGCAATCCTCCCAACTAAGCCTCCCAAGTAGCTAGGACTACAGGCAAGTGCCATCACACCCAGCTAATTATTTTATTTTTTTAGTAGAGACAGTATCTCACTTTGTTACCCAGGCTGGTCTCAAACTGACCTTAAGCAATCCTCCTGCCTCGGCCTCCCAAAATGTTGGGATTATAGGCATGAGCCACTGTGCCTGGCTCCAAATACTTTTAATTACCTGAGAGTACAAACTCGCTCTTTCTCTCAGTGCCCACCCTGCTGCCCCCCAACTCCAGCACCAAGTGCTCTGAGTTGAAGCTCGGTTTGAGGCCCAGTTTTTCTTCTGCATTGCATCTCCAACAACTGTACACAACAGTATGTTGAATGAATGCACGAATGAATGAGAACAGCATCACATGTGGGTTCTGTTTTGGGCTGTTCTCACGTTGCTATAAAGAAATACCTGGGCCTGGCGTGGTGGCTCACGCCTGTAATCCCAGCACTTTGGGAGGCCGAGGCAGGCAGATCACCTGAGGTCATGAGTTTGAGACAAGCCTGGTCAACATGGTGAAACCCCGTGTCTACTAAAACTACAAAAATTAGCCAGTCGTGGTGGCATGTGCCTATACTCTCAGCCACTCAGGAGGCTGAGGCAGGAGAATCGCTTGAACTCAGGAGGCGGAGGTTGCGGTGAGCTGAGATGGCACCTCTGCACTCCAACCTGGGTGACACGCACAAAAAAAAAAAGAAAGAAAAAAGAAATACCTGGCTGGTAGTGGTGGCTCATGCCTGTAATCCCAGCACTTTGGGAGGCCGAAGCTGAGGATCACTTGAGGTCAAGAGTTTCAGACCAGCCTGGCCAACATGGCAAAACCTTGTCTCTACTGAAAGTACCAAAATTATCCAGGTGTGGTGGTGCACGCCTGTAATCCCAGCTAGTCTGGAGGCTGAGGCAGAAGAATCGCTTGAAATGGGGAGGTGGAGGTTGCAGTGAGCCCTGATAGCGCCACTGCACTCCAGCCTGGGCAACAGAGCTGGTTAATTTATAAAGAAAATAGGCTGGCTGGGCACGGTGGCTCACGCCTGTAATCCCAGCACTTTGGGAGCCCAAGGCGGGTGGATCATGAGGTGAGGAGATCGAGGCCATCCTGACTAACACGGTGAAACCTCATCTCTACTAAAAATACAAAAAACTAGCTGGGCGTGGTAGCGGGTGCCTGTAGTCCTAGCTACTTGGGAGGCTGAGGCAGGAGAATGGCATGAACCCGGGAGGTGGAGCTTGCAGTGAGCCGAGATCATGCCACTGCACTCCAGCCTGGGCGACAGAGCAAGAATCCGTCTCAAAAAAAAAAAAATAGGTTTAGTTGGCTCATGGTTCCACAGGCTTTACAGCAAGCATGGTACTGGCATAGGCTCAGCTTCCAGGGATGCCTCGGGAAGCTTCCCATGATATCGGAAATCAAAGGAGGAGCAGGCACATCACATGGGGAAAAGAGGAGCAAGAGAGAGAGTGGGAGGAGGGAGGTGCTACACACTTTTTTTTTCAAGATGGAGTTTTGCTCTTGTTGCCGAAGCTGGAGTACAATAGCGCGATCTCTGCTCACCAGAACCGCCACCTCCTGGGTTCAAGCGATTCTTCTGCCTCAGCCTTCCTGAGTAGCTGGGATTACAGGCATGCGCCACCACGCCCGGCTAATTTTGTATTTAGTAGAGACGGGGTTTCTCCATGTTGGTCAGGCTGGTCTTGAACTCCTGACCTCAGGTGATCCGCCCACCTTGGCCTCCCAAAGTGCTGGGATTACAGGCATGAGCCACACGCCTGGCCACCACACACTTTTTTTTTTTGAGACGGAGTCTCACTTTGTCGCCAGGCTGGAGTGCAGTGGTGTGATCTCAGCTCACTGCAACCTCTGCCTCCCGGGTTCAAGTGATTCTTCTGCCTCAGCCTCCCAAGTAGCTGGGACCACAGGCGCGTGCCACCACGCCCGGCTACTTTTTTTTTTTTTTTTTTTTTTTTGTATTTTTAGTAGAGACAGAGTTTCACCGTGTTAGCCAGGATAGTCTCAATCTCCTGACCTTGTGATCCACCCACCTCGGCCTCCCAAAGTGATGGGATTACAGGTGTGAACCACCACGCCTGGCCCCGCCACATACTTTTAAATGACCAGATATTGGCTAGTCACGGTGGCTCATGCCTGTAATCTCAGCACTTTGAGAGGCCAAGATGGGGGGGATCACCTGAGGTCAGGAGTTCGAAACCAGCCTGGCCAACATGGTGAAATCTTATCTAAAAATACAAAAGTTAGCTAAGTGTGGTGGTGGGCACCTGTAATTCCAGCTATTTGGGAAGCTGAGGCAGGAGAATCGCTTGAACCCAGGAGGTGGAGGTTGCATTGAGCTGAGATCATGCCACTGCACTCCAGTCTGGGCGACAGAGCAAGATTCCGTCTCAAAAGAAAAAAAAAAGAAAAGGCCTGAACCGAAGCAATAGCAGTGGGAGTGGAATGAAGAGGAAACATTTGAGAGGAAGAATTAATGGTAATCCCTAAACACCTTTACTCAATGCTTCCTAGGAATGTGTTAGGGGATTGTGGGAATAAAGAGCTGAAGTAGCATTTGCTGCTGTCCTCAAGTACCTCAAATCCTATAGAAGCACACCTAAAAATAAAATCATAGATGCAGGGAAGGCCACATTTAGCATCACTGCAGCCAGTGTCACTGAGAGATCACTATGCTTGTGAAATCAGCAAATTAAGGCACCATACATTTCCAAGTGCCTCTGTCATTTACCCCAAGTATCTTTTGTAAGTACCTAAATTGTTATTTTGGTTAAAACACACTACAAGCCCGGGCGCGGTGGCTCACACCTGTAATCCCAGCACTTTGGAAGGCTGAGGTGGGCAGATCATGAGGTCAGGAGATCGAGACCATCCTGGCTAACACGGTGAAACCTCGTCTCTACTAAAAAAAAATACGAAAAATTAGCCAGGCGTGATGGTGGGCGCCTGTAGTCTCAGCTACTCGGGAGGCTAAGGCAGGAGAATGGCGTGAACCCGAGAGGCGGAGCTTGCAGTGAGCCAAGATCGCGCCACTGCACTCCAGCCTGGGCGACAGAGCGATCCTCCGTCTCAAACAAACAAACAAACAAAAAAACCCACTACAGTATACATCTACACCCCACCAATTTTTAGAGGCAGGGTAGTGAGGTTCAGACTGGGCCCACCTCTACCACTTGTCAACACGTGATCTTGGGTAAGCTACCAAATTCTCTTAGCCCATGCTATCACGTGAAGATGAATGAGACTGGAATGTCAGCGAGACAGAGCATGATGGGGCTATAGGAGGGGGGTATGGTCAGATCTTGCAGGGCCGTGTGAACTACCATAAAGGTTTTGGACTTTTCTTCTTTCTTTCTTCTTTTCTTTCTTCTTTCCCTTTTCTTTCTTCTTTCTTCTTCTTCTTCTCCTTCTTCTTTCTTCTTCTTCCGCCTCTCCTTCTTCTTCTTTTTCGTTTAGACATGAGGTGTCACTGTCACCCATGCTAGAGTGCAGCATGCAACCTCAAACTGCAACCTCAAACTCCTGGACTCAAGCGATGCTGCTGTCTCAGGCTTCTGAGTAGGTGGGACTACGGGTGTACACCACCACGCCCGGCTTGGATCTAGTATTCTAAGTTCAATGGGTTGTGTTTTTTGTTCCAATTTATTATAACTTTTCAATTGGAACATAATGTCTACAAATAAATGCAAAAATCTTGCCGAGTTCAATTAGTTTGGACAATTATATACGTCAATGTTATACCACCGAAAACAAAATACAGAACATTTCCATCATCTCAGAACAGTCCCAAGTGCCCCTTTCCTGCTAATTCTCCTTGTCTCCGGAACACTTAAGGGTGCTAAGCATGTTATGTTTGCGGTGGGTTTTTTTTTTAACTTAGATGTGGTAATATATGTTTGCGTTTCCAAAGGATCACTCTGGCTGCCGAGCAGAGGACAGCAATGCGGGTAAAGCACAGGCCAGGCGAGGGATAATCAGGCGGGATTGCACGGAGGTCGCCTAGCAACAGAAAGCGCTGTCGGGGGCGGGGGAACCGCTCTGCTCCTGTGAAAGGAGGAGGCCCCGCCCTCTCCTCGCCCTCTCTCTGCCCCACGCTGTGCGCGAGCACACAGGCAGCCCCGCCCCGCCTCGGCGGGGTGGGGGTGGACAGAGGTTTCTTATTGGTGAGTTTTCCGGAAGCGATGGATTCGGAATCTCGCCCGCAGTCGCGCAAGCGCGAGCGGCTGTGCGCGGTGCGTGGTGCGTGGTGCGTGATACGAGCGGCGGCACGTGGCGCGGGTGCGGGGCGTGGAGTGGCGTGGCGTGGAGTGGCGTGGCGTGGCGGGGTCTCGCGGCGCGGGCGCGCACCCGGAGCTGTGGACGGAGAGTGCCTCCCTCTGGCCTCAGTTTCCTCATGTTGTAGTAGCGGAGCATGGCCCGGACCGGGCCCCCGAGACCGCCCCGTGCAACCTCACCGCCAGCCTGGGGGCCTCAGCGACTGGGACGGGACCAAGGGGCTCGGGGATTCTCCCTGCCCCCGGCCCTGGTGCGTGACTGACCCTCCTGTTCCCAGAGCCCCCAGCGCAGGCCGGGATGTTCGTCCTGGTGGAAATGGTGGACACCGTCCGGATCCCCCCTTGGCAGTTTGAGAGGAAGCTCAACGACTCCATTGCCGAGGAGCTGAACAAGAAGTTGGCCAACAAGGTACTGGGCCCACGGCTCGCGGGCAGGCCTTGGCGTGGGAGAGCGAGCGCCGCCCACTGGCCGCAGGCCCGGCCTCGGTCATGCCAAGCCCTGGCCGTGGGCAAGCAGCTTAATGTCTCAGAACTTTTCTTCACCGTGAAAGGAGATATTGAAGGGGATCAAAAGAAAATGGGCTTGAAAAAGGGAGTTGTAACTGGAAGTGTTAGATTCCACAATTCTAAATTACTTTGCAATTGCAGGCAAGTTACTGACCCCTTCTGGGCCTCAGTTTCCATTTTTAAAATGGGGATAAAATATTGCTGTCCTTCCAGCCATGCATTGTTTTTGTTGTTGTTGTTGTTTGTTTTGTTTTGTTTTGTTTTTTGTTTTTGAGACGGAGTCTTGCTCTTTCGTCCAGGCTGGAGTGCAGTGGCGCGATCTCGGCTCACTGCAACCTCCGCCTCCCGGGTTCAAGCGATTCTCCTGCCCCAGCCTCCCGAGTAGCTGGGACAACTACAGGCGCGCGCCACCACCCCCAGCTAATTTTTGTATTTTTCGTAGAGACGGGGTTTCACCATTTTGGCCAGGATGGTCTCGATCTCTTGATCCCCCCGCCTCGGCCTCCCAAAGTGCTGGGATTACAGGTGTGCGCCATCGCCTCGGGTCAATGCATTGTTTTCGTGAAGATGGAGAGTTCTAGTAGTACAGAATTAACTGTCAGGAGGTTCATCCCTTCATTCCAGCAGCCAATATTTGTGCGCCTTCTCTGTGCTGTGCCTGTGTGCCTTAGTACCAGCTGAGAGGTCTTCCCACTGCCGTTTCTTTGACAGTCCTCCCTTTCCAGGTATTCTGTGTCACATCACTCTCTTTCCTTCTTAGACTTTTTCCTTTCCCTCTCCTTGAGAGCAGGGACCTTATCTGCCTTCTTCCCTGAAGTATCCCCTCATTTAGCCAAAGCCTGGCGGGAGTAGATGTCCCATAATTTTCTGTTTTGTGTTTGTGTGTGTGAGACAAGAGTGCCGCTCTTGTCGCCCAGGCTGGGGTGCAATGAAGCGATCTTGGCTCACTGCAACCTCCACCTCCCAGGTTCAAGCTATTCTTCTGCTTCAGCCTCCTGAGTAGCTGGGATTACAGGCACCTGCCACCACACCTGGCTAATTTTTGTACTTTTAGTAGAGACGGGGTTTCACCATGTTGGCCAGGCTGGTCTCAAACTTCTGACCTCAGGTGATCTGCCTGCCTCAGCCTCCCAAAGTGCTGGAATTACAGGTGTGAGCCACCGTGCCCGGCCATTTGTTGACTGAATGAATGAAACAGAGACAAGGCTCTGTGCTATAGTGTGGTGGGAAAGCAGATATGAATGAGAAGGGTCCACAGTTGAGTGTTTGGTGACAAATTGAGGTAAATGTTATGAGGGACAGGTGTTCACACACCTGTGGAACAAAGGAACGTCCCCTGGAATGAGGGGACCTGCAGCTTTGTTGAGGAGGTGGGGTTGAAGGTGAGATCTGATGGTGAAGTGGAGCCAACCAGAGGATTCCTTTCTAGGGTGGGAGGGGGCTGGGTGGAGAGAAGAGCCCTGAAGGCAGGAACTGGCATGTGCAAAGGCCCTGTGAAGAAGGAATACAGGCCGGGCGTGGGGGCTCACACCTGTAATCCCACCACTTTGGGAGGCTGAGGCGGGTGGATCACCCAAGGTCAGGAGTTTGAGACCAGCCTGTCCAACATGGTGAAGCCCCATGTCTACTAAAAATACAAAAAATAGCTGGGCATGGTGGCAGGCACCTGTAATCCCGGCTACTTGGGAGGCAGAGGGAGAAGAATCACTTGAACCCAGGAGGCAGAGGTTGCAGTGAGCTGAAATCGCACCACTGCCTTCCAGCCTGGGTGACAAGAGTGAAACTTCGCTTCAAAAAAAAAAGAAGAAGGGGTAAAATACCCACCATGGTGTGGAAGAGGCTGGTGTGGCTTGGGCAGAGGGGAGGGTGGGCTGGACAGGTGGGTGGGGGCCAGGCCACACAGCCCTGTAGGATGTCGGAGTTGAGGTATTGGTCTTTATCCGTGGAGCATCAGAAGGTGATGGGCTGAGAAGGAGCCAGAAAGAGGATGCTTAGCTGGCTTTACGCATGAGACAGGTCCCTTCAGAAGAGGTGAGGTTGATTTGGGGGTTGCTAGATAGTGAAGGGAACTCATGGAGTCTTTAAGTGGATGGCTTCTGGTTACTTTGTGAGGTTGAAGATGAGGGTCTGTTGGGGGATGGAGGTGTGGACCTTGAGAGAGAAGGTGTGGAAAGTCCAAGAAGGGAATATAGTCCCTTTGGGGTAGAGGTCCTGTTGGGACAAGTCTTCTAGTATTTGATTAGATGAATCGTTTGAGAGGGGGCCCACACAGAAATCCATGGTCTGACAAAGGGCACAGATCTTGTGGCATTATCTTGGTGAGGTCTGGCCACGACTCTGAGTTCTCTGAGCTTCTTGCTAATTCTTGGACAGTTCTTGCAAGGGTTCTAAGTGGGGGTGATGACACGGTGGCAGATAAGGAGACACTGAGTAGCCAGTCGTTTGAACCACAGTGGTGTGGGGTGAGGGCATGGGATTTCTGCACATTCTTGGGGCCTAGGTCTTGTGTCCCTCTGCCAGCTGCAGTCCCTGTGGCTGCGTCTGTGTGTCTGAGATGTTGTGAGCACAGTGGGGTTTAGCTGTGGCTGTGACGCTCACTAAACTGTGAGCTCTGGCATTGGCTTTGGGATGTCGGAGAGTGCACGTTTAGGCAGCATTCCTGTCACTGGTCCTCACTAGTAATAACAAAGATCCTTGATGATGATGGTTTCCAATACACGAGCCAGGTACAAGGCTAGGGGCTTCACATCTGTTATCTCTCTTTATTTTATAACTCTGCAGCCTGGTATTTCACATTTGCAGATGGGGAGACCGAGGCTCAGAGAGGTGAAGTGACCCTCTTGGCAGTCACACAGTGGGTGGTGGAGCTGGCCTTGGAACCTGGACCTGTTTTGTCACCCGAGGCCCTGCTCCTTCCAGAGCTCTGCATCCTTCTGAGGTTCCTTACCCTGGTCCCCTCCACAAACTCATTTTCACCTAAAAAAGGAGATAATCATGGCTTGCTTGTGGTTGTGAGGGGCTCAGATTGCCTGGGAGCTGGGCCTGTGGTCACTCTGTATCCATGTGTACTTGTGTGTCTGTGTTTGTATGCATGCAGGTCGTGTACAACGTGGGACTCTGCATTTGTCTGTTTGATATCACCAAACTGGAGGATGCCTATGTATTCCCTGGGGATGGCGCATCACACACCAAAGGTGGGTATCTTCTGTCCCTGGGGCATTGGGCTTCTTGGGGCTCAGTTTTCTGTAGCCAAAGGTCAAGCCAAATCCAGGTTCAGTGGTGCGTGCCTGTAAGGCTGAGGGCGGAAGGATCTCTTGAGCCACAGAGTTCAAGGCCAGCCTGGGCAACATAGCAAGACCCTGTCTTTAAATACATAAATAAAATATGAAAAAATTTTAAAAGGCTAAAGTCAAAGAGATGGCCAGAGGGTGGTGGGAGTCCTGGAGGCTGGGAGACGTGGGGCCTCATCCTGAATCGGCCAGGAATTGACCCGGTGACAGCGGCAGACTTCTCTTCTCTGGGCCTCTGTTCCCTCATCTGTGAGGCCTGGGATGTGGACTAGTTGGTTTTCAAGGCCTCTTCAGCTCTGACTTCATAGCTCTGTGTCTGTGCCCTTTTGGTCTCATTGCTACTGAGCCCTGCACCTTGTCCATTCCTCGGGCTTCCCGCTGCCTGTGGAGAGCAGACGGAAGGGGGATCAGCAGGCTGGCTGGGGGTGGGGGACTTGGATAGTAGGACACAGTAGGTAAGAGTGTGGCCTCAAGATTAAAAGCTGAGCTCTGCTTCTTACTAGCTGTGTGTCCTGGCTGAATATGTCATTGCTCTGTGCCTCTGCTTCCTTATCTGTCAGTTGCAGTTCAGGATGTCAACTGCAGTTTAGGATAGATTTTATATTCTAAGACCATTGTGAGGATTAAGGAGTTAATACATGAAAGCTCTTAGGACAGAGCCTTGGCACCTAACGAGCACTCAGTGACTTATCAGCGTGGATTGTTTCTCCCTATTCTGTCGGTCAGTTGGGTGGTTTTCCTCTCATCTGGCTGGCCTGGGGCTGGACAATCTAGGACGGTCTCACATTCTGAAGGTTGGCAGACTGGTTGGTTACTGGGGGCCTGGGCTGGGCTGGCCCATCTCTGCCCCACATGGTCTCATCTTTCAGTAGGCCAGGCTGGGCTTGGCGGTTTTAAGGTTCCAAAGTTCAGTGCGTAAGTACTTCTCAAGCCTCTGCTTCCATCCCGTTGGCTAGGGTGAGGGGATGGAGAAATAGACTTCACCTCTGGGTGGGAGAAACTGCAGTCACATTGCAAAAGGGTGTGCATCCAGGAATGGAAGGTGATCACCAGATCCTGGAAGGAGGGAGGAGTAGAGAGAGGACCACCCTGAGAGGAGCCAGGACCACCAGTCAAGGGAGGTGATGAGCCCCAGGAGAGGGGCATTCTTCATTCTCATGTCTGGACCAAACCAGTGTATAGGAGATGGTGAGAGGCCCATTGAGACGGTTCAGGCTCCCAGAGCGCAGGCGCCAAGCCTGCCATCCCTTGGGCACTCAGAGCGCAATTCTCAGCCTGCCCCAGGCCTCCCTCCGCCTGAGTCAGAATCTTGGGGGATGGGTCCAAATACTTTTTTTTTTTTTTAAGACAGAGTCTTGCTCTGTTGCCCAGGTTGGAGTGCAGAAGTGTGATCTTGGCTCACTGCAACCTCCACCTCCCAGCATCAAGCAATTCTCCTGCCTCAGCCTCCCGAGTAGCTGGGATTATAGGCACGTGCCACCACGCCTGGCTAATTTTTGTATTTTTAGTAGAGGGGGTTTCACCATGTTGGTCAGAATGGTCTCGAACGCCTGACCTCGTGATCCGCCCACCTCGGCCTCCCAAAGTGCTGGGATTACAGGCGTGAGCCACTGCCCCCAGCCCCAAAGACTGTTTTAACAAGGTACCAGGTGGTTGTCACACGAGCTCATGTTGGATAAGCCCTGCTGTAGTCCATACTGGTCAGCCTCTCAGCACAGAGATGCCAGAACATTCCAGAGTATGCTGTGAGACTGCCTAGTGTCTGTGTCCAGCCATTCAGGGAATTAATTAGTTCGCATGGATGTTACCATGGTACGCCGAGAGGCCGAAGAAACAGGCTGTCTTTGTACAGACTAGGAGCATTTTCATTAGCAGAGAAATAAGATTGCAGTGTGAAAACAACCACGAGGGCCTCTGTTTACAGAGAAGGATGCCGAGCTGAGCCCAGTCTCCGCATTTGGACAGGGGCCTTGGTTGTCCAGGAGACAAGTGGTAATAGGTACTAGAACTTCCAGAAAAACTTGGAGAAAAAAGTCAAGTTGCGGCCGGGTGTGGTGGCTCACGCTTGTAATCCCAGAACTTTGGGAGGTAAAGGCGGGTGCATCACCTGAGGTCAGGAGTTCTAGACCAGCCTGGCCAACATGGCAAAACCTCATCTCTACTAAAACTACAAAAAAAGCCAGGCACGATGGCTCACTTCTGTAATCCCAGCACTTTGGGAGGCCGAGGCGGGCAGATCATGAGGTCAGGAGATCTCCTGGCTAACACGGTGAAACCCTGTCTCTACTAAAAATACAAAACATTAGCCAGGTGTGGCGGCAGGCACCTGTAGTCCCAGCTACTCAGGAGGCTGAGGCAGGAGAATGGAGTGAACCCAGGAGGCGGAGCTTGCAGTGAACCGAGATCGCACCACTGCACTCCAGCCTGGGCAACAGAGTGAAACTCCGTCTCAAAAAAAAAAAAAAAAAAATTATTTGGGTGTGGTGGCACATGTCTGTAATCCCAGCTACTCCGGAGGCTGAGGCAGGAGAATCGCTTGAACCCAGGAGGCAGAGGTTGCAGTGAGCTGAGATTGTGCCACTGCACTCCACCCTAGGCGACAGGGTGAGACTGTATCTCAAAAAAAAAAAAAAAAAATTAGCCAGGTCTGGTGGTGTACACACCTGTAATCTCAGCTCCCTGGGAGGTGGAGGTGGAGGCAGGAGAATCGCTTGAACCCAGGAGGCCAAGAACACGCCGCTGCACTCCAGCTGGGTGACAGAGAGAGACCCCGTCTCAAAAAAAAAAAGTTGGAGGAAATTCTGTCTATTCAATTGGAAGATTTCTACTGCTGGCTTTTATTAGCCCCCACCCTCATCTGTCCTGAGTCTCTGTTTTCTTGGGAACCAGGTGGGAGGCATGGAGTGATCACAAGGACCTAGATTTGAATTAATTCTGGCTCTGGTCTCCTGGATGGGGACCTTGGGCGGGTACCTCTGCTTCTCTCGGCCTTGGTTTCCTCCTCTGTACAATGGGGTTAACCCTGCAGCTATAAAAGTCCTGTTGAGCACCATGCAGGGTGAACTGTGATTTTGTGGTGGGAACCAATTGCCATGCTTTGAGGCTGATGCCTGACCCCAGGCCCTGTTCCCACTGCTCCCTCTCCTGCAACCCCACAGCCTCACTCAGGGCTGTCACTGAGCCAGTGCTGAAGGGCTCAGCACCAGGTCATGCTGTGCCTTCACCTTTGCTCAGAGGAATATTTATTTGCCTGGGCCTTGGGAGCAGTTGCTTGACCTCTCTGAAACTCGGTTTCCCTATCTGTGCACACAGTATAATAACAGTAATAGAGCCTTCCTCCTTCATCAAATATCTGTGAGGAGTCAACGAGCAAGTCTGAGTGAAGCTGTGGTCTAGCGCCCCGCACGTGGGGAGTGCTCACAGATGATGGCCTTTGTGGCATGGGACCCTGACCCCCACTGGCCAAGTTTATCCCTCGACATTTGGTGCCAGCCCGTGTTCCCCACATCCTCCAAGCCTGGGACCTGCTGTACCCTGCCCCCGCCTGCCCCATACTGATCGGGGGCCCTGCTCTCAGTCTAGAGCAGCGCTCCTTTGTGACCACCTTTAGTTATTTATTTTTTAACATTTTTAAATGTTATATTGATTTGCAAATCGGGCAGCCTCCTCAGCTAGAGTTGGTGCAGAGACACCCCCCACCTTTTTTTTTTTAAAGCCTTTTTTTTTTTTTTTTTTTGAGACAGAGTCTTCTCTGTCACCCAGGCTGGAGTGCAGTGGCACCATCTTGGCTCACTGCAACCTCTCTGCCTCCCGGGTTGAAGCCATTCTCCTGTCTCAGCTTCCCGAGTAGCTGAGATTACAGGTGCCCACCACCACGCCTGGCTAATTTTTGTATTTTTAGTAGAAATGGGGTTTTGCCATGTTGGCCAGAATAGTCTTGAACTCCTGACCTCAGGCGATCCGCCCGCCTTGGCCTCCCAAAGTGCTGGGATTATAGGCATGAGCCACTGCGCCTGGCCTTTTTTTTTTTTTTAAACCTTTTTTGACATGTTTATCATTTATTTCATTTTTTTCTATTGTGGTAAAATATACATAACATGAAATTTACCAATTTAAACATTTTAAGTGTGTAAGTCAGTGGCATTAGGCACATTCATATTCTTATGCAACCTTCACCGCCATCCACCTCCAGAACTTTCATTTTTTTTAAGATGGAGTCTCGCTCTGTCGCCCAGGCTGGAGTGCAGTGGCGTGATCTCGGCTCACTGCAAGCTCCGCCGCCCGGGTTCACGCCATTCTCCTGCCTCAGCCTCCCGAGTAGCTGGGACTACAGGTGCCCGCCACCACGCCCGGCTAATTTTTTTTTGTATCTTTAGTTGAGACGGGGTTTCATCATGTTAGCCAGGATGGTCTCGATCTCCTGACCTCGTGATCCGCCCGCCTTGGGCTCCCAAAGTGCTGGGATTACAGGCGTGAGCCACCGCGCCCGGCCCACCTCCAGAACTTTTTCACGGGGCAGATATGGTGGCTCATGCCTGTAGTCCCAGCACTTTGGGAGTCTGAGGCGGGCGGATCACGAGGTCAGGAGTTCGAGACCAGCCTGGGCAACATGCTAAAACCCTGTCTCTAAAAAATGCAAGAGTTTTACTCTGTCGCCCACGCTGCAGTGCAGTGGTGCAGTCTCGGCTCACTGCAACCTCTGCCTCCCGGGTTCAAGCAATTCTGCCTCAGCCTCCCGAGTAGCTGGGATTACAGGCATGCACCACCATGCTCGGCTAATTTTGTATTTTTAGTAGAGATGGGGTTTCTCCATGTTGATCAGGCTTGTCCTGAACTCCCGACCTCAGGGGATCATCCTGCCTTGGCCTCCCAAAGTGCTGGGATTACAGGCGTGAGCCACAGCGCCCGGCCTGCTCAGCTAATAATTTTTGTATTTTTAGTAGAGACTGGGTTTTGCCATGTTGGCCAGGCTGGTCTCAAACTCCTGGCTTCAAGTGATCCGCCCGCCTCGGCCTCCCAAAGTTCTGGGATTACAGGCGTGAGCCACTGCGCCCAGCTTCCTTCCTCTTCTTGATGGTCCTTTAGACTCATCCTTTCTGACTTTCCAGGCATCCCCTCTGCAGGCTACACATCCCTAGACCTCCAGGTGGGGCTCTTGTGAGATGAACTGCAGATCCAGCACTCTCCTGGCTGACCAGCCTGTTGCTCTGTGTCCTTCTGTTTTTTCACTGAGATATAATTCACATACCACAAAATTCACCCTTTCAAAGCATACAATTTAGTGGCTTTGTATATTAAGAGTTGTGCAACCATCACCACTATCTTTTTTTTTTAATTACATTATCACCATTTTGCAACTCCTTATGAAGACAGATCTCATCAATGATCATTAACTTTTTAGCTTCCCCCAAAGAGAGACAAACAAGCATTATATAGTTCCTGGTGGAAGAACTCAACACCGATTATGAGGCAGTTCTGTTGCTAAACGCTAGGAGTTGAATCTGTTAAAAATTCTAGATGCAAGTTCCAGTTTGGAGGAACTATAGGAATGGAGGAATACAGTGACTGGCACCACAGGCCTCCAGGGGTTATGGTAAGTAGGCAGATATGAGCAGGGCAGGAGAGGGCCCCCTCCCACCAGGAACAACACCCTCATCAGCTAAGCCATCACCACTATCTAATTCCACAATTTTTTTTTTTTTTTTTTTTTGACAGAGTTTCACTCTTGTTGCCCAGGCTGGAGTGCAATGGCGCAGTCTCAGCTCACTGTAACCTCTGCCTCCTGGTTTCAAGCAATTCTCATGCCTCAGCCTCCCAAGTAGCTGGGATTATAGGCACCCAATACCACGCCTGGCTAATTTTTGTATTTTTTTAGTAGAGACGGGGTTTCACTATGTCGGCCAGGATGGTCTTGAACTGCTGACCTCAGGTGATCCGCCCGCCTCGACCTCCCAAAGTGCTGGGATTACAGACTTGAGCCACCGTGCGCGGGGCCATTCCACAGCGTTTTTATCACCCTACAAAGAAACCCCGCCCAGTAGCAGTCACTGCTAATCCTGTCCTTCACCCAGCCTCTGGCAGCCACTTAACTGCTTTCTGTCTCTATGGATGTGGTTCTGGACACTGTACATGAATGGAGTCGCACACTGTGTGGCTTTTGTGTCTGGCTGCTTTCACTTGGCCCCATGTGAAGGTTCAGCCCGAGGTTGAGCCACACTGTAGTGCATGTCAGAATTCCTTCCTTTGTAAGGCTGCATAATATTCCATTGTGTGTCTCCAGCATGTTTTGTTTACTCATCCATCCATGGGGGACTCCGGGTGCCCAGCATTTGCTTTTGGATGTGGTTGTTCCAGCCTGGGGCTCCCTGGGCGCAGGATCATGTGCTGTCCCACCCCCGTGAGCCCAGTGCCCAGACTGGGCCTGGCACAAACCTGGTGCAGGCTCTGTGAAGTTTTTTTTTTTTTTGAGACGGAGTCTTGCTCTGTTGCCCAGGCTGGAGCGCAGTGGCATGATCTTGGCGTACTGCAACCTCCACCTCCTGGTTCAAGTGATTCTCCTGCCTCAGCCTCCTGAGTGGCTGGGATCATAGGCACCTGGTACCACACCCGGCTAATTTTTGTATTTTGGTAGAGACGGTGTTTTATCATGTTGGCCAGGCTGGTCTCAAACTCCTGACCTCAGGTGATCTGCCCACCTCGGCCTCCCAAAGTGCCGAGATTACAGACTTGAGCCACCCCGCCCGGCCTCTGTGAGGATTTATTAAACCAAACTGAATGTTGGGCCATGTGGGGGACAGGGTTTTTCCATCTGTGCGTAAGTGGCCCTTGGCCGCCCTCATCTGCTCTCTGGGAGGTCAGCACAAGGCCCAGTCATCTTCATGGTGGCTGTGATGGCTCACGTTTGTGTCTTCCCAGGGTGAGAGGTCCATCGGCTGCCTCTCCTCATGCCCTGCTGATGCCAGGGTCCCTGCCGTCCTGGGGGGCATGTTGGCCGACTAAATGGTTGACGGCATCGTGGAAGCCTGTGTTTGGGATTAAACCTGTCTGAGGAAGGCAAGATTCGACCCGGTGGCCCTGTCTGGTGGGTACAGAAAGACCAGGTGTCTCCCCATGGCTATGTGGCTGTGAGTGGGTCACCCTGGCTCTGAGCCACTGCCTTATCCTCACGGTGGGAACTCTGTTGGTAACCAGCAGGGGGCAGCCGCGTGCTGATTCTCAGGTCAGCGTTGGACTCCTACTTTGGGGCTTCGAGCAAGGGCCTGAGTGACAAGGTGACATACAGCTAATGCCAGGGCCTGGGGTCAGAGTGTGCGATGTGGGCACAGACCCCACCTGGTGTTTTCCTTGCAGTCAGGTGAGTGGGGACCACCTGCAGCATGGCCTGAGAACCCACAGAGGCATTTTTGCTGGGCTGCTGGCCTGCGCCTCACAACACCAGGGCATTTTTAGCCTCCTCTCCAGGTCAGAGCTGTGCCTGGGGCCGACTTTGCTGCTCAGCAGGAGGTGGGAGTTTCCAAACCCTGCGTTCTTTACCAGTTGCTTCTGCCCTTTTTAGGAGCTGAAGGAGAGCCTGGAGGGAGGTTGAAATTGACTTTGGAGCCACTGATGGCTCAGAATCTGGGCTCAGGTGTGAGTAACCTGGCAGTTTTGGGAGTGCCCAGTTACAGGACAGCTGCTGCTGCCCCCCTGTGGGGGCCATGCTGTGAACTTGCAGGAGACAAAGGGAGGGTCTAGGCTTGCAGGGGGATGTGGCATGGAGCAGCCACACAGGCCCCCAGGTGTGCTGGCACCTGAGGGTGACATGGGAGCGCACTGGGGCCCCGGTCAGCATCACTGATGGGCTGTCTTCATTTCCAGTCCATTTTCGCTGCGTGGTGTTTCATCCATTCCTAGATGAGATTCTCATTGGGAAGATCAAAGGCTGCAGCCCAGAAGGAGTGCACGGTAACAGTGGCCCTGACGCCTCAGACAAGACTTGGGAACACTGTGGGGGCAGGAGGTCTGTGTCCACCCACATGGTCAGGGGAGGGCTCAGGTGTCGAGGCCGAACCTTCCCCGTGGTGTCAGAGAAGCTTGCCCACCCTCCCTTTTATGTGTTGTGTGAGGACCTCCATCAGCAGTGCGGTTTCACTGTGAGGCCGTCACTCAGGACTTCAGGGTGGGCACTGAAGCTGGCGGAAGTGACTGGGAGTCTTTAGCGCCCACTGGCCCCTGTTGTGTGCAGAGGTTTTGGGGACTAGGTGCTCCGGGCTTTGCCCAGGGCTGCTCCGCTATGTGGGTGGTGTACGCAGAGGCATTAGGTGGGGAAGGGGCCTAGGTTTCCACAGCGACATCCGCCTCGTGGGCAGCCCCAGGCAGGGCTTGCCTGTCAAGCATAAGACCCCGCAGTGTTTGGCGTCCACTGGGACCCCCATCTCAGGCCGTCACCTGCTTCCTTCCTTCCAGTCTCTCTAGGCTTCTTCGATGACATTCTCATCCCCCCAGAGTCACTGCAGCAGCCAGCCAAGTTGTATCCTCCAAGGGTTAAAGTGGTTTGTCACAGGGAGCTCAGGCCTCTCCAAAGGAAGGTCCCCACTCCTTAGGGTGGCCTTTGGGGCCTGTAACCTGATGTCACTGGCCTCTGTGCCTGCCCCTCGCCTGTGCTTTTGCTCCAGAGGCACCAGCCTGTCTGTGCCTCCCATGCAGGGAGTCATGTGATGCCCACATGCCTGTCTTTGTCGGGGCCATCAGGCTTGGCTGTCTGGGTTGTACACTGCACACCATTAGAGCTGTGGTGTCCTGGGGGACACCATTCACTTCCGGTTCACTTCACTTAGGTTGTCCCTGCAGGAATCATCTTAAAGATCACTTGCCCTGGAGGCATGCACTGGTCCCTGGGACGTGAGGCCTTGCCTGTGTGCCGGGTCGTGGGCTAAGATGTGTTCCTCCTGGGCCTCCGTTGTCCCTGTCCCACCCCTCACCTTGCTGTACTGGGGTTGTCTGTTTCTGTGGGGCTATCCACAAATCTGAGGCTCCTCACTGGGAAGGACTCTGACATGTCACAGCTGTACCCACGGTGCACAGCACGGGACCTGGCACAGAGGCAGGACCCAACAGTGGGACTGCCACCAGAGAACCCATGGCTCCCCTGTGTGGGCTCTGCCAGGGACGATGGAGAGCCAAGGGGGACTGCCCTGGCTGGGTGGCAGCACGGCTCTGGGTCTGCATGTGACTCCAGGATGTGTTAGAAAACCTGGCGCAGCCCGGCTGGTTCTCTCACCACCTGTCATCCAAGTGGGCAGGTGACCTCCCATCCCACTATGTCCTCTTGAAAACGGCAAGTCCTTGGGTGCCCATCAGCCTGTCACAAGGCTTTGATGAAAAGGGTGTGTGGGGCTCCGTGGCAGGAGGCCCAGGTTGCTCTTGTCTTGAGAGGTGGGACTCGGACCCTGTCTCGTCCCCTCCTGCTCTGGTGCTCTGAGATCCATGTGCGTCTGGCCGTGGTGCCTGGCTGGGGACCCCATGTTCCCCTTCCTGGGTCCTGGCCTCCAAGAGCGCTTGTTCCTCTCTGTTTGGCCCAGGCCTTGTGCATGGGGCTGGGACCTGCTTTTCCTGTGACTTCCCAGCCACAGTGATCTCACCCTGAGATTGGTTTTTCCTGCGGGGTCGGGGAGTGGGTGCTGAGGGAAGCCCCTCCCACTATCTGGTTGCTGCCTTGACCCTGGACCCCCTCAGCGACGAAGCGGAGCAGGTGTGGGTGTGGGAGTACGAGACGGAGGAAGGAGCACACGACCTCTACATGGACACCGGCGAGGAGATCCGCTTCCGGGTGGTGGACGAGAGCTTTGTTGACACGTCCCCCACAGGGCCCAGCTCAGCAGATGCCACCACTTCCAGTGAGGAGCTGCCAAAGAAGGAGGCTCCGTACACGCTTGTGGTGAGTGGCTCTGATGGTGCTGAAGCCCCCATGAGGCGGGAGAGCCGGAGTGCAGGGCTGGAAGCTGTGTCCTGGGGCTTCTGCTCTGGGATCTCCCCCAGCAGGTCAGGGATCCTGTTTGGGGGGTCTTGGCTGGTCACTTCTCCCTGGAGAGCCTGAGTTTCTGTAGGCCAGGGCTGTGAGGCAGTAAAGGTACATGGCTGCTGGTGGGGTGGGCGAGTCAGCTTGCAAAGGGGACAGAGCTCACGGTGGACAAGACCACTGATAAAGCGGCTTTGAGGCCAAGTGCAGTGGCTCACATCTATAATCCCAGCACTTTGGGAGGCCAAAGTGGGAGGATCGTGTGAGGCCAGGAGTTTGAGACCAGCCTGGCTAAAAAAGTGAGAAGTTGTCTCTATAAAAAACAATTAGCAGGGCATGGTGGCGTGCCCTGTGGTCCCAGCTACTTGGGAGGCTGAGATGGGAGTATCCCTTAAGCCCAGGAGTTCAAGGTTGTGCCACTGCATTACAGCTTGGGCAACACAATGAAATGCTATCTTTAAAAAATTGGGGGGTAGGGAGGGGTTTGAGGGAGAAAGAAATCAAGGAAGGGGCTTGGGAGAGATCAAAGCCCTGAGATTAAGGGTAGGGCTGCTGGGGCACAGTGGCTCACGCCTGTAATCCCAGCACTTTGGGAGGCCAAGGTGGGCGGATCACGAGGTCAGGAGATTGAGACCATCCTGGCTAACACGGTGAAACCCCATCTCTACTAAAAATACAAAAAATTAGCCGGGTGTGGTGGCGGGCGCCTGTAGTCCCAGCTACTTGGGAGGCTGAGGCAGGAGAATGGTGTGAACCCGGGAGGTGGAGGTTGCAGTGAGCCAAGATCGTGCCACTCCACTCCAGCCCGGGTGACAGTGCGAGACTGTCTCAAAAAAAAAAAACAACAAAAAAAAGGTAGGGCTCCCTGTAGGAGCAGCATTGCAGCAGTGAAATAAAAGGGAGGGCTCCGGGGAAGAGTGGCTTTCAAGGCTGCTCCCTGTTGGATGCGTCTGGAGCATGGGCCTTGTGTTTGCTCAGCCTTCCTGCCACGATTAGAACCTAGGTGGCCCTGGAGGGCAGGCCTAAGGGTGAGGAAGGGTCCCTGACCCTATCAGGGCCTGGAGTCCCTGGAGAAGGGTCTGCGCCCTGCGTGCTGCGTGCCCGTTGGGAGCACTGCTGTGGCTCCCACATCTCTCCAGAGCCTCTTGGCTGCCGTGTGCCCCGCCTCTTCTTTGCCTGTGCTGGGCCTGCTGGGCTCCCTTCACCTCCTGTCCAGGTTGGTTCAAGCCAGCATGTCAGTGAAATGTGCGTGTTCTTTATCCCTGGCAGGGATCCATCAGTGAGCCAGGCCTGGGCCTTCTCTCCTGGTGGACCAGCAACTAGCCCTGGGGCTGGACAGTGGACCCTACCAGCCTGCGGGAAGGTGGTATGGCCGGCTGTGAAGACAACAGCAGCTGAGGCCGATGCTAAGGAGATAGTGTCTCGAGCTGGACAGTGAGGCAAGGCCAGGAGTGCCCACCAGCTTGCCCCGCTCCTCCACCATCTAGGCCCTGCTCCTCCTTCACTGCAGTGATGGATCCATCTGTGGCTGTGGCTGTTGGGCCTCCACTGACCTTGACTGAAAAGACCCTTCCTGGACCCTGGACTTGACAACAAACGGCACAGACACCAATCACTCACAGAACAGTCACTGGTTTTGGATTCTTGTTTTCCTTGCAAGAACAAAAGGTTCTCTAGAATCCTTCAGCCACCAATGAAATGATCAGGCAGGAGAAAAACTTTAGATGGGAGTCTTGTCATCAAAAATAAATACAGTTGCATGGAGCTGCTTAAGATCTGAACCAAACTCAAAATAGGAAGACGGGGGCTAAAAAGTTATTTTAAGAACCCCCCCACCACAACCACAGTCACTCCGTGGGCTAAGCGGGGAGCAGGAAGCATGTCTGGTCACACCATCTTGGAATAGGAAGCCATGGCTGGACGGATCGGATCCACTGATGGCACACGTGGAGCTGAACTTGACGCCAGCGGCGGGGCGGGGAGGCACTGCCCTCACTGTTGCAGTTCCTTCATTCTGTTGAGGGCACTGCCAGCGCGGAACCACTCAATCTGCGTCTCGTTGAAGGTGTGGTTCAGGAGGATGGTCTCCTGGGTCCCGTTGGGGTGCTTGATGATGCACTTCAGGGGCTGCAAGGAGAAGGTGGGTGTGGGTGGAAGTGGTGGGTACTGTGTGCCCTTGGCCCCGCAGGGGGGTCAGGGAGACAGGGCACTGCCTGGGGACCTAAGAGGTCAGCAGGCAAACCAAATCCTAGGCCAGTCTGTGCCTGATGGCCCAGGTCAGACCCAGGTGGCACCTACAGGGGATTCCTGGGGCCCAGAGGGTCCTGCAGTGGGTGGGCTGTCCCCTGAGTGCCAGGTCCTGGTGAGTAAAGGGAGGTTGGGGAGGTGTGAGGGCCCCGGGTTGACTCCAACCCCCAACTCTGAGAAGCCACTTTGCTTTCTCTGTGGGGCCACCTGGAGAACTGGGGGCCTTTCCAGCTGGAATGAAGCCTCCTGGGAGAAGCTACCCTGGGGCCAGTGCAGGAGGGGAAACAAGGTGGCTGCCCCTCACCCCACCACCTCAGGGGGACCCGGGCCCCTAACCTTGCCAGGGGTGAAGTCCTTCAGGCCCTGAATGGTCAGCTTGTCCACAGGGTGAATCTTGTTGTAGTCAGCCGGGTCAGCGAAGGTCAGAGGCAGCAGGCCCTGTTTCTTCAGGTTGGTCTCTGGAAAGCAGGCGGCATTCGGTCATCGGGGGCCTGACTAGCCTGGAGAGCTTCATTTTCTGAACCCATCTGGGGCTCTGGGAGATGCCCCTAATCCTGCTGCCTGGGACAATGCCCGGGCAGTGACTATGGGGCCCTGGTCTGCTCCCTTTCACTAGGGGTGCCCCTAGCAAGTGTGCGCTGGTGCTGAGGTCTGCGAGGCCTTCCTGCTGCACATTCATGATCAGAAAGAACCCCCTGGCACATGTCCTAGATCTCAGCGGCTCAGATCTACAAGCCTGGAAGCAGGGCCTGCGGGAAGCCGGGAAGCTGAGCGTCGGATGTGCACTGTGTGAGCCTAAGAAGGGGCAAGAGGCTGACGGGCCTGTGGGCTGCAGTGGACACAGCCTAGAACCAGGCCCAACTCAGCCACGGGCAGGGAGAGTGACCTTGATCACTAGGGATGGGATGAGGATGGCCTGGGTACAGACTCCAGCTCACCGTGGATCCTGGCAAAGCTCTTGGTGATGATGGCCCGGCCCCCAAGGTGGCGAGGCTCCAGAGCTGCATGCTCCCGGCTCGAGCCCTCGCCGTAGTTCTCGTCTCCGATCACCACCCACCTGATGCCATGTTTCTGTCAGGCAAGCGGGGGTAAGGTTATAAGGCAGAGGAGGGCACCGTCCTCACCTGTCTGGCCCTACCTGCCTGGCCTCACCCACCTGGCGCCTGGGCATCCTGAGGCTCCCGGTAAAGGGGCTGGAGGGGCCCTTCCTCGCCTGCTGCCTAAGGGCAAGTGAAGCCTGCGTGAATGAGACCCAAACGAGGCCCCGAGGGGACAGAGGCACGTGGTTGTTTGCAGTGGCAAAGAAGACAGAAGCCACCCATTGGTGCTTGGCAGAGGCAGGTGTGTGTGGAGGGAGGTTGGGTGAGACAGGGACGGCCTCCGGGCCCCACACAAGATGCATCTGTGAAGCTCAAGGCGCCCCCTTCCTGGGAGCACCCTCTGCCCCACCCAGCCACCAGGGGGTGCCAGAGTCCTTTCACCCGGCTGGGCCAGGACTTGGGTTCAGCCCTGGTTCTGTTTGTTTCTCAAAGCAGAAAAAGTCCAATCACCTCAGACCCTCTCTGCCTGCTCACTGTGAGGCCCCGTGTAGCCCCCTCTCTGAGCTTTTGGCCTCTGACTTCCTGAGTCGGCCCCCTTCCTTGTCTTTGTCTAGGGCCAGATATCCTAAGATATCTCTCACTAACTCCTCCTGGTGCAGGGACCCGGCTGTACCACCGGACCTGGGCCTCATGCCTTCTCAGCCACAGGGAGGGGCTGCAGGCCTCTCCTCCCTTCCACAGCAGTCCCCTTTGGGCTTGGTCGGCCTCCTTCCCAGTTTCCACTCCCCTAATGTCCTCCCTGCACCTGCCTTGCAGGCCCCTTCAGGAGTGACCACTGGCATTGCCCCTATCAACTCTGACCCACCTTGTAGTAGCGGGCAGTGTCAGGGACGGGGCCAAACTCCTGAGTGACGGCATTGCGCACGGAGTTGGCCTTGCCGTTTTCAATGTTGATGGCACCAATGAGCAGGTTGTTGGAGATGTTATCCAAGTGCCCACGGAACTTGAGCCAGGGGCCAGCAGCTGAGATGTGGTCAGTGGTACACTTCCCTTTGACCTTGGGTGGTAAGTAGAGAGGACAGAGGTCAGGGCATGGCCCTGGAGGGGTGGATGACAAGCCCTCCAGAGGCAGGCAGCAGGCCCCGGGGCCCAGGAGGGGTGACAGAGGGGTGAGAGGCAGGCAAGTCTTCAGACACGTGTTCTGTGGTCCTGGTGCTTCCACCCTAAGGCCACATGGGCTCAGGCCAGGCCTTCATCCCCTCAAAGGCCTCTGGCTGCTCAGTCTCCCTTATGGGGCAGAGGCCGCCCAAAGTTGGGACAGGTCAATGTTCGCTCACCCTTCAGGCCTCAGCTGCAAGATCAGCCACAGACCTCATGCTGGACACAGGAGCCCAGGACATGCCTGGGTCCTGGCTGATGACTGATTAGTCTCTTCTGTCACAGGGGTGCCTGGAGACCCCTTAATAAGCAGCATAAATAAATATCTGACACAGATTGGAGGCCTCTGGCCACACCAAAAAGGCTTGTTTTTGGTCGGTGCCAAACACAAGCCATCCCATATCCACGGGTGCCCAACTGTGGGGGCAGGAGTTGTCCATGGCTTCCAGAGCCTGTGTGGACGTGCCAGGTGTGGAGCCTGCTGTGCAATCACACACACTGTCCCAGCCCAGCCTGAGCTGTACTCACCTGCCCACACCCACTGGAGGTGGCTCTGATCAGCTGCTGCTGGATGGCTGAGGGCCCCAGACGGAGGCTGGCCAGATCTAGCTCTGCCCAGTTCGGGGCCACAGAGAAGGGGGACGCTGGACTGCGTTGCGATACCCTCTCTGCTCTGCAGCCAAACCTCCCTTCCATCTCCCACCTGCGTCTTGACTGTGCTCACTTCCTCCAGGTTCATGGCCCTTCCCGATGCTCAGGGGACGGGGGGCCCTGGCAGGGTGGGGCTGTCCTGCCGTCCCCATGCTGCTGACCTTGATGAGGATCTGCAGGTCCTCCAGGTCCTTGCCATCCCACTTGTCAAAAGGCTCCAGGAGCTGCAGGCGCTGGCTGGTGGGGCTCACGTCCACATGCTGCCCGCTGCTGTCCTTGGGTGGGTGCTGGTAGGTGTCCTGCCCTGGGTCAAACTCCTGCAGCAGGGAATGGGGATGCGTGGGGTGCTGAGTCCTCAGTTCCCACAAGGACAGACTCTCAGAAGGCAAGTTTCCTCGGGCCCCACCTCCCCTCCCAGGGAACAGAGCTGCTTCCTTCTCACTAGCAGCGCCCTCCCTGCCTGCACAGGAGGTGCTGTGAGGTTGAGAAGGAAGTGACGTGGCCACACAGCAACCAGCAAGCAGGGGGCGTGGGCGCTCACCCCTTTGGGAAGCTCATCTGCATCCGGAGCCTCCAGCCTGAACTTCTTGCCATCCGTGCCCGTCAGGTAGTCGGTCTCTGGGTTGAACTTGAGGGTTCCCGCAATGGCCAGGGCTGTGACAATCTGAAATGGAGGTGGCCAGTTTGTTGGTCAGCACCAATTGCCACTCCTGTCTCCTGCACCTACCAAAAGCCTAGGCCAAAACTGAGAAAGGAACCCAGGAAATTTCCATGTTCTTCCCAGACCCCTGTGTTCCTCAGAGGCCAGAGCTGCAGGACGATCTTTGGGACCACGGGGCCTTGGGCCTGCAGAGGACTCAGGAAGCCAAGGGCAGTGCGGCCTCTCCCATCCCTGCAGGGCCGGGCCGGCAGTGCTGTTCTCTCTCCTCACAGCTATCCTGGAGGGAGTGGGGGCCCTGGCGCAGAAATGCTGGTATGATGCAAACCTGCTCAGTGCGCAGGACACTAAAAACATGGAAGGAGCCATTCCTTCACCCATTTAGCAAGACATATTTGTAGAACACGCAGATAAACAACCAAGTCAAGAGAGCCTGGCCATGTGCCAGTCACGGCCAGGGCTGAATACCGCCAAGGGCAAGGCTCACTCTGGCCACGGGAACAATGGCAAAGGCCTCGCTTTTGTGGAACTCCTACCTGGGGTTGGAAACTGCATGTGTCCCACGCACTTTCCCAGGTAATCCCGAGGATTACGGGGACACAGAGAAGGTAAGTGACTTGGCCACACTCATACAGCGAGTTAGAGGCAGGGCTGGGATGTGTCCTAGGCAGTGAGTGAGATTCCAAATTCCATGCTCATAAGCACAAACCACTGTATAAATATCTCATAATCCCATGACCCAGGGAGCCCCAGGCAGGAAGCACCAAGCATGCGCCTGAGGCTGGGAAGGCCTGTAGCTCCTGGCTACCACTTGGATGACCCCAGTCCCCATCTCCTTCTGCCTCCTCCTCTGACCCGCCAGGGACCCCCAGAGGCCATCCCAGGCTTGTGCGCAGCTGGGCAGTCTCACCTCTGGGGACGTGACAAAGGCATGGGTCTCGGGGTTTGCGTCGTTGCGGCCCGTGAAGTTCCTGTTGTAGGAGGTGACGATTGTGTTCTTCTCCCCCTTCTTGATGTCCTTCCTGCCAGGTCAGAGGGATCAGGGTTAGGGATATCTGGCCTTGTCACCTGGCCTGTCCCGAGGACAGATAAGCTGGGTTCCTGTGGCGCAGCCCAGCCTAGCTCCTACCGAGGGAAAATGAAGAGGCCCTGCCAGGGTTGCCTCCTCCTGGGGCCACGCGCAGAGCAGAAGGGAACCTCAGGATCACTGGGCCCAGCCTGCAACCACACGTAAGCCAGAGGCAAGGCCTTGGTCAAGGCCTGAGTTTCCTGACCTGGGGCACTGCCTCCTCCCAAACGGCTCCTGCTGTGTCCGTCAGGGTGAGGCCGCGCTGGCTTCCTCCTGCCAGCCCAGGCTTCAGCCAAGTTGCCCCCCAGTGCCTCTGCAGGGCCCTTCCTCACCCAGCCCCTCTTCCCAGGCATGTCTGCCAGAGGCTTCTAATGGGCAAGAGTCCCTGGAGCTAGAGACCTTGGCTGGAGTCTCTTCTCTCCACCCCAATAATTCCCCCTCCAACTTCTGGGGCTCTGTACCCTGTGCACAAGGGGCTGTCTTGTCAAAAGATACGCCTCTTACCTGTCCCACTGGCCAATGCAGGGGCCACAAGCATTGGCCAGGACAATGCCACCCAGATCCCTCAAGATCTGTGCCTGCCAGGGAGAGAGGAAGACAGAATGTCAAGGGTGGGTGAGAGTCTGATGGGAAGGGGTGATGTGGTGGCTGCAGGACGAAGTGCTGTACTGGAACCCCAGGGCAGCCACTGGGACCTGCCCCAGCCCCGGCCCAACAGGCCTCTGGGCTTGTGCCGCCTGGAGGCATTACTCAGCATGGGGTGGGGGAGATGGGCAGGGGGATATGGGCACTCACATAGCCGTCCCGCTCAATGGTGGCGCGGATCTGCTCGGAACCTGGAGTGATGGTGAACTGGGACTTGCACTTGAGGCCATGGGCCAGTGCCTGCTTGGCCACAGCTGCTGAGCGCCCCATATCTTCATAGCTTGAATTGGTGCAGCTACCAATTAGACCTGGTGCATTGTGGGTGGTGGGGTTAAGGGTCAGGAGGAGACAGTGAGCAGAGGTCTCCACCTGACTTCAAATTATCCAGACTTGGCCAAAAGAGTTCACCATCTGGGCTGGGCCAGAGACTTTTTTAACAGAGACCAGTTGCAAGCAACCGAAATATCCAACAATAAAGGACAGGCTAACTCATGACGTGGCGTCATTTGAAGAAAGATGCTGTAGCCATTGGCCATGATGCTGAACACATTAGGACTATGACCCCTTTTACAGCAATATCATGTACACGTGTAGGCACGTCAGAGGGCTCATACGAACAGCCATCCTTGATGGGCTGGGGCTGACAGGAGATGCTAATTTTCTTCTTTTATACTTTCTAGTATTTTCTGGGTTTTAAAGATTGTTTTATAATCAGGGCAATAAGAGTTCTTTTTAAAAAGTCTATAAAACCTGAATAACATCGCACTTTCTGTCTAGACAGTCTCTTTTTGTTGTTGTTGAGATGGGGTCTTGCTCTGTCGCCCAGGCTGGAGTGCAAGGGCACAGTCGAGGCTTGCTCACTGCAGTCTCTAACTCCTGGGGCTCAAGCAACTCCTCCTGCCTCAACTTCCTGAGTAGCTGGGACCCACAGGTGAGTACCACCACACCTGGCTAATTCAATAAATTGTTTTTGTAGAGACAAAGTCTCACCATGTTGCCCAGGCTGCTCTTGAACTCCTGGGATCAAATGATCCTCCTGCCTCAGCCTCTCAAAGTGTTGGGACTGGCCAGGCGCGGTGGCTCACACCTGTAATCCCACAACTTTGAGAGGCCGAGGCAGGCAGATCACTTGAGGTCAGGAGTTCCAGACTAGCCTGGCTAACACAGTGAAACCCCCATCTCTACTAAAAATACAAAAATTAGCCAGGCATGGTGGCGGGCGCCTGTAGTCCCAGCTACTCGGGAGGCTGAGGCAGAACTGCTTGAACCTGGGAGGCGGAGGCTGCAGTGAGCCGAGATTGTGCCACTGCACTCCAGCCTGGGTGACAGAGCAAGACTCTGTCTCAAAAAAAAAAAAAAGGGTTGGGATTACTGGCAAAAGCCCATATAACCAGCCAAGATAGTTTCTTTTATTAATTTAGTAATTTACTTTCTAATTATTAAACCACCAAATATTTTTTTTCTTAAAATTACTTCAATGAATAAGGGCGAACACATTATATTGCCCTTATTTTCGGCCAGACGGTATAGAAATCTCTTTTCACATATTGTCACTTCTCCAGACAACTTTATTTTTTATTTATTTTTCTCATTGGTGATAGCAGCAGTAGGCCCAACACCACCTTCAAAGGTGTCAGTACGATCATGACTCCTGTTTTACAGATGGGGAACCCACACATAGACAGTGAAGTAGTTTGCTCAGGGTCACTCAGCTGTTAGTGGCTGTTAGGTGGCAGAGCCAGGATTCAAGCCCAGGCCATCTGGCTCCAGGCTCCATGCTCTTCACAGCCACACTGTACCCAGCAGCAGCAGATGCCAGTGACTGGCATGCCAGGGCGTCTGCATGTGTAAAGCATGAAAAGTCACATAAAGCAGCATGGGTGATATAAAATGTAAAACGGGAAAATCTATGCACACAATACACAGAAACACAGCACACCTCTCCAAGAGCTCTAAGAGCTTGCTCCTGGCTGGGGGTTGAGATTAGGAGTTTTAAAAATTCTTCTTGATTGTGAATATTCTCTACAATAAACATATTTTTCTTTTCTGCCAAGAAAAAGTAATTTTTCTTTTCTTTCTTTTTTTTTTTTTTTTTTTTTTTTGGAGGCAGGCTCTGTTGCTTGAGTCTGCAGTTTTGAGTCTGCCTTTGTTGCCCAGGCTGGAATGCAGTGGTACCATCTCGGCTCACTGTAGCCTTGACCTCCAGGACTCAAGTGATCCTCCCACCTTAGCCTCCTGAGTAGCTAGGACTATAGGCATGCGCCTCCACACCTGGCCAATTTTTTTTTTTTTTTCTGAGACGGAGCCTCGCTCTGTCACCCAGGCTGGAGTGCAGTGACACAATCTCGGTTCATTGCAACCTCCGCCTCCTGGGTTCAAGCGATTCTCCTGCCTCAGCCTCCCAAGTAGCTGGGGCTACAGGTGCCTGCCACCACCCCTGGCTAATTTTTTGTATTTTTAGTAGAGATGGGGTTTCACCGTGTTAGCCAGGATGGTCTCGATCTCCTGACCTCATGATCCACCCATCTCGGCCTCCCAAAGTGCTGGGATTACAGGTGTGAGCCACTGCCCCTGGCCAATTTTTGCATTTTCTTTTAAGAGACGGGGTTTTTCCATGTTGCCCAGGCTGGTCTTGAACCCCTAGACTCAAGTAATCCACCTGCATTGGCCTCCTGAAATGCTGGGATTTCAAGCATGAGCCACCACTTCTGGCCGAAAAAGTAATTTTTCAATAATAAACCCATTTCAGAAACTGCCCACCTTAGAAAGTGCCACACAGTAGGCATAGGTGATTGTCTACAGCCCTGGGCAGAGCCACTGGCCCTGAGACCTGCTAAACAGATGGGGTGGAAGGTGCTCACCCACTCGGATGTCCAGAGGCCATCCTTCCTTCTCTGCCACCTTGCCCACTTCTGCCACAGGGTGAGCCAGGTCAGGGGTGAAGGGCCCATTGATGTGTGGCTTCAGCTGAAGAAACAAACATGCAAGGAGAAGAAAGAGAGGAGGGAAGAAACCTTGAAGCGGGGACAGCCTCTTTCACTGCCTCACCACGTCCCCACAGAGAGGCCAACGACTTTCTCTTGACTGAAACCTCATCACAGGGAAGAACTGAGCAGTTGGCTCTGCACACACCCGCTCCCGGGCTCCCTCCAGCCCTGCAAGGCTGGGCTCAGCTCTGCAGATGAAGGAACTGAAGCTCAGAAGTGACATGCTGTGCTTGAAGTCACATAGCTAGGAGACAGCAGAGGCATGGAATGGATCAAGGCTGTCAGCTTCCTAAGTTCATTATCTCCCATTCGATGTTGCTTTTGGAATCTTTTTTTTTTTTTTGAGATGGAGTCTCGCTCTGCTGCCCAGGCTGGAGTGCAGTGGCACGATCTTGGCTCACGGCAGCCTCCGCCTCTCGGGTTCACACCATTCTTCTGCCTCAGCCTCCCGAGTAGCTGGGACTACAGGCGCCCGCCACCACGTCTGGCTAATTTTTTTGTATTTTTTTAGTAGAGACGGGGTTTCATCACATTAGCCAGGATGGTCTCAATCTCCTGACCTCATGATCTGCCCGCCTCGGCCTCCCAAAGTGCTGGGATTACAGGTGTCAGCCACCATGCCCGGCCGCTTTTGGAATCATGACAAAAATGGACTTAAGGCCAGACGCTTTACATATCATAATCATCAGTAAATGCGAGGCACTCAGCTATGTGCGCAGCATGCAGTAAACCTCCGTCAGTGTTAGTTACATGAATTCATTCAATCCTCACGACTGCTGTAGGTTCCACACGTGATGGAGCAAGGGGCCTACAGAGGCTAAGTGCGTGACCAAGGCCACACAACTTAAGTGGCAGAGCCGAGGTGTGAACTCCTGCAGACGGGATCCTCTAGCCTGCCCTTCCTCTGGCTCTGCAAACACCTGCTCTGATCTGTGCGTCTCAGGGTGCCTAACCCTGCTGGGATTTGCCCTCTGAACTCAGATAACAAAAACCCTTCAGGGTGAAACCTTGGCTTCTCCTAAAGCTGAGCTGGTGGCAAACTGACATCCACTTCTGGTTCAGCAGCCAGAGCTACCTCTGCTCTCCCCGTGGCTGTGTCTCCCCCCTCCCCACCCACTGCTCCAGGCTGCTTCAGGAAGCAGTTTGCAGGAACACTGGGGACCCAGGGGCCCACGAGTCACCCTGAGGTTTTTCTTGTTTTGTTTTTGAGACAGTGTCGCTCTGTCGCCCAGGCTGGAGTGCAGTGGTGCGATCTCGGCTGACTGCAACCTCTGCGTCCCGGGTTCAAGCGATTATCTTGCCTCAGCCTCCTGAATAGCTGGGATTATAGGCACATGGCACTATGCCGAGCTAATTTTTGTATTTTTTTTTTTTTTTTTAGTAGAGACGGGGTTTCACTATGTTGGACAGGCTGGTCTTGAACTGCTGACCTCAACTGACCCACCTGCCTTGGCCTCCCAAAGTGCTGGGATTACAGCTGTGAGCCACCACCCGGCCCTCAGTGAGTATTTAGGCAGGACCCGCCCTGCTCCCCACTACTCTCAGAAACTTCTTGAACCCAGTTAATTGTCTCCTCACCTCACTGAGGTTAATTTCAATTAGTTGGTCATAATGGCAGCCAGGGTCAGGCACCAAGTGATCCTTGAATTCATCAGCTAGATTGGCAATGTCTGAAATCAACAAGGGACGGGGATGGAGCACGTGAAACATAAACTGTTCTTGAGAGTTCACTCACCACCCACCTGAGCACCTGCCAAACACCAGGCCCACCCTGGGCACTGACTAGGCCAATGAAGAAACCAAGGCTGCTGTCTCTGCCCTTACAGAGCTCACACCCTAGTGCAGGAGCTGTCAGGGACACGGAGACACAGAGGAGGAGCGCCAGCTAAGGTTCAGAGCCGGGGAGGGTGTCCTGGAAGTGAAGAGCTGGGTTTTGAAGAAGCAGTCACTCAATAAGGAAAGGGAGGAGCCTTCCAAGGATTCCACGTGCTTACGGCTCTCCCCATGGCCCCTGGTCTCTGGCTCCTCGTTCACTCCCACAACGCACCACCCTTCACAGGTGCCAATGCCCTCTGAGCTCCAAAGAAGCCAGGCTAGAGCCTCAGGGAAGTTGTCAGGGGAGGCTGGGAAAGTGGTTCTCCTTCCAAATGTTCCCCTGCTAGGTCAGGAATTATCAACAGAAGCGATCCATGTCATTTCCGGAGTTTCCTGTAGGGGGCAGCAGGGACCAGGCCGAGAAGGGCGGGCATTCAGCCACCTTCCAGGGAAAATGAAATGCCCATCCTGAGGTGGGGCTATCTTGAACTCAGATGCCAGGCCCTTTGAGAAGCTGGAGAGAGCTCCAGACAATCTACTCAGAAACATATTGCACCTCTTCAGGGCTTTCTCAGAGCCTCGGACGCCTGTCTGGAGACAATGGGTTAAGAACCCCTGCCCTACAGGGAAAGGCATAGCTCTGTCTTGGGGAGGAGCGGGCATGTGACTGTTCCACCCACACGGGCCTGCCCCTGCCAGCTCACCTTCCCGGCCGGTCTTGCTCAGGTACTTCTTCATCCTGTGGTTGTAAGGGAACACGGAAGTGGTGGCCCCAATTTCTGCACCCATGTTGCAGATTGTCGCCATGCCTGTGGAGCAACAGAGCCCCGGGCATTGGCTGGTGGCCGGGCCAGGGTCCCACACACCTGCTACGCGGCCACCTGCATCTTCACACCAGGGAGCTGCATTGCTTCTCCTCCCACTCAGAGAGATGTGGTGACAGCGGGCCGACTCATCCCTTGAGGCCCTGGGTAAAAACCTGGGCCGGTGAGGGGAGGCCATGGGGATCAGAGCTCAGGGCCCCAGCTCAGGGTGGCTGCTGGGTAGAATGAAGAGGACTCAGGTGAAGATTCAGCCCCCACACACTGAGCTGCGAGCTTGGGGCCTGACTGTCGCCCAAGAGATTGAACAGGCACCACGTACTGTAGGCTGACCTGACCAGACACTGCCCAGTTGCTATTCTTTTTGGCAGGGGAGGAACTGGCTCAGAGAGATTCAAGGTCATGCCATAAAGCACATAAAGGTAGATGCTGACATTCGGATCTTGGTCTGTCTGCCTGGTGGCCTGCCCTCCTTCAGCCATACCATGGTGGAGACACTTTTCTGTGTCTCAAGTTTTCCAGTGATGGAGGCCGAGGTGGGTGGATCACCTGAGGTCAGGAGTTTGAGACCAGCCTGGCCAACATGGTGAAAACCCATCTCTACTAAAAAAAAATACAAAAAAAATTAGCCAGGCATCATGGTGCACACCTGTAATCCCAGCTACTCAGGAGGCTGAGACCGGAGAATTGCTTGAACCCAGGAGGCGGAGGTTGTAGTGAGCCGAGATTGCACCACTGCATTCCAGCCTGGGCGACAGAGTTAGACTCTGTCTCAAAAAACAAGAACAAAAACAAAAACTGAAATGATACACACTGTCTGGACCACAAAGCGTCACAGAACTGGTGGGGCTCACAGGTACTGCAGCTGCTACCAGGCCACCTGCCTCAGGAGCCACTAGGACGGAGGTATGGGCCTGTTACCAACGTCCTGACTGAGCAGTCCCGTGGCAGGAGTGAGCCCCCATCACTGCAGGGGAACCAGAGTTCTGCAGGGCTGCCAGGGAGCCCAGGCAGGCACCTGGGAAGTCTAGACTGTTACAAATCTCCCTGGATTTCTGAGGACCAGGCATCCAGGCCAGGTCACCAGGAGTGACAGGCAGGGAGCAGCTGGCTCCTACCTGGTCTTGGAGGCGGACAGGCACCGATCTCTAATCCAAGGGAAGTGAGTGAGGCTCGAACTTCAGCGAAGGGAGGATGTGGGCCTGCAGCTGCTTCATGAATGAAGCCCTGGCTCTGCCCATTCCCACCACTGCCTCTGTCCTCTCTGGATTCGTCTAGATCACCCAAGGTGGCCTAGTGCTATGGCCTGGGCCCAGCAGCAGAAGCTGACTTGGCTCCTAACCGTGTGTGGCCACACAGTTAGGAAGTCACCGGCAGCCTCGACAGGTATCTCAATCTCTTCATCTGTTTAATGAGGATGTGGACTAGACAATCTCTAATGCTGTCTCCAATTTTCCTTCTACCTCTGTCTATCCCAAGTCCCCAAATGGAACAGACAGATTCTCAAGTGAAGGCCATTCACCGCTTCTACTCCCAACTGGAGACCCATCAGGCCCAGCACAGGGTAGGGGCCACGTCGCCTGGCCGCCTTCCTCACCAGTGCAGGAGATGGAGTCTACACCAGGCCCGTGGTATTCCACGATTGCACCTGTGCCACCTTTCACCGTGAGGATGCCTGCCACCTTCAGGATCACATCTTTGGGTGAGGACCAACCGGAGAGAGAGCCCGTCAGCTTCACGCCAATCACCTGGACAGGAGGGGGCGAGGCGGCTGTGAGAGGCCGTGTGTGCCTGTGCCAGCCACGAAGTCAGGATGGCCCTGCTGCCATTCACATTGCTGCTTATTGGTCTCTACCTCCCTCCCAGAAGATTCGAGTCTAACTTGTTCCCTTTTCCCTCCTGGGTCCCACCGTCTCCCGTTCATCCCCACCAACCACCACCCCACAGCCAGCCCAGAATGAGTCCCTCCCCACCCTCACCTTGGGGCACTTCAGCTCCCAGGGGATCCCAGCCATGACATCCACAGCATCGGCACCCCCAACTCCAATGCAGATGCCCCCAAGGCCGCCACCATTGGGGGTGTGGGAGTCAGTGCCAATCAGAAGAACACCAGGGTACGCATAGTTTTCCAGAATAATCTGAAAAATAATCCAAGATGTTATATTTAGAAGCCCTCAGCCGAGAATACCAAAAAATGGCCCCACTGACCCGGGGCCTCCCAACCACGTCCAGCCACTCTCCCAGGATGGAACTGGTAGGAGCAGCCCCATTTAATCCAGGCCGTCTCCAGGGTGGCCAAGAAGAGCCAGAGCCTTGGGAGACAGGTGGCCTGGGCTCTTGAATAGCTCTGATATTTCCTGCTATATGTCTTGGGCCTTTGAATGCTGCCCCATGCCTCAGTTTCCTCATTTGTAGCACAGTAACCAAACACCCATACCACCATGACCCCAGGATGTGACAAGAACCAGAGAAACTGTCCTGTGATGGGCCCAGGCCCGGCCTCATCCTGGGTGTGGAGCATCCCCACCTGGCTTCTCATCGGGGTTGGTGGTTCTTCCAGGAGCTGGCTCCAGCCCCACAAGGCCCCTGAGGAAGAAGTCCTGGGAGGCCCCAGTGGGTACACAAAGCTATGAACTTTTCCTCAACTGCAAAGAATAGGTGATGCCTCGTCCACTTCAGCATCTGGAGGTGGCTCTGAGAACCCATGTGACTTGCTCAAGGCGCGATGCCACCCTGCCTCATCACCTGTCCCATTTCACAGTACTCCCTTCACTGAGGCGCTCCTCCCAGCCGTGGGGAGCACTTCCCCCAAAACATTTGGTAAGAAAGGCAGCAACACCTCAACACCCAAGTGCTCAACACCTTGGGTGCTGTATAGGCTCAACACCCAAGTGTGGCCCAGGCACCAGGCACCTCTGAGGCACTGGCCCCCTGAAGCTGCAGGACACTGCTTGGCAAGCCCTGAGCCAGGCGTCCTGTATCGGGGGGTCTGAGGTCTGGCCCCACCATCTACTAGTTGTTGTGGGACCATGGACAAGTCACTTCTCTCGGAGCTCAGTTTCCCTATCAAGAAATAGCTAACAATCGTGCTCACATCATTGGTTCACTGATGACTGGATGAGATCCTGTCCATGAGGCACAGAATAGTGCCTGCGGGAAGCAACATTTTTATTTATTGTTTTGCAGCAAGAGCCTTCACCTGAGGTTCTGCCGCTCATCAGTCAGATGGAGTTAGTGCCCCACCCGGGGATGTGGGGAAGAACACATGAGAGGTGTGACAGGCTCTGTGAACTCTCAGGACCCACCAGTGCTCCCAGAAATCTTACAGAAACCCCAGGGCCTCTGCCTCAGGACAAGCATCTGCCTAGCAGACTCTAAGGTCCAAAGGTCTCATCTCTTGGGGATGCAGAGGGAAGACCTGGCTGCGAAGAACTGGCCAATGCTGCCACGTACAAGGATTTAAGACTAGTGCATCCCTAAAGAGCCTCAAGCTTGTAAAAGTTGGATCCACGAAGGCTGGGCACACAGAATTCGGGGTGGTCTACACGGTGTAGACACTTGTGGTCCACACGGTGTAGACACTTGTGGTCCACATCCAGGGGGAGAGGTCAGGCAGACATGAGGACTGCAGAAGATGTCACGATGACGCTGGCCGTGACAGTGAGCTCCCCGGTCTGTGGGTGTGGCTGGACAGATGGGGGTGAGGGCTGGGAAGAAGGACTAATGCCTAGAACTACACCTGGAAATTCAGCCATCCATCCACACAACACACACATACATTAAGGACCTGCTCTGTACTGACCTGGTCCCAAACCCAGAGCTAGAGAGGAATAAATAAGCCACAGTCCCTGTCCCCACAGAGCACATGATCCAGTGCAGAAAGCACTTGGCAGATGCTGGAACATAATGTGAAGAGATCCCACAGAGGATCCACTGGAAGCCACTGTGCCAGGCACGGGGAGGGCCGGGGAGGCTCCACAGAGGAACCAGAAAGCTGTGATGTGGAGGAAGGTCTGCGGGCCAAGTGGGGCCAGGGCACTTCCCAGAGGGAAAGGGGTTCAGGTTTGGGTTGGACCTAATGGACTGAGGCTGCTGAAGACGTGACATCAAGGCGGGAAGAAAGTAAAGCTGCAAAGTACTCCCATGGCCCCTGGGCATTTTCTTTTTAAAGAAACAAACACACGAGCTGCTGTATGCTTAGCAGCTAGCCGGTGGCAGATGTGAGCTGCCATCACTCACGGCTCCAAACTTTGGCCCAGGAGCTGCCATAAAGGCCTGGGCATTTGTACTGAGGTAGAAAGGGAGACACCTGCATTGCAGTGCCCTTTGTAACAGAAGGCCAAGACTGGGTCCACCTGACTCCCTAACCCTGCTGCAGAGAGGGGCTTTCTAGTCCCCACAGGCCGCTGCAAACGGCCATTCCACGCAGCCCCTTCCTGGCAAGAGTGATGGTTGGGCAGGGCAGAGGAGTGATCCCCTGCTGGCTCTGGTTTCAGAGCGGGGCGGTGCTGGGAGCCCATGCGGCGTCAGATTACAGCCTGACTCAGCACATCCTGAGGAGGCCAGGACAGTGAGGTCTGGGATGGAGGTGGGGGGAAGGGCCACCTTGCAAAGGTGCGAAGAGGCAGGTTTCATACATACAGGGTGGATGTAAATGGACACAAACTAGGTCAGTGGTCCCTAACAGTGCCCTTGGAAGAAAGGGAAGCACCCACCTCCCCAGGATATACACGTTCACACTTGCACTTCCAGAGACAAAACTGTCCAACTGTCCACCAAAAGAAGATCCATCCTTGGGACACCTCAGAGGAGCCCCCGGCTGACATGGCCACATGACCTATGGTACCTTCACCCTACAGAACACCATGAAGGAGCCAAAAAGAAATCCGAGGAGCGCCACGTGCAGAAGCAGAAAGAGCTCTGGGGGCGAGGGAGGCGGCAGAGCAGCACGGTGGCATGGGGCACTCGCTCCAGACCAGCCCTCCTGCCCACAGGCCTGGCTCCACAGTAAGCCAGCTAGGTGTCCCTGGGCAAGAAGGTTAACATCTCTGTGCCTCAGCTGCCTCCTCTGTAGGGTGTGGATAGTAAAAGCACCTACCTCACAGGGCATGGCAAATATCTTTCAAGTGCTCAGCCTAGTACCTGAGACACAGTATGGGCTCATCAAATGTCAGTGATGCATGCCACAAGGGGTGACACTTGTGAAAAAAAACAAAATAATACCATGTTCTGTATGAGAGTTTATGGGAATAGAGATGCTTGAGTACACACCCAGAAGACAATGTGGAAAGAAACATGTCGCACTTAAAATGCTGGTTACCTGGGTGGTTAGGAGGTATTATTTTAACTTCTCACCCAGAAAATGAGCACGTATAATGACATAATGAAAATCAGTTTCAAAACAAAGGAGGAAGAGCATAAGAGCTGATGGATATGTCATCCAGTTCCCCTCAGCCCCCCTGGGCCTCAAACCCCCTCCCCCCATAGGCCTGGAACATACTTCTCTGGCTTGGGCCCTTGGGACGGCAGACTGAGCCCAGCTTTACCTGGTGAATGATTCCAGATCCAGGCTTCCAGAAGCCCACGCCATATTTGGCACCTGCAGTTGCCAGGAAATTATAAACTTCCTGGTTGATGTCCTATTGAGACAAATCAATAATTGGGCGTTAGCAACATGGTTTGTGTCCAGGTGACCCTCACCAAGCCCTCCCCACCCCATCAGCCTCCCTTCTGACTCTGAAATACTGGCACTGGAGACAGGCCCTCTCTTAGAGACCTTCTAAAAATAATTCCAAAGAGCTTGGATGTTGGCCCAGTCTCCACTAGCAGTGTCAGAGAGAAGGACAGGGGAGCAGAGATGGAGCCCCAGTTCTGTGACACCTGGCCAGGGTGGTGGGTCTGGAACAAGTCCCTGCCCTGGTCTGGGTCTCAGTTTCCTTATCTGGAGAAGGGACTGGTCTAAATAATTGCCAAGAGTGCCTGTGGCACTCAAGTCCCCAGATGAGGCCAGCAGTGCAGAGGCAGGCCCTGGCCTAGGCGCAGTGGCTGGGTGCAGTGGCTCACGCCTGTAATCCCAACACTTTGGGAGGCTGAGGCAGGCAGATCACTTGAGGTCAGGAGTTCAAGACCAGCCTGGCCAACATGGCGAAACCCTGTCTCTACTAAAAATACAAAAATTAGCCAGGCATGGTAGTGCACACCTGTAATTCCAGTTACTCGGGAGGCTGAGGCACAAGAATTGGTTGAACCTGGGAGACAAGGATGCAATGAGCCGAGATCGTGCCACTGCACTCCAGCCTACAAGACAGAGCGAGACTGTCTCAAAAAATAAAAATAAGAATAAAATAAATAAAAATTAGCTGTGCACCTGCGGTCCCAGCTACTTGCAGGCCGAGGCAGGAAGATCACTTGAGCCCAGGAGTTCAAGGCTGCAATGAGCCGAGATCGCACCACTACACTCCAGCCTGAGTGACAGGGCAAGACCCTGCCTCAAAACAAAACAAAAACCCCAGAGGCTTTTTTTGAAATAACTTGCTGGAGATCCCAGGCTTAGACGACACCTGAGAGAGCCCCCTGGACTGGTGTCTGACTGTCGGAAGTGCTGAATTCTTGGTAATGTGTTTGATGGGCCCAAATGGAAGGCTGTCGAAGGGACCACTGTTCTGAAAAGGAGGTTTCAGCCAAACGAAATGATGACACGGGCTGTAGCCATCCTGCCTATAATCTGAAGGAAGCTTCCTTGAGGGACAGGGAAGGGCCCACTGCACAGCAGATGTGAGGCCAGGGTTTATCTGGAAGACATGGGAGGTCCCTGTGTGGGGTCAGTGAGACTGACCCCAGTAACAAAACGGTGGGATTCTAGTGGACTCTACTGAGTCTCAAAGGAGGAACTAGGAAATGGGACCTGCCAGCCTCCGGCATGGGAGAGCGATGCTTCAGAGAAGGGACCTCAGCCAGTGCCCTCGGACCCTTGATGAGATACACTCAAACCACACACCCCTTCACTGAAACTCCAGACCAGTGTGTGCCCTCTGAAGGCCCACTGGGTTCCCCCAGGTAAGAGAATGGCAAAGAACGTGGGTTTCCAGAGCAGTCTCTTTCCAATTAATAATTAATACATCAGCTTTTTCATTTACAAATCGGTCACTTATGAAATTGGTATCCAGGACAGGAGGCTGTGGTCGTGTCTGGGCGCATGTGACTACACGTCTGTGTTAAGTGTGAGGAAGGGGTGTGGGAGGACCCCAGACTGGTGCCAGAGTCTCGGCCTGGACTCAGCCTGGATCCATCTCTGGTTCTGTGACCCTAGACAGGTCACTGCCTCTGAGCCCTAGCCAGAGGGACACTTTACAAATACACGTAATAATGACCACATTCTAGGCCGGGCGTGGTGGCTCACACCTATAATCCCAGCACTTTGGGAGGCCGAGGTGGGTGGATCACCTGAGGTCAGGAGTTTGAAACCAGCCTGGCCAACGTGGTGAAACCCTGTCTCTAGTAAAAATACAAAAATTAGCCAGGTATGGTGGTGGGTGCCTGTAATCCCAGCTACTCGGGAGGCTGAGGCATGAGAATCGCTTGAACCCAGGAGGCGGAGGTTGCAGTGAGCCGAGATTGCAGTGAGCCGAGATTGTGTGTCACTGCACTCCAGCCTGGGGGATAGAGCAAGACTCTGTCTCAAAAAAAAAAAAAAAAAAAAGACCATATTCTTTCTCCGCTTAAACTGTTCTAGGACTCTGAGGATGGTGACCATAGCGTTCCCACAGCCCTCGCGTTCCTGGCTGCCCCTGCCCACCTCATACCACCCGCTCTTCCAAACACAGAGAACTCCAGCAGTACAGGCCCCCTCTCACTTCCACAAAAGCATCAAGTTTCTTCCTGGCTCAGGGTCTTTGCAAATGCTGTTCTTTCTAGCATGTTCTTCCTCCAGTCAATGCAACTCATATGTTCAGTCCTCAGGTTATCTGTCACATCCTCAAAGAAGCTCTCTCTTTCCCCCAGCATCTAAATTAGACCTCTTTTTTATACTGACCAAGTCCCGCACTTTCCCTTCCTAACACATACCCAGATCTGCAGTTACCTACCTCGGCCATTGTTTAGTGTCCACACCCACAAGCAGATCCCTGAAGGCAGGGCCCCTGCCTGACTTGTTCACACTGAACCTCAGTACCTAGCCCAGTGCCTGGCACATAAAGAATGTTCAATTTGTTGAACGCATGAGGGAATGAGCTCTGAATGCTATGAGTGTGCATCTCATCTCCAGAAGATTCACTCTGAGCCCATAAAGCAAGCAGAAAGCCAGCCCCAGAAGGTAGCAGCCCTGTTGTGGGCAGCTGTCCCCAGGGCTGCAGAGGACCCACGTTCCCGGCCATGTGCAGTTCCCGGCACTGTGGGAGCTCCTGTAACATTATTACCCCCACCAGTGTTGTTGCTAATGTGGAAACCGCCGGCCGGCAGGCAGGACTGTCCTTTCAGCTGAGGGGAAAGAGCCACTGTGGAGCCAGGATACCACCAGGGGGCCAGGGTGGAAGAGAGGGTCTGAGTGAGAGCGCCGCCCCGAGTGTTTCCCATGGGGCTGGGAGGCTTTGAGCCATGCTGACCCTGGGAGCTGGAGCACTTTCAATCACATGCCCACAGGCCGCAGCCCTGCCAGCATTCAGCTCCTGCCAACGCCCCTCCCCGTGAGGGGGACCCACTCCCACTGCAGGGGCTGGAGAGTGGGGAGGCCCAGAGCTGGGAGAGAGAGGCCCGCTGTTGCCAAGAGCAGGCTGACACAAAGGTCCCACAAGCCGAGCCTGGGAGAAGGAGCAGGAACTCGATTTCATAGAAGGGTGGGGGAAAAGCCTTCAGCATGGCATACAGCCACCCCCATGTAGTTAAGCAAAACTCACAGAAGAATGGCCCCCAAAGGAGGCTCCTCAGTGACAGAGCACCAGAGTGGGAGCCAGGATCAGCATTGAGCCCTAATCGTGCCCTCATGTAGTTACAGAACTCAAGTATGATGCCACTGCCGCCTCAAATTTACAAATAGTGACCCTAGCACGCCTACCTCCCGGAGAGGGTCCTTGGAGGGTCAGAGGAGAGCGGGAGTGGGTGCAAATGGGATGCTGGCAAACTATGCTAAGATGCACCCCTCACTGCTCAGGCAGACAGGGAGGCCTGCATGGCCCCTTCCAGAGCACCTGGCAGGATCCACATCATCCTCCAACAGGACAGAAAAAGGACCTGCAGTGTGGTAAGGTCAAGGATGATTTTTTCTTTCTTTAGGCTTCCTCTGTATTTTTTAACATAATGAGCAAGTGCTATTTTTAGAAAGAGAAACAAGTAAAATCAAGTTTTAAAAGCAGACCAATCCAAAGAGGTGTGAGAATTTGGAGGCAATGCCCTGGTTTGCTCCAGTGTGAGGGTGAGGCCTCTCGCCCAGTCTTGCCCACTTGCCCACCCCCAAAGCCACCTTCTGCTCACCTTGGCCCGGCGCAGGTCTTTCTCGCCCCCAACCTGGGCTTCAATCAGATGGTCACAGTGGATGGTGGATGGCACAGCCACCTTGGACAGCCCGCTGCTGATGAACTGGAGCATGGCCATCTGGGCCGTCGCATCCTGCATGGCCACACGGTCCGGCCGCAGCCGCAGGTACGACTTGCCTCGCTCAATTTCCTGGCTGGCGGGGTCATCCAGGTGTCCATACACAATCTTCTCCGAGAGTGTCAGCGGCCGGTTCAGTCTGTGGGGAGAAGAGCAGAAGGGTGGCCTGGTGCTAGCTGCACGGCCTCCTCCCGCCCTGCCTCTCCCTCTCAGTCCATGTGGCAACCTCAACAGTGGCCAGGGACAGGGAGTCTGAACTCAGGACCTCAACGTTCCACTTGGGTGGGGACTGCTGGGTCCTGTTCACTGCACCACCTCCTCACCTCCTGCAGCACCTGGCACTTGTTAGGTGCTCCACAATTACTTGATGAGTAAGTGAATGACAACATCACAAGAGGGCAGCGCTGGTTCTTTTCAAAGGATCCTGGCTTTCCCAGCATCGTAATTCCTACTAAGTCCCCGCAACATGCATATCTCATCATTCCTGCCATTTAACAACAACAACAACCAAGAAAGCCATTTAACAACAACCAAGAAACAGGCTCAGGAGAGTGACCAAGTTCACAGCTAGATTTCGCTACTTCCCTCTGTGCCCTCAGCCCCACTAAGGCACAGGGAATCAGGACCAGCATCCCCTTCACCTGTCCACCCTGTCCGCCATCTACAACCCTCCACACCTCAGGCCTGGGATGCCTGGCTACCCAACTATGACACTAAGACTTTGCCCATTAGCTCCAGACATAGACAGGAGTATCTGTCAGTTTTCAAGAACAGAGACCGGGTCACTGCCACTGGCCTCTCACAGCTCCTCCTCCTCCTAGACCCCATTTCCCCGGAGGCCCCACCCCTCCCTTCCTCATCAGAGCCAAAATGGCAGTCCAAACCTGCCCTGGGGTCCGGCCCTGTCAGGACTCAACCGTCTTCTCCCCACAAGCCTCCCAGCCATCTAGACTGAGCTCTGCGCGGGTCCACTCTCCCTGCCAGGCTCAACGTTCCGGCTGACTCCCGGCTGCACCCACACAACAGAGCAAAGGGGCTGTTGTGGCCGCCCTGCCTGCCACAACAGCCCCTTTCAGACCTCACGCTCTGCCCCCCAGAATTCTCAAAGCTTAGGCCAAGCTTGAGACTTCCTTCCTAAGGAGGAGCAGAGTTCAACCCACACCTGACAGGCTCTGTCCTATTGTTTGAGGCCAAGAAAAAAGTTTCAGACTGGGAGTCAGAAGCTCTGAGTTTAACCCTGACCTGGGGGCCTGGTGTGGTGGCTCACGCCTGTAATCCTAGCATTTTGGGAGACCAAAGCAGGAGGATCGCTTGAGGCCAGTTCAAGATCAGCCTGGACAACAGAGTGAGACCTTGTCTCTATAAAAAACAGAATGAGGCCGGGTGCGGTGGCTCATGCCTGTAATCTCAGCACTTTGGGAGGCCGAGACAGGCGGATCATGAGGTCAGGAGATGGAGACCATCCTGGCTAACATGGTGAAACACTGTCTCTACTAAAAATACAAAAAAATTAGCCAGGCGTGGTGGCGGGCGCCTGTAGTCCCAGCTACTCGGGAGGCTGAGGCAGGAGAATGGCGTGAACCCGGGAGGCGGAGCTTGCAGTGAGCTGAGATAGCGCCACTGCACTCCAGCCTGGGCAATAGAGCAAGACTCTATCTCAAAAAAAAAAAAAGAATGAGCCAGACAGGGTGATGCGTGCCTGTAGTCCCAACTACGCAGGAGGCTGAGGCGGGAGGATCACTTAAGCCCAGGAGATCAAGGCTGCAGTGAGCCCTGATCACATCACTGCACTCCAGCTTGAGCAACAGAGTGACATGCTGTCTCTAATAAAAACAAACAAACAAAAAAAAAACAAAAAAGCCCAAACCTGACCTATTACTGAAACCACTATTTAACAAGATAAGCAACTGCTCTCCTCAGCTCAGCCAGCCCATCTCTAAATACCAGGGCTTGCACTGGGATGAGATAACAGCTTCCACTTCTATAGCCTTTCATTTTTAAACAGCTTTAAACAGAGGTATAATTGGCATACAATAAACTGCATATTTAAGGTACACAATTTGCTAAGTTTTGACACTGTATACACCTGTGAAACCAGCACCACAATCAAGATACTGACCATCTCTCCTTCAAGTTTCCCCACCCCTTGGTTAACTCCCTCCCGCCCCTTTGCCACTACTGATTGGCTTTCTGTCACTAGAGACCAGCGTTATCGTAGCATTTACTTTCAGCTCAGCATTATCTTAAGTATTTTCATGTATAAAACTCATTTTATCCTCACAGCACAGATGAGGAAGCTGCAGCACAGAGGGACAGAGTAGCTTTGCTCCAGACCACGAAGCCAGTGAGGGGTACAGCTGGACCACGAAGAGGCAGCAGTGTGGCCCTACGGCTGTGCTCCTGACGCTAATCTACCCGGTCTCTCCACACCTGGAATCTGGAATAGGGCCAGCACATGGTGAATGTTCCATTTTCATTATTATTATTATTATTATTATTATTGTTATTATTTTGAGACAGGGTCTTGCTCTGTCACCCAGGCTGGAGTGTAGTGGCACAATTGTAGCTCACTGCAGCCTCAACCTTTCAGGCTCAAGCGATCCTCCCACCTCAGCCTCTGAGTAACTGGGATTATAGGCACGCACCACCACATTGGCTAATTTTATTTATTTATTTATTTTATTTTTGTAGAAATGGGTTTTCACTGTATTGACCAGGCTGGTCTTGAACTCCTAGGCTCACATGATCTTCCCGAAGAGCTGGGATTACAGGTGTGAGCCACCTCATCCTTTCTCAGTTATCATTACTGTTATCATCAATATGCATAGTGAGATGGCAGAGAAACTTCCTTCTGCAAGCTGGGTTCCAGTCCCTCACCCCCAAGTTTACCCAACCTCTTCAAAGTAAGAGTTCCCAGCTGGGTGTGGTGGCTCACGATTGTCATCCTAGCACTTTAGGAGGCCGAGGCAGACAGATCACTTGAGTCCAGGCGTTTTGAGACTAGCCTGGGCAACTCCACCTGTACAAAAAACATAAAAAGAAGCCAGGCATGGTGGCATGTGCCTATAGTCCCAGATACTGGGAAGGCTGAGGTGGGAGGATGGATTGACCCCAGAAGGTCAAGGCTGCAGTAAGCCATGATCGAACCACTGCACTCCAGCCTGGGTAACAGAGCAAGACCCTACCTCAAAAAAAAAAAAAAAAAAAAAAAAAAAAAAGTCCCTAAGGTGCTGGATCTGCTGGCAACAGCAGACCAACTGGCAACTCTGAGCATCTCTATGAATAAAAACAGCACTAGCCTGAGGTACAGCCTGCGCCGATTGCGGCAGCACCGCCAAGGCTGGTGTACGGGCAATGACTCACAGCCCCTCCTTCTGGGCCCCGAGGGAGACAAAAAATAGCACATGGGCTTAAAAACCCAAGACCTTGGAAGCAAATGATTGAAGCTATATAAAAAAGCTCAGCAATGCTGAAGCTTTAGGATGGGTTCATCATTGAATGTCCCTGAGGATTAACTGAGGATGACAAAATGGGTCTTCATATCCATCTGTCCCTCTGCTCTCCAGATGACACAGATCCAGTTCTCAAGAACAGACTTAGACCCCTTCTGTTGGAGACACAAGGTGGAAGAGAAGTCGCCCAGCAAGTCCCCTGGCCTTCTAAAAAATTCTTAGAATAGAACGCTTTATTTTTATTTTTTGAGCCAGAGTCTCTTCCTCTGTCACCAGAGACACCACTCTGGCTGGAGTGCTGTGGTGTGGTCTCAGCTCACTGCAACATCCACCTCCTGGGTTCAAGCGGCTCTCCTGCCTCAGCCTCCCGAGTGGCCGGGATTACAGGCGCTCGCCACCATGCCTGACTAATTTTTTTGTATTTTTAGTAGACACAGTGTTTCACCATGTTGGCCAGGCTGGTCTCAAACTCCTGGCCTTAAGTGATCCGCCTGCCTCGGCCTCCCAAAGTGCCGGGATTACAGGCGTGGGCTACCATACCCGGCTAGAATATAATTCTTTTTAGCATAACCTCACCTCTGCCCTCTTTCTCCGTGTCAGGGTTTCTCAGCCAGGGCACTATGAACCTATTTGGGCCGCAGAATTCTTTTGTTGTGGGGCTGCCCTGTGCGCTGTAGGATGCTTGGTAGTATTCCTGGTTACCCATTGGGTAACAGTAAGCCCCAACCCCAGCCAAGTTATGACAACCAAAAATATCTCTAGACATCACCAAATGGGCCCTAGGGACAAAACTGACCACCCCCCACCTTGTTGAGACCTGCTCTGTGGCAACAATGAAAACAGAGAACAGACCAGGTGTGGTGGCTCACACCTGTCACCTCAGCACTTTGGGAGACTGAGGCGGGTGGATCACAAGGTCAGGAGATTGAGACCATCCCGGCTAACATGGTGAAACCCCTTCTCTACTAAAAATACAAAAATTAGCTGGGCGTGGTGGCAGGCGCCTGTAATCCCAGCTACTCGGGAGGCTGAGGCAGGAGAATCACTTGAACTTGGGAGGCAGAGGTTGCAGTGAGCCGAGATCGTTCCACTGTACTCCAGCCAGCCTGGGCGACAGAGCGAGACTCCGTTTCAAAAAAAAAGAAAACAGAGAACAATCCCCTCGTCTGTACTAATCTGGAAAATGTTCAAAGTTATTGGACTTTAAAAAAAAAAAGAAAAAAATTTATTGGACTTTTCTGGTTGCAAAGCAAGGTTGGAATAAAAGTAAGCAAGGAAAAATATTGTTGTAGTTGTCAATTTTAATGATAAAATTAAAACTAAAAAACTCCCAGTGCCTTAAAGGGTATTTTGTTGTTGTTATTAATTGTTTAATGCAAAAACTAAATAGTGAATAATACTCTGTTGTCAAGTTATCTCAAAGCGAACCTCTTGCTGGGCACAGTGGCTCAGGCCTGTAATCCCAACACTTTGGGAGGCCAAAGGCAGGGGGATCACTTGAGCCTAGGAGTTCAAGACCAGCTTGGGCAGCCCATCTTTAAAATTTTTTTATTAATTAAAAAAAAAAAGGCCAGGCGCAGTGGCTCACACCTGTAATCCCAGCACTTTGGGAGGCTGAGACAGGTGGATCACTTGAGGTCAGGAGTTCGAGACCAGCCTGGCCAACATGGTGAAACCCCCATCTTTACTAAAAATACAAAAATTACCTGGGCATGGTGATGCACGCCTGTAATCCCAGCTACTCAGGAGGCTGAGGCAGGACAATCGCTTGAGCCTGGGAGGTGGAGGTTGCAGTGAGCCGAGATTGCACAACTGCACTCCAGCCTGGGTGACAGAGTGAGGCTCAGTCTAAAACAGAAACAAACACAAACAACAACAAAACAAATCTCTATGACAGCTCTCCTTCATACCTGATGAAAGCAAGGTGGAAGTGTTTTACAGAGTAAAGAAAAATCTATCACTTTTCCACTGAGCAGCGGTGTGAGAGCTCCAAGAATAAATACAACGTCCTATATTGACAGGGACAGTGGTTCTTCGTCCTGACTGCACTATGGGACCTGCTGGGGAACGGGCCAGTGCTTCTCACATTTTGACAGGCACGTAAGTCCCTTGGGGATCCTGTTAAATGGCCGGTTCTGACTCAGTGGGTCTGGAGTGGGGTCTAAGATGCTGGAATTCTAACAAGCTCCTAGGTGATGCCAATGCTGCTGGCCCATGGACCACATTTTGAATAGCAATGCCTAGATCACTTGAATCAGAATTGCTGGGAGTGGGGCCCAGGTGTCCGTCATTTTTAAAGCTTCCCAGGTGATTCTAACATGGAGCCCAGAAGAAACCCACAAGAACAAGCCCTGGAGTCACAGAGACCCAGGCTTGAGTGTGGGGTCAGTCACTCAATACATGTATGGCCTTAGGGTATTTCCCCAACCTGACTTTCAATTTTGTTACCTGCAGAATGGTGGGGGGCAGAGATGGAAAGCAACAACCTACAGGGGTTGTTGAGAACAGAAATAATGTGTGTCAAGTACCCAGGCCAGACTGGACAACAAGGTGGGTACTCCTGTCACAGCCGTCCTTGACAAACAATAGGTCCTTTACTATAATTAGATGATGCTGTGCTGGAGGCTGGAGATCCAGATTAAGGAAGTCCCTACCCTTAAAACCGAAGTGGGGATACCAGTAGATAGAAAGCAAAGTGGCATGAGAAAGGGAGTATGGGGTAGTGGTTAGAGTACTAGAGGGTACAAAGACGAGACACCACCACTCATGCACTGCATGGTTGTGGGCAGGTTCCTTCTCCAGCTGAGCCTCAGCTACCCAGCGGGTAGACTCAGATTTGTTCTCTCCCAGGATCACCACTGTCAGTATCAAAGAAGCCACCAGGCAGGCAAGGGCACAGCCCCATCTGCAGTTGTTCAGGTTCCAATCAATCAAAGCAAACTTCTATGACAGCTCTCCTTCATGCCTGATGAAGAGCAAGGTGGAAGTGTGGCAGTGCAGGCTGGTGTGCATTGCCAGCCCCGACTCCTCATCCTCTGTGGTACCTTATTCATCCTTTTGGTGGCAGCATCTAACCCAGGACCTGGCACACAGGACAGCAGGGCAGAGCTGACTGCCATTTTACCAAGTGAGGAAAATGAGGTCCAGAAAAAAGACATGCTCAAGATCCCACCTTAGGCCAGGCACCATGGCTCGCGCCTGTAATCCCAGCACTTTGGGAGACCACGGTGGGAGAACAGTTTTGAGCCCAGGAGTTCGAGATCAGTGGCAATGTGGCGATACCCCATCTCTACAAAAAATAAAAAAAGTAGGTGAGCATGGTGGCTCACGCCTGTGGTCCCAGGTACTCAGGAGGCTGAGGTGGGAGGATCACTCAAACCCAAGAGATTGAGGTTGCAGTGAGCTGTGATCGTGCCACTACACTCCAGTGTGGGCAAGAGAGTGAGACCCTGTCTCAAAAAAAAAAATAGTCCCAGCTGGGCACAGTGGCTCACACTTGTAATCCCAGCACTTTGGGAAGCTGAGGCAGGTGGATCACCTGAGGTCAGGAGTTTGAGGCCAGCCTGGCCAACATGATGAAACCCCATCTCCACAAAAATACAAAAAATTAGCCAGGCATCGTGGTGCGTCCCTGTAGTCCCAGCTACTCGGGAGGCTGAGGCATGAGAATTGCTGGAACCTGGGGGGCGGAGGTTGCAGTGAGCCGAGACTGCACCACTGTACTCCAGCCTGGACCAGAGTGAGACTGTCTCAAAAAATAAAATAACATAACATAAAATCATAAAATAAAATAGGCCAGGCGCAGTGGCTTACGTCTATAATCCCAGGACTTTGGGAAGCCGAGGCAAGCTGATTGCTTGAGCTCAGGAATTCGAGACCAGCCTGGGCAACATGGCAAAACCCCATCTCTACTAAAACTACAAAAATCAGCCGGGTGTGGTGGCAGGTGCCTGTAATTGCAGCTACTCAGGAAGCTGAGGCACAAGAATCGTTCCAACTGGGGAGACAGAGGTTGCAGTGAGCCAAGATTGCACCACTGCAATCCAGTCTGGGCAACAGGGCGAGACTATGCCTCAAATATATATATATTTATATATATTTTTATTTTATATATATAAATATATATATACTCTGCCTCAAATATATATAAATAAAATAAAATAAAATAAAATAAAATTAAATTAAAAAGGTCCCATCTTAGTTTATCTTCTGGGTCTCAGACCTGAGCTCTCCTCTGTGCCTGTGCACTGAAGAGGAAATAGAAGATGATTCTCCAGGCACTGGGCCTGGTGGCTTCCAGAGGGCAGGCCGAGGGTCAGCAGCCTGCCCTGAAAAGGTTGGGAGGTTCAGGTTATAGTGCCAAAGTGTCTCAGAGACCTGGCTGTGGTTCACATCTAGAGGCTTCTTGATAACACAGATTCTCCCTTGGCAGAGAGGACAGAAGTTACACCACTGATCTGGAATGCCTTTCCTCAGCAGAAACCTTTGTACCTTGAATACCTTGACCCTGCCACTATCACCAAGCATCCTTCACAAAACACCTCCTTCTCTGCCTGACGGGCAGGCAGCAGACGCAATGCCCTTGACAGTCACAGCCTCCCATCTGCAGCCTTACCGTTTGCGAACAATGTTAATGTTCTTCTCTAGCAGGTCATAATGGATGTACTCGTTGGGCTCAAAGTGGCTCATCGCCACCTTGGCCCGTTGGCACAGGACTGAGGCCACATGGTACTGCCGCACACCCAGAGCTTTCTGCAAGAAGAAACATGACAGCCACTGTCAATGGAGCACTTAGGAGAGTCCATCCCCGAGGGCAGCTCAGTATGGTGAAAAAAATCCAGGAATTAAAGTGTCAAGAGCTGTTCAGTAACTGCAGCCTCAGCTTCCTCATCTGCAGGACAGGGATGACAAAGCAGCCACAAGGAACACAGCCTGGGGTAGGAAAAAAGTGCAAGGGATTTATAGACAAAAATCGCTGGGATCAAAGTCAAGTTCTATCATGTAAGGTGTATCAATGTAAGAAAAGCCCTCATTGACTAAAACCCAGAGGAGATAGAAAATAGGGATATAACCAGCTCTGGTGATCACACGGGGTACTGGGAAGGTTAAATAAGACCATAAGTGAAAGTGCTCATTAAGCTGTAAAACACTATCCAAACCATAGCTATTAGTCTACCTGCACTATAAGCTTCTTGAGGGTTGAGATCAAGCCTTATTTATCTTACTCATCTCTATGTCTGGACTACCTGGCACATACTGGAGATTCAACAAATATCCATGGGTCAGAGGGAAGAATGAATGAGGAAAACCCTGTGCGTGAGCTTTGGATGTTTCCTCATCCCTTCAAAAGGTGGTGCCTAATTCCCTTCCTTTTTTTTTTTTTTTTGAGACGGAGTCTTGCCGCCCAGGTGGGAGTGCAGTGGTGGGATCTCGGCTCACTGATACCGCCGCCTCCTGGGTTCAAGCTTCAATTTCTCCTGCCTCAGCTTCCCAGTAGCTGGGATTACAGGCACGCACCACCATGCCTGTCTAATTTTTGTATTTTTAGTAGAGACGGGGTTTCACCACGTTGGCCAGGCTGGTCTCAAACTCCTGACCTCAAGTGATCCATCTGCCTCGGCCTCCCAAAGTGCTGGGATTACAGGCATGAGCCACCGTGCCCAGCCATTACCCTCCCTTTGAATGTGTGGCGGACTTACTTCTACTTTATAGAATGTGACAAGGGATGCTATTGGACTTTGAGACTAGGTCATAAGAAGAACAGCTTCTGCCTGGCTTGCTCTCTCTCTTGGATTGCTCTGGGGGAAGACAGTCCCCATATTGTTAAGCAATCCTGGGAGAGGCCCACCTAGACAGGAACAGGGGCCTCTTGCCAATAACCAGCACCACCTTGCCAGGTGTGAGTGAGCCATCTTGCAAGCGAATGCTCCAGCCCCGGTTCAACCCGTCAGATGGCTAGCCCCGGCTGACATCTTCACTGCAACTTCTGGAGAGGCCCCAAGCCAGAACCACCCAGCCAAGCCACTCCCAAATTCCTGGCCCACAAAAATATGAGATAAATGCTTGTTGTTGTTTTAAGCCTTTAAGTTTGGGGGCAATTTGTTACACAGCAATAAATAAATGATTGTTATGGTGGGATCTGTATTAGTTAATTTTTTTTTTTTAAGAGATAGTGTCTTGTTCTGTTGTCCAGGCTGGAGTGCAGGGGCAAGATCATACTTCCCTGCAGTCTGAAACTCCTGACTTCAAATGATCCTCCCATCTTAGCCTCCTCGGTAGCTGGGACTACAGGCGCACACTACTACACCCAATTATTTGTTTATTTACTTATTTTTGAGATGGATTCTTGCTCTGTCGCCAGGCTAGAATGCAGTGGAGCGATCTCAGCTCACTGCAACCTCCGCCTCCCGGGTTCAAGCACTTCTCCTGCCTCAGCCTCCCGCGTAGCTGGGACTACAGGCACCCACCACCATGCCCAGCTAATTTTTGTATTTTTAATAGAGACAGGGTTTCACCATGTTGGCCAGGATGTTCTCGATCTCTTGAACTCGTGATCCGCCTGCCTCGGCCTCCCAATATTTTTTTTATTTTTTTTTAAAGGGAGTCTTGCTCTGTTGCCCAGGTTGAAGTGCAGTGGCATGATCTTGGCTCACTGCAACCTCCACCTCACGGGTTCAAGTAACTCTCCTGTCTCAGCCTCCCAAGTAGCTGGGACTACAGGCACACGCCGCCACACTTTGCTAATTTTTGTATTTTTAGTAGAGATGCAGTTTCTACATATTGGTCAGGCTAGTCTTGAACTCCTGACCTCAGGTGATCCACCTGCCTCGGCCTCCCAAAGTGCTAGGATTACAGGCGTGAGCCACTGCGCCCACCCTAATTCTTTTAGGTTTATTTTTTGTAGTGATAGGGTCTCACTACATTGCCCAGGCTGATTTCAAACTCCTGGCCTCAAGCAATCCTCCCGCCTCAGCCTCCCAAAGCAGAGATTACAGGCATGAGCCGCTGTACCGGGCCTGTATTAGTTAATCTTAAACTATGAATAACAACCTTCAAGGGTACCTTGTTACCAGAGAAGAATAAATGAATCCAAAGAAATGACAGCAAGAGGCCGGGTGCAGTGGTTCACACCTGTAATCCCAGCACTTTGGGAGGCTGAGGCAGGTGGATCGCCTGAGGTCAGCAATTTGAAACCAGCCTGGCCAACGTGGTGAAACCCTGTCTCTACTAAAAACACAAAAATTAGCTGGGCATGGTGGCGGGCACCTATAATCCCAGCTACTCAGGAGGCTGAGGCAGGAGAATTGCTTGAACCCAGGGGGCAGAGGTTGCAGTGAGCCAAGATCACCCCACTTCACTCCAGCCTGGGTGACAGAGCGAAACTCCGTCTCGAAAAAAAAAAGAAAAAAGAAATGACAGCAAGAAGGGAAGAGCTGCTTCCCTTCTAGGTGGTTGGTGTTCCTCGTCATACCTTGGGTAAGGGAAGAGGCAAAGCTGAAGCCACTGCCCCAGGCTCCCTTCTGTATGTCACCTGGATATATAATCCAAACGCTGTCAATCTCAGCACCTGAACCCAGTATGTACCCAGAGCAGCCATTCCCTGTTCGAGTCACCCAGCAGTAAGAACAGGCCACATTCTGAAACAGCACCCCTGACCATCACCCATTCTAACCTATGGCAGGGGCAACATCCCCAGTCCAGACTTCACATCCATTTGCCCTCAAGCTCAAACCTGACTGATGGCTCCTCACTGCCTGCCTCACTGGGTAGGTGCAAAGAACCCACCAATGACATGACATCAAAGGACCTTCCACAGTGCGTGTGCATAGGAAGAAGGTAGTGTATTTCTGCTGCAGTGATAAACGCTATCCCTGTGACGGGTGGAGGAGCCCAGTGCATGGGGTAGATGGAGTAGCAGAGCCCTGGGTTTAAGGATGGCCCCACAACTTACTGATCCTGGACAATTTAACCTCTCCAAGCAATCATTTCTTCACAGAGCTATTGTGAGGATCTGGAGGGATTATATAAAGTACTGAGTACGTTTCCATGATTATTACCCTGTGCGTTCCTAAGTGTACACACAGCTACCCCCACCATGTTCTACACACAAATGAGAAACCATACAAGTTGTTCTGCAACTCTTCTTCTTTTACTTTTTTTTTGAGACAGGGTCTTGCTCTCATCGCCCAGGCTGGAGTGTAGTGGCACGATCTCAGCTCACGGCAACTTCTGCCTCCCAGGTTCAAGCAATTCTCCTGCCTCAGTCCCCCAAGTAGCTGGGCACTACAGGCGTGCACTACCACACCTGGTTAATTTTTGTACTTTCTTGGTGGAGATGGGGTTTCACCACGTTGCCCAGGCTGGTCTCAAACTCCTGACCTCAAGTGATCCACCCACCTTGGCCTCCCAGAGTGCTGGGATTACAGGTGTGAGCCACCACACCTGGCCTGCAACTCATCTTTTTCACTTACTAACAAATCTCAGACAGCTTTCCAATGTGAAATTACCAACCTGTTTCTTTATTTTTACAAATTAATTGCCCTAAGTTTCAGTTTCCTTAGAAATAAAAACAACTGTGGCTGAGCGCGGTGGCTCACGCCTGTAATCCCAGCACTTTGGGAGGCCGAGGTGGGTGGATCACGAGGTCAGGAGATGGAGACAGTCCTGGCTAACACGGTGAAACCCCGTCTCTACTACGGCGTGGTGGCGGGCGCCTGTAGCCCCAGCTACTCGGGAGGCTGAGGCAGGAGAACGGCATGAACCCAGGAGGTGGAGCTTGCAGTGAGCCGAGATCACATCACTGCACTCCAGCCTGGACGACAGAGCAAGACTCAGTCTCAAAAAAAAAAAAGAAATAAAAATAACTGTAACAATACCTATTGCCTGGTCAGTAGGCAAGACAATACATTGTAATCTTATCTATAGTACCGGGAAAAGGCAAAGCCCCAATTCCCAACAGCCAGGGCACGGTTAAGCAAACTACAGACTACTTATCAATACGTAGATGGGCTTAAGAAATAATGCTGGGCCAGGAGCGGTGGCTCATGCCTGTAATCCTAGCACTTTCGGACACAGGAAGATTGCTTGAGACCGGGAATTCAAGACCAACCCGGCCAACATAGCAAGACCTGTCAAGGACAAAACAGGCCAGGCACAGTGGCTCACACCTGTAATCCCAACACTTTGGGAGGCTGAGGCAGGAGGATCAATTGAGCCCAGGAGTTCAAGACCAGCCTGGGCAAGACAGCAAGGCCTTGTTTCTACAAAATAAAATAAAACATAAATTAGCTGAGCATGGTGGCATACACCTATAGTCCCAGCTGCTCAAGAGGCTGAGGCAGGAGGGTCACTTGAGCCCATGAGTTCCAGACTGCAGTGAGCTATGAACTCACCACTGCACTCCAGCCTGGGCAACAGAGCAAGACCTTGCCTCAAAACAAAACAGGCTGGGCGTGGAGACTCACGCCTATAATTCCAGCACTTTGAGAGGCTGAGGCGAGTGGATCACCTGAGGTCAGGAGTTCGAGACCAGCCTGGCCAACATGGTAAAACCCCATCTCTATTAAAAATACAAAAATTAGCAGGGTGTGGTGGCAGACGCCTGTAATCCCAGCTACTCGGGAGGCTGAGGCAGGAGAATTGCTTGAACCCAGGAGGCAGAGGTTGCAGTGAGCCGAGATCCCGCCATTGCACTCCAGCCTGGGTGACAGAGTGAGACTCTGTCTCAAAAAACAAAAAGGACAAAATCATATGTTGATACAGAATACAGCCTGGCGCAGTGGCTCACGCCTGTAATCCCAGTACTTTGGGAGGCCGAGGTAGGCGGATCACTTGAGGTCAGGAGTTCAAGACCAGCCTGACCAACGTGGTGAAACCCCATCTCCACTAAATATACAATATTAGCCGGACATGGTGGCGTACGACTGTAATCCCAGCTACTCAGGAGGCTGAGGCAGGAGAATCGCTTGAACCCGGGAAGTGGAGGTTGCAGTGAGCCGACATCACGCCATTGCACTCCAGCCTAGGCAACAAGAGCGAAACTCTGACTCAAAAAAAAAAAAAAAAAGATACAGAATACAACTTATGGGTAAAGAAAGACTATGATGTCTCTAATATGAGACAAGCACAGTGTGACGCACCTGGAATATATTACATGGCCTAATCTTCACAGCCACCCAGTGAAGCGGCTCCTATGATTATCTCAGGCGGGATCCAAATCCAGCCTGAGTGACCCACGTGCCTGCTGTTGCCCCAGACAAGTCATTTAACTCCTTAAACCTCCGTGCTTAATGGAGATACACTTCACAGTGTTAAACACAAATGAAATCAGCTACACATTTCACCCTTAATCACTGTGCCGTTCTGCTTTCCAACTATGTGAAAGTGTCTGTTCCCAACATCCAGTGCTGTCCAAGAGGACTTCCTGTCCTGATGAACATGTTCTAGATCTGTGCTGTCTGGTGTGATCTCAGCTCACTGCAACCTCTGTCTCCAGGGTTCAAGCAATTCTCCTGTCTCCACCTCCCAAGTAGCTGGGATTACAGGCATGTGCCACCACACCTGGCTAATTTTTGTACTTTTAGTAGAGAGGAGGTTTTGCCATATTGGTCAGACTGGTCTCGAACTCCTGACCTCAGATGATCTGCCTGCCTCAGCCTCCCAAAGTGCTGGGATTACAGGTGTGAGCCACCGCGCCTGGCCTTTTTATTTTTTACAACATGTTGCCCAGGATGGTCTCGAACTCCTGGACTCAAGAGATCCTCACATCTCGGCCTCCCAAAGTGCTAGGATTACAGGGATGAGCCACCGCACCCAGCCAAGGAATGGAATTTCTTATGTCACTGAATTTTAAATTGCCAGATTGAACAGCTTAGGTTTATAAATTAGTAAGGATGAAACACTCATTCTCACTAGTCTATCTGCTCATTGCAACAAAAAAGTAAAAGACAGCTAGACTTTCAGTCTTTGCCAGTTCACCTATCTTCTCCAGTCCTCAGGGGAAATCTCAGCTTGACTCCTGGCTTCAGAGCAGTGAGAGGCTGTAGTGCATGAAATGTCACATGGAAACTGTTAAAAGAGGGGGCCATATCAACATGCTTACCCTGTATTTTTTTTTTTTAATTTCATTCTCTACACATGGGCAAGAAATATGCTTACCCTGTAGACTAACTTCAAGGGCAAGGCCACCATGTGTTGTGGTTTGAATGTGTCCCCCAAAGTTTATGTGTTGGCAACTCAATGCCCAATGTCAGTGTTGAGAGGTGGGGCCTTTAAGAGGCGATTAGGTCAGAAGGGCGCTACCCTCATGACCGGATTAATGCTGTTATTACAGAAGTGGGTTAGTTGTCATGCGAGTCGGTTCCTGATAAAGGGATAAATCCGGCCCCCTTCCTCCCCTCTCTCTTGCCCTTACGCCTTCTGCTAAGTGATGACACAGCATGATGGCCCTCACCAGATGCAGCCCCTCAATCTCGGACTTCCCATCCTCCAGAACTGTAAGAAATAAATTCCTTTTCTTTTCTTTTCTTTTTTTGAGACGGAGTTTCACATTTGTTGCCCAGGTTGGAGTACAGTGGCGCTATCTCGTCTCACTGCAACCTCCGCCTCCCAGGTTCAAGATATTCTTCCGCCTCAGCCTCCTGAGTAGCTGGGATTACAGGCGCCTGCCATGACGCCTGGCTAATTTTCTTTTTTTATTTTTTTTGAGATGGAGTTTAGCTCTTGTTGCCCAGGCTGGAGTGCAATGGCGTGATCTCGGCTCACGGTAACCTCTGCCTCCCAGGTTCAAGCGAGTCTCCTGCCTCAGCCTCCCGAGTAACTGGGATTACAGGCATGCACCAGCACACCCAGCTAATTTTGTATTTTTAGTAAAGACGGGGTTTCACCATGTTGGTCAGGCTGGTCTTTAACTCCCAAACTCAGGTGATCTGCCTGCCTCTGCCTCTCAAAGTATTCGGATTATATGCATAAGCCACTGCGCCTGGCCTAATTTTTTGTATTTTTAGTAGAGACGGGGTTTCATCATGTTGGCCAGGCTGGTCTCAAACTCCTGACCTCAGGTGATCCGCCTGCCTCGGCCTCCCAAAGTGCAGGGATTACAGGCATGAGCCACTACGCCCGGCCTAAATTCCTTTATAAATTACCCAGTATGTGATATTCTGTTATAGCAACACAAAATGGACTAAGACACCACATATCATTCATTCATGGACCACATATCTCTCATATGTTAAATAAATAAATAAAAGACTAGCTTTGGGTATTTACCCTGCTTTTAGAATAAAAATTAAAAATTACTAATTAAGCATCTGTTCCATGCCAAGCACTTTCTGTGCCTATTTTGAATTCCCAATATAACAGTGCAAGTAACTTATTCCCATCTCACAGATGTGGAAACTGGAGATCAGGGAGGTAAGTCAGAATTCGATAGCTGGTATGCAGTTGACTCCAGGATGCAAGCTCAGGTCTCTCCTTCTGTGATGGATCACTTCTTCTAGATCCTGCTACCTCTAGAATCTCGGCCAGTCCCTCTCACCTCATATGGCCCCTCCTTTCCCAGAACAGTGTGGTAGTTCGGATTGAAGAACTATAGTCAGATTGCCCAACCCAGCTCCACCACTTAACTGCTGTGACCCTGGGGAAGTTATTTAAGCTCCCCACATCTTAGTTTTGCCATAAATAAAATGAAGATAAACTTCACAGCATTGATAAAAATGAAATCATCTACATAAAGTGCTTGGCATATGGCCTATTCATAATAAAAGCACTCCACATGTGTTATACTATATTGTTTCCTCCATAAAGGAGATGAACGTAAAACTAGAAGTGGTGACATTGTGTTCGTTCTCTGGATGTTGCCAGAAACAGCATGCCTCTTCTTATTTTTCTTACTGCAGACAGTTTTAAAGGCCCTTGTGGCTGATTAGCATTTTCCAGAAGCCTTAGCTCATCAGGTCCTTTGGCATTCCTGACCCCCTTCTGATGTATTCCAGCTGCTCTGCACTGTTCCTCCTTGGTTACCTGACCCCCTTCCAACTTTGGACAAGTCATTCTAAAACTCTAAACTGATTTATTTAGGTGCCTCTCTTTCTCCTCTCCAGATTATTTGTAATTTGTTAGAATTTGCCTTGGAAAGTCTCCCATCCCTCTCAAACCCCTTCTGCTCATGGGCCCCTGGCAGTGGGATCTCATCTATCTGGTATCTGGGAAATTCAGAACCCGCCTTCCTCAAGGGCACTGAACATGATGAACCTCCTTGGCCAGAACACATTCTAAAGGGACCTGCCACAGGTCTTTACAGATGCAGTTTTTCTTCTGCTTGGAATGTTTGCTGTCCACCTCCATTCCCAGTCTGCCCTTTGCCTAGGGAACATCCAGTTGATCCATCAAACTCCAAATACATTTCACTTTCTCAGGGAATCCTTCTCCGAATCCCCAGCCCTATGAGAGCCTCCTATTATATATGCCCTTTACCTCTCCTTGACTTCATTCATGAGATGATGTCTGTCTCCAAATATTTTAGTCTGTAAGCTCCACTAGGGAGAGATTGTCTCTGTTTATTCATAACTAAAATCCCCCGGCCTGAAAAGCAAGCCCGATACACAGGAGGTGTTACATAAATACCAATTAGTTAAAAAAAGGGATGTTGCTTCTACTTTCCCAACCAGCTCTTCCTTACTAAGCAGGATTAAAATACAGAGCAGGTTGAGTTAGTCTTGTGAGAGCCAACAGTTATCAAGGCAAATCAATACTTTATCAGTCTTAGATGCTTTTAGTTAGACTGTAAAGAGGTTCAACATTTTGAAAGACAATTAGGTAATACATATTAAAATGTAAAGTGTTTGCACTCTTTGACTAGCTTTCCCTCTTCCAGGAAACTATCTAATTAAAATATATAAAAGAGCAGAGAGACAGGCAAAGGTACTGTCCGCGGCGCTGTTTTTAAGAGAACAACCCAATTGTCCATACACAGGGCACTGATTGAATAAATTCTGGCTCATGCACCATGGAATGCCACTCTACAGCTGTTTACAAAGAAGATAATGGTGATGGTTGCACAACATTATGAACATAATTAGTACTAATGAATTGAACACTGAAAGTGGTTAAAATGTCAAATTTTCTGTTAGATTTGACCACAATTTTTTTTTTTGACACAGAGTCTTGCTCTGTCGCCCAGGCTGGAGTGCAGTGGCGCAGTCTCGGCTGGCTGCAACCTCCGCCTCCCGGGTTTAAGCGATTCTCCTGCCTTAGCCCCCCACTGAGTAGCTGGGACTACAGGCACGTGCTACCACGCCCAGCTAATTTTTGTATTTTTAGTAAAGACAGGGTTTCACCATGTTTGCCAGGCTGGTCTTGAACTCCTGACCTCAGGTGATCCATCCGCCTGGGCCTCCCAAAGTGCTAGGATTACAGGTGTAAGACACCGTGCCCGGCCTGTAACTTTTAAATGTTGCATGATATATACATTTCTTTTGTAATCAGAAAAAGAAAAAATAAACCAGGCAAATAGTGAAGAAAAGCATACTCCTTAAAATATAGAATAGCAGAATTGTTTAGCGGCAATTTGACAATAATCAAAAGCGTTTTGGTTTTTTGAAATGTGCAAACCCTTTGTTTCAGCAAGTTTACTTACAGGAAGTTATCACTATGAAGGAAAAGGAAAAAAAAAATGTACCTTTACAATAGCAGGATCTGATTACCACCATTTTAACCCAGAGATCAAACACGGCACCACCGACAGCAGGACCACCCGACACCGGTGCCTCCTGGTGACACGGCCTCACCTATAAAGAAGTCTTGCCCAGAATGTTTAACCTGCATCTAAGCAAGCTTTGGAACCTTACCTCCAGAGTAAGGGAAATGCAGGAGGAAAAAAGAACAATGAAACCCAGAAGGTGGACATTCTACAGGAAAACTGGCCTGGTCTCTTCAAAGAGTCAATGTCATGGGGAAGAAAGTGCTGGGGCAGGGAGCGGGGGTGCTGCTGTAGATTAAGACAGGCAGAAATGGAAAAACAAATGCAATGTATGTTTTTTATTAGATCTCGATTTGGAAACAGATAGCTATCAAAGACATTTTGGAAGAAATTAAGAATGTGGTCTGGGTATTACTATTAAGAGTATTATTATTTGGCCAGTGCAGGGCTCACAACACCTGTAATCCCAGCACTTTGGGAGGCCAAGGCAGAAGGATGGTTTGAGCCCAGGAGTTTGAGACCAGCCTGGACAACACAGTGAGACCCTGTCTCCACAAAGGATAAACAAAATTAGCCGAGCAAGGTGGCACACGCCTGTAGTCCCAGCTCCCTGAGATGCTGAGATGGAAGGACAGCTTTAGTCCAGAAGGTCAAGGCTGCAGTGGGCTGTGATCATGTGTGCCACTGCACTCCAGCCTGGACCACAGAGCAAGATCTTATCTCAAAAAAAAAAGGGGAGGAGGAGGAACTGGATTATTCCAGCTGTATCAAAATCACCTGGAAGGTTTTGTAAAAACTCAGCTTCTAAGCCCTATCACTCCCAGAGCTCTGAACCAGATCACCTGCAGTAGGGCCTAAGCATCAGTAAAAGATTACCAGGTTACTCTGAGATAGCCACATCTGGTAACCACTGAACCTGATGTTCTCCAAAGTTCCTTCCAGCTCACAGTCTATAAATATTCCTCCCCAGCAAGCAGGCTCTCCAGTAAACCCCCTTAATCCCCAAAGGCCTGGAGGAAAGCACAGCAATGTCAGAATGGATTTATCTGTATCAAGGAAGAAACCCCCAGAACCCAGGCCCTTCTGGCTTAGCCACAGCCTTCACCTTCATGTACATGCAGGTAAGGAAGCAACGAGCTACATGTGTGCACATGTGAAATGCAACCCAGTGTGTTGCCCCAGAACGCACATGAGACTCAGAACAGCACTCGATTATGATCAGGCCACTGGCTGGTCACACAGCTTACTCTTTCTTCTATAAAACAGGGAGAATGATCCCTGTAGTCTACCTCACTTAACAAAGAATTCATTTAACAATGAATACCTTCCTAGGTGCCAAATGCTGTTACCATGAGGCTTCCAAGCTTTTCCAAGTTAAGGCACATTAACAAAATAATACATTTGGACACCACAGAGCAGTAAGCAGACTAAACTGCTGCCAGGAGGCAACCGGCAGGCTCAGCATGTCACCCTGCTAGGGTAGGGTAAAGCCAGGGCTCACTATCTTGACATGCCCACGTCCCATCTGCTATAGCGCACCTGAGGGATGCCTAGTTGTACCACATTGGACACTGGGAACACCACCATGGGGCCCCTACCGTCAGGATTACCATCTGGTAGAATAAGGAAGACACCAAAACAGAAAGTGCTGTAGTATTATAGTTGCTATTGTGCACATTAGGTGCAAGATTCAGTGAGGCCACAGAAATATGAGCAATCAAGCGCAAAAGTAGGCAAGATTTTATCAGGCTCAAACCAGATCATGTTTGAGTTCAAGTTCAAAAAAACTGGCTAGAGATGCATATATTTTGAAGGTAATAATAGTAGGATTTGCTGAAAAGTTGGCCAAGGGGTGTGAGAGAAGGAATCAAGAATATAACTTAGGTTTTGGACCTAAGTAACTGGGAAAATGGGTTGCTATAAACGAAATGGGGAAGGCAACGGGAAGAGCAGGCATGCACGGTGAGATCAGGAGTTTGGTTCTGGACATTGGACTATCTGATACCCAAGTGGAGAGGCCAAGCAGGCAGGTGGATTCTCATCCTAGATAAGCAGCCCTCTAGAGCTGTGTTAATTTGATGATTCATCTAGAAGTATAGATTATCACAACTCAAGATGACCCCAGATCACCAAGAATTTTTTCTTTGTTTGACAGATGAGGATATGAATGCCAAGGTCACATACCTAGTTAACAGAAGTTAGGGGCAGAATTCAAGCCCTCCAATTATCAAGTCAATGCTTTCCCTCCCATACTACCTCCCCAATTTAAACTAACGTCTTCCTGATTCATTAAATGTTTCTCCAGTCCCAGACTATGTGTTGTGGTGCCTGAATTTTAGGTGAGAAAACATGTCAAGTCATCACTCAAGGGACTGTGTAAGTGACTATGTGAGAGAAGTGCTGTGATAAAAAGTTAAGCTGCTGTAACAGCATAAAGCTGGACAGCTTAATCCAGAATGGGGGAAGGGCTTCTCCAAGAAAGTGATGTTTGATCTGAGGCTAAACAAATGGGCTTTAGGGGAAGGAGTCCAGGGAATTTGGCACAGAGAGAACAGCATGTGCAAGAAAGCACTTGCAACTGAAAGAAAAGAAAAGCAGCCAAGCACGGTGGCTCATGCCTGTCATCTCAGCACTCTGGGAGGCTGAGGTGGGTGAATCACCTGAGGACAGGAGTTCGAGACCAGCCTGGTCAACATGGTGAAACCCTGTCTCTATCAAAAATACAAAAATTAGCCGGACGTAGTGGTGGGCGCCTGTAATCCCAGCTACTCGGGAGGCTGAGGCAGGAGAATCACTGGAACCTGGGAGGCGGAAGCTACAGTGAGCCGAGATGGCGCCACTGCACTCCAGCCTGGGCGACAGAGACAGACTGTCTCAAAAAAAAGAAAACAAAAGAAAAGCAGCTTGGTTGTGGCAAAGTGAAGAAGAAATGGCAGAAAATAAGACTGAGGAGACAAAAAGGAACCAGGTATCACGAGGGACCTTGAAGGTGTAGAAATGCTACACAATGGGCCGGGAGCAATGGCTCACGCCTGTAATCCCAGCACTTTGGGAGGCCGAGGCGAGCGGATCACAACGTCAGGAGATCGAGACCATCCTGGCTAACATGGTGAAACCCCGTCTCTACTAAAAATACAAAAAATTGGCCGGGCACGGTGGCGGGTGCCTGTACTCCCAGCTACTTGGGAGGCTGAGGTAGGAGAATGGCATGAACCTGGGAGGTGGAGCTTGCAGTGAGCAGAGATCGCGCCACTGCACTCCAGCCTGGGCGACAGAGTAAGACTCCGTCTCAAAAAAAAAAAAAAAAAAATACAAAAAGTTAGCCGGGCGTGGTGGCACACACCTGTAGTCCCAGCTACTTGGGAGGCTGAGGCAGGAGAATCGCTTGAACCTGGGAGGCAGAGGTTGCAGTGAGCCAAGATTACACCACTGCACTCCAGCCTGGGTGACAGAGCGAGACTCCGTCTCAAAAAAAAAAGAAGAGGTTGACAGTAGCTTATCGTGTACCCTCTTTCCTAGCAGCACATTTGCACTCTATTATGTGCCAAGCAATAGGACTCAGATACCAAGAAGAGTGAGACAGTCACTAGACTAATATGCCTCAGTCTAGCCAAGATCAGGAAGTAAATGCAAAACCTCACTGTAACCTTTGAAAGAAGGACACACACACACACAAGGGGCAGGAGTGGAGCACAGAGAATGAGAAGCTCTGCCTGGGATGTTTCCACAAGGCTTCACAGAGAGAGCAGCGCCTGAGCAGGGTCGCAGAGGGCAACCAGGCATTTGCAGGGCAGGTGAAGAGAACACACAGCATGCACACAGAGACTCACCAAGTGAAGCATGCAGAAGCTGCCAATCACTCAAAATGCTGGGGTGTAAAAGACAAAGCAGGAGGCCAGGCACGGTGGCTCGAGCCTGTAATCCCAGCACTTTGGGAGGCCAAGAAAGGCGGATCACCTGAGGTCGGGAGTTTGAGACCAGCCTGACCAACATGGAGAAACCCGGTCTGTACTAATAATACAAAAATTAGCCGGGCGGGCCGAGCGCCGTGGCTCACACCTGTAATCCCAGCACTTTGGGAGGCCAAGGCGGGTGGATCACAAGGTCAGGAGATCGAGACCATCCTGGCTAACACAGTGAAACCCCATCTCTACTAAAAATACAAAAAAAAATTTGCCGGGCGTGGTGGTGGGCGCCTGTAGTCCCAGCTACTCGAGAGGCTGAGGCAGGAGAATGGCGTGAACCTGAGAGGTGGAGCCTGCAGTGAGCCGAGATCGTGCCACTGCACTCCAGACTGGGCGACAGAGCGAGACTCCGTCTCAAAAAAAAAAAAAAAAAAAAAAAATTAGCCGGGCATGGTAGCGCATGCTGTAATCCCAGCTACTCGGGAGGCAGAGGTTGTGGTGAGCTAAGATTGTGCCATTGCACTCCAGCCTGGGCAACAAGAGTGAAACTCCATCTCGAAAAAAAAGACAAAGCAGGAAATAGTGGAAGATCAGGGTGGAAACCCAGCCAGGCAGGGGAGGGTGTGGCTCGCTGTCCTAAAAACCTGAACTATAACCTGCTGTTTACAAGGGGCAATGTGGCACAGTGAAGATAACTTAACCTGACCAGGAGCAGTGGCTCACGGATCCCAGCACTTTGGGAGGCTGAGGTGGGTGGATTACCTGAGGTTGGCAGTTTGAGACTAGCCTGACCAACATGGAGAAACCTCGTCTCTAATAAAAATACAAAAAAATTAGCAGAGTGTGGTCGCACACGCCTATAATCCCAGCTACTCAGGAGGCTGAGGCAGGAGAATCACTTGAACCCGGGAAGTGGAGGTTGCAGTGAGCTGAGACTGCACCATTGCACTCCAGCCTGGGCAACAAGAGTGAAACTCCATCTCAAAAAAAAAAAAAAAAAAAAGAGCTGACTCCAAAGCCCAGCTCTGTCACTTACTACCTACATGACAAGCACATTTCACCCCAATTTCCTCACTTGGAAAAAAAGAATAATATCTGCAGTATTATGTGAGGAATGAAATGATATGAATGTTATTCTGAGTTACTGTGAGGCATGAAATAATATGAATGGGTTCCCAAAGAATAGCAAGTATGTAATTATGTAATATGTAAAATACTAAAAGTAATTCCAGCACTTTGAGAGGCTGAGGCAGGAGGATCACTTGAGCTCAGGAGTTCAAGACCAGCCTGGGCAACATAGTGAGACCTAGTCTCTATTTAAAAAAAAAATTACCAGAATTTTTCCTCCGTTATAAAAAGCAAGATATATTTCATGGAGAAAATATAGAAAAATCATAAAACACACAATTTTACAGACTCCCTGAAGCCCATCCAGGGACATCTATCATCATTACCCATCCACCAGCTCCCTGGCCTGGTACAGGATATCTTGTGGGTCTCTAATACTCAATGACTCCAAGCAAGGCACCAAGCACTAGTCCATGCTGCATCTCTCCCTCCCCACAATCCCTGGTACCATGGAATCCATTGTACCCACACTGAACAGGTGTCAGGGCTGAAGTTTCTGAGCAAATACAACCCTGATAATACTAATCTTTATTAGTAGTATTTGATACTTTTGTTTTTAATGTAATTTTCTATTTTGATCAGAGTAACATCTTTACGCATTATTAAAATTTAAAAACTATCATTATAAAGGAAACCAGGACTCAAGTCCCAACCCCCCATTTCCCTGCCCCAAAGACAACAAACTTCAACACTTGGTGTACTTATCACAAATTCATTCTCAAACTCTCCATCGGCTACGACACTCGATATTATGAATGCGTCAGGAGATCCACCAGCCTCGTCATCTCCTGGAGCCTCTGTCTCCTTCCCCATAAGGTCTAATACCTCTCTGGAACTCACATCCATTAGTATCCTTAGAATATCCTGTCCTCCTCTTGAGTTGGATTCTTGTTTCCTGGATTCAATGGATTTTTCTTAGATTACTGTCGTTTTGAGAGAACACATCCTCAAGTATCTGCCATCCTCCCACTGCAGCCTCCTAAAGTGCTGGGATTAAAGGTGTAAGCCACCATGCCCAGCCCAGTATTATTTAAGGAAGGATGATGATGATGCCTTGGGCATATTTTTAATTTTCTTTTTTTTTTTTTTTAAGACGGAGTCTCACTCTGTCGCCCATGCTGGAATACGGTGGCGCAACCTTGGCTCACTACAACCTCTGCCTCCTGGGTTCAAGCGATTCTCCTGCCTCAGCCTGCTGAGTAGCTGGGATTACAGGCATGCACCACCACGCCCAGCTAATTTTTGTATTTTTAGTAAAGACAGGGTTTTGCCATGTTGGCTAGGCTGGTCTCGAACTCCTGACCTCAAGTGATCCGCCCGCCTTGGCCTCCCAAAGTGCTGGGATTACAGGCATAAGCCACTGCACCCAGCCATATTTTTTAAAAATAACTTTACAGAGTTCTGTTTTTATTTCCTGATTCCAAAAGTAAAACACACTCAATGCTCAGTTCAACCTCAGGCCACAGAGACATTCCTGAGGTCACCCATAAGGCCATCCAACACAGTTTTCCCAAAACTGGGAAACGGGAAAATTTTTTCCCATACTTGGAGCCTACGTCTCAGGCCTTGTAAAATCCTCACTGGTAAATCCCAGGCCCTCATCTAGAAGAAATACTTTCACTGCGCCCTCGCCCTCCACTTTCCCCCACTTTCTGGGGAACAAAGGGGCTGAGGGCAGGACTGAGGTGGCCTCGAGGCAGAAAATCTCCCCTCATCAACTCCCATAAGCCCCCTGGTTCAACATGACTAGGTCTGGAAGCTCACTCTCTTCCCAAAAGCCTATTCTACTACTGGTCAGTTCTAAGATTTTAAACTAATGCTTCTTAAATCAAATGAAAATGTGCCCCCATTACATCATTCCAGCTTTGGAGATCTGGGCTCAAATCCCAGCTCTGCCCCTTACAAGCTGTATAACCTTCTGTGGTTTTATTTAATCCCTCTAAACATCAATTTTTCCCATCTGTAAATGGGGATAATGCTTCACAGGCTGCAGTGAGGATGAAAGGAGAGAACCTAGACCAGTGCCTGGCACATGACAGGCCTAACTTCCTAGTCCTATCCTTTGGAACCAGATCAAATGAGGCTAGTCAGTCTTCCACAACCAGCCCTTCAAATCACTGAAAACCACAATTATGTCTTCTCCATCCTAAGCATCGTTATAGCACTTCCTCAGCCACAAAACAACTTCCTAATTTTACACCTAAGTGGGAGTCTCCCATCAGGGTGACCAGTAGCCAGATGCCCACAGATCTGTTTTGGAGTAACTATCACCTCCCACACATCTCTGTGTGACTCTTGTGAACCTTGCTGTGCATAGCTCAGCCTCCCTAACTGCCTGAAGCTGCAGAGGCTCAGAGACAGGAAGGGGCCTGCCTAAGGTCAAACAGCTGGGAACTTGCAGAGGCCGAGACTTTCTCCCTGTGCTACCGACAGTGTCTCCCAACCTCTGCTTCAGGCCCAGCGGCCAGGTGGGCTGAGTCCTCCAGGGGGTTGTTGGTCCCAACTGCTGACCCTAAGTGCCTTTGCTGAGTCTAGCTGGATGAGCCACAAATCTCCAGGGCTTCCAGGGAGTAAGGGAGGCTCTGCTGATCCTGCATCTACCAACACAGAACAGTGGGCAAACGCTGAGGGAAGGGGCATCCCCACAGCAGACCCCCACCGGGGAGCCAGGCACCACACGGCTAGGCAAGACAAGGGAAGAAAGGATGCTGCTGGCGAGATGACAACAGCTCTCTTACCCTAACAATTGTGCCAAGTGGGATTACTACAGGTCATTCTGTCCCTTGTTTACATGAGAAGACAGAGACTTGGACCAGATGGGAAAGTAAAGTCCACTAAAATATAAGCTCCATGGGGACAAAAAATGGTCTATTCTGGTCACAATATATTCAGAACCTAGGACAATGTCCAACACATAGAAGAAGTTCAAGAAAGACTTACTGATGAAACAGATGAAGGCAGAGCCGTGACACGACCACCGGCCTTCTGGATTGTGCTTTCAAACTCAAGTTAAGTGCCTCTGGCAGAAGCCGTGATGAGCAACAGCACGGGTTCAGAGCTGTGGCAGATGGGAAAAGGGCCCACCCCACGGCACATCACATGTACACCCACTCAGAACTCCCCACAACCCCACTCGGCCAAAGTCAGACATGCTGCCCTCTCTTCCCAAAGGACGGAGGTCGGAGGTCTTCCCTTGGGACCAGTTGTATTCAGAGAATACTACAATCGAAACGGACTGACCTATTCTCGGGCAGGCTTCTGCCCACCTTGTCCAGCATGGTGCATACAGCACTGCTTGTTGGGGAGCCATGTACCAGTGAGCCCCAGCATACAGAGCAAGCTACAGAGCTGAGGGTGCCGAGCCACCCAAACAGGCCAGGGTCCGGGAGAGGCCAGGTCTCTTGAGACAGTTGCTTTAACAACTGACAGAGAAGTCACCAAGCACTTGTCAGAGTGCCATCATGGAAACACTCCAAGACAAGTGCCGAGTCACAGAAATGGCATCCACTCTAGGGCTGGAGGGATCTGGCTTGGAATCTCAGCTTCCCTAGCTGTGGGACCTCAGGTAAGATTCTTTACCTCTCTGAGCCTTAATTTCCTCTTCTGTAACATGGGGGTAAAAGAGCAGAGATTTTGGCCGAGGGTAATGGCTCATGCCTGTAATCCCAGCACTTTAGGAAGCCGAGACAGGTGGATCACCACCACTCCTGAGCCCAGAGTTCAAGACCAGCTTAGGCAACAAAGCGAGACCCCCATCTCTACAAAAAAATACAAAAATTAGCCTGTGTCTATAGTCTGAGCTACTCAGGAGACTGAGGTGGGAGAATTGCTTGAGCCCAGGAGTTTGAGGCTGCTGTGAGCCAAGATCGAGCCACTGTACTGCAGCCTGGGTGACAGAGCAAGACTCCATCTCGGAAGAACAACAACAACAACAAAAATGGCAGAGATTTTGTGAGGATTAGAAAGACTTGTAAATACAGAGGAAAAGTCTAGAATGATAAACACAAAATTGCCCTGGGGACTGGGACGGGGAGAAGAGAGCTTTTATGAATATACTGCATTCTATTACAAAAAATATATACGAAAGGCATAGAGCTTGGTAGCTGGGCTTCTGGCAGGCATTCAATAAACGTAAGCTGCTATTACTCAGTTCGCCTGGGAGAATGAGATGCTGCTACTAAAACGTGGCCTGCCTGTGTACTGGGGAGAGGATTACGGGCAGATGTTTTTCCACTATGCCGCCTACTTCTCCCTCCCCAGCCACCAAAGACCAGAGCCCCAGAGCAGGTCCCAAGCACCAGGACAGCACATCTTGGAATTGAAATGGAACTGAAAAGGCCTCATCTATCCACTCCTTCTGTATTTGAATGCCTAACACACTCACCCAACCTAGCCAAGCTGTCTCCAGCAGTGGGGAACTCATACATTACACGGCAGCCCATTTCACAGAAGGATGACTTCGGGCTCACATCTCTTAGCAACTAACTGCCTAGCCCTTCCTGGCAGAGAAGTCTCAGGTGGACTCTGTCTAAGTGGGCAACACAGGAATGCACATCAGTCCACACCCTCCTAAGGAGAAGCATCTTCCCACACCTCCATTGCAGGGCTTCTAACAATTTTCTCCCCCTCCTGGTAGGCGATGCCTGGCTCCTCTCCTAAGAAATCAAAGCTAAACAATTCCCTCCTGCCAGCAGGCAGTCAGCTAGCTTGGTTGCTATGCAACTGGCAGGAACAAAAGTGATGCAGTCCTTTTCAGAGGCTTGGAAAGGGAGCAAGGAGCCATGTCTCTCCAAGTCAAAGCCTCTAAATGGGTACCAAAGGCAGCAGGGGGTTCCTTTAAGGAATAGGCTGATGACAGATTCGCTCATCTGACTAATTCTCTTTTGCTGCCTACATCAGTCGTACACTATGAACTGCATACAAATCCCAAGCCCTGCTCTGGCCCCACAGGCAGCAGCTCTGCACCTACACACTTGAGACGGGCATTCTCTGCAAGCTCAACAGGCAGCCTGTGAGGCTGAGCTGAAGCTCAGTCAAGGAATAAAGCTGCCTCTGTGCAACCCACCCCTCTAGCCTCTCCCCCACCAGCCTCACTGGTGTTTAGGGCAGGAGACAATCACAGTCTCAAAGACATAACCCAAACAGGCACAGAGCCGACTGAACTGTATCCCCTATATCCAGCCCACTCCACAGAGATCAGTTTCTACTCCCTCTGGGGAAACGGTTTGGCTGACTGGTAAAAAGCCTGGGTTCTGCAGTCAAATCTGCATCCATGTGCTAGCTGTGACCTCAGAGGAGCTATTTAACCTCTCTGGGACTCAGTTTCATCACTGTGAAACAGGCTACTCATATGTACTTCTTAGGGTTGTTGTGAAGGACAAATGAGGCAATATTTGTAAAACAAGACCTAGTTCTGTGACTGGCACAGAGGGCCTGATTGCTCAACAGATGGTGGGTAATGCGTTTCTCCGCTCCTCCAGGCCTGGATGGGCATCTGTCATTGTCTGTGGGCGGACCAAACACACCACCACTACATCCATGTTCCAGGACGGGTGGCTGAGGCTGTACTTAGTCCCACCCAGCAAATTCCCCCACCTACTCCTTGCTTCAGTACCGTGTATTATAGCTATTTAGATGACTTCTCCCTCACCACCCTAAAAGCTCTTCCACAGACAGGGCCCTTGTCTTAGAGCTCTGTGAACACACTCATGACACAGTGAGTGCTTATAAATACCACAACCACAGATGCCCTGCAGAAGGTCAAGGAGCCCGGCTACAAGGAACTAAAGAAGTGTGGCATACAAGAAAATTAACCAGGTGTGGTGGCGCATGCCTCTGGTCCCAGCTACTTGGGAGGCTGAGGCAGGAGAATTGCTTGAGCCCCAGAGGCAAAGGTTGCAGTGAGCAGAGATCGTGTCACTCACTGCACTCCAGCTTGGGCTACAGAGTGAGACTCCTTCTCAAAAAAAAAAAAAAAAAAAAGAAGATATGTGGCAGGGACAGGGCGGGGGTTTTAAAGGAACTCTAGATACCTCTTTGGTAAGTCCCACAAATGCCCACAGAATTAAAGCTCCCAATCAGAAACCATCTCAATCTCTCCAGGGGGAAAGCAGAAATACTCACCAGGCCTCAATTCACCAAGGGCCTAGACTTGAATATTTCATGATAAAAATAAATACTGCAAATATAACTCTAAAGCTCACTTCCCCAATGTTGTCCTTAGAGAATTAAAAAACTAAACCAAAAGATTCATTTCTACCTCTTCCCCCAACTCTTTTAAAACAGTATTGAAAGGGTTTTCTTGGCCAGGCGCAGTGGCTCACGCCTGTAATCTCAATATTTTGGGAAGCTGGGGCAGCTGGACCACTTGAGGTCAGGAGTTGGAGACCAGCTTTGCCAACAGGGTGAGACCCTGTCTCTACTAAAACAAAAAATACAAAAATTAGCTGGGCATGGTGGTGCGTGCCTGTGATCCCAGCTACTTGGGAGGCTGGGGCAAAAGAACTGCTTGAACCCAGGAGGTGGAGGTTGCAGTGAGATCATGCCACTGCATCCAGACTGAGCAACAGAGCGAGACTCTATCTTGAAAAAAAGGTTTCCTTGAACAACTACCACTTACCTGCTATCTGGGGAGATGATGGGAGGAACAAGCAATTTTCACAACTGGTTTGGTTTTTTTTTTGAGACAGAGTCTCGCTCTGTTGCCCAGGCTGGAGTGCAGCAGCGTGATCTCGGCTCACTGCATCCTCTGCTTCCTGAGTTCAAGCGATTCTTCTGCCTCAGCCTCCCAAGTAGCTGGGACTACAGGCGCACACCACCATGCCCGGCTCATATCTGTATTTTTAGTAGAGACGGGGTTTCACTACATTGGCCACACTGTTCTCAAACTCCTGACCTCGTGATCCACCCATCTCGGCCTCCCAAAGTGCTGGGATTACAGGCGTGAGCCACTGTGCCCGGCCACAACTGGTCTTTTTTAAACGTATGAGCTAAGGATAAAGGCTGGGGTGATGGATGCCGCGGGCCATCTGCAGGGGCTGGAGACAGAAATGAATATTCACCAAGTGCCTCTACCCTGCACTGGATTTGCCCCAAGTACTTTATCCACACAATCCCACGACTACCCTGTGAGGCAGAAGGCATTGTGCCCATTTAATGGATGAGGAAACTGAAGCTCTGGAATGCTAACTGTTTTGCCCAGGGTCACGCAGCAAGGTGGAATTCCAGGCCTGGCTCCAAAGCTGGTGCCCCTTCCTCTGGCCCAGGTGCTGCAGAATAAAACTAAAGAGGTCGGGTGCGGTGGCTCACGCCTGTAATCCCAGCACTTTGGGAGGCCGAGGCAGGTGGATCACAAGGTCAGGAGATTGAGACCATCCTGGCTAACACCGTGAAACCCCATCTCTACTAAAAAAAAAAATACAAAAAATTAGCTGGGCGTGGTGGCGGGTGCCTGTAGTCCCAGCTACGCAGGAGGCTGAGGCAGGAGAATGGCGTGAACCCGGGAGGCGGAGCTTGAACTGAGTGGAGATCGCGCCACTGCACTCCAGCCTGGGAGACAGAGCCAGACTCCGTCTCAAAAAAATAAATAAATAAATAAATAAATAAATAAATAAATAATATGGAAACCATTCTCCCTACCTTTAATTTACTTGGGAGGCTGAGGCAGGAGACTCGCTTGAACCTGATTCTCCTGCCTCAGTCTCCCAAGTAAATGGGATTACAGGTACACGCCACCATGCCCAGTTAATTTTTTGTATTTTAGTAGAGACAGAGTTTCACCATGTTGGCCAGGCTGGTCTTGAACTCCTGACCCCAAGTGATCCACCCACCTCGGCCTCCCAAAGTCCTGGGATTACAGCCGTGAGCTACCATGCCTGGCCCATTCTCCCTACCTTTCAAGACTTCCAAAATGAAGATATTCTACAAGGGGAAAATCTGTCCCTACTCTCAATCTTAGAAATGGCCTATTCCTAAAATAATATCAGAAACTATTTGCAGTGTGTGTGTTTTTTTGTTTTTTTGTTTTGTTTTGTTTTTGAGACAGAGTCTCGCTCTGTTGCCCAAGCTGGAGTACAGTGGCGCAATCTCGGCTCATTGCAAGCTCTGCCTCCCAGGTTCAAGCGATTCTCGTACCTCAGCCTCCCGAGTAGCTGGGTCTACAGGCGACCACCCACACACCCAGCTAATTTTTTTCTATTTTTAGTAGAGATGGAGTTTCACCATGTTGGTCAGGCTGGTCTCAAACTCCTGACCTCAGGTGATCTGCCTGCCTTGGCCTCCCAAAATGCTGGGATTACAGGTGTGAGCCACTGCGTCTGGCCTTTTTTTTTTTTTTTTTTAAGACAGAGTTTCATTCTTGTTGCCCAGGCTGGAGTGCAATGGCACAATCTTAACTCAGTACAACCTCCGCCTCCCAGGTTCAAACGATTCTCCTGTCTTAGCCCACAAAGTAACTGAGATTACAGGCATGCGCCACCACACCTGACTAATTTTGTATTTTAAGTACAGACGGGGTTTCACCATGTTGGTCAGGCTGGTCTTGAGCTCCTGACCTCAGGTGATCCACCTGCCTTGGGCTCCCAAAGTGCTGGGATTACAGGCATGAGGCACCACACCCGGCTCACAATGCTTTATAACACATCAAACAGAGTCAAAACAACTTTTCAAATATTAGGCCTTCAGAACCCTTCTTAACTGAAGGGTAGTTATTAATTACACTGTTTTGCAGATGTGTAACTAACTGCAGGACCACAGAGAGTTGAGACTTTGCCCGAAGCTACCCAGTAAGCCAGTGGCAGAAGTCTCCTAAGGCTCCTGAGGGTCCATCTGCTGCTTTTTTTTTTTTTTTTGAGACAGAGTTTCACCCTGTTGCCCAGGCTGGAGTGCAGTGGCGCGATCTCGGCTCACTGCAACCTCCACCTCCTGGGTTCAGCTGATTCTCCTGCCTCAGCCTCCTGAGTAGCTGGGATCACAGGCATGCGCCACCACGACTGGCTAATTTTTTTTTTGTATTTTTAGTAAAGATGGGGTTTCACCATATTGGCCAGGCTGGTCTCGAACTCCTGAGCTTGTGATCCACCCACCTCAGCCTCCCAAAGTGCTGGGATTACAGGCGTGAGCCACCACGTCCGGCCCATTTGCTGCTTTTTAAAGGCTACAAGAAGTCTCTCTACAATACCTTCCTTCCTTCATGCTGAGAGGCCCAGAGCCCACCACTGCCTTCCAAACCAGGTGCTGGGAAAACGAGGCAAGTCAAAGAAAGCTGGAGCCAAGGAAGACTCAACACTCTCTTCCCACTAGCCAGGCACAGTGGCTCGCGCCTATAATCCCAGCACTTTGGGAGCTCAGGAGTTCAAGACCAGCTTGGGTGACATGGCAAGATCCCCATCTCCACAAAAAATAAAAAATTAGTTGGGCATGGTGCCACATGCCTCTAGTCCCAGCTACTAGGGAGGCTGGGGTGGGAGGACTGCTTGAGCCCAGGAGGTCAAGGCTGCAGTGAGCTATAATTACACCACTGCACTCCAGCCTGGCTGACAGAATGAGGCCCTATCTCAAAAAAAAAAAAAAAAAAAAAGGAAAAAACAATTTTTTTTTTTTTATAAAAAAGGTAAGCATTTACAAGATGGCCCTCTTGGACACACACCAGGTTTCACAATAAGACCAGATAGGACAGAGTCCACATGAGACAATATGCTCATACTCGACTCAAGTGAGGGCCCCTGGGTAAGACACTTGACGTCATCTGGCTTTCTCACCTGTGAAATAAAGTACTTGAGAACTGATGAAAGAATCAAAAATTTATCAATGAGATTCTGCCCTTAGCTAATTTTTATAAGTACTGTGCAGGCCGGGTGCAGTGGCTCACGCCTGTAATCCCAGCACTTTGGGAGGCCGAGGCAGGCAGATCATGAGGTCAGGAGATCGAGACCATCCCGGCTAATAGTGAAACCCTGTCTCTACTAAAAATACAAAAAAAAATTAGCCAGGCATGGTAGCGGGCGCCTGTAGTTCCAGCTACTCAGGAGGCTGAGGCAGGAGAATGGCGTGAACCTGGGAGGCGGAGCTTGCAGTGAGCCAAGATCGCGCCACTGCACTCCAGCCTGGGTGACAGAGTGAGACTCCGTCTCAAAAAAAAAAAAAAAAAAAAAAAAGGCTAGGCGCAGTGGCTCACGCCTGTAATCCCAGCACTTTGGGAGGCAGAGGCGGGCGGATCATGAGGTCAGGAGATTGAGACCATCCTGGCTAACACGTGAAACCCGTCTCTACTAAAAACACACAAAAAATTAGCCAGACGTGGTGGCAGGCGCCTGTAGTCCCAGCAACTCGGGAGGCTGAGGCAGGAGAATGGCATGAACCCAGGAAGCAGAGCTTGCAGTGAGCCGAGATCGCGCCACTGCACCCCAGCCTGGGTGACAGAGCGAGACCCTGTCTCAAAAAAAAAAAAAAAAAAAAAATGACTGCAAACACACGACCACTGAATTCAATCAAGCTCACCCATCCCTCAGTTACTAAGACCCCAAACCCAGGAGTCACCCTTATTCTCTATCCCTCCCATGCGCCAACCCATCTGCCTCCAAATATATCCCAATTTTGAATACATCTCATTATCTCCACCCCCCAGATCCCTAGTCCCAGACTCCTCTGCCATTCCTGGGATGACTCCAACAGTCCCCCACTGGTCTCCCTGCCTCCTCCTTTTGACCCTCTATGGTCCATCATGCACGCAGCAGCCCAGATGATCAGATCACATCACTCCCTGGCTTAAAATCTCCCAGTTTTCACTACACTTGGATTTCCTTACCGAAGCCTGCCTGACCCTAGCCCCAGCCTCTTGTTCAGACCTTTCGCTCCTCAGGACACTGTAGCAACACTGGCCTTAGCTCTTATCCTCAACACACTCAGCTCATACCTAGGTGGGTGCTCTGCACATGCTCCTTCTATTTGAAGTCTCCTCCAAAAATGGTAAACAGCTGCGTTCGTATCATTTAAGTCCCAGTTCAGATGTCACCTCTTCTACGAGGTCTTCCCCAAACACCCCAGTTAAAAATGCCATGTTCCCACCCCTATTCTCTCTACCTTATCTTCCCCACAACACTCAGTAATACAATATTCTTATTTTTCTACGTAATTTCCCCAGGACAACAATTTAAGCCCCACTATTCTTGTTCACTACTGCACCCCCAGTGTCTAGAACAATGCTAGGCAGTGCTAGACATTAAGCTTTTTCTTTCTTTTTCTTGAGACAGAGTTTCACTCTTGTTGCCCAGGCTGGAGTGTAATGGCGTGATCTCGGTTCACTGCAACCTCCACCTCCTGGGTTCAAGTGATTCTCCTGCCTCAGCCTCCCGAGTGGCTGGGATTACAGGCATGTGCCACCACACCCGGCTTATTTTGTGTTTTTATTAGCTATTGGGTTTCACCATGTTGGCCAGGCTGGTCTTGAATTTCTGATCTCAGGTGATGCATCTGCCTTGGCCTCCCAATGTGCTGGAATTACAGGCGTGAGCCACCGAGCCCAGCCAAAGCTTTCAAAGAACACTGTGAAGCAGTTGGTTTGAAAGGTAATGCTGTGCTCCCTTAATCCTCAGGATGGTGTGTCTGTTCCCTCTGTCCACATCTAAGATGGAAGCTTATTTACCAATTCATTCACTCAATTCTAATAACAACTGATATCTGCGAAGGTTATCACAGTGACCATACAACCAGAATCATCTGTTTCACAATTCAAACCAAGATTTTATTTTAACATGGCACAGAGTTTCTGCCAAATATTTTTGTAGTTAACTGCCATCACAAATTTATATGCAAGAGGTTACATGACTTCCCCCAAGGTCACATGAAACCTCAGCACCCCAGTTATCTCAAGGCAAAACCAAACACCTAATAAACATACTTGCAACTGCTCAGCCCCTCTTGTGTACTACTCAGTCATATGCACAAAAATAAATGCTAAAAACCAGAGAATAAATGTGGTTTTTCAAAAATCTCACCTCCTTAGCTGGTTGCAGTGGCTCACGCTTGTAATCTCAGCACTTTGGGAAGCCAAGCCAGGATTGCTTGAGCCCAGGAATTTGAGACTAGCCTGGGCAACATAGCGAGACCCCCATTTCTTTAAAAAAACAAAACAAAATAAAACAAAACCCACGTTCTATTTTCTTATTTCTAATCTTACTACCTGGTAGCAGGTACTGTCAAACGAGAGTACACATTCAACTTGGCACTGTTCTGAGGTTATGGTGCCCTGATCCACAGGCTGAGCTCGATGCCAAAGGGAAGCAGCATAGTGCCAGTTGCTAAGCCCTCAGGCTTCGGAATCAGACATGTCCAGATTCAAACCATACCTACTAACAACTACTGATAAAGCCCCAGGCAATTTTTTTTTTTTTTTTTTGAGACGGAGTCTCACTCTGTCACCCAGGCTGTAGTGCAGTGGCGCGATCTCGGCTTACTGCAACTTCCGCCTCCTGGGTTCAAGGGATTCTTCTGCCTCAGCCTCCCGAGTAGCTGGGACTACAGGCGCCTGCCACCACACCCAGCTAATTTTTGTGTTTTTAGTAGAGATGGGGTTTCACCATATTGGCCAGGCTGGTCTCGAACTCCTGACCTTGTGATCCACCTGCCTTGGCCTCCCAAAGTGCTGGGATTACAGGCGTGAGACACTGCACCCTGCCACAAATTTATTTAGCAATTATATAGCCCTTATTAAGTACCAGGCAGGGTTCTAAATACTTTACAACTATTACATGATTGAAACAGACATACTATTATTATTGTATCTAAAGGCAAGGAAACAGGTGCAGAGAGGTTGAGTAACTTACCCAAAACACAGCTACATGAGTGTTAGAGTCATTACGGTATTCAAATCTAGGCTGCCTGATGCCAGAGTCCATGCTCTCAACCATAACACTATGTTTGCTCTCTAATCCTGTTTCTTCATCTATAAATCAGGCTAATAGGCCTGCCTCATCTCACAGAGTCATGTGAAATTAGTCATACACAGTAAGATAAATGTTAGGTACTCTTAGTGCTGGGAGTAACACCCATCATTCTATTATCTACCTTCACCTTTGGTCCAGCCAAGGAAAGAAAAATACTATATTTGGCTGAGAAAGATCTCCAAGGCCCTCTGCAGTCAGGTACATTAGAATACAGTGGAAGCTCCACGAGAACAGGGACTGTCTTTGCTTACCACGGTATCCAGAACAAGCATTGGGCGCTCAGTAAATATATGGTGAATGAGGTAGGAATGAATTGACTACAGGCATAGGGTTTTGCATACATGACTATTAAGGTAGTAACCATCACTTCTCAAATGTATCTAAGCACAAAAGGGGTAAATATACAAGCTTCTCAGAGAAACCGTGTTAGTTGGTTATTTGAGACAGCCTGGTTATTGGGAGGCAGTGTGCAAACTGCATAATATTGTTCATTCATCTTAGCTGAAGGAACAAACAAGGAGACCAGGATTTTAATCCTGACTCTGCTACTGGAAGTCACCCAGGCTCTCAAGGTCTTAGATTTTTCCACCTGTATAAGAGGTTAGTCTACGTGATGGTTGTAAACTCATTCTACTTGCTCATCACTTTCTAACATCCACTTGCTGAATATACATTTGTTCAATGAAGATCATCTCCAATGGACAATGGATTCAGGAAGTAACTTACTCAAGGTCACAGGATCAGGAAAGAGAGCCCAGATCTCCTTCTACACCAGTCTAATACTCATACTTTCCAAGATCCTTTTCGGTTCAAAATGGTGTGATACTATTCTTCTCTTCCAAGTTCAAGAACTCTATAATCATTTATCTTATCAAATAATCTTGCCTGACTCCCTTAAATCATGAGACAGGAAGAAACAACTATTTCCACATCATTAACCTAGAGAATCAAAAGACGTGAAGAGGCCAGGTGTGGTGGCTCACACCTGTAATCCCAGGACTTTGGGAGGCCAAGGCAGGCCGATTACTTGAGGTCAGGAGTTTGTGACCAGCCTGGTCAACAGGGTGAAACCCCGTCTCTACTAAAAATACAAAAATTAGCCAAGCATGGTGGTGCACACCTGTAATCCCAGCTACTCGGGAAGCTGAGGGCAGGAGAGTCACTTGAACCCAGGAGGCAGAGTTGCAGTCAGCCAAGATTGCGCCATTGCACTCCAGCCTGGGTGACAGAGCAAGACTGTCTCAAAAAAAAAAAAAAAAAAAAAAAAAAAAAAAAAAGATGTAAAGAGATAATTAGGTGCAAATCCTTTCCCTTAGCCCGGAATTGAGATCAGAAATATTTTCTTTCAGATAAATGATGATTTTACTTTAAACCATATGGTTTCAATTTAAGCAATGTGATGAAAAATAAGTTCAAGTTTAAATTTAAGCAATGTGATGAAAAATAAGTTCAAGTACCACAAGCTTCCTGAGAGTACAACGCATAACAACTCGTAAAATTCTATTATCAAAGTTGCGCCACTTGATCCAAAAGGAATTCACAAAGTTAAATGTGAAAGGTTGACAGAGAATGTCTACAGATGCTTGCTTGATTTTTATTAACAAAGTACACATTTGACATTGAACCTCTGAGTATAACACCTTCCCAGGGCTGTCAAGTTAGAAGTGAAAAAATCATCTGGCAGTCAGTCAGCTTTCTAGATAGCTCCTAACAGGGGAGTCAAGGTCAAACTGGAGTCTCCTTATCCTCCCATATTTGACAAGCAACTTATTGTGAGGCTCAAAATATTCGTACTGCATTCTGACAAACAGAAATAATTGCACCGTGGTTCATAAAGTTCTGTGAGGGCAGGCTGACATAAACAAGAACTGAGTGGTGGTAGGGCCCATGCTTCTGCCACAGCACTTCGGTGACACTCTTGAGAATCAGAACTTTCACCTACTTTCTACCAGCTTTATCATCTATCAAATGAGAAAAACCACCTCATTCCTACGATTACAGGAATCAAATAATATTATGAAGAATTAAAACAGGCCTCAAATCTTGTGCAAAGGTGAGAGACTATTATTATATTATTTACTACGTATGGGCCCAGAAGACCGCCCCCCTCCCCGACATTCCACGTTCCGCAGGGTCCTCAAAAGGTGGTACAGGGTCCTAGTTTCTTCTCCAGACTCCAGGCCTGGCAACCGTAGATGCTGTCATGCCTCTGTTGCTAAGAGATGGGAAGTGAGGCCTCAGGAACTGGGCCTAGAAGACTCAACAACGACCGCGCCCCCTAGTCACCTTGTCCTCACCTTGAGGAATGGAAACACACCCCACGGGAGCAGGCAATGCTGTCCTCAAAAAGAAGAAAGAGGTGCCTCCGCTCTTCACCCGGCCGCCGCTGCTTGGGCCCACGCTTCTTGCGAGGCAGGGACAGGGCCAGGAAAGCTGACTGTGCCGGGGACGCCTTGACCTAGGGCACCAGAGAAGCGGGCACGGGTGCCGGGCCCACAACCGGGACAGGTACACGAGAAGTTGGCCCCAGGTTGGGCCCGCCTCGCCCTGCCTCGCCCACAGCCGCCGGCACAGTAGGAGGCACCCCGCCCCCGTGAACCCAGAGGTCCCTGAGCTCGCTCACCTGCAGCCGAGTCACCAGTAGGCTGTAGGGCGCCATTTTGTGCACTGACAAAGATGAGGTCGCATTAAAGTGACGTCCCACACGGCGCCTTTAAAGCCTTTGGGCAGGGGCGTGCCCGGAAGAGTGGGGCGTCACGGTGAAGGCGAGGCCTCCCTAGAGGCGCCAGAACCCTGTGAACGCAATGGGCGGAGCTCACGTGCAACGAACAGACACGCAAGAGGAAATCGGACTGCCCAAAGACACTTGCAGAAATAGATACCAAGCACAAAGATGTTTTACCCAAGAACAAATTTTAGTTATCTCCGCCATCCAAATCTGGGAGAGTTTTTAAGAGTTTCATGCACCTGCCAGGACCTGGCCGCCCAGCAGCGACAAAAACTCGCGCGAGAGCAAGACGGGCCTGGTGCAAGGATTGTAAACTGACGGAAGCTTAGAGAACCAATCACAGCGACGTGGAGGCAGGAACAATGGGGGTTAAAGGTCGGACGGAAGTTCCCGAAGCTTCCGGTGGCCGGCTTAGTTAGGAGCTATGGCTAAACATCATCCTGATTTGATCTTTTGCCGCAAGCAGGCTGGTGTTGGTGAGACTGCGCCCTACCCCTGGCTGTCTGGGCAGGGGTGGTATTAGGAGCTGGGGGGTCGGGGGTTCCCGTCTCTTCCTTAGGGGCTTGCCTCGCAGGCGCCACGTTTCCCGCCTCTCAGGCGCGGGGTGTTGTAGGAGCGCGCAGGTTTGTGGCCTCTGATGAGAAGAGGGCGGGGGTGCGCGTGCTGGGAGCCCCAGGCAGGTATCGGGGGGTGGGGTCTGAACCAGGTCCAGAGAAACTCTGAGCTTGCCCAGGGCGTTGGAGGAGATTCAGGAGGGTGCTTGGATGTAGGTTTGGTTCATATGGAAATTTGTAATGATAAAATGGCTATCCGCAGGTCTCACTCACTGCAGTCCTTACTCATGTCCCTACCCCCAGCTCGAGGATGTACTTCTCCTCTTTCTCAAAACCTTTATTCTAATTGTACTTTTTACCATCTTTCATCTTGCAGCCATCGGAAGACTGTGTGAAAAATGTGAGTGGAACACACCGTCCCAACAACCCACCCTTCCCACTCCCAGTTTTCTGTGGAACCAGCAAAAGTGCCACAAAGAGGGCTTTGAGTAGATGTGCCTGGAAGTATGTGAACACTGAATGCTGCACTTTAGCCAAAGGCCCCTCTAACTCCCCACTGCCGCTTGCACATTTAACGCTGTATCTCTCTAGTTTTCAACGGGAAGAATCGCCAGAGTAGCATGACCCCTCCCCAACACACAGCACTTTGCCAGCAATTATACAGGCTTATCATCTCCGAGGTGCTTTTCTAAGCTCTTCACATATGTTAATTGGTAAACTTTTGTATGTGTTGAGGGGCTTGAGATGGACACTGGGGAAACCAAGTTTTGTGATGCCAAGAGGAGGGCCCTAAAGTCACTGTCAAAAGGAGACTAGTGTATTTCCCAGGAGACTAGTATATTTCCCCATGGCAGGAGATAGCAGAGGACTGAAGAACTTGTGAGCATGACTCCATTCTCTTCCTTACAGGTGATGGCAAGTGTGTGATTTGTGACTCCTATGTGCGTCCCTGCACTCTGGTGCGCATATGTGATGAGTGTAACTATGGATCTTACCAGGGGCGCTGTGTGATCTGTGGAGGACCTGGGGTCTCTGATGCCTATTATTGTAAGGAGTGCACCATCCAGGAGAAGGACGTAAGTGTACAGCTTTCCATCTGACCTTTCCTCCTTTTGTTTAGTAACACTTTGCCATCCACTGCAATCTCCTATGGTCTATGGAGATTACTGTGTTCATCTAGTCATCTAGGTTATAATTTCTTCAAGTTCTGTGAGTCAAACTGGGTGTAGTCCAATAAAAGGCAGTTATTTTGCATCAAGGGGAAGAATGCAAGGGAAGCAAATCTTTGTCAAGACCAGCAATTTGGAGAGCCCTCTCATTCATGTCTCTGTGGTTATTCTTATTCAGAAATGACATCCGGCTGGGCGTGGTGGCCCACACCTGTAATCTCAGCACTTTGGGAGTCCAAGTTAGGAGGATCACTTTAGTCCAGGAGTTAAAGACCAGCCTGGGCCACAGAGCAAGATCCCATCTCAAAAAAAAAAAAAGTGTTTTGTTTTTTGTTTTTTGCTTCTTGTTTTTTGTTTTTTTGAGATGGGGTCTCTTGCTCTGTGGCCCAGGCTGGGGTGCAGTGGCATGATCATGTGCAAGGCTCACTGCAGCCTTGACCCCCTGGGCTCAAACGATCCTCCCATCTCATCCTCCCAAGTAGCTGGGACTACAGGCATGCGCCACCATACCTGGCTAAATTTTTTTTGTAGAGACAGGGTCTTGTTTTGTTACCTAGGTTGGTCTCGAACTCCTGGGCTCAAGTGATCCTCCTGCCTTAGCCTCACCAAGTGCTGGGATTACAGGCATGAACCATCACGCCTGGCCAAAAAAACATATTTTTCATTAGTCAGGTGTGCTGGTGTGTACCTGTGGTCGCAGCTACTTGGGAAACTGAGGCGGATGGATCACTTGGGACCAAGAGGTCAAGGCTGCAGTGAGCCATTTTCACGCCACTGCACTCCAGCCTGGGTGACAGAGACCCTGTCTGTTTATAAGTCCTGTACAGCCCATGTTGTGTCATAGCCACTTAAATCTATCATTAAGCACTATTTGGGTGTATATCGTGACAAAGTTGAATTTGGGACAATTCAAGTTGACTTCAGCTTTAAGCAGGTAACAGATGCCTTTGGTTTAATATTGCAGAAATGATTGTGGACCTGCATCGTGATTTTTTTTGTCCCTTGACACTGTGTAGTGGCAGTGGCTACTTTCTATTCAACTCTGAGCCAAATGCCAGGAGAGAGAGCTTATAGACTAGTGCTACAGGCAAGATTTACCCCATTTTTTTCGGTTAGTATTGGCAGCAGGGTTCTTTGTGGGAGAAAACTATGAATCAGCTTGTTTTCTTCAAAAAACAAAAGGAAGTATGATACAGTCTCACTAGGTTAATGATGGTACCTAGTTATCTAATTTAATTCTAATTCAGAATAAGGCAAAAGATGCGTAATTCTTCATATTCCCATGAGCGAAGAATAGGTCTTTTATAGATGTTATCACACCTTGTTCCTCACAATAAGTTTGTGAAATAGGGATTATTATTATGATGCCCATTTTGTAGTTCCTCTGACAAGCCCAGGCTGTTCAACTAAACCTTGTAGTGTCCTTATTTCACTATGTTGTCCTTTTATTTATTTATTTATTTATTTATTTTTTGAGATGGAGTTTCACTCTTGTTGTCCAGGCTGGAGTGCAGTGGCGCCATCTCGGCTCACCACAGCCTCCGCCTCCTGGGTTCAAGCGATTCTCCTGCCTCAGCCTCCCGAGTAGCTGGGACTACAGGTGCATGCCACTATGCCCAGCTAGTTTTTGTATTTTTAGTAGAGATGGGGTTTCACTATGCTGGCCAGGTTGGACTCAAACTCCTGACCTTGCGATCCACCCATCTGGGCCTCCCGAAGTGCTGGGATTACAGGCGTGAGCCATCACGCCTGGCCTTATGTTGTCCTTTTACAAGTGTTTCTGGGATGTGCCCATGGTGAAGGCAGTAACGCCAGTACCTCATTTCACGCACTTGGATCCTGCCTACCCCCAGTAAGTGGGAGAGATTGGGCCAGATAAGACCACACCATTGGGCCAGGCACAGTGGCTCATGCCTGCAATCCCAGCACTTTGGGAGGTTGAGGCAGGTGGATCACCTGAGGTCAGGAGTTTGAGAGCAGCCTGGCCAACATGGTGAAACCCCGTCTCTACTAAAAATACGTGGTGGCACACATCTGTAATCCCAGCTACTTGGGAGGCTGAGGCAGGAGAATCGCTTGAACCCAGGAGGCAGAGGTTGCAGTCAGCTGAGCCGAGATCACACCATTGCACTCCAATCTGGGCAACAAGAGCGAAATTCCTTCTCAAAAAAAAAAAGTGAGTACACCATTGAATCTTCTGTTGTTTAGGGAGATGAGAAAGGTCCTGAAGTACCAAAAACATAATGATTTGGACCTTTCTCTTGTCCTCAACTCTGATTTGCATTTACCTTCAACTATCAAGTCACATTCTGCTGTCCGAAAATCCAAATCTAGTCTACTAGCTAGATTACACTTCATTAGAGGCAGGACTTTGGTTTGTCTATTTGCCTCTCCTTTTCTTTAGGTCATGATACAGTGCCTGACATGCGGTGCAAGCATGGTACTTGTATTTTGGTGCTGTCCCTGTAAGTCATCCAGAGGTATCCCCTGTAGGGTGTCTAGCACATAGTAGGTGTTTGTTAATTACTTCTGGTCTATAAGCAGTGAAAGCATGATAAGGTAACAGCAGTGAAGAAAAGTAACAAACAGTTCCTAAACTAGATACAGGATATCTGTTTAAGCCATTTAAGACAGCATTTTCTTGAATTTTTGCATGGGTCTAGCTAGAGTTCTTATGTAGCGTAAGCTTGCAACCAGAGAATGCTTAATAAATGTTAATTGCTGTCTGACTCCTCTGAATGTGGTGTGTGAACTGATACCTTTGGATCCTCATGCCTCATTCTGTCCCTGAGACTTATTCTAGATGTCACTTCCCCTACTTCACATTATACACGAATGTTCTGAGGACATTTGAGATGGAATCTAGCTCACATTTTCAGCACTAGTTTCCAAGGAACACAAAGAAGTCCAGTGACATGATCCAGGCTCTCAGCCTTACAGATCATCATGTAGATTAAGTGGCCGAGGCTCTTTCCTATGCAGAAACCTTCCTACAACCAAGGTACCCCTTGTTATTATTGTCTTCCTGCAACTTTCATAATTGATAAGGGAATTAGACAGGTAAGCTAAGCTAGGTATTCTCATTTATAATTTTTCAAAGCCACAAGAATAACCAGGAGACAGGGATGATGTCTATGGACATTGCTACCAGAGGACTGATTTGTAGGTTCTTATGGTGCCACATCATGTAATCCCCTTAATCTTGATTCCTTTATTCCTTTTGTTTACCATTTTCCTCAGTTCGCCCAACCAGAAAATAAGAAAAATAGCACTAACATTTATGAAGCTCTTAATATATGCAAGGTACTTAGCTGAACATTGTTTTCCAAAAGTTCTGTGTGATACAGATGAGGATGCTAAGGCTTAGAGATGTTAAGCAACTTGGTTAGCCCAAGGTCACGTGGCTAATAAGTGACAGACCCAGGACTAGGGCCTAGGTGGTCTGACTCTTTTTTTTTTTGAGACGCAGTTTCTTTCTTGTCACTCAGACTGGAGTGCAATGGCACGATCTCGGCTCATTACAATCTCCGCCTCCCAGGTTCAAGCGATTCTCCTGCCTAAGCTTCCCAAGTAGCTGGGATTACAGGCACATGCCACCATGCCTGGCTTTTTTTTTTTTTTTTTTTTTTTGAGACAGAGTCTTACTGTGTCTCCCAGGATGGAGTGCAGTGGTGTGATCTTGGCTCACTGCAACCTATGCCTCCTGGGTTCAAGCAATTCTTCCGTCTCAGCCCCCTGAGTAGCTGGGATTACAGGCGTGCACCACCACGCCTGGCTAATTTTTTGTTTTTAGTAGAGACAGAGTTTCACCATGTTGGCTAGGCTGATCTTGAACTCCTGACCTTGTGATCCACCCACCTTGGCCTCCCAAAGTTGCTGGGATTACAGTCATGGACCACCGTGTCCAGCCTAATTTTTGTATCTTCAGTAGAAATGGGGTTTCACCATATTGGTCAGCCTGGTCTCAAGCTCCTGGCCTCAGGTGATCTGCCTGCCTCGGCTTTCCAAAGTGCTGGGATTACAGGCGTGAGCCACCACGCCCGTCGTGACTCAGTGTTTCTTAACCTTTTATTTTTTTTTTCTCATCATTGCACCCCTAAGGAGAAAGGTTAAAAGTTAATGTAAATTAATTAAATTTTGGGGCTGGGCAGGAGCCTACCATCTTAAAGCTAAGCTGTAAGTAGGCCAGGGGCAGTGGCTCACGCCTGTAATCCCAGCGCTTTGGGAGGCCCAGGTAGGCGAATCATGAGGTCAGGAGTTCGAGACCAGACTGACCAACATGGTGAAACCCCATCTCTACTAAAAATACGAAAACCAGCTGGGTGCGGTGGTGGGTGCCTGTAATCCCAGCTACTCAGGAGTCTGAGGCAGGAGAATTGCTTGAACCCAGGAGGCAGAGGTTGCAGTGAGCCCAGATAGCGCCACTGCACTCCAGCCTGAGCGACAGATGAGACTTCACCTCAGAAAAAAAAAAAAAAAGCTAACCCGTAAGTAAAGAACAGAGCTGTGCAGATTGGAGGATTGGGTCATACCATTACTTGGTACCTTCCAGGAATATTTGGGTATCTATAAGGATAGTTTGTAAACCTTGACCTGATCCAGTCTTCTTCTTTTGCAGCTGAGGAGTAATATAAGTCCCAAGAGAAGCAACTTGCCCACATTTGCACAAGTCAGTAAGGCACAGTTTAAGCTATCATCATATCATGAGTTTCATAGCCTCTCTAAAGAGTTGAGAGTCCTGTTATTATGTCTAATATCAGGCCTTTGTCCAGGAGAGGCAGCTAGTGCCTCATTTTTACGAGGACATGAAATATAGATTACGTTGCTTACTTGGGTTCACCTAGCAAGCTATTGGTAGGCGGCTTCCTTGGTACACCAGGCTTCAGAGATGGAAGTGCTCAATGTAATGACTCGATACTTCTTTTCTAGGAGATCCTAAAATGTTAGTGTTAGTTGCAGAGATTTTTGTAGTTGTTGATGTCTGCCCCCAAAGAAGGATATTAGTTGAGTTAGAAATGAGATGGCTAAGGACTTGATTAATTCATACTATCACCTAATATCACAGGACTCAAACTCTGACATGGGTGTTTAATAAAATCAACAGACCTGTAAGGGTTTTCCAGTTACAGCTTCCCCGGTTTTTCTCCCATCATCCCTAATCAACTGATGGAGTCATCATTTCTATATAACACAGCTTCCCAGGGGCTTCACTGAAAGCACTCAAGCTCATCAAATGGCCAGGGCAGCCTGTCATGACAAATTAGTGCATGGTCTGTCAACAGCCATCTATCTCTAGCCAGTAGTGCTCTGTACCCCCAAGACCATGTGTCAAATTAAGTGAATTAATGAAGACACATAAAACCCATTAGTCTCCTATGGTATTTAAAATGTAAGGGCCAGGCACGGTGGCTCACGCCTGAAATCCCATCACTTTAGGAGGCCGAGGTGAGTGGATCAGGAGGTCAAGAGATCAAGACCATCCTGGCCAACATGGTGAAACCCCATCTTTACTAAAAATACAAAAATTAGCTGGGCATGGTCGCGGGTGCATGTACTCCCCACTACTCGGGAGGCTGAGGCAGGAGAATTGCTTGAACCCGGAAGGCGGAGGTTGCAGTGAGCCGAGATCATGTCACTGCTCTCCAGCTTGGCAACAGAGCAAGACTCCGTCTCAAAAAAAAATAAAATATAAGGTATGGCCGAGCACTGTGACTCACGCCTGTAATCCTAGCACTTTGGGAGGCTGAGGCAGGCGGGTTGCCTGAGCTCAGGAGTTTGAGACCAGCCTGAGCAGCATGGTGAAACCCTGTCTCTACTAAAATACAAAAGAAATTAGCCGGGCATGGCGGCGTGTACCTGTAGTCCCAGCTACTCGGGTGGCGGAGGTTGCAGTGAGCCGAGATCGCGCCACTGCACTCCAGCCTGGCGACAGAGCGAGATTCCTTCTCAAAAAAAAAAAAAGAGTTTCATAGTCTACCTCAACTGTGTCATAGCAGCAGACATGGCTGAGAATCCAGCATTCTACATGAATTGCAAGTCATTGGATAGAGGGTAGGCAGGCCCTGAGCACATTCTTAGGTGTTTAGTAAATTATTGATGATAGATCAAATAGGATAATTGGTAAGATAAATGGCTAAACCATTAATCCAAAGGTTATAAAATGGTCTTTTTTTCTTTTTTTGAGATGGAGTTTCTCTCTTGTTACCCAGGCTGGAGTGCTGTGGCGTGATCTCAGCTCACTGCTACCTCCGCCTCCTGGGTTCAAACGATTCTCCTGCCTCAGCCTCCTGAGTAGCTGGGACTACAGGCACGCACCACCACGTCTGGCTAATTTTTGTATTTTTAGTAGAGACGGGGTTTTACCATGTTGGCCAGGCTGGTCTCGAACTTCTGACCTCAGGTGATCCACCTGCCTCGGCCTCCCAAAGTGCTGGGATTACAGGCATGAGCCACCGTGCCCGGCCTATAAATGATCTTTCATAAGTGCTAAGAGATAGGGAAGAAACAGTGCTGATCTGGGCCTCCCAATTAAGGAGATAACTGGTGTTTGGACACATTTACAAACCCATTTATTGAGTTCTTCAAATACTAAGATGAGAATTTGAACTCTGTGACCAATTTTTTTTTTTTCAAGAGATGGGGGTCTCGCTATGTTGCCTACAGTGGGGTACAGTAGCTGGCTATTCACAGGCATCATCATAGCCCACTAGTCTCGAACTCCTGGGCTTCAGCAATCCTCCTGCCTCGGCCTTCGAGTAGTAGCTGGGACTAAAGGCACATGCTACCACACTGGGCTTAAATTTTTTATCTTAAGTCACTCTTGGTTCAGGCTCAAAGACTTAACAACTTCTCTGTTCTGTTTTCCAGAGAGATGGCTGCCCAAAGATTGTCAATCTGGGGAGCTCTAAGACAGACCTCTTCTATGAACGCAAAAAATACGGCTTCAAGAAGAGGTGATTGGTGGGTGGCCCCTTCCTCCCCCCAACATCAGTCTGCTGCAGCTGCCAGAAAACATGCCTACTACTACCAGCAGAAAGGGAGCAGAGCCCAGAGCATCACCAGGAGTGCCTGCTAGTGTACTGGCAGCTTGCCACCCCCTCCTCTCCCTTCACCCAGACACGTGGTAGGGATGGAAAAGGATTCTTCACAGAGCACTCTGGCACACCATATCGGAGAAAACTTGATAGATTAGTTAATGGTTTTTCTTGAATTCGAGAAGCAAAGATCTGTTCTCCATATTGGTATGTTCTCCCTCAACCAAGATCTTCTAAAAAGAAATAATATTTTAGTCTTCTGCTTGAGGAACTGACTGTGAAGCGACGCCCAGTGAAAAACATGTTCTTGCAGCAGCTCTGGTGGCAGCTGTCCTTGAGGAACCTTTGGTGTGTGGTGGGAAGCTATCAGAACAAGAAATGTAGGCATTTCCCGTTTTTTTTGGGGGGGGGGTGGGGGGGCAGGGCTCTGCCCTCTTGAAAGGCATTTACTTGTTTAACACTTGTCCAGCTACAGTGGGGTACAGTAGCTGGCTATTCACAGGCATCATCATAGCCCACTAGTCTCATATTATTTTCCTTTTGAGAAATTGGAAACTCTTTCTGTTGCTATTATATTAATAAAGTTGGTGTTTATTTTCTGGTAGTCACCTTCCCCATTTAACTTTAACTCTAGGAATTTATTTTAGTCACCCAGGAATTTGTGATTCAAAACAGAGGTAGTGGGATTGGTTAAGTACTTTGTCCTCTTATTACCACTGGAAGGAATTCAAAACCACCCATACCTTTCATTATAGATAGATCAAAGTCATCTTTAGAAACGTACTATTTTTTCCTTCCTGTCCAACTTTAATTTTGAACTGAAGAGATAGCTTCCAGTTATGGTGGAGGCTGGGCACAGTAGCCCATGCCTGTAATCCCAGCACTTTGGGAGGCTCAGGCAGGCGGATCTTGAGCCCAGGAGTTCAAGACCGGCCTGGGCAACATGGCAAAAACCCATCTCTATGAAAAATATGAAAACTAGTCAGGTATAGTGGCATGCACCTGTAGTTTAGTCCCAGCTACTCAGAAGGCTGAGATGGGAGGATCCCTTGAGCCTTGGAGATTGAGGCTGCAGTGAACAGTGATCCCGCCACTGCACACCAGCCTGGGTGACAGAGCAAGACTGCCTCAAAAAAAAAAAAAAAAGATGGGCTGGGCGCGGTGGCTCACACCTGTAATCCTAGCACTTTGGGAGGCCAAGGCAGGCGGATCACTTGAGCCCAGGAGTTCGAGATCAGGCTGGCCAACATGGCAAAACTCCGTCACTGCTAAAAATACAAAAATTAACCAGGCATGGTGGCACTGTGCGCCTGTAGTCCCAGCTACTCGGGACGCTGAGACAGGAGAATTGCTTGAACCTAGGAGGCAGAGGTTGCAGTGAGCCGAGATCGTGCCATTGCACTCCAGCCTGGGCAGCAAGAGTGAAACTCCATCTCACACACACACAAAAAAAGGTTCCAGTATAACCCAGAGGATGCACAAAGGAAGGGTTCTAGGCCTAGCTTGGAGGTACCACAGGAAGGCAGGGGAAGGCCATGGCCATAGGACTACAGCACTTTCCGGGCGCTTTTGGCCACCCCTTTCTCTGCACTGCAGCCATAGGCTCCTTTTCAGTTCCACAACTGCTGCTTTCCTTTTGGCTTCTGCTTTGGGTTTATTTTTAACATGTTGATCCCTCTAGAATGCTTGTGCCCCCCTCCCTTTTACTCAGCTAACCCCTACTCCCTTCTGACCTTAGCCAAATATTTCCTCAAAGATGCCTCTCCGGACCCTTAATCTAAGTTCCCCTTGTACTCCCACTTAGCATCCTATGTGGTTTTTTGGTTTGGTTGGTTGGTTTTGAGACGGCATCTCTGTCACCCAGGCTGGAGTGCAGTGGCACGATCTCAGCTCACTGCAACCTCTACTTCCCAGACTCAGCAATCCTCCCACCTCAGGCTCTGGAATAGCTGGGACTACAGGCATGCACCACCCTGCCCAGCTAGTTTTTTGTTTTTGTTTTCGAGATGGAATTTTGCACTGTTGCCCTGGCTGGAGTGCAGTGGCGCAATCTCCGCTCACTGCAACCTCCACCTCCCAGATTCAAGTGATTCTCCTGCCTCAGCCTCCCTAGTAGCTGGGATTACAGATGCACGCCACCACACCCAGCTAATTTTTTGTATTTTTAGTAGAGATGGGGTTTCACTGTGTTGGCCAGGCTGGTCTTGAACTGACCTCGTGATCCGCCCACCTTGGCCTCCCAAAGTACTGGGATTACAGGCGTGAGCCACCAAGCCTGGCCTGTTTTTTGTATTTTTTATAGAGACAAGGTCTCGCTGTGTTGCCCAGACTGGTCTCAAGCTCCTGGATTCAAGTTACCCTCCTGCCTCAGCCTCCCAAAGTGCTGTGAATACAGGTGTGAGCCACCACACCCAACCCTATGTGTTTTCTTAAAGCATTTGGTGATTAGTGAAAGTAACCTACGACCGTGTCTACAAGAGCAGGAAGCAAGTTTGTTTTGCCCAGTAGGTAGCAGGTAGGTGTTCAGTATTGAATGAATGCTTGAAGTCAAGGAAACTGGATAATAAACTGGACTTTGATATGTCAGAACCTACAGGCAAAGGGTGCAGTAGGCAAATAAGGGCATTTGTTGGGGGGGGCATCAACTTGAGCAAAGACAGTCGTGAACAGGGTGATATGTATTGATTCGGATATGGTCTCACTTTGTCCCCCAACCTGGAGTGCAGTGTCATGAACACGGCTCATTGCAGCCTCGACCCCCTGGGCTCAAACAATCCTCCCAACTCAGCCTCCTGAGTAGCTGGGAGGTGTGAACCAGCATGCCCAGCTTTTTTTTTTTTTTTTTTTTTTTTTTTTTTTTTTTTTTTGTAGAGACAGGGTTTCACCATATTGGCCAGACTGGTCTTGAACTCCTGAGGTCAAGCGATCTGCCTGCCTTGGCTTCCAAAGTTAGGATAATAGGCATGAGCCACCACCCCCAGCCTAGGGCGATGTGTGTAGGGAGCTCTGAGCAATTCTAATGCATCAGTGAGGTGATTGCTATGGTTTGAATGTTTGTCCCCTCTAAAACTCATGTTGAAACTTGATTCCCAATGTGGCAGTATTCAGAAGTGGGACCTTCAAGAAATGATTGGGTCATGAAGGCTCTGCCCGCATGAGGGGATTCATCCTTTCACTTTTTTTTTTTTTTTTTTTTTTTTGAGCCGGCGTCTCTGTCACCCATGCTGGAGTGCAGTGGCATGATCTCAGCTCACTGCAACCTCCACCTCCCAGGTTCAAGCAATTCCCCTGCCTCAGCCTCTTGAGTAGCTGGAACTACAGGCACGTGCCACCATGCCCAGCTAATTTTTGTGTTCACCACCATGCCTGGTTAATTTTTGTAATTTTATTAGTGACAGGGTTTCACCATATTAGCCAGGCTGGTCTTGAACTCCTGACCTCAAACGATCCACTCACTTCGGCCTCCCAAAGAGCTGGGATTGCAGGCATGAGCCAACGCACCCAGCCCATCCTTTCACTGTTAATGGATTAATGGGTTATCATATAAATGGGACCGATAGCCCAAAAATAGCTGTTTGGTGGTGGTGGTGGTTGTTTTTGAGACAGACTCTCACTCCATCGCCCAGGCTGGAGTGCAGTGGCGCGAACTCAGCTCACTGCAAGCTCCACCTCCCGGGTTCACGCCATTCTCCTGCCTCAGCCTCCTGAGTAGCTGGGACTACAGGCGCTCGCCATCACGCCCGGCTAAATTTTTGTGTATTTTTTTAGTAGAGATGGGGTTGCACCGTGTTAGCCAGGATGGTCTCAATCTCCTGACCTCATGATCCACCCGCCTCGGCCTCCCAAAGTGCTGGGATTACAGGCGTGAGCCCCCGCGCCCGGCCGGGACCGATAGCTTTGTAAGAGGAGAGACTGAGCCAGCACTCTCAGCCCCTTTGCCATGTGATGCCCTGTGCCACCTCCCAGCAAGAATGCTCTCACTAAATGTACCCCCTCAACCTGGGACTTCCCAGCCTCCAGAATTATAAGAAATAAATTTCTCTTTTTATAAATAACATAGTTTTAGGTATTACAAGCAAAAGAAAACTGACTAAGGTGTGGTAGCTCAAAAGAGGTAGAGAGACCAGATCATTTTCAGACTGTAATTAGAATGTGCAAAAAAGCAAAAAAGCCCTAGTTAAGAATAAAAAATAGTCCGGGCTCATGCTTGTAATCCCAGCACTTTAGGAGGCCGAGGCAGACAGATCACCTGAGGTCGGGAGTTGAAGACGAGCCTGACCAACATGGAGAAACCCTGTCTCTACTAAAAATACAAAAATTAGCCGGGCATGGTGGCGCATGCCTGTTAATTCCAGTACTTTGGGAGGCCAGGAGTTTATGACTAGCCTTGGCAACATAGTGAGGCCCCTGTCCCTACAAAAAAAAAAAAATTTTTTTTTTTGAGATGGAGTCTCACTCTGTCACCCAGGCTGGAGTGCAATGGCATGGTCTCAGCTCACTGCAACCCCTGCCTCCCGGGTTCAAGTGGTTCTCCCACCTCAGCCTCGCGAGTAGCTGGGACTACAGGCATGTGCCACCACACCCGGCTAATTTTTGTTGTTTTTTTTTTGAGACGAAGTCTTGCTCTTGTCGCCCAGTCTGGAGTACAATGGCGCAATCTTGGCTCACTGCAACCTCTGCCTCCCGGGTTCAAGCGATTCTCCTTCCTCAGCCTCCCGAGTAGCTGGGATTACAGGCGCCTGCCACCACACCCAGCTAACTTTTGTATTTTTAGTAGAGACCGGGTTTCACCATGTTGGTCAGGCTGGTCTCGAAGTCCTGACCTCAGGCAATCCACCCGCCTCAGCCTCCCAAAGTGCTGGGATTACAGGCGTGAGCCACTGTCCCCAGCCTAATTTTTGTATTTTTAGTAGAGACAGGGTTTCACTATGTTGGCCAGGCTGACCTCGTGATCCGCCTGCCTCAGCCTCCCAAAGTGCTGGGATTACAAGCGTGAGCCACCGCGCCCGGCCTAAAAAAATTTTTTTTTAATTAGCCAGGTGTGGTGGCACGTGCATATAGCCCTAGCTACTTGGGAAGCTGAGGTGGATCACTTGAGTCCAGGAGATCGAGGTTACGGTGAGCTACAATGGCACCACTACACTCTAGCCTGAGTGACAAAATGAAACCCTGTCTCTTAAAAAATGAAACCTTGTCTATAACAACAACAACAAAAAAAAATTAACAAAAATTTTTGGCCAGGCGCTGTGGCTCACGCCTGTAATCCCAGCACTTTGGGAGGCCGAGGTTGGTGGATCACCTGAGGTCAGGAGACATTCCAGACCAGCCTGACCAACATGGTGAAACCCCATTTCTATTAAAAATACAAAAATTAGCCAGGTGTAGTGGCGAATGAATGCCTGTAATCCCAGCCACTCCGGAGGCTGAGGCAGGCGAATCACTTGAACCCAACCGAGAGGCTGAGGTTGTGGTGAGCCAAGATCGTGCCACTGCACTCCAGCCTGGGCAACAGAGCAAGACTCCGTCTCAAAATAAATAAATAAATAAAAATTAGCCATGTGTGGTGGTGAAAGCCTGTAATCCCAGCTATTCCGGAGGCTGAGGCAGGAGGATCACTTGAACACGGGAGGCAGAGGTTGCAGTGAGCAGAGATCATGCCACTACACTCCAGCCTAGGCAACAAGAGCGACTCCGTAAAAAAAAAAATTTAAGTTACTTATTAACTGCTTTGGTCCACATGACATCTTGTAACTACAGATGTTTCAAAAACTATTCCTTAGTTTCATCAAAACATCACCTTAACTGCACTCCATCAGCCTCTGTATGTATAAGATTAATGCCCTGTAGCATCTCAAATCAGCAGTTCAACCTCAGTCAAGTGAATTCCACTGAAACCTGCTCCTCTGTCAATTTCATAATCCCATTCTTGGCTTTTTTTTTTTTTTTTTTTTTTTGGAGATGAAGTCTTGCTCCGTCACCCAGGCTGGACTGCAGTGGTGCAATCTCAGCTCACTGCAATTTCTGCCTCCCAGATTCAACCGATTTTCCTGTTTTGGCCTCCCGAGTAGCTGGGACTACAGGCATGGGCCACCACGCCCGGCCAATTTTTCATATTTTAGTGGAGACAGGGTTTCACCATGTTGCCCAGGCTGGTCTCAAACTCCTGAGCCATGGCCTCCCAAAGTGCTAGGATCACAGGCTTTTTTGTTTTTGTTTTTTTTTGAGACGGAGTTTTGCTCTGTCACCCAGGCTAGAGTGCAGTAACAGGATCCGGGCTCACTGCAACCTCCACGTCCTGAATTCAAGCGATTCACCTGCCTCAGCCTCCCAAGTAGCTGGAATTACAGGCGCGTGCCACCATGCCCAGCCAATTTTTGTGTTTTTAGTAGAGACAGCAGTCAGCCTCCCAAAGTGCTGGGATTGCAGGCGTGAGCCACCTCGCCCAGCTTTTTTTTTTTTTTTTTTACAGAATCTTGCTCTGTCACCCAGGCTGGAATGCAGTGGCTCAATCTCGGCTCACTGCAACCTCCATCTCCTGAGTTGAAGCAATTCTCCTGCCTCAGCCTCCCGAGTAGCTGGAATTACAGGCATGTGCCACCACGCCCAGCTAATTTTTGTATTTTTAGTGGAGATGGGGTTTCCCCATGTTGGCAAGGCTGGTCTCAAACCCCTGACCTCAGGTGATCCCCCGGCCTTGGCCTCCCAAAGTGCTGGGATTACAGGCATGAGCCACCACGCCCGGCCTCCTTACTTGACTTCTATCTGTGCTCCTCACTCCATCAGGCAGTTGAAGGGACATCCCTTGAATACTCGCTGCCTTTTCCATGGCTGTCTGTTTCCTTTGTTTGAAATACCCTTCTACCTTCCTATCTACTGGCCAAATGGATACCTCTTCCTTTCAAGCCCCTGACATCTCATGAAAGCTTCCAGAAGCACCATACCCCACAACAATTTCTATCATTTGCATTATTTTCATGTCTAGTACCTACATACAACCGAAACAAAAGTTTCATGAAACAATATTACTGTGCATGCTATAATCTGATATTTTCATTTTCTTCTTTTTTTTTTTGAGACAGAGTCTCACTCTGTCACCCAGGCTGGAGTGCAGTGGTGTGATCTCAGCTTACTGCAAACTCCACTTCCCGGGTTCAAGCGATTCTCCTGCCTCAGCCTCCTGTGTAGCTGGGACTACAGGCGCCCGCCACCATGCTCGGCTAATTTTTGTATGTTTAGTAGAGACAGGGTTTTACCATATTGGCCAGGCTGGTCTCGAACTCCTGACCTTATGATCCGCCTGCCTCGGCTTCCCAAAGTGCTGAAATTATAGGCATGAGCCACTATGCCTGGCCTGATATTTTCATTTTCTTTCATTCTATTCTAAAATTCCTGACTGAAATCCATTCAACTGGATTTTGTTTCTTTGTTTTTTGAGATGGAGTTTCGTTCTTTTGCCCAGGCTGGAGTGCAGTGCCGTGATCTTGGCTCACTGGAACCTTTGCCTTCAGGTTTCAAGCGATTCTCCTGCTTCAGCCTCCTGAGTAGCTGGAATTACAGGTGCCTGCCACCACGCCCTGCTAATTTTTGTATTTTTAGTAGAGATGGTGTTTCACCACGTTGGCCAGGCTGGTCTCCAACTCCTGACCTCGTGATCTGCCCGCCTTGGCCTCTCAAACTGCTGAGATTACAGGCATGAGCCACGGTGCCCGGCCTAAACTGGGTAATTTTATGACCCCCACTAATGGACGACAACCTCAAGTTTTAAAACAATTAACTAGAAGAGGGGCTGCTTGGGGATGGAGTTGGCGGGACAGGGGATAAAAATAAAATCAACTAGGCCAGGCACAGTGGCTTACACCTGTAATCCTAGCAATTTGGGAGGTTGGAGGATTGCTTGAGGCCAAGAGTTCAAGACCAACCTGGCCAACAAACCTAGCAAGACCCTGTGTCTATTAAAAAACAACAACACTCACAACTAACTAGATCATAAATAAGATCCTTGAGTTCCCTTTGCCTCTCCTTCCACGCAGGGCATACAATAGGCAACCACTCCAACAATTATTTGCTAAATTAAACTGAAAAAGGGGTCACAAACTCAGGAGTCTGGGTGAGTAATATCATTGATTGAAAAGGGAGGGGTAAAAGAAGAATAGCCCAAGTGTGATGATAAATGGTATGTGACCCTCAGCCTCGTTGTGTGGGACACAATAGGGGAGTAGTGGGGACCTTAGGCAACCAGAGAACACAAGCCCTGTCTAAAGGAGACAGCTGCTATTCAACTCCAGACAATTCCTGCCAGTTTGAATGCCCAGTGTTGCCAGATATTTTGAATTTAGGACAAGTGGCAACTTAGGATATTTTTGTACAATATCCCAAATTTTCAACATTGGCAACTCACTTTTAAAACTGTAATATGTCAGTATATGCCAAGAAAATAAATCTGCCAGATGTGGACCTTGGCCTGCCAATTAGCAGCTTCTAAATTAAAATTAACTTCCCAGGGAATGAAACTGAACTGACTAAATTTCAGAGAGACTATGTGTCACTCTATTCTGACCTGTAGTTTTTTTTGTGTGTTTTTTTTTTTTTTTTTTTTTTTTTGAGATGGAGTCTTGCTCTGTCACCAGGCTGGAGTGCAGTGGCACAATCTCCGCTCACTGCAACCTCCACCTCCCGGGTTCAAGCAATTCCCCTGCCTCAGCCTCCCTAGTAGCTGGGACTACAGGCGCGTGCCACCATGCCCGGCTAATTGTTTGTATTTTAGTAGAGACAGGGTTTCTTTTTCTTTTTTTTTTTTTTTTGAGACAAGAGTCCCACTCTGTCGCCCAGGCTGGAGTGCAATGGCGCAGTCTCAGCTCACTGCAACCTCCGACTCCTGGGTTCAAGTAATTATCTTCCCTCAGCCTCCTGAGTAGCTGGGATTACAGGCAACCACCACCAAGCCCGGCTAGTTTTTTTTTTTATTTTATTTTTTTTATTTTTAATAGAGACAGTGTTTCACCATTTTGGCCAGGCTGGTCTCAAACTCCTGACTTCAGGTGATCCGCCCGCCTTGGCCTCCCAAAGTGCTGGGATTACAGGTGTGAGCCACCACGCCCAGCCCTGACCTGTAGCATTTTTTTTTGTTTTGTGGGGTTTTTTTAAAATATTTTTTTTGAGATGGAGTTTCACTCTTGTTGCTCAGGCTGGAGTGCAATGGTGCAATCTCGGCTCACTGCAACCTCTGCCTCCCAGGTTCAAGCAATTCTCCTGCCTCAGCCTCCCTAGTAGCTGGGATTACAAGCATGTGCCACCACGCCCGGCTAATTTTGTATTTTTAGTAGAGATGGGCTTTCTCCATGTTGGTCAGGCTGGTCTCAAACTCCCGACCTCAGGTGATCTGCCCGCCTTGGCCTCCCAAAGTACTGGGATTACAGGCGTGAGCCACCGTGCCCAGCCAGACCTGGAGCTTTTTTATTGTAGTTTGAAGCAAGGACATAGAAGGAAAAGATTCTTTGCCTTGCTTGGAATTTTCCTGTCTTAAAAGACTCTGATTATTTCCATCTGTTCCCAGTCACTCAATTCCTTATCAGCTCTGTCCCGAGTGGCCTGTTGACACCACCAAAGCTAAAATGTTACTTTCTTTGAACACTGCATTTTAGCATCTTAGCAAGACAGGTTTGTTTACTTACCTTGTTTACTAGACTTCACAGTATTGGTGAATATATAAAAAATCATTTGTCGGCTGGGCATGGTGGCTTATGCCTGTAATCCCAGCACTTCGGGAGGCCAAGGCAGGTGGATCACGAGGTCAGGAGATGGAGACCAGCCTGGCTAACACGGTAAAACCCTGTCTCTACTAAAAATACAAAAAAATTAGCCGGGCGCGGTGGCTCACGCCTGTAATCCCAGCACTTTGGGAGGCCGAGACGGGCGGATCACGAGGTCAGGAGATCGAGACCATCCTGGCTAACACGGTGAAACCCCGTCTCTACTAAAAATACAAAAATTAGCAGGGCGTGGTGGCGGGCGCCTGTAGTCCCAGCTACCCGGGAGACTGAGGCAGGAGAATGGCGTGAACCCCGGGAGACGGAGCTTGCAGTGAGCTGAGATCGTGCCACTGCACTCCAGCCTGGGCAACAGAGCGAGACTCCGTCTCAAAAAAAAAAAATTAGCCGGGCGTGGTAGCGGGCGCCTGTAGTCCCAGCTACTCCGGAGGCTGAGGCAGGAGAATGGTGTGAATCCGGGAGGCGGAGCTGGCAGTGAGCCGACATCGCACCACTGCACTCCAGCCTGGGCGACAGAGCGAGACTCCGTCTCAAAACACACACACACACACACACACACACACAAATTAGCCGGGTGTGGTGGTACATACCTCTAATCCCAGCTACTCGGGAGGCTGAGGCAGGGCAATCACTTGAAACCAGGATGTGGAGGTTGCAGTGAGCCGAGATCATGCCACTGCACTCCAGCCTGGGCAACAGAGCAAGACTCCGTCTCAAAATAAATAATAAATAAAAATTTTTTAAAAATAATTTTTCTTAAGTAGGCAACCACGCTTCCCCAAAGCCAGTTTCTTCCTTTGCACCTGCTGAAGAGATCAAATTGAGGAAGTATTTTCTTGGATAACTTCAAAGAAACAATACAAAATTTCTTGCCCTGGAGTGTGTATGAAAGGGTGACGCATCTATGCGAGTTAACTGGGGCCAATTATGACCAGCCTGACTTGTCATGGCGTCACATCTTGCTTACTCTCAGACAGGTGATGTGCCCCCACCTTCTCCCTGCCTCACTTGCTTGCTCATGGAGCTCACTATTTTGCAAGCACGGTGCATGCCGTTCAACATATGATTATTCAAAATGGGAGGGGAATCTGGAATGCCTGAGTAGGCATTCAGCTCACAATTAAGCCCTGGCAAGATGTAATCACACACTGGGAAGGAAAAAAAAACTTCATCACCACATGATAAATGGAGACATCAGCAGTTGAGAAGGGCGGTTACGTTTTTTCCCCTCGATTTTATCTTTTCCTACTTATATGCTAACCTTTTACCCAGAGCTCCCACCAAGGAGGCTGGATTTCTCATTTCATTCTAATGATGCTACTCAGGGCTGATGTCTTTCCAGCGTTGCAGAAGAGATTCTATTAAACGCACAAACATGCAGAAACTCATGGCCTTCCTTCCAAGGATTCAGTCCGCCCTCCCTCAACCTGTCCGGAATGGTAGAAGACGTCTACCCTCTAACTGCTTATATGTACTCCAGCTGTTCCTCCTAAGATGCCGTAGGACAACTCGCTTCAGCTCACCTTCACCTTTACCATTGTCAGAAGTTTCACATTGGAGAGTGGACACCATACTCAGCCCAGGATATGCAGGATGTGCAGAGGCAATTTGGCCCAAACACTAATCTTTAAATTAAGAATAGCAACGATTTGAGCCAGGCTTTACATACAGCATCATATTTAATCCCCGACACGAGCTCCATTTTATAGATGGGGAAACTGAGGTTTGGTGATGTCAAGCGTTTTGCTGCATTAAATCAAGATCACACAGTCGGTAGCCGAACTGGGATGTAAACCCACCTATTTACATGGCTGCCTTAATCAATGACTACAAATACCAGCATCCCTTGCCGTGCCCGCTGGCGCAAACGCACACTCCCAAGGGCCCAGTCTTAGCGGCTGGATCCTAAACCCAATCAGACACCGCTTCTCCCTTTCCCCCGACCAATGGGAAGGCTGTTGCTAACACACCGGCTATATTTTTAGCTTTCAGTGCTCTGGGAGCGTGTGGGTCGGCTGAGCCTCTCTGCCTGGTGGGAAGAGCTAGGGGAAAAGAGAGAAGGGAAGGGGAGGGGGAAAGGGAGGGTGCAGCGGGCATGTGCGGGAGGGGGCGTGTGTGTGACGCTGTCACTCGCTGACGCACAAGGCAAGTAGTCCCTGGAGGTGCCCCCGGGGTTGCGACGCTCAGAGTGTGGGGGATGGGGGGGCGCTCAGGCTATCTCCCGCCTCCCTGTCCCGGTGGAGTTTGCCCTCCAGCCCGGCATTTCTCTGTTGCATTCAGGGAAAGTGCATTTAAACCCCCCACGCTACTGGTGCTCTCCGCCCTTGCCAAAAAAAGCGATCAAGGAAAAAAAAAAAGCAAACTGTTCGTAGCTGGAAACTTTCGGATCTCGCCACCCAACGTGGGGATGGCGGCTGCTGCTGGGCCGGAACCGTCTGGAATGACAAAAAAGGTGTGGGCGGGAGGGGAGAACTGGGAAATGGGAGATCTAAGGAGGGACCGGGGAGAAGACCTCACTCACAGTCCCCCGGGGGCTCCAGACTGCATCTTCCGGCACTCCTGTCTGCCTGTGACCGCAGAACACGGCCCTCCCTCCCCCTGGCTCTGTGTCCCGCACACTCACAGAGGCAGAGCAGCCCGCGTGGCCAGAGCCGGGGGAGGGGGCCTCAGCGCGCGGGCCTGGCGCGCCCAGTCCCGGGTTCGCGGAGCCTCGCTCCGCCGCCCGAGGGGCCGTAGTGGGTGCGAGCCTTGCGCCCGTTGCACGGTCAGGGGCCACCCCACGCCGGCGGGACTGCGACTAGAAGAAATGTGGGGCTCTCCCGCGTGCCCCACACTGGGGTCGCTGGCCAGAAAGAGCAAACAAGAGTTGGGAGAGGGGCTGCGCCCGCGCGCCTGCGCAGAGCCAGAGCCGGCCCTCCAGGCTGCAAGGAAAGGAGCGCCAGAGGCGGTGAGGGGAAGGTCCTTTGTGGCACTCGGCTAGTTTCACGGCCGTCAGCCTCGTCCTCGGCTCCTCTTACTCCCGCACAGCGTGGCCCAGGCCCCAGAGTCTCCCTCGCCTTTCTTTCGACGTTGAGCCCCCCGAGGAATCACAAGGCGCTCGGAAGACTCATGCCTGCCCGAAACGGGTCCGAAATGTTTCCAGAGCCCGCGTCGTCCCCTCAGTTCCCCCTCCCGCAGAGGCCGTAACGGGGCGATGCTATCGCCGCGGACACGGCCAGACGCTCGGAGCTGGAGGGAAGGCCCCGGGAAACGGCTCGGGCAAACGTCCGAACCATGGGCTCCGAGGCAGGTGCAGGGCGGACGACTCAGCGGGGGGTTTCCGGCGGGCATGGTGACTCCCTCCCCTCCCCCGCGATACTCGTCCCCCAAACACAACTAAAGGGAGAGTGCACTGTGCCCGGCTCGTGAGCAACCCGGCCCCAGGTGGTCCCCGGCCCTCACGGAGCGCCCCTGGGAGAACACCTCACACGACGCGCACAAGTTCAGAGTGGTATGGGAATGAAGGAAAGGAGTGCGGCGCGGCGCTGTGACAGGGAGGGGAAGACGGGGAGCCGGACGCACGACCGGCGAGCACAGAAGGGCACAGGAGCTGCTCCGCGAGATACCAGCGAGCTGAGGCGCGGGGCTGGCTGGGAAGTAGTCCCGGCCGGGCCCTGGCCCCGCCCCTGCAGGGCGGAGGGACGCATCACGCAGGGGTGGGGAAGCCGGATCCGTGCGCAGGGTTGCTAAGGGTGAAACTTTTCATTGACTTTGCTCACTTCGGGCCGGGGCGCGGGAAGGTGCGGGTTGTTGGCTGAGGCAAGCCGTGGCTCGGGCGACGCGGGGCCAGGAGGGCAGGACCGTCTGCCGGCGACAGCCCATACCGTCTGCCGTTGCGCGACACGAACCACCCTCCGATCCGCCATCCCCGCGTCGTCGCCGCTAGTCCGCCCGCCCGCCCTCGGGCCCCCCGCTGCCGAGCCCGACCTCCTAAGAGCTGAAAGAAATTATTGAGAGTCATAGTCCATAGCCCCCTGCTTCGTCCCCCAACCCTCAACGACGAAAAGGACTTCGGTCCCCTGGCCCGGCGACGCCCGGGAAGGAAAGGAGAGCGACCTCCGCCCCGCGCTCAGGCCACCCTGGAGGGAGAAGCCGCCCCGCGGCCGGTAGAGCGCCCCGCCGCCGCGGAGACCCGAGTGAGTGAGTTGGGGGGCGTGCGGGCGGGGGGCCCGCCCCGAGACCCAGCCGGCCGGACTACCTCTTCCACCCCGCCCCACTCCCGCTTTGCTGGACTCTCCACGTTGCTGCCGCTCCCTCCCCGCCTGGCCAGCATTTTCTTTCCCCATCCAGCTTCCCTCCAGACCCCACTTTCCCCAGCTCCTCTTCTCACGCCATCTGTGCTCCTGGGGTGCCCAAGAGCTCCTTTTTCTCCCAGTTCCAAGAGTGGCCCTCTCCTGGGTGGGGTGCATTTCCTCCCTTCCCCGCCTCCCCCGGTTCTTTATATCCTAGCTACTCGCTAGATCTTCCTTGTTCTCCAAAGAAACATAACTCCCCCCACCGTTAAATAAATCCGAGGAAGGAAGGGGATCCAGGCCTTGTTTTTCTGCTTCTTTTCCCGTGTGCAGGGAAGGGGGGTGGTAATTGTTAATAGACTCTATTTCTGGCTCTGTGGAGCCTGAAGGGTGGAGGGTGGACACCCCCTTTGGCGACGGGACAGGTCAGTGGAGATTGTCCTTGGGCCACTGAGCCAGAGTTCACCGTTTCGGCTGAGCTCTTTATACTCTTAAGTGTTTTAATGGAAAATTGGGCAGAAAAAAGTACCCTTAGAGCAGTGCCAGTGAGTGGATTCTGCTTATCTTGGTAAGGTGCCTGCGAGGTGGGGCCCTACCCCCAAACTCCTTCCCCTCCTGTCCGGAGGATGAACTGTGCCCTTGACCACCAGAAATCTGGGAGGGGAAGGAGGGTGCAGAGAGGAGGCACAGCCGGCAGGCCCTCTCCCTCCCCCAGGAGAAACCAGAACCCCGCACAGCAAGCTTCAGCTTGGGGACGGGTGGAGGCCAGTCTCTGGTGCTACTCCGTATCTAAACGGTCTTTTTCTCCTTCTTACCCACCGTACCCTGGGAATGGGTCCTTCATCTCTGATTTTCCGGCAGAAAAACAATCCTATTGCTTTCTTGGGCTTCTACCCCCATCCCTCCGTGAAGCATAGGGGGAAAGAAGCTTGTGTGGGAGGAAGGATTAAGGAGGTTTAACACCCAGCGGGGGAGCTTGCCGAGGATCTGGTAAGTCTGGTCGTAAAGCAGACCTTGCAATGGGAGGAGACACACAGAATTTTAGTATGAGAAGATGCTCAGGTGTCAGGTGTACAGTTTTTTTCTTCTCTGCCTGGGAACCTTTTCCTATTTCCCTCTCCCGGATCTGGTTACTCAGTCTTCGATTAGAAATGGGGTGAGGCTTGGGCCCTGCTGGCCTTGGCCTGGCGCCTCCCCACAGCTTGACTGGAAATTTCTTTGGCCGAGAGGACGGGAGAACTGGGTTTGATTCCTGCCTTTCCTTTCCTGGCTGTTTGGGGTGCTGGAGCCGAGTCCGCTAGGCATTAAGTGAAAAAGATCCGTTTCCCTTTGAATCCACCGTCCATCCAGCAACCCCACACGGACCGCCCAGGCCCTGGAATTCAGATTGGGTGGGGGGAAGGGGGTCGTGACCTTATCTAAGCCAGCCCACCCCCTTCACCCAGAAAAAACTCATTAGAAGCAGATCCTAGTTTCATCAGTAATGGGAGGCGATGAAGGGAAAGGTGGGAAAGTTAGGCTCTCGTAAAGCCTAGAGGATGTGGTGGGGCCATACAATACGGGGAGTAGGCCTTTTGGGTAGAATCTACATGAAATGTATTAGGCGATGGGAGGGGGGCGCCGACCCGCCTCAGCGCGCATGTGCATCGGAAACTTTTCCTGGGCTCTTCGACCCTCGGTCGGCTCCCCTTACCGGGCATGCGTATTGCGGCCAGTTGGGCCTTCGCAAAGTGCTCAGGGAAGTGTAGTGTGCAGGGAAAGTAGGTCACTCCTGCTATCGCCTGGTCCGGAGGTGTTTGAGGACTACAATTCCCAGAGTGCAGAGCGGGCCCTCACCGCCCGCCTCTCCGCCTACGTTTGGGTTGAGTCGAGTTTTCCTAGCTCCTGAGGAACATGGAGTGCCCTAGAAAGGGTCTTCATAGCCGAAAGGGGCCTTGTTGTCAGACCTAAGGTTGACCGGTCTGTGTCTAGGGGGAGATGATGAGAGACTGGGCGCGGTGTTGCAGTCAGTCAGCACCAGTCCTGGAAGCCTTTCAATACACACCCGCCTGTCTGGGCCGCTGCCTCTGGGACCAGCGAGTTGGGGCGGATCCCGTGTCTCACCAAGGAGAGGAGCTGCCTGCGTTTGGCTCTCACTCCCCGGACAGCGGCAGGGCACTCGCATCCACCCGGTCTGTGACACCTGCTGGCCCCTCCACACTTAGTTGAGTCCTGTAGTCCGTCATTGTAGGACAGTTTGCACATTTAAGGCTTAGAGGTGTCTGAGTATCTTTTTGGGTTTGGGGCTCAGTGGATTCCATCACCATTATCCCTCCTTTTCCTCTTTGAAACAGAATTTTCTTTCTGAAAAACCTTCCGGCCGGGTGCGGTGGCTCACGCCTGTAATCCCAGCACTTTGGGAGGCTGAGGCGGGCAGCGGATAACCTGAGGTCGGGAGTTCGAGACTAGCCTGACCAACTTGGAGAAACCCCGTCTCTGCTAAAAATACAAAATTAGCCGGGCGTGGTGGCGCATTCCTGTAATCCCAGTTACTCGGGAGGCTGAGGCAGGAGAATCGCTTGAACCTGGGAGGCGGAGGTTGCGGTGAGCCGAGATCGCGCCATTGCACTCCAGCCTGGGCAACAAAACCGAAACTCCATCTCAAAAAAAAAAAAAAAAAAATCTTCTGGCTAGGCAGTGACTCACGCCTGTAATCCCAACACTTTGGGAGGCGGAGGCGAGCGGATCACGAGGTCAAGATTTCGAGACCAGCCTGGCCAACATGGTGAAGCCCCGTCTCTACTAAAAATACAAAAATTAGCCGGGCGTGGTCCCGCGTGCCTATAATCCCAGCTACTCGGGAGGCTGAGGCGGGAGAATTGGTTGAACCCAGGAGGCGGAGGTTGCAGTGAGCCAAGATGGCGCCATTGCACTCCAGCTCTGGGCTACAGAGCAAGACTGTCTCGAGGGGGGGAAAAAAATCTTCCTTCGCTTCTGACATTAGAGCAGGCAGACACATGCGCGCGCGTGTGACACACACACACACCTTCCTCACATTTTTATCAGAAGTTCTCTCTGGAATCTGCACTGACTGAGGCTTCTTTTGAGCTTCACGCCCCACTTCTTCCCCCGTCGTCTTTCTCCTAGGCACCTGCTCTTTAAAACACAAGTCAGCACAAGGGATCAGAATCCAGGTTTAACTTTGCTGCTGGAAGTAAACAAGTGAGGATAAAATTCTTAGTGAAATTGGACAGAATTTTGCTCTCATATTTGCCCTTTTTAATAGGTTGACAAAAGGGAGATTTTGCTATTGTTAAACACCTCACCATTTTTATTCTTCTTGCTCCCTTTTTCGCCGTTTGTGCCTACACTGGGGTTAGAAAAGATCTTAGTGTCCTCTGCAGCCACTTAAGCGAATCCCTTTACTTGTTCCCTTTATTGACAGGTAGTTATTTCTAAGCTTTCTAATCTTACCATACTTCCATAAATATTTTATATATAAGCTCTAGAATTTGTTCATAGCTTTTTAAAAAATGAACAAACTCCTCTGAATGGCCACTCCTATCTTTAGCTAAAGACAAGCCAGCACCAGTGCTTTAATCCTCTGCTCCATAAGCTTCTTGCAGTCAAAATTAGAGCCTGAGCTGATAGAGCAGAAAATCTCATTCTGGTTGTCCATCATTTTTGTAAGGTTCCACCCCACAGCCATCTGGTCCAGCCTGTTCTCTAATTAAAGAGGCAAAGGTGGCATTATATGCTTCCTTATTTGTGCGGCAACATCACTGAGGTATAAATTGGTGTGCAGCTTTAGTTGCTTATGCTGCAGAAAATGGTTAGCTAGGCAGGGCTGATGACAGTGGTTCTATTGTATTTTGGGGTGGGAGGCTTATTTCCCAATGACTTTGGCCTGCATTTAAAATGCTCTCATTTTGAGGCCGAACTGTTCAGGAGTAGTTAACTTGGAAGGCAATTATGCAGCCAGGTTTGAGGAGGCTTAGAAAGGTGTAGAAACCCTTTGCTCTCAGTGGAAATACCAAGAGGTGCATTTTAAGAGGCCATGCAGTACCTTGGGAGAAGTATCATATGTTGACTTCAGTCTGTTTTAGATTTCAAAAATACTTTGGAAACACTGTCTTTAACAACAGGTTCCATTCTAGGGAACCAGTATCAACTTTCCTCACAACTTTTTTTTCTTTTTTTTTTTTTTTTGAGGCAGAATTTCTCTCACTTTGTCATTCAGACTGGAGTCCAGTGGCATGATCTCGGCTTACTGCAAACTCTGCCTCCCAGGTTCAAGCGATTCTCTTGCCTCAGCCTACGGAGTAGTGGGATTATAGGCACCCGCAATCATGCTGGGCTAATTTTTATGGGGTTTTTTCTTTTCTTTTTTTTTTTTTTGAGAAAAATCACTCTTGCCCAGGCTGGAGTGCAGTGGCGCAATCTTGGCTCACTGCAACCTCCGCCTCCTGGGTTCAAGCAATTCTCCTGCCTCAGCCTCCTGAGTAGCTGAGGTTACAGGCGTGTGCCACCACACCCGGCTAATTTTTTATTTTTAGTAGAGACGGGGTTTCACCATGTTGGTCAGGCTGGTCTCGGACTCCTGACCTTGTGATCCACCCGCCTCAGCCTCGCAAAGTGCTGGGATTACAGGCATGAGCCACAATGCCCGGCTAATTTTTGTGTTTTTAGTAGAGATGGGGTTTCGCCACGTTGGCCAGGCTGGTCTTGAATTCCTGGCCTCAAGTGATCCACCTGCCTTGGCCTCCCGAAGTGCTGGGATTACAGGTGTGAGCCACCACACCTGGCTCTTCACAACTTTTTAGTCTGCTCCTTGTTGGACACCTCTATGGACTATGTGGCCCTTCAGACCTCTGTTCCTGAGAGAAGGCTCATGGTTCTGGTGGGTAGTTTTGTATCTGCTGATGAGCCTGATCCTCATAAACAGAAAGCCCTTTATTCTTTCTACTATTCTTACTTTTTTTTTTTTTTGAGGTAGAGTCTTGCTCTGTCACCCAGGCTAGAGTGCAATGGCACGATCTCAGCTCATTGCAACCTCCGCCTCCTGGGTTCAAGCGATTCTCCTGCCTCAGCCTCCCGAGTAGCTGGGACTACAGCTGCGTGCCACCACGCCTGGATAATTTTTGTATTTTTATAGAGATGGGGTTTCACCGTGTTAGCCAGGATGGTCTCAATCTCCTGACCTTGTGATCCACTCGCCACGGCCTCCCAAAGTGCTGGGATTACAGGCGTGAGTCACCGTGCCCGGCCTCTACTATCCTTACTTTTTATACCCAAAAAAGCCCTGAAATTGGTCTGTATTGATCATTAATAGACATTTGAGGCTGAGGCACGTGGATCACTTGAGCGTAGGAGTTCAAGAACAGCCTGGGTGACATGGCAAAACCCCATCTCTACATAAAAATACAAAAAAAAATGAGGCTGGACATGGTGGCTCAGGCCTGTAAACCTACCACTTTGGGAGGTTGAAGCAGGTGGATCACTTGAGGCCAGGAGTTCAAGAGCAGCCTGGCCAACGTGATGAAACCCCGTGTGTACTAAAAATACAAAAATTAGCCAGGTGTGGTGGTGCATGCCTGTAATTCCAGCTACTCAGTAGGCTGAGGTGGGAGAATTGTTTGAACGTAGGAGGCAGAGGTTGCAGTGAGTCGAGATCACGCCACTGCATTCCAGCCTGGGTGACAGAGACTTCATGTCAAAAAAAAAAAAAAAAAGCCAGGTGTGGTGGTACATGCCTGTAGTCCCAGCTACTTGGAGGCTGAAGTGGGAGGATCACCTGAGCCCAGGGAGGTGGAGGCTGCAGTGAGCTGTGATCCTGCACCCTAGCTTGGGTGACAGAGTGAGACCCTGTCTCAAAAAAAGAAAAAGAGGCCAGGCGCGGTGGCTCATGCCTGTAATCCCAGCACTTTGGGAGGCTGAGGTGGGTGGATCACGAAGTCAGCAGTTCGAGACCATCCTGGCCAACATGGGGAAACCCCGTCTCTACTGAAAAAAAAAAAAATTAGCCAGGAGTGGTGGTGCACGCCTGTAATCCCAGCTACTTGGGAGACTGAGGCAGGAGAATCGCTTGAACCGGGGAGGCAGAGGTTGCAGTGAGCCGAGACCGTGCCATTGCACTCCAGCCTGGGCGACAGAGCAAGACTCCGTCTCAAAAAAAAAAAAAAAAAGAAAGAAAAAGAAAAAAATAGACATTTGAAGAAACTTAGAGATGAAGTCTGTGTTGGAGGCTGGGAAAAGAGGGAAACCAGGGTATTCTGAGTCCTGAGTGTTCTTGTGGAGGGTTTGGGAGAGGCATAGTTGTGGTACCTCTGCTGACTCCCATGTGACCTTCTCTGTTCCTCAGAACTGAAATGAGGGTTAACTAGATTCAGCCACTGTCATGCTGCTCCAGATTGACCCAGTGAGTCTTCTCTGATACATTCACCCCAGAAATCTTTTTCTGAGGATTTAGTCCCAAAAATGCCCCTTAAGGCCGTGTGTGTTGGCTCATGCCTGTAATCCCAGCACTTTGGGAGACCAAGGCAGGCGGAACACTTTAGGTTAGGAGTTTGAGACCAGCCTGGCCAACATGGTGAAACCCCATCTCCACTAAAAATACAAAAACTAGCCAGGCGTGGTGACGGGCACCTATAGTCCCAGCCATTCAGGAGGCCAAGGCACGAGAATCACTTGAACCTGGGAGGTGGAGGTTGCAGTGAGCCAAGATCACGCCACTGCAGTCCAGCCTGGGCGATAGAACGAGACTCAGTCTCCACATACATACATACATACATACATACATACATACATACATACATACATACGTAAAATTAAATTAAATTAAATGCCCCTTAAGAGCCATGGGCCCAGGCCTGAGAATTACAGGGAAATGTGTTGGGGCAGGTGTTTAGAAAACTCAAAATCCCCAAGCCTGAAATTAGCACCTGGATACTTCAAGCTGGATCCAGAAAGGATTTGAATCAAAATCCAGCCCCAAGTCTTTCATAGGACAGAAGATGCCCTTGACAGTTCATGGAGCAGTCATGTCTCTTTGCTTAGCTCAGCAGCACAGCCTTGCCCAGAGGTCTGGCTAGGAACATGTTCTGGCTCTGCCTCCTCTCAGAGATGGCTCTTTCAGTTCAGTTTCTCCCCCAGCATGAGCCCCGGAGCTGCCCTTTTGGAGAAAATGAGATTAGGATCACTGGCTCTCAGGACCTCACAGATCATCTTCCTGAGACATGAGGCTGGCCCAGGCCAAGGGAATAAACCTTTTTGACCTCAGTGGGATCTGGCTGTGAGAGAATCCCAAAATAACAATCTGGTGTTTATCTTGGGCTGCCTTCTCTCCGGGGATCTCAAAACACTTGATAAATCTGATCTGCTGCCGAGGACAGGTGGTCAGACAGTCCCTGGGAGACTGAGTGATGATGGGTCCCTACCGGAGGCTGCAGGGTGATGGAAAATTTCTTTCCTCTGCCACCCTCATCACTTACATTCTCACCAGAAACTACAGAGATTCCCCCTCCTTTTCTCTGCTTCCCTGTGGCAGCCCCGAGTCAGCAGTTCCCTTGTTGGTCCACATCTCTGATTGTGACAGGTCTTGCCTTTTTCCTGGGGCTCATGCTCTTGTCTTATGTCTTATTCCTTTTTTTTTTTTTTTTTTTTTTTTTTTTTTTGAGACAGAGTTTCGCTCTTGTTGCCCAGGCTGGAGTACAATGGTGCGATCTCGGCTCACCACAACCTCCGCCTCCTGGGTTCAAGCGATTCTCCTACCTCAACCTCCCGGGTAGCTGGGATTACAGGCATGCACCACCATGCTCGGCTAATTTTTTGTATTTTTAGTAGAGACAGGGTTTCTCCATGTTGGTCAGGCTGGTCTCGAACTCCCGACCTCAGGTGATCCACCCGCCTCAGCCTCCCAAAGTGCTGGGATTACAGGCATGAGCCACTGCACCTGGCCGGAGTTCTTAAATCAGTTCTGCAAACCTGGACTGAACCAGACAGCATACACACCCATGGGGCCCATGATGACAGATGGATGTGACTGGAGTCCAGGCCCCCAGTGAAGAATTGGCAGTGCTCTTTCCTGTTCAGTGACCTGTATCCCTTTTCATTTAAGGAGGACAACCAAATATTTTAAACTTACATCTTAGTCTGTGACAGTTTGGGGGCACGACTTCACCAAGATATTGCAGAGACAGCAAGAGACTTCTTCTTCACCTGATTTAGGGACTTGATTTTTTTAGTGTCATTCATACAGTGACCTGAATTCTCAAGATGGTGGAAAACACAGCTTCCCTATTTCTTTAGAATTACTTTAAAATAGTAGCTTTTTTTTTTTTTTTTTTTTTTTTTTTTGAGATGGAGTCTCACTCTGTCGCCAGGCTGGAGTACAGTGGCATGATCTCGGCTCACTGCAACCTCTGCCTCCTGGGTTGAAGCAATTCTCCTGCCTCAGCCTCCCAAGTAGCTGAGACTACAGGCATGCGCCACTATGCCCAGCTAATTTTTGTATTTTTAGTAGAGATGGGGCTTCATCATGTTGGCCAGGATGGTCTTGATTTCTTGACCTCGTGATCTACCTGCCTCAGCCTCCCAAAGTGCTGGGCTTACAGGCATCAGCCACCGCGCCCGGCCAATAGTAGCTAACTTTATCAATTACCTTTTAATTGCCAGGTACACTGTGAGGCAGTTTATATCCTTGAACTACCTTAACTTCATGATGGCCTCATGTTACTAATGAGGAAACTGGGGCCCACAGTCAGACATGAGCCACTGGTGGGGCAGAAATAGGCTCCTGGTTCTGTGTGATCCAAAGTTGGTGCTTTTCTGTCTATCCCTAGCTGTTGGTCACCACCAGCTTTCTGCATATTTTCTCACGGTGCCTCTCATTTCCCAGAGCCGCCTGGAGCCCAAGGCTGTACACGTGCCCTGTGCTGATTCTCTGCCTAGGAAAGGACCATGCAGCTAGAGATCAAAGTGGCCCTGAACTTCATCATCTCCTACTTGTACAACAAGCTGCCCCGGCGCCGGGCAGACCTGTTTGGGGAGGAGCTAGAGCGGCTTTTGAAAAAGAAATATGAAGGCCACTGGTACCCTGAGAAGCCACTGAAAGGCTCTGGCTTCCGCTGTGTTCACATTGGGGAGATGGTGGACCCCGTGGTGGAGCTGGCCGCCAAGCGGAGTGGCCTGGCGGTGGAAGATGTGCGGGCCAATGTGCCTGAGGAGCTGAGTGTCTGGATTGATCCCTTTGAGGTGTCCTACCAGATTGGTGAGAAGGGAGCTGTGAAAGTGCTGTACCTGGATGACAGTGAGGGTTGCGGTGCCCCAGAGCTGGACAAGGAGATCAAGAGCAGCTTCAACCCTGACGCCCAGGTGTTCGTGCCCATTGGCAGCCAGGACAGCTCCCTGTCCAACTCCCCATCGCCATCCTTTGGCCAGTCACCCAGCCCTACCTTCATTCCCCGCTCCGCTCAGCCCATCACCTTCACCACCGCCTCCTTCGCTGCCACCAAATTTGGCTCCACTAAGATGAAGAAGGGGGGCGGGGCAGCAAGTGGTGGGGGTGTAGCCAGCAGTGGGGCGGGTGGCCAGCAGCCACCACAGCAGCCTCGCATGGCCCGCTCACCCACCAACAGCCTGCTGAAGCACAAGAGCCTCTCTCTGTCTATGCATTCACTGAACTTCATCACGGCCAACCCGGCCCCTCAGTCCCAGCTCTCACCCAATGCCAAGGAGTTCGTGTACAACGGTGGTGGCTCACCCAGCCTCTTCTTTGATGCGGCCGATGGCCAGGGCAGCGGCACCCCAGGCCCGTTTGGAGGCAGTGGGGCTGGCACCTGCAACAGCAGCAGCTTTGACATGGCCCAGGTATTTGGAGGTGGTGCCAACAGCCTCTTCCTGGAGAAGACACCCTTTGTGGAAGGCCTCAGCTACAACCTGAACACCATGCAGTATCCCAGCCAGCAGTTCCAGCCCGTGGTGCTGGCCAACTGACCATCTACCTGCCCGTGGGGCCAGGAGCACCCAAGACCACAGAAAAGAGAAAGGAAAGGCCAAAAAAAAGAGGAAAAGAAAAATGTACAAAAAGATTTTCGATCTTCTCACTCTTACTTCTAGAAAAAAGATCCAGCCCAGGCACGGAATGGGAGGGCCCTGCAAAGCACCCAAGTGTGTTTCACTCACCCCTTACCGCTCGCCCACCGGCCTGTGATTTATTTGGTTGGTTTGGGTTTTATATTTCTTTTTCTTTTTTTTTTTTCTTACATGTAGTTTTCTATATAACATCTTTAATGAGTGGCTTCCTGTGCTAAGAATGGTCCAGATGTGAACTGCTGCTCCCTGCTCCTCCCTTCCTCCTTCACACTCCTAGTTTAGGATTGATGTGTCCAAGCTCATAGGGAAGAAAGAGCTGCAGCTGGAGCCTGACCCTCCCTGGAACAGGGAGAGGCTGGCCCGTGTCACTGCCTCTGTCACCCAGCTATCCTCGCACTCAAAGCCATCCAACCTCAGCAGGCCTTCTCGGGCCCTGCCACCTGAATAGGTCTGACCCCAGTCCCCACTCCCTTTCAGGCTGGGCCACAGGGAGTTGCTGGCTGGCCACTTGACACCCTCCCCCTGGAGCTGATGTCTGTGACTACAGGGAGATTAGCACTTCGTCTAGTGAAACTCCTTTCATCTCTGTCCTATGGCCCCACCCCACCATTCCCTCTAGGCCCAGACCATCATCATGGCCCTGGCCATTGATGTGTATGGGCTTTCTTTCCCTCATGCAGCCCCTTCTTCCCCAGGCTGGATGTTGTGGGTAGGGAGGGGTGTGTGTGTGTGTATTTGGTTTGCTGTCCTTTTTTAAAGGATTCCAAGCCATGTGAAACTTCCCTTCTGGATGTGATTCTGGGTCGCAAGTCCTTATTTATATGTGAGGCTGGGGAATGGGCTGGGGGTATTGGCAGTCCTTTTGCAGGGCAGTGTGTGTGGTGGGGTGACACCGCTGTGGCTTAGCCCAAGACACTCCCAGAGGAAAACACTGCAGAAGGAACTGGTTTGCAGACTGTGGAAGGATCTGCAGTTTTGTTTTTGACCAAAAAAATAATAATAAGTTAGCTCTGAAGGGCAGAGGGAATACCCAAGCCCCTGATGCCTATGAGAAGTCCCTGGACTTCAACCCTCCTGTTGTTTGGCCTTAGCCCAGAGGGAGCTGCTCACCTGAGCACCCTTGGGGGTGGGCAGAGAGGCAGGGTGGGATTTTAGAGTTAGTGTCTGTGCGGGGGCAGCCCTGAGCCTGGAGTTGAGACTTTGGGGTCTCTTAGTTTGGAGGTGTTGAGTGCATTTGTGCCCCTGCCTGGTTGAGAGCTTCTTGGTACCTCTTGCCACCCCTTCTCACTGCCCTGACCCAACCCCACTGGACCTTGATGCTGCGAGGAGTGGTGTCCTGACGGACTCAGCACTCCCGCCTGATGTATTGGATCATAGGAGAGCACTTGCTCTCCTGCCTCTGCCAGGAGAGGGCTTGTTCCTCCAACTCTAGGAGGCCAGGCAAGCATGGACAGGAGCCAAGGGAGCAGGGTCATTAACTTTTTCTTCTTTGCAAAGTGGGCACTTGGCATCAGGGTCCCAATCACCAGAAAGCACCAAAGCCCCTGGCACCCCACCCACTCCATCCTACCCAGGGACCCCAAGTAGGCAACTGTTATGGCAGTGGGTCCAGCCCAGGCCAGCACTGCCAGCCTCCTCTCCCTGCAGTAGGCACCAGCTCTACCTCCCCCGGCAGGCAATGTCCTGGCTTCTCAGCCCAGCACCATCTGTTCCCCTAGACTTCTCAGGGGCCAGCCCAGTCTGGGCCACCCTTTGTTTCCCTCATCCTCGGCTCCCACACAGGTGACAGACCCAGCAGATAGCTTCTCTCTGGGAAAGGTTGGATGCTGCCTTACATCCCCTTCTAGCCCTCCTCCCATCCACACACACAGGCACCCACCCACACCAGGTCGGCTTGTTTCTCACATGTAGGGAGAGAGGGGAGACCAACCCCTTTGTGTCTTTTGAAATACGAAGAAAAATGTGTGTTCAGGAGCATGACTCCAGTGCTGCGCTCTTGGGCCCAGTTCAGTCTGTCTTGTCTCAAATCTAGGCATTTTTGCTTCAATTTTATTTTTTTTAAGAATACAAAAACAGAAATCTGCACTAATTTACCTGGTTTCGTAGGAAAACTTTTTTTTATTTTTTACATTTTTTGGTGTCCGTTTGTATTGAATAATTTGCTACATTTGTAAAATGTAAGAGGTATATAATATATGTATATTTCTAACGTAAAAAACATAATTTTTTTCTTTTCAAGATTTTTTCTTAAAAAGATGAGAGAAACATATTTTTTCAGGAAAAACAAACTTTAAAAAAAAAAGAGGAGAAATAAAACCTTTTCTCCCCTTTCCCCATCCTCTATCTATCCCTCTTTCCCAGGAACAAATCAAAAGGTGGATTATCTTCTGAAGAATGGAAACTGTTAGTCCAGAATGATGTGTTTTTCTCAATGCAGTGAGTTATAGATTCTCTAGTTTTCTCCCTAGGGATGGGAAGGGGGCATTGAGGCAAGCCTGGAGAGGAGCCCGGGGAGCAGGGTCATGAACTTTTTTCTTTAGTGAAGGAGGAATACAATCAAGGGTTTTGTATTCAGAATGTTGTGCAATATTTTGGAATGGGACATTGGTGTGTTTAGAGATTTTAGTTTAAAAACAAAACAAAAAGATTGATCAAATCTGTACAGTTTCTATTGTTCCAGATTTTTTTAAGTTTGTATTAAAAGCATGATACATAATAGCCTTCTGCCTGCTCCTGGCTTGCTTGGTTTCTGGGGTCCCTTTTGGGATGGAGAGAATGGGAGTGGCCCAGCCCTTACAGACTCCAAGAAACGATTGGTCCTCCTTACAGTGACAGCCTCGGATGGACATAACTGTCCTGGTGCCCCTTCTTGACCACCTATCCATCCCATCAACACAGGATACATCATTGTGCTTGCTACCGCAGATGCTTTTCTACACTGGAAACAGGTTCCACAAAGTTAGAAACCGCTCCAGTTCCCTTAGCCAGTTGGTGGTGGCAGCAGAGCCTGGAGAACGGGGTACTTCATGGCTCTTTAGGAATTGTCTATTCCTGGGGGGAGGAGAGCGGGGACAGCCTCCAGCCTACTCTAGATCTAGTACTTGATCCTTAGTACTAGATCCTTAGATGTGGGCAAGGATGAGAACAGCTTGCCTAAGCCAGGTTCCATCCAAAAGCCCGGTGCTTGGATTCTCAACCCTTTTCTTGGGCTGGACAATTTCGGAGCTGCCTTAAGAGTGAGACAGCCCAGCCCAGAGAAAGCCACCCTTCTGCCAGTGGCCGATTTCCTTAGGAGCTCTGCTATCTCCCAGTGGCCCGGGCCATATTTTCCCCTTCCCAGGGCCTGTGCCTATCAATGCTGCCCATCTAGGAGAGAAACCTCCCACCTTGGCCTCCCTCTCAAAGTGCTGGGATTATGGACGTGAGCCACCATTCCTCATCCTGTTGAATTTTCACAGGGATTGTTCATCCTCACAGGGATTGTCTCCATTTTGCAGTTAAGAAATAGGCTGGGTGCAGTGGTTCACATCTGTAATCCCAGCACTTTGGGAGGCCGAGGCAGACGGATCACTCGAGGTCAGGAGTTTGAGAACAGCCTGGCCAACATGATGAAACCCCGTCTCTACTAAAAAAAAAAAAAAAACAAAACAAAAAACACAAAAATTATCTGGGTGTGGTGGCGAGCGCCTATAATACCAGCTACTTGGGAGGCTGAGGCACTAGAATCTCTTGAACCCGGGAGGCGGAGGTTGCAGTGAGCTGAGATCGCGCCATTGCACGCCACTTGCTCTGGGTGACAGAGCAAGACTCCGTCTCAAAGAAACAAACAAAAAAGAAATAGGCTCCAACTTAGATTACCCTAGACTCATAAAACTAGTAAATGGTAAAGATTCTGACTCGTGTCTGATTTTTTCATTTATTGATCCAAGTGATACTGGGCAGCGTCAGTTCTTGTCCACTGGAGAATAAATCAGACAGTGTCTGCCTTCCCAGAGTTGACATCTCACATGCATTTGATACAATTATAACTGCTATAGAAGAGTGATACAGGTTAAGGGTGGCAGGGGATGACCTTGCCACCTCTACTGCCACCACTGGGCTGGGGTAGGGGGCAAACAGTTCTGGGGCATCAGTGGGGTAAGGGGCCTCCTCAGGCCCCTCATTCCCCAAACAGGCAACGCTGAGCACTCCCCAACCAAGTTTGCGAACTGGAAGGCCCCAGGGCAAACATCCAACTTCTGGACAGGTTGCAGGAGGCCTGATGTCCAGCCCCTCCATGGGCCACTTCCCCTCTGCAGGGCCTGTTGAGCGGAGGGAGGCCCCCATCCAGGATAACGAGGCCCTGGCCTGCCAGACACAGGGCCATTTGCAGGGGTTTCACTTTCTTCCGTCCTGCCAGGGAGAAGCCCACCTTGTCCCTGCATCCCTGTGTGTGGGCTGACCACCCAACCTTGGGCACCACAGCAGGGGCAGGATGGCCTTCACCTGCTCATTCCTATTTCATGTAGACAAAGGTCCTGACACGGCAGGTGCCTGCTCCCACTCCCTGTCATGCTGTCAGCGGAGGGTCCTGGGCGAGACCCAGCTCAGAAGCTGAGACTCACCTTCCTGGCCTGGCCCATCCCTCTGAAGGTATAGACACTACAGATTTGAAAAAAAAAAAAAAAATTCTCCATGGCATAGACAGAAATCACTCATTCAGACATTCATGCCTCTATTTATTCAGCAAACGCTCACTGGTTCTGAAGAGGTGGACGGGAGACTTAGAGGGGTAAAGGGATGCTGGGGCCCCAGCCCTGCAGCAGGGGAAGAAAGAATATTTTAGTAGACAGTTCCTCCAAAAAAGGCTAATTTATTCCTTTGACAAACCATCCATGGGCATCCACTCTCTGCCCTGGGAACACAGGTGGGAAAGCAGTTTCAGGACAGGTATGCACGGGCGACCTGAGAGCCAGAGACTGAGGAAGGCTTCCCAGAGGAGGTGAAGACAGAGTACGGGCCGGGTGCGGTAGTTCATGCCTGTAATCCCAACATGCTGGGAGGCCAAGGCAAGAGGATCGCTTGAGCCCAGGAGTCCAACATTAGCCCTAGGCAATAGAAGAAGACCCCATCTCTACAAAAAATTAAAAAATTCGCCGAGTGTGGTGGCGCATACCTGTGTCCCAGCTACTCTGGAGGCTGAGGTAGGAGGATCGCTAAATGAATAAATAAATACATACATAATAAAAAGAGTACCAGTCAGTCAAGAAGAAGCAAAGCAAGGCCCCTCCACTCCCCAGGGAGCCCCATCAGGAGGGCACCCGTCAGGGTCAGGGAAGAGGCTGGACTCTGCTCCCTTAGAAGTGCAGGTTCTACCATCCTGGTTAACACAGTGAAACCCCCTCTCTACTAAAAATACAAAAAATTAGCCAGGCGTGGTGGCAGGCGCCTGTAGTCCCACCTACTCGGGAGGCTGGAGCAGGAGAATGGCCTGAACCCGGGAGGTGGAGTTTGCAGTGAGCCGATATGGCGCCACTGCACTCCACCCTGGGCGACAGAGCGAGACTCCATCTCAAAAAAAGAAAAGAAGTGCAGGTTCTAATTCCAACCCTGCCACTCTCTTGCTAGGTGACCTCGGACAAATCACTCCACCTACCCTGGCACCTCAGTTCCCTCACCTTGAAAATGGAGATTAAAAACAAAACATAAAAGAGAAAAGAAGCCAGGCGTGGTGGCTCATGCCTGCAATCCCAACACTTTGGTAGACTGAGGTGGGTGGATCACCTGAGGTGAGCAATTCGAGACCAGCCTGGCCAATATGGAGAAACCCCATCTCTACTAAAAATACAAAAATTAGCTGGGTGTGGTGGTGCACACCTGTAATCTCAGCTACTTGGGAGGCTGAGGCAGGACAATTGCTTGAACCTGGGAGGTGGAGGTAGCAGTGAGCCGATATCACGCCACTGCACTCCAGCCTGGGTGACAGAGCAAGGGTACATCTCAAAAAAAACCAAACCAAAACAAAACAAAAAAAACAAAGACACAAAAAAATTAGCCAGGCACGGTGCCGCACACCTGTAATCCCAGCTACTTGGAAGGCTGAAGCCAGAAGGCAGAGGCTGCAGCGAGCTGAGCCGAGATCGCGCCACTGCACTCCAGCCTAGGTGGCAAGTGAAATTCCATCTCCAAAAAAAAAAAAAAAAAGGAAAAAAAATAAGAAGACCAAAAAAAGAGGAAGAAAATAGGGATGATAATTGTACCTACTTGTGAAAATTAAAAGAAATGATGGGTGGAAAATACGGAGCACGGTGGCTGGCCTGCAGTAAACAACTTGGTGAACGGCGAGTATCATTTTAATCATCATGGCCATTATTGTCCATCCTTAAATGCCACCAGACAATCCAGGCCAGTATGCTCCTTGCATCAGCATACAGACTGAAACCCAAGCTGCTGGCAGGACCAGGCTGGGGAAGAAAAGAAAACTGTCCTTTGAGCAGAGCCTGGGCTGCCCCAGCCCTGCCCTCTGCCAAGGTGGGAGGCTGCTTGTCTCCTAGCAAGACAGTGTCGCGCGAAGCACACTGAATCCCACTCCTTCTCTCCAGGGGCCTAGCCTTCTGTCTGGGGATGAAACGTGACCCTCAATGTCCGTCCCAAAACCCGGGAATTTCTCCCTGGAGAGGCAGACAGGTGGGTGGTGGGAGGGTGAGTCATGGCAGCAGGAGAACCCCTCATCATTGCCTGACTCAGTGCCCCTAGGCCAAGGGGATGCCATTTTCTGGTCCTCACCACCGCCACCTCCCCATGAGTGAGTCGGGGTAGAGGGGCATGCCTTTCTCCTTTCTCTAGGCCTGGCCAGCTTGCCCAAGTTTTGCCTGGACAGGGCCTATGGTCAGAATGGAACCAGTCAGAGGTCTCCAAGCCTCTAGGCAAATAAGCCAGCTCATGTTCTGATTTTTTTTTTTTTTTTTTTTTTGATGGAGTCTCGCTCTGTCATCCAGGCTGGAGTGCAGTGGCACGATCTCAGCTCACTGCAGCCTCCGCCTCCTGGACTCAAGCAATTCTCCTGCCTCACCCTCTCAAGTAGCTGGGATTACAGGTGTGTGCCACCACACCAGGCTAATTTTTGTACTTTTTTTTTTTTTGAGACGGAGTCTTGCACTGTTGCCCGGGCTGGAGTGCAGTGGCGCGATCTTGGCTCACTGCAACCTCTGCCTCCCGAGTTCAAGTGATTCTCTTGCCTCAGCCTCCCGAGTAGCTGGGATTACAGGTGCGTGCCATCACACCCAACTAATGTTTTGTGTTTTTAGTAGAGACAGGGGTTCACTGTGTTAGCCAAGATGGTCTCGACCTCCTGACGGCGTGATTCACCCGCCTCAGCCTCCCAAAGTGCTGGGGTTACAAGCATGAGCCACCATGCCTGGCCAATTTTTGTACTTTTAGTAGAGACAGAGTTTCGCCATGTTGGCCAGGCTGGTCTCAAACTCCTGACCTCAGGTGATCCGCCCACCTCAGCCTCCCAAAGAGCTGGGATTACAAGTGTGAGATACCGCGCCCGGCCAATTCTCTGAATTTTTAATTTGGGGAATTTCACTATCAGAGAGAAGTAGGTTCTAGGTCCTTGAAGCTGCCAATTCACTGTGTAACTTTGAACCCCTCTTGACATCTGTCCCATTTGTACAACAGGGGACAGTCAGGCTAGGCCCCTGTCCAGCTAGGCCATTCAAGATGGTCCCTGTGCCTGCACCTCTTCTTGCCCCACTGGCTCCTGAGCCCTGTGGAGGGCCCTAGGAGGACCCTGTATGGTGGCACTTTTCCCAAAGATGTGAGGAAATAATGATAGGTTGAGCCCTGGGCAGAACCATATGCCATCAGGTGGGACCCCCCCAACCCAAGACACAAAAACCTAGTCAAACTATTGCCGCGCTGTGGCAGGGCTGGGAAGTCCAGACAGGAGAAGAGTCTTGGCCCAGAGGCCCAGACACCTGGGTTGTTTTTCTAGCTCTGCCCTGATTCACTATATTATTATTATTATTATTATTTTTTGAGACAGGTTCTTCCTTCCTCTGTCACTCAGGCTGGAGTGCAGTGACATGATCATGGCTCACTGCAGTTGTGACCTCCCAGGCTCAAGCAATCCTCCTGCCTCAGTCTCCCGAGTAGCTAGGATTACAGGTTCAAGCCATGACACCCAGTTAATTTTTTACTTTTAATTTTTTGTAGAGTCAGGGTCTTACTATGTTGCCCAGGCTCGTCTCAAATTCCTGGGCTCAAGTGATCCTCATGCCTCCTAAAGTGCTGGGATTACAGGTATAAGCCACCTCACCCAGCCTGATTCACTATACTATTTTTATTTTTATATGAGATGGAGTCTCGCTCTGTCACCCAGGCTAGAGTGCAGTGGTGTGATCTTGGCTCACTGCAACCTCTGCCTCCCAGGTTCAAGCGATTCTCCTGCCTCCGCCTCCCGAGTAGCTGGGATTATAGGTGCATGCCACCATGTCCGGCTAATTTTTATATTTTCAGTAGAGAAGGATTTTCACCATATTGGCCAGGCCAGTCTAGAACTCCTGACCACAAATGATCCGCCTGCCTCAGTCTCCCAAAGTATTGAGATTACAGTCATGAGCCACCGCGCCCGGCCTGATTCATTATATTAAACATTCAATATTCAGCTGAGGCAATGGCTCATGCTTGTAATCCTAGAACTTTGAGAGGCAAAGGCAGAAAGATTGCTTGAGCCCAGGAGTTCGAGACCATCCTGGGGAACATGGTGAGACTCCCATGTCTCTACAAAAAATAAAAAAATTAGCCAGCCATGGTGGCATATGCCTGCAGTCCCAGCTACTCAGGAGGCTGAGGTGGGAGGATCACTTGAGCCCAAGAGGTCAAGGAAGAAGTGAGATGTGGTCATGCCACTGCACTCCAGCCTGGGCAACAGAGTGAAACCCTGTCTCAAAAAAAAAACAAAATTCCACATTCAATATGGGGCCCCCATAAACACTGGACACTGTGCTAGGCATGAGGAAATAAGGGGCAACTGCAGACAAATTCCTTGCTCTCCTGAAGCAATGTTCTATTAACTGAAAACAAACAAATAAATGAGAAAATGGCAGATGGTAAGATAATCACGACCAGTGACAGTGGCTAGTGACCAAGTAGACACTTATATTGGGTGGACAAGACAAGGCAGGTCTTCCCGAGAAGGGGGCTTTCAACCTGTGACCTGAAGCATACGATTCCTTGTCACATGCTTAACAGGGAGAAGAGCAGCAGGACCAGACACTTCCAAGGGCGAGAGGCAGGAACAGGACGGTGGGTTCAGGGAAGAAAAGACCAGCAGCAAGCAAGAGGCAAGTGGAGCAGATGAGGTCAAAGGGGGCTCCAGGCCATAGCATGGGCCCTGCCTGAAGCCTGGATAGGAAGCTGGGATTTTCTCTTCAATACGCAGTAAGTTTCTTGCCCCGTGGTTGCCTTATCTGTAGCTAGGGGCAAAGACAATAAGAGAGCTTTCTCGGCCGGGTGCAGTGGCTCATGCCTGTAATCCCAGCACTTTGGGAGGCTCAGGTGCATGGATCACCTGAGGTCAGGAGTTCAAGACCAGCCTGTCCAACATGATGAAACCTCGTCTCTACTAAAAATACAAAAAATTAGCTGGGTATGGTGGCATGCCCCTGTAGTCTCAGCTACTTGGGAGGCTGAGGCAGAAGAATCACTTGAACCCGGGAGGTGGAGGTTGCAGTGAGCCGAGATCACACCATTGCACTCTAGCCTGGTGACAGAGTGAGACTCCGTCTCAAAAAAAAAAAAAAAAAAAGAGACAGAGAGCTTTCTCTCACATATTCAACTGCAAACCCTCCTGGAGCCCTCCTTTATGCCAGGTCCAGAGCAAGGACCACTGCAGGAGCAGACCCAGGCCTTGCCCTTGGAGGGGACTTCTACTGGTGGAAGAGCTGGGAGAAGACAAACCCAGGTCTCATACTTCAACACCACATCAGATCCACAGCAGGAGGCGGCCGAGGAGCTATATGCACCCAGACGAGGCTCCCACGTGGCCCTGGAAGGCTTTTCAGAGGGTTGACAACCTAGTAGGTGAAGAATTTGAAGGGGAACAGCACTTATGCCAAGTGCTTCAGGGTGAGTTGCAGGGTAACATGACACCTGGATTTGTTACCCCTGGATTTGAGGGGGCCTTAGGGAGTCTGTGGAGAGGGGAAAGAGGAGTGAGACTAAGGGGCACAGGAGTGAAGGGTGAAGCCAAGGGCACAGCAAGTGTAAGTGACTCTTTCAACAAACCACAGAGGTTTCCAGAAGGCAGAAACGTAAAACCCCTCGCAAAGTGCTGAGATTACAGGCTTGAGCCACCGCACCCCGCCTAAAACCACAATGAACATACCTATTAAAACAGCTAAAATGAAAGAGACTGTACACACCAAATGCTGGTGAAGATGTGCAGGAATTAGTAACTTTATATACTGCTGATGAGAATGTAAAATGGTACAACCATTTTGGAAAATAATGTGGAAGGGAAGTTTCTTCTTTTTTTTTTTTCTTCACAGAGTCTCGCTCTGTTGCCCAGGCTGGAGTGTAGTAGCTCGATATCGGCTCACTGCAACCTCTGCCTCTCGGGTTCAAGCAATTCTCCCTGTCTCAGCCTCCCAGGTAGCTGGGATTACAGGCGCCTGCCACCACATCACTTAATTTTTTTGTATTTTTAGTAGAGACGGGGTTTCGCCATGTTGGCTAGGCTAGTCTTGAACTCCTGACCTCAGGGGATCCACCTGCCTCGGCCTCCCAAAATGTTGGGGTTACAGGCGTGAGCCACCGCGCCCGGCCAGAAGGGAAGTTTCTTCTTTTTTTTTTGTTTTTGTTTTCTTTTTGAGATGGAGTCTTGCTCTGTTGCCCAGGTTGGAGTGCAGTGGCGCAATCTCGGCTCACTGCAAGCTCCGCCTCCCGGGTTCACGCCATTCTCCTGCCTCAGTGTCCCGAATAGCTGGGACTACAGGCACCCGCCACCACGCCCAGCTAATTTTTTATATTTTTAGTAGAGATGGGGTTTCACCGTTTAGCCAGGAAAGTCTCGATCTCCTGACCTTGTGATCCGCCCGCCTCGGCCTCACAAAGTGCTCGGATTACAGGCGTGAGCGACTGCGCCTGGCCGGGAAGTTTCTTAAAAAGTTAAACATACAGCCAGACATGGTGGCTCATGCCGGTGATCCCCGTACTTTGGGAGGCCAAGGTGGGAGGATTGTTTGAGCCCAAGGAGTTCAAGACCAGCCTGTGCAACACAGTGAGAAGACCTTGTCTCTACAAAAAATGGTCAAGCGTGGTGGCTTACACCTGTAATCCTACCACTTTGAGAGGCTGAGGTGGGAGGATCACTTAAGCCCAGGAGTTCAAGACCAGCCTGGGCAACATGGCAAGACCCCATCTCTACAAAAACTTAAAAAATTAGTGGGCTGGGCGTGGTGGCTCATGCCTGTAATCCCAGCACTTTGGGAGGCCAAGGCAGGCAGATCACTAGGTCAGGAGTTTGAGACCAGCCTGGCCAAAATGGTGAAACTTCATCTCTACTAAAAATACAAAAATTAGCCAAGCATGGTGGTGTGTGCCTGTAGTCCCAGCTACTTGGGAGGCTGAGGCAGGAGAATCGCTTGAGCCTGGGAGGCAGAGGTTGAAGTGAGCTGAGATTCCCCCATAGCACTACAGCCCAGGCAACATAACAAGACTCTGTCTCAAAAAAAAAAAAAAAAAAATTAGTGAGGTGTTATGGCTGGCACCTGTGGTCCCAGCTACTCAGGAGGCTGAGGTGAGAGGATTGCTTGAGACTGGGATGTTAAGGCTGCAGTGGGCCACTGAACTCCAGCCTGAATGACAGAGTGAGACCTGGGCTCAAAAAGAAGTTATACATTTACCATGTGATACAGCCATTCTATTCCTATCTCCTCACAAGAAAAGGAAATAGGCTGGGCACAGTGTCTCACGACTGTAATCCCAGTACTTTGGGAGGCTGAGGTGTGTGGATCATGAGGTCAAGAGATCGAGACCATCCTGGCCAACACGGTGAAACCCTATCTCCACTAAAAATACAAAAATTAGCTGGGCGTGATGGTACGCACCTGTAGTCCCAGCTACTCGGGAGGCTGAGGCAGGAGAATCACTTGAACCCCGGTGGCGGAGGTTACAGTGAGCCGCTATCGTGCCACTGCACTCCAGCCTGGCGACAGAGTGAGACTCCATCTCAAAAAAAAAAAAAAAATTAGCCGGACGTAGGAGTACACGCCTGGAGTCCCAGCCACTCAGGAGGCTGAGGCAGGAGAATTGCTTGAACCAAGGAGGTGGAGGTTGCAGTGAGCAGAGAACTTGCTACTGTATTACCGCCTGAGCGACAGAGCGAGATGCAAGACTCCGTCTCAAAAAACAAAAAAAGGAAAAAGAAATAAGGCCTAGTGAGGTGGCTCACGCCTATAATCTCAACACTTTGGGAGGCCAAGGTGGGCCAATCACCTGAGGTCAGGAGTTCAAGACCAGCCTGGCCAACATGGTGAAATCCCATCTCTACTAAAAATACAAAAATTAGCCGGGCGTGGTGGCTGGCGCCTGTAATCCCAGCTACTTGGGAGGCTGAGGCAGGAGAATCACTTGAACCCAGGAGGCAGAGATTGCAGTGAGCCGAGATAGCACCACTGCACTCTAGCCTGAGCAATGAGAGCGAGACTCCGTCTCAAAAAAAAAAAAAAAGGGGGAAGGAAATAAACGTTATGTCCTTATAAAGACTTGCATGCAAGGCCAAGTGCATGCAAGTCTTTGTGAGGTGCAGTGGCTCATGCCTATAATCCCAAGTATTTGGCAGGCCAAGGTGGGAGGATCACTTGGGTCCAGGAGTTTGAGACCAGCCTGGGCAACATAGCAAGATCCTATCTCTACAGAATTTTCTTTTTTTTTGAGATGTAATTTTGCTCTGTCGCCCAGGCTGGAGTGCAATGGTGCCATCTTGGCTTACTGCAATCTCTGTCGCCCAGGTTCAAGTGATTCTCTTGCCTCAGCCTCCCAAATAGCTGAGATTACAGGCACACACCACCAAGCCCAGCTAAACCACAAAAACCTTTTTAAAAATTAAGCCAGGTATGGTGCCTACCTGTAGTCCCAGATACTTCAGAGGCTGAGCGGGGAGGATCACCTGAGCCCAGAAGATCGAGGGTGCAGTGAACCATGATCGTACCGCTGCACTCCACCCTGGGGAATCGAGTGAGTCCCTGTCTCAAAGAAAAATAAAATACTTATATGCAAATGTTCATACCAGCGTTATTTGTTATGGCCCCAAACTGGAAACACCCAAATGTCCTTCAATGGGTGAATGGTTGAACCAATGGTGGCACATTTATACTATGGACTACTATTCGTGATGAAAATAAATGAACTACTGACACACACAACATGGCTGAATCTCAAAATAATAATGCTGAGTAAAAGCCACACCAATAAAAAATTTGTTTTTTAAGACGGAGTCTCACTCTGTTACCCAGGCTGGAATGCAGTGGCGTAATCTCAGCTCACTCACTGCAACCTCCACCTCCCAGGTTCAAGTGACTCTCCTGCCTCAGCTTCCTGAGTAGCTGTGACTACAGGCACACAACACCATGCATGGCTAATTTTTGTATTTTTAGTACAGATGGGGTTTCAACATGTTGGCCAGGCTGGTCTCGAACTCCTGACCTCAGGTGAACTGCCTGCCTTGGCCTCCCAAAGTGCTGGAATTACAGGTGTGTGTTACCATGCTCTGCCAAAAAAAAAATTTTTTTTTTGAGACGGTGTCTTGTTCTTGTTGCCCAGGCTGGAGTGCAATGGCTCAATCTCAGCTCACTGCAACCTCCGCCTCCCAGGTACAAGTGATTCTCCTGCCTCAACCTCCCAAGTAGCTCAGATTACAGGCATGTGCCACCATGCCTGGCTAATTTTTTTGTATTTAGTAGAGACTGGGTTTCACCATGTTAGTCAGGCTGGTTGTGAACTCCTGACTTCAGGTGATCCACCTGCCTCATCCTCCCAAAGTGCTGGGATTACAGGTGTGTGCCACCGCGCCTGGCCCAAAAAAAAAATTTTTTTTTTTTTTGAGATGGAGTCTCTCTCTGTCATCCAGGCTGGAGTGCAGTGGCGCTATCTTGGCTCACTGGAAGCTCTGCCTCCCGGGTTCATGCCATTCTCCTGCCTCAGCCTCCTGATTAGCTGGGACTACAGGCGCCCGCCACCATGCCCGGCTTATTTTTTGTATTTTTTAGTAGAGACGGAGTTTTACCGTGTTAGCCAGGATGGTCTTGATCTCCTGACCTCGTGATCCACCCTCCTCAGCCTCCTAAAGTGTTGGGATCACAGGTGTGAGCTACCATGCCTGGCTGAAAGCCACACCTTAAAAGAAAAATAAGTAGGTACTATCTGATTCCATTTATAGAAAATGCAAATTCACCTGTAGCGAAGGAAAGCAGATTAGTGGTTGCCTGGGGACACAAGGATGGCGGGGTCAAGCAGGAGGAATTTAAAAAGGGGAATATGTAATCCTAGCACTTTAGGAAGCCAAAGTGCTCAGGAGTTCAAGACCAGCCTGGGCAAGACAGTAAAACACCATTTCTACAAAAAATATAAAAATTAGGTGGGCGTGGTGGCACGTGCCTGTAGTCCCAGCTACTTGGGGGCTGAGGTGAAAGGATCACTTGCACCCGGGAGGTAAAGGCTGCAGTGAACTGAGATCAAGCCACTGCACTTCAGCCTGGGCAACAGAGTGAGACCCTGTCTCAAAAAATAATAATAAAATTTTTTTAAAATGGCAGGGAATAACGAAACTTGGAGGTGAGAGATATAGTCATTACCTTGATCGTAGTGATGCTTTCATGGGTATACAAAATTTATCAAATTATAATTTTATTTATTTTATTTTTGAGACTTTCACTCTTGTTGTCCAGGCTGGAGTGCAATGGTGTGATCTCGGCTCACTGCAACCTCCGCCTCCCAAGTTCAAGCAATTCTACTGCCTTAACCTCCCAAGCACCTGGGATTACAGACATGTGCCACCACACCCAACTAATTTTGTATTTTTAGAAGATTTTCAGGGTTTCACCATGTTGGTCAGGCTAGTCTTTTAACTCCTGACCTCAGTTGATCCGCCCATCTTAGTCTCCCAAAGTGCTGGCATTACAGCATGAGCCACCGCGCCCAGCCAATTTTATTTATTTTAAAATATTTAAGGCCGGGCGTGGTGGCTCACACCTGTAACCCCAGCCCTTTGGGAGGCTGAGGTGGGAGGATCACGAAGTCAGGAGATCGAGACCATCCTGGCTAACACGGTGAAACCCCGTGTCTACTAAAAATACAAAAAATTAGCTGGAAGCGATGGCGGGCGCCTGTAGTCACAGCTACTCGGGAGGCCGAGGCAGGAGAATGGCGTGAACCTGGGAGGCGGAGCTTGCAGTGAGCCAAGATAGCGCCACTGCACTCCAGCCTGGGCAAAAGAGCGAGACTCTGTCTCAAAAAAAAAAAAAAAATTAAAATATTTTAAAATATTTAAAATGTACATATATATAATATATATATATTTTTTTTGAGACAGAGTCTCACACTGTTGCCCAGGCTGGAGTGCAGTGGCGCGATCTTGGCTCACTGCAAGCTTCGCCCACCACCACGCCCAGCTAGTTTTTGAATTTTTAGTAGAGACAGGGTTTCACTATGTTAGCCAGGATGCTCTTGATCTCCTGACCTTGTGATCCACCCGCCTTGGCCTCCCAAAGTGCTGGGATTACAGGTGTGAGCCACCACGCCCAGCCTATACCTATATATTTTAATTTAAGATGGGGGTCTTGCTCTATCACCCAGGCTGGAGTGCAGTGGCATAATTATACCTCACTGCAGCCTGGAACTCCCAGGCTCAGGAGATCCTCTCACCTCAGCCTCCCAAGTAACTGGCACTACATACAGGTCAGGTGTGCACCACAGCGCCTGGCTCAAATCATAATTTTTTTTTTTGAGACAGACTTTTGCTCTTGTTGCCCAGGCTGGAGTGCAATGATGCCATCTCGGCTCACTGCAACCTCTGCCTCCTGGGTTCAAGCGATTCTCCAGCGTTAGCCTCCCTAGTAGCTGGGATTACAGGCATGTGCCATCAGTCCTGGCTAATTTTTTTGTATTTTTAGTAGAGACAGGGTTTCACCATGTTGGTCAGGCTGGTCTCGAACTCCTGACCTCAGATGATCTGTCTACCTTGGCCTCCCAAAGTGCTGGGATTACAGGCGTGAGCCACTGCACGCAGCCCCGAATTACAATTTTTGAGTATGTATAGTATATTGTATGTCAATCATTCCTCAAGCTATTAAAAAAGAAAAACAAAGCAGCCGCTCAGACTTACTGGAACGACGGAAACGCCCAACCAACATTCATGGTTCACTCAATTAATATTTACTGAGCCCCTACTATGTGCTAGAGTCTGTTCTCAGCACTGGAGTCGCAGCAGAATCAAAAGTCCCTGCCCTTGCCAGCCTTACTAATTCTGGTGGGCAAGATAAACAATAAATATAAGGAAACGAGAAATCCATGTGGAGATTTGTCCTCAGGGAAACAAACCAGCTGTCCTCTACAAGGGTGGAGGTCAGGGAGGCTGTTTCTGAGTAGGCAGTAAACTGAGACCTGGAACATACAAAGGAACCCTTTTTTTCTTTTTTTTTCTTTTTTTTTGAGACGGAGTCTCACTCTGTCGCCCAGGCTCCCGAGTAGTTGGGACTACAGGTGCCCACCACCATGCCCAACTAATTTTTTATATTTTTTAGTAAAGACAGGGTTTCACTGTGTTAGCCAGGATGGTCTTGATCTCCTGACCTCATGATCCACCCGCCTTGGCCTCCCAAAGTGCTGGGGTTACAGGCGTGAGCCAACGCGCCTGGCCTTTTTTTTCTTTTTTTTTTTTTGAGATGGAATTTCATTCTTGTTGCCCAGGCTGGAGTGCAATGGCGTGATCTCGGCTCACCGCAAGCTCTGCCTCCTGGGTTCAAGCGATTCTCCTGCCTCAGCCTCCTGAGTAGCTGGGATTAGAGGCATGCACCACCATGCCCGGCTAATTTTATATTTTTTAGTAGACATTTGGTTTCTCCACATTGGTTGGGCTGGTCTCAAACTGCCGACCTCAGGTGATCCACCCACCTCGACCTCCCAAAGTACTGGGATTACAGGTGTGAGCCACCGCGCCCGGCCGAGGCGCTCTTTATTTATTTATACAGAGATAGGATCTGGCTCTGTTGCCCAGGCTGGAGTGCAGTGGCGGGATGATGGCTCACTGCAACCTCAACTTCCCAGGCTCAGGTGATCCTTCCACCTCAGCCCTCTGAGTAGCTGGGATTACAGGTATGTGCCACCACGCCACCCTAATTTTTGTAGAGATGAGGTTTCACCATGGTGCCCAGGCTGGTCTCAAACTCCTGGGTTCAAGGGATCTTGCCACCTTGGTCTCCCAAAGTACTGGGATCACAGGCATGAACCACCACCCCTTTCCCTGAGACTGTTCCCCCACCCTTACTTTTCTCCGCTCCTCAGCCCCTTCCCGCAGAGTCTCAGCTCATGGCTGTGTGGTTTTGTGTGAATCCCACTCTCTCTATGCAGTTCAGTTTTCTTATCCATAAAGATGGGAGACAAGGCTGTGTCCAGCTCACCTGGGCACTGGGCTCCCACACAGCTGACTCTCTGTGTAAGGGGGCCTCTCCCCTTGGCTCAGCTGGCATTTTGGGACACGCAGAGCAAACATGCCAAGGGCAGAAAAACAGGCATCTCAGGAGCCCAGCTGGCTTGTCCTGAGGAGCATCCTGGGGAGTCTGTCCCCTGGGACTAGTGGTATCTCTGCAGAGACAGCAGGGCTTGGAGTGGGGCACCCCTCCTAACTAGGGATCAAAGTAAGGCGGGAGGAGCTGAGGCACTGCCCTCAGAGCTGCTTCCGTGAGGGCAGCTCTGTCCCGCTCATACCAGGGCTGGGGATAGGCCAAGTTGGCCCGAGGCCCAGAGGGACAGGGAGGGAGGTCAGCGCCACAGTTGGGGATGGGCCTGCTTGGCCCTCTCTCTGGACACAATGTCCTGGACTGCTCCACAGCTTGGCTGGCCAACAGGGAACAGTGGCTGGCAGAGGGCACGGGCAGCCAGCCGACTGGAGGCAGGCGGCCCAGCCTGAGCAAAGGGCTTGTTCTTACAACCTGTCCTGCCACCTTGGGCAAGGAGAGGGCCAGCTTTCTGGAGGCAGGGAACCTCAGCAGTCACTCGCTTCCTCTTGCCTCAGTTTCCCCAGATCATGAACAACTGCCATCATTTGAGCTAAGTTCTACAAGAATGCCGAATCTTACAAATGCTGGCTTAGCACCTTGCTGGCTGTGTGACCTTGGCCAGGACACCATTCTGAAACCCAGATCTTCACTGGGCGTGAATGCATGCGCAGCATTTAGGACAGTAACCCTCACACAGAAAGTGCTTAATGGGTAAAGTATGCTAGTACTGCCACATTAATAAGCAATAATAACATTTATTTATTAAGAGCATCCTGTGTGCCAAGAATTTCATCTGTATTGTCCCAAATACTGGCGGCAACCTGGTAGACATGTCTTAATACCCTCGCTTTATTTTTTATTTATTTATTTTATTATTGACTTGAGACAGGGTCTTTCTCTGTCACCCAGGCTAGAGTGCAGTGGCACAATCATGACTCACTGCAGCCTTGACTTCCTGAGTTCAAGCGATCCTCCTACCTCAGCCTCCCAAGTAGCTGGGACCACAGGTCTGCACTACCACGCCTGGCTGATTTTTTTATTTTTGATAGAGAAGGGGTTTCCCTATGTTGTCCAGGATGGTCTCAAAACTCCTGAGCTCAAGCCATCTGCCTGCCTCGGTCTCCCAGAGTGCTGGGATTACAGGCGTGAGCTACCGTGCCCGGCCAACACTGTGATTTTTTATTTTTATTATTTATTTATTTATTATTTTACTTCATTTTATTTATTTATTTTGAGACGAAGTCTAGCTCTGTCACCCAGGGTGGAGTGCAATGGCGTCATCTCGGCTCACTGCAACCTCCGCCTCCCAACTTCAAGTGATTCTCCTGCTTCAGCCTCCTGAGTAGCTGGGACTACAGGCAAACACCACCACACCTGGCTAATTTTTGTATTTTTAGTAGAGATGGGGTTTCACCATGTTGGCCAGGATGGTCTCAATCCCTTGATCTCGTGATCCACCCACCTCAGCCTTCCAAAGTGCTGGGATTACAGGCGTGAGGCGCTGTGCCCGACTATTTTATTTTTTCGAGATGGAGTCTCACTCTGTCACCCAGGCTGGAGGGCAATGGCATGATCTCCGCTCACTGCAAACTCTACCTCCCGGGTTCAAGCGATTCTCGTGCCTCAGCCTCCTGAATTACAGGCATGCATCACCATGCCCGGCTAATTTTTGTATTTTTATTTATTTATTTTTGAGACGGAGTTTCGCTCTTGTTGCCCAGGCTGGAGTGCAATGGCCCAGTCTCGGCTCACCGCAACCTCTGCCTCCCGGGTTCAAGCAATTCTCCTGCCTCAGCCTCCCAAGTAGCTGGGATTACAGGTACCCGCCACCACCCCCGGCTATTTTTGTATTTTTAGTAGAGACAGGGTTTCTCCATGTTGGTCAGGGTGGTCTTGAACTTCTGACCTCAGGTGATCCGCCCGCCTCGGCCTCCCAAAGGGCTGAGATTACAGGCATGAGCCACTGTGCCCGGCCTAATTTTTGCATTTTTAGTAAAGATAGGGTTTCACCATGTTGGCCAGGCTGGTCTCGAACTCCTGACCTTGGGTGATCCACCCACCTTGACCTCCTAAAGTGCTGGGATTACAGGTGTGAGCCACTGCGCCCAACCAACACTGTGATTTTTTTTTTTTTTTTTGGAGACAGAATCGCTCTGTCACCCAGGCTGGACTGCAATGGTGCAATCTCGGCTCACTGCAAGCTCCGCCTCCCGGGTTCACGCCATTCTCCTGCCTCAGCCTCCTGAGTAGCTGGGACTACAGGTGCCCGCCACCACTCCCGGCTAATTTTTTGCATTTTTAGTAGAGACGAGGTTTCACCGTGTTAGCCAGGATGGTCTCAATCTCCTGACCTCATGATCTGCCCGCCTCGGCCTCCCAAAGTGCTGGGATTACAGGTGTCAGCCACCGCGCCCAGCCCCCAGTACTGTGATTTTATAGGTGAGGAAACTGAGCTCCAAGAAGCAAAGTGACAAGTCTGAAGCCAAACCGCTAATACTACGGGGCTGAGTGGCTCACCAGGTGGGAACCCAGCCTCCTCCCTAGGCACACGGTACAAGCCTGTTGGGTGGACCCTGGGGGGTTCCTGAAGGCTGAGGCTGAACCAAGCAGGGGCCAAGGGGTTTCTTGGAACTCAGCAGCGGAACCAGCCATCTGGCCTCCCACAGGATGCTGCTGGCACAGTCTAGACTCAGACCAAGGCACATGAGCCAAGGTGCCCAAGGAGGACTGAGAAGGGCAGTGAGAGGGAAGGATTCATTCATTCATTTGCATTTATTAATTCAGCAAACAAAAAATTGAAGGCAATAGTTTGGTGCCACACACAGGCTCGGCAACCAGACTTTGAACATAAGACACTGTCACTTGCCAGGTGTGTATCCTGGAGATAGGGTAACTCCCAGTTTTCCCAGTAAAGCCTGAGTCCCCTCAGTTTCCAGCAAACCAGGATGACTGGTTACCCTGCCTGGAAGAGCGACTCCCCCTCTTGGTTTCCTCAATTGTCAAAGGCGAGGCTGGTGCCGTGTGGCCTGGACACTAATTCTCCTCTCATATGTTTGCTCAAAGGTAAAATGAGGCCGGGTATGGTGGCTCACGCCTGTAATCCCACCACTTTGGGAGGCTGAGGCGGGTGGATCACTTGAGGTCAAGAGTTAAAGACCAGCCTGGCCAACATGGCAAAACCCCATGTCTACTAAAAATACAAAAATTAGCCGGGTGTGGTGGTACATACCTATAGTCCCAGCTACTAGAGAGGCCGAGGCAGGAGAATCGCTTGAACCCGGGAGGTGGCGGTTGCAGTGAACCGAGGTCGCACCACTGCACTCCAGCCTGGGTGACAGAGCAAGACTCTGTCCTCAAAAAAAAAAAAAAAAAAAAAAAAAAAGGTAAAATGAGCATAAAGCCCTGGGCTTATGTCCAAGCCAATTTGTGGGAGTAGGGAAAGTGACATTTCATCTCATGCTGGCAGGGGCCAAGCAGGAGGGAAGGGAAGGAGGTATGATATCTATGCCCAAGGAAGAGATGAAGAGACTGAGGTTCCCAGTGTCTGAGGAGCTCAGAGAAGGCCTGGGCAGATACCTTCCTCATCTCACAGCTTGCTCTTCCTAGATGCTCAAAACAGGTTCTGGGTGAGCTACCTTAGTAAGACCATGAATGGGACCGCAAGGGACCCTCAGGTGCTCCCAGGGTCTTGTAAGGAAGGTGACAGGGAAGCACCCACTCCCCACCATCACCAGGCCACAGAACACCAGCCATTCTGCAGCTGCTGAGCCACAGGGCAGGCCTGCACCGCATGCTCCCAGGGCAAAGGCCAAGGTCCACAGGGAGCTGACTGGCCCAGCTGGGCACCACCTAACCAGGCCCAGGTCTGGCGCTGTGGCAGGCCCCTGGCAGGGAGGGTTAGATAAGGAGAGTTCACAGCTACCTGGCTAAGTACTCACCGGGTGTCGACATGCTGCTGTTCTTCCCCACCACACTAGAAGGAAGGGGCCATTTTAGACAGGTGGGGACACTGAGGTTCGGAGAGGCAAAATCTGCCTAAGGTCACCCAGAGGAAGGTGGAGAAACCAACCCCTACTGAGCGTCACTGCCCGACTTTATAATTTAAGGCACATGGTGGCCCAGGCACAAATGTGGGTGGAGCGGCCACAGAAGACTCCAGAGCCCCCAGAGTCCAGGCCAGGAAGGAAGAACGCGGTAGACAGGAGGAAGCCGAGTCCCCCAGGCGGAGCTGGGGCTCCCTTCGCAGTCTGGGCTCCCCTAGGGACCCAAGAATCCTAACGAGGACGGTCACAGCCACTCCCGCGGGCACTACCCGCCGTGCTCTGCTGGAGAAGGGCCTCAGTTTCCCTTTGGGCGCAAAGCGGAACGCGGAGGCGCTGCGGCAGGCGAGGCGGCGCTGGAGGAGGAGGCCGGGCCCGCGAGGAAAGGCGGGGAGGGGGGTTACGTAACGGGCTGCGCGGCGACGTCAGCGCGGGTCGCGGAGGGCAGCGGGGGGCGCCCCCTCCCTGAATAGCTGGGCTGTTCACTCCTGGTGACACCAGCGCGGCCCCCTCCGCGCCCGCCGTGCCGGCCGCCGCGCCAACCGGGACCGGGGGAGGGTAGGACACCTGCCGGGAGCGAGTCCCGGGCTGACTCCCCAAGGCCGCGCGGGGTGTGGAGAGGAGCCGGGGTGGGGCCTCTCGCCTCCGGCGTCCGCCGGGTGGGCGGCCCCGACCGCTCTGCTGTCCCTTACGGCCCGCACGCCCTTTGCCCTCCCCGGGGACCTGGCATCTTCACATCTCCTGCCCCGCCTGGGCCGCAGCTTCGAGACCGCTGAGCCCTCCTCCTCCTTTTTCTCCTCCTCCTCTTCCTCCTCCTCGGACTTCACCTCCACCAGGGACTTCCGCCCTGGGGCCCGGCCGCGCGCTCTTCCCCACTGAGTGCGTCTTCCGCCCCCGAGGCCCCGCGGCTGCCCCCGCCGATTCTCGCGCCGACCTCACGCGGCGAGGCTGAGTGTTATTTTTATTGTTTTTATTTTTGCGATGGAGTTTCGCTTTTGTTGCCCAGGCTGGAGGGAAGTGGCGCGATCTCGGCTCACTGCAACCTCTCCCTCCCGAGTTCAAGCGATTCTCTTGCCTCAGCCTGCCGAGTAGCTGGGAATTACAGGCATGCGCCACCACGCCCGGCTAATTTTGTATTTTTAGTAGAAACGGGGTTTCTCCATATTGGTCAGGCTGGTCTCGAACTCCTCACCTCAGGTGATCTGCCCACCTCGGCCTCCCAAAGTGCTGGGATTACAGGCGTGAGCCACCGTGCCTGGCCGAGGCTGGGTGTTATTTATGTCCCCGTCTGTGTCTCCGCAGACAGAGCTCGGCCTAGAGGAGGCCGCGGCCCAGCGGCACACAGCCGGCGCGCAAGTGCGAGGCCAAGGCAGGAAGCCGCCGGCCCAGCCGCCTGCTTCCCAGGACCGAGGAGGCCCCTGGTCGAGGCTGGCTCACCTCACCCTTGGGAAAGCAACAGAGGACAGGAGGCAGCTGCCACCTAAGGTCATGGCCACCCACATCCCACCACACCGCGTTTGCTCTCCCTGTTTCCCCAGGTTAGGACATCATCGGGCGCTTCCATGTCGCCCCGGGAGGCTCCCCTAAAGCAAGGGCATGGCCACGGGGAGGCTGCTGAGCAAAGCTAATTCCGGAGTTCCACACCAGGCCTCTTGAGAGTGGGGCCTGGGCCTCTGCATTTGAAATGTGCTCTACCTTCAAGGCTTTGAGATGATTTGAGAACAGGGAGGGTTTTAGGGAAGAGAGCTAGCTGACAGCAGGCGATGGCAGGTGCAGGTGGGGACTGCGGCAGACTGGATTTGATGGGGCAGGCTGGAAAGACAGGGCAGACGAGGATGGACTGGGAGCCTTGGTCAGAGAATGGCCGGATCATGACCTTGGAGCACCATGCCCACCCGTACAGGTATCCCTTACTGCCTGCTAAGGGATACATTGGACCCTGTCCTCCAGCAACCCTGCAAAATGGGCCTTATTGTCCCTATTTTAAAGGCTCAGAGAGTGAGGCCGGGCGCAGTGGCTCACACCTGTAATCCCAGCACTCTGGAGGCCGAGGCAGGCAGATTGTTTTGAGTCCAGGAGCTCAAGACCAGCCTGGCCAACATAACAAAACCCCGCCTCTACTAAAAATACAAAAAATTAGCCGGGCATGGTGGCACGTGCCTGTAGTCCCAGCTACTCGGGAGGCTGAGGCAGGAGAATCACCTGAACCCAGGAGGTGGAGGCTGCAGTAAGCCGAGATTGCACCACTGCACTCCAGCCTGGACAACCAGAGTGAGACCCTGCCTCAAAATAATAATAATAAATAAATAAAAATCAAGGCTCAGAGAGGGGATGTGACTTGGACAAAGTCCCTGGTGAGGAGGGTACAGAAGAATCAGGACTCAGTTTAATTCCTCCATCCAGGCCCTAGCTAGACACTAGGCATGGAAAGATGAATAAAGTACACTTCCTGCCCTAAAAGAGTTGTTGGTACAGGAAGAGGGGCAGGCAGCAAACATATCACAATCGCAATCACAATCCTCATGGAGGTCTGATGGAGCAGTGAGGGCTCAGAGCTGAATTTTGAAGGATGAAGAGGAGTTACCCCGGAAGATTCGGGAGGGGCATCCCCGGCAGAGGGAACAGCTTGTTCCGCTGCTCAGAGGCCTGAAATAGCAATCGCTTGTAGGGATCTGTGAGCTCTTTGGTGAGACTGAGCTTAGAGTGTGTTGGTTTGGTGGGAGATGAGGCTTGATGTGCCCAGAGAGCGTTGGCCAGGCAAGGAGGCTGGATTTTGTCCACAGTGCAGTAAGAGTGTGAGCCCTGTGGAGGAGGGGTGAGCAGTAGGAGGGACCTGAAGGAGAAGAGCAGAGGCACAGGGCTCCCTCCTGCCCCTTCCCTGTATCTCCATGGCAACCCCTCTTTCCCCCACCCTGACTCTACCTTAGCTGTGGACCTGGCTCTCTATCAGCAGCTAAACTGGGGACTGTCAGGAGAGACCAGACCCCATTCTAGCTGGGCATGATGTGCTTGCTGTGTGGCCTGCAGCAGGCCACTTTGTCCCCTTGGGTCTTGGTTTTCTCTTCTGTAAAATGGGAGCAGCACTAATCCCTGCCCAGTCCCTCTGCGGGGTGAGTGAGGCGCAGAGGTGATGGCCAGGTGGGAGGGGCTTGTCTGCTGCACAGCCCCTGTCAGCACCTTGCTAGGCATTGGCTCAATTGGTGCATCCCCCAACCCCCATCCGGTCAAGCCTTCTCCCCAGTGATCCTCCCGACCATGCCCACCAGACTTTAGGAGAGGCTGGCACTTCTGGCTGGAGTCCTGAAGCTGCCATTTCTCTCAAAGCGGAGCCTCAGGCAAGTCCCTCTCTGGGCCTCAGTTTTCACAGATGCAATATAAATGATCCCAAGTGTCTAGTGGGGAGGAGGCCCTGGCAGCCTCTCTGCCCCAGGACAACCCAGGCCTGGTCCCTCTAAACACAAAGGAGGCCAGGCGTGGTGGCTCACACCTGTAATCCCAGCCCTTTCGGAGGCCAAGGCTTGCAGATCAGTTGAGGCCAGGAGTTCGAGATCAGCCTGGCCAACACAGTGAAACCCCATTTCTACTAAAAATACAAAAATTTAGCCGGGCGTGGTGGCACGCACCTGTAATCCCAGCTACTCGAAGGCTGAGGCATGAGAATGGCTTGAATCCAGGAGGCAGAGGTTGCAGTGAGCCAAGTTTGTGTCACCGCACTCCAGCCTGGACAACAGGGCAAGGCTCTGTCTCAAACACAGACACGCGCGCACACACACACACACACACACACACACAGCTCCCAGAGACAGAACAGGCAGATCAGGACCCTCTCTGCCCTACCCCCTGCCATGTCCCCTCTGCCACTCCCAGCCCCTGCCAGGGACATCCTGTGCTCCAATGATGTCACCAGGCCAACAGGATTTATTTTTATACTCCCAGGCCTTGGCCAGCTCCCTACCCCTCACGCATCCTACCCCATCTCACCCTACCTGCCCTGCTTCCCACATCCCGGCTGAGCCCCAGGCCGGTCCTTCAAAGCCTCTCCACACACACTCTGTTGCCCAACCTGCAGCACTCAGGCTTCTGAGAGGTTGTGGGGAGCCAGGTCACTGGCCAAGTGATCTTGGCCATTGGATTTGGACCTGCAGAAGTAAACAGATGGGCCCCTGGAGGTGGACCCCAGCTTCCCTGTGCCCCCAAGTGGGAGTCTGAAGCCCAGATGGCAGGAGGGCAAGGATCATCAGATGGGCTGTGTGAACACTTGGAGCCCCTGTCTGGGCCTTAGAGTTGTCACGAAAGCTTGCTTTGAATTCATTTTTTAAAAGCAGCTTTTTGTCTGGAAGCTTCAAGTCTTTCTTCATATCAATGCAACACAGACAACTTCAGAGATAGACTGGGTGCTGGGGTAGCTCAGCATCCTGGCCTTCACCCACACCCTGGGCAGGGTGTGTGTCCATCACAGATGTTACACACTTACCCTCTGGAGTGACTTTAGACTAATGATCTGTCCCCATCTTCAGCTTAGAAATTTATGCTGATGAAACACCCATTTTATGTGTTTCATATGTTGGCCTTCTGGATAAGATTATGGGTGAAAATGATGTTCTACTTCAAAAAACCATTTGAAAATGGCAACCTTGGCTCTTCTATCCTCATAGCTGCCCTGGAAAGCTGGGCAAGGACGAGAGGACCAGAATCCTCTTTTCTTTTTTTTTTTCTTTTTTTTTTTTTGCTCTTGTTGCCCAGGCTGGAGTGCAATGGCACGATCTCAGCTCACTGCAACCTCCACCTCCCGGTTCAAGTGATTCTCCTGCCTCAGCCTCCCAAATAGCTGGGATTAGCCACTATGCCCAGCTAATTTTTGTATTTTTAATAGAGATGGGGTTTCACCATGTTGGCCAGGCTGGTCTCGAACTCCTGACCTCAGGTGATCCGCCCAACTCGGCCTCCAACAGTGCTGGGATTACAGGCATGAGCCACCACTTCCAGCCCTGAATCCTTTTTTTTTTTTTTTTTTTTTTTTTTTTCAGATGGAGTCTTGCTCTGTCGCCCAAGCTGGAGTGCAGTGGTGCAATCTTGGCTCACTGCAAGCTCCACTTCCCGAGTTCACACCATTCTCCTGCCTCAGCCTCCCAAGTAGCTGGGACTACAGGCTCCTGACACCACGCCCGGCTTATTTTTTGTATTTTTCGTAGAGATGGGGTTTCACCGTGTTAGCCAGGATGGTCTCGATCTCCTGACCTCATGATCCGCCCACCTCGGCCTCCCAAAGTGCTGGGGTTACAGGCGTGAGCCACCGTGCCTGGCCCTGCACTGCACTCCAGCCTGAGCGACAGAGTGAGACTCCATCTCAAAAACAAAACAAAACAAAAAATGGGAAACTAAGGCTCAAAGGGGAGGAGTGACCCAGAGAGTGGCCGTGGCTAGAATGCGGGGTGTGTCTATCCTCCAGCCCCACGAGAGGTGAGATTGACTTACCTTGCCCAGCCCAGCCCAGCCCAGCCCAGCCAGCCAGAGTTGGCAGTCCTTTTTCTTTTTTCTTTTTTGAGACGGAGTCTCGCTCTGCTGCCCAGGCTGCCCAGGTTGGAGTGCAGTGACACGATCTCAGCTGAGCTCACTGCAACATCCACCTCTCAGGCCCAAGCAATTCTCGTGCCGCAGCATCCTGAGTAGCTGGGACTACAGGTACCCACCACCACACCTGGCTAAGTTTTTGTGTTTTAGCAGAGAAGAGATTTCACTATGTTGTCCAGCATGATCTTGAACTCCTGAGCTCAGGCAATTCACATGCCTCAGCCTCCCAAAGTGCTAGGATTATAAGCGTGAGCCACTGTGCCCGGCTAGAATTTCCATTTCTTGATAGTTCAGTTCAGTGCAACACAGAGAATAAAAGCACAGACTCTGGACCCAGATAGATCTCAGTTTGAGTCTGCCTGTAACATTTCTTAGCTATGTGATCTTGGGCTACTCACTTCACCTCTCTGTGCCCTAGTTTTCTTTTCTTTTTTTTTTTTTTTTTTTTTTGAGACAGGGTCTCGCTCTGTCGCCCAGGCTGGAGTGCAGTGGCACCATCTCGTCACTGCAAGCTCCGCCTCCTGGGTTCACGCCATTCTCCTGCCTCAGCCTCCCGAGTAGCTGGGACTACAGACACCTGCCACCACGCCCGGCTAATTTTTTTGTATTTTTAGTAGACATGGGGTTTTACTGTGTTAGACAGGATGGTCTCGATCTCCTGACCTCGTGATCAACGCGCCTCGGCCTCCCAAAGTGCTGGGATTACAGGTGTGAGCCACCGCACCTGGCCGCTGTGCCCTAGTTTTCTCACCTGTGAAATGCGATTTATAATAAGATGTAACTCACAAAGGGTTGTGGGAAAGACAGTTTGAGAAAATGCTTGAAAAGCACTTAGCAGACTGGGCGTGGTGGCTCACGCCTGTAATCCCAGCGCTTTGGGAGGCTGAGGCAGGTGGATCACAAGGTCAGGAGTTCGAGACCAGCCTGGCGAACGTGGTGAAACCCCACCTCTACTAAAAATACAAAAATAGTCTGCTACCACCACCACCACTACCGCTCCTCTTATCTCCCCAGGGGACATAGTGACCCTTGAGTCAAAAGAGCAAGAGCCAGGTTTGTTACTCAAGGGCAGGAGCCAAGAAAGAAAGTGCCTAGGCCCCCTTACTAAGCCCACACTCCAGCCGTGTCAACAGAAAGTTCACCAGAGCTGGGTTCAAATCCTACTTACTGGGTGGTCTCAACCAAGTCACTTAATTGTTCTGAACCTGTTTTCCTATCTATAAAATGGATGTAAAGATACCGTAAAGGGCTGTTGTGAGGTTGAAATGAATGGGCATAGAAAGCATCTGCTGTCCTGGCACGGTATAGTTCATGCCTGTAATTCCAGCACTTTGGGAGGCTGAGGTGGGAGGATCACTTGAGCCCAGGAGTTTGAGACCAGCCTGGGCAACACAGGGAGACCCTCATCTCAATTAAAAAAAAAAATCTGGCCGGGTGTGGTGGCTCACGCCTATAATCCCAGCACTTTGGGAGGCGGAGGAAGGTGGATAGCTTTAGATCAGGAGTTCAAGACCAGCCCGACCAACATGATGAAACCCCGTCTCTATTAAAAATACAAAACTTGGTCAGGGGTGATGTCGGGCACCTGTAATCCCAGCTATCCAGGAGGCTGAGGGAGGAGAATCACTTGAACTCGGGAGGCGGAGATTGCAGTGAGCTGAGAGCTGAGATTGTGCCACTGCACTCCAGCCTGGACAACAGAGCAAGACTCTGTCTCAAAAAAACAAAAACTGACACAGTAAGTGCTCAATAATTACATGACCAGGCACGGTGGCTCACACCTGTTATCCCAGCACTTTGGGAGGCTGAGGCGGGCAGATCACTTGAGGTCAGGAGTTCGAGACCAGCCTGGCCGACATGGTGAAACCCCATCTCCACTAAAAATACAAAAAGTAGCTGTGTGTGGTGGCATGCGCCTGTAATCCCAGGTACTTGAGAGGCTAAGGCAGGAGAATCACTTGAACCCAGGAGGCAGAGGTTGCAGTGAGCCAAGATCACACCACTGCACTCCAGCCTGGGTGACAGAGTGAAACAGTCTCAAAAAATAAATTAATTAATTAAATAATCACATATCTTGAGCAGGAAAAGAGCCAGGCTGACTCTGTATGGGGAAGAGGGGAGGTGTTGGGCCCCTCCAGCTTAATCCCTGGACTCCCTTATGCTAAGGAAGTCCACAGCCTCCTTGACTACTCTGGCAGGAGTGAGAATAATGCTGTATGCCTCAGGGAAGCAGGGATCTAAATTCAAATGTATGTAAATATCATGCAAATCAGGAAGCACTGGGTCCTTCCAGGGGAGAGATGGAGAGAGAAGATCCAGTTACTAGGGACTGGGGATGGGGGTAGGGGGCTGGAACAGAAGCAGGGTACCCCAGAGCCTTCACAGGGCACTGCCCCAGCTGCCAATTGAGCAGCTGCCCCAGGCCCTGTGGGCCCCTCCTGGCATGGATATGAAACCTCCTGGGCCGGGTGCAATGGCTCACGCCTGTACTCCCAGCACTTTGTGAGGCCGAGGCGGGCGGATCACGAGGTCAGGAGATCGACACCATCCTGGCTAACATGGTGAAATCCCGTCTCTACCAAAAATACAAAAAAAAAAAAAAAAAAATTAGCCAGGTGTGGTGGTGGGTGCCTGTAGTCCCAGCTACTCGGGAGGCTGAGGCAGGAGAATGGCATGAACCCGGAAGGCAGAGCTTGCAGTGAGCCGAGATAGCACCACTGCACTCCAGCCTGGGCGACAGAGCAAGACTCCATCTCAAAAAAAAAAAAGAAAGAAAGAAACCTCCTGGTGCCCTGGGATCCGCGGACTCCTCGGTCAAGGTGAGAGAGTCCCTGGTGAGGACACACACAGACCCATTTGTGTACACATATGCTAACCCTGCCAGACGCAGTTGGACGCACACACATATACCCAGGAACAGTCACAGACACACATAGACACAATTGTACACACACTGAGACACAGGCACTCGGGCAACTCAGGCTCTGGGCCTCAGGGCAGGGGAGGCCCCAGAGATCTTGCCCCACTTGAAAAGGCAGTGCTGAGGCCCCAGGGGCCCCTGGTTTCCTGTCCACCCACCTTTTCCCCAACCCACACACACGGTACCTGCACACACCACCCCCACTCGAGGAGGCCCCTGAAAAAGCTCCCTCCTTGGCCTCATCCTGATATGGCAGGCCTGCTCCGTGCACCCCATGGGGTTCCAGTTCTTGCCCACATTTATTCTTTTTTTTTTTTTTTTGAGACGGCGTCTCGCTCTGTCGCCCAGTCTGGAGTGTAGTGGTGCAATCTCGGCTCACTGCAAGCTCTGCCTCCCAGGTTCACGCCATTCTCCTGCCTCAGCCTCCCGAGTAGCTGGGACTACAGGTGCCCGCCACCACGCCCAGCTAATTTTTTGTATTTTTTAGTAGAGATGGGGTTTCACCGTGTTAGCCAGGATGGTCTCGATCTCCTGACCTCATGATCCGCCCGCCTCAGCCTCCCAAAGTGCTGGGATTACAGGTATGAGCCACTGCACCCGGCCCATTTATTCTTTATTTATTTTAAAAAAAAATTTAACATTTATTTATTTATTTAGACAGTCTCGCTCTCGCCCAGGCTGGAGTGCAGTGGCACAATCTCGGATCACTGCAAGCTCTGCCTCCTGGGTTCACACCATTCTCCTGCCTCAGCATCCCGAGTAGTTGGGACTACAAGTGCTAATTTTTTGTTTTGTATTTTTAGTAGAAACGGGGTTTCACCGTGTTAGCCAGGATGGTCTCGATCTCCTGACCTTGTGATCTGCCCGCCTCAGCCTCCCAAAGTGCTGGGATTACAGGCACGAGCCACCGTGCCCGGCCCACTTTTTTTTATTTTTGAGCCAGAGTCTCTCTCTGTTGCCCAGGCTGGAGTGCAGTGGTGCAATCTCAGCTCACTGCAGCCTCTGACTCCCAGGTTCAGGTGATTCTGCTGCCTCAGCCTCCCGAGTAGCTGGGACTACAGGTGCCTGCCACCACACCTGGCTAATTTTTTTGTTATTGTTTTTGTTTTTGAGATGGAGTCTCACTCTTTGTCGCCCAGGCTGGAGTGCAGTGGTGCGATCTTGGCTCACTGAAACCTCTGCCTCACAGGTTTAAGCAATTCTCTGCTTCCCGAGTAGATGGAATTACAGGTGCGCACCACCACGCCCGGCTAATTTTTGCATTTTTAGTAGAGATGGGGTTTCACCATCTTGGCCAGGCTGGTCTTGAACTCCTAACCTCGTGATCCACCTGCCTCAGCCTCCCAAAGTGCTGGGATTACAGGCATGAGCCACCAGGCCTGGCCCCAATTTTTTTGTATTTTTAGTAGAGATGGGGTTTCACCATATTGGCCAGGATGGTCTTGAATTCCTGAGCTCAAGTGATCCGCTCATCTTGGCCTCTGAAAGTGCCACTGTGCCCAGTCTATTCTCTCTTTTTGACAGATGGGGAAACTGAGGCTCAGAGCCAGGCTTGTCAAAGGCATATGGAGGACTGGGGGTGGTGGGATACAAATTCAGGCAGCAGATAGACTCCAAGTCCGACGCCTCTGCAGAACCCCTCATCCCAGATGCCTGGCTGAGCTACCATCCCCACCCAACTCCCTCCACGTCCCCTCCCTCCCCAGAAAGAGCCTAGAAGCACAGGCCTTGGGCGGCAGCCAGCCCTCCCTTCCTCCCAGGCTTCTGTGCAAGCCCTTGGACCACGTATGCCAGTAGCCATTGGAGGGCAGGAGGGGCGGCGGCTGAGTCAGCTGGTGCCCACAGCACTGCCTGGCACGGAGGGCCCTGGAGGCTTTGCTGAGAGGACAGATCTGGAGGCTGGACCCGAGGTCACCGCCCAGGACGTGTCTACAGCTCCACCTGGTGGTGATACAACACCGCTGTCACACCCAGCTCTGGTGTTATCCTCCCCACAGCCAGGTCAGCAGATATTTGGGGAGCAGCTACTGCTGCTGCGCATGGGCAGGCCAGGCACTGAGAACAGAGCGAGGCTGAGGAGATGTGGGGGCACGCACTCCAGGCAGAAGGAACAGCAAGTGCAATGGCTCTGAAACAGGAAGGAGTTGGGAAGACCCAGGAGGAGCAAATGGGTTAAAGAACTAGACTTGGGTGCCAAGGATGGAGAGGAAGAAAGGCAAGGCTCGGTGGTTCACATCTGTAATCTCAGCACTTTGGGAGGCCAAGGTGAAAGGATCACTTGAGGCCAAGAGTTTGAGGCCAGCCTGGGCAATACAGTTAAGACCCTGTCTCTACAGGAAATTTTTTTTTTTTTTGAGACAGAGTTTCGCTCGTCACCCAGGCTGGAGTGCAATGGCATGATCTTGGCTCACTGCAACTTCCGCCTCCTGGGATCAAGCAATTCTTCAGCCTCAGCCTCCTGTGTAGCTGGGATTACAGGTGCCCGCCACCATGCCCAGCTAATTTTTGTATTTTTGTAGAGACAGGGTTTCACCATGTTGGCAAGGCTGGTCTCGAACTCCTTAACTCAGATGATCTGCCTGCCTTGGCCTCCCAAAGTGCTGGGATTACAGGCATGAGCCACTGCATCCAGCCCCATTTTGTGCTGGTATGAATAGAGATTTATTTCTGACAGCTCGGGAAGCCGGGAAGCCCAAGATCGAGGGCTGCATCTGGTGAGGGCCCTCTTGCTGTGTCATAACGTGGCAGAAGGCATCCCATGGTGAGAGGGAGCAAGAGCTCCAACGTGCAGCTTCAAGCTCTTTGTTTTTAAGATGGAGTTTCGCTCTTCTTGGCCAGGCTGAAGTGCAATGGCCCGATCTCGGCTCACCACAACCTCTGCCTCTCGGGTTTAAGCAATTCTCCTGCCTCAGCCTCCCAAGCAGCTGGGATTACAGGCGTGCGCCACCACGCTCAGCTAATTTTTGTCTTTTTAGTAGAGACGGGCTTTCTCCATGTTGGTCAGGCTGGTCTTGAACTCCCAACCTCAGGTGATCTGCCCGCCTTAGCCTCCCAAAGTGCTGGGATGACAGGCATGAGCCACCGCACCCAGCCACCTCAAGCTCTTTTATATCCATTCGTGAGGGTGGAGGCCTTACGATGTAAACACCTTCCATTAAGACCCACCTCCCAACACTATTGCATTAGGGATTAAGTTTCCAACCCATATATTCTGGGGAGACATTCAAACCATAGCACCGTCCTGCGTGCTGTACGCTGGGAAGACATAAGAACAGTGAGGAATGGTGCACCGGGCCTTGTGCCTTAAGAGGGAGGGCCAGCTGGAGGCAACACACTGAGGCCCTTGTCCTGTCCCCTCTACCTCTGATCCTTGACCTTTGCCCCGTCCCCTCTACCTCCCTGTAGTCTGGACTTCCTGGAGTCAGCCTGAAATCCAGACCTGAGTGGACGCCCACTACTCTGTTTGGAGAAACCTATGGGACAGCTAGGCAGTGGCTTGCTGTGTGCCTAGCTCCTGATGACAGAGCTGCAGCTTAAAATAAAAGCCTCCTGCTCAGCACTTACTTAATCCTGAGGGGACCGGGCATCAGGACGCATGGTTGCGAGGATTTGCTTAAGTGAGAGGCTGATGAAAGCTCCCTGAGGGCTGGCTGGGGGGTTGGGGCACCCATCTTAAAACCTGTTTCTGATTTCCTTTGCTGCTCACCCCTATCTCTGGCTGGCAGCTTTCCCGGATTAGCTGCTGACGTCAGGAGCTGCCAGCTGGGCCAGCCTGGCACAGCCACGGGGCAGTGTGTGAAGGGCTGTCTGGTAATAGGGTGCAGTAAAGGAAGGGGGCATGTGTCCAGCTTCGGAATTTGTCCTTGAAGGAGCTGGGGTGGAGGGGAAGGAGAAGGGTCGAGATGTGCTGTCAGGCACGCACATGTGACCTGTGTAGCGCATCCTTGTTGGACAGAGAGAGAAACAGCTCAGGGAAATGGATAAGTTGTCCAAGACCACACAGCTGGTCTGACCCTGGCTGCATCCCACACCAGCTGGTAGACAACCCGCGATGGGCAGCAGCTGCTGGGACTGGAGGTGATGGTCTCCATGTAGGTCCGTACCTTCCTCTCTGTCACCATAATGGCAGCTGCTGAGTGGTGTTTGCCCTGCTCCAGGTGTCTTCGTGGGACAACTGTCTTATGAAGCTGGTGTTCGTTTTTGCTTTTGTTTTTTTTTTTTTGAGATGGAGTTTCGCCTTGTTGCCCAAGCTGGAGTGCAATGGCACTATCTCGGCTCACCGCAACCTCTGCCTCCTGGGTTCAAGTGATTCTCCTGCCTCAGCCTCCTGAGTAGCTGGGATTACAGGCATGTGCCACCATGCCTGGCTAATTTTGTATTTTTAGTAGACAGGGTTTCTCCATGTTGGTCAGGCTGGTCTCGAACTCCTGACTTCATGATCCACCTGCCTCGGCCTCCCAAAGTGCTGGGATTACAGGCGTAAGCCACCGCCCGGCCGCTGGTGTTCCATTCTACAGGTGAGAAACTGGAAGCCCAGAGAAGGGAAGTGACTTGCCCACGATCATACCCCAAATTGGTGATGGAGGCAGGGTTTGATCCTAGGACCGTCGGAGTCCAAAGCCAGTGCTCTGCCATACATACAGAGATTTCACAGCTTTGACATGTTTCAAGCCCATGCCCCTGTGCTTGCCGTGGCTGCACAGATCTCCGCTTTGAGAGAGCGCATTTGCATGCAGAGTAGAAAATACAGAGGGGGCCAGGCGCGGTGGCTCACACCTGTAATCCCAGCACTTTGGGAGGCCAAGGTGGGTGGATCACTTGAGGTCAGGAGTTCAAGACCAGCCTGGCCAGGCTGGGCACGCTGGCTCACGCCTGTAATCCCAGCACTTTGGGAGGCCGAGGTGGGACGATCACAAGGTCAGGAGATTGAGATCATCCTGGATGATACGGTGAAACCCCGTCTCTACTAAAAAATCAAAAAAAAAAAAAGTTAACTGGGCTTGGTGGCAGGCACCTGTAGTCCCAGCTACTTGGGGGAGGCTGAGGCAGGAGAATGGCGTGAACCCGGGAGGTGGAGCTTGCAGTGAGCCGAGATCACACCACTGCACTCCAGCCTGGGTGACTGAGCGATAGTCTCAAAAATAAATAAATAAAAATAAAAATATATATATAAAAGAAATATTTGCAGGCTGGGCGTGGTAGCTCATGCCAGTAATCCCAACACTTTGGGAGGCCGGAGGTAGGCGGATTGCCTGAGTTCGGGAGGCCGAGGCGGGCAGATTGCCTGAGCTCAGGAGTTCGAGACCAGCCTGGCCAACATGGTGAAACCCTGTCTCTACTAAAAATACAAAAAATTGGCCGGGTGTAGCAGCATGCGCCTCTAGTCCCAGCTACTTGGGAGGCTGAGGTGGAGAATCGCTTGAACCCGGGAGGCGGAGGTGCAGTAAGCCGAGATCCCACCACTGCACTCAAGCCTGGTGACAGAGCAAGACTCTGTCCCCCCCCCCAAAAAAAATTATAAATGTTTTATAGCCAAAGAACAGGAGAAAAGGAAAACCCTCAAGAGTCCCACCAAGAGGATCCAACTCTTTAGTCCTCTCGGTTTTTTTTGTTTTGTTTTGTTTTGTTTTGTTTTTGAGACAAGTGTCGCTCTATCGCCCAGGCTGGAGTGCAGTGGCGCAACCTTGGCTCATTGCAACCTCCACCTCCCAGGTTCAAGCAGCTCTCCAGCCTCTGCCTCCCAAGTGGCTGGGATTACAGGCCTGCACCACCATGCCCAGCTAATTTTTGTATTTTTAGTAGAGACAGGGTTTCACCATGTTGGCCAGGCTGGACTCAAACGGACTCAAACTCCTGACCTCAAGTGATCTGCCTGCCTCGGCCTCCCAAAGCACTTGGATTACAGGCGTGAGCCACCGTGCCTGTCCTTTCCTTTTTTTTTTTTTTTTTTTAGATGGAGTCTCGCTCTGCTGCCCAAGCTGGAGTGCAGTGGCATGGTCTCAGCTCACTGCAACCTCTGCATCCCAGGTTCAAGCGATTCTCATGCCTCAGCCTCCTGAGTAGCTGGGATTACAGGTGTCCGCCACCACGCTCGGCTAATTTTTTGTATTTTTAGTAGAGATGGGGTTTCACCATATTGGTCAGGCTGGTCTCGAACTCCTGACTTTGTGATTTGCCTGCCTTGGCCTCCCAAAGTGCTGGGATTACAGGCGTGAGCCACCGCGCCCAGCCCTTTCTTTTCTTTACAGAGCTGCCATCACGCATTCTCTATTCGAGAACACTTGTCATAAGCAGTTCCCTGTCTTCTAGTTGTGTAGCACCTTTACCTGTTCAAACTGCTTTTGGTCTAATATTTGTCCCTCCTCAATATAAGCAAGGCGAGAATCACTTCCATCTGATAGATGAGGAAACTGAGGCAGAGTGGTTGGGGTCAGATGCTAAGAGTGTCTGGACTGTGATGAAGGGGGTGTCTGGGGTGGATTCTAATGAGATAAAAGTTTTCCAGCTTGACTCTCCAGCTCCTAGGCCAACACTCAAGAGAGGAAACTCAGGGTTGGGGGTGGGGAGAAGGACAGAAAAGACAATCCCAACATTCTCATTTCAAAATATTTAATTTTGTCTGAAAAGGATACATTCCCGGCTTCCCTCCCACCACATCACTCCGGCCCACCAGCAGTGACACACTCGCACGCACACACGCACATAAGGCCAATGGGCTACGGTCTGCTTCTGCCCTCTCTGGCTGGGAAGAAGGAATTTCTCTCTTGCCTCCTTCCCCCAACAAAGGTAAAGAGAGGGGCCCGCTGGAATGCCAGCTCCCAGGGAAGGACACAGAGCCCCACACACTCTATCACATCACATGCACTTAGAAAAATAAAACCAAGTGGTGTTCTGGCATCCCCAACACCGTAAGAGAGCAATATCCACCTGGAAGTCATCTTTGCCATTTTCTAGAAAAATTTATTGCACTTAATTAGCAGATGTTAAAGGAGCTCTGGAGTAGAGCTTTGCCATGAAAACCAGATGCTCCTCGGCCCTTTGCGTTCCAAGGAGCACGGCTCCCGGGGCCCAGGTAGAGGGCTGCCCAGCTTCAGAGGGGTTTTCCCCCACTGGCTTGCATGCCTCCCGCCCTGCCTCAGGCCAAAGGACCGTAGGAGCGGCCTGCACAGCCCCTCAGCAGGGTTACATGTACCCAGACTTAAGGTTCACTGCTAAGTGCCCCCTCCAACCTCAGAAGCCAGACAGGAAAACCTCTTCCTTTGGCCAAGGGTAAGAGTTACCCAGGTCCTCCACAAAGTTGCCATAAACCTTGAAAACTCTCCCTCTCTCTAAATGCACACGTTCCTCCATCAGATGAGACATTTATAATATGAATATTCTTGCAAAGTTCCAGCTCATTCATGATTTGTCTGTTCTGAGGTTGCACTGAGGGTGCCACAAAGCTTTAGACAGGATGCTTAGGAAGTAGACGGCACTTCCAAGCCCATCGGGAACCCACAGAAAGCCAAGGTAAAGTCAACTTCTCTAGCCTCCAGTGACTGACAGATGTCAAAGATCCAAGCACAGGAGCCGCAGTCTCCAGCGGTCGGCCTCCAAGAAGCAGAGGGCCCAGGAGGGAGCCGAGGAGACTCCCATTCCCTCGACAGAAACTGAGCAGGCACCAACCCTCTCCTGCAAGCATGGATTTTTTTAGGACAGGAGAGGAGACAACCTTACCTGAGCACTTCTTTTCCCCCACAGGTCAGCCTCTGTGGACATCCTCCATCTTGTCCCCACCAGGCTCCTGACTCAGAGGGGCATTTCGAAAAGAGTCCAGCAGCCACACTCTTTCCAAGTAAGCACTTTGGGAAAGAACCCGATACCCACTGCCTGGGGGAAAGAAGGGAGGGCACCAAACAGGCAGAGGGCGGGATAAAGAGGAGACACATCGAGCCACCATCCCAGCCACCGGGCTCGGAACATGGACACCAGAGATTTAGTGTCCATCCTTAAAAAAATAAAACTGCAAAAACACAAACCATATACTTTCCGGCAAAGAAAATGAAGAGCTTTTAAGCTCAAGGCTCTTCCACTAATAACAAAATGAGAACCGCCCTCTTGGTGATCCACCAGGCCAGAGGGAGCGTGCCCGGGAGGGAGAGCTGCCCGGGGCAGGACACTGACATGCTGGATGCGCCTGCCCTGTGTGGTTACAATAGAGTGAAAGTGTGTACATGGTTTTTAGAGAACCACAAAGTAAAAGTCAGGGGCCTGGAGGGAGGAGTGACCTCCCTTGGCCTCAGGGCCCCTTGTCAAGTCCCCCGGAGAGGTGGGTGTGCAGGTCCCCAAAGGGCCGTGGCATTCCCCTGGGGTGAGGTCCACGGCTTGGTCTTAACGTCTGTTATGAAAAGTCTTTAGAGGTCAGGGCCTGGGACTCTGAACCACCACGGTAAATAAAGCCAGTGTTACGGAGGACGAAGCACGCCCATCGCCTCTGTCTCCTCTTCACCATAGGCTGCCCGCCCTGAGCAAATAAACACACCCATCTCAGGGGTGTCCCAGTGACCCAAATGAGCAGAGGCTTCCATGAGTTTCCTCAGTGAATCTTCTGAGCACAGCAAAAGGGCGAGTCCCGCCACACAAGAGAAAGGAGTCGTTGTGAGGCAGGGGAGACCACAGCTGTGAGAAGCCACAGCATGGCCAGCCTCACGAGTGGCCCCCATCTCCTGGGACCAAGACTGAGGGGACCCTAGGCCTGTGTAAAAGTCCCAAGAGCCTGCTATCCCGTGAAAGTGGCACTGTGACCTTGGTGACTCTAGACTAGGTGTCTTGCCCTGCTGACACCCTCCGGGCAGCTCGCATGGGAGAGATCCTGAAGCAAGAATTGCGAGGCCCCAGCTGCCCCCAGGGAGAGTGCACTCCAGCCCAGGCCACACCGGTGAGCAGAGCAAGAAAAAAGGGAGCTTCTCAAGAAACACACCCCAGCTCTCATGCCCATGGTGGAAGGGGGCTGTGGAGGCATTTTCTAAACACCACTAGGAAGGTGAATCCTGGGGTCCAGGAAGTTAAAGCCTCCTAGATAAGAGGGGTTTTCCTTTTAAATCTATGATCCAAGACTGGACATTGGGTGGAAAGAAAGAGCAGGCCCAGAGGCCTGGTCTAGTGGGACAAACGAGCTTCACATGGCCTCTGAGTAGCCTGGAGAGGAAATGAAGAGGCCTCTCTCAGCCCTGGCACTCATGGCTCAGACAGCAGCCATCCTAGGAGTCTCTCCTCCACAGCCAATGAAATGCAGAGACAGCCGATGGCCTCAGAGCCATAAGGGAAAAGGGGTGCGGGAGCCGAGAAACGCTGGGCACACTTCTGCTGCAGGCCCCAGCCCCAAGCCCCATCCCAGGCTGTGCAGAGACCCCACTCCTGCAGCCTGCTACCCATGCAGACACTGACGGAGGAGCTGGTGTGTCCTGCTTCCAAGGAAGATGGGAACAGATGTTACTCAAAGACTGTCTGGGGAGAATGAGGTGCGTGACAGACACACCTTAAGTGGAAACGCGCCCTGCTACCTGAGAAGACATAGGGTGACAATGATCACAACTCATTCTGCAGAGATAGCCCTCGGCAGCCCAGGCTGGAGACTGAGGGAGAGTCCAGGGACCCTGAGCGCCCAGGAGAGAGGTGTGTACTCCAGAGGTCCCCTTCTGATTCAACTGGGACATCCAAGAATAGAAACTAAGGCTGAGTCACCCATCTACGCAGATTCTCTTGCGTTCCCCACCAGTGAGGAGACTGGCCCCTCAGGGACGTCGCCACGTGCGCAGGCCATGGTATAATGAAGCTGAGACGTGGCCGCTCCTGCAGCAGGTGCGCCGCCATGCGCCCACGACGAGTCATAAGTCTCCACGCGTGTGAGGGGTTACAGGGAGCCCCCAGGCAGAGGTCTGAGGTGCAGGCAGTACCCCGCCCGGGCGGGGGGCACGGGTTACAAGGGCCCGTATTTGGTCTCATACTTGGACACGATGGTCTTGCACTTGCCCACCTCCTTGCGTAGCTCGGCCACCTCCGTCCGCAGGGCTGTGTTCTCCTTCTCCAGGAAGGCTGCCCGGATGGTGATCTGATTCTCTTTCAGGCGCCGGGCATCCCGTGACCGTTTAGCTGCCACGTTGTTCTTCTTGCGTCTTGTCCAGTACTTTTCATCCTGTGGGGAAGTGCCCTCTGTGAGTCTCTCGTCTTTCCCCACGAGAGAACCCAATTTTTCCACTCCCACCACCTGGATTCCCCTAACTCATCTGGTGTGGCCAGAGCTAAAGCAGGGATACCAGGGAGGGAGCAGCACAAACCAGGGCACATTGAGGGCACTGCCCTTTCCTCGGGGGCAGGACGAGAAACAAAAGTTATTTGGTACGTTACATGGTGAAGAGAAGGAGACTCATCTCCTGGAGGCCTGGTACCTGCTGCTCCAGCACAAAGCATTGCACTGTCCACACCCTTGCCTTACTTAGGCATGTTGGTTGTGGGTAAGGGCCTAGATCCCCGAGTTCAGATCTTGGCTCTCCAAGATTACTAGCAGTGAAACTGTGCAAGTACTTTAACCCCTCAATATCACAGGTCCCTTATCTTTACACTGAGAAATAACAGGCCAGGCATGGTGGCTCACACCTGTAATCCCAGCATTTTGGGAGGCTGAGGCAGGTGGATCACTTGAGGTGAGGAGTTTAAGACCAGCCTGGCCAATATGATGAAACCCCATCTCTACTAAGAATACAAAAATTAGCCGGCGTGGTGGTGCACATCTGTAATCTCAGCTACTCAGGAGGGTGAGGCACAAGAATCGGTTGAACCTGGGAGGCGGAAGTTGCAGTGAGCCGAGATCACGCCACTGCACTCCAGCCTGGGTGACAAAGTGAGACTCTGTCTCAAAAACAAAACAAAACAAAAACAAACAAAACAAAAATCAGTGCCTGGCCTACAGTGAGTACCATCTAAATATTCACCATGATCATCACATCATTATTAAAGTCTCACAAACCTCCCCGGGAGGGAGGTTCAGTTGCTCCCGTTTTACAGATGAGGAACTTGAGGCACAGCTAGGCCACAAGTGGCAACATGGAGTTTGGACCCAGGTGTGCCTGACTCCAAAGATTTGGATGAAAAATCCTTGCTGTAAGTTTTTCATAGGAAAGGATGGAAAACTGCAAAATTCTCTCTTCCCACCAGTTCCTAACAGCACCACCAGCTTGAAAGCTGCTTGCTCATCCCTGGGGATGGCAACATACAAGAAACCCTTTGTCCTTCAAAGCAAGGACTTTTTCAACCCCAGTTCCTGTGGCCTAGTGAGCTCTTGCCCAGTGGCTGGGCTACAGCCAGGGAGGCAGGAACATCAACACAGCCGATGGCCCGGGGAAGGAGAGAAACTACAGGGAGTCACACTGGGGCCAAATGCCACATGACTCCCTTTCTTTCTACCAAACTGCTGAAGGATATGGCTTTAAGCACTAAACTCATGTCTTTCCAAATGGTGTCACAAGGAGGGAAGGCTCTCCAGATAAAATCAAATGCGAGGAGCCATATCCCCTAGGCCCTTGAACCAACGCTGCATCTTTATTTATAAGGAATACCAGGTTACCTTCTGCTCGTCGGGGACAAAGACCTTCTTGGCCTTTTTGATCATAGGCTGGGGCTTCAGGTCCTCCTCAGCAAACTTGTGCTTCCGAGGGTTGAAGAGCTCCCCGCCTGGCACACTGGAGAGCACCAGGTCGGCGGGGTCCGGATTGAAGTTCACATCCACTTCCACACAATTGGGGTCGATGGGACTGGGAGTCTCCCTCTCCTTCTCCAGGGAAGATTCTAAAAGACACAGAGACAGGTGGTCCCGAAGCAGCCCACTGGACAGAGAAGACCCACGCCACACACCCAGACACCTGGTTGAACCTCAAGGCTGCATAAGCCACTGCCGCCTGGGGAGAAGAAAACCCCAACAGTACCAGCCCCTAAGCCAGACTGGCACACGGTTCAATTCCACAACACAAACATTCAAAGAATTCTTTCCTTCAGGAACAGAATGCTCAAAAGGAAACAGAAGCCCTAGAAAAAGACAGGGTTTTCCAATTGTTTCCACCCCCTCCAGAAATGTTAAGCAAAACATTAATTTTTTTTTTTTTTTTTTTTTGAGATGGGAGTCTTGCTCTGTCGCCCAGGCTGGAGTGCAGTGGCGCAATCTCGGCTCATTGCAAGCTCCGCCTCCCGGGTTCATGCCACTCTCCTGCCTCAGCCTCCTGAGTAGCTGGGACTACAGGCGCCTGCCACCGCAGGTGCCCGCCACCAAGCCTGGCTAATTTTTTTGTATTTTTAGTAGAGATGAGGTTTTACTGTGTTAGCCAGGATGGTCTTGATCTCCTGACCTTGTGATCCGCCTGCCTTGGCCTCCCAAAGTGCTGGGATTACAGGCATGAGCCACTGCGCCCAGCCTAAAACATTAAATTTTTATATTCCCTTAACTTCCTGTGATTTCAAGATCTCCAGTAATGAGAAACAGCTGTGTCTCTCCAGGCAGACACAGACTGAAGAATGGAAATGGGTTCCAATTTTTTTTTTTTTTTTTTGAGACAGGGTCTTGCTCTGTCACCTAGGCTGGAGTATAGTGGTATGATCATGGCTCACTGCACCCTCGACCTTCTGGGCTGGAGTGATCCTCTTGCCTCAGCCTCCTGAGTAGCTGGGACCGCGGATGCACACCAACACGCCTGGCTAATTTTTTTTTATTTTTTAGAGACAGGGTTTCATTATGTTGCCAGGGCTGGTCTCAAACTCCTAGGCTCAAGTGATCTTCCTGCTTCAGCCTCTGAAAGTGCTGGGATTACAGGTGTGAGCCACTGCACCTGGCCAGGCTCCACTTTTCTTTTTCTTTTGAGACTGAGTCTTGCTCTGTCACTCAGGGTAGAGTGCACTGGTGCAATCTTGGCTCACTGCAGCCTCCACTTCCCGGGTTCAACCGATTCCCGACTCAGCCTCCCGAGTAGTGGAGACAACAGGCATAAGCCACCACGCCTGGCTAGTTTTTGTATTTTTAGTAGAGACAGGGTTTCACCATGTTGGCCAGGCTGGTCTTGAACTGCTGAGCTCAAGTGATCCACCCGCCTCGGCCTCCCAAAATGCTGGGATTACAGGTGTGAGCCACCACGTCCAGCCCGGGTTCCACTTTTGAGTCCCTGAGACATGTCTGTTACTGTGCCATCTAGTCACTTAGTCTTTTTTTTTTTTTTTTTTTTTTTTGAAGAGTCTCACTCTGTTTCCCAGGGTGGAGTGTAGTGGCGTGATCTCAGCTCACTGCAACCTTGACCTCCTGGGTTCAAGCTATTCTCCTGCCTCAGCCTCCCAAGTAGCTGGGACTACTGGCGCCCACTACCATGCTCGGCTAATTTTTGTATTTTTAGTAGAGACGGGGTTTCACTATGTTGGCCAGGATGGTCTCAATCTCCTGACTTGGTGATCCACCTGCCTCGGCCTCCCAAAGTGCTGGGATTACAGGTGTGAGCCACTGCGCCCGGCCCCATTTAGTCTTATGACAACTAGTTTACAGATGAAGAAACTAACGCTCAGAGAAATAAAATGGTTTTCCCAGAGTCACACAGATGATAAGCAATTGAACTAAAATTTGAAACTTAGTCTGGCTGGCTGATTCCTTGTTCTTCCCTGCCCCACCTGGCTGCCATTTAATAGTGGACACCGATTGGGTTAAAACCACCTCTAGAATTCTAAGGTTGTGTGTTATTAGAGATAAGAGTTATATTAAGAAAAACTATACCTTTGGCCAGCTCATTCAATGCTACTGATAGGAGTATACAAAATAATTATTCAGTCAACAGATACTTATTGAATACCTGTTATATGCCAGGTTCTGTCCTGGCAAAGACAAAACAGTTAACAAACAGCTAAAAATCCCTGCCTGCATGAAATGTTATTCTAGTGGGGAAAGCTGCATTACACAAGATAAATACAAACGATATATAAAAATGTCAGATGGGCCAGGCGTGGTGGTGCACACCTGTAATCTCAGCACTCTGGGAGGCCGAGGCGTGTGGATCACGAGGTCAAGAGATCGAGACCATCCTGGCCAACATGGTGAAACCCCGTCTCTACTAAAAATACGAAAATTAGCTGGGCGTGATGGCATGCGCCTGTAGTCCCAGCTACTCAGGAGACTGAGGCAGGAGAATTGCTTAAACCCAGTAGGCAGAGATTGCAGTGAGCCAAGATGGTGCCACTGCACTCCAGCCTGGCGACAGAGTGAGACTCCCTCTCAAAAAAAAAAAAAAAAGTCAGATGCCGGCCTGGTGTGGTGGCTCATGCCTGTAATCCCGGCACTTTGAGAGGCTGAGGTGGGTGGATCACCTGAGGTCAGGAGTTCGAGACCAGCCTGACCAATACGATGAAACCCCGTCTCTACTAAAAATACAAAAAGTAGCCGGCCGTGCCTGTTATCCCAGCTACTCAGGGGGCTGAGGCAGGAGACTCGCTTGAACCCGGGAGGCAGAGGTCGCAGCGAGCTGAGATCACACCACTGCACTCCAGCCTGGGTGACAGAATAAGACTGTCTTAAAAAAAAAAAAAAGAAAAGAAGATCCTGCAATGCATAGGTCAGTCACGCCTCCAACCCCAACAAAAAATCATCTGGTCTAAATGTCAATGGTGCTGCTGATTCTGACTTTTATCCTGAGATAGAACACCTGGAGGGCTCTGGGCAGAGGTGTGGCATGATCAGACTTAGGCTTTAATTGGATTATGCACATAAATTCATTGTATCCTATTAGACAGGGGTTAATTACAGAGACATCTGAGTGTCAGAGGAGTGAATGACCAGGGACCCACATGGTAACTGTAGGCAGTTTCGGGCATGCCAAACCTAGTACCTGCAAGACAAGCAGCTCAGGTACCTACCACATGAGAATGTTGTTCAAAGTGACGCCATGCCTGGGTGCCCTTCAGCAACAACCAAGTGGCAAGATGTGGTTAAGTTTCAGGGACAGGATAAGAGAAAGCCGCAGGAAACAAAAGGGGAAAATTTGCAAAGAGGCCTGGGGACAAGATTTTGAGGAATTCTCATTTCCCCATGGATACCTCTATGAACAAATTCTAGAAAATGACAATGAGGGCTGAGCGCAGTGGCTCACGCCTGTAATCCCAGCACTTTCCGAGGCAGGTGGATCACCTGAGGTGAGGAGTTCAAGACCAGCCTGGCCAACACGGTGAAACCCTGTCTCTACTGAAAATACAAAAATTAGCCAGGTGTGGTGGTGGGCGCCTGTATTCCCAGCTACTCAGGAGGCTGAGGCAGGAGAACTTGAACCTGCGAGGCGGAGGTTGCGGGAGCCGAGATCGCACCACTGCACTCCAGTCTGGGTGACAGAGTGAGACTCCATCTCAAAAAAAAAAAAAAAAAAAAAAAAAGATGACAATGAGACCTTAAAATGACTTTGCTGGAAGAAGAGGGAAAGGGAATAGATCTGTTGGTAACTTGCCTGAAATATAATTCTCTCATAGGTCCACCATTACAAAAGATGTCAAAATCAAAGGCTGACAATGGAACTCCAATGCCCTGCTGGTGTGAGTACAAATGGATATAACAACTTTGTACGCTATTTGGCAGGGTCTACACAAACTGAACATATGCATGTCCAATGACCTAGCCATTCTCTTCCTAAGCAAATGCCCAAAAGAAACGCATATATATATTTACCAAAAAACATGTAGATGGGCCAGGCACAGTGGCTCACACTTGTAATCCCAGAACTTTGGAAGGTGAGGCAGGTGGATCACCTGAGGTCAGGAGTTTGAGACCAACCTGGCCAACATGGCAAAACCCCATCTCTACAAAAATAAGCCAGGAGTGGTGGCGCACACCTGTAATACCAGCTACCTGGGAGGCTGAGGCAGGAGAATCGCTTAAACCCAGGAGGCGGAGGTTGCAGTGAGCTGAGACCCCGCCACTGCACTCCAGCCTGGGCGACAAAAGCAAGACTCCGTCTCAAAAAAAAAAAAAGACATGCACATGAATGTTCATGGCAGCATTATTCATAACCAAAATCAGAATGTCCTTCAACGGTTAAATGGATAAGCTGTGGTACGTTAGTACAATTGACTACTATTCAGCAATGAAACTTAACAAAGCGGCTGGGTGTAGTGGCTCATGCCTGTAATTTCAACCAACACTTCGGGAGGCCCAGGTGGGAGGACTGTTTGAGGCCATGAATTTGAAACCAGCCAGGGCAACACAGTGATACCCTGACTCTACAGAAAAAAAAAAAAAACTTTTATTTATTTATTTTGAGATGGAGTCTTGCTCTGTCACCAGGCTGGAGTGCAGTGGCGCCATCTCGGCTCACTGCAACCTCCGCCTCCCGGGTTCAAGCGATTTTCCTGCCTCAGCCTCCAAGTAGCTGGGATTACAGACACGCACCACCATGCCCAGCTAATTTTTGTATTTTTAGTAGAGTCGAGGTTTCACCATGTTGGCCAGGATGGTCTCGATCTTTTTTTTTCTTTGAGATGGAGTCTTGCTCTGTCGCCCAGGCTGGAGTGCAGTGGTGCAATCTCGGTTCACTGCAAGCTCTGCCTCCTGGGTTCACGCCATTCTCCTGCCTCAGCCTCCCGAGTAGTTGGCACTATAGGCACCCGCCACCACACCCGGCTAATTTTTTGTACTTTTTAGTAGAGATGGGGTTTCACCGTGTTAACCAGGATGGTCTCAATCTCCTGACCTCGTGATCCACCCACCTCGGCCTCCCAAAGTGCTGGGATTACAGACGTGAGCCACTGCGCCCGGCCTGTAAAATACCATTTATGAGACAACTTTGGAAATCTGAATGTTGATGGATTTATTGTCAACTTTAGATGTAAAACTAGTATTTTCGTTATGTTTTTTTTAAAAGAACCCTTATATTTTAGATACATATTGAAATACTTATAATTTGATTGAAAATAACTGCTTCTGAGTTGAGAATTGTTGAAGCTGGGTGACGGTTACATAGAGGTTCATTATAGTCGTCTCTTACTTTTGTATTTTGTTTGAAAAAATTTCCACAATAAAAAGAAAAAAAAATAGAGTATGAGAACTTATTGGGTGTGGATTCCTGGGGTGACATACCGACTGGCAGGAGCTATCAGCCTGTATGCCTCAGAGACTGCAGAAAGCTTTGCAGAACCCCTGCAACAGGAGCCATGTCTCCTTTGGTAGGTTCGTGTCCAAGGAGCATGAAAACAAACCCCCAGAGATAAAATGTAAAAGGAGGAGGAATAAGGACAGACTCTGAAGATGATGTTTGTCCTGGCCAGGTGGTGGGAATGCTTTCTTTTTTTTTTTTTTTTGAGATGGCGTCTCACTCTGTTGCCCAGGCTAGTAGGTAATGGAGGTAGCACTTGAATAGTGCTTATGCCCTGGCACAAAGAAAGCATTCCCCACTTTGGGAGGCCAACGTAGGTCGATCACCTGAGGTCAGGAGTTCAAGACCAGCCTGACAAATATGGCAAAACCCCATCTCTACTAAAAATAAAAATCGCTTCAATCCGGGAGATGGAGGTTGCAGTGAGCCAAGACCAGCCTGACAAATATGGCAAAACCCCGTCTCTACTAAAAATACAAAAATTAAGGCTGTGCGTGGTAGCTTACGCCTGTAATCCCAGCACTTTGGGAGGCTGAGGCGGGCAGATCACCAGAGGTTAGGAGTTCGAGACCAGCCTGGCCAACATGATGAAACTCTGTCTCTACTAAAAAATAAAAAAATTAGCCAGGCGTGGTGGCTGGTGCCTGTAATCCCAGCTACTCAGGAGGCTGAGGCAGAGAATTGATTGAACCCAGGAGGTGGAGGTGGCAGTGAGCCGAGATTGCTCCACTGCACTCCAGCCTGGGCAACAGAGCGAGACTCCTTCTCAAAAAAAAAAAAAAAAAAAAAAAAAAAAAAAAGAGCAGCATTGAGGAAATGCAGAATGGGATTTCTATCCTGTAATGCCGTGGCCTGGAAGGTCCTGTCCTGACTGTTTGCAGCACAGCAACCAACAGAAGGGTTCCAACTGCCAGTGACATGACCACTATTTTTATCTCCAGCCTCGGGGAACTGTGTGGAAGGGTGGGGAGTGAAGAGTTTCTCCACACTGCAGCCCCACCAGGACCTCCCCTCAGAGAAGGGACTCACTGGGTACATGGACACAAGCAGCCCTCAGTGGGAAATGGACTTCCCTGGATGGGACAGGTGGCCCTCCTCGATGGCCTTTCACCAACCTGTGCTGGACACGGTTTCAGAGGGCTGAAAGATGGCAGTGGAGGAGGATGGTGGGGATGCTGTGGAAGAGCTGGCAGACTCCTTCCCTTCTAGCTCTGCTACAGGCAGCAGCAGGTTGTGGGCCAGGTGGGTGGGGCTGGCGGGGATGCCATTCTCCAGCAGGAACTCATCCAGGTCCATGTACTCCAGGTGGAAAGATTCGCCATCATATGGGATGGTCTTGTCCCAGATGGGTGGCATGAGGGAGGCTGAGACAGCCATGGTGCTGGCGGCTGCGGCCTCGTCCTCCTCCAGCTTTTCCTTCCCCTTTTCCTTATCTGCAGAAACAAAATCTGCGATGAAATACCACACAGGAGAGTAACTCAATCCCAGGAAGTGGGCAGTGAGCCTCACAGGCCTGGCCCATCTTTCTCAGAGCCCCGATTCCAACCCATGCATTTCAAGAACCTACTCTATTCTCCAGTTCGAATCTCGCACTTGAACCAGGCCGGCTGTTTTCCTTTAGACACGGCATCCCATCCTCATCCATGCCTGGCCTTCCCAGAAGGCTTACCACATACTCTGAGACCTTAAGCGGTCATAGGGTTAATTCATTATTTAATTTTATTTTAGTTTTTATTATTTTGAGACAGTATTTTGCTCGTCGCCCAGGCTGGAGTGCAGTGACCCAATTTCGGCTCGCTGCAACCTCCACCTCCTGGGTTCAAGCGATTCTTGTGCCTCAGACTCCCGAGTAGCTGGGATTACAGGTACGCACCACCATGCCCAGCTATTTTTTGTATTTTTAGTAGAGATGGGGTTTTACTATGTTGGCCAGGCTGGTCTCGAACTCCTGAGCTCAGGTGATCCACCCACCAAAGTGCTGGGATTACAGGCATGAGCCACTATGCCTGGCCTGTTTTATTTTATTTTATTTATTTATTTGAGACAGAGTTTCACTTTTGTTGCTTCGGCTGGCTTACAATGGCGCAATCTTGGCTCACTGCAACCTCTGCCTCCTGGGTTCAAGCAATTCTCCTGTCTCAGTCTCCCCAGTAAACTGGGATTACAGGAGCCTGCCACCATGACCAGCTAATTTTTTGTATTTTTAGTAGAGACGGAGTTTCACCATGTTGGCCAGACTGGTCTCAAACTCCTGACCTCAGGTGATCCACCCGCCTCAGCCTCCCAAAGTACTGGGATTACAGGCATGAGCCACCACGCCCAGCCTGTTTTATTTTTTTTTTTGAGATGGAGCTTCGCTCTGTTGCCCAGGCTGGAGTGCAATGGCACAATCTAGGCTCACTGCAACCTCCGCCTCCCTGGTTCAAGCGATTCTCCTGCCTCAGCCTCCCAAGTAGCTGGGATTATAGGCATGCGGCACCACGCCTGATTAATTTTTTTTGTATTTAGTAGAGACTGGGGTTTCAACATGTTGGCCAGACTGGTTTCGAACTTCTGACCTCAGGTGATCCACCTGCCTTGGCCTCCCAAAGTGATGGGATTACAGGCGTGAGCCACTGCACCTGGCCACAGGGTTAATTCAGAATAGCCTGTAGCACTGGCCAGGTGCGGGGGGGTCAGGATTGCAATCCCAGTACTTTGAGAGGCCCAGGCGAGTGGATCCCGAGGTCAGGAGTTTGAGACCAGCCAGGCCAACATGATGAAACCCTGTCTCTCCTAAAAATACAAAAATTAGCCAGGTACCGGGGGCGGTGGCTCACACCTGTAATCCCAGCACTTTGGGAGGCTGAGGCGGGTGGATCACCTGAGGTCAGGAGTTTGAGACCAGCCTGGCCAACATGGTGAAACCCTGTCTTTACTAAAAATACAAAAATTAGTTGGGTGTGGTGGTGGGCGCCTGTAATCCCAGCTACTCAGGAGGCTGAGACAGGAGAATCACTTGAACCTGACAGGCAGAGGTTGCAGTGAGCCAAGATCATGCCACTGTACCCCAAGTCTGGGCCACAAAGAGTGAAACTCCGTCACAAAAAAACAAAAACAAAAACAGAATAGGCTGTAGGATTAGCATCTGCAGGAGAGAGACTACAAGGAGGGAAATGGAGTCTCTGACCTTTCCTGATACCTTAGCTTAGAAAGGGCTGAGATCTTCAGGCCAAGAACTTCTGTGTTCCCCTGTCCTGTTCCCTCCAGTTATGCTTCTCCACAGCAACCCAGCCCAGGGAGGAGTCCCATTTTTGCCACTTGCTGTTTGATGTGTGACCTTAGCCATGTTACTTAACCTCTCTGAGCCTTGGTATCCTCCACTGTACATAAGGATAAAGATGTTTCTTTGGTGAAGATTAGAAATAACTTTTTTTTTTTTATGAGAAGGAGTTTCGCTCTTGTTGCCCAGACTGGAGTGCAATGGCGCGGTCTCAGCTCACCACAACCTTCGCCTCCCGTGTTCAAGCGATTCTCCTGCCTCAGCCTCCCAAGTAGCTGGGATTACAGGCATGCGCTACCATGCCCGGCTAATTTTGTTTTAGTAGAGACAGGGTTTCTCCATGTTGGTCAGGCTTGTCTTGAACTCCCGACCTCAGGTGATCCATCCACCTTGGCCTCCCAAAGTGCTGGGATTACAGGCATAAGCCACAGGGCCTGGCCAGAGATAACATTTGAAAGTGTCTTTACAGCCATGCGCAGTGGGATCACGCCTGTATCCTAGCACTTTGGGAGTCCGAGGCGGGCAAATCACCTGAGGTCAGGAGTTTGAGACCAGTCTGACCAACATGGTGAAACCCCGTCTCTACTAAAAATACAAAAAATCAGTCAGGAATAGTGGTGCATGCCTGTAATCCCAGCTACTTGGGAGGCTGAGGCAGGAGAATTGCTTGAACCTTGGAGGCGGAGGTTTGTAATGAGACGAGACTGTACCACTACACTCCAGCCTGGACAACGAGGGCGAAAGTCTGTCTCGAAAGAAAAAAAAAGTGTCTTTACAGTGTTCCTGGCACACTGTAGGCATCATTGTTACTGTGGGCTCACTGAAAGTATGAACTGATTTATTTCCAGATCTCAAGGGCCCAACAAGGGGTAGGCAGACGGTGGACTATGGGAAAATATATATACTAACTGTAGAATATTGGATTTGCAAACAGATTCAGGTTAGGTTTATTAGAAAGGGCCTGGAGCTGTCTTTTCAGGACCCTTTTCAGAGCAACCATTTCAAGAGACCTTTATTCCTGAATAAGCAGAAAAGACTGAAGGCAGGTTTTCTGGGAGGAAGGAGAGGGGTGGAGTTGAAGAAGAAAGACTGCTCCTATTCAAAGGAAAACTAATCAATTAGTGGGGACTGGATCTACCCAATTGTCTCAGTCACAAAGTTACACATGTGGATATCCAAGAGAGGGCAATTAAAAAAAGAGAAGAGAGCAATGTGACAAGGTTGGAAGGAAATCAAAGTGACAGGGAGGCTAATCAGGGAAGTGGGAGATAAAATCATGACAAGCTCATGATGGGTTTTCAAAATTGAGGGAGACAATTTTGAACTCTGGATTTATAAGTGAAAAGGAGAAATCAAATATGATTAAGTTGGAAATAAACCAGCCACACATGGACTCCCAGACCAAATAGCAGCTTGTTGGTCCAATAAAAATGAACACACCCAGTGAGTTAAGAAGGTGGAGGTTTTGACAAACAACTTGGTCATGGCTTTCTAATACAAATTAATCTGAATTCCTGCAACTGCTTTCTATACCAGGCTTTGGTTTAAAACCAACTGAGAAGTAAGAAAGTCAAGCCTTGGTGGGCTGGGTGGGCCAGATGGCCTTCCTGCTCTCCTCCCTTGAGATCTGGACTCCTCACTCTGTTCAGAAATGACTGTGACCCATGTCGGGTGGGGTCATTTGGGATCAAAGGAGGCAGGAGAAGGCAGGAGATAGAAAAGCAGCCATAGTGAAAGACAGGCAACAATAAGTTCCAGGTTTTGCCTGGCCTAAGCAATAAAGGATACTTTAAATCAGTGTTTTTGTAAGGTGGAATTTTAAATTGTAAGAGATAAAGGACTAGTCCATCACTCAGGTCATGCAACAGTGGCTGCCAGCATGATACAGTAGAAAGAGCACCAAACTGAGGGTCAAAAGTTATAGCTGTGTGACCTTGAGGAAGCACCCTCACCTCCCTGAGCCTCAATTTTCCTCATCTGGGAAGAGGGGAGAATACCCTCTAGGACTGTTAATGAAATAAGATGATGTCAGCGTGCTTTGCGAGCACTCTACGAATATCGGGTAGAATTCTTGTTATGGATGGTTATTACCTGGTAATTTCAAACAAGAAACTGTCAGATGTGTACACCTGTCCCTGCAGCTTGTCTCAGCCCCAGATTTGGAACAAAGCACCGTCTCAAAAACAAACAAAAGGGTTTGTGCACATGAGGTCCCAAAGCAGGAGGAGAGAGGCTGGCCTCACCTGATGTGCTGAAGCTATTTATAACTCAACAGTGACAGCCACAGGGATGGGAGCCTCAGCATACACCCAGGAAAGGAAGAGAAATGGCATTTTAAAAAGGAAAATCCATTCCCCAGGCCAGACAACTCTCGAAGGCCTATCCCTTTCCCAAACCCTGAATAACTGATGGCTCTTGGAAATGCAAAGGTCTCACACTCAAAGTATACCTCAGTGCACCCACAACCCCACCACAGGCGGCCCTCCTGCTGCTCCCTGCACCCCATCTCCCAGGGCGAAAAACAAGGCCAGACCTGCTTTCCGTATACGCCCCAGTGACGTTCCTGGCCTAGGCAAAAAGATGAAGCTCAGTCCTGCCGCCGTGGCCCCAGAATCTAAGGGTCAGCCCCAACCAACCAGGCGAAGGGCCTCAGTGGACTCATCTGACCCTCATCGTTTCTCTGCTTGGCCCAAAACTCCCCTCCCAAGGCGCCTCACACTACTCGCCCACACCCCCCCCACCCGCTCAGCAGAAGCCCCGCAACAGAAAGGCTCCCGTTGGACCTAGTAGCTGGCGCTACTCACACCCAGGGAGGAAGCCAGGTCCCTCCGGGAGGGGTAAGGCCACGTACGATGACAGTTCGCTACCCTAGGCCTGCGCTTCCTAAACTTTGGTGTACTTGGAAAATAATGGGGGTGCGGTGGGGTGCTCCTTAAAATGCAAGACCCCTGTCCCAGTGACCGCAGATTGGGTGGGGCGCAGGAACCAGCAATTTAAACAGGCATCCCGAGTGACTCCGATGCAGGTGGCCCCGGGGGAGGGGCCCTGGAGCGTCATTTAAGTGACTGCTCCCGATCCCCTTCCGCCTCCTCAAAACCTCTCCCCACCCTCTCCCGCCAGACCCACCGTCTCAGCCCGCCCCTGACCCTCTGTCCTCAGCCCCCCGGCCTCGTCCTCCAGGCTCCTGGTCATCCAGGCCCCATCCCCCTCCGCTGGACCACTGCTCCCTGACCCACTGCCTCCCCGGCCCCGCCCTCACGAGGCCCCGCCCCTGTATAAGCCCCGCCCCCAGCCCGCGCGGACCACCCCCCCGCCCTCACCGAGGCGCGCCTCGCGCGGGGGGTTCTCCATCAGCTTCTTCAGGACCAGGGGGAAGGACCCCGACAGGCCCCTTTCCCCAGCTGCGCGCCCCGGCCCCGGACCGGGTCCTGCCTGCGGGTCCACAGGCGGCTTCTTTCCGCCGCCCGCGTCGGACATCGTGCCCCGGACTCGGCTCGCGCACCTCGCCTCCCCCGCCCGCCCCCCGAGATGGGCCGGAGCCGTGCGACCCGCTGCAGCTGCCGACACGGGCAGCTACTGCGCAGGCGCCCAATGGCGCCCCCGCCTCCTTCCATCGCTACCCCGCCTGCGGACCGGCTCTGGCACATTAATTATTCATGAGGCCAGGCCAGCTTCCCCGGATCGTTGCTCTGGATTGGTCCAGCCTGCGAGAGGGGCAGGCGCAGATCCTCGGGCCGTGATTGGTCGGGCAGCCGGGATAAGATAGACACGTGCGGGGCCAGGTGAGGACCCTCGCGGAGGCCCCGCCCCGCCGCCCCTGTGTCCCCTGATTGGCGCCTGCTGGAGTCTTTGTGGTGGGCCTTCCTCGGCGCGGTCCCTTCCCTCCTACCAGTGTTCCCCCTTCACCGCCCTCTTCATAACCCCCGCCCTCCCCAACCACCGCAGCCTCTCCCTCTTGTCCCCGACTTGCAACCTTCCCGACGCGCCACCGAAGAGGGGCGGAGCTCGGAGCGGCCAGGCCGGCCAAAGCGACCTATCCGAGCTCCTGCTCGCGCGGCGTGTCCACCCCCCGCGGGTCACGTGGAGCCGCAGCCGAGTCTGGTCGCGGGGGGAGGGGGCAGAGGAGGAAGGCGCGGGAACAGCCAATGGAGGGCGGGGGCGGGGCCCGGGGCGGTGCACGAGGCGCCGCACGTGCGGGGCTGTGGCGGGGCGGGAGGGGAAGGGAGGGACGGGTCTTTTTGTTCTGGGGACTCTGCCCAGGGTCGCGGGGCAGGGACGCTGAGCTTAGCCCGCACTTCTGCTCCCACGCGACCCAGAGGTCGCCTGAGGGCAGGGCCGGGGACCGCGACCTGCCAAGTCGTAGGGATGGCCTGAGCAGGCTTGGCCGCCCTAGAGCGGGGTGTCGGGTTGCCCACGCATCCAGATCAACACTAGCGTGGAGGGAGCATTCCTGAAGCTCTGACCTGAGCCAGGGCCCGAGTACATGTTTCCGCCCTCCCACTTACTAGCTTATGACCTTGGGAAAGTCCGGTTGCTTCACTGGAGCTTGTTTCCTCGGCCATAAAATTAAGAGGTTGGGCTAGAGAATCTCCACAGTCCCAAACAGATGTGAAATTCTTTTCCTTTCTAGAACTCTCCCTTCTTTTACCTAGAAAACAAAAACCTCCTTGACACCAGGTACCGATGCCACGTTTTGTGGGAGAACCACCTCCTCTCTTAAAATATAAAGCCTCCCCGGGAGTTCCGCAGAAATCCGTAAAAATGTAATATGTGGCGCGGTACACAAATGGAAAGCTGCTCCTAAACAGCGCTCAGAACTTTGTACCTCTTTATAGTACAGATCAGACTCCGCTGCAAACCCAGGCAACATTAGACTCCCCGCTTAACTCCCGGAAGGCAGAGAGCTTGGCTTGTTTATCCAGCATCCCTACAGTGGCCCAGCCCTTCTAGCAGGAGGGGTTGGGGGGGTGGTATAGTGATAGTCCTTGGTTCAGGGGGTAGATGCATGATCCAGACACCCACAGCCAGCTAAAAGTTATCAAGCTGATGCAATCAGAATTTTGCTGGGGCTGGGCTTGGTGACTCACGCCTGTAATCCCGGCACTTTGGGAGGCAGAGGTGGCGGATCACCTGAGGTCAGGAGTTCGAGACCAGCCTGGCCAACAGGGCGAAACTCCGACACTACTGTAAGTACAGAAATAATTAGACGGGCATGGTGGCTGGCGCCTGTAATCCCAGGTACTGGGGAAGCTGAGGCACGAGAATCGGTTTGAACCTGGGAGGTGGAGGTTTCAGGGAGCCGAGATCGCGCCACTGCAGTCAAGCCTGGGCGACAGAGGGAGACTCCATGTCAAAAAAATAAATAAATAAAAATAATTTTGCGGCGGGGTAAGGAGGAAAAAGAAGTTGGGTAGCTGACCAGGCCTGGAAAGCAAGAGATTTGAAGGACTTTGGGTGGTGGTAGAGACAGGATGATAGGTCTGATTCCAAAATTCAAGCTCTCACTGCCACTGTAATTGAACCTCAGTCATTTTCTGAATCTGATGCCTCGATTGCTTTACCTTTTCAGGCCTCCTTTTCTTTTTATTTTCTTTTCTTTTCTTTTCTTTTTTTCTTTTTTTTTTTTTTGAGACGGAGTTTTGCTGTTGTTGCCCAGGCTGGAGTGCAATGGCGCGATCTCGGCTCACCGCAACCTCCGCCTCCCAGGTTCAAGCGATTCTCCTGCCTCAGCTTCCCGAATAGCTGGGATTACAGGCATGCGTCACCACGCCCGGCTAATTTTGTATTTTTAGTAGAGACGGGGTTAATTTTGTATTTTTGGTAGAGACGGGGTTTCTCCATGTTGGTCAGGCTGGTCTCGAACTCCTGACCTCCGGTGATCCACCCGCCTCGGCATCCCAAAGTGCTGGGATTACAGGCGTGAGCCACCGCACCCAGCGTTTTTTCCTTTTATGCCAAATGGAGTTAGGGCAGGCTCTACCTTATGGTGTTTTTGTTTTTTGTTTTTTGTTTTTGAGACGGAGTTTTGCCCTTGTTGCCCAGGCTGGAGTGCAATGGCGGGATCTCGGCTCACTGCAACCTCTGCCTCCTGAGTTCAAGCGATTCTCCTGCCTCAGCCTCCTGAGTAGCTGGGATTGCAGGCGTGCACCACCACGTACGGCTAATTTTTTTTTTCTTTTTTCCGAGACAGAGTCTCACTCTGTAGCCCAGGCTGGAGTGCAAATGGCGGGATCTCGGTTCACTGCAAGCGCTGCCTCCCGGCTTCCCGCCATTCTCCTGCCTCAGCCTCCGGAGTAGCTGGGACTACAGGAGCCCGCCACCGTGCCCGCCTAATTTTTTGTATTTTCTATAGAGACGGGGTTTTACCACATTGGCCAGGCTGGTCTCGAACTCCTGACCTCAGGTGATCCACCCGCGTCTCCCAAAGTGCTGGGATTACAGGCGTGAGCCACCGCGCCTGGCCTACCTTACGGGGTTTCTGTGAGCCAATTTGCGTAGGCGCACAGTTGCAAACCTTCAACAAATTTAGTTTTCATAATTTTACTAAAACTGGTTGGCATATCCATTATCCCAGAGGTTAGTGTGGTGCCTGTGTCACTCTCTGTAGTGAAAATAGTTAATTGTGTACAGAAAATTTGTTGTGTTGTAGAATTGTTAGTGAGAATTCTGTGTGTGGCGAAACTTAAACACCTTTAGGGGAAGCTAACCTAGACAAAGGACATTCCAAGGAAACTGATTAAACCAATACAGGGCTGGGCGTGGTGGCTCACCCATGTAATCCCAGCACTTTGGGAGGCTGAGGCAGGCGGATCACCTGAGGTCAGGAGTTCGAGACCAGCCTGGCCAACGTGGTGAAACCCTGTCTCTATTAAGAATATAGCCGGGCACAGTGGCTCACGCCTGTAATCCCAGCACTTTGGGAGGCCGAGCCGGGAGGATCACAAGATCAGGAGATCGAGACCATACTGGCTGACAGTGAAACCCTGTCTCTACTAAAAAATACAAAAAATTAGCTGGGTGTGGTGGCGGGCACCTGTAGTCCCAGCAACTCGGGAGGTTGAAGCAGGAGAATGGCGTGAACCCGGGAGGCGGAGCTTGCAGTGAGCCGAGATCACGCCACTGCACTCCAGCCTGAGCGACAGAGCGAGACTCCCTCTCAAAAAAAAAAAAAAAAAAAAGGCAAAAGTTAGCTGGGCGTGGTGGCGAGTGCCTGTAATCCCAGCTACTCGGGAGGCTGAGGCAGGAGAATTGCTTGAACGTGGGAGGCGGAGGTTGCAGTGAGCCGAGATCGTGCCACTGCACTCCAGCCTGTGGGACAGAATGAGACTCTGTCTCAAAAAAAAAAAAAAAAAAAAAGGAAGCTAAGGAAGCTTTTTAAAAAACCTGCTAGTTTGGCCATGAGGAGACTTGATGGCTTAGAATCATACCTATATAGTCTCATGGCTAATACGACATTATTGCTGGGAAGAAAAACCCATTCTCAAAGTATTAGACAATGATTAATGATAACAGTGGAAGGTTCTAACACGTGTTTATGAGAAAGATGGGATGTAGTAAGAGGAAGTAAAGATTTAGATTTTCTTTTTTTAGCTGTAGTTATCCAAAACGAATAATGCCTACTCCACTCATCTCCCAGCCTGGAGCAGCTACCCTAACAGGCAAGTGACGCTGGTGAGAAGTGAGACCAGCGGGTTAAGCCTCCAGAACTTGGTGTTCATGTACTGACACTCCCCAGAGAGAGTTTTTTCCCCTGGATAACCAGAGGGTAGATGATGTGTCACAAATACTGCAGGAGCGTTGCAAACACGTTCTCTATCGTGCTTAATTGCCAGCTGTGAGGGGTTAGCTACATCAGTTTACAGCATTAAACAGTGCCATCCTGGAGGTGGGAGCTATTATGTTCTCCTCTTCATTCTCCACCACAGCAGCCTCTCTCTACCTCTGTCTCCTATCACTAAAGTGGGAATATTGGTGTGACCTTGCCCCGTCTTAGTGGAGGAATAAACGTTGGGAGAACTAGTTAGCTAATTTCCATAGTTTGTGAGCCCGACAAAGAAATAAACCCCATAAGAAGAACATGTTATTACACGATTAAGACTTTAAAGGCTGAGAGATTAGAGAGGCTTTTCAGGGGGAAAAAAGAGAAAGAGAAAAATAAAGGTATGGTGTGGAACAGTAGCCCAGCCTGGGCAACATAGTGAGACCTCATCTCTACAAACAGTAAACAATTAGCCTGATGTGCTTGCCTCAGCAGCGCAAATACTAAAATTGGAATGATACAGAGAAGATTCGCATGTCCCCTGTGCAAGGATGACATGCAGATTCGTGAAGCGTTCTGTTTTTTCAAAGAAAAAAAAATTAGCTGAGTGTGGTGGTGCGCCTGTACCCTAGCTACTCAGGAGGCTGAGGTGGGAGGATTGCTTGAGCCCAGGAGATCAAGGCTGCAGTGAGCTGTGATTGTACCACACTGCTCTCCAGCCCAGGTGACAGAGAGAGACCCTGTCTCCAAAAAACCAAAAACAAGAAACAAGACCACACTGGTTTCTTTAGGGAAGCATGGGTCCTGGGGCAGCAGTGACTTTGTGGGGAGGCCTTCCTCAGTTTCTGACCCAGCCACATGGCCATGGGCAAGCGACTTCTCCTGTCTAAACCTCAGTTATTTTCGCCTTGGAAACAGAGATGGATACGCCCGCCTCACAGGATGGTTGTGAGGATGACCTGTGATGTGCAATGCCAAGTGCCCGCCTGGCACGGTGTGCAGTGTGGAGTGGGTGGGTACCCACCCTTCCCCTTCCGTTCAAGCTGTGTTGGGTCAGGAGTAGTTATTTTGTGTGTGAGGACAAGGCTGTGGGCCTGAGGGTGGGTTTAGAGTCTAAGCTACAGACAAGATTGGATGTGAAATGTCCATTTTCCAAAGCTGGACGACTGGCTGTAAATTCTAGTCACGACTGTTCCAGAAACCTGCTAACTAGCCCAAGTTAAAAACTTTGTTCAGGCCTGGCACGATGGCTCAAGCCTGTAATCCCACCACTTTGGGAGGCCGAGGCGGATGGCTCACTTAAGGCCAGCAGTTCAAGACCAGCCTGGCCAACATGGCAAAACCCCATCTCTGTGAAAACTAGCCGGGCATGGTGGCAGGCACCTGTAATCCCAGCTACTCTGGAGGCTGAGACAGGAGAATCACTTGAACCCAGGAGGCGGAAGTTGCGGTGAGCCGAGATTGCGCCACTGCACTTTAGCCTGGGCCACAAAGCGAGACTCCATCTCAACAACAACAAAAAAACAAAAACAGAACAAAAACTTCGTTCAGTAGAGCATAAGCAGAACAAGTGATTTTCATTAAGCCATTTTGCCAATTTGGATTATTTTTACTTAAACTTGAAGTTTAGAGGAGCTAAAACTCCAACACAGGAGCCTTTGGCCAGATACCCTATAATGATCTCTTTGGCCATATATTCCGCACCTAGTAGAACAGTCCCACTCTGTTTTCTGGCTTACTGAAAATGGGACATGGGCCTGGGACGTGTGAGAGCAGGAGGGTGATAAGGCTTCTTCCATTGAGCTCTAAGAAAGCCCGGTTATCTGTGTCTTTTGCGCAAATCAAATGCAGGAGGGCACGATGCTTTGTTCAGGGTAATAACCCAGTAAAAATATACTTTTTTCTCTTTTTTGAAAAAATCCCCACCCTATCAGTAAATATTTGTTGGCTTGCTTTGTTCTTGGTACTAGTAGGACAGTTAACCAAACCTTTCAGAGCTAAATGATATGCATTTGGAGCAATTTTTTTTTTTTTTTTTTGAGACAGAGTCTTGCTCTGTTGCCCAGGCTGGAGTGCAGTGGCGCAATCTCGGCTCACTGCAAGGTCTGCCTCCTGGGTTCACACCATTCTCCTGTCTCAGCCTCCCAAGTAGCCCGGCTAATTTTTTTGTATTTATAGTAGAGACGGGGTTTCACTGTGTTAGCCAGCATGGCCTCGATCTCCTGACCTCGCGATCCGCCCGCCTCGGCCTCCCAAAGTGCTGGGATTACAGGCGTGTGCCACCACGCCCGGCCGCATTTGGAGCATTAATAACATCAAATAACAGGCATTGTGTTTGATTCACAATTGAACCTGGAACAGCAAACATGAGCCATCCTTTGGCAAGTCTGCCCGCACAAGCCTTGCCAGCAGCTCTCCTTTTTAGCCCACATACCTGTGCCTGGGCTCTGTGGTTTGTACCCTCCTTGGTCTCAGTGTGTTCCAGGGGAGAAGTGGTGGGTGGAGGCTCTTTACTGATTCTTGCCCTCCTCGTCAGTACTCTCAAAAGTGCTAGTTTCCTGTTTGTCTTGCATTCTGTCCGCTACCAGGGCTTGGTCTGCAAATGGAGAGCTCCCTCAAGAGTGCCCTTTCCAGAGAGAAGCCCTCACCTCTGCCCTGTGTGATGTCTCAGAAGCCACTACCAGATAGCCACGGTTTCTGCAGTCAAAGACGTGCTGGAGGGGACAGAGGTGGGCCTCTGGAGCCAGACCCCCTGGGGCTGACTCCTGCTTCCACTTTAGTCGGCCCTTGAACAACAGGGGTTTGGACTGCATGAGTCTACTTACATGTGGATTTTTTTCAACAAAAGTTACACTAAATTTGCCTGCCTCTCCTGCCTCCCCTTCAACTTCTGCTACCCTTGAAACAACAAGATCAACCCCTCTTCTTCCTCCACCTCCTCCTCTTCCTCAGCCTACTCAATATGGAGACAAGGCTGAAGACCTTTACAATGATCCACTTCAACTTAGTTAAGATTCTGTTATGATTTTCTTTTCTTTTTTTTTTTTTTGAGACAGTTTTGCTCTGTCCCCCAGGCTGGAGTGCAGTGATGCTGTCATAGCTCACTGCAGCCTTGAACTGCTGGTCTCAAGCAATCCTCCTGCCCCAGCCTCCAGAGTAGCTCGGATTTCAGGTGTGCACTGCCTTGCCTGGCTAATTTTTTTTTTTTTTTGAGACAGAGTCTTGCTCAGTTGTCCAGGCTGGAGTGCAGTGGCGCGATCTCGGCTCACTGCAAGTTCTGCCTCCTGGGTTCACGCCATTCTCCTGCCTCAGCCTACCGAGTAGCTGGGACTACAGGTGCCCGCCACCACGCCCGGCTAATTTTTTTTGTATTTTCAGTAGAGACAGGGTTGCACCATGTTAGCCAGGATGGTCTCGATCTCCTGACCTTGTGATCCACTTGCCTCGGCCTCCCAAAGTGCTGGGATTACAGGCGTGAGCCACCATGCCTGGCTTGCCTAGCTAATTTTTAATTTTTTTGGTAGAGACAGGGTCTCACTATGTTGCTCAGGCTGGTCTCAAACTCCTGGGCTCAAGCACTCCTCCCACTTCAGCCTCCCGAAGTGCTGGGATTACAGACGTGAGCCACTGCGCCCGGCCATGATTTTCTTAATAACATTTTATTTTCTGTAGCTTACTTTGTTGTAAGAATACAGTATATAGGCTGGGCGCGGTGGCTCATGCCTGCAATCCCAGCTCTTTGGGAGGCTGAGACAGGCAGATCATGAGGTCTGGAGTTCCAGACCAGCCTGGACAACATAGTGAAACCCTGTCTGTACTAAAAATACAAAAATTAGCCGGGTGTGGTAGCATGCGCCTGTAGTCTCAGCTACTCGGGAGACTGAGACGGGAGAATCGCTTGAACCCTGGAGGCAGAGGTTGCAGTGAGCCGAGGCCACACCATTGCACTCCAGCCTGGGTGACGGAGACTCCGTCTCCAAAAAAAAAAAAAAAAAGTCCGGGCGTGGTGACTTACGACTGTAATCCCAGCACTTTGGGAGGCCAAGGCAGGTGGATCATGAGGTCAGGAGTTCAAGACCAGCCTGGCCAAGATGGTGACACCTCGTCTCTACTAAAAATACAAAAATTATCTGGGCGTGGTGGTGGGCGCCCATAATCCCAGCTACTCAGGAGGTTGAGGCAGGAGAATTGCTTGAACCTGGGAGGCGGAGGTTGCAATGAGCCTAGATCACGCCACCACACTCCAGCCTGGGCGACAGAGTGAGACTCCGTCTAAAAAAAAAAGAAAAATATACTATCTAATACATATAGCATACAAAATATATGTTCATGGACTGTTGATGTTATCTGTAAGGCTTCCCATCAACAATAAGCTATTAGTGGTTAAGCTTTTGGGGAGTCAAAAATTATATGCAGATTTTCTACTGCATGGCGGGGCAGCATTCCTAATCCCTGTGGTATTCAAGGGTTAACTGTATTTCTTGGTGACCTTGGACAAATTGTTGAACTTCTCTGTACCGTGGTGTCCGAAGTAAAGTAGTCCATTCAGGCACAGTGCTAGGACACCACCTGGCCTATAGCATGTGCTCGGTCAAAGTTAACTCTACTGTAATTCCTGCTTGGGTTGTTCTGGGGATACCTAATTTCTCCCCACCAGCCACTTCCCCAAGAATAGTGAGTGTGAGGGTCCTTACAGACAGGGAGATGAGAGCGTCACTCCTCTTTATGACCGTCAAAGCTCTGCAGGTGCTCGCCCTTCGGGTCTCTCCAGCCTCACCTGGTACCCCTCTCCCCCTTGCTTGCTTTCTGCAGCCATGGTGGCCTTTTATTCCTCAGACCCGTTTTCTTTCCTGTCCCAGGAAGGGCCTTTGCAGGTGCTCTTCCCACAGCCTGAAAGTTCCTCGGGTAGCTGGCTCTTCCTCACCCTCCAGGCCTCCAGGCCTCAGTTCAAATGCCTCTCCCTGGGAGAGGCTGGTCCTGACCACCACCGCCTCCTGCCTAAACACAGCAGATTCTCTCTCCCCTCTAGAATCCAAACACCAGGGGAGCAAGAGTAGAGTTGGTTTCATTCACCCCGGGCTCTCCAAGCATAGCAAACGCTCTGGAAGCACGTGATGAGTGGCTGGGTGACGAAGAGCTACGACCCGAGACATGGTACCCACATGGGTACCCACCCTATGGGTAGACACGAGCCTGGTGTCAGGAGGAACTGGGTTTGAATCCTTCAACAACTGTGTGGCCTTTCCTCTCTCTGAGCGTCGATGTCCTTATTCGTAGAGTGGATGATCATACCTTCCTTGCAGAGCCATTGCACAGATAGTGACATAGGCACACACAATACAGTCCTGGCTCACGCTCAGGAGACAGTGGCTGTCAAGTCAGGAGCCCGTCCTGCAGCAGCCTAGCCATCTGGAAGGATCACTCCTCGACATGCCGTCAATGCCTGGCACTTGGTAAGAATGAGTTTCTCACATTTCTCTGAAGGGATGGGGTGGGGGGCAGGTAGAGAAGAAGGCTCTGGGCACCTAGGGTGGGAAGGAAGAAGAGAGAGACTGGCCCTGAGGGTAGCCAGTGCCTCTTTGTTCATTTTCTCACCAGAATAACAGGGGAAATATACCATTTAGAAAGAGGCAGTGAGGATTAAATGAGCTAGCATATCCAGCACATAGAAGGCCCTCTCCCCATCCTCGTCCCTGAAAGCAAACTCCTCGATTTCTCAGTTTTGCTCTGGTTCCCAGGCTGTGCATGGAGGCAAACACAGGGCCCTTCACTCAGGCCAAGCTCAGGAGAGCCCAGGCTGCACCGAGTCCACACTCTCGGCTCATTTCCCTCAGTCCACCAAGAGGATGACACCAAGGCCCCCTCCTGTACCCCTGCCTCTGCCCCAGCAAGTCCTACTGAGATCCTGCCTGTTATGAAATGGGGCTGTCCCATTGGGTGCAGGGCAGATGGCACCATGCCTCTAGGAGCCTCAGCATGTGTTTCCAAGGAGACAGCCGTGTGTGTGTGTGTACACACCAACTTGTACCATCCAGTTCTTCAAAGGAAGGTGGAAAGAAGGGAATGAGGGTCAGGTTGCAAATGGGATGTAGGTGGAAGACGCACGACGCCAGGCCATGCTGCTGTTTGCCTTTCACAGAAAAAACCAGCACAGCATCTCACGGTTTGCAGACACTTTCACATGGGATAACTCACTTAATCTTGGCAACAAGCTCATGGCACAGATATTCTTTTCCGCTTTTTAAAGTCTGGAGATGGAGAGAGAGGGGGGCAAGTCCCAACCAGTGGGTTGTAGAATTAGGATTTGTGGCCTGACTCTGATCATAAGCCCCCTGCTCTCTTCCCAGGGCCACACTGCCTTGCCTAGAAAGGATTCTAGATCAGGAGTGCCCCTACGTGGGGATGCCGCCTGCCCAGCCCAAAGCAAAGGCCTTGTTCAGCCTTTGAGGTGTATGTTCCGGCTTCACAACTCCCTGAAACGGAGGCCTGAGTGACCGGAGATGGCAAGAAAATGGGAGGAGGTGTCTCTAAGCATGGCCAGGGCCCCATGGGAGAGGGAAGTATAGGGTATAAAATGCTAATCATATGATTTAGAGACACAGTGTCTTTCCAGAAGCTGGAAGAGAAAGACGTTAAGAGCTGGAGTGAGCAGTCTGGAACAGAATCAACTCTTGGAAAAGTATCCTTGGGAGACAGGTTGGGAGTGAAGACAGGAAGAGTGGTTTTCAGGATTTAGGGCCCAGGGACATAGAGGGGAAACTGAGTCAGGGCTTGGCTACAGACCCACCCTTTTGCTGGAAATGGATTTCTCTGCCAAAAGAGAAATTGTTTGAACTCATGGCCTAGAGTGAAGGCCACCAAGAAGCCATTGTCGTTGGAAGCCAAGGGAGTCTGGGAGCTGGTCAGCTCTGGTGGAGAAAGTCTGTTTATCCAGGGACAGGAAAGAGGCAAGGTCTACACGGGCTGGGCTGGGAGGCCCAGGGGCAGCACGAGGGAGAGGGACCCCAAGTCTGGGTTTCAAGGGGCATCAATGAACTAGAAAACGGAATGAGGCTGGGTGCAGTGGCTCACGCCTGTAATCCCAGCACTTTGGGAGGCTGAGGCAGCTGGATCACTGGAGGTCAGGAGTTTGAGACCAGCCTGGCCAACATGGTGAAACCTGTCTCTACTAAAAATACAAAAATTAGCCGGGCGTGGTGGCGGGTGCCTGTAATCCTAGCTACTCAGGAGACTGAGGCAGGAGAATTGCTTGAACACGGGAGGTGGAGGTTACAGTGAGCTGACGTTGCACCACTGCACTCCAGCCTGGGCAACAGAGTGAGACACTGGCTCAAAAAAAAAAAAAAAAAATGCCAGGCGCAGTGGTTTACACCTGTAATCCCAGCACTTCGGGAGGCTGAGGCGGGCGGATCATGAGGTCAAGAGATAAAGACCATCTTGGCCAACATGGTGAAACCCCATCTGTACTAAAAATACAAAAATTAGCCTGGCGTGGTGGCGGGCGCCTGTAGTCCCAGCTACTCGGGTAGCTGAGGCAGGAGAATTGCTTGAACCCAGGAGGCAGAGGTTGCAGTGAGCCGAGATAGCACCACTGCACTCCAGCCTGGCGATAGAGCAAGACTCTTATCTCAAAAAAAAAAAAGGGGGAAAGAGAAAATAAAAGAAAGTGGAGTGAGAGGCTGCACGGAGCGGAGAGCATGGGGAGAGCACACCTGGAGTTTCTCACACTCCGCAGACTTTCCTGTACACTTCCCTCCCACTGGAGGTGAGATACGCTCTGCACATGACCTAAATGTGTGCCGAAGCACAGCCATTGGGCAGGAGAAAGAAGAGAAAATGGGGAGTTTGTAAACAGTCATCCAAAGAGATAACTGCCCCCTTCCACTGGACGGGAGCAGCAGGAAGTCCACCAAAGCAAGGGCACGCGGACCTGAGGGCATCCCTGTTTTCTGGAGCACCTGGCCTCTGTTGTCTTTCTCCAATTCACACCCAGAGTCAGAGCAGTGGCAGATGGAAGAGAAGCCACTTCAACAACTACTTAAGTACATGGTCCCTGATGGCAAGTAATTCTGTAATCATTCTGTGTGGTGGCTATACCCTCTTTTCAACAAGGTCTATTGCTTTTCAGGTAGACGTTTCTGTTTATAAATGGTCTGGAGATTCGGGCAGCTTTGGGAAACTGATTGCAGATTAGGGGGCAGTAATGTGCTGCAGTCATTGTGAGTCCTGTGGCTCTTCAGCCCTCTTCCCCTCATTTTATCTAGCAGTTGGCTGCTGGCATCTGTCGGTCCTGTGGGACCTCATGCTTCTCACTCTCAGTGAGATGCCACATGAAGTGACAGGAGGTGACCCAAGACTGGCCCACACCCCTTGGACCTGCCCAGCCATGCTGGACTAACTAATTCTCGGCCACAGCTTGCCAGTGCTCGGCAAAGCTCTGCCTGAAACCTTGGGCGGTCCCCTATGTGCCAGGCCCTGACTTTGCTCATCCACAGTGAGGGAGGGGGACTTTTCGGCTATTGCAGGGCCCCACAGACCAGCTGGGAGCCAGAGACCGGCAGCTGCTGCCACACTTCAAAGGCCTTGTTATCCTCATCTGAGGAGCAGTGCCCCGAGTCGCCCCTGAGAATCCTCCCTGCCCCACTGGCAGCCTCGCCCTTCATGTGTGTGCTGGGGGGCATCCTGGGACACCTTGGGGGAGCCAGGAGGGACTGTACCACCCTTCCTGGGTTCCTGGACCAAGGAGGGGACCCTCTACCTTAGCTTTTGGAAATGTGTTCAGCTCTGCCCACCCACACAGGCCACTCAGAGATGCCAAAAAAGTCAGCTGTGGCTTGTTTGTGGGTGTGGACTCCAAATGGGGGCAGATCCCTCCGGCTGAGTTGCAGAGGGCTTCGCTGAGGAGGTGGGCTTCTCATGGTGAGCAACTGGTGTCCCCAGTGCTAGGAGGCCACAGGAGCGCCTTCTGTGACACTCTTCTCAGAGGGTGGCCTGGACTGTCCCACCATTTGACAGCATGGAGTGTGGTCGGAGGGGCCTGAGCCCAGAGCTGCGTGCGAGAGCTCCGGAGCCCCTGCCCTAAGCTCCCAGTACGTCCTTCCCCGTTCGGGCAATGTCTCCCTGGGGCTAGAACCTGCTGACCCTCCTTTCCTGGCTTAGCCCAAGCAAACCCACACCCAGTTCCAGAGGGGTGAAGGGAGGCCGGGGGCTGTGGGATCTGTCTCCTGGCTCTGGTTTGGGAGTGGGCTGAGAGCGTCCTGTGGAAGGAAGGAGTCCTGCGGGGACAACCAGGGCCACCTGGTGATGCTAGGTAGCAGGTGCTGGCACAGCAGGATGAGAGGGAGGCCTGAGAAAGGTCCCCTGAGAGGACACCCCAGGTGCTCAAGTCAGACTCAGGCAGCAAAAGCCAGCTGGGCCCCTCTAAAGGCAAGGAGGAGTTGGAGCCCTGGGGACCTGGGGGTGACCTCTGACTTCTGGGAACAGAAGAGATTTGGAGAGAGATTTATCAGTATTCTCCGCCAAACTAATCTGGCCATGGGGTTCCCAGGCAGGACTTGGGAGACACCTGGTGCTGGCCACCAGGTCTGCCCCTCAGTCCACGCCCTCCTCTCTCCTCCCTCGCGCGTTTTGCCTGTGGTATCCTAGGAACGCAGGGCTTCGAGCCTTGTGGTCCTGTTACATAACAGTTTCCATCCCATCCATGAGTTCAGCCCTCCGGCAAGCGGGAGCTGCAGCAGGCGCACCAAGGAAAGCCTCTGCTTCAGACCCAGGCTCCTGCTGCCCAAATCCACAGTCCCTGCCGCTCCTCTGCCACCCCCAGCGTACAGGGGGAGGGAGCTTCAAAAGCAGTCAGCATCCAGCCAGATTCTTTCAATAGGACCCCCTGTCCTGTCCTGGTCCCACATGAGCACAGCACCTGTCAGTGGCCACACACTGGCCATGGCTTCCCCAAATCCAGCAGGCCTAGGAGAGAGTCCCAGAGCCGGTGTGACACATGCCTCCTCGAACCCCTCTCCGCACTCTGCACCCTGAGACCAAGGGCGCACCACTGCTGAGACCCTCCCTGGCTTGGAGATGCCTGTCCTGCCACTGTGCCTGTGGCTGCCCCCTCGCCCCCTCGAGTACCTGGGCAGCCAATCAATGCAGGTCACCTGTGCTCCTACCTGTTCTCTTCTCTGGCCAAGGCAGAGAGTGCTCCAGCAGGGACTTGAGGACCTCAGGCATGTCCATGGCAGGGGCCACTGAGAACCAGTCGCAGCTCACACAGCCCAGCAGGAGGTGCTTGCTCCAGGGAGTTCAGAGGCAGCTGGAGAGGCAGGGGCCGCCAGCCGCAGGCTAGGGAGGCAGGCGGGGTGGGAGCCTTGAGGCAGCCAATGGCCAGCACCAGTCCCAGCCCGCCCGTCCACCCCCGGCTCGGCCACCTGCCAGCTCCGGCTGCAGCCAGGCCTTCCCTTCCCGCTGCTTGGCAGGGCGGGCCTGGCCCTGCGCCAGCTGCAGCACGTGGAGCTGTCGCGCCAATCCTCTGACAGAGAGCCCAGCCTGTTATCTAACTTTGGAAAGGGAAGTTCTCCCCCAGGCTGGGAGCCATAACTGGGGCTGCCAGGTGAGAATGGTAAGCTCCACGCCCACAGCAAGCACGCATCAGCATGGAGGTGCCCTGGAGGCCCAGGCACGCAGTGGAAACCATCCCGGGCTGGGACCTGAGGCTCCAAGAGAAAAGGAGGATGACAGGCAAGGACAGCACCTCAGGCAGCCGAGCACAAGACACCCTGTGTTGGCAGATGCAGGGATGCGGTCGGACATCATGCCTTCACCTGTGCGCTTCTGAGCCTCAAGGGCTTGTGGCATGTTTTGATGCTGTGTTTATGCCATGCACACGTACCCTACAAGGCACGCCAGTGTACATATGGCATGCATAATTGGAGCTTTATACCATCTGCACAGCCTGAAGCCTGTTCCCCAAAAGGAAGTGATAAAACCTACCGCCTCAGGTTCTTTGGTCTTCAGGGGAGAGGGGAAAAGGGGCAGGTGCCAGGAGACCAGGCACCACTGAAAGGGGGGCAGCTCTGCCAGCCTGCTTCAGGCTTGTCCTGGATGAGGAATCCCTGCTTCCCAGTCATTGTGGGGACTTAAAGTGCCAATTGGCTATTTGCTGTAGTTCCCTCTCATACCCTCCCACCAGGACGCTGGCCCCTGTGGTCCTTGGGTTACTTGAATGGGTGAAGCAAAGGTTCTGGATGTCAACCTCTACGTCAGACCAACATCACGTCAAAGCCAGACTTGCCGGGGGATGCCAGGTTCTCGATTCTGCCGTACATTGCTGTGGGATCTTGAGCAAGCGTGGCAGCAACTCTGGGTCTCAGTTCCCGAACCACCGAATGCAGTGACCTCTAAGGTGCCGTTCAGCTCTAGTTCTATGGCTCTGAAGCTCCAGATGGGCTGCAATAAACATTTGGTTTTCTGCGTGGTAGCTGATTTTTTTTTTTTTTTTTGAAACAGGGTCTTTGTTGCTCAGGCTGAAGTGCAGTGGTGGGATCACGGCTCACTGCCTCATCCTTACAAGTAGCTGGGACCATAGGTGCATGCCGCCACACTGGACTTTTTTTTTATAAAGACACTGTTGCCCAAGCTGGTCTCAAGTCCTGTGTTCAAGCCATCCCCCGGTCTTGGCCTCCCCAAAGTCTTGGGATTATGGGTGTGAACACTGCCCCTGGCCTGTAGCTGGTTTCTAAGCAGTGCTTTGTTGTTTTCCAAAATTCCATTTTGTACAGAATCAAAAATACTCCAAGAGCCCCTTCTGGCTTCTTCCTTTCCCAATGACCTCAGCTTATACTCTTAATTACCCTCCTTCCCTCCCTAATGACCCTCCCCAAATTATGCTCTTTCCCAAATTAATTAAAAATTAATTTTAACTTTTGAATACAAAAAACAATACGTGGCTCACAGCTCAAAACCTCCGATAAGGTTTGTTTATTTATTTGTTTATTTAGAGACATAGTTTCATTCTGTTGCCCGGGCTGCAGTACAGTAGCAGGATCTCAGCTCACTGCAACCTCTGCCTACCAGGCTCCTGCCTCAGCCTCCTAAGTAGCTGGAATTACAGGCACACACCATTACGCCCAGCTGATTTTTGTATTATTAGTAGAGGCAGGGTTTCGCATCATTGGCCAGGCTGGTCTCAAACTCCTGACCTCAGGTGATCCGCCCTCCTCACCCTCCCAAAGTGCTGGGATTACAGGTGTGAGGCACTGTGCCCAGCCTCAAGGAAGTATACTTTAGAAATGTCCTTTCTATCCCTGTCCCTCTTTCCCATTCCCCAATGTTTCTTTTTGCAAAAGTAAACATATATATGTATATATTTATGACACACACACACACACACAAACATTTAATTTTGCAGAGTTGTATGTTTTGACCAGCAGAGAGTGTTTTGTAACTACAAAGGAGAGACCCCCTTACTGCTGTTTCCAGCCAGAACCCTGGCCAGTGCCCTTTGCTCTGCAACCCCGGGGGTGAGGGTAAGGGTGAGAGTGAGCCTGGTGCGCAGGCCCCCAGCTGACCTGTGATTTGCAGTCAGGGGTGGACTCAGGCTGGGCTGCCGCATTCACCATTCCTCGGTCCAAGAATTCTCTTGAGTGCAAGACCGCTTATCACAAAGGTGGAGTGGGCAGGTGTCCATCGGTATGATCTCAAAAGGAACAGGAAGCACCCTGTGTTTCTCAAACATACCCACCTGCTGCAAGACGTTTTTCTCTTGGAAATTCATTCCGGTGAGCTCTCTGCAGGCTCCTTTTTTTTTTTTTTTTTTTTTTTTTTGAGGCGGAGTTTTGCTCTTGTTGCCCAGGCTAGAGCACAATGGCGTGATCTCGGTTCACCGCAACCTCTGCCTCCCAGGTTCAAGCAATTCTCCTGCCTCAGCCTCCCGAGTAGCTGGGATTACAGGCATGCACCACTGTGCCCAGCTAATTTTGTATTTTTAATAGGGACGGGGTTTCTCCGTGTTGGTCAGGCTGGTCTCAAACTCCTGACTTCAGGTGATCCACCTGCCTCAGCCTCCGAAAGTACTGGGATTACAGGTGTGAGCCACCGTGCCTGGCCTCTGCAGGTTCATTTTAATGTGCGAATGTCCTAAGCCTCTGAGACTATGAATGAGTGCTTATCACATACCTGGCACCAGCCTAAACCCTGTGAGGAATTCAAAGTTAACATACCCAGCCAGGCAACTCCCTATCCTTAGAGAACTTTCACACCACCAGGAGTCCATGTTGGCAGCCCCCAGTCGGCACTCAGTGTCCAGCTGGCAGCATCCCCTAGGTCAGACAGGGACCACACCAGTGGGTTGCTGGGCCAGGCAGCCAGGGAGGCCAGAGGTAGTGGGAAGGGAAGGCCGTATACATACCTAGAGACCTTCGGACGGGGGCCGTATGCTGGGAGTGCTGGAATTGTCTGCACTTCTTGGACTTCGTAGCTCAGGGATCTGATGTCCACTGCAGATGGTCTGAGGTCTGTTGGTGTCCTTATCAATGCCACTGAGCCCATTCCTATGCCCTGCGCTTGAGTTTTCATCAACTGTATTTACCCCCAGTTCACTAGGAACATGGTTTTTTTTTTTTTTTTTTTTTTTTTGAGATGGAGTCTCGCTTTGTCACCCAGGCTGGATGGAGTGCAGTGGCGTGATCTTGGCTCACTGCAAGCTCCGCCTCCCAGGTTCACGCCATTCTCCTGCCTCAGCCTCCCGAGTAGCTGGGACTACAGGTGCCCGCCACCAGGCCCGGCTAATTTTTTGTATTTTTAGTAGAGACGGGGTCTTCACTATGTTAACCAGGATGGTCTCAATCTCCTGACCTCATGATCCACCCGCCTCGGCCTCCCGGAGTGCTGGGATTACAGGCGTGAGCCACCGTGCCCAGCCGGAACATGGTGTTCTTTGTGCCTACAGCTATGTCTCCTTGCAGGGGAGCTGTAATCCCAGACAGAAGTCTGGAGTCAGAGTCACAGTGGCTCCCTAAGAACATCTAACGCCTTGTGCAGCTGAGAGGCCGGGCTGAGGGAGAACTTTATCAAGAATACGTTCTCAGCCAGGCACGGTGGCTCACTCCTGTAATCCCAGCACTTTGGGAGGCCAAGGTGGGTGGGTCACCTGAGGTCAGGAATTCTTGACCAGCCTGGCCAACATGGTGAAACCCTGTCTCTACCAAAAACACAAAAATTAGCTTAGTATGGTGGCATGCACCTGTAATCCCAGCTATTTGGGAGGCTGAGGCAGGAGAATGGCGTGAACCCGGGAGGCAGAGCTTGCAGCGAGCTGAGATCACGCCACTGCACTCTAGCCTGGGCACAAGAGCAAGACTCCGTCTCAAAAAAAAAAAAACAAAAAACAAAACAAAACAACAAAACACGTTCCCTGTGCCTCGTCCTCTCCTTGAGCAGCAGCGCATATATATTTACTTCTAGGCCCGAAACGAAGGTGCCAGAAGAGGCTGGCATAATCTTACTGATCATCAATTGAGCAGGTCCAGTGGCTCCAGCTGCGTTTTTCTGAGGACTGGGGGTTGTTTCCCAGGGAGGTTGCAAAGGGCTCCCAGGTGTGGGGATAGACGGATGCAATTATTTGCAGAACTGTCAAGGGCTTTCTCTAGAGGTGTAGAGCTGAGGCAGCTGGTGCGCTGTGTTGGTCGTGCTCACTGAGGCCCCTACTCACAGGGCTGAAGACCAGACACAGGGCTGCGTTCAGTAACTGGAAGCTGCTTAAGCGAGCTCTGACTCATCAATAGGATGAATATCAGCTACTGACCATAAATATCCAGGTGACACGGGTACATGGAACTGCACATGTGAAATAAAAATTAAGAGAGAAAGATGCAGAACAGTAAGTGACATGGATTACAATGATGAATCTTTTTGAAGCTTCAATTCCAGTTTCACCTCCTCCAGGAAGTCCTCCCTGGCTGCTGAGCCTGGATGAGGTACCTCCCCTGGTTCCCTGAGTGTCTCCCCCCGTCACCCCCATCACATCATTCTACAATCTTCTATTACGTCGGTCTCCTTTAGCACTGACTGAACTGAAGGGGAAGCAGTTTCTTAAGTAATCCTGTATCCCTGGATCTGGGATAGAGTGGGTGCTCAGTTGATGTTTACCAATCTGAGCCACGTGAGGACCAGAAGAGAATTTAAGGGAATTGATGAGAATGTACAAGTTTATTCCACTAGGTTGATTGAAGTCCTGCTTGTATTTTTTTTTTTTTTTTTGAGACAGAATCTCACTCTGTCACCCAGGCTGGAGTGCAATGGCATGGTCTCAGCTCACTGCAACCTCTGCCTCCCGGGTTCAAGTGGTTCTTGCACCTCAGCCTCCCAAGTAGCTGGGACTACAGGCGTGTGCCACCACACCCGGCTAATTTTTGTATTTTTAGTAGAGACGGGGGTTTCACTATGTTGGCCAAGCTGGTCTCGAACTCCTGACCTCGTGATCCACCCTCCTCTGCCTCCCAAAGTGCTGGGATTACAGGAGTGAGCCACTGAGCCCGGCCTCTGCTTGTCTTACTCTTTAATTGTTCCTTTATTATTTATTTTTATTTTTTTGAGACAGGATCTTGCTCTGTCTCCCAGGCTGGAGTGCGGTGGTGTGATCATGACTCACTGCAGCCTCAACCTCCTGGGCTCAAGCCAACCTTCCACCTCAGCCTCCCAAGTAGCTAGGACCACAGGTGTGGACCACCATACCCAGCTAATTTTACTTTTTTTTTTTTTTTTTGTAGAGATACGGCTTTACTGTTGCTCAGGCTAGTCTCAAGCTCCTGGCCTCAAGTGATCCTCCTGCCTTGATCTCCCAAGGCAGGATTACAGGAGTAATCCTGTAAGGTCTTGATGCAGGCACGCGATCTCTCCAGCCTAAGCATGAGTCTGTATTTTTCTTCCGGGAACTCTGCCTTGCCACGCCACTTCGGTTTTTCACAGTGCATCCAGAGGTGCTGTGAATTCCAGAATGTCAGGGCGGAAGGGACGTTTGCCGATACCCAGTTCCCAGTGGTTCTCGATCTTTTTTCTGCCTCCTTCCTGAGGGTCCTTGGAACCTTCACTGAAACTCTCTGGGCTATAAATGTGGACAGTGAACTTCCACGGTTGCTGTGAGGGACGGATGTACTAGCTGCACAGTACCTGCTGCAACCAAGATGCTCAATAAAGCTGGCTGCTTTTGTTCCTCGTGCCATCATTTATCAAGCATCTGAGCGTCTACTGCACACCTGGCCCAAATGACTCCGTCTTCAGGCAATTCTCTGGTCCTGAACCGCTGTCCTGGTCCACTCCACACTGCAGTTTAAAGCTGTCTGGGAAGCCGGGCATGGTGGTGGCTCATGCCTGTAATCCCAGCACTTTGGGAGGCCAAGGCGGCGGGTGGATCACTTGAGGTCAGGAGTTCGAGACCAGCCTGGCCAACATGGTGAAACCCTGGCTCTACCAAAAATACAAAAATTAGCCAGGCATGGTGGTGGGTGCCTGTAGTCCCAGCTACTGAAGAGGCTGACGCAGGAGAATCAGTTTAGCCTGGGAGGTGAAGGTTTCAGTGAACCGAGATCGTGCCACTGCACTCCAGCCTGGGTGACAGAGTGAGACTCTGTCTCAAAAAAAAAAAGGAGAAAAAGAAAAAAAAGCTGTCTGGTGAGAGCTTGCTCTTGGACATGAGCAGTCCCTCCCTATGGGACCCCCTCTATCACCTGCAGCCATGCACAATCCAAAAGATTTGACAAAGTACCTCCCACCCCAGCAGACTGAGTCCCTGAGAACTCCAGATCTAATATATCAGCTCCTTTTATTTATTTATTTTTGAGACAGAGTCTCGCTCTGTCACTCAGGCTGGAGTGCAGTGGACCGATCTCAGCTCACTGCAACCTCCGCCTCCCGAGTTCAAGCGATTCTCCTGCCTCAACCTCCCAAGTAGCTGGGATTACAGGCATGTGCCACCATGCCCAGTTAATTTTTGTATTTTTAGTAGAGACGGGTTTTCACCATGTTGGCCAGGCTGGTCTCAAACTCCTGACTTCAGCTGATCCGCCCACCTCGGCCTCCCAAAGTGCTGGGATTACAGGTGTGAGCCACTGTGCCCAGCCCCCCCGCCAGCTCCTTTTAAAGATGAGGAAACTGGACCCATGTGACTTCAGTCTCCCTTGGGTTCACAGAAGCCAGGGTTGCAGTCGGGATCACACTGGGCATCATAGGCGAGGCATGGTCCCTGCCTTCCTGCAAGAGCCACCTCCAGAAAGGGCAGAGGTGGGTCCTGGAACCCAGCTGGGCACACACTGCAGCGTAAATGTAGGGAAGTGTGGGCACCGCTGGCAGCCCCACGTGGAAGGCTGAGAGCAGGCAAGCTGCAGATGAGCCAGGGAAGGGTGGCAAGTGGCAGCGTGTCGCTGCCAGTGAGATGCTGCCGGAGCCAGGGTCGGCTGGCCTCCGTGTGTACACAGGGACACAGACCTGCCCCTCACCCCTCGGAATGCTTAGCATTCCTCAGAGTAGCTAGTACCGGCCAGGTCTGTCCCATGAGGACAGAGCAGCTAAGGCCCCTGGATATAAGTACCAGGTGGGGAGGAACAGGAGTGACATCTCGGGGACAGAGGTCAAAGTGCACAAGTTTATTTTCTAGAACAAAGGCTAAGGGAAGCAAGTTTCTTTCATTTTATTTTAAGAAGGACAAAAATTGTTATTAAAACATCTACATTATTATCAAGATACTAGACCTTATGAATATTTAATATTAAAGTGTGGTATTCTTAAATTTTTAATACACAGACATTTTAAAGGACCATTAAATTGATTACTGCCCAGCTGAGAAATGCAGCATCCCTCCCCACCCACCCCGCCCCCATGCTTGCCATGCCATCTTGTCCCTGCCTGCCGGGGGGAACACAGGTCCCAGATTCAGTCCTCTGAGCCTCCCAGCCTGGGGCCCTAGAAGGCTCACAACTGAAATAGTTACCCTCATCATTAAAAGGGTCTTCCTGTCCCTCCTCCCCATCACACTCTGCCTCCCACTCTCTCTTCCTTACCCTGTGGGGGCTCCAGCTCTGGCCAGGCCAGGAAGCCCCAGATCCCAAGGGTCCCTGGACAGATCACAGGCTGAAGATGAAAACTCTGGACTTGAATCCTGTTCTTTTCAGCGGGGAGACAAATACAAATCACCTTCTTTCCCTGAGCACTCCCACTCTCTCCGCACTCGATGGGGGTGGTCTGGGAAGCTAGCAGAGTTGGGCCTGGGGAGGGTGGCTCCTGTCCCTGGCTGCCCGAATCACCTCTGAGCCATGGCTCCAGTCCCTGTCACCTTGCAAATAGTCCAGTGGCCCCTGAAACCCTCCTAATCACACAAGGATGGCTGCATTTTCTGGCCAAATTCTTTATCTTTAGCCCTCATAAAAGTGATTCCTTGGATACCACACACATATATAATATTATATAGAGCGATATATTTAATACCTGTGTATATATGCATCACGGGGGCGACATATATACACACTAGAAACAAGGCTGGTGACAACGGACTGCAACACCACGGATCAGGGAAAACGAGTATCATCGACATCACGGCCACACATGGCCACAGCCCCCACCTTGGGTGTGGTCTCCCCTCCCCTACAGCCACACCACCAGCACCCAAACTCTGCAGTGCTGGCCTGCTGCGGCCAGGGGGTGGGGCAGGGAAGAGGAAAGGGCGCATGCCACGATTATCAGGAAAGGTTGGGCAGTGGCGGCGGGAGGAACAGCGTCCCCTCCAGCCCTGGGCAGCCCATCACTGTGTCAGCGCGCGCTGGCAATCCTTGCTTGAGAAGAATGGGGTGGTCCCTTCTCTCCTTCTCACCCCCCTACAGCCTAATCCCTGGTTCCTTCCGGGGCTGCCCCACTCCTGTGCCAATGATGTGGGGCATTCTGGAATGTCTGGGGAACCAGGGCACGGTGGATCTGCCCTGGTTGATGGAAGGTAGGGTGGAGAGGAGGGGGGTGCACACAGACATGTCAGACGAGAGGGACGAGCGAGGCCTTGGTGAGTGGGGGCAGGGGCTGGGGGTCCACTGAAGTCCCAGACAGCTGGGAGGGCCAGGGATTAGGGAGGGGCTAGGACAGACGGTTATAACTGTATGTCTGGGTCTAGAGGAGAGGACATACTGGGTCCCCAAGAAAGAGGGGCCGTGTCCCATCCTGGAGTGGCCCATGGTGCCCGGGGTCAAGCCTCCCTTTTCTCCGCATTCCCCCAGACCCTCACCCTTCCCACCTCCCACACCTCACACAGATCCTGAGCTCATGGTGTCCTGCCCTCTGCCACCTTTCCCAGAGCGCATGTCAGGAGGTGACCTCTGCTGCTGCACCCAAAGGGACCATCCTTGGGAGGGGGCGGTCCCTTCATGGGGTGCTCACATGGCCAGCCCTCCTCTGGGCCTCCCCTCCCCAGCCCCCAGGCAGCGCTGCCTGGGACCCCAGCTGCACACTGATTCAGAGACCATCGCATCCCTGCTGAGGGGACCGTGGGCTCAGCCAATAATTGGCCCTGAGTCTTTTCAGCCCTGTTTTCATCCCAGCTCTGCCTTGTGCTGGGACCGTGGGTGGACCACTCCTCCCTTCTAGGCCTCAGTTTTCCTCTCTGCAAAATGGGGTTTGGGCTGGATCATCTCTGAAGGCTCTGAGGACCTACAGTCTATTTTCACTGGCCCACGAGGGAGCAGGGTTCAGGTGGTGGCATCAGAGAAAGGGCTGGGACTCCTTAAGCTCCAAAGATCATCTAGCCCACCTCCTCCCAGCCTTCCGGAGGGAAAGCTGAGGCCCCAGAGGGTAAGTGGCCAGTACAGTGTTCCCAGCTCCAACCTGGGGCTACATTTTAAAGCTAATGGGGCCTCTGCCCTCTGTTGTGTCCTGATTTGCCCCCAGGGGGAGGGGGTGGGAGGAGGACGGGCCAGGGAGAGAAGGACCCTCCTGCTGGAGATTCAAGTGGGGACCCCAGGCTCCCCAGCCCTGAGCTTTGGGCCCCCATTAGGAGCAGACAGAAGTTAAAGCTGGAGGCTGAAGCTGGAGGGGTCAGCCAGGCCCCTCCCTCCTCAACCAGGAGAGCCGTGGGGGTGGGGGAAGGGCAGCCCAGGTTTCAGCGGGGCCTCCGGGGGCTGCAGCACGTGCGCCTGGGTACGCACACCGGGGCGGTGGTGGGGAGAAGATGGACAGGGCCTCAGGGGGCTGGGGGCTGCCTGATGAGGGCGGCCCCCCACCCCCCTGGCCTGCCCTGACCCTTCTATCAGGCCTTCTGGCCCCACCCCACCCCCTGACCCCAGGACTTCACCCACGGCCAACACCTGGCCCTACTCCCCAGTGGTGGCGGTGGCAGCAGCAGCAGGGGCTTCTGGGGTGGCACCGGCAAGGTCCCCGTCCTCTTGCAGCAGGAAGTTGTATTTGCCAAAGTCGTCGTCCCGTGGGCACAGCAGCATGTCCTTGCGAGCCTTGGCCAACTTCTGCTTCAGCACCTCGCGCCGGTCCAGCCACTCGTTGAGCTCCTCCTGTCCATGGGCGCAGCGGCACTTGTCCCCATCTGGGCAGGCTTTGCCCTTCTGGAGCCTGTGGGTGGCAGGAGGCTCACTGCCCGAGCTCTGTGCCCTTCCCACCCCAGGCTGTCCATCTGGGGCCGGCCGCTTGACCTCCCCGAAGACAAGCCTCTCCCTGGGCAGCTGGGTCCCAGCTCAGGGAAAACCTGGGTGTCCTGACCCTCTCTGGGATCTGCCCCACAGCTGCAAATTAAAGGTCTAGATAGGTCTGAGCCCAGCCCTCCCATCCACCCTTCCCCACCACCCCCATGGCTGCAGTCACAGCCAAGCCTCACCACTCCCTGCACACCACCTCCAGGCCAAGAGGAGCCAGAGCTGGCCACGGACTCCATCTCCTCGGGCCACCCCATGTCCCGCCAGGCCCTGCCCTCCCAGGAGCACCTGTCGCAGAGCCGGAACTCGCCCATGGGGAAGCGGAAGGCCCAGCCGCTGGCGTCACTGTCGGACGTGAAGACCTTCTCCTTGTGCTTCTCGGACTGGATGTGCTGCTGCCACTGCTTCTTGCTGTTGCTGTTCTTGCCGCAGAGCCAGCAGTGGTAGCCCATCTGGGAGCACAGCCATCATGGGTGCCTGCTCCCCCACACCTCTGCCCGGACCACCCACCTCGGAGAGGCTGAGCGCTGGCCGGCTGGGCCCTCCAGGCTGCCCCTCCCAGGTGAGGCTCAGACCACAGCCCCGACCGCAGCCCCGAGCATGCAGGGCGGAGGCGTTACCATGATGTCCGCGTAGTCCGTGGGCATCTGGATCTGCTTCTCCCCTTCCCGAGAACTGATGGGGGTCCCTTCTCCAGGCTTTCCTGGGTTGTGTTTTTTCAGCCACATGTCATAGGTCTGCTGCATGTCCAGGACTGGGCAGGGGACAGGGACAGGGCACCTGCTGAGGGGCTTCTCCATCCATTCTGCCCCATGGTCCCCACTTGATTTGGGAGCCGTGGGCGTCCCAAGTCCTGCTGATAGGCCGCTCAGCCTCAGGGCCTGGCCTCAGAGAGGGCCCGGCATGGGGCAGGTGGAGAAGGGCCCAGGTAGCAAAGGGGTGCAGTGGACGCTCTTGGGCCCGCTGGTGAATTGAGACATTCAGCACTGAAGAGACACCGGGGGAGGGCCCGCCCGCCCCGTCTGCCCACTCACTCTTGTTCTCCTTCATGAAGGTCCACATGTCCCTCTCCTCCGGGCTGTGTGCGAAGGAGCAGTTCCCCACATATTGGCACTTGCGGCCGTTCTGTGCATGGATGCAGAGCTGTGGGGTGGGCGTGGGGAGATCCTCTGAGTCCCGCTGGAAAGCATCGCTGCCTCCTGGGGGACCCCCAGCCCCCCATCCCAGCGCTCACATCGTATTGCTGTGGGAAGTTACGAATGGATGGCAGTGGCCTCACTGACACCCATTTCCTCTTGGCCTTGGACATCACCAGAAGGACCCGCCGCTCCTTGGTCCAGCTGCAGGACAGAGCAGGGTTGGGGAGAGGTCAGGGCACAGCCTGTGTGCTGTGTGACCTCTGTGGAGAGCCCTGGCCTCTCTCAGTTGGCCTCCACACCTGTGGTGGTAGGGTGGCCCCATCCCACCTGAGCCCCCACCTGGCATCCCACTCACCAGTGCCGGGCCTTGGCACTACAGTACTTGAGGTCCTTGTCAGGCTCCACCACCTGCCCGTTTCTCCAGCACTGGCCACATACAAACTTCATCTGCAGGTCAAAGGTGCTGGGCCCATGTGTCCTCGGAGCACCCTGTGGGGGGATGGGGAGGGGGGTTGGTGAAGCTGCAGGCACCAGGCCTGAGGCCCTGGAGTCTCCACACAGGTGTCCTCTGGGAGAGCCTTGGAATAAGCTGGTCTGCTCCCAGGTCTTCCTGGCAGGCAGTGACCTCCCAACTGCAGGCCCAAGGGCTTCCCAGGAGAGCCAGGCCTGGAACGGGGCTCCTCTTTCCACCCTCTGTGGCTGGTCCCTGCCTCGCCCAACTCCCTGGGAGGCCTGCTTTGTGGATGCTGCATTTCCCATGGCAAAGCTCCGTTCCGCCACACCTCCCTGCGTTTGTACAGGCTGTTCCCGCTGCCCTTCCTCCACTCTTCATCCAGCCTGTTCTAGAAACTATCCTTCAAAACTCAGCTCAAGCGCATCTCCTGTGGGAAGCCTGCCCCGGAGCTCTCCTAAGCTGCAGCTGTCCATTCAGTGAGCTCCCACAGTCTCTAAACTGCTCCTGTTGACCGACTCACCCGTCTATGAGTGCCGAACCTGTAGAGCGGGGGGTCCAGGAGATGGGAAGCCACCCCGGCAGGGGTAGGGTGGTGGTGGCAGGAGTCAGCCTTGGGCGGTGGGACAGGCGTCTGAGTGGCCCTGGTCTCTGGCCCTCCCTCCAGGGCAAGGCCTTGCTGGTCTCTAAGGCCCCACCCACCACGTTCCTTCTCTGTCCTACGCCCCAGCCTTTGGCCTGCTCTTCTGTACCCCGGGACAGGGTTGGGGGCCAGAGGTAGGAAAAATGCTCACTCTGCCTTGTCTCCTGCCACCTTGAACCCCCTCAGCTGGCTACATTGGCCAGCCTGCTGTTCTGTGAATGCACCAGCTGTCCCCTCTCCCTCATATAACCTCAAGCCTCCCCGTCTTCCCAGGAGCCTCGAGTGCAGGGTCACCCCTTGCTCTTCCAGGCTGCTGGGCATGATCCTCCTGCCATAGGAACTCCCCCACAGAAGCTGTGGCCTACTCCCCACCGTGTCCCCAGCATTGCCCTGCCCAGGGCCTGCCCTGGAGCAGGAAGGAGCTGTCCTCATTGCTGACTGACCCCTGGCCTGGTGCTGGACAACTCGTGGGCTGCTCAGCCCCAGAATAACACACGTGTGACCCTGATGATAAGGTGAGGTCATGCCTTTACGCGTGGGACGGCCTGCACTGGAGCAGGCAACAAGTGGACCCATGTGGCTACTGACTTCTGGGTGTTCCCCTCCATTCTCACAAGAAGCGTGAGAGGAAGGCATTATTACCATTTCTTGGGCGAGATAAAGGGGGCACCGAGGGTATGGTGGCTTAGCCACTGCACTAATGACAGCCACTGCAGTCCTGAGCTCCTCCCTTAGAGCCAGACCCCATGCCCACGTTGATGACTGCATAGTCTCACCAGCTCCTTGCCATAGCAGGTGGCAAGAGGGGTCTCACTATGTTGCCCAGGCTGATCTCAAACTCCTGGCCTCAAGGGATCCTTCTGCCACAGCCTCCTGAGTAGCTGGGCTACAGGTGAGCTACCACACCCAGCTAGTGTTCTCTCTTTCAAAGGTCCCATAAGCCCCTCACTCCTTCCCTGCCAGGCTCCTGGCCAGAAGGAAAAAGAAACAGATGGGGAGGGGAAAAGAGGACTGCACAGGAGACTGATGGAGGGCAGCAGGGACCAGGAAGAGGGGAGAAAAAGAGAAGAGGACCAGGAACAAAGAAGTCAGGGAGCAAGGGAATGCTCGAGGTGGTGGGCAGCCCTGCCAGCCAGCCTGGCCCAGGGACCCCCCGGCAGCCTGCCCTGCTCCCTGCCACACCCTGGTCAGCCTCTTGAAGGGTCCAGGGGCCCAGCCTTCCCCCAAGTTAATCAGCAGGTGGCCTCATGTGGATGAAAGGGTCAGTGCTCATGCCTGGATGGCACAGAGGCCTCATCTCACACTTACTGTCTCCTGGGCGCTGTGCCCACCCCTCTGAGCCCGAGGGTCCTCCACTGTCATCTACAGTTACAGTGATCCCACCACCTGGGGACGATGTGAGCACAGGGCAGCTTAGGTTGGCTCCTGTGAGCCTCACACCCACCCCAGGAGATACGAGGGCCAGGGTTCTGATCCCCGCCTGGGGGTGATGGACAGGAATGCCGCAGGTGGGGAGGGAGAAGAGCGAGCCCCGGACAGGACGTCAGAGAACCTGGGAATTGCCCCACTCAGTGTGCCCCTGGGCAAGTCACTAACAATCTCTCAGCCTCAGCTTCCCCATCTGCAAATGCCACAATCCCATGCTCTCTTCAGGACCATGGCGAAGATCAGGAGGGATGGGAGGGGATACCACAATCAGTGGTGTCAGTCCGAGCAGTACTGGGATATTTACAAGGTCTCAACGTATTTCTCCTGAAGACCTTTTTTTCTTCTTTTTTTTTTTTGAGATGGAGTCTCACTCTGTCACCCAGGCTGGAGGTCAATGGCACAATCTCAACTCACTGCAACCTCTGCCTCCTGGGTTCAAGTAATTCTCCTGCCTCAGCTTCTCAAGTAGCTGGAATTGCAGGTGCCCGCCACCATGCCCGGCTAATTTTTTTGTATTTTTAGTAGAGACGGGGTTTCGTCATGTTTGCCAGGCTGGTCTCAAACTCCTGACCTCAGGTGATCCGCTCACCTCAGCCTCCCAAAGTGCTGGGATTACAGGCGTCAGCCACCACGCCAGGCCTCCTGAAGACTTTTTATTTATTTATTTATTTTTTGAGACGGAGTCTCACACTGTCGCCCTAGCTGGAGTGCAACAGCGTGATCTCAGCTCACTGCAACCTCCACCTCCCGGGTTCACACGATTCTCCTGCCTCAGCCTCCCGAGTAGCTGGGACTACAGGCGCCCGCCACCACGCCCAGCTAATTTTTTGTATTTTTAGTACAGATGGGGTTTCACTATGTTGGACACGCTGGTCTCGAACTCCTGACCTCGTGACCCGCCCGCCTCAGTCTCCCAAAGGCTGGTGGGATTACAGGGGTGAGCCACTGCGCCGGGCCTCTGAAGACCTTTATTAATTACAAACTATAGAAATGATCCCTGAAAGTATAGTCTTAATTACAAAGAGGAAAGCTCTAATTTTACAATAGAGAAATGTTTACAATGGAGGCACCTTGAATCAAGTTATGAAAGTTTAATTAGATTGTCACCAGTGAAGGGACACACTGAGATGACGCATCCCCTGATGTGTGAGCTGAGAACACGACATCACCTCTGTGGAATGAGGAAACTCACACGAGCCCAGAGGGATGGACCTTTTACAAAACATCTGGCTCTTCAAAAACCTCAATGCAACACAAGGCAAAGACTAAAGAACCGTTTCTTCATCAAGGGAGATGAAAAAGAGACACGACAAGGCTCATGCCTGTAATCGCTGCACTTTGGGAGGCCAAGGTGGGAGGATTGCTTGAGCCCAGGAGTTTCAGATAAGCCTGGGCAAGATGGCAAGCCCCACATCCCCAGACCCACGGTCTTAAAAAATAGACAAATCAGCCAGGTGTGGTGGTGCATGCCTGTAATCCCAGCTACTCAGGAGGCTGAGGCAGGAGGATCACCTGAGACCAGGAGGTGGAAGCTGCAGTGGGCCATGATCATACCACTGCACTCCAGGCTGGGTGACAGAGCAAGACCCTGTCTCAAAATAAAATAAAATAAAATAAAATAAAATGAGACACAACAGCTGAATGTGTACATTATCCAAGTTACTTTCATAACTTATTCGAGGTGCCTCCATTGTAAACATTTCTCTATTGTAAAATTAGAGCCTTCCTGTTTGTAATTTGGGGACAATTCACAAAATCTGAATAATGGCATAGTATCAGAAGGCCTTACCATGCTGCTGCTGGCCTTCCCCGCATGCGCCTCCATCTGCTGCCAGTACTTCTTAGACTCCTGAACGATGTCTTCGTGGGTCATGCCTGGGGAGGGTGGGGGCAGACACAGGCATCTTTCAAGGTGCTCAGCAAGGAGGGAGGCAGGGGGTCCACGAGGTGCCAGGGACCCCCGAGGCCCAGCTGGAGGAGCCCTATTCTCAGCCCAGCCACAGTAAGACATGGGGTACAAGGGAACCACTTTGTCCATCTGCAAAATGGGAACAAAGACCTGCTCCGAGCCTCACTGGAAGTGAAAGAATTAAATGCAGCCAAGAGTGGGAAAATGCAGTAGAAAGATATTGGCTCTGTACTGTGGTAGGGAGTCCTCTGCTCCCATGCCAGTGACCCTGTCTCTTGGGCCGGTGACTCAGCACCCTTCCCTGACCCCCATCTCCCTCAACAGGGCTGCAAGCCTAGTGCCTGCTTGGCAGCCCCTGGCCTCACTGGCACTTAGGGCTCCATGCCTGCCCAGCCTGGCTCACCGGTTCACTGTGGTACCACGGCTCTTTACTGCCAGTCCCCAAAGGGCAAATACCCCAGCCTGGTGGCATGGACTCTCCAGTCTGTCTCCCCGCCAGCCTCAGACTGTTGCCACTGAGCCCGACCTTGGAGATCCAGCTCACAACTCTTCCATGAAGCCTGCCCTCTTTTCAGCGCTCTCCATCTTTCTCACGTCTTTCCCACAACAGATGTGGCCTTCCACCTTGACCTATGGCCCCTGCTCCACGACAGCTAATCATCATCGGTGCTTACTTGGGGCAAGACACTGCACTTGACATCCAGTTTCTTGCTGATGATCTGCAAGTATGTATCTACAGGCCAGACCTTTCCTGTGAACCTCCAGATCCCCACATCTGCTGCTTCCAACATCTCCATGTGAAGTCCACCAGGCAGCTCAGACTTCCCACGTCCCACACTGAGCCTGAGCTGCTCCTCTTACAGCCTGCCCCCTCTTAGAACATGGTAGCCCCATTCTTCCTGTTGCTCTGATCTTAGAGTCCACCTTGACGCTCTCCTTTGTCTCATACTTCATATCTGATCCATCAACACATCTTGTTGGCTCCACCCTCAAAATACACCTAGAATCTAACCACTTCTCCCACCTCCAGCATCACCACCCTGGCCCGAGCCACCCTCCCTGATCTCCCGGCTTCTGCCCTTGCTCCTCGATCTCCACCCAGCAGCCAGAGTGACTTTTGCAAAGTACTGATCAGATCATATAACTCCACCCACTTAAAACCCTCCTCCAGACACTGTAAATCATATTTAGAACAACCCCAGTTGTTCCTGTTTAAGGCCTAGAGACTCTTACATGCTCAGTCCCCTCCAACCTCTCAGGCCTCATTCCCCTTCTACTGACTAAGCTGCTCTACCCCCAGGGACCATCCTTTCTGTGCAGAGCTTGCTCCTGCCTCAGAGACTTCAGTCTGGTCCCTCTTCTGGAATGCACTCCCCGCCCTTCCCTGGTCAAAAGTCACTTCCTCAGAGAGGCCTTCCCAGCCATCTTACCTAAAATGCTCCCATCCCCGAGTCTGTCTCTGTCCCATTGCTCGGCTTTATCTTCCTCATAACACTGAGGCACGCCTGAAATGCTACCACTGCATTTCACCAACTCTAAGCAGACACTGAATGTTATATGTACCATATTTTAAATCCCCGCCCCACAAAATGCTGCTAATTAAATGATGACAGGCAGTAGGGGTAAATGTGCATCCTAGAATGGATGGAATACAGGATTTATTCACCTGTTGATATATTATCTGTCTGGCCCCCACTTATAAATGTAGGTTCTCTGAAAGTAAGGGCCTCGACTAGACCATGGCTGAATGCCCTGACAAGAGAAGGTGCTCAGTAAATCCCTGGTGGGTGAGTGGAGAACACCTTCCAATCCCCGCAGCAGCTCTGTGAGGAAGAGATGGGGCTCCCCATTTCCCAGATGAGCACTGGAGGCTCAGTGAGGAGCGGGGACTTGCTGCCGACCACCCAGGGAGCAAGCAGAGGTCCTGCTGCAGGAGCCCAGGTGCTCCTCTCCCCTCTCCGTGCTCCCTGGACGGTGCCTACGAAGGGAAAAACCCAGATCTCCGAGCCTGGAAGCGCCCTGAGAGCAGAGCTTCTCTCCTCTGTGGTGCCTGGGACACACAGAGAGCCCACCCCGCAGCCACCTCTCCTGAACTCTCCCGAAGCCCCCTCCAGCGACCATGGGGCCCTGGCCTGTCACCCCAGTCAGTCCTGCGCTCCCTTCACCTGCGCCGCCTACCCCTCACCTGAGTCACCTGCCCTCCACCTGCACCGCCTGCCCCTCACCTGAGTACTGCTGCAGCAGCCAGACCTTGAGCTCGATGAAGCTGTGGGCGAAGTGGCAGCTGTCCTCCCGCAGGCAGCCGTAGCGCACCTCATGGCGGCACACGTCGAACTGGAAGTGCTCCTGGAACTGGCGGATCTTGGAGTACTTGAGGGAGGTGGAGCGGACGATGTGCACCAGGCACCTGGCGGGCGGGCAGGCAGGAGGGGCACGATGCAGTCCGCAGCCCCTCTGACCTTCTCTCCTGGTAGGGCCACCTTCCCAGTGCCAGGCTCTCCCTGGGCACCCCCTGATCTATGTACCAAATCCAGGCCATGGATGACACAGGAGGGCAGAAACAGGGCTCCTATGCTCAGGCACCCCTGGGCCTGGGTCCCAGCGCTGCTTTACTCCTGTCCCTCCCCCAGGGTTCAAAGATGGAGCTGCCAACAAGCAAAGGGCACCGCCCTCAGGTTTCCAGCTTGATTCTGCAGAGCCGGTCCTGCATCCTGAGGAACACTAACCAAGCATGTCCTCTGGGCCAGGAGTCTTAATTACCCTCACTGCAGCCCCAGGAGCCTAGAGCATCATCAGCTTTACAGACGAGGAAACCCAGGCTTGGACGTAAGACAGGACTGGCCCAGGAATTGGACCCAGGTCTGTCTGACTGCAGGCCCTGGGCTCCATATGCACACCATGGCAGAACCAAGGGGAACAAGAGGGAGAAAGGGGTGGTGCCAGACCTGACCCAGGCCTCCCCTCACTGCCTGACACTGATGTCATGACATTGGAGGGTGCTGGGCTACAGTCAGAGACGAGGCCCCCCGCTTGCTGTCTGCTGAGTAAGCTGAGTAAGCTAAGTAAGCTACTTCCAAGCCTCAGCTTTTTGTTCTGTACAACAGGGCCAGTAACTCCTCCCTCACAGGATTGCTAAGATAATTAACATACCCAAGATGACGCTTGGAATATAGTAGATGTTCGACAAATGTGATTCTCATCCTTTCCAGGTGGAGGCTGGATTTGATTCCCAAATTCTGCCCCTTTCCTTGCACCCTACATCCACCCTTTCAGTTCAGCCTTTCCTCAGCCATCTGAGCTGCCTGAGGGGACTCTCCACTGGCCCCTAGGCCTCAGCCTGGGCTGAGGGTCCCACTCACTTGTTGTTGTAGAAGCTGTGCTTGGCAGCCAGGTTGGAGCAGACAGACGGAGAGTCCTTGGTGCCTTTGCTGATGATCCGGGGTTTACTGTCAAAGCAGATCTGCCCAGGGAGGGGAAGGGCTGGGACCTGGCATGGCCACCTGGGAAGGGGGTGAGCTGGGACCCCACACAGCTAGCTGGGGAAGGACAGCTGGGTCCCTGCAAGCCCTGCCCTGGGTCAGAGGAGTGAGGAAGGGAATCCCAGGGTCTGTGGTCTTGCCTCTCTGCTTCCAGCTCACAGGTGACCTGGGCTTTGGCTCCCTTCCTCACCCTCCTCCCTCCCTCTGATCCCACCACTCCCAATGCCTGAGGCAGGGGGTTACTTCATGTCAAAAAAAAGATAAAAAGGAATGGCAAGTTCTTTATGAACTACAGGCTGTCACCTGGCTATGAACTATGATTCCCAGGCCAATGCTCCCTGTGGGGGGTTGGCACAAGTCCCGACCTGGAAGAGCTAGGGGAAGGGCTGGTGGTGCCAGGGATGAGGGTTGGACTGAGCGGCACCAAACCCTGCCAGCAACCCGGACCTGGAGCCCTTGCTCTACGGACACAGACGTGCCACTGCCCCTGCCCTCAACATGCTATGACTGGGTGGGGAGACAGGGGCCAAGTTCACTCCGGAGGCCAAGCGGGGTCTTCAGGGACAGCTTTGGGGAGGGAATTAACAGCTCAGTGGGGCTGCTGGGATCAGAGTCCAGCTGAGAGGTTCCAAGCCCAGAAACACAGGACAGCGCCCTGTGGGGAGGGCAAACCCAGGCAGGGAAGCGCAATGGCCACTGAAGCCAGGAGGGCCGAGGAAAGGCATGTGGAGGAGGCCTGAGACGTGGGGCCGTGGACACGGCGCTTGGGACGGCTAAGCAGTGCCAAATACATCATACCCACAACAAGGGATGCGGGGGAAGCCCCGGACAGGCCCTCAATCTGCCTGTGTCCTGGGGGTTTGGCTGTGGGGACCACCAGCAGCAGCTGGTGCTGGGAGGTGGGCATGACTCCAGGGACAGGCTGCCTGGGTTTGAAGCTCAGTTCTGCACGGCACTGTCTGTGTGGCTGAGGGCAGTTCCTCGCTACCCTGAATCTCAGCCTCAACATCTGTAAAATGGGGATATCTGCCTGCCAGCACTGCCGTGACGATGGAAATGACATTTTTTTTTTTTTTTTTTTGGAATAGGGTCTCACTCTGTCACCCAGGCTGGAGTGCAGTGGTTCGATCTTGGCTCACTGCAGCCTCTACCTCCTGGACGCAAGCAATCAATCCTCCCACCTTAGCCTCCTGAGTAACTGGGACGGGAGGCGCATGCCACCAAGCCCAGCTAATTTTTAATTTTTTTTTGAGATGGAGTCTCTAGTGCAGTTGCGCGATCTCGGCTCACTGCAACCTTTGCCTCCCCAGTTCAAGTGATTCTCCTGCCTCAGCCTCCCAACTAGCTGGGACTACAGGCGTGCACCACAACGCCCAGCTAATTTTTGTATTTTTAGTAGAGACAGGGTTTCACCGTGTTGGCCAGGCTGGTCTCAAACTCCTGACCTCAATTGATTTGCCCGCCTCAGCCTCCCAAAGTGCTGGGATTACAGGCGTGAGCCACTGCATCAGGCTAGGAATGAGAAACGAAAACAACCACGTGCCAAGCCCTGCCTATGACTGGCTGTCAGAAAAGAGCAGGTGTGAGGGTTATGATTTTTCTTTCCAGCCTCAGTTTCTGCCTCTGCAAAATGAGGGGGCTGGATCAGATCTGGCCTCTAGCAAGATAGGATCCTAGGGCCCAGACTTACTGACCCTCCAGGACCTACTGGTTCTAAGACCAGGCCTCCACAGCCCACGGGTTCCAGGGCTGACTTCCTATGGTGGTCCGTGCCAGGGAGCATCCCCAGCCCTGTCTGTGCCATGGCCTATGGGGTGGCAGTGGGTGGGTGGGCAGTACCTCGCAGAGGAAGGTGAAGATGCCCTGGTGCTCCTTCAGGAGCTTGGCGATGGTGAGGCTGCCGCGCTTAACACCCCCCAGCGGGTCGAAGAGCAGGTCGCGGTTGAGGGTGCCCTTCCGCTCCTCGGTCCACACGTCGATCTCCTCCTGATGGTAGGCGAAGGTGCAGTTATCCCCGTACTTACAGTCCTGCTTGTTAATCATGTCTGCAAAGAGGCAACAGGACACACGTTCCGCCAGGCGGGGATAGCAGCCCGCAGCACCCTCGCCACCCCGCTGCGGCCTGTGGGGCTCTGGCCCCATGAGCCAGGCAGGGCTTCGCTCCACCCCAACACAGCTAGGTGAGCCAGGGGCTGCTGCACCCCCTGCCAGGACTTGGCAGAGCTGGGAAGTCCTTTCCAAATACCAGGCCCCCTTCTGCACCCCAACGCAGGTGAGGCAGGGTCTGCTGCACCCCCTGCTGCCAGGACTTGGCAGGGCTGAAAATTCCTTTCCAAATACAAGGCCCGCTTCTGCACTCCACACCTGCAGAGTACAGTAATCACTCCTACCCCACTCACCCCACAGGATTGCTTTTGTAGAAGTATACAAGTCTCTAAATAAATAGAAGGGATTTTTTTTTTGAGATGGAGTTTTGCTCTTGTTGCCCATGCTGGAGTGCAATGGCACGATTTCAGCTCACTGCAACCTCCGCCTCCTGGATTCAAGTGATTCTCCTGCCTCAGCCTCCCGAGTAGCTGGGATTACAGGCACCCGCCACCACGCCCGGCTAATTTTGTATTTTTAGTAAAGACAGGGTTTCTCCATGTTGGTCAGGCTGGTCTCAAACTCCCGACCTCAGGTGATCCACCCCCCTCGGCCTCCCAAAGTGCTGGGATTACAGGCATGAGCCACTGTGACTGGCAAATATAAGGGATTTAAAAATAATTATTCACCAGGAAAAGAACACTGCATGGTTAAGAGCATGTAATTTGGCGTCAGACAGAATTGGGCTAGGATTCCTCATTACTCCCCGAGCCTCAGCTGTCTTTGCTATGAATGGAGGAGACTGGGTTGTTGGAATCAAGTGAGATAATACATAAAGCTGGCGGGGGCGCTGGACATGGTGGCTCATGCCTGTAATCCTAGGACTTTGGGAGGCTGAGGCAGGAGAATTGCTTGAGGCAAGGACTTCAAGACCAGGCTGGGCAACAAATTAAGAACCCTATCTCTACAAAAAAGTTAAAAATTAAAGAATAAGCTGGGTGTGGTGGCATGTGCCTGTAGTCTCAGCTACTCAAGAGGCTGAGGCAAGAAGATGGCTTAAGCCCAGGAGGTTGAAGCTGCAGTGAGCTATAACAGCACCACTCACTCTGGCCTGGGCAACAGAGCAAGACCCTGTCTCATAAAACAAAAACAAACCAAAACAAAATTTCTGGGGGCTGGGCCATCTGGAGAGAGGAAAGGTGGCTCAGAACCTGGAGCTCTGCTGTTTCCTGGGGGTGGGACCTGTTTTTCTTTCTCCTCCTCCCACTCTAAGTCTGCCTTGTCCCATCTCTCTGCCAGGCTCTTGGCGCACAAGGACAAACAGGCCACAGACCTGGAGGAGTGGGGCAGATCCCTGGGTGGGAGTGGGGGTGATTGCAAGGGGAAGCACCGCAGAGAAGGGCTTCCCAAGATTCAGGCGGTGCTTGAAGGAGGAGCAGAGGGTGACTAGGCTCAAAGGGCACAGCGTGTGTGACGGAATCAGGGAGGGTCAGTGCATTTGGGGAATGGTTAGGGCAGAGGGGTGAGGGGGTGGATACGGGCACGTGTAGGTCTTGTTGCAGAATGTGGACTTCATCCCACTGGCCACGGGCAGTGGCTGATGGAGGCCTTTGACCCAAGAGTGACATGTCCTTAGACCAGCCTGGCTGCTGGGAGGACAAGGAGCAAGTTCAGGAGGCCTGGGCGGGCCACTGCTAGGGGCCAGGTTGGGGGAGAGGCAGAGCCGTGGGTGCACTCTCAAAGCCTCCGTTTCCTCCTCCAGAGCTGTGAGGCTGCATGCTGGTGAAATGAAAGGGCTACACTGGGAAGGCCTTAGCAATTCGTGACTATTCACATATCGCCGTACAGCGGGACCAAGGCGCTTGGCTGGGACCAGAAAGAAGCTAGTCAGGGACATGATGGATGTCCATTAAATACCAACCAGGCTGATGTGAGCCAGAAATGAGGACAGTGACAACAGAAGAGTGACAGAGAGCTCAAGTGGATGGAGCCCTCACCATGCGCCAGTCCTAAATGCTTCATGTGGCTGCTGGGCACACTGCCCCGCGGCCCCTCAGGGCCCTACAGTGGTAAGAGAAGCCAGCCCCCTATGAGTCATGTAGGCTCCTGACACTCCAGAGCACAGGCCAGTGACGGGCTCGGTCTCCAGCTGAATGTCCCAAATGTGTCCCACCTGCCTCTGGAAGCTGCTAAGGGAAGAAGACGCTCATTCTGATGTGGAATTCATCCTGCACGGGCCCCAGGAGCCTAGGCCGTGGCTTTCTCCTCCCGTGCAGCTGTGAGGCCCACCCCTGTTCTGTCTACCTGTGATGGGGAGTAGAGCAGCGGCTGGGGGTGGAGGGGCTGGGCCCCAGCTGTGCTGCCTGCCCCGCTGCAGCCCACCCACCTTTGCACAGGTAGTAGGAGCCCACGAAGCTGGTCTTAGTGGGCCGGGGCCGGATCCGCTTCCAGGTCTGGTCCTCCGAGCTCCGGAGCCGGCCGAGCAGGATGTCCCGCTTGCACTTGTGCTCAAGGCCCTCACGGTAGGTGTAGTCGCCAGCCCGGGGGCCTATGGGCAGGGTGGACACACATGATAATTCCGGAAGCAGAATTGAAGAGTGATGGCTGGCAGGCCCATGCGGTGGGTAGGAATCGGCCCCCTCCTTATATACCTACCTCCCCTCTGAGGGCCTCCTGCCAGCTCCCACCACACCCTTCCTGGCTACTTGCTCCCTGGAGACCGGGGGACTGTGCTGGGGGAAGCCCCTCGAAGGAGCCCATTCTTGGCACCCATCCCCCCTCCTTTTTTTTGAGACAGAGTCTCACTCAGTCACCCAGGCTGGAGTGCAGTAGTGTGATCCCAACTCACTGCAACCTCTGCCTTCCGGGTTCAAGCAATTCTCCTGCCTCAGCCTCCCGAGTAGCTGGGACTATAAGCGAGCACCACCAAGCCTGGCTACTTTTTGTATTTTTAGTAGAGACAGGATTTCACCATGTTGGCCAGGCTGATCTCAAACTCCTGACCTCAAGTGATCTGCCTGCCTCAGCCTCACAAAATGCTGGGATTACAGGTGTGAGCCACCGCATCCGGCCTACCCATCCTTTTTCTACCACCGTCCTCACTCTCTAGTGAGTCTGACCATGTTAGTGTTTCTCTAGAAAGGACTGTGAAGGTGGTGCCTGGCAGGGACAGACCCCAAACTCCTGCCCCTTTCCTTTTCTGCCCCAGAGGGGCTTCTGATTTCTGGCACTTATCTCCAACTGAGACACTGGGATTCTTTTGATCTGGGATCCCATGTTCCTGAGATTCCCAGTTCTCTGGGCAGAGGGGTGGAGTCTACAGGTGAAAGTTTACCTGTCTTGGGGTAGCAGAGCTGGCAGGCCTGCTTGAACTCGTGGGTGGCAGCCAAGGGGTTCTTGATGAGCAAGGCAGTGTTGGGCATGCAGGGCTCTGGCTGTGACAGGAGGAAGGAGGCCATTGTGGGCACTGGATGATGGCTGAGGCCACTGGGGCCAGCCAGGGCACCAGAAGTGGGGAGTGCTCTATGACCCCCCTATCCTACCCAAGAGCAAAACCACAGCCCAGGACCCTTCCTCTTCCTCCACCCTCCCAGCCAGGGGAGTTCTTTGTAATGTGGTCCAAGAGTCTAAAATATCAGGACCACCTTGGTCCCAGCATATGGTCCCAGGCTAGTGGGTGACCTGGGTCTTGGCTCTGAGCCTTTCTTTGAAGGCAAGTTGAATGTGAAAGCATAGAAATGGGAGGGGCCGTGATTGCAGCCTGTGCTCATGCCCTCCCCCAATCCCCCAAGTCATCAGCAGATGGGGAGGAAGGCAAGACTCAGAGAGGTTAGGGAAATTCCCCAGGACCACACAGCTAGTGTAGGTCAGAGTGTAGCAAGCTCTTTTTTTTTTTTTTTTGAGATGGAGTTTTGCTCTTGTTGCCCAGGCTAGAGTGCAATGGCGTGCTCTCAGCTCACCGCAACCTCCACCTCCCAGGTTCAAGCGATTCTCCTGCCTCAGCCTCCTGAGTACCTGGGATTACAGGTGTCCGCCACTACACCCAGCTAATTTTTGTATTTTTAATAGAGACGGGGTATCACCATGTTGGCCAGGCTGGTCTCGAACTCCTGACCTTGTGATCTGCACACCTCGGCCTCCCAAAGTGCTGGGATTATAGGCATGAGCCACCACGCCTGGCCCCTCATCAGATGTTCTTTTATTATTATTTTCTTTTTTTTGAGACGGAGTCTCGCTCTGTCGCCCAGGCTGGAATGCAGTGGCGCGATCTCGGCTCACTGCAAACTCTGCCTCCCGGGTTCATGCCATTCTTCTGCCTCAGCCTCGCGAGTAGCTGGGACTACAGGTGCCCACCACCACACCCGGCTAATTTTTTGTATTTTTAGTAGAGACGGGGTTTCACTGTGTTAGCCAGGATGGTCTCAATCTCCTGACCTTGTGATCCGCCCAACTCGGCCTCCCAAAGTGCTGGGATTACAGGCATGAGCCACCGCGCCCGGCCCAGATGCTCTTTTAAACTCAGGACCGGACTGAGTCTGGAGACCAGGGATGCTACTAACACTGGGGAAGTCACTTCACTCTCTGAGACTTGAATTCTTCCATCAGACAAGGGCAGTGGTGCCCTCTGTGTGCCCGCCCAGCATATGGCTTGGTGAGGAAGGGCACGAGGTGATCATCTTTGATCCATCCACTCTGGGAGTGCCCCGCCGTGGGGAATGCAGTGCCTTACCCCATGCAGAGGGCTCATTCCCCAACTCTAGAACCCACAACCCCCAGCAGGGAATGAGAGGCCTGGATCCCCACTCAAGTCACTCACCGAGGGGGCTGGTTTCTGAGCACCGCTAGGGGGACGGTGGTCCTGTGAGTTGGTCTCCTCTGGGCAGGGAGAAGACACAGGGGTCAGTGGCTCTGGCTCTGAGGCGTGAGGGGCCTTCCTAGGGCTTCCCCTTATGTATTGCTGACTCGGAGAAGCCCCCAGGCCACACATCCTCTCCTACTCCTGCTGAACCCCTGACTCTATCCTCTCCTCTCCACTCCCCAGGGGCAAAGACGCCTCCCAGCCTGAGTGTGTCCACTCTTTGCTTAAACTTGCCAGGGCTTCCCGCTGCCCGTAGGAGAAAGCCCAAGTTCCTTAGCTTGCTCCCAGGTCCTCGGAGACCAAGGCCCCCACCCCAGCTGCTCCGCTCATCAGCCAGCCCCGCGCCATGCCATGCCAGGCTAGTGCCCCTGCTTCCTCTGCCTGGCAGGTGAACTTTTCCTTCAAGACCCTGCCTAGTCATCACTTCCTCCAGGAAGCCTCCTTTGGCCCTGAGGCTGAGTGAAGTCCCCTCCGTGCCCCGACAGTCCCGTTAAGCCCTCTCAGTCGAGTGCCCTGGGCTGTGTCCGACTGCCGAAAGCTAGCCCCACCAGCGCCCAGACAAGACGGCTTCCTCCCTGGGTCCCTGGCACCCAGCCCAGAGTGGTGCAGTGGGAGGCCATGACCTTGTGCTCCGCCCCCAGCCTCAGGATCATCCCATGGGATCTCACCAGCCTGGTGACCCAGGGTCCCGGGAGGCTGGGCAGGGAGCACCAGACTGGGAGTCTAGAGGCCTGGACTGTCGCAGCTCTCCTCTGCTTGATCTTGAACAAGACACCCACCCCTCAGGCCCAGCCCCACACTGTGCTGAGCACTGCAGAGACGGCAACACACAGACATGGCCTGGGATTGCTAAGGAGTGATGGGGACAAACAGATCTGTAACTCAACTCCACTCTCCAGGCACCAAAGAGGCCACAGCACTGTGCAACCTGTCCAGGGAGGTTGAACGGGCCCACCCATGGCCTTACCCATGAAGGAGTCAGGTTTGTCCAGGGAGCCTCGTGTCGACCCAAAGCTGTCGAGTGCATCCAGCCGGGTCTCCGAGTACGGCAGCAGGTCCAGGGGGTCCAGCGTGGGGCCCGGGGGATCGAGGGCATCCAGCACAGAGGCGGCCAGCTTCTTGGAGGGGTCCATGACCAAGCCGAAGGAGGCGGGGGGCAGTGGGCTGGAGACAGGGATGGAGCCACCCACCACAGGTGGTAGCAGTGGGGTCCCGCCGGGGAACACGGGTATCAGCTGGGGCAACTCACTAGGCACGCCGCTGCCAGACAGGCCACCCTGGACCAGAGACTATGAGGCAGGGACAGAGGGAGGGGTCAGAGGAAAACAGGACTGCCCAGGCCTGGGCAGCATCAGGACTTGGGGAAGCAAGGAGACCTGCACCCTGTCGCCTGGCTTCATCCTGTCCCATGTGGGAGCAGGGCTCACTATGGTCCCTTCTGGCCAGACATTGTGCAGCTTCATTTCTTTTTTTTTTTTTGAGACGGAGTCTTGCTCCACTGCCCAGGCTGGAGTGCAGTGGTGTGATCTCGGCTCACTGCAACCTCCGCCTCCCGGGTTCAAGCGATTCTCCGGCCTCAGCCTCCTGAGGAGCTGAGACCACAGGCATGTGCCACCATGCCCGGCTAATTTTTGTATTTTTAGTAGAGAGGGGGTTTCACCACGTTGGCCAGGCTGGTCTCGAATTCCTGACCTCAAGTAATCCGCTGCCTTGGCCTCCCAAAGTATTGGGATTACAGGCGTGAGCCACCGTGCCCAGTGTGCAGCTTCATTTCTGTACCAAACAAGTCCCTACTGAGGCCTCCTCCTGAGACACATGACATGAGCATTGGGGCCTTCCCTCCACCCCTGGGACAATGGGGACACAGCGGGGAGAGGGGATCAGGGGAGCACAAGGAGGGTGGTGTGGCTCACCAGCGAGTCCAGGAGGGTGTCCAGCTCTGGGCCAAAGACATCCCCGTCTGAGAAGTCATCCAGGCTGTCGGTGCTGGGGAGGGTCCTGCTGCTGTCCAGGGGGGCCAGCAGGTCCAGAACGTGAGGGAACAGGGGCATCGTGGGCGTGGAGGGGAGAAGGGCTGGGGAGCCTCGAGGGTCCACGTAGCAGTCTGCGGATGGGGTGGGCAAGAGCCGAAGGGGAGCACTGCTTGGTGAGGGTGGAGGAGGCGTCCCGGGCCCCGTGATGCTCATCCAACACTTTCCCTTCTTCTTTCAGCTCTTGCCAGGAGCCCTGCCTTCCCCATCGGCTGATCCCACTGGCAGATGCTCAGGGGGTGGTCAAGGAAGGCCACAGCCCCAGAGCAGGGAGGGGCCCTCAGTCCTATGATGTCAATCCTTGGCCCAGGCTCAATGCCTAAATGTCCACCACTGCTGCCTCCTTCTTCTGGGGTAAGCAATGCCCTCTCCAGGGGACACTCTTAAAAGGCAACCTTTTCTGGAAGCCAATGAGGAAGAGGAGGGGAAAGGGCTTTGGAAGAGGTGGGGGTGTGCAGGCAGCCAGGAGTGAAGGCCATGGGACTGTTGCACCTAGCTAAGAGGCAGCACCCCTCTCTGCCAGACTAGAGATGCCCTCCCCTCCTTGAGTGGGTCTGTAGCTCTCAACCCACTGTTTTCTCCCATGCCTCAGGGAGTACCAGGGTGGGGAACCCCTCGGAGGCCCTCCCATCTACAGGGCTGGGATGGGGAGGGGGCTCGACTCCCCTGACCTCTCGGGGCCCCAATTTCCACTTGTTCCCTCGTATCGGGGACATTACCTGTTTCGATGTCATCTATGGACCCCAATCCATTAGAAGTTCCCTGTGGGGAGAGGGCCACAGTGGCGCTGTGGCTGGGAAGGCCCCGATCCCAGCACCCAGCACCAGCCCCTCCCCACGTGACTATGCTGTTGACCCAGCACCGAGGAGCACTTAGAGTGCCAGGGGAGATTAAAGCCCTCACATGCGGCCAGGCGTGGTGGCTTATGCCTATAATCCCAGCACTTGGGGAGGCTGAGGTGGGTGGATCACCTGAGGTCAGAAATTCAAGACCAGCATGGCCAACATGGTGAAACCTCATCTCTACTAAAAATACAAAAATTAGTCGGGCATGGTGGCAGGAGCCTGTAACCCCAGCTACTTGGGAGGCTGAGGCAGGAGAATGGTTTGAACCCAGGAGGTGGATGTTGCAGTGAGCCGAGATCATGCCACTATACTCCAGCCTGGGCAACAGAGCGAGACTCTACCTCAAAAAAAAAAAAAAAAAGCCCTCACACGTGCTGGGTCCTCACCCCTGTGGTGCCCAGCAAGGGGCTGGATGGGCCAGCAGGTGGGGGCATGGGCTCAGTGGATCCCCACAGCTGTCCCTCTAGGGAGGGGTGGTTGAGGGCAGGGAGAGAACCTCTGAGTCTTGGTTCCACCCACCACAGGGCAGGGTCCTCACCCCGGTGAAGGTGGCAAGGGTCTTAGCAAGCCTCCCCCCACAGCACCACAGATGGCCTGCAGTTCAAAGACAAAAGTGCCCCCTCCCTGAGTCCCCAGGCTCTCCTCTCCCACGGTAGCCCCAGGCCCCCCAGGAAGCAGAGAAGGGCATAAACCCAGGTGGGATCCCACTGCCTTCCTGCTGGAGGAAAGCTGGGCCTGAGCAGGCTGTACAACCTGGGCAAAGTTCCCCATCCACTCTGGGCCTGCTTCACTCACCGCTGGGGAAGGCTATCAGGATGAAATGACTTGCTATGTGTGAAGTGCTTAGAACGGGGCCTGGCACACAGGAAGTGCTTTGTGTTTTGGGTTTGTTTTTTTTTTTTGAGACAGAGTCTCACTCTGTTCCCTAAGCTGGAGTGCAGTGGCATGATCTTGGCTCACTGCAACCTCTACCTCCCGGGTTCAAGCAATTCTCCTGCCTCAGCCTCCCGAGTAGCTGGAATTACAGGCACCCGTCACCACGCCTGACTAACTTTTTTGTATTTTTATTTTGTATTTTTATTTATTCTTTTTTGAGATGGAGATTTGCTCTTGTTGCCCAGGCTGGAGTGCAATGGTGCGATCTTGGCTTACCGAAACCTCTGCCTCCCAGGTTCAAGCGATTCTCCTGCCTCAGCCTCCCAAGTAGCTGGGATTACAGGCATGCGCCACCATGCCTGGCTAATTTTTGTATTTTTAGTAGAGATGGGGTTTCTCCATGTTGGTCAGGCTGGTCTTGAATTCCGGACCTTAGGTGATCCACCTCCCTCAACCGCCCAAAGTGCTGGGATTACAGGCCTGAGCCACCACACCCAACTTTTTTTTTTTGAGATGGAGTCTCGTTTGGTCACCCAGGCTGCAGTGCAATGGTGTGATCTCAGCTCACTACAACCTCCGACTCCCACATTCAAGTGATTCTCTAATCTCGGCCTCCTGAGTAGCTGGGATTACAGAAGCATGCCACCATGCCCAGCTAATTTTTGAATATATATATATATTTTTTTTCTTTGAGATGGAGTCTCACTCTGTAGCCCAGGCTGGAGTGCAGTGGCACGATCTCAGCTCACTGTAAGCTCCGCCTCCTGGGTTCATGCCATTCTCCTGCCTCAGCCTCCAGACTAGCTGGGACTACAGGCACCCGCCACCACGCCTGGCTAATTTTTTGTATTTTTAGTAGAGATGGGGTTTCACCGTGTTAGCCAGGATGGTCTCGATATCCTGACCTCGTGATCCACCCGCCTCGGCCTCCCAGAGTGCTGGGATTATAGGTGTGAGCCACCGCGCCCAGCTAATTTTTGAATTTTTTAGTAGAGATGGGGTTTCACCATGTTAGCCAGGTTGATCTCAAACTCCTGACTTCAAATGATCCACCCGCCTTGGCCTCCCAATGTGCTGGGATTACTGGCGTGAGCCACCGTGCCCGGCCTGTGTTGATTAGATGCACAGTTTCTGGAAGTTGGGCTGGGAGAGCTGCTGTTTCGTTCAACAGTTCCCACACTCCAACCTCCAGGCTGTGGTGCATCCTTCCCTGTCCTGAACACCCTCCCCTTTTTCTCTGAGTCCTTCACAGTCCAGCTCAAGTCCTGCTTCCCTGGTGAGGCCCTGGGTGGCCCCACCCTTTCTGTGTCCCCACGGAGAGCCGGATGGAGGACCAGACTCCACCACTAGCCTTCCTTTCCCAGGACCAGCAGCCACAGGACCAGCAGCTAGACTCATCCAGCATCCTGCCTCACGCCAGCCCAGGCCAGCATCTCACACCCACTGTGGGGTTTAGCCCTCGGTCCAGGCGCCCTGCGAGGTATCATCCCACGGCATGGAAATGTCAGCCCAGAAAGCTGCTATGCACAGATCAGAGCAGGGCTGTCTGACCCAAGAGCCTGTCCTGACTCTGTCCCCTGGAACTGTACACTCCCCCATCCATACCTGCACCAACACCCTGCACCTCCTTCCCACACCTGAGCCTGCCATAGAGCACATGGCAAATGTGTGCACTTCAGTCTCCGGAGTGTCTGCCCACCATAGATTGGCTGCCAAACCAAGGCCGCCACGCTGGATCACAGAGCTGCTATCCTCATGGTAAGTACATAAAGTCTTTGAGGGAAAGAGAGGTACCAGATGAACATCTCTAGGGAAAGCGGTGATTCTCCCTGCTAGATCCTGCCCATGGCTCCCAGGCCACGCAGGACAAAGTCACCTTCTCAGCCCTCCTGCCCATGCCATCACCCCAGCCTGCCAGGCTCACTGTTCCTGCCCTTCTGCATGGCACTCCTTCTGGTGACATCTGTTTGGCAACAAAGGTCTATGGAGCTCTATCTCTTCTGCAGACGCCCTGCTGGGAGCTTTCACATTGACCCATTGTAATTCTATAACCCCCACAAAATGGCAGGTACCGGACCCCTGCAAAAGAGAAGGAAGCCAAGGCTCTGAGGGGTGGAGTGGCCTGCGTAGATAAGGAGCGTGCTCAGGATCTGATCCAAAGCACGTTCCACTGCAGAGCCCAGGCTATTCCGAGCCCCATAGGAGGAACTGGTCTTGTGATCTGGGGTGTCTGTCTCTTTTGCTGCTTAGCCTTTGTGCAGGCTGTGCTCCTGGTCATGAGTGCCATTTCCCCCTCTCCAGCTCTCCCTTCCTCTTAGTCTTGCTTCCCTGGCTCGCTGAAGCCCTTTCCAACCAAGGCTGCCTTGGGCTCTCTGTTCCTGGAACTCACAGCCCTCCTTGCATCTTGTTCCCCACGATGCCAGGGACAGCTCTTGCACAGACACTGTCTTGCAGGGCCTCTGCCTGGCTCCTAGGTCATAAGAAGCTCCCTGTGGGCACAGCCTGGTCCATCCCCACTTCCAGGTGCACATGTGAAATGACCAGCCGGCTGAATGAATATGGTGCTCATGGTGGAGAACCTACAGGGACCCCTGCAGCCTGCATTTACTTGTGTCTGTGCACAACTCACGGAAGGCCAGGGGCTCTGGCTGGGACACCACCCTGCCCTCATGTGTCCTAGGGCACTCCGTTTGTGCATGTGCACATGTGTGTGCTCACATGTGTGCTGTACCATGTTGGGCAAACTGAGTTCATGAGGCAGGGTCTGAACTGGTCCTCTCCACTGTGGGCTTCTTAGAGCCCTCCCTAACCATGCCCTCCTGACCTCTATGAATGTGCAGGAGGAGCCCAGCAAGATTGCAGGGATGGGTGAACAGCCTGGCAGGGACTGGGGGGGGCCTGGTGCCAGGTATGGCACCATCTGTGGTCATCTGGCTGCAGACTAAGCAAGGCTTTGCGGCCTTGGCCCTGGAGAGCTGGGCATTCAGCCCATATTTGCTGTGGCCCCCTGGCCGCAGTCATTCAATCATTCAACAAATATTTTTTGAGCATCTGCTGTGCCTGCCCAGCCCAGCTCCACTTGCTGTGATGAGACGCTACCTTGGTGCTCTATTCCCAGTGTCTGAACTGACACTGGGTACAAAGCAGTGCTCAATAAATACCTTCCGAATAAATGAATAGAATTAATGCTGCCTCCCCTCAATGCCTTCCCAATGCTAAGACTGAGCTTCTTATCAGGGGTCAAGCGGTCTGGCTTCTATCTCCTGTTCCAGGACCCCCAGCTCTGCCTTGGTGTTGGTTCCTCCCACACTCTGAGCTCCTCCAGGCCTCAGGGCCTTTGCACATACCTTCCACCTGGTCTGGAATGCTGTTTCACCTGCACACCCTGCCCCTAACTCTTCAACCTTCCGGTCTCAGCTTAAATGTCACTGAATCCTGTCTAAATCAGGGCTCCCAGTCTCAATGGCCCAGGTCTCCCCATACTCTGCCTTCACAGCCCTCATCACAGTTTGAAACCAGAAATGATCTGCCTAATGTCCTAATGTCCATCCTAGACTGTGAGCTCTTTGAGGGCAGGAAACAGATTTGTTTTGTTTATCACATACCCAACCCCAAGCTCAGTGCTTGGCCCATACTGGGTAAACTTAGACAAATCACCTTTCATTCATTTAATGTTTTCTCGTTGGAGCACCTGGTATGTGCCAGGCCTAATAATTTCTTTTATTTTTCAGATGGAGTCTCATTCTGTCTCTCAGGCTGGAGTGTAATGGCGCGATCTCGGCTCACTGCAAACTGTGCCTCCTGGGTTCAAGTGATTCTCCTGCCTCAGCCTCCCAAGTAGCTGGAACTACAGGCACATGCCACCATGCCCGGCTAATTTTTGTATTTTTGGCAGGGATGGGGTTTCATTATGTTGGCCAGGCTGGTCTTTAACTCCCGAAATTAAGTGATCACCCACCTCGGCCTCCCAAATTGCTGGGATTACAGGCATGAGCCACCATGCCTGACCTATAATTTCTGATTATAAACCATGAGTGCTACAAAGGCAGATCATCAACTGCCTACTTTGCAGGCTGGGAGGTCCCTGAGGGCAAGGACGCAGCTCTCTCAGGCCCAGGGCCGAGAGTGTTTTGTGGGCCTCCTTATGGAATGAATGAAAGAAAGTGCTGCAAAGCTCTGGAGGAGGGAGGCCTGCTGCTGCCTCGCTGTGTGACACTGGCCCCGTCCCCTCCCCACTCTGTGCCTCAGTTTCCCTTAATGTACAAGGTGGCAGGACCCCAGGCTCCATCAGTGCTCTTATAGCCCATCTCTCACTTTCCAGAAAGCCTCAAAGTCTACCTGAGCAGCGGGCAGGGGTCTCAGTCGTGTGCCAGGCCCTGCCTCACCCCCCTGGGATGAGCCAGGCCTGACTGGGGTGCACAAGTGTCTTGGCCCTTGGGAGGAGTCCCCAACTCAGGACAGCACAGCAGCTATCCACAGTGACTGCCCACTGCATTTCCTGCTGGGTCGTGTGTGCCAGGTTATCAAGCACTTTCCTCCCTTGTTCCCGTTGAGGGATGGTCCGCATTTCAGAATGCAGAAACTGAAGGACCTGCCCAAGGCTGCAGGGCCCAGTTGGGCTCTTCCTTGTCAGAGTCCTCAGTCTCGGCTGCCCCTCCCAAGCAGAGTCACTGAGCCAGGGAGAGCAGGATGGGTTTCGGCAGGGGCATGCCCTTGAGCTGGGCTTTGAAAAGCGAAAAGACAGAGAAAGGCAGGGTGGGGAAGAGGAAGACATTTGAGGCCCAGGGGCCTGAACCTGCAGAAAGGCTGGTGAGAAAAAAGGCAACACAGCAGGAAATGTGGGGCAGGAGGCAGAAGGAAGGCGTGTGGGACCAGGCTGCCCAGACTGTGTCCTGGCCAGGGTTCAAGAGTGAGGCTGCCCCCGGCGGCTCCCCGGCAATGACCACTCCCTGCCAACAGCAGCCATGGCCTGTCCCCACATCCTGCCCCCGTGGACACGGGAGGTACCTCCTAGGGAGGCGGAGGCCCCTGGACCCACTGCCTGAGGTCATTTATACCCGGAGAGAGTGAATCCAAACCTCTCATAATGGATAAACTGAGACAGGTTGGTTCAGCCCCGATCCTACCTGATCTGCCACGCCAGCCGCAGTGCCGTTACTGAGCAGAGAAAAGGTTTCCAATTCCTGCCAGAGATTGGAGAGAGGTGGGCAGAGGTAAAGATTCTGAAAAGATGCTCAAGGTCCCCTTAGCTGGGGCAGCAAAGAGGCCCTGACACAAGCAGCTGGGGTCTGCAGCGCCCCCGAGAGTCCCTGTCCCCAGGCCTGCCGGAAATCAACTGCTCTGTCTCTCTGGGTCAGATTCTGGGGTTTTCTTCTTCCAACCTTGACCTGGGCAGAGGACCTCCCTGCACACCTCTACTGTGTGTCAGGCACCATGCTAGGCACCATCTCAAACATTCTATTTTTTTATTTGTTAATTTTTAAATTTTTTCTGAGACAGAGTCTCACTTTGTCCCCTAGGCTGGATGCAATCTCGGCTCTCTGCAGCCTTGACCTCTGGGGTTCATGTGATCCTCCCACCTCAGCCTCCCAAGTAGCTGAGACTACAGGCATGCACCACCACACCAGGCTAATTTTTGTACTTTTTGTAGAGATACGGTTTCGCCATGTTGCCCAGGCTGGTCTTGAACTCCTGAGCTCAAGCAACCTGCCCACCTCGGCCTCCCAAAGTACTACGATTATAGGCATGAACCACTGCACCCGGCCCATTTGCTCTCTCTTTTTTTTTTTTTTTTTTTTTGAGGCAGAGTCTCGCTCTGTTGCCCAGGCTGGAGTGCAGTGGCACGATCTCTGCTCACTGCAAGTCCCGCCTCCTGGGTTCACACCATTCTCCTGCCTCAGCCTTCAGAGTAGCTGGGACTACAGGCGCTCGCTACCACCCCCGCTAATTTTTTCGTATTTTTAGTAGAGACAGGCTTTCACTGCGTTAGCCAGGATGGTCTGGTCTCGATCTCCTGACCTCGTGATCCTCCCACCGCGGCCTCCCAAAGTGCTGGGATTACAGGCATGAGCCACCGCGCCCGGCCTTTTATTTATTTATTTTTTTTGAGACAGAGTTTCGCTCGTTGCCCAGGCTGGAGTGCAATGGTGCGATCTTGGCTCACCGCAACCTCCGCCTCCCGGGTTCAAGTGATTCTCAGCTGGGCGCGGTGGCTCACGCTTGTAATCCCAGCACTTTGGGAGGCTGAGGCGGGCGGATCACGAGGTCAGGAGATCGAGACCACGGTGAAACCCCATCTCTACTAAAAATATAAAAAATTAGCCGGGCGTGGTGGCGGGCGCCTGTAATCCCAGCTACTCGGAGAGGCCGAGGCAGAAGAATGGCGTGAACCCGGGAGGCGGAGCTTGCAGTGAGCTGAGATCGCGCCACTGCACTCCAGCACTACAGCCTGGGTGACAGAGCGAGAGTCCGTCTCAAAAAAAAAAAAAAAAAAAAGTGATTCTCCTGCCTCAGCCTCCCGAGTAGCTGGGATTACAGGCATGTGCCACCACCCCAAGCTAATTTTTGTATTTTTAGTAGAGATGGGGTTTCTACATGTTGATCAGGCTGGTCTCAAACTCCTGACCTCAGGTGATCTGCCCGCCTTGGCCTCCCAACGTGCTGGGATTACAGGCATGAGGCACTGCGTCCAGCCCATCCATTCTCTCTTTTTAATCCTCCCATGAGCCCTCTGGGGTGGGCATAAATTATCTCCATCGTCCAGATGAGGAAACCAAGGTGGAAAGAGATGAACTAACTTGCTCAAGGTCACAGCAGAGACTCGAGTCACGAGTTTCCCTTGTGCAGCCTCCTGGCCCTCGGCAGGTACCAAATGAATCTATGTGGAACTGAACCAGCCAAACAGATACCAACACTTCAAATTTGCACCATATGGGTGTTGAGAACATAATGCTGAAGGACGCCAGTGTCAACTCAGGCCACCTCCAGGTGACTAAAGTCAGCCAGCACAGGGGAGGGAGTGGTTTTCAACAGTTGGAGTCTAAAGTGAGCTAGAAGCGGTGGCTGCTCTCTCCTTTTCCGAAAGGTTCCAGGGCTTTCAGCCAACAGACAAGGAAGATCACCTGCTGTCACTCCCCTCTGTCCTAACCCAGCCCTGGCCACCCTCACCCACCTTCCCCACGGAGCCTGGTCCCTCCCTTCAGACCTCCTCACGTCCACACCGACCCTCCCAGGGTCCCGAACCCACCTACCTGGGGCCTCTTATACGCCTTGCGAACTCGCAGCCCCAGTTTCTGGGCCAGCTCCTGACCAAGCTGAGTCACGCTTTCATCCTGCAGAGGACAAGACACAGGGCGGTGGGTCAGTCTGCCCGGGCTCACAAAGCTGTGCTCCTGGACACCTGTGCAGCCCTACGGAGGGAGGTCATAGTCACCCCATGTTATAGATGAGAAAGTGAGGCCCCAGGAGGTGTCCCTGGCTTGTCCAAGTCACACAGCTAGTGAGTGGTGGCACCAGGACCACCATCCCATGCTTCTGTTTTTCCTTTTATTTGGGGATGGAAAATGAATCATTTTGTTTTTATTTTAATATAATCTTTTTATTTCTAAAATTCAGCAAAAGTGACAATGTCACTGTAGAAGGGAAGAATGTTACAGGGACAGCAAGTGCTCCCTGGATCTCCCCCTTCACCCTAGGCTTCTCCAGGAGGGAATCACACTCTGCTGGGCTGATGTGTTTCCTTAGGGCTCTTTTCTAGGAATGCATGCATGCAGACCTATAAAGAATGCTTACTTCTGGCTGGGCACAGTGGCTCATGCCTGTAATCCCAGCACTTTGGGAGGCAGAGGTGGGCGGATCACCTGAGGTCAGGAGTTCAAGACCAGCCTGGCCAACATGGTGAAACCCCATCTCTACCAAAAATAGAAAAATTAGCCGGGCATGGTGGTGGGTGCCTGTAATCCCAGCTACCTGGGAGGCTGAGGCAGGAGAATCGCTTGAACTCAGGAGGCAGTGGTTGCAGTGAGCCAAGACTGCGCCGCTGCACTCCAGCCTGGACGACAGAGCAAGACCCTGTCTCAAAAAAAAAAAAAAAAAAGCTTAGTTTTGTTTTGTGGGGATTTGGGGATTGTCTCTTTCTTTTTGATTTTTTGAGATGGAGTCTTGCTCAGTCACCCAGGGTGGAGTGCAGTGGCGCGATCTCAGCTCACTACAACCTTTGCCTCCTGAGTTCAAGAGATTCTCCTGCCTCAGCCTTCGCGTAGCTGGGATTACAGGCATGTGCCACCATGCCCAGCTAATTTTTTTTTTTTTTTTTTTTTTTTTGTATTTTAGTAGAGACAGGGTTTCACCATGTTGGCCAGGCTGGTCTTGAACTCCTGACCTCAAGTGATCCACCCGCCTCGGCCTCCCAAAGTGTTGGGATTACAGGCGTGAGCCACTGTGCCCGGCCATCTCTTTCTTTTTTTAAACAGGAATGAGGTCACATTATATAGTTCTACAACTTGTTTCTATCGCCAAACAATCTCCTGCAACCCCCAGCAAGTGACGATACATACATGAGGCACAGGGTTGTAAGGCTCCAAGGAGGCAGGGCATAGAAAGCTTGTAACAGTGCCTGGACCACACTTAGTGATCACTAAACAGCAACCATCCTTCCTTCCCTTCCAAGGCTGTAATACAGAACATACACTACGTGCCAAGCAAGAGTGAGGGGCTAAGGATACCCCAGCGAACAGGGCAGATGGGCCCAGGCCTCATGGAGATTCCAATCTAAAGGGGGAGAACAGTCAGTGAACAAAGAAACAGGTGGCTACAAACTGGGGTCCAGGCACAAAAGGGCAAGGAAGACACTGTGACATCTGTGCACGTGTCTACCTCCTACCTCACTGACAATCTCCTAGAGGCCAGGGCCTGGGTCGGAGTCATCTCTGGTCCCCAGTGCCCAGCATGGAGCAGGAGCTCGGTCAGTATTTGCCCAACAAAGATTGGGAAAAGAGAGAGTTCCCTAAAGCAGAGCCAGGAGCCCTTAGTTACTTTCCCTGGCCATTTACTAACCCTAACTGGGTCCCAGCTCCTTTCTATCCGCTGTGGTGCGGATGAAACCTGCCCTGTCCTCCTCATGAGTAAGTACCAGTGAGACCTAGGTGTGGATCTGTTGTGGACACTCTAAAATGCTATATGGGTCAGGGGACCATGGTCATAAAGAAAGGCTTTTTTTTTTTTTAATAGACAAGCTCTTGCTTTGTCAAACTCAGGCTGAAGTGCAATGGTGCAATCACAGCTCACTGCAACCTCCACCTCCTGGGCTCAAGTGATCCTCCCACCTCAGCCTCCTGAGTAGCTGGGATCTCAGGTGCGTGCCATCATGCCCAGCTAATTTTTTTTTAATTTTTTGTTGAAACAGGGTCTTGCTATGTTGCTCAGGCTAGTTGCAAACTCCTGAGCTCAAGTGATCCTCCCGCCTTGGCCTCCCACAGTGCTGGGATTACAGGCATGAGCCACTGTGTCTGGCCAAGAAAGGGTCTTAATTGTGAACTAAACAGAATTAGCAAAACAGGCACACGCCATCATGCCCGGCTAAATTTTGTATTTTTTGTAGAGATGGGGTTTTGCCATGTTGGCCAGGCTGGTCTCAAACTCCTGACCTCAGGTGATCCGCCTGCCTCAGCCTCCGAAAGTGCTGAGATTACAGGCGTGAGCCACTGTGTCTGGCCTCATCATCTTTAAAATGAGAATAATCACAGTATCTGCCTCTTAGGGTTATTGCCAGTATTAGGTGAGTTAATACACACAATGCATCCTAGCAGTGCCTGGCACCCAGTCAGCGCTCAGAGAATGGGAGCTAGTGTTAACATCAGGATCTGCATGGCCATGTCACAGGGGAGGAAGTGAGACACAGAAGGATGTGGTGGCTGGGCCCAAGTGAGGGCCGGAAGGTCAGAAGCCTGGCCTCTGAGCAGGCACCGGCGTGGCTGCAGAGCCACACTCACGTGGGGCAGGGCGAGGGAACACCGGCTGCTGCACTCGTAGGCCTCCTTGTGGCGTCCCAGTTCATTGAGAGCGCGTGCCTTGCGGAACAACGCCCGGATACTCTCACTGTCCAGGCCCAGCGCCTTCTCGCTGTCCTCCAGCGCCTTCTCATACAGGCCCTGCCAGAGAGGAGCATGTGGTCACTGGTCAACACCTGTTACCCTCCCTCCCCCAGGCCTCCTGCCCCTGCCTAGGAAGGAACACCAGCTTCCCTTCCTGGCAGAGACAGAGGAGCTGAAGTCTTGGGTCAGGGACAGGGCTCGAGGCTCCAGGAGAGAAGGAAGCACTCTGGTGTCCAGACTCTGATCAAGGGTGTCTGTGTGTCCAGCTGATGGGGCTGCAGTGGGCACGGGCAGGATATTGCAGGGAAGGGCCTGAAGATCTACAACCATGAGCCCGGCCACTCAAGCACGTCTATTTCCATCTCTGCCTTTGGTTGGGAACATGATGAGCTGAGAGTAACAATGGCATCTCTAAGAGGCAGTGAGACCATGAAGGCAGCTCTGTGTGCAGAGTGTACAAGGGTTAACCCTGAGGCATCCAGGAGCCATTTATCCAGAAGAGTTCGCTGGATGGCAGAGGTGTCATGGGGTCCTCTAGAGAGCCTGCAGCAGAGCCTCCCACAGGATCTCATGAACCTGAGTCAGTGGGTGCACAGGACAGGGAAGAGGAGGAGGCTGCAGCTCTAAGGAGGAGAGGAGGAGGAGGAGGAAGGCACTGAAGTCCGCAAAGAAACAGGAGGCTGAGGCTATGGGAGAAACAGTGAGGAGGCTGAGGCTATGGGAGGAACAGTGAGGAGGCTGAGGCTATGGGAGGAACAGTGAGGAGGCTGAGACTATGGGAGGAACAGTGAGGAGGCTATGGAAGAAACAGTGAGGAGGCTATGGAAGAAACAGTGAGGAGGCTGAGGCTATGGGAGGAACAGTGAGGAGGCTACGGAAGAAACAGTGAGGAGGCTGAGGCTATGGGAGGAACAGTGAGGAGGCTGAGGCTATGGGAGGAACAGTGAGGAGGCTGAGGCTATGGAAGGAACAGTGAGGAGGCTGAGGCTATGGAAGAAACAGTGGGGCCGGGAGGGAGGAGCAGGAGAAGTCAGACTCCCACCAAGGCCCAGGGTCACCCCAAGATTCTAACTTACTTCATCTAGGGCAGGGCTAGGGCTAGGGCATCAGTATCATTTTTTTTAAAAACTTTTTATTATGCATCCGTACTTTTAAAAGCTCTCCAGCTGAGCATGTTGTACAGTTGAGATTAAGAGCCACGAGAACAGACAATGAAATTCTGAAAGCAGGCTGGGAGGAGGCTGGCCCTGGTCTACAGGCTCACTGGGGTATGGGCCTGGCTCGACTGGGCATCCAGGGGATCAGGGCAGCAGAGGAGGAGAGAAAAGAGGGTGCCAGGCTCACCATGGTGAAGTAGCAGGCGGCCCTATTGACATGCAGCTTGCACAGCAGCTCCCGGGGCAGGGCCACCTGGTCAGAGGCAGCGTAGTCGGCCACGTTCAGCCCTTCCATGTACTGCACCAGAGCCTGCTTATAGTCCTTCTCCCGGAACAGATCATTGCCCTCAGCAAACAGATTCTGCACCAGCTTGAGCAGAAAGGCCTGTTGGGGGCAAGGTGTGTAGGGGGCTCATGACCTCTGGCCCCAGCTCTGGCACCCGGCCCACGCCTCTCCCCTGCACATCTCCGCCCTTCACCTTTGCTCAGCCTGGCAGCTGACACTCACCTCATATTCTTCTTGCTTTAGGGGTAGTGTCGACCTATCAGGAAAAGAAAACACGAGGCCTGGGTGAGCCCGGCGGTCCCAGCTTCATGGAGGTCCAGAGCTACTCCTCCAACTCAGACCTCAGCCATCACCTTGTGGACTAGGGTGAACAGACTGCGGTTTTCTTCTCCTAAATCATTGCCATGCAGGCCTTCCAGTTCTGATGGAAGGACCTGCATGTTCCTTGGGGCCAGACAGCCAGGTTTTGCCAGGTACAGGTGTTGAGAAAGAGCAGACTGACCCCAGCCCCACCTCCAGCCTGGCCCCAGTTCCAGCCCCACTTCCAGCCACAGCCCCAGCTCCAGCCCCAACCCAGACAGCCCCAGCCCCAAGCCAGTCCTAGCCCAGCTCAGTTCCAGCTCTACCTCTGGCCCTGGACCTAGCCCCAGTCCCTGCTGCTGAAAAAAACAGCCATCCTCTGCTGAAAAAACCAGCCCTCTCCTAAAGGAAAGCAGGCATTCCAAGCCCTTTCTCAGTTACATGAGGGGAAGGAGGGAGGAGCCACACTTGGGCCTAGGAGGCCCCCAGGACTGGAAAAGGACAAGAGGAAAATCAGACTCTGGCCAAGGCAGAGCGGGGGAAGGCTCCAGCTGCAGCTGAAGGCCAGGAGGAGAGGATGGTGCAGGGGCTGCTGCAGCAGGAGTGCCAGGGACAGGAGCAGGCAGGAAAAGGCAGGAAGTATGAGTGTTGTCAGGGAATTAACACCTAGAACAGGCCTTGGGAAGGACCACGCCCCATCAAACCAAATCCGAGACCACAGGTCCACAGACACTGAGGCACCGGGAGTCCACCTCAGGCCCCTCCCCTGCCCAATCCCACATAACACACGCCCCACCCAATGCCAGGTCTTCACTGAGCCTGTCAGTCCCTCATGCTGGACTCAACAAATCATTCTAGGTGGGGTCTGGGCACCTGCTCCCTCCTGTGGCTAATGCTCCCTCAGTATGAAAGAGGGCATCAGCCCAGGAGAACTGAGGTTCATCTCTCCAATGGGCTCAATGGCCAGGCTGGAAGGGAAGCTGGGCTTTGTCTCCCAGTCCTTCATTCCACAGAGGGAAAAACAGACGCTCAGAGTGGCGCAAGGACTCGCCCAAGGCTGCTTGGCAGGAAGGCATCGGATGCAGGGCTGGGGAGATCTTTCCGTTGCCTGGAGATGCTGCCAGCACCTGGGCAGGAAAGAGTGGCCTAGGCTAGTGCGTGAGAGGTGGGCAGAGGCGCAACGCCAGGAGGGCTGTGTATGCACATGCGTGTGGAAGGTGTCCCCAGTTGTGACATCGGGGCTCACCAGCCCACCTCTCACTTGCCTCCCCACTGTCTGGGCCCCAGACCTGCCCTCCCTCCCCATACTGCTGCAGTGTCTGTCTCCTCTGTTGCCCCCACTAAAGACCCCATCACTACCTTCCTGGCCTCCTGCCTCCAGCCTACCCTCTTCCAGCATCAACTCTACCTTTCATAGGTCATGCGGTCCTAAGACATCTTTTTTTTTTTCCAGACAGAGTCTCGCTGTGTCGCCCAGGCTGGAGTGCAGTGGCCCAATCTCGGCTCACTGCAACCTCCACCTCCCGGGTTCACGCCATTCTCCTGCCTCAGCCTCCAGAGTAGCTGGGACTACAAGCGCCCGCCACCACGCCTGGCTAATTTTTTGTATTTTTAGTAGAGACAGGGTTTCACCATGTTAGCCGGGATGGTCGGGATCTCCTGACCTCATGATCCGCCTGCCTTGGCCTCCCAAAGTGCTGGGATTACAGGCATGAGCCACCGCGCCCGGCCGTAGACATCTTAAGGTCCTCTGCAAGCTGGGGCCAACCCACCTGTCCCAATTCACTTAGGGCTCTCAGGACGTGCTAAGCACATGAAGCACACGTGCACCAACACAGCGTAGGAGGAGTGGGGCAAAAATAGCGGGACTGATGTGAAAAGCAGTGAGTCCCACTGTGCTTCCTGCAAAGCCTTAGGAGGCCAACAGACGGCTTCGGGGAGGCTGCCTTGTAGCTGGGCCTTCCTAGAACGCCCCTTTGGAAAGGAGAAGGAGGGGACGAGAGTGAACATTTACCCCAAGCACCACCTGGTCCCTTAACCTTCACAATGACCCCGTAGGGGAAATGGGAGAACTGGGCTGGGAATCCAGCTCTACAGACATCAGTGACTGAGGCTGGGGACACAGAACTCTTCTTATGGAAGACAGCAGTGGCCGGAGTCACCTTGTTCACCAGACTGGCCTCTGAATAAATTGGAACACTTCCCCAAAATCAAACCCTCACTCCCCAAAATGGGAGAGGACCTGCCGCCCATGAAGAGAGATGAGCTAGCAACCGCTCTGATGAACAAGTCTGAGGAGGGTTTGCAAACTCCCAGCCATGGCAGCAAGGTGGGGTTGGACAACAGCCCAGGGAAGGGGTGCTGAACTTGGGGCCATGCTCTAGGTGCACCCAAAACCCCTAATCAAATCAGCCCAGCGCAGGACACCCTCCAGAAGCGGCCAGGAAAAGTGACTGCGTTGTGCGCTGAGGAAGGAGAATGTGTTGTGTCAATATGAACACTCGCTCTGTGAGAGCAGCATGGATACCGAGGGCGTGTGAAAAGGGACCCAGTCTGCGGTGACATGGGTGAGAAAAGGCAAGGGAGTACGCTGGGCACAGCAGCACGCGCCTGCAATCCCAGCTACGTGGGAGGCTGAGGTAGGAAAACTGCTTGAGCCCGGGAGATTGAGACCTGCCTGGGCAACACAGGGAGACCCCATCACAAAGAAAAGAAAAGGCAAAGAGTGTTTTACTGGTCTGTGTGAGAGAACAAAAGTGGGGAGTATATAAGGGAACATAGAGGCGAATTCCAGTTTTATGGGGAGCCCTATTTAAGAAAAAGAACACAAAATGATGAACGCAGGATTGCAAGGGTGCATGCCTTCCAGGGCCTCGGAAGGGGCTCGTGCAAGTGAGAGGCCACGATGCCCACGCTTCATTAGTGTTGTGATAATTATGCCTCTGAGGATCTATTTAAGAGCAATAAGAGAAAAAGGTTACTCAAAATATTTTGTGTGTAAAAAAAAAGAGAAATAAAACAAAAACAAATGTCGGGCTGGATGCGGTGGCTCACACCTATAATCCCAGCACTTTGGGAGGCCGAGGAGGGCAGATCACGAGGTCAGGAGTTCAAGACCAACCTGACCAACATGGTGAAACCCCGTCTCTACTAAAAATACGAAAATTAGCTAGGTGTGGTGGCAGGCGCCTGTAATCCCAGCTACTCAGGAGGCTGAGGCAGGAGAATTGCTTGAATCTGGGAGGTGGAGGTTGCAGTGAGCCGAGATCGCACCACTGCGTTCCAGCCTGGACAAGAGTGAGACTCCATCTCAAAAACAAACAAAAAAAAAGTGTGGCATGTGGGTGCTCAGAGGCATACAATAGAAAGAATGTGAGTTTTGGCCGGGCGCGGTGGCTCACGCCTGTAATCCCAGCACTTTGGGAGGCCGAGGCGGGCGGATCACGAGGTCAGGAGATCGAGACCATCCCAGCTAAAACGGTGAAACCCCGTCTCTACTAAAAATACAAAAAATTAGCCGGGCGTAGTGGCGGGCGCCTGTAGTCCCAGCTACTTGGGAGGCTGAGGCAGGAGAATGGCGTGAACCCGGGAGGCGGAGCTTGCAGTGAGCCGAGATCCCGCCACTGCACTCCAGCCTGGGCGACAGAGCGAGACTCCGTCTCAAAAAAAAAAAAAAAAAAAAAAAAAAAAGAATGTGAGTTTTGAGTTTTGTGGTCAACCAGGCTTGGGCTAGAATGCTATTCCTCAATAGCTCCATGACCTTAAACAAGTTGCTTAACCTCTGTGAGTCTCAACTTTCTCATCTGCAAAATGGAAATAAGGCTACCTACTTTACTGGGCTGTTGAGAAGATTAAAAAGATGATGGATTGGCCAGGCACAGTGACTCATGTCTGTAATCCCAGCACTTTGGGAGGCTGAGGCAGGAGGATCACTTGAGCCCAGGAGTTTGAGACCAGCCTGGGCAACATAGCAAGACCTCGTCTCTACAAAAAAATTTTTTAAATGGCCTAGTGCGGTGGCTCACGCCTGTAATCCCAGCACTTTGGGAGGCCGAGGTGGGTGGATCACCTGAGGCCAGGAGTTCAAGGCAGCCTGGCCAACATGGCAAAACCCCATCTCTACTAAAAATACAAAAATTAGCCAGGCATGGTGGCACACACCTGAAATCCCAGCTACTCGAGAGGCTGAGGCAGGAGAATCGCTTGAACCCAGGAGGCAGAAGTTGCAGTAAGCCGAGATCATGTCACTGCACTCCAGCCTGGGCAACAGGGCAAGACTCTGTCTCAAAAAAAAAAAAAAAAAAAATTAGCTGGGTATGGTGGTGTGCACCTATGCTCCCAGCTACATGGGAGGTGGAGGCAGGATTGCTTGAGTCCAGGAGGTCAGGAGCACCATTCACTCCAGCCAGGGCAACAAGGAGAGATTCTGTCTCAAAGAAGACACAGATGTGAAGGTCCCAGCACGGAGACTGAGATTGTAACAGAGGGACCATTGATTTATCAGAAAACTCGTGCAGTCATGCAAGAGAATTAACAGGGAGTGCAAATGTGAAGGGTGAGGGCAGAATTACCTACTGGACAAGATTGAAGGGTAACCTGGGCCAGGGAGCATGTGTGCATGTGGAGTTCACGCACAGCCACACCAGCCCCTTCCTGGCTCCTCCCACCTGCCCGCACCCCAGCGCACACAGGAGCCTTGGCAGCAAAGGCTCAGCAGCAAGAAAAGGGAGCGCTGGGAGGGCATGGCTCTCAGAGAACCCACCCTTGCCCACCCAGCCGTCCAGCCCCTGCCGCATGCAGGCTTACTGAATGAACTGCAGCCCTTTCTCGATGTCCGCCTTCCGTTTCTGCCTCTCCATCAGTCTCTGGGGAAGAGAGCACAGTCCATCAGTCAGTCAGCAAGAGCCAGGCTGCCGTCAGCCACCACCACTTCGTGGGTCCTGTGATTGGGTGCTCTCACTCCCACTCTCATTCCCTTCCCCATGTCGGGAGGCGTGTCCCTGAGGGCGATGACCACCCTCAGGCCAGTGTCCTCCACCCCCATGGCCCCCTGGACTCCTAGATTGTGTGGTACCCTCAAGGGACAAGGGGGCATAGAGGGCACCTGCCCTTTCCCACACAGGCTTGAGCTACAATACCGTATGGACACCCTCAAGTTCAAGGGAAAACTCTTTTTTTTTTTTTTTTTGGATACAGAGTCTCCCCTGTTACCCAGGCTGAGTGCAATGGCGCCATCTCGGCTCACTGCAACCTCCGTTTCCTGGGTTCAAGTGATCCTCTTGCCTCAGCCTCCCGAGTAGCTGGGATTACAGGAGCCCACCATCATGCCCAGCTAATTTTTGTATTTTTAGTAGAGACGAGGTTTCGCCATGTTGACCAGGCTGGTCTCGAACACCTGACCTCAGGTAATTCATCTGCCTCAGCCTCCCAAGGTGCGGGGATGACAGGCATGAGTCACTATGCCCGGCCCCCCATTTTTTTTTTTTTTTGAGATGGAGTCTCGCTCTATTGCCCAGACTGGAGTGCAGTGATGCAATCTCAGCTCACTGCAACCTCCACCTCCTGGGTTCAAGCGATTCTCCTGCCTCAGCCTCTGGAGTAGCTGGGAATCCAGGCATGCACTACCACGCACCCAGATAATTTTCATATTTTTAGTAGAGACAGGGTTTCATTATGTTGGCCAGGCTGGTTTCAAACTCCTGACCTCAGGTGATCCGCCTGCTTTGGCCCCCCAGAGTGCTAGGATTACAGGCGTTAGCCACTGTGCTCAGCCAACAAAGGCTTTCTTTTAGAGCATATGTTCTAGTGGAGAGGCACACGACAATAAATATATCACATAATATAGGAAGGATACACGCAATTAAGAAAAAATAATAAGATAGAGTGACAGGGTGCTATAATTCTGAGCAGTCTGAGAGGCCACTTTGACCTTTTTTTTTTTTTTTTTTTTTAGCCGGAGACTCACTCTGTTGCCCAGGCTGGAGTGCAGTGGTGTGATCTCAGCCCACTCCAACCTCCACCTCCCGGTTTCAAGTGATTCTTGTGCTTCAGCCTCCCAAGTAGCTGGGACTATAAGCACTTGCCACTATGCCCGGCTACTTTTTGCTTTGTTTTTTTTTGAGAGGGAGTTCTGCTCTGTCGCCCAGGCTGGAGTGCAGTGGCGCGATCTTGGCTCACTGCAACCTCCACCTCCCGGGTTCAAGCGATTCTTCTGCCTCAGCCTCCTGAGTAGCTAGGACTACAGGCACGTGCCACCATGCCTAGCTAATTTTTTGTATTTTTAGTAGAGAGGGGGTTTCACCGTGTTAGCCAGGATGGTCTCGATCGCCTGACCTCGTGATCTGCCCACCTTGGCCTCCCAAAGTGCTGGGATTACAGGCGTGAGCCACTGTGCCCAGCCTTTTTGTATTTTTAGTACAGATGGGGTTTCACCATGTTGGCCAGGCTAGTCTCAAACGCCTGACCTCAAGTGATCCACCCATCTCAGCCTCCCAAAGTGCTGGAATTATAGGCATCAGCCACTGCGCCTGGCTCACTTTGACATTTGAATGGAGATCTACGTGTATGATGTGAGGGAGCCAGCCCTGTGGATACCTGGTGGGAAAGGGCTCCGGGCAGAGGGAACAGTGAGTGCAAAGGTCCTGAGGGAGATGCCTTGTTGGTGTATCTGAGAATGTGCAAGGAGGCTGGTGAGGATGGAGCAGAGTGGGCAGTGGGGAGGGTGGTGAATAGGAAGGTCAGAGAGATTAGCAGGAAGACCACATGTAGAGGTATTTTCATTTTCTTTTCTGAGACGGTTTCACTCTGTTGCCCAGAATGGCATGATCACTGCAGCCTCAAACTCCTGGGCTCAAGGGATCCTCCCACTTCAGCCTCCCAAGCAGCTGAGATCACAGGCGCGCGCCACCATGCCTCGCTAACCTTTAAAATTTTTTGTAGAGACAAGGTCTCACTATGTTGCCCAGGCTGGTCTTTTTTTTTTTTTTTTTTTGAGGCGGAGTCTTGCTCTGTTGCCCAGGCTGGAGTGCAGTGGCACAATCTTGGCTCACTGCACGCTCCGCCTCCCAGGTTCACGCCATTCTCCTGCCTCAGCCTCCCGAGTAGTTGGGACTACAGGCGCCTGCCACCACACCCGGCTAATTTTTTGTATTTTTAGTAGAGATGGGGTTTCATCATGTTAGCCAGGATGGTCTTGATCTCCTGAGCTCGTGATCTGCCCGCCTCGGCCTCCCAAAGTGCTGGGATTACAGGCGTGAGCCACCGCGCCCAGCCTCTCAGGCTGGTCTTAAACTCCTGGTCTCAAGTGATCCTCCCACCTCAGCCTCCTAAAGTGATGGGATGACAGGCATGAGCCACGTGTGTCACCCAGCCCATAGAGGTTTTGTAGACGGGGCAGACTGTGGATTCCACCCTAAGGTAGAGGAGTCACAGGAGCTTTTAAACAAAAGGGCCACTCTATGTCTAGCTTTGCTCTACAAAAAAATGTGTTGTCACTAAATAACTGAGATTTATTTAAATCTCACAACATCCCCATCAGGCAGGAAAATAGTACTCCAAGAGGCTAGGAAAGTTATTCAAAGCCATGCAGTCAGCCTGGATCCTGGGTTCAGTGACACCGCAGAGATGGGCATCAGGCAGCCTGATTAACAATGCGTCAGGAGACCAAAGGCCCCAGCCCTACAGGCACCTAACAGCCCACACCCTTCCCTCCTCTGGGAAAAAAATTTCTTTGTTTTGAGATAGGGTCTCGCTCTGTTGCCCAGGATGGAGTGCAGTGGTGTGATCTTGGCTCACTGCAGCCTCCATCTCCTGGGCTCAACTGATCTTCCCCCCTCAGCCTCCTGAGTAGCTGGGACCACCACACATGGCTAATTTTTGTATTTTATTTTTTTTTTAGAGATGGGGTTTTGCCATGTTGCCCAGGCTGGTCTCGAACTCCTGGGCTCAAGAAATCCTCCCACCTGAGTCTCCCACAGTGCTGGGAATATAGGCATGAGCCACTGCGCCCAGCCAGAAAATTCTTATAGGGAGGGTGTTACGGCCTGGACGTTTGTGCCCCCTCTCCCATTCATATGTTGAAGCCCTAAACCCTATATTTGGAGACAGGGCCCATAAGGAGCTAATTAAGGTTAAATCAGGTTATGATTCAATATTTTGTTGGATGAATTCTCTCTCTGCACCACATGGCTGTTGCCCAGGAATGGGGGAAGGATGGTATTGGCAATTCAAGACTGTCTTTCTGGCCGGGCACGGTGGCTCATGCCTATAATCTCAGCATTTGGGAGGCCGAGGTGGGTGGATCACCTGAGGTCAGGAGTTCGAGACCAGCCTGGCCAACATGGTGAAACCCCATCTCTACCAAAAATATAAAAATTAGCTGGGGGCCAGGCACGGTGGCTCACGCCTGTAATCCCAGCACTTTGGGAGGCTGAGGCAGGCGGATAACGAGGTCAAGACCAGCCTGGCCAACATGGTGAAACACTGTCTCTACTAAGAATACAAAAATTAAGTCAGTTGGGCGTGATGGTACATGCCTGTAATCCCAGCTACTCGGGAGGCTGAGACAGGAAAATCGCTTGAATCCAGGAGGCAGAGGTTGTAGTGAGCGAAGATTGTGCCACTGCACCCCAGCCTGGGCGACAGAGCAAGACTCTTCTCAAAAAAGAAAAGAAAAAAAATTAGCTGGGCATGGTGGCACACGCCTGTAATCCTAGCTACTCAGGAGGCTAAGGCAGGAGAATCGCTTGAACCTGGGAGGCAGAGGTTGCAGTGAGCCAAGATTGCGCCGTTGCACTACAGCCTGGGCAACAGAGCAACTAACTGAGCCCAGGAAGTTAAGGCTGCAGTGAACCGTGATCGTGCCACTGCACTCCAGCTTGGGCAACAGAGTGAGACCCTGTCTCAAAAAAAAAAAAAAAAAAAAGGCCAGGTGTGGTGGCTTACAGCTGTTAAGTCCAGCACTTTCGGAGGCCAAGGTGCGTGGATCACCTGAGGTCAGGAGTTTGAGACCAGCCCAGCCAACATGGTGAAACCCTGTCTCTACTAAAAATACAAAAATTAGCTGGGTGCGATGGCATGCGCCTGTAATCCCAGCTTCTCCGGACGGTGATGCTGGAGAATTGCTTGAACCTGGGAGGCGGAGGTTGCAGTGAGCCAAGATCACGCCGCTGCACTCCAGCCTGGGCAACAGAGCGAGACCCTGTTCAAAAAAAGAAAAAAAAAAAAATGGCCAGGCATGGTGGCTTACTCCTATAATCCCAGCACTTTGGGAGGCCAAGGTTGGCGGATAACCTGAGGTTGGAAGTTTGAGACCAGCCTGACCAACATGGAGAAACCCCATCTCTACTAAAAATACAAAATTAGCTGGACATGGTGGCGCATTCCTATAATCCCAGTTACTCAGGAGGCTGAGGCAGGAGAATCACTTGAACCTGGGAGGTGGAGGTTGTGGTGAGCCGAGATAGCGCCATTGCACTCCAGCCTGGGCAACAAGAAACAAGGGAGAAACTCCGTCTCAAAAAAAAAAAAAAACTATTTGGATAGAATGAATGTATTTTGTATGTGATAAGGTCGTGAATTTGGGGGGATGAAGGGTAGAATGTTATAGACTGAATGTCTGTGTCCTCCCCAAATTCATATGCTGAAGCTCTAATCTCTAATGTGACTATATCTGAAGATAGGGCCTATACAGAAGTACCTGTAATTAAGGTTAAATGAGGGCATAAGGGTAGGGCCCTGATCCAACAGGATTACTGTCCTTATAAGAGACACTAGCAAGCTTGCTCTTCCTCTGTTTCCTCCCTTGCATGCACCAAAGAAAGGCCATGTGAGGACACAGTGAGGTCTGTAAGCCAGGAAGAGAGCCCTCACCAAAAATCAAACAGGCCAGCACACTGACTAGGACTCCCAGTCTCCAAAACTGTAAAGAAATAAATTTCTGTTGTTTAAGCCACTCAGTCTATGGTATTTTGATATGGCAACCTATGCAGACTAACACAGTGGTTAAAAGGTCATTTATTCTCAGTTAAAGAGGGAGGTACGGCTGGGCTTAGTGGCTCATACCTGTAATTGGGAGGCTGAGGTGGGAGGATCGCTTGAGCCCAGGAGTTCAAAACCAGCCCAGGCAACATAGCAAGACTCCATTTCTACAAAAAAAAAAAAAAAAAACACTAGAAATTAGCTGGATATAGTGGTACATGCCTGTAGTCCCATCTACTCAGGAAGCTGTGCTGGAAGGATTGCTTGTGCCCAGGAGGTCAAGGATGCACTGAGCCGAGATCGTGCCACTTGTACTCTAGCACTCTAGCACGTGCGTGTGGAAGGTGTCCCCAGTTGTGACATCGGGGCTCACCAGCCCACCTCTCACTTGCCTCCCTGCTGTCTGGGCCAGCCTGGGCAACTGAGTGAGACCCTGTCTCAAAGAACAAAAAGAGAGGGAGGTGAGCATCTTGAAAGCGTGTGTCAGGCATGACTCAGAGAAGGCACCTGGTGGAGGAGCAAGAAGCATATAGGCCAAACAAACCTCCAGGATCAGATTTTTTAAATTTTTATTATTTATTTATTTTTTTTGGAGACAGGGTCTTGCCTGTATTTTTAAGTAATAATAATGATTGGCCGGGCATGGTGACTCATGCCTGTAAACCCAGCACTTTGGGAGGCCGATGCGGGCAGATCACGAGGTCAGGAGTTTGAGACCAGCCTAGCCAATATAGTGAAACCCTGTCTCTACTAAAAATACAAAAATTAGCCAGGTGTGGTGGCACACGCCTGTAGTCCCAGCTACTTGGGAGGCTGAGGCAGAAGAATCACTTGAACCCATGAGGCAGCGGTTGCAGTGAGCCGAGATCGTGCCACTGCACTCCAGCCTGGGTGACAAAGCAAGACTCCGTCTCAAAAAATAAAATAAAATAAAAAAATAATAATGATGATTATGGGCCGCACATGGTGACTCATGCCTGTAATCCCAGCACTTTGGGAGGCGAAGTGGGAGCATCACTTGATCCCAGGAGTTCAAGACCAGCCTGGGCAACACAGTGAGACCCTTATCCCAAAAATAAAAAATAGGTTGGGCGCAGTGGCTCACACCTGTAATCCCAGCACTTTGGGAGGCTGAGGCAGGTGGATCACTTGAGGTCAGGAGTTCGAGACCAGCCTGGCCAACATGGCGAAACCCCATCTCTACTAAAAATACAAAAAGTAGCCAGGCTTGGTGGCACTCGCCTATAGTCCCAACTACTCGGGAGGCTGAGGCAGGAGAATTGCTTGAACCCGGGAGGCAGAGGTTGCAGTGAGCTGAGATCGCAACACTGCACTCCAGCCTGGGTGACAGAGCAAGACTCCATCTCAAAAAAATAAATAAATAAATAAATAAAATAAAAATTAAAAAGGGCAAAAAACATAAAAAGGAAATTCACAGGAAAATAAATTATTAAGATACTCAAACTCACTGATTAAAAAAAGATGCCGGACAGGCGCGGTAGCTGACGCCTATAATCCGAGCACTTTGGGAGGCTGAGGCGGGCAGATCTCCTGAGGTCAGGAGTTCAACACCAGCCTGGCCAACATAGTGAAAACCCGTCCCTACAAAAATACGAAAAAAAAAAAAATTAGCCAGGCATGATGGCGGGTGCCTGTAGTCCCAGCTACTTGGGAGGCTGAAGCGGGAGAATCGCTTGAACCCGAAAGACCGAAGGAAGTTGCTGTGAGCCGAGATGGCACCACTGCACTCCAGCCTGAGCGACAGAGAGAGACTCTGTCTCAAAAACAAAATCAAAAACACAAAAAAACACAAGATGCCAATTTTCACCCATGAGACTAAGGTGAAAAGAAAGCCTGGTTGACGAGGATGGAGAAACTGGCACTCCCAAGCCCTCCCTGTACGTATACTGACAGTGTAAACTGGAATCATCTTTGAGAAGCAATTTAGCAACATGTACTAAAATGAGCAAGGCAGGCCCTGCTGGCTGCACCCAGCAGCCAGTTTCCCCTCTTGCTCCTTCAAGGTTGTCCATTTCCCAGGCACTCAGGTGAACCTTCACTGGGCTAAGCCAATCAGAATGGCCTTTTTCCCTTGCCAGTGATTGGCTTTGGTAAGGGCATGTGACATCTGGCCGGGTACGGTGGCTCACGCCTGTAATTCCAACACTTTGGGAGGCCAAGGTGGGCGGATCACGAGGTCAGGAGATCCAGACCTCGTCACGGTGAAACCCCATCTCTACTAAAAATACAAAAAAATTAGCCTGGCGTGGTGGCGGGCGCCTGTAGTCCCAGCTACTAGGGAGGCTGAGGCAGGAGAATTGCTTGAACCCGGGAGGCGGAGGTTGTAGTGAGCTGATATCGCGCCACTGCACTCCAGCCTGGGCGACACAGCGAGACTCCGTCTCAAAAAAAAAAAAAGTCTGACCCAAAACATTACCTGCTTCTGGAACTGCCCCACCTCATTTTTTATGTGAGAAAACAAACCCCCATTTTGAGCTAGGAATTCTGTTACTTGCAGCAAAAATTCCTCCAAATGGTAAAATGTCCTTTCACTTTGACACAGAAATTTCACTTCCAAGAATTTAATCTATGAAAATCCCTACACATGTACTCAATTATATTTGCATAGGATGTATTATAATTGTTTTGTTTTTGAGACAGGATCTCTGCCGCCTAAGCTGGAGGTCACTTCAAACTCGACCTCCCAGGCTCAAGCGATCCTCCCACCTCAGCCTCCCAAGTAGCTGGGACCACAGGCACGCACCATCACGCTTGGCTAATTTTTTTTGTATTTTTTGTAGAGACAGGGTTTCACCACATTGCTCAGGCTGGTCTCGAATTCCTGGCCTCAAGCAATCTACCCACCTCAGCCTCCCAGAGTGCTGGGAGTACAGGCGTGAGCCACCATGACCAGCCAGGGATGTATTATTATTATTTATTATTATTATTTTAGAGGCAGGGTCTCACTGTATCACCCAGGCTGGAGTGCAGTGGCACCATCGTGGCTCACTTCAGCCTTGACCTCCTCAGCTAAAGTAATCCTCCCCAAGTAGCTGGGACTACAGGTGTAGGACGTATTATTATTATTATTATTATTATTATCATTAAGACAGGGTCTCACTCTGTTGCCCAGGCTGTAGTGCAGTGGCATAATCTCAGCTCATTGCAGCCTCAGCCTCCCAAAAAGCTGGGACTACAGGAATGTGCCATCATGCCCAGCTAATTTTTTGTATTTTTTGTAGAGACAGGGTATCACCATGTTGTCCAGGCTGGTCTTGAACACCTGGACTCAGGTGATCTGCCCGCCTCAGCCTCCCAAAGTACTGGGATTACGGGCATGAGCCACCACGCCGAGCTAGGATGTATTTTTTTTTTTTTTTTTTTTGAGACGGAGTCTCGCTCTGTCACCCAAGCTGGAGTGCAGTGGCACGAACTTGGCTCACTGCAAGCTCCGCCTCCCGGGTTCACGCCATTCTCCTGCCTCAGCCTCCCGAGGATGTATTATTTTTAAGAGTAAGTGGAAAACTAGAAGCAACCTTAATGTCTACCAGTAAAGGATTAATTTAATTAACTAATTTAATTAAAATGAATTAAATTAGTTAATTAAATTCCATACCATGGAATACAATGCAGCTATTGAATCTATATGTATTGTCATGGAGATGCCTCCATGCATGGTTGAGGAACAAAAAACGAAGCAGATTTCTCTGTTGGGGGCTCGTCTTATTCTGCCCAGGTCTCAAGACCAACATCCCCGAGCTTCCATTTAAGGGACAGTGCTCCTGCTCTCTTCACTACCTGCTCCCCAGATGAGCTCTTGCATTTCATGATAACATGAGTCATGTTAACGACTCGCCTATCTCTTCCTCCTGCCAGGCCCACCCCCTTCCCCAGTATTTCAGACTCATATCTCTTATCTTCTGGGTAGTGGTACCTGGAAGTCCAACACCCAGGCTGCCTATGACTTCCATCCCTTTCTTAATCTTGGGCCCTCTACCTGGAATGCCCTCTGCCACACACACCTTCCCAACTCCTACTCATCCTTTAAGACCCAGCTTAGATGCCTCTGTGTCCAAAGTCCTCTTTGGTGCCATCTCAGCTGGATTGGGTGTTTCTCCAACTGAACACATTCCAAACTGAACTCAGCATCTTCTCCCCTAATCCTACTCCTCTTCCATTATTCCCTGACTCTATTCATAGCTCTGAGCATCATCCTGTTCTCAGCCACCTTTACCTCATAAATATTTCCCCACCCTGCAACCCCTCATATCCTCTCCACAAGCACGGCCACCTCTCGGACCCTCAACATCTCTTGCCAAGTTTCCAATGCACCCCCTCCAATATGCTCCCATTCAGTGGTCAGGGATATCTGTGTAACGCATATGCCAATGTCACTCCCCCACTCAAAACCGATGTGCACACATGCACATATACACGCGAATGAATGCAGGCTAAAAAAAAAAAAAAAAAAAAGTGAGGCTGGGCGCGGTGGCTCACACCTGTAATCCCAGCACTTTGGGAGGCCGAGGCGGGCAGATCACGAGGTCAGGAGATCGAGACCATCCTGGCTAACACGGTGAAACCCCCTCTCTACTAAAAACACAAAAAAATTAGCCGGGGGTGGTGGCGGGCACCTGTAGTCCCAGCTACTCGGGAGGCTGAGGCAGGAGAATGGCGTGAACCCAGGAGGCGGAGGCTGCAGTGAGCCGAGATAGTGCCACTGCACTCCAGCCTGGGTGACAGAGCAAGACTCCATTAAAACAAACAAACAAAAAACTCCCTTTTTAAAACAGTAACAGAAGGTCATTGTAAAAGCTTTGGAAATTATAAATTTGGAAATTATAAAATTAAAAAATAAAATTTGGAAATTATAAAATTAAAAAATAAGCCAGAATCACCCAGAGCTTAGAGTGACTGTCTAACACTGTGGCATACCCTGTTCCTCTTGAGCAGTTAAGTAGTCACTGCTCCTGCTCCCAGGGAGCTTGGAAATCCTTGTGGTGCATCATTGGGCATCAAGAGAGTTTCCAGTGCTGCTCTGCTTGCTTTCGTGCCTTGTGCTGACAGGGAGGCAGGCTAGGCCATGCAATCCACCAGCCCTGGGTTCAGATCCCAGCACTGTCCCACACTGGCTTTCAGGGCACCTCCCTGAGCCTCAGTTTTGTCATCTGGGAGACAGGGATGATGATACACACCTGACAAGACAATTTTGCAGCTCCACCTGGTGTGCCTCCCCCTGAAGGGGTCAGAAATTCATGTTTCTGCTAAACTGGGTGCTGTAGAGAGCACTCACAACAGACATAATTATCCTGTAAGTTTTCAATCACTCAATGTTGATTTACGGAGTCTCGCTCTGTCGCCCAGGCTGGACTGCAGTGGCGCCATCTCTGCTCACTGTAAGCTCCGCCTCCCGGGTTCACACCATTCTCCTGCCTCAGCCTCCCGAGTAGCTGGGACTACAGGTGCCCGCCACCACGCCTGGCTAATTTTTTGTATTTTTAGTAGAGACGGGGTTTCACTGTGTTAGCCAGGATGGTCTCGATCTCCTGAACTTGTGATCCGCTCACCTCGGCCTCCCAAAGTGCTGGGATTATAGGCATGAGCCACCGTGCTCAGCCATCAATGTTGATTTCTTTGCAGTTTCCCTGCCCAGTCGTGGGCTGTTTGGCAAGGGCTATTCTGTGGCCAACCTCCTACTATTATTCATTTATTCAACAAATAACCATGAAGCACTTTTAGTGCAAGGGGCCCTACCAGGTGCTAGGGGAACACAGTTAATAAAGTCCTTTCCCTGGTGCAGCTTGTCATCCATGGGCAGGAAGACAAATAAACCAGCGTGAAATGCACACGACAAGTAAAAATAGAGATCAGAGTCACAAGGAAGCTGAAGCAGGAAGCGTGGCATGGAGTGATGGAAAGTACATTAGGGCCGGATGCGGTGGTTCACGCCTGTAATCCCAGCACTTTGGGAGGCTGAGGTGGGCAGATCACTTGAGGCCAGGAGTTCAAGACCAGCCTGGCCAACATGGTGAAACCCCATCTCTAATAAAAATACAAAAATTAGGCCGGGCCTAGTGGTGGGCACCTGTAATCCCAGCTACTCAGGAGGCTAAGGCAGGAGAATCACTTGAACCCAGGAGGTCAAGATTGCAGTGAGCCGAGATCACACCACTGCACTCCAGCCTGGACGACAGAGCGAGACTCTGTCTCAAAAAAAGAAAAAAAGAAAGCAGGCCGGGCGCGGTGGCTCACGCCTGTAATCCCAGCACTTTGGGAGGCCGAGATGGGCGGATCACGAGGTCAGGAGATCGAGACCATCCTGGCTAACACGGTGAAACCCCGTCTCTACTAAAAATACAAAAATTAGCCGGGCATGGTGGCGCACGCCTGTAGTCCCAGCTACACGGGAGGCTGAGGCAGGAGAATGGCATGAACCCGGGAGGCGGAGCTTGCAGTGAGTCGAGATCGCGCCACTGCACTCCAGCCTGGGCGACAGAGCGAAACTCCGTCTCAAAAAAAAAAAAAAAAAAAAAGCAGACTGGGAGTTTAGGGAAGGCCCTTAGGAGGAAGCTGACATTTAAGAGAGATAGGTAGCCAGCCATGGAAGATAGGAGGTGGGGTAAGAGGGCACCTACCTAGCAGGGGACAGGGCACAGGCAATGGCCCTGAGGTGGGAACAAGCTGATAATGTTCCAGGAAAACTCAGAAGGCCACCGTGGCTGCAACACCCAAGCAAGGGCAAGCCACGTGGGAGGCAAAGTGCAAGGGGCAGGCGAGGCTGGTCTCAGAACCACTCACAGGCCATGCCGGGAGCCAGGGCTGTGTTTTGCGTGTGTCAGGAAACTGCAGGAGAGTTTTCAGCAGAAGAGTGACAGGAGCTTATTTATTTCGCAAGAAGATCCTTTTGGCTACTGCAGGGAGGACGTATGACAAGAGAGGATACTGGGAGATTGGTTAGGAGGCTACTGCAGTGGTTCAGGCCTGGATCAAGGCAGACAGTGAAGAAGATTCAGGAATATTCTGAAGGCTATTAAATGATCATAACTACAACCCCTGATGCAGATTCGACAGGATCAGTACGGCCGTTTCACAGAAAAGGAGACAGAAGCCAAGAATGACAAAATAATAATGCCTCCATCATACAGCCAGCATGAACAGGAGTTGGGAATGAAACTCAGGACTTTGGGCTCCCTGCCCTGCGTTCCTCAGCCTGTGGAGGGAGAGGGATGACACAGAGATGCTCCAGGGAACAAGAGCATAGCTGAACCAGGGCGACCTCTAAAAACCCCAGGAGGGCCAGAGCCCCCACCTTCCCTGCAGCCCTCACAGGAAGTGCTCAAGGAATGATCATCAGCTGACTCCAGCACTTCAGTAACACAAACCAATCAGAAGACATGGTTCTCGGTCTCAGGGAATCCAATACCCTGTTCCCCTCCCAAGTCACATTGTGGACTGGGTAGGAAGAGCAGTGGGTGGGTGATGATGCCTCAGTCTTTTTCTTCTGAAAAACAGGGACACCTCTTACCTTACCTCAAAAGACTGTCATGACAATTAATGAGAGACTGTGGACACAGCAGGACACAAATGTTGGTGGTAGTTAGGATTTCCAGATTGATAAGAAAAGAGCTTCGAGGAAACTGGAAGTAACCTGAAGACTGTCTCCTGCATGGCAGCTAAGACCTCGGATGCCAGGTGGCTTCATCTGACTCCCTTCTCTACCTCAGCTGTGTGATCTCAGAAGTGTTAACTTAGTCTTTCTGAGCCTCAGGCTCCTCATCTACAAGATGGGGCTGCCAATGATTGCTCTGGTCTTGAAGAGCTGTTAAGTGGATTCAATAAGAGAAGGCATAGGAAATGTCAAGCACGATGCTGGTATACAGTGGTGTTAACCATATGGGGGCTGCTGTTATATGGGTGTTATGTGCTGCTATATGGGTGATCGTATCCCCACGATCCCCACCAAGCTTGTGTCTCAGCCTCTGACGCTGAGGAGCTGTGATGCTGCAGAACTGAAGTTACCAGATGTTTCTGAAGGGAACAAGCGCTCTGAATGCAGGAATGTCCCTCCCTCTGGGCCTCCATAGCCCGGTGGGGAGACAGCACCAACACAACCAACACGGCACCAACACAACCAACATGCCTGCAAAGAAACAGTCTCCCTGGGGGGAATGAATTTGGTGAGAAGGAATCTGTAGCTGGTGCTGACAGAGGAAGGAAAATGAGCTTGTTTTCCAGGGGCCATGAAATGTGATGAAAGGAGCCGACTTCAGGCCCAGCACGGGCTCATGCCTATAATCCCAGCAGTAGGGAGGCCAAGGCGGGTGGATCACGAGGTCAGGAGTTCAAGACCAGTCTGACCAACATGGTGAAACACCATCTCTACTAAAAATACAAAAAAAAATTAGCCAGGTGTGGTGGTGCGTGCCTGTAATCCCAGCTACTCAGGAGGCTGAGGCAGGAGAATTGCTTGAACCCGGGAGGCAGAGGTTGCAGTGAGCCAAGATCGCACCACTGCACTCCAGCCTGGGTGACAGAATGAGACTCTGTCTCAAAAAAAAAAAAAAAAAAGAAAGGAGCTGACCTCTGTGGAGGCTCCTGGGGGCTGACGCACAGCCCATCATCAGCCCAGGCTGAGCCTCCAGCCTGGGGCTACAGCACCTCCACCCGCTGCTGTCTGAATAACCTCAGGTCTCCCCTGAGGCTCCTTCCCAGGCCCACACCAGGCCAGCTCCAGAGCCAGACATCCTGGGTTGGCTCTGCAGCTCTGCCCCTTCTGCACTTCACTGAACCTCTCTATGCCACAGTTTCTTCACCTGTAAAATGGGGATAATTACAGTGCCTCCCTCTAGGGCTGTTGAAAGAATTAAATAAAGGCTGGGTGCAGTGGCTCACGCCTGTAATCCCAGCACTTTGAGAGGCCCAGGCGGGTGGACCACTTGAGATCAGGAGTTCAAGACCAGCCTGGCCAACATGGCAAAACCCCGTCTCTACTAAAAATACAAAAATTAGGTGTGGTGGCGGACACCTGTAATCCCAGCTACTTGAGAGGCTGAGGCAGGAGGATCACTTGAACCCGGGAGGCGGAGGTTGCAGTGAGCCAAGATCGTGCCATCCCACTCCAGCCTGGGCGACAAGAGTGGAACTCCGTCTCAAAAAAAAAAAAAAAAAGAATTAAATAAGCTAATTTAGGAAAAAGCACTTGCAACAGGGCCTAGAGAATTGCTGGTTCAGTGATTACTAAATTAATAAAAATTTTTAAACACTTCTAGCTCCTTTCATCTGAGTTTCTTATCCTGATCCCCAAGCATGGGTTATCATTAAATATCATCAAATCTCAGGGCTCCTTTTCAGAAGGGGAAACTGAGGCCCAGAGAATCGAAAGGATCATGACGGCAGAGCCTGACTTGAACCCAATGTCATGTATCTGCCCACTAGACTGTGGCTGTACCAGGTGACCTGTTCTTCTTTATACATCCCTGCCTTTGTCCATCTCAATGCCTCTGCTTAGAACACCCTTTCTCTGGCTTTTCAACCTATCTTTCAGATGTTCAAATGGCACTTCTAGGAAGATCTTCTACTCTTGGGCAAAATAAACCTTCCTCCTCTACATTGGGGCATAATTCAATTTGACAACACAATGGCTGAGTGTGTCATCCTGGCACCGCCTCTGGGGCTGGAGGCACAGAGGGTGAATCAGACCCAGTTCCTGTCCTTGGGAAGCTCAGATTAATGGTCCATATCTATCTCATCCCAAGCTCTAAGCTCCTCCAGGGTGCTGGGCCGGCACCCAGCAGGCACTAAGGAACCAAACTTGCTCAGATCCCCACGCTCAGGGACCGGTCCTCCTTCTACTGCCATTCTGCTTTCTGCAGTTAGAAACCTACTGAGAGTGCTTTCACTGGTCCAGCCCCTCGGGGCCCTGGGATACAGAGCCAGTTTAGGAGAACTCCTTGGTCTTGGGGAGCCTGTTGACAATGCTACCCCAGTTTCATTTGCTAATTCAGACCATCCAGTCTCCATTTTTGTTTTTTTGAGACAGAGTTTCACTCTGTTGCCCAGGCTGGAGTGCAGTGGCGTGATCTTGGCTCATTGCAACCTCCACCCCCCAGGTTCAAGAGATTCTCCTGCCTCAGCCTCCTGAGTAGCTAGGATTACAGGCACCCACCAGCATGCCCAGCTAATTTTTTTTTTTTTTTTTTGAGACAGAGTCTTGCTCTGTCGCCCAGGCTGGAGTGCAGTGGAGCGCTCGGCTCACTGCAAGCTCCGCCTCCTGGGTTCAAGCAATTCTCCTGCCTCAGCCTCCCAAGTAGCTGCGATTACAGGTATGCACCGCCACATCCAGCTAAGTTTTGTACTTTTAGTAGAGGTGGGGTTTCACCATGTTGGCCAGGATGGTCTCAATCTCTTGACCTCGTGATCCACCCGCCCCGGCGTCCCAAAGTGCTGGGATTACAGGCGTGAGCCACCGCAGCCGGCCAATTTTTGTGTTTTTAGTGGAGACTGGGTTTCACCATGTTGCCAGGTCTGGTCTCGAACTCGTGACCTCAAGTGATCAGCTCGCCTTGGCTTCCCAAAGTGCTGGGATTATAGGACAGTCCCTGTTCTTGCTTACGTATCTGAGAGGAAGGTGGTGCAGAGGGCAGGAGCACACTCAAGAGTCAAGAAGGCCTGGATTCAAATCCTGCAGATTGACCTTGGGCTGGGCACACAAATCCCGTGTTCCTCAATTTCTTCATCTGTGAAATGGAGATTATAATGCCCACCCCTCACGGAGCTACTATAACAATTCGAGAGAATGTAAGTCAACTTCCCAGCACAGAAGCAATTGTGGCTAACCCAGAAATTCCCTTCTTCTCCACCCTGGCAAGCCTCCCCATTCTTTGAAGTTCAAATTCTACTTCCTAGAAGAAGCCTTCTCTAACTTTTCCAGGTAGCCTTGAGCTGTCTTCTCTCCACTCCCACTGCACTGACCCCAGAATTCTTGTGTTCTCATTGGTTCACTAGAATCAACTTTCTCTTTCCAGCCAGATAATAAATGACAAAGTCAATTGCAAACCTGCCCCACAGCATCTCACAAGAGGCACTTGAAAAGTAACTTGCAGACAGGCATGAGGTGGCTCACGCCTGTAATCCCAGCACTTTGGGAGGCCGAGGTGGGTAGATATGTTGAGCCCAGGAGTTCACTTGAATTCAGATATGTTGAGCCCAGGAATCACTTGAACCCGGGAGGCAGAGGTTGCAGTGACCTAAGATCATGCCACTGCACTCCAGCCTGGGTAACAGAGTGAGACTCTGTCAAAAAAAAAGAAAGAAAGAAAGAAAGAAACTTGCAGCAGCCAGGTGTGGTGGCTCATGCCTGTAACCCTATCCCTTTGGGAGGCCAAGGCAGGAGGATTGCCTGAGCCTGGCAGACTGAGCTACAATTGTGCTACTGTACTCCAGCCTGGGTGACAGAGTGAGACCTTGTCTCAAAAAATAAAAAGAAGGCTGGGCATGGTGGCTCACGCCTGTAATCCCAGCACTTTGGGAGGCCGAAGTGGCTGGATCACGAGGTCAGGAGATCAAGACCATCCTGGCTAACACGGTGAAACCCCGTCTCTACTAAAAATACAAAAAATTAGCTGGGCGTAGTGGCGGGAGCCTGTAGTCCCAGCTACTCAGGAGGCTGAGGCAGGAGAATGGCGTGAACCCGGGAGGCGGAGCTTGCAGTGAGCCAAGATCGCGCCACTGCACTCCAGCCTGGGCGACAGAGCGAGACTCCGTCTCAAAAAAGTAAAATAAAATAAAATAAAATAAATGAAAAGTAACTTGCTAAGGTGGCCCAGGACTCTGGGAAAGGGTGACGATTTGGAGCCAGAAAACTGGGTGGGAATCCTACCTCTGCTGTCTGACTTTCCAGCAAGACACACAATTCGGCCTAAGGTTTCTTATCTAGAAAATGTCTACCTGACACAGTTGCTATGGAGGACAGATGAGCCAACACATGTGAAAGCCCTTTTGTTATAAACTAAAAAGTGATATTTGAGGGATTATTATTTTCAGATTGAGGGATTATTTTCAGATTCTCTATCCATGTCTCAACCGACATCTCAGCTTTCCTACTAAGACTCGAGAGATCAGCACATCCCACCAAGCTTCTAAGCCCCACAATAATCTACCAAAACCCCCATTCCTGTCTAACCTATACAAAAGCCAGCAGCTAAGAACACACAGCATCTACAGAACAGAAACTTTATCCCAGCTCAGGGACAACAAAGTCTCTCTCCCATCCTCAGATCTCATCCCTCCTGGACAGGTTCTTTCTTCCCACCTTAAGTCTCCCCACTTCTCAAACATGCTCCATCCAACTGTTGACCAGGTGTCATTTCCACCTTGCAGTCCAACTTCTGTGGGAGGTGGACACGGGGAAAGAAGACCACCACGGAGGGGATGGCTGTATGTGTGTAGAGGAAGTATTGGTAGTAGAACTAAAGATTCTGCCAGCATTTTGTGTCCAACACAGTTGCTACATGTACTATAATTATCTCATTTGTGTGAAAATTCAAGGATCTGCATTCTGCTATTTTCATCAGGCTGAACTGCAGATGCTGAGGAATATGGCAAGAAGTTGGGGTTCAAAGTCTGATGCCAAAGCTAGCAACCCGAGAAATAAAACCGCTGATCACCAGCTCCCCACTCAGGCCCAGCCCCCTTTTAGAGCCCCCAGACTCCCCACGCAGGGCCCTAGCCCCCTAGTCTTCCCCGTCAATGCCCTGTTGGCAATACAGCCATCAGGTTCTATCAGAGTGAGCTGTTTTTATATGATTATTTTCCCCCCTGGGAAGACGGCTTTGTCTGTGAAAGTCCCCCCAACCAGGCGCCTTATAAACGCCTAAAACAGACAGAGTTGAGGAGAAAGGAGGGGAAAGGAGGAGGGAGCAAACCCGGAGGGGGGCCCTGAGGTTCGCAGCGGGCAGGATGGGGGTATGAGGCCGGAGTCGGCGGCTCCCAGGCCCCCAGCCCCGTCAGGGCGCCCCCGTCCCCAGGCGCCAGAGCCGGGGTCCGCAGCCCCCTAGCACTCCCTGGACGGCCGCGGGCCTCCCACAGGCCTCGAAGTCCAGAGACTGATCCTGCGACCGGAAACGCCCCCCTGCCCAGCAGGCCCAGACCGCGCCCCCCTTTCCTGCCGCCCCCTTCCCGCGGGCCCGGCTGCAGGCCCCGGATCCCCGGGCTCGCGTGGCCGCCGCAGCCGAAAGGGGCGGCCCGTCGGGCGGCCCCGCTCCCCGGCCCTCGCCGCGGCCCCTCCAACTCCGGGTGCTGCGGGGCCAAGGACAACACAAAAGGAAGGGGGGCCCTGCCAGCGACGCCCCTGCCAGCCCCCGAGACCCCCTGCGCGGGGTCGGCAAAGCATCTGGACACCCCAGAAGCTCCGGACGCCGAAGAGAGAGGCCCCACGAAAATTTCAAGACACCTCCTGGGGGCTGCAGGGGCGGCCAAGTCTCCCCAGCGCCAGGTGCCCCCGGCCACACGGTAACTTTTAAACTTTGGGGCAGGGCACGGGGACCGGGATCCCCAAAAAGGAGCAAATGGGGTTTTAGAGACGATTTATTTTTTGCAAAATCCCACTTTCCAGGTGGCCCGGCGCGCGGCCCCGGCCTGGAAAGGGCTCTCTTCGCCTCTTCCCCAGCCCTGCCCGGCCCGGGCGTCCCCGAACCCTCGCGCGCGGGCGGCTCCGGACGCAGTGTCCCCGGCCTCTGCCCCGCGGGGCTCGGGCCGCGCCAAGCACTCACCTCCGCCGGGCTGCGCTCCCCGCGGGCCTGCGCCGAGCCCGATAAATGGTATGCTATGACTAGAGGTATGATTACGTTATTATTATTAGTAATAATAAGAGTAAATGCTATTTAATTACGGGCGGCCGCATCCTGCTCCCGGCGCCGCCGCCCCGGCAGCTCCGTCCATGTGGCTCTGGAGCGCTTTACTTTCATTTCCAGCCCCTCGGCTGGCCGCTCGCGGCAGCACCCGCTGGAGGCACTGTCTCCCTGCAGCTCTTCCTCCTCGGGTCCTAGAGAGCTCGGCTCCCGTCGCCTCGCCGCGCCCGGGGTGGGCGGCGCGGGCTGCGCACCTGGGGAGAAGGGCGGGGGGCGTGGGGGCGAGTCGGGGAAGCCCCATTCCCCGTCGAAAGCTCATGCCTGGAATTCACCTTTATTTTCTTTAAAAGTGTCCTGCCTTTTAGGGGGGTTTCTTTTGGCAGTTCTGCATTTCTGGGCTGATGCTGCTCAAACCCAGCGCCTCCGCCCTTCCCCATCTGTGTCAAAAGTCCCCCCGCCCCCCTTCTCCGGCTTCCAGGTGCTTTCATGGAAGGCTGCCCAAAACCCTGGTTGCGTTGTGCCCTTCTCATAGATGGGAACCGGAGACACATAGAAGAATCAGGACCTCACTTGGCTGGAGTTTTATGTATAGGATGTTAAAAAAAATATTGAATGACACTTGTTAAAGACTACAAGGCCGACTTTATTGGCATCATGATGGGTGTAGGGACCACTGCAGTGGGTTTTGCGGTCAGGGAGAGTATTTGGGCTCAATTCAGAAATCAGCATGGGCAACTGGGAATTTATGAGGAAGGAGAAAGGATCCACTGATTGAGCGCCAGTGCATAGGAAACTGCATCAGAGATGAGAGGATTCTCGCTTAAACCCATCTAACAAGATTCTTGCTGAAGGCAGGGCAAGGTGATCAGACATCACCTGGGGAATGGTGGAAAATGAGGAACCTGATTAGATATTGACAATCAGGGCTGGGTGCAGTGGCTCACGCCTGTAATCTCAGCACTTTGGGAGGCCAAGACGGGTGGATCACCTGAGGTCAGGAGTTCAAGACCAGACTAGCCAACGTGGTGAAACCCCATCTCTACAAAAATACAAAAATTAGCCAGGCGTGGTGGTGGGTGCCTGTAATCCCAGCTACTCAGGAGGCTGAGGCAGGAGAATCACTTGAACCCCAGAGGTGGAGGTTGCAGTGAGCCAAGATCATGCCATTGCACTCCAGCCTGGGCAACAAGAGCAAAACTGTCTCCAGAAATATATGTGTGTGTGTGTGTGTGTGTGTGTGTGTGTGTGTGTGTGTGTGTGTGTGTGAGTTCCCAATACCCCCTAGGCAATTTACAATGAAACACCCTTGACAACTTATCACATTTACCACCATGGTTATTATCACTCTCATTTCATCGATGAGGATGCTGAGGCCAGTTGGATTGCTGCATTTTGCCTCAAGTGAACTAGATGGCAAATGGTCTGGTGATTCCACCACCCCAGGTTGCTGGTGAAATAATGAACACATATTCTTGAAGAGGACTGTCCATCATTCAAGGGGGATTCAGCAGGACACCAGCCTCTTATCTCTTCAAGTTGGTACCAACTTGTTCAATTGTTTGGGCTGCCTAAGATGGTAAAGGGGTCTTTATTACAAGACCCCAACCAGAGGTGAGGATGCTTTGGAGAAAAGGGCCAGGAGGAGGCCGGGCGCGGTAGCTCACGCCTATAATCCCAGCACTTTGGGAGGTTGAGGCGGGCGGATCATGAGGTCAGGAGATCGAGACCATCCTGGCTAACACGGTGAAACCCCATCTCTACTAAAAATACAAAAAATAAGCTGGGCGTGGTGTCGGGAGCCTGTAGTCCCAGCTACACAGGAGGCTGAGACAGGAGAATGGCGTGAATCCGGGAGGCGTAGCTTGCAGTGAGCCGGGATCATGCCACTGCACTCCAGCCTGGGCGACAGAGTGAGACTCTGTCTCAAAAAAAGAAAGAAAAAGAAAAGGGCCAGGAGGCTGGCATCGGTAGGCTTTCTGGGAAGCCCCATGTTGTCAGTCCCATGTTGTCACAGTGTGCTCTATGTCCCCATGTTAAAGCTGAAATAGCAGTAACAGCCACCGCTTCTTTACTATGAGCCAAACACTTTGCATATGTTGATTCTTTTACCCTCTCAAAAACCCTGTAGCTCGGCACGGTGGCTCACATCTGAAATCCTAGCACTTTGGGACGCCAAGGTAGGTGGATCACCTAAGGTTAGGAGTTCGAGACCAGCACGGCTAACGTAGTGAAACCCTGTCTCTACAAAAAAATACAAAAATTAGGCCGGGCGCGGTGGCTCAGGCCTGTAATCCTAGCACTTTGGGAGGCCGAGGCGGGTGGATCACAAGGTCAGGAGATCGAGACCATCCCAGCTAACACGGTGAAACCCCATCTCTACTAAAAATACAAAAAATTAGCCAGGCATGGTGGCGGGCGCCTGTAGTCCCAGCTACTCGGGAGGCTGAGGCAGGAGAATGGCTTGAACCTGGGAAGTAGAGGTTACAGTGAGCCGAGATCGTGCCACTGCATTCCAGCCTGGGCGACAGAGCGAGACTCCATCTCAAAAAAAAAAAAATTCATATGTTGAATCTCTAATCCCTGATTTGATGGTATTAGGAGGTGGGGCCTTTGGGAGATAATTAGGTCATGAAAATGAAGCCCTGATGAATGGAATTAGTGCTCTTATAAGAGACACTGGGGAGATTATCTCTCTCTGCCAGGTGAGGATACAGCAAGAAAGCAGCCATCTATAAACCAGGAAGGCGGCCCTCACCAACAACCTGACCATGCTGGGACCCTGGTCGTGGACTTCCAGCCCCCAGATCAGTGAGAAATAAATTTCTACTGCTTAAGCCATCCAGTCCATGGTATCTGTCATAGCAGCCTGAGGTGACTAAGATGGGGGTAATGTGAGTACTGTACTCGATGGGGTACACCCAAAATCCCAACACTAGGAGGCCGAGGTGGGCAGATCGCTTGAGCCCAGGAGTTTGAGACCAGCCTGGGCAACATGACAAAACCCTAACTCTGCAAAAAATACAAAAAATTGGCCGGGCGTGGTGGCTAATGCCCGTAATCCCAGCACTTTGGGAGGCCGAGGCCGGGCGTGGTGGCTCACCCCTGTAATCCCAGAATTTTGGGAGGCCAAGGTGGGCGGATCACCTGAGGTCAGGAGCTTGAGACCAGCCTGACCAACATGTTGAAACCCCATCTCTACGAAAAATACAAAAATGAGCCAGGTGTGGTGGCACGCACCTGTAATCCCAGCTCCTCAGGAGGCTAAGGCAGGAGAATCGCTTGAACCTGGGAGGTGGAGGTTGCAGTGAGCCGAGATCGCGCCATTGCACTCCAGCCTGGGCAACAGAGTGAGACTCAGTCTCAAAACAACAACAACAACAAATTAGCCAGGTGTGGCCAGGCGCTGTGGCTCACGCCTGTAATCCCAGCACTTTGGGAGGCCAAGGCGGGTGGGTCACGAGGTCAGGAGTTCAAGACCAGCCTAGCCAATATGGTGAAACCCTGTCTCTACTAAAAATACAAAAATTAGCTGGGCGTGGCCAGGCACGGTGGCTCATGCCTGTAATCCCAGCACTTTGGGAGGCAGAGGCGGGTGGATCACCTGAGGTAGGGAGTTCGAGACCAGCCTGGCCAACATGGGGAAACCTTGTCTCTACTAAAAATACAAATATCAGCCAGGCGTGGTCACGGGCGCCTGTGATCCCAGCTACTTGAGGCTGAGTAACAAGAAACGCTTGAACCCAGGAGGCGGACGTTGTAGTGAGCCGAGATCGTTCCACTGCACTCCTGCCTGGGTGACAAGAGCGAGACTCCATCTCAAAAAAAGAAAAAAAAAAATTAGCTGGGCGTGGTGGTGTGCACCTGTAGTCCCAGCTGCTCTGGAGGCTGAACCAGGAGGATGGCTTGAACCTGGGAGGCAGAGGTTGGAGTGAGCCAAGATCACACAACTGCACTCCAGCTTGGGCGATAGAGCAAGACTCGGTCTCAAAAAAAAAAAAAAAAAAAAAAGCCAGGTGTGGTGATGTGTGTGTAGTCCCCAGCTATTCAGGAGGGTGAGCCCAGAATCCTCAAAGCGGAGGATCCTTGAGCCAAGAAGGTGGAGGCAGCAGTGAGCCATGGCTTCATCACTGCACTCCAGCCTGGGTGACAGAGCAAGAGGTTGTCTTGAAAAAAAAAAAAAAAGTACTGTACCCAACTGAAAGGGTCTGTGATGGCTCATGATGTGTCCACTTGCCTGGGCCACAGGGTGCCCAGATATTTGGTCAAACATTCTGGGTGCTTTTGTGGGGGTGTTTCCAGATGAGTTTAATATTTAAATCTATAAACTGAGTAAAGCTGATTGTCCTCCCTAAGGTGGATGGGCCTCATCCAACCAGTTGATGACCTGAATAGAACAAAAAAGCTGACTCTCCTGCAAAGAAGAGAGAATTCCTCCTCCATGATGGCCTTCAAGCTGGGACATTGACTTTTGCTTTCTTTTTTTGAGAGGGAGTCTTGCTCTGTTGTCCAGGCAGGAGTGTAGTGGTGCTATCTCAGCTCACTGCAACCTCCACCTCCCAGGAGTTCAAGTGATTCTCCTGCCTCAGCTTTCCAAGTAGCTGGGGCTACAGATATGCGCCACCACACCCGGCTAATGTTTGTATTTTTGGTAGTAACGGTTTTCACCGTATTTACCAGGTTGGCCTTGAACTCCTGATCTCAAGTGATCTGTCCGCCTCGGCCTCCCAAAGTGCTAGGATTATAGGCCTGAGCCACTGCGCCCAGTCGGGACATTAATTTTTTCCCTGCCTTTGGATTTGACCTGAACCATCAGCTCTTCCTGGCTCTCTAGCCTGCTGACTGTAGATCTTAGGACTTCTCAGTCTTCATACTTACATGAGCCAATTCCTTAAAATAAATCACTTTGTGTGTGTGTCTCTCTCTCATACGTACATATATCTCCTGCTGATTCTATTTATCTGGAGAACTCTAATATAGGGTCACTGCAAGGACTGAGTTATTATATGCATAGCATTGATATATGTGTGTGTGTTTTTTTTTTTTTTTTGGAGATGGAGTCTCACTCTGTCACCCAGGCTAGAGTGTAGTGGCACAATCTCGGCTCACTTCAACATCCATCTCCTGGGTTTAAGAGATTCTCCTGCCTCACCCTCCTGAGTTGCTGGGATTATAGGCATGTGCCACCACACCCGGCTAATTTTTATATTTTTAGTAGAGATGGGGTTTCACCATGTTGGCCAGACTGGTCTTGAACTCCTGACCTCAGGTGATCCACTCACCTCGGCCTCCCAGAGTGCTGGGATTACAGGCATGAGCCACCTCACCCAGCCTTGTTTGTTTGTTTGTTTGTTTTTAAATTCATAATCAGTGTTTTTATTATTTTCGATGGTGGCTCATTTCTAAGTTAAGTGATGTATACTGTCTACATTTCCCATCTATAAGCTTTTGTTTTTCCTGGACTTTTGTTACCTAATTTTGATTTGCTTAGGTTATTATTTTTTTAATCTATGGCATGTCTTCCTATCACTATGTACAATGGCTTTCAGTAGAACTTTTTACATCTTCAAACTCATCAGATAACTGTGTTTTAATATCTTTTTCTGAGGACATTCCTCCCAAATCCCTCTGTTCTGCTCCACTTGGGGCTGATAGGTCCTTTTCTGTTTTGAGACAGGGTCTCACTCTGTTGCCCAGGCTTCAGTGTAGTGGCACGACCTTGGCTCACCGCAGCCTTGACCTCTGGGCTCAAGAGGTCCTCTGATTGTTCTTTATTCTTGTTGCACAGCTGTTGTTTGGGGACTTCCCTTTGCCATCATCCTGGGATTTCCCTTTACCTCCTTCCTGTGTGATCTCCGGTTTCCTAAAATCCCTGTCTTCCTCTCTGTTAGGTTATTCCCTGTTTTGGTCAGTACATCATCCAAGAGTTTCCTGACAAAAGAGATGGGAAGGTAATTTGTTTCTCCAGAAGTAGATTTTTCTTTCTTTTTTTTTTTTTTTTAATTGATCATTCTTGGGTGTTTCTCGCAGAGGGGGATTTGGCAGGGTCACAGGACAATAGTGGAGGGAAGGTCAGCAGATAAACAAGTGAACAAAGGTCTCTGGTTTTCCTAGGCAGAGGACCCTGCGGCCTTCCGCAGTGTTTGTGTCCCTGGGTACTTGAGATTAGGGAGTGGTGATGACTCTTAAGGAGCATGCTGCCTTCAAGCATCTGTTTAACAAAGCACATCTTGCACTGCCCTTAATCCATTCAGCCCTGAGTGGATACAGCACATGTTTCAGAGAGCACAGGGTTGGGGGTAAGGTCACAGATCAACAGGATCCCAAGGCAGAAGAATTTTTCTTAGTACAGAACAAAATGAAAAGTCTCCCATGTCTACCTCTTTCTACACAGACACGGCAACCATCCGATTTCTCAATCTTTTCCCCACCTTTCCCCCCTTTCTATTCCACAAAGCCGCCATTGTCATCCTGGCCTGTTCTCAATGAGCTGCTGGGCACACCTCCCAGACGGGGTGGTGGCCGGGCAGAGGGGCTCCTCACTTCCCAGTAGGGGCGGCCGGGCAGAGGCGCCCCTCACCTCCCGGACGGGGAGGCTGGCCGGGCGGGGGGCTGACCCCCCCACCTCCCTCCCGGATAGGGCGGCTGGCCGGGCGGGGGACTGACCCCCCCACCTCCCTCCTGGACGGGTTGGCTGGCCGGGCTGGGGGCTGATCCCCCACCTCCCTCCCAGATGGGGCGGCTGGCCGGGCGGGGGGCTGATCCCCCACCTCCCTCCCGGATGGGGCGGCTGGCCGGGCGGGGGGCTCACCCCCCCACCTCCCTCCCGGACGAGGTGGCTGCCGGGCGGAGACGCTCCTCACTTCCCAGACGGGGTGGCTGCTGGGCGGAGGGGCTCCTCACTTCTCAGACGGGGCGGCTGCCGGGCGGAGGGGCTCCTCACTTCTCAGATGGGGCGGCCGGGCAGAGACGCTCCTCACATCCCGGACGGGGTGGCAGGGCAGAGGTGCTCCCCACATCTCAGACGATGGGCGGCCGGGCAGAGATGCTCCTCACTTCCCAGATGGGATGGCGGCCGGGAAGAGGCGCTCCTCACTTCCTAGATGGGATGGCGGCTGGGCAGAGACGCTCCTCACTTTCCAGACTGGGCAGCCAGGCAGAGGGGCTCCTCACATCCCAGACGATGGGCGGCCAGGCAGAGAGGCTCCTCACTTCCCAGACGGGGTGGCGGCCGGGCAGAGGCTGCAATCTCGGCACTTTGGGAGGCCAAGGCAGGCTGCTGGGAGGTGGAGGTTGTAGCGAGCCGAGATCACGCCACTGCACTCCAGCCTTGGCACCATTGAGCACTGAGTGAACGAGACTCCGTCTGCAATCCCGGCACCTCGGGAGGCCGAGGCTGGTGCATCACTCGCGGTTAGGAGCTGGAGACCAGCCCGGCCAACACAGCGAAACCCCGTCTCCACCAAAAAAATACGAAAACCAGTCAGGCGTGGCGGCGCACGCCTTCAATCGCAGGCACTCGGCAGGCTGAGGCAGGAGAATCAGGCAGGGAGGTTGCAGTGAGCCGAGATGGCAGCAGTACCGTCCAGCTTCGGCTCGGCATCAGAGGGAGACCTTGGAAAGAGAGGGAGAGGGAGACCGTGGGGAGAGGGAGAGGGAGAAGGAGAGGGAGAGGAGTAGATTTTTCTAACTGCAGGATGGGCTGTTTGTTTGTTTTTAACGAAAAAGTTAGGTGGGCCAGGCACGGTGGCTCATGCCTATAATCCCGGCACTTTGGGAAGCTGAGGCAGGAGCATTGCTTGATCCCAGGAGTTTGAGACTAACTAGCCTGGGCAACATAGTGAGACCCCATATCCACCAAAAGAGAAAAAGGAATTTTTTTAAAAAACCAAGTATTTTAAAAATTATTTCTTTTCTTTTTTTTTTTTTTTTTTTTTGAGACAGAGTCTGGAGTGCAGTGGCGCGATCTCGGCTTACTGCAAGCTCTGCCTCCCGGGTTCTCGCCATTCTCCTGCCTCAGCCTCCCAAGTAGCTGGGACTACAGGCGCCCGCCACCACATTCAACTAATTTTTTTGTAGTTTTAGTAGAGATGGGGTTTCACCGTGTGAGCCAGGATGGTTTCGATCTCCTGACCTGTGATCCGCCCACCTCGGCCTCCCAAAGTGCTGGGATTACAGGCGTGAGGCACTGCACCCAGCCTAAAAATTATTTCTTAATGCTCTTTTGCATTTATACTAAACAGATTATTGACAGTTTTCATTTTATTTATTTATTTATTTACTTTTGAGACAGGTTCTCCCTCCGTTGCCTAGGCTGAAGCACAGTGGTGAGATCACAGCTCGCTTCAGCCTTCAACTCCTGGGCTCAAGCAATCCTACCCCGTCAGTCTCCTGAGTAGCTGGGATTACAGATGTGCATCACCGTGCTGGTTAACTTTTTGTATAATTTTTTTTTTTTTTTTTTGAGAGGAGTCTCCCTCTGTCACCCAGGCTGGAGTGCAGTGGCGCGATCTCGGCTCACTACAAGCTCTGCCTCCCGGGTTCACGCCATTCTCCTGCCTCAGCCTCCCAAGTAGCTGGGACTACAGGCGCCCGCCAACACGCCTGGCTAATTTTTTGTATTTTTAGTAGAGACGGGGTTTCACCATGTTAGCCAGGATGGTCTCAATCTCCTGACCTCGTGATCCGCCCGCCTCGGCCTCCCAAAGTGCTGGGATTACAGGCGTGAGCCACCGCGCCCGGCTAGACAATTTTTTTGTAGAGACAGAGTTTTGCTGTGTTGCCCAGGATGGTCTGGAACTCCTGGGCTCAAGCAATCCTCACACCTCAGCCTCCCAAGGTGTTGGGAATACAGGCGTGAGCCACTGTGCCCAGCTCAGTTTTCATTAAAAAAGAAAAAAAAAATTGTTTCCATTTTGGAACAAGAGGATTATTTATTTATTTATTTATTTTGAGACGGAGTCTCACTCTGTTGACCAGGCTGGAGCGCAATGGCATGATTTCGGCTCATGCAACCTCCGCCTCCCGGGTTCAAGCGATTCTCCTGTCTCAGCCTCCCGAGTAGCTGGGATTACAGGGGCCCAGCTACTTTTTGTATTTTTAGTAGAGACGGGGTTTCACCATGTTGGTCAGGCGGGTCTCAAAATCCTGAGCTCGTGATCCACCCACCTCGGCCTCCCAAAGTCCTGGGATTACAGGCATGAGACATTGCACCCGGCCACAAGAGGATTATTAAAAGAGAAGATGAAGGCCAGGTGCAGTGACTCACGCCTGTAATCCCAGCACTTTAGGAGGCAGAGGCGGGCAGATCATCTGAGGTTGGGAGTTTGAGATCAGCCTGGCCAACAGGGTGAAACCCCGATCTCTACTAAAAATACCAAAAATTAACCAGGCGTGGTGTTGGGCGCCTGTAATCCCAGCTACTCGGGAGGCTGAGGCAGGAGAATCTCTTGAACCAAGGAGGCAGAGGTTGCAGTGAGCCGAGATCGCACCATTACACTCCAGCCTAGGCAATGAGAGCGAAACTCCGTCTCAAAAAAAATGTTTTAATATTAAAAAATAAATTGAAAGTAAAATACAATGAAAATACAAAAATTAGCCAGGCATGGTGGCACGTGTCAGTAATCCCAGCTACTCAGGAGGCTGAAGCAGGAGACTCTCTTGGACCCAGGAGGCAGAGGTTCAAGAGAACCTCCTTTCAGGAAGCCGAGATTGCACCACTGCACCCCAGCCTGGGGGACAGAGTGAGACTCCACCAAAAAAAGAAAAAAGGAATTATTATTATTATTATTATTTTTGAGACAGAGTCTCGCTCTGTCGCCCAGGCTGGAGTGCAGTGGCGCGATCTCGGCTCACTGCAAGCTCCGCCTCCCAGGTTCACGCCATTCTCCTGCCTCAGCCTCCCGAGTAGCTGGGACTACAGATGCCCGCCATCACGCCCGGCTAATTTTTTTGTATTTTTTTAGTAGAGACGGGGTTTCACCGTGTTAGCCAGGATGGTCTCGATCTCCTGACCTCGTGATCCACCCGCCTCGGCCCCCCAAAGTGCTGGGATTACAGGCGTGAGCCACTGCGCCCGGCCTATTTTTTTTTTTTTTTTTTAAGATGGATCTCACTCTGTTGATCCGGCTGGAGTGCAGTGGCGTGATCTCGGCTCACTGCAACCTCCACCTCCTAGGTTCAAGTGATTCTCCTGCCTAGGCCTCCCAAGTAGCTGGGACCACAGGCACGTGCCACAGTGCCTGGCTAATTTTTTTGTATTTTTAGTAGAGACAGGGTTTCACCATATTGGTCAGGCTGGTCTTGAACTCCTGACCTCGTGATCTGCCCACCTCGGCCTCCCAAAGTGCTGGGATTACAGGCGGGAGCCACCGCACCCAGCCGATGAAGGAATTATTAAAAGAGAAGATAATCTGCCAGAAACCATTTGGTACCGGGAAATCCTCCATAAACATTAGAGCAGAATTTAAAACTCCTCCATAGACACCATCCTTTTCAATCTCTTTCATCACTGGATTTTTCAGGAGCTGGAACAGTGCCTATTGGAACATAGATGTTTGATAACTATTTGTAGAACAAATGAATTATTGTAATGATGGTTATTTATCAAGGTTAAATAGTTGCTCTAGTGGGATGCCCTTGGTTTGAGTCCTGAGAAAGATGTGGTTCGACTGTCCTTCATAGATGATGCAGCCAACCCACTCCCACCAGTGGAGGGGACCCTGGGGGAGGCTGCCTTGCCCTGCAGGTGGGCTGACCCATCTCTCTCCAGGGGCTGCAGGCGAGCACCCAGTTGGGTGTTGGGAATTTCCCTCCACATTCCTCACATGTCTGGCATACTTTAGCCATTTGTTTTTGATCTGACTAAATGGCAAGTCAGCAGCCTTGGTCTGTTTTCAGGAATCCAACATAAATATTATTATTTATTCCATTTACAATTGGCAATTAAGTTCGTTTTCAGGCACCAGAATGGAATTTAAAACACTCAGTTAAGTAAACCAGACTAATCAGAGGCAGCCTGCTTTTGTCTTTGAAACATTCTTTACAAAAACAACAAAAAAAGGCTGCACAACAGAGAAAGGCCTGGAACACTCTCTGCTTCTCCTGATTCCCCCTTAAACTCACCTCGCACTCACAAGTGAAGTGTATATGTTGAAAACAACCCTAGAAGGCCGGAAATGGTGGCTCACACCTGTAATCCCAGCACTTTGGGAAGCCAAGGTGGGTGGATCACCTGAGTCAGGAGTTTGAGACTAGCCTGGACAACACAGTGAAACCCCATCTCTACTAAAAATGCAAAAATAAGCTGGGCATGGTGGTGGGAACCTGTAATCCCAGCTACTCGGGAGTCTTAGGCAGGAGAATCGTTTGAACCCGGGAGGCAGAGGTTACAGTGAGCCTTGATTGTGCCATTGCACTCCAGCCTGGGTGACAGAGTGAGACTCCATCTCAAAAAAAAAAAAAAAAAAGTAATAATAATAATAGAAAAGGACCCTAGAGACCTGTCTTCTATTCTCTTTCTCTCTCTCTCTCTCTCTCTTTTTTTTTTTTCTTTGAGACAGGGTCTTGTTCTATCATTCAGGCTGGAGTGCAGTGGCCTGACCATGGCTCACTGCAACCAACCTCCACGTTCTGGGCTCAAGGATCCTCCTGCATCAGCCTCCCTAGTAGCTGGGACTCCAAGTATGTACCACCATGCCTGGCTAATTGTTTTTAGTAGAGACAGAGTCTCACTATATTGCCCAGACTGGTCTCAAATCCTGGGCTTTAGCAATCTTCCTGCCTTGGCCTCCCACAGTGCTGGCATTACAGTTGGTTGTGAGCCACCATGCTCAGCCTTGTCTCATGTGTAAGTCACACTGTAACTTGGGCCTTAGTTCTTCATTTGTTGAAATAAGGAACAAGATAGTCTTGGATGACACTATCCATCTGTCAAAGGCCATGATTACACTTCTTGGGCCAGGCAGACTAGCTCTCAGGTGATAACTTGAAAGAGAGAAAGCTGGAGAAAGGGCTGGAAGGAGAAAGAGAGAAGATAAGTGTGTTGCTTGGAAACAGTGATGATTCTTTTTTTTGAGGCAGAATTTTGCTCTTGTTGCCTAGGCTGGAGTGCAATGGCGTGATCTCAGCTCACTGCAACCTCCGCCTCTTGGGTTCAAGAGATTCTCCTGCCCCAGCCTCCCGAGTAGCTGGGATTACAGGTGTCTGCCACCATGCCCAGCTAATTTTTTGTATTTTTAGTAGAGACAGGGTTTCACCATGTTGGCCAGGCTGGTCTCGAATTCCTGACGTCAGATGATCCACCTGCCTCGCCCTCCCGAAGTGCTGGGATTACAGGCATGAGCCACTGTGCCCGGCCAGAAACAGTGATGATTCTTGATTCTTCTGATTCACTGGGCACCCTTGGGCAAACCCCCTGTTCCTTTTCAAACCCCAGTCTCCCCATTTGTAAAGAGGTTTAAGATAGATTCAGGAGGCCGGCCACAGTGGCTCACGCCTGTACTGTACTCCCAGCACTTTGGGAGGCCGAGGTAAGTGGATCACCAGGTCAGGAGTTTGAGACCATCCTGGCCAATATGGTGAAACCGTCTCTACTAAAAATACAAAAATTAGCCGGGCGTGGTGGCGTGCACCTGTAGTCCCAGCTACTCGGGAGGCTGAGGCAGAAGAATCACTTGAACCTGGGAGGCGGAGGTTGCAGTGAGCTGAGATCGCACCACTGCACTCCAGCCTGAGCAACAGAGTGAAACTCCATCTCAAAAAAAAAAAAAAAAAAAATCAGGATATAGGAGTGACAGAATCCAGATTGCTAGGGGGTGCTGTCAGGCTGAGTTTGTGATTTTTAGCTTCGAATGTGAACACCTTCAGGCAGAACATCCACTCTCTAACTCCCCCCAAGCCCCACCAAGCCCCGACAAGCCCCATGACTTCCTGTTACCTCCCAGGTCCTTGAAGGCCACTGAATTTCTGTTGTCTAAGAATTCCCTTCCAGTTCCGAAAACCCAATGTCCTATCAGCTGGATGAGGACGGGATCAGCTAAGATGTTCCCCTGCCCACCTTCCTCTTCCCTTTGGGAGGTCTCTGTGTGAGGGCCAAGGAAAGTCTCAAGAAGTAAAATTGGAAAAGGGAGCCTGCGGATCACCCCAAGGAAAATCCAGACTGATTCGATCAGTCCTAGCTGGAAGCAGCACAGGAATAGCAGGAAGCCTATGACTCATTTTAAGCAAACATCCGGTAACCCGACTGGTATCTGGTTCAAATGGGGAAACCTGAAGCACCTATGACAGGCCAGGCCCAGAGAAGATACTGCCCAGATGGATACAGCGTCTGCTCTGGAGACCCTCCCAGGCTGAGGAGGAAACTGCCAAGAACAGTGTTAACTCTGTCAAAGAGCCCCAGAGTCCCAGGCCAACTGCTGTGGGGCTTTGCATCTTGCTGTGGGCACCTGCAGGAGGGAGAGACTCATGAAGTAGCATTTGACATGGGCCTTGTAGGTAAAAAGGAGAGGGAAGGTGGAAAGAGGATCCACATCTCAGGAACTTTGAGAACTGGGAGAGTTACACTCTGTCTAGAGCTTCAGTTTTCTCATCTCTGTGCTGGGAAGGGTGGTAATGATGCCCACTTCCCTTGTGGTGGTGAAGATTAAATGAGCTGTGTGTAAAAGGATATGGCATGATCTGTTAATTAATTAATTAATTTATTTATTTATTTAGAGACGGAGTTTCGCTCTTGTTGCCCAGGCTGGAGTGCAATGGTGCGTCTCGGCTCACTGCAACCTCCGCCTCCCGGGTTCAAGCGATTCTTCTGCCTCAGCCTCCCGAGTAGCTGGGATTCCAGGCATGCGTCACCATGCCCAGCTAATTTTATATTTTTAGTAGAGACGGGGTTTCTCCATTTTGGTCAGGCTGGTCTCAAACTCCTGACCTCAGGTGATCCGCCCGCCTCGGCCTCCCAAAGTGCTGGGATTACAGGTGTGAGCCACTGCGCCCAGCCTGCATGATCTGTTTAACTTTTTTTTTTTTTCTTTTTTCAGTTTTTGAGACAAGGTCTTGCTCTGTCGCCAGGGCTGAAATGCAGTGGTGCAATCACGGCTCACTGCAGCCTCAAGCTCCCAGGCTCCAGATCCTCCTGCCTCAGGCCCTTAGCTGAGACTACAGGCTTGCACCATCACGTCCAACTAATTTTTGTATTTTTTGTCGAGACAGGGTTTGACCATGTTGCCCAGGCTGGTCTCACACTCTCTCGCCTATAATCCCAACACTTTGGGAGGCCAAGATGGGCAACAAGAGTGAAACTCCATCTCAAAAAAAAAAAACAAAAAAAAAACGCTGTTTGTGTTTTTATGCTTAAATTCACACCTACAGAAAAGTTGCAAAAATGTTCAAAGAACTCCCATATTCTTCAACCAGATTAACTGATTAACATTTTGCCACATTTGTGTCTCTGCTTTCTCTATGTATATGTATAGGTATATTTCTTTTAACCATAAAGGTTGCAGACATCATGTCCTTTTTGTCCCTAATTATTTCAGCATTTTTTTCCAAGAACAAGGGCAGTCTCTTACATAACCCTGTACCATAATCAAAATTAATAAATTTAACATTGATACAATACTATTATCTAATATAGTCAAGTTTTGCTGTTTCAGTATTGTCCTTTATAGCAATCCCCACCCAGGATCCGATCCAGGACCATGTCTTGCATTCAGTTGTCTTTTTCGTTTCCTGTAATCGGCAACAGTTCCTCAGTTTTTCTTTGTCTTACATAATACAGACATTTCCGGAAGGGTACAGATCAGTTATTCTGTACCATGTCCCTCAGCTTGGGTTTCTCATGATTAGACTAAGGTCATGCATTATAGACCGGACGGTGACGCCGTGTTTTTCTCAGTGCATCACACAGAAAGCGTGCGATGAATGTCAGCTTGTCCTGCTGTTGATGTTAACGTGGCCGTTCAAGTGGTGTCTGCGGAGCTTCTCTACGATAGTTACTATTTCCCCTTTTTAATTATCAGGTAATTTGTGCATATTTATGTGGAAGCCTTCGAATGCCCTTTCAGTTTCATGGGACGGAAAAGAGTCTTTTCTTTCGGGAAATGGATACCTGTGTCTTGCCCAAGAGACCCAGCAGCCAGCAGTACCTGTTATCAACAAAGTTACGCGAACAAAACCTTTCCGGAAGAGCTGAGGGACCTGGGTGCAACGCATTCTGGGAATTGTAGTCTCTGGGCGCTCCCGGCTGAACACCTCCCTGCGGTCTCTGCGAGAAAGAGCCAGAAGCCACCAGGGGAGGGCGAAGAGGAGGGCGGTGGAGGACGCTCTGCGCGCGGTGCGCCATGGGACGGGTAGTTCGCGGTGCGCGCCCCATCGCGCTCCCAGATGGGGAACCGGACTACTCTACCCGAGAGGCCGCGCGAGCGGGGCGAGGGCAAGCCGGCCGGGGCCTCGAACAAATCAAATCGAAGCAAAGAAACTGCCGGCTTTCAAAATCCTCCTCCTCCGCCATCATCCGCCGCGGTGCGGAGAGCAGGTGGTGCTGGAAGCGCGTGAGGCCGGGAGCTCGAGAGAGCTAACAGACTAGCCGGCTGGACATCTGGACCGCTGGATCCGGAGGTGGCGACCCCGGCCTGACCCGGACCCTAAATCCGTCCCCGCCCCAGAGGGCGGAGGCGCGCGCTCGATTCCCCCCACGCGGCGGCGCCGCCTGTTTACGGTAGAGTCAGGGTCCCTTTCCTTTCCCCGTCACCTGCCTGGAACAGGGGTGCGGGGCGAGGAGGGCGTGGCGCCCGTGTGCGCCTTCTGCCTGCCCCCTCGGCCTTCTTCACTTAGCCTTCGACGGCCGAGCGCCCCAGGGGTGGCGGTGGGAGTGGGGTTGTTGAGCGGCGCTGGCTCCTTTCACAAATGGGGAAACTGAGGCTTAAAGGGCGTCTGACTCGCCAGAGCAGCTCAGCCTGCAGCTGCTAGCAGTGGCGTCTCATATTAGCATTGTTGTCAACCGGAGGCGGTGCGAGTCCGCCGGGGATTCCAGATGGGGCTCCTGCGCCGCCCGCCTATCATTTGCGGCCTGTATTCGCGCGTCGCTCCCGCAGAGCCACCTCCCAGCAGGCCCACGCCCGCGGGGGCCCCGGGCTGGCGCCGCTGTCCCTGGAATCGATGTGAGTCACTGCTGACGCTTTGCAGGAGCATGCATCTCACCTCAGAAAGTCTCTGACGTTGCTGCGGAGCGGGGAGAGGATGTTTCTCTATTAGCCCTTTGCTTTTGCTCTGGCGCTGATCCTTTGCTGACCTTGGACAAATCAATTTACGTTTCTGTGCTCCAGTTTCTTGGTTTATAAAGTGAGTGTGGAGGGGTGCATCTCTGTCTCGCTCTCTCTTGGACTGAGGAATGGGCCCCCGTTCAGCTGAGAAGTTCTGTCCCTATTCTATCTGGAGGCTTCACCACCACCTTTTACCCTCAAATTGTCCCATCTCAGAACTGCAAGAGATGCTGGGGTTTCAGGTTAATTTTTTTGTTGGTTTTTCTTTAAATTTTTTTATCTTTTTAGAGACGGTCTCCTTCTGTCACCCAGGCTGGAGTGTAGTGGAACGATCACCGCTGAACTGCAGCGTCGGCTTCCTGGGCTCAAGCGATCCTCCCACCTCAACCTCCCAAGTCATGGGGACTACAGATGCCATCACACCTGGCTAATTTTTAAATTTTTCTGTGGAGACAGGGTCTCATTCTGTTGCCCAGGCTTGTCTCGAACCCTGGTCTAAAGTGATCTTCCCGCCTAGCCTCCCAAAATGTTGGAATTACAGGTGTGAGTTATTGCACTGGGCTGGTTTCTGGTTAATTTATTTTTTGAAACAGGGTCTCCAGAAGTACAGCAGCAAGATCTCAGCTCACTGTAGCCTCCACCTACGGGGCTCAAGTGATCCTCCCACCTTACATCCCAGGTAGCTGGGACTGCAGGCACCTGCCACCACACCCAGCTAGTTTTTGTATTTTTAGTGGAGACAGGGTTTCGGCATACTGCCCAGGCTGGTTTCTAACTCCTGTGCTCAATCGATCCGCCCACCTCAGCCTCCGGAAATGCTGGGATTGCAGGAGTGAACCATTACACCCGACTCTGGTTAATTTTTTTTTTTTTTGAGACGGAGTTTCACTCTTGTTGCCCACGTTGGAGTGCAATGCCACGATCTCAGCTCACCCCAACATCTGCCTCCCAGATTCAAGCGATTCTCCTGCCTCAGCCTCCTGAGTAGCTGGGATTACAGGCATGTGCCACCACGCCCGGTTAATTTTGTATTTTTGGTAGAGACAGGGTTTCTCCATGTTGGCCAGGGTGGTCTCGAACTCCCGACCTCAGGTAATCCACCCACCTCAGCCTCCCAAAGTGCTGAGATTATAGGCGTGAGCTACCGCACCCGGCCTGGTTAATTTTTATTTTATTTTATTTTATTTTATTTTTTTGAGGTGAGTCTCGCTCTGTTGCCCAGGCTGGAGTGCAGTGGCGCAATCTCAGCTCACTGCAAGCTCCACCTACCGGGTTCATGCCATTCTCTTGCCTCAGCCTCCCGAGTAGCTGGGACTACAGGCCCCCGCCACCAGGCCCGGCTAATTTTTTGTATTTTTAGTGGAGACGGGTTTCACCGTGTTAGCCAGGATGGTCTCGATCTCCTGACCTCGTGATCCGCCCACCTCAGCCTCCCAAAGTACTAGGATTATAGGTGTGAGCCTTTGCGCCCGGCCCTGGCCTGGTTAATTTTTATGCAATTTCAACTGGTCGTTTCTTGAGCACCTTCTAAATGCCAGGCTCTATGTGGCAAGTAGAGTGATCCTGTCAAAATGTACGTCAGATGACATCTGCTTTCTGCTAAAAACTTCAGTGGTTTTCCTTGTCACTTATAGCGAAAGCCACTGTTCTTCAAATGGGCTTTATGACTTGGGCCCCTTGTTAACTGTCTCTTCTCTTACCTTGTTTTTTTCCTCTCTCTCTGTGCTTCAGCCCCACTGGCCCTGTTGCAGTTTCTCCAACCCTCTGCCCCTACAAGAGCCATTGCATTTGCTATTCCCTTTGCAGGAATCATGTTCCCCCAGATGTGTGCATGGCCCAATCCCTGATATCTTTATTTAACTATTTCCTAATAATGCCTTTTTGTTGTTGTTGTTAATGCCTTTTTGTTGTTGTTGTTGTTATTTGTTTGTTTTGAGTTGGAGTCTTGCTCTGTCGCCAGGCTGGAATGCAATGGCGCGATCTTGGCTCACTGCAACCTCCGCCTCCCGGGTTCAAGCAATTCTCCTGCCTCAACCTCCCGAGTAGCTGGGACTAAAGGCGTGTGCCACCACGCCCAGCTAATTTTTGTATTTTTAGTAGAGACGGGGTTTCACCATGTTGGCCTGGCTGGTCTTGAACTCCTGACCTCGTGATCCACCTGCCTCGGTCTCCCAAAGTGCTGAGATTACAGCCGTGAACCACCACTCCCGGCCCCCCAACCCCCCCCTTTTTTTTTTAAATCACATACTAAATGTGTCATTTAGAACATATGCTTCAAGAGGTCAGGGTTTATGCTTCCTTTACTGCTATACTGCTGACCTGGAACAACATCCAGCACACAGTAGTAATCAATGTGTTTTTGAATGAATGAGTGGACACCTTACCCAGGATAATAATTCATGCTTATTGATAAAGGCAGACAAACCAGGGTTATAAGTTAGAACCCAGAGGAAGCCTAGGGGTGGGAGGATTCAGGGTATCACAACTGTATCTGAGAATGAGGAGGTTGTAGGAGGAGGCCTTTCGGATAGCACCCCCTAGTTCTGCCCCTCATATCTGCTTCCTTGGTCTCTCCTGATTACTTGCTGTTTCTTTTCTTTTTTTGGAGCATCTCACAGATACGTTTATTCATACCACAAAGTAAACACTATTCAGGTATGTAGTGATGTTCCACGTTCCTGTCTAATATAGCTGGCTTCAATTTATAGGCAGTACACATTGAGACATTTAATCTCACATGTACTCCAAGTAAAGCTGGAGTACCATGAGCAGGCGCAGGAGTTCTCAAAGCTTTACTTGTTTTAAAAATTTTCATTTATTGGCCAAGCGTGGTGGCTCATGCGTGTAATCCCAGCACTTTGGGAGGCTGAGGCGAGTGGATCACGAGGTCAGGAGATCGAGACCATCCTGGCTAACACACGGTGAAACCCTGTCTCTACTAAAAATACAAAAAAATTAGCTGGACATGGTGGTGGGTGCCTGTAATCCCAGCTACTCAGGAGGCTGAGGCAGGAGAATGACATGAACCTTGGAGGCGGAGCTTGCAGTGAGCCCAGATGGCGCCACTGTGCTCCAGCCTGGGCGACTGAGCGAGACTCCGTCTCAAAAAAAAAAAATTCTTTCATTTATTTAGTTACTTTTAGAGATAGAGCCTCCCGCTGTTGCCCAGGCTGGAGTGCAGTGGCAGTCATAGCTTACTGCAGCTTTGAACTCCTGGGCTCAAATGATCCTCCTGCCTCAGCCTCTCCAGTAGCTGGGACTGACTACAGGCACGTGCCACCACACCCAGCTAATTTTTATTTTTATTTTTATTTTTTTGAGACAGGGTTTTACTCTGTCACCCAGGCTAGAGTGCAGTGGTGAGATCATGGCTCACTGTAGCCTCTGTCTCCGGGGCTCAATCAATCCTCCCACCTCAGCCTCCCCAGTGGCTGGGATTACTGGTGCACACCACCATACCCTGCTAATTGTATTTATTTTTAGTAGAGATGGGATTTTGCCATGTTGCCCAGACTGGTCTTGAGCTGCTGGGCTCAAGCGATCTTCCCATCACAGCTTCCCAATGTGCTGGGATTACAGGTGTGAGCCACTGTACCTGGCCAGCTTTACTTCTTTTACCAGCACTCCTGATTTTATAAATAGTGAGGCTTATCAACCCCATTTCTACCCAAATCTTCTGGTAGACTTGAGTATAGTAGGGCTTCATAGGTAGCAGCCCTGTCCCTGTCCTATTATGATGGTAGCTGTTGTGATGTGGCGATCTCTGATCTAGAAACCCCTGAGGGGCCATTGTGGCCTGCCCAGTCTCCCGGCCACGGTTGAAACCAGACGTGCAGTGGGGCTGACCCCTGTGCCCCACCCCAGAGTCATGCCAGCGTGGGTGGTGGGGCATTCTCTGGGATGAATGATCTGGATCCCATAGCCATCTGTGTCCTGTTTGAGGAATGGGACCCTCAAACAGAGAACAGCCAAGATGCTCAAGCAGGTGTGTGCTTGGGCCAGACTCTGCAGCCTTTGGTTTGGGACTTGACTGCCATTCACTGAAGGGGCCCAGGAAATGGGCAGCTCACATGGTGTTGCTGGGTGTCCAGCTGCGGCAGTTTAGCAGAGGAGGACTTGTAATGAGATGGTAGCTTCTTATAGGCTAAGACATGATTTTTCTGTTCTTTTACTACCTCCTGCACCTTCTAGAACTGTTCCTTCTCTGATGCTGTTTTCCTTTCTTCCAGTGATTTATCTCTAGGGTCTCCATAGCAGGGGAGGTAGGGTCAGACTCCTGAGATGGCTGATGTCCTACCCTGCCCCCAACCAGGGGCCCCAGGAGACTCCTTTTTCTTACTGCAACTTTGGCCTCCTCAGTCTGCAGATCTCCAGGGGAGCCCACCAGCCTAGTCAACATGGCCTCGGAAGACATTGCCAAGCTGGCAGAGACACTTGCCAAGACTCAGGTGGCCGGGGGACAGCTGAGTTTCAAAGGCAAGAGCCTCAAACTCAACACTGCAGAAGATGGTGAGTTTCTGGAAGTTGTGCACTGGTGTGTCCAGGGGAGGAGAGGGAGTGTACTGAACTCTTACTGGTTGTCAGGCTCTTTCTGCTACATTGTCTCCATTATTTGTCCCAGCAGCTCTGTGAGGTATCATTGGGCCTATTCTAACAATGAGGCTCAGAGATCATTTGCCCAGGAGCAAGCTCCCCTGCACTTTCCATGTTTGTATTGGGCATCCCTTTGTGCCCTGCCCTTTCTTTCTCAGGAGGGGATGATAGGTAATGAGGGGCCACAGTTAGTGCCAGTCCCAAGATACAGCCTCTGACTCTGACTTAATATCCGGTGTTGTCCCCACCCTTGCCCTTAACCCCCATGATCCCAGGCAGGCCTGGGAATAGCTGCAGCTTTCCCCAGAGCTGAGGCTCTGGTGGAGCTGCATTAAAACAACCTGGGCCCTCTTGGGAGATGCTGGTTCATGCAACCAGATGTACCTGGGAGAGGGATGGCTGTCTGTGTGTATACAGGTATTGCAACCACAGAAAACTAGGAACCAGAGAGCAGACCCTGTCTTTTCATCCCTTGTCAAGGCTTGGCTGCCACTGACCAACCCTGAATCACCTGGCACCTGCAAGTGAAGGCACCTGCATCAAGTGAGGCCTCCTGGGATTCTGGCCCAACCAGGGGAACTGGTCTGGACATGCCTGGTTGTCATGTTGTGTAGGCAGCCTTGTTCTCCTCTCCAGGTCGGAGGCTGCTTGAGTCCTTGGGTAGCTGGGAGCGTGCTGATGCATGTTCCTAACATCTCCATAAGGTCTAACGTTTATAGACTTCCTCCCTGTGCATTTATCACTTTTTTTTTTTGAGATGGAGTCTCTGTCACCCAGGCTAGAGTGCAGTGGCACGATCTCAGCTCACTGCAAACCTCTGCCTCACGGGTTCGAGCAGTTCTCCTGCCTCAGCCTCCTGAGTAGCTGGGATTACAGGCGCCCACCACCACACCCGGCTAATTTTTGTATTTTTAGTAGAGATAGGGTTTTGCCATATTGGTCAGGATGCTCTCGAACTCCTCATCTCAGGTGATCTGCCCACCTTGGCCTCCCAAAGTGTTCGGATTACAGGCGTGAGCCACTGTGCCCGGCTTTTTTTTTTTTTTTTGAGATGAGTCTCACTCTGCCACCCAGGCTGGAGTGTAGTGGTGCGATGTTGGCTCATTGCAACTTCTGTCTCCCAGGTTCAAGCGATTCTCCTGCCTCAGCCTCCCAAATAGCTGGGACTGCAGGCTCACACCATCACGCCTGGCTAATTTTTTTTTTTGAGACATAGTCTTGCTCTGTTGCCCAGGCTGGAGTGTGGTGGTGCAATCTCAGCTCACTTTAACCTCTGCCTGGGTTCAGGCAATTCTCATGCCTCAGCCTCCTGGGTAGCTGGGACTACAGGTGTGTACAACCATGCCCAGCTAATTTTCTTTTCTTTTTGTTTTTTTTTTGAGATGGAGTCGTGCTCTGTCACCCAGGCTGGAGTGCAGTGGTGCAATCTCGGCTCACTGTAAGCTCTGCCTCCCTGGTTCACGCCATTCTCCTGCCTCAGCCTCCTGAGTAGCTAGGACTATAAGCACCCACCACCATGCTCCGCTAATTTTTTGTATTTTAGTAGGGATGGGGTTTTACCATGTTGGACAGGCTGGTCTAGAACTCCTGACCTCAGGTGATTCGCCCGCCTCAGCCCCCAAAGTACTGGGATAACAGGCGTGAGCCACTGTGTCTGGCCTTCAGCCTATTTTTGTGTTTGTATTTTTATTATTATTATTTTTTTTGAGACGGAGTCTCGCTCTGTTACCCAGGCTGGAGTGCACTGGCATGATGTTGGCTCACTGCAGGCTCCGCCTCCTGGGTTCATGTCATTCTCCCACCTCATCCTCCTGAGTAGCTGGGACTACAGGCGCCCGCCACCACGCCCGGCTAATTTTTTTGTATTTTTAGTAGAGACGGGGTTTCACCGTGTTAGTTAGCCAAGATGGTCTCGATCTCCTGACCTCATGATCCTCTCACCTCGGCCTCCCAAAGTGTTGGGATTACAGGCGTGAGCCACCGTGCCCGGCCCCTTATTTTTGTATTTTTAGTAGAGACGGGGTTTTGCCATGTTGGCCAGGCTGGTTTTGAATTCTTGACCTCAGGTGATCCGCCCACTTTGACCTCGTTTATCACTTTTGATGCTTGCGTCACCCTTGTGGGAGATAGATTGGAATGTTGCTGTTTTATAAATGAGAAAAAGGAATTTAGGAGACTTTAAGTAACTTGACCAAGGTCACACATTTGATAAATAGCAGAGCTAGGATTTTCACAGAGGTTCAGTGAAATCCCTATTCCTGTGCTTCTAATTAGACATTGAGCTCCGTTTAGGAAACAGAGATTTGATGGCAAATGCCATTTATTGAACACCGTGTCAGATAAGGGTATTAAGTGCCAGATAAATAGTATCTCAGTTTATCTTCACAAAATCCTTTGAGATAGATTGCATTTCCATTTTGCAGATTGGAAAACTGAGGTTTAGGGAGGTGGTATGACATGCCTAAGGGCACAGCTTTAATGAGTAGAGCTGGGATTAGAACTCAAGTTTGGGCCAGGTGCGGTGGCTCACGCCTGTAATCCCAGCACTTTGGGAGGCCGAGGTGGGCAGATCACCTGAGGTCAGGAATTCCAGACCAGCCTGGCCAACATGGAGAAACCCTGTCTTTACTACAAATACAAAAATTAGCCGGGCGTGGTGGTGGACACCTGTAATCCCAGCTACTCTCCGGAGGCTGAGGCAGGAGAATCGCTTGAACCCGGGAGGCGGAGGTTGCAGTGAGCCGAGATGGCACCACTGTACTCCAGCCTCGGTGACAGAACGAGACTATCTCAAAAAAAAAAAAAAAAAACTCAAGTTTGGCTGGCTCTGAAATCCATCCAGTTAACTTCTTTACTCTCCCAGCACAGGCTGAATGTGGTGTCTCCCATTTTGTAAGTCCCCAGGGGTGCCCAGCTTACCCAGCTCCTAAGAAGCAGCAAATCTGGAATAGGAATGATATACCCAGGTAACTAAGTGAAGGCAAAATGTGAATATACTCTATGAAAACAAGTGAAAAGGCTCTGGGAAGTAAGGCAGGGAGAGGTCTCACTTTTACTTTAAGAGCACCCAGGAAGTCTTTTCATCCCTTGCCAAGGCTTGGCTGGCACTGACCAACCCTGAATCCCCTGGCATCTGGAAGTGAAGGTACCCGCATCAGTGAGCCATCCTTGGGTTCTGGCCCAACCAGGGAAACTTGGACCCACCTTGGACAACTTCTTAGGGAGCCCCTGCTAGGTTATAAGTCCTTTCTCAAGACCCTTCTTGACCAGAAGGTCAAGTTCAAACTTTATCTCCCATACCCATCTCTATCTCTTCCCTCCCACATGTCACCCTACTCCATCCTGTACCAGCCAGACTCAACTTTTTGTTTCATGTAAGTTTTGGTTTTGTTCAGATTATACAATTAATGCAGGTTTATTATAGAATACAGAAACATTCAAAGAACAGGGAAAAAATATATCCTCACTTTCGGCCGGGCGCGGTGGCTCACGCCTGTAATCCCAGCAGTTTGGGAGGCCGAGGCGGGCGGATCACGAGGTCAGGAGATCGAGACCATCCTGGCTAAAACGGTGAAACCCCGTCTCTACTAAAAACTACAAAAAATTAGCCGGGCGTAGTGGCGGGCGCCTGTAGTCCCAGCTACTTGGGAGGCTGAGGCAGGAGAATGGCGTGAACCCGGGAGGCGGAGCTTGCAGTGAGCCGAGATCCCGCCACTGCACTCCAGCCTGGGCAACAGAGCGAGACTCCGTCTCAAAAAAAAAAAAAAAAAAAAAAAATCCTCACTTTCATATAACCCCAGGGATATAACTACTATTACTTTCAGGGCATTTTATTTCTAACACAGTCTTTTTTTTTTTTTTTCTGAGAAACAGTCTCGCTCTGTAGCCCAGGCTGGAGTGCAGTGGCAAGATCTCGCTCACTGCTACCTCCGCCTCCTGGGTCCCAGTTCAAGCAATTATGCCTCAGCCTTCCGAGCAGCTGGGATTACAGGCATGCGCTACCATGCCCAACTAATTTTTGTATTTTTAGTAGAGACGGGGTTTACCATGTTGGCCAGGCTGTTCTTGAACTCCTGAACTCCTGACCTCACGATCCGCCCGCCTTGGCCTCCCAAAGTGCTGGGATTACAGGCGTGAGCCACCGCGCCCAGCCTAGTCTTTTTTTTTTTCCTGAACATAGCTGAGTTCATTTTGTTTTGTTTGTTTTTTGAAACGGAGTTTCGCTCTTGTTGCCCAGGGATTAGTGCAATGCCACGATCTCGGCTCACTGCAACCTCTGCCTCCCAGGTTCAAGCAATTCTCCTGTCTCAGCCTCCCTAATAGCTGGGATTACAGGCATCCACCACCACACCCGGCTAATTTTTGTATTTTTAGTTAGAGACAGGGTTTCATCATATTGGACAGGCTGGTCTCAAACTCTTGACCTCAGGTGATCCTCAGGCCTCAGCCTCCCAAAGTGCTGGGATTACAGGTGTGAGCCACTACTCCCAGCCCATTTTGTTTTTAATTGGGATTATATTATAGATCTTTTAAAAGCTGCTATATAACCTGATATATTGAGAACATTTTACTTCAAATAGTTAAAAACACACAATCACCCATTATCCTACCAGCTAGAGAGAACTGCTATAGCATTTGGTTTCTATGTTTCTAGACCTTGTTTTATGCACATGTGTGCATGTGTGTTTGTGTGTGAATACATATGTTTTTAAAGAGTGATCAGCCCAAATGCTTGAGTAACCTAATTTTTCACTTATTGCTATAACAGATTTTTCCAAGTCAGAAACACCTGTGTCATCTTTCATAGCAGTGCTGGTATAACTATTTGTGTAACGTGCCACAGTGAACCTCTGTCCTCCTCTCTGTCTTCCTGTCTCTCTTTTTTTGTTTGTTTTGTTTTGAGAAGGCAGGGTCTTGCTCTGTCCCCCTGGCTGGAGTGCTATGGCATGATCATGGCTCATTGCAGCCTCAACTTCTCAGGCTCAGCTGATCCTCCCAGCTCAGCCTCCCAAGTAGCTGAGACTACAGGTGCACGCCACCACACCAGCCTAATTTTTTTTTTTTTTTCTTGAGACAGAGTCTCACTGTGTCGCCCAGGCTAGAGTGTAGTGGTGTGATCTCGGCTCACTACAACTTCCGCCTCCCAGGTTCAGGTGATTCTCCTGCCTCAGCTTCCTGAGTAGCTGGGATTACAGGCATGTGCCATCACGCCCAGCTAATTTTTGTATTTTTAGTGAAGATGGGGTTTCACTATATTGGTCAGGCTGGTCTTGAACTCCTGACCTTGTGATCCGCCTGCCTTGGCCTCCCAAAATGCTGGGATTACAGGCGTATGCCACCATGCCTGACTTTTTTTTAAGATGGAGTCTTGCTGTGTCTCCCAGGCTGGAGTGCAGTGACATGATCTCGGCTCACTGCACCCTCCTCCTCCCAGGTTCAAGACATTCTCCTGCCTCAGCCTCCCGAGTAGCTGGGATTACAAACACCCACCACCACGCCCAGCTAATTTTTGTATTTTTAGTAAGACAGAGTTTCACCATGTTGCCCAGGCTGGTCTTAAACTCCTGGGCTCAAGCAATCCACCTGCCTTAGCCTCCCAAAGTACTGGGATTACAGGCGTGAGCCACTGCACTGGGTCTTCTGTCTTCTCTTGATGGACATTTAGGTGGTTTGGAATGTTTCATCAAAATAAAATAGTACAGTAGTGGACAAACACCCCACACATGAATCACTTAACAATGAAAGCCTTTGTGCCATCGTGCCTGCTGGCCCTCTGGCTTGGGTGCCGTTTCTCTGCTTGGCCTGGTACACTGCCCATCTTTGGAGGCTCCACACACACCACCTACTTGGCAAAGTCTTCTTTGCTGTGAGCATCCAGTTGCTCTTTTCCCTCGGCTCCCAAGCCTCTCTACATGCCTGGTTTTAACACTCATTACAGAGAAATCATCTGCATAGCTCTGTACTCTGGACCATGAGCCTGTCTGATTCTCTGTAAGCCAAGGCTCATTGCATGGTAGGTGCACCATAGACTGTTGAGTGGCAAGGTGGTTGCCAACCTCTCTCCTATCTTAGCTGTTTGTGATTCCAAAAGCCTAAGGTTCTGCTCTTTGGTCCCTGGCAGCTAAAGATGTGATTAAAGAGATTGAAGACTTTGACAGCTTGGAGGCTCTGCGTCTGGAAGGCAACACAGTGGGCGTGGAAGCAGCCAGGGTCATCGCCAAGGCCTTAGAGAAGAAGTCGGAGTTGAAGGTGAGCAGAGTGGGGCGAGTAGGCCCAGGCTGGTTTGAACAAGCTTCTGTTCACACTTCCACAACCCCTGCCTGTGTCCAGTCTCTTCCAGGCCCCTGCCTGTGTGGCTGTACCCCAAGCAGCTCCTCTTCCTCTGGCCTCCCCAGGGCACACAGCATTGGCTAGGGACCCTCTCCCTGTAGTCAGCAGACCTTGAGAGGGTGTTGGGGTGCAGGAGGATTATTGGCATGACACCTGTGAAAGACAAAGTAGGGAGAGCCTTCTCATAATGCAGAGCTGTCACATGTGAGGTGGGAAGGTTGCAGAAATAACCAGCAGGAGCCTCTGACTGTGAGGCTGCTCTGACAGACCCACCCTCTGGGAGTTTCAGAGCAAAGATTGCCCATTTAAAGGAATCTCATGTTGGGCAGAAGTGGCCAGGCCTCAGCTCAAATGCCGCAGCAATAGGAAGGTGCTGTAGCTGGAGACTGCCAGCTCCCTACACTCCTCGCAGCAGAGGCAAGTTCTCTTTTTTTGTTTTTTGAGACGGAGTCTCACTCTGTCGTCCAGGCTGGAGTTCAGTGGCGCAATCTCAGCTCACTGCAATCTCCGCCTCCTGGGTTCAAGCGATTCTCCTGCCTCAGCCTCCTGAGTAGCTGGGATTACAGGCTCCCACCACCACTCCCGGCTAATTTTTTTTTGTATTTTTAGTAGAGATGGGGTTTCACTGTGTTAGCCAGGATGGTCTCGAATTCCTGACCTTGTGATCTGCCCGCCTCGGCCTCCCAAAGTGCTGGGATTACAGGCATGAGCCACTGCTCCCGGCCTTTTTTTTTTTTTTTTTTTTTTTTTTTGAGATGGAGTCTCACACTGTCACCCGGGCTGGTGTGCAGTGGTGCGATCTTGGCTTGCTGCAACCTCCACCTCCCAGGTTCAAGTGATTCTTCTGCCTCAGCCTGCCAAGTAGCTAGGATTATGTGCACTCACCACCTTGCCCAGCTAATTTTTTGTATTTTTAGTAGAGACGGGGTTTCACTATGTTGGCCAGGCTGGTGTCGAACTCCTGACCTTGTGATTTGTCTGCCTTGGCCTCCCAATGTGCTGGGATTACAGGCGTGAGCCACTGCGTGCGGCTGGCAAGTTCTCCTGAAGGTTAGATCCAAGTGGTGCCCTTTTTGGCCAACGCAAAGGGCAAGTCAGGTTATTCTAGCCCCGTGTTCCCCAAACAGGTTCTCCTAAACACCAGTCTTCTGATACGCTCTGTGAGAAAAGCAAGAGTGTCATGTTCAAAGCGTTGGGAGATGTCACTGGGTATTCCCCTCTCTTTGAAATTCCAAAGTCATGAGGGAGAGAGACCAGAGTTCCAGAATGGCATTGTCTCTTCATATGTGCATGGCTGGGGTTGGGCTGGGCTCTTCTGCATGTCATTGCCTGCTCACAGCAACCAGGGAAGAGACTGGGTTGAGTCTCCATTTATAAGTCAAGGGAACTGAGGCTCAGAGGGGCTCATTAAATAGCCACGATCAGTCGGGCACGATGGCTCACAGCTATAATCCCAGCACTTTGGAAGGCCAAGGCCCAGAAGTTCGAGACCAGCTTGGACAACATGGTGAAACCCCGTCTCTACAAAAAGTACAAAAATTAGCCCGGCATGGTGGTGTGCACCTATGGTCCCAGCTCCTTGGGAGGCTAAGATGAGAGGATCGCTTGAGCCTGGGAGGCAGTGGTTTCAGTGAGCCAAGATTGCACCACTACACTCCAGCCTGAGCGACAGAGCAAGACCCTGTCTCAAAAAAAGAAAAAAAAAAGCCGGGCCTGGTGGGTCACGCCTGTAATCCTAGCACTTTGGGAGGCCAAGGCGGGCAGATCACAAGGTCAAGAGATCAAGACCATCCTGGCCAACATGGTGAAATCCCATCTCAAAATACAAAAATTTGCTGGGTGTGGTGGCGTGTGCCTGTAGTCCCAGCTACTCAGGAGGCTGAGGCAGGAGAATCACTTGAAACCAGGAGGCAGAGGTTGCAGTGAGCCAAGATCACGCCACTGCCCTCCAGCCTAGCAACAGAGCGAGACTCCATCTCAAAAAAAAGAAAAAAAAATAGCAGAGATGTGGCCAAGCCACACATCACACTCCTGAGATCAGTGTTCTCTCTGTGGTGCCAGTTTCTGCAGGAGGAGGAATATGGGACTGGGGGCCATGAGAGGATTCACGCCGGAAGGGCCTGCAAACTAGTTTACAAAGTGGCACTACATATTTGTTTCCTTAGGAAGGTCATGGTCAAGTTAACCACCAAGACAGTGATTGTTTCTGCTCTCCTGCCTGGGGCCTGTACTTTCCCTGAGCATAAGCTGGGATGTTTTCCAACCAAAGAACTCAGAACTCAGCCCTCCCCGAGACCTGTGAAGAACAGGAATGAAGGAGCCATGGGCCTGAAGGCTACAGGACTCAGCAGGAGCTGAGCTTGCTTTCGGCACATGGGATCAAGCCCTAACAGCACCACCTTGTTTGCCGTACGTGGCCTTGCCCTGCGTGCAGCTCTGAGGCTGGGCTCTTATATGAAATAGGAGATAGAGCCCTTCCTTCTTCCTCAGAGGTTGTCCTGGGAGAGCCTGGCCGGTAGGAGTGCTGCATGCACCTTCCCGCCTGCTACAGATGCAGTGGCTCGAGTGAATCACTGCACACCACCTCCTAGGCCCTCCTCTGTGCAGGAAGCAGCCCAGGGCAGGGGCAGGGTGGGATCTGCCCTTGATGGCCCAGTGTTCCGGGCGTAGTGCTGATGCCAGAGGGGTTCTCTCTGCTGCTGCAGCAGTGTGCAAGTGAGGAGTGAGGTCTTGACGGGCGAGAGAAGTGTAGCCCAGAGTCACACAACTAGGAGTAGGCTGAGGTGGAGTCCAGGTGTCAGCCCAAGCTCTTTTTTTTTTTTTTTTGAGACGGAGTCTCGCTCTGTCCCCAGGCTGGAGTGCAGTGGCGTGATCTCAGCTCACTGCAAGCTCCGCCTCCCGGGTTCATGCCATTCTCCTGCCTCAGCCTCCCAAGTGGCTGGGACTACGGGTGCCTGCCACCATGCCGGCTAATTTTTTGTATTTTTAGTAGAGACGGGTTTCACCATGTTAGCCAGGATGGTCTCAATCTCCTGACCTTGTGATCCGCCCGCCTCGGCCTCCCAAAGTGCTGGGATTACAGGCGTGAGCCTCTGCACCCGGCGTTTTTGTTTTTTTTTTTTGTTTTTTTTTAGAGACAGTTTCACGCCATTGCCCAGGCTGTAGTGCAGTGGCATGATCATAGCTTGCTGCAGCCTTGCACTCCCAGGCTCAAGTGATCCTTCCATCTCAGCCCCCCAGGTAGCTGGGACCATGTGTGTGCCACAATGCCCAGCTAATTTTTTTTTTTTTTTTAATGATGGGGTCTTGCTTTGTTGCCCAGTCTGATCTTGATCTCCTAGGCTCAAGCAGTCTTCCCACTTTGGCCTTCCAAAGTGCTGGAATTATCGGCGTGAGCCAATGTGCCCAACCCAAGCAAGCTCTTAACTGCTTTGCTGTTCTCGTGGGAGATCATTAGGACCTAAAACCTCATTTCAGAGATAGGATACCAGAGGCTGGAGAGGGGGAGTGATGGCTGGAGTCAGCTAAATCAGGATTGGAAGCCAGGCGGTGTGCCCTAGAGTCCTATGCTGACTGTTCAGCTCATTAGAGTTAGGTTTGGGGAGCTTTGTTCCGAATGACCTGCCGGTATCTGTTGTGAGGGACTGTGGCGCTCCGGCTCCGGCTGCCTGTTCCTGGCCCTGTGGACCCACGTGCAGGTGGAACTACTAAGCAGATCTGGTGTAGAGCAGACAGCTGAGGCCCCAGGTGTGTTCATGGTCTGCTTTATTGGTGGATATGCGGATTTTTCTGCAAAAACCAGCTTCCTTAGTATGTACGGTGGGAGCAGATCACGTGATCCCAGGAGTTTGAGACAAGCCTGGACAACATAGGGAGATTCCCAACTCTACAAAAGATACAAAAATTAGCTGGGTGTGTTGGTACACACATGTAGTCCCAGCTACTTGGGAGGTTGAGGTGGGAGGATGGCTTGAGCCTGGGAGGTCGAGGCTGCAGTGAGCCGTGTTTGCATGGCTACGCCCCGGCCTGGGCGACAGAGTGAGACCCTGTCTCAAAATAAAAAATAAGGGAGGGCTGGGCATGGTGGCTCTCATGCCTATAATCCCAGCACTTTGGGAGGCTGAGGCAGGTGGATCACCTGAGGTCAGGAGTTCAAGACCAGCCTGGCCAACATGGTGAAACCCCATCTCTACTTAAAAAATATATAAAAATTAGCTGGGCGCGGTGGCGGGTGCCTGTAATCCCATCTACTCTGGAGACTGAGACAGGAGAATCACTTGAACTTGGGAGGTGGAGGTTGCAGGGAGCCCACATCAGGCCATTGCACTCTAGCCTGGGCGATGAGTGAAACTCCGTCTTAAAAAATAAATAAATAGATAAAATAGGCCGGGCACGGTGGCTCACGCCTGTAATCCCAGCACTTTTGGAGGCTGAGGTGGGTGGATCACCTGAGGTCGAGAGTTCAAGACCAGCTTGGCCAATATGGCGAAACCCCATCTCCACTAAAAATACAAAAAATTAGCTGGGCGTGGTAGCGGGCACCTGTAATCCCAGCTACTTGGGAGACTGAGGCAGGAGACTCACTTGAACCTGGGAGGCGGAGATTGCAGTGAGCCGAGATTGCTCCACTGCACTCCAGCCTGGGTGCGACAGGGTGAGACTCTGTCTCAAAAATAAATAAATTAAATAAGGGTAATTGAGGTATCCATCACCTTAAATATTTATCTTTATGCTAGGAACATTCAAATTTTTCTCTTCCAGCTTTTTTTTTTTTTTTTTGAGAGAGTCTTTCTGTGTCGCCCAGGCTGCTGTGTAGTGGCGCAATTTCAGCTCAGCACAACCTCTGCCTCCCGGTTTTCAGCGATTCTCTTGCTGAAATGAGTGGCCTCTAGAGTGGCTGGGACTACAGGCGTGCACCACCATGCCCGGCTAATTTTTATACTTTTAGTAGAGATGGGGTTTTGACATGTTGGCCAGGCTACTCTCAAACTCCTGACCTCAGGTGATCTGCCTGTCTCCGCCTCCCAAGGTGCTGGGATTACAGGTGTGAGCCACCATGCCCGGCATCTTCTAGGTATTTTGAAATATATAATAGATTAATGTAAACAATAGTTACCCTGTTGACCTATTGAACACTAGGTCTTATTTCTTCCAACTTTATACTTGTCTCCATTAATTAACCTTTCTTCAGCCTCCCCTCCCTCTAACCTTCCAGGCCTCTGGTAACTACCAATCTACTATCTTTATGAATTGCCTAATACTTTCTTTGAATCATACCAGGAGTGGTGTCACATGCCTGTAATAGCAGGTACTGTGGAGGCTAAGGTGGGAGGATCACTTGAGGCCAGGAGGTCAAGGTTACAGTGAGCTATGATTCTGCCACTGCACTCCAGCCTAGGCGACAGAGTGAGAACCTATCTCTTAAAAAAAACGAAGAAAACAGCAAACTTTCATGTAATTTCAAAGCACTTCTATGAATGGAAAGCTGACATTCCTTACAATAAAGGAAATAAAATAGTGTTACTGAATTATTATTTGATGCTGTTGCTGTTTAATGGCTCTGAGCCTGAGGCTTGCTCTCCCTTTGTTAAAAAGTCCCCGTCACTATGCTAATTTTTGTATTTTTTGTAGAGAAGGGGTTTTACCATGTTGGCCAGACTGGTCTGGAACTCCTGACCTCAAGTGATCTGCCCGCCTCGGCCTCCCAAAGTGCTGGGATTACAGGCGTGAGCCACTGGCCCTCAACGTAGAATTCTGTGTTGTTTATGTTCATGTTTCTCTGTCATCCATAACCACGTCACACGTCCACCTAGAGGGTTGTACAAGTCAGGGATTTTCCTGACACTTGTGAGCCCCCAATAACTCTTGGAGGCCTCTTGATTTGAGGACTGGCCTCCAGGTCCCACCAACTACAGCCAGAATGGGTCCAGCTTTTTACAAACAAAGCTCAAGTTAAGTCTTGGGGGCCAGGTGCGGTGGCTCATGCCTGTAATCCCAGCACTTTGGGAGACCAAGGTGGGCAGATCACCTGAGGTCGGGAGTTCAAGTCCAGCCTGACCAAAATGGAGAAACCCTGTCTCTACTAAAAATACAAAATTTGCCAGGCATAGTGGTGGACGTCTGTAATCCCAGCTACTCCGGAGGCTTAGGCAGGAGAATTGCTTGAACCCGGGAGGTGGAGATTGTGATCAGCTGAGATCGCGCCACTGCACTCCAGCCTGGGCAACAAGAGCGAAACTCCGTCTCAAAAAAAAGAAAAAAGTCTTGTGATGCTCTGGTAGTTCAAATCCACCAGGATGAGGCTTCACTATGGGCCTCCAGGGGTCTCTCTCCCGCTAACTCTTCTCTTCTTTCCGTTGCAGCGCTGCCACTGGAGTGACATGTTCACGGGAAGGCTGCGGACCGAGATCCCACCAGCCCTGGTAAGCGAACTAGCCGCTCTTCCCCTCCACGCGCAAGGCCCTCTTTGGCAATTCCCAGGGCTTTTCTCATGCTTTATTCTTTCTGGAGCCTAAGATTAGCCCTGTGGGTGACTGAGCTGCTGGAATGGAAGCCCGGCAAGTCCAGCACGTGCCCTGTGTCCTGACAGGAGGGGAGGGTGGGAGCACAGAGACTGACAGGGGAGGAACCCTAAGGGTGGGGACTTCAGGGAGGTGGGAGAGCTGAGACCATGCACTCCTGGGTCCTCCTGAGCTGCTTGGCTTGGTTGACTGTGGATTTCACCCCAATATGATTGCCCCGCCTTTCCTGGCAACCCCTTCCTGCACCTCGCAGTCCTGCTCCTTCATGACTTCTCTGCACACAGCCCATGTAGCCGTCCCCATCTTTCTCTGGCTCCTCCCTTTCTCCGTACCACTGTCTGCTTTGGTTTGTGCCCGTCATGGGTGGCTTCCCATTTCTTCATTCCCAGGGCTCAGACTGGCTTGGGTCGAGTTCCCAGTCTCTGAGTGCATATGTGTGGAAGGAAATAGAAAGAGGCAACACAGAACACAGAAAGGCATGCCTGGCCAAGGGAAGAGGGCAGGGCTGGTGGTCGGCAGCCTCTCAGTGTGTCCTCCTGGCACGGGGCTGCACACGGCAGGCCCTGAGGGTGCAGGTTTCTGGTCAGTGATGAGTGTGCACATTGATGTTACTGAGCCCCTCACCCTGGTTGCGCCCAACCTCCTTTTATTTTTTTTTAAAGACAGGGTCTTGCTCTGTTGCCCAGGCTGGTCTTGAACTCCTGGGCTCAAACAGTCCTCCCGCATCAGCCTCCCAAGTAGCTGGGATTACAGGTGCGTGCCACTGCACCTGGCTTGTGAGGCTAGGATTTGGAATGTAGGTTAAGAAAATTCATTTCTGGCCAGGCGTGGTGGCTCACGCCTATAATCCCAGCACTTTGGGAGGCCGAGGCGGGCAGATCGCTTGAGGTCAGGAGTTCAAGTCCAGCCTGGCCAACATGGCAAAACCCCGTCTTACTAAAAATACAAAAATTAGCTGGCATGGTGGCACCTGCCTGTAGTCCCAGCTACTTGGGAGGCTGAGGCAGGAGAATTGCGTGAACCCAGGAGGTGGAGGTTGCAGTGAGCCAAGATCATGCCACTGCACTCCAACCTGGGTGACAAAGCAAGACTCCGTCTCAAAAAAAAAAGGAAATTCATTTCAGTGATTGCATGTTAAAGAATTTCAAGTTAGGCCAGGCGCAGTGGCTCACGCCTGTAATCCCAGCATTTTGGGAGGCCAAGGTGGGGGGCGGTGCACGTGGATCACCTGAGGTCAGGAGTTGGAGACCAGCCTGGCCAACATGCTGAAACCCTGTGTCTACAAAAGTACAAAAATTAGCTGGGCGTGATGGCAGGGGCCTTGTAATCCCAGCTACTCAGGATGCTGAGGCGGAAGAATCACTTGAACCTGGGAGGTGAAGGTTGCAGTGAGCTGAGATTGTGCCATTGCATTGCAACCTTGGGTGAGAGAAAGCGAGACTCCATCTCAAAAAAAAAGAATTTCAAGTCAGAAAAGATGGTGAAGAGAACTCTCTTTTGCATACTCACTGTGGAATTCTCACTGTGCAAGTTTTGCCTAAATTTTAGCATTTCATTTCCCTGAGCTTTCAGAAGGTATTCTTTTGGTTTTTGTTTTCTTTTACTTGACTCTGTAGGAATGGGGAAGAGAAAGTATTCTTATCTCTATGTTCCCAATCGTGAGAATAAATCTTAAGAGGGGGATAAGAGAATTTGGGGTTAGAAGATGGCATGTGGTGGAGTAGGCACAGGGTGTTTGAGCAGCTAGAGGTCAGTTGAGGCCAGATCGCCAGGGGCTAGGCTTTTTTTTTTTTTTTGAGGCGGAGTCTCACTCTGTTTCCCAGGCTGGAGTGCAGTGGCACGATCTCGGCTCACTGCAAGCTCCGCCTCCCGGGTTCATGCCATTCTCCTGCCTCAGCCTCCCAAGTAGCTGGGACTACAGGCGCCCGCCACCATGCCCGGCTAATTTTTTGTATTTTTAGTAGAGATGGGGTTTCACTGTGTTAGCCAGGATGGTCTCGATCTCCCGACCTCGTGATCCGCCCACCTTGGCCTCCCAAAGTGCTGGGATTACAGGCGTGAGCCACCGCACCCAGCCACCAGGGGCTAGGCTTTCTGTGGGTAGGGCAACGAGAGGACACATTGCCTTTTGCTTACTGAGTGGTGGGAGGATGGTAGAAACTGCCTCATCTGCCATATCTGTGGCCAGGGTGAGGGCAGAAAGTCTCCCTTCCACATTCCTGCCCCCATGGACCACCTGCTCAGCCCCATTTCTGACCCAGTCTCTGGCAGAGCCTCCTCTCTGACCATTTCTCCTGGTGGGGTGAGGGAATGTAGCTCTCCCCAGCCCAGGAGGTTTCCAGGAGAGCTTCAAATCACCCTGTCAAAGCTGATCCTGGCCGTGGCTTAGAGATGGCCACCTCCATCTGCCAGTCACCACCAGAAACCCTGGAGGCATTTGTGGTTCCTCCCTCCCTCCTCCTGCACGAACAGGGAACCAACAGCTTCTGCATGTCCCCTGCTCCATGAACAGGCAGCTCCTCTCCCACACTTGTCACACCGGCTGGCAGGTCCCCTCTGTTGCCAGTGTCGCTGCCTCACACTCCTGGGTGGGCACTCCAGCCCCCCTTTCTGTGCATCTGCTCACCTCAGGTCTGGGGATATTAATTCCATATCCCTCAGCCACCTCAAAGCCCACTGCTCTCAGGCTGAGGCTCACAGTCCTTGGCCTGGCATTCAAGGCTCTTGCCTGATCTGACCCCTCACTTCCCTTCCACCCAAAGCCCATGCCACGGCTTCTTCTGGAGCCTACCCACAGCTTTCCTCCAGGCTCACAGCCTGCTGCTTCATGCTTATGTCTCTCTGCTCCTGTTTTTTCAGCTGCCTGGAGTCTTTTCATGTTGACTAGCTGATTCTCATCCAGACTAAGTCCAAATGCCACCTCTTACAAGGAGCCTTCCCGGGCCACTCCAGGCATACGCATCCCCCACTCTCCAGCTGTTAGGAGCCCTTTGCAGGGTTTCCAGTCTTAAGAATACTGAAATGGTTTGTGTCTGTGTTGGTTCTGCACCAGCCGGGGTGTCCTTGGAAGGCAGAGCTGGGCCTGGCACAGAAGCAGCACCCAGCACAGAAGCTGGGTGTCTATGAAACTGACACGAGCTTCCTCTGTGCCCAGATCTCACTAGGGGAAGGACTCATCACAGCTGGGGCTCAGCTGGTGGAGCTGGACTTAAGCGACAACGCATTCGGGCCCGACGGTGTGCAAGGCTTCGAGGCCCTGCTCAAGAGCTCAGCCTGCTTCACCCTGCAGGAACTCAAGCTCAACAACTGTGGCATGGGCATTGGCGGCGGCAAGGTGGGTGTGGCAGCCCCCTCCCCGCAGAGTCCCCTGGTCCATCCACATCCGTCTGACATATGTGCCCTGGCCCTTGGCCACCACCATCTGGGATGGTCAGCCGTTGTTTTCAAAAGAGAAAGGCCTCAAAGGCAACAGCCTGTGGCCGGAGGGTAGAGGCGTCCATGAGGGTGGGGTTGCCAAGCAACCATCCCCAGTTCTTGGGTTGGCTTGGCAACGCAGAGGGAGTGCCACTGCATACCTGCTCCAGCCTGCTGGCTCTGCAAAACTCAGGGCTTGGGGCATCCCTATACTCACTGTACCCGCAGAGCAGCTGGTAGAGCCTGGCACATAGGCAGAGGGAGTCTGAAAAGAGGAGCATATGCTCAGGGGGGGCACCGTCACAGCTCACCTTTATTCCTAGACAGGGCCTTGCCCAGGGAGGTGTCCTCAGGCAAGGTCAGTGTAGAGCTTCACGTTGGGCTGGTCAGTGTAGAGTGGAGCTTCTTTGCTTCCCAGAACCTGCATCAAGGGCGGCCTGCCGTATTATTCTCTTCCAACTCCATCCCAGTGCCTTTAGACCCAGGGTTGGAGGACACTGAGTGCCAGGCTGCAACCCCTACACACACTTTCTAACCAAAGGGAGAAAAGGGCTGGGGACACAGAAGTAACAGCAGTTGGGGATATCTTATTTGAATATGCAATACCTTAACTTTTCCCACCCACACTGAAAGGTGGCTGATGCCATCCCAGTTTTTCCACATGACTCAGCATAGGCTTAGAGAGATGGGGTGGAGTGGATCACATAGCTAGTGCTGTGAGGCCCATGGAGCCCCAGGCTGAGGAGCTGGAGTGGCCTCCCCTGCAGAGGGTGCCTGTGTCCCTCGGCCTGACGTGAGGGTGAGCAGGGGCAGGCTCTGTGCCTGCCTTAGCCAGCCCTCCCCCAAGTCCACTTGGGCAATAAGCTATCCCTGTGTTAAGATGTAAAAATGGGCCGGGCACGGTGGTGCAGTGGCTCATGCCTGTAATCCCAGCACTTTGGGAGGCCGAGTCGGGCAGATCACCTGAGGTCAGGCGTTCGAGACCAGCCTGGCCAACATGGTGAAACCCCATCTCTACTAAAAATACAAAAATTAGCTGGGTGTGGTGGCAGGTGCCTGTAGTCCCAGCTATTCGGGAGGCTGAGGCAGGAGAATTGCTCGAACCCGGGAGGTGGAGGTTGCAGTGAGCCGAGATGGCGCCACTGCACTCCAGCCTGGGCAACAAGAGCAAAACTCCGTCTCAAAAAAACAAACAAACAAACAAACAAACAGAAACATATAAAAACGTTTGCGTCAGCACAGAAAGCAGGCGTGGCCCAACCTAGAGTGAGTGGCATACGCTGGGAGAGCCAGAGACTCTATTCTAGCAAAATGCTTCGGTTTTCCTTCCATTACTTCCCTTCTCCTGCCCAGCAGTGCCTGGAAACTGAGGCTCAGGGAGCTTTCCTACTGGCCAGGAGTTGTCTGGCCTGTCCTATACTTGTAATGGGGTGAGTTGGGGAATGAGTTTTGGACCCAGGACCAGAGGGCCTCCTGGGCAGACAGGCCTACCCTGGAGTTTGATTGATGGTTCTCTGTGCCTCCCTGACCACTGATTTGATTAGGTCTCTGGGTCTCGGCCTTGCTGACCTATGCCTCTTGGGAGCTCAGACGCCATGGTCTGGGTGTCTAACCAAGGCCTGCAGGTCCTTTGGAATCTTTTTCTTCTGGGCAGTGTGTTTAGTGTGGTTTCTGTGCCATGCACCATGAGAATAGAAGGGCCCAGAGGAGTTGGTGGGGCAAGAGGCATGGCCCTGTGCTTGAGAACTCTCCATACCCAAGTTGGACTCCTGCAGGAGCTAAGGCCATCACCACGTGGCCTCCAGGGAATCTGGGAGAATGGGGGTGACCTAGCAGTCGGCTGCTGCTGCTGAGTAGCTTCCTCAGAGGCTGGTCTTTGGCAGAAGTTTGATGTCTCTACCCTGAGTGTGTGCGTGATCGTGTGTGCGTGATCCACCATCACCACCGTGGAGTCAGGCAGGTGCTGGCTCTTCTGTTCCTCAAGGATGGCTGTGTGCAGTCTCATGCCAGGAGTTAGGCCAACCCACCCGCCATGTGCGGCTTTGCTAAATACTTACCGGGTGACCTTGGCCAATTCACTCATCTCTCAGAGCCTCAGCTTCCTCATCTGTAAAGTACGGCCAATCCTGCCTGCCTCCCAGGCTGGTGTTGAGGTTGAAACAAGAAAATATGCCAAGGATGCCCAGGCCCTAGCAGGTGCTCTGCAAACATCAGGTGTTCTGCAAATATCACTTCTCTCGGTGCACTCGCTCGTGATTCTTTTATGTCGCATTTACCATGGGCTCTGATTCCCATCGGTCAGTCTCCGTTTTTCAGTGCTTTTCCTAATGGTGTAACCAGGGTAGAAGCTACTTCCTGGCACCACACCAGGGACAGGGCAAGCTGGGTGTTAGGTTTTTACCACCAGCAGGCAAGCTCCTGCTGTGCCTGGCCAGCTTTTAGGCACAGGCAGGTGTCAGACAGGTTCGTCTGGACCGTGGACTTGGCAGCTGGCTCCCTTGGACATTGTGGAACGTGGAAGAGAAGCTGGAAGATTTGGGCTTTGGTCCAGAGTCCACCACTTGTTTATTGACCATAAGAAAGTTTCCGTTCCTCTTACCCTGAGTTTCTTCAGCTGGAAAATGGGAGCCATGATTTTCCCACCTAGCAGAGGGCCTTAGACAGTGAAGTGAGCTGACTAGGAAGTCCTTCCCCTGGACCTGGCTAAAAGTTCATCCACTCCATGTGGTCTCTCCCTTTCCTGAGTAGGGCTTGGTCTCCCCGTCTCGAAAGTGAAGCTAAACCTCTCAGGCTGGTGTGACACAGCATTAGAGATAAAAACCTTGTGTAACTGAAGTGCTGGACATATTTAAGGTGTGACTGTTGAGCTGTTAGCAGTCCTGCGTCCCCTGACCTGCACCGATGGGTGGCGTGGGATGTTGAAGAGCAGTTCAGCAGCAGTGGCCACCCCGCTGGGAGAAGGGGCTCCTGCCCATGACCAGGGCCCCTTGCCTTTCCCCACAGATCCTGGCTGCAGCTCTGACCGAATGTCACCGGAAATCCAGTGCCCAAGGCAAGCCTCTGGCCCTGAAGGTCTTTGTGGCTGGCAGAAACCGTCTGGAGAATGATGGCGCCACTGCCTTGGCAGAAGCTTTTAGGGTGAGTGGTTTCTGTCCATCCTGCCCCTGCAGCCTTGAGGTGCACTCGGCATAGTAGGCTGACAGTTCTGGATGCTAATCCCAGGGCTGGCACTCAACCAAGAGACCTGGGGCGTCACGTGCCCTCTCCAAGCCTGTTAACCCATCCGAAAATGAGCCAGAATTCCTGTCGTGCATTTCTGGAAAGGTGTGTGACTTTCCGGAAAGGTGTGTGACTGGCTCCCACTGGTGAGCCAGCCCCTATGGGGCTTCAGGCCAGGCAGGCCACTCTGACCAAGGAGTGTCATCTGCCAGGCTCAGAAGTGGTGAAGTGAGATGGTGCGAGTGCTGACAGTAGCCTGGCCCAGCCACTGGTGTGGGGCACAGAGAAGGAACATACCAGACCTCCAAGACAGGGAGATAGGCAGGGGCAGCCGCAGGGCTCAGGTGCCAAATGACGTGCTCTCAGGTGACCTTATCCCCACTCCTCTTCCACTCTCCTCTCCCCATCCCCGCAGGACATTGCTGAGTCCCCGATCGTGAGTGCCAGCAGAAGGCTACACTTGCCCCTAACAGGACTGAAAACTTTGGGGTCTGTCTCCCTCCTCTCTTTCCTGTTTTTTTTGAGGCAGAGTCTCATTCTGTCACCCATGCTGGAGTGCAGTGCGTGATCTTGGCTCACTGCAGTCTCCGCCTCCCAGGTTCAAGCAGTTCTGCCTCAGCCTCCCGAGTAGCTGGAATTACGGGCACCCGCCACCACACCCGGCTAATTTTTGTATTTTTATTAGAGACGGGGTTTTACCATGTTGGCCAGGTGGTCTCGAACTCCTGACCTCAAGTGATCTGCCCGCCTGGGCCTCCCAAAGTGCTGGGATTACAGGCGTGAGCCACCACGTCCGGCCCCTCTTCTCTTAATTTAAATGTTTTCTTCAGCAAACAGTATCCTAGGAGCATTGCTCATACGGGCCGGAATGTCCTGGCTGCCCATCGAGGCTGTCTGTAGATACCCTTTGCCTGCTTCAGTGCCAAGTGAACATCGCAGAGATCTGCCTTGTGTCTCCCTGCACCCCTGGCTGCAGGGGAGCTCCTGCTGCCTCCTCTGGAGCTGGTGGGGGCCTCACTGCCATCCTTGGATCCCTCCCTGCCGTCAGCCTGCTGTCCTCAGTGCACTGGGAGGAGGGGGTGCGCTGTGGTTGTGTTGAGCCTTCATAGGTGTCCTCTGGTGGGCTTAGAATGGGGGTTCTTAATCCCCCCCAGTATGTGGATAGAATTCAGGGGTCTGTGAACATGGATGAGGAAAAAATAACATTATTATTTATTACTAATGTAGCTAAAATATGTAGTGTGACCTTTGATTATAAATGTAGACAATAAACCTCACAGCATTAGAAAGGCCTGTGACTACCCACATAACAAACAAGCACATGTAGTCCCTGAACCCAAAAAAAAAAAAAATTTTATTGAGGCAGGGTCTCGCTCTGTTGCCCAGGCTGGAGTACAACGGTGCAATCTCAGCCCACTGCAGTTGAAGCTTCCCAGGCTCAAGTGATCCTCCCACCTCAGCCTCCCGATTAGCTGGGACTACAGGTGTGCACCACCATGCCCACCCAGTTAATTTTTGTATTTTAGTAGAGATGGGGTTTCACCATGTTAGCCAGGCTGGTCTCAAACTCCTGACCTCAGGTAATCCACTCGCCTTGGCCTCCTAAAGTGCTGGGATTATAGGCATAAGCCACTGCGCCCAGCTTAAAATTTTTAAAAAAATAAAAAGAAAATCTTGTGACTTTATCCCCAGTGGAAATCACAGGTATTTCATATGAAGTTATAGTTACTGCTGATATATAGAAATATTTCTCACTACATCAAAATTACAGTAATAGTGGACCCACCCCTAGATCTTGTTATTTGGTGCATTAACAAGAAGTTTGTATATCACTACAGCATGCGTTTGGAGTTTTTTCCTAAATGTTTTGATAACTGTTCCAACTGAGTTGATTTCCTTTGTAATTCTGTGTAATTTATCTTAAAATTTTAAAAAAACATTTTTTGAGGAGGGGACCCAGGGGCTTCACCAGACTGCCTGAAGGGTTCATGGCACAGAAAATACTAAGAAGGCCTGACCTGGAGTGTGCCCAGGTTGGCCTTCCTGTATTTATTTGTGGACCACCCGCTCCCCCCATTGCCCTGTGCTGCACTGAGCACCTGAAGACAGCAGAAGATTCCTTGGCACAGTTAAGCCAGGCCAACCCTCAGTCCTGGGTCACAGTGGAGACTGGGACATGGCCCTCTCCTCCAAAGCTCAGGGGCCGATGGGATGCAGACGGAATATAGGCTTTGAATGTAGGCAGGATGAGGACCACCGTGATAGAGGAGGGACCAGGTGCTCCGGGAGCACAGAGGAACGCACACTGGATCGTGGCTGGGGGAATCCAGGAAGCCTTCCTGGGAGAGGAGGTGACCAAAACAAGAGCCCTAGAACTCATATGAGTTAGCCTGTCAAGAAAATGCTGAATGGCTGGGTGTGGTATCTCACGTCTGTAATCCCAGCACTTTGAGAGGCCGAGGAAGCTGGATCGCCTGAGGTCAGGAGTTCAAGACCAGCCTGGCCAACATGGTGAAACCTCCATCTCTACTAAAAATACAAAATTAGTCGGGTGTGGTGGCGCACGCCTGTAATCTCAGCTACTCAGGAGGCTGAGGCAGGAGAATCACTTGAACCTGGGAGGCAGAGGTTGCGATGAGCCAAGATCATGCCATCACACTCCAGCCTGGGCGACGGAACGAGACTCCGTCTCAAAAAAGGAAAAAAAAAGAAAAAAGAAAAAGAAAATAAGGAGGCAGAGAGAATGGGTATCAAAAGGCCAGGCTGTGATAGGGCTGCATGGGCCAGGGAACACCCTCCTCATCCCTAGAGAAGGACGCCATGTCGAAGGGGTTATGTTGTGTAGGTGGGTGGGCTAGGAGGGCCCCTAAGAAAGAAAGGTCACATGGAGCTATGTCATCCAGAGAAGGGGCATGAGTGCCTGCCCACCACAGCCAGGGTCCCCACTGTGCTGAGGACACCAGACTGAGAACAAGAAATCGACCTGCTGGATCTAGAGCTCTGTGACCCTGGGCAAGTCACTTCGCCTCTTTGATCCCTAGTCTTTTCTCTGGTGGGGATCCTATCCCAGGCAGTAGGCCTCCCTCAGGAGGTTGTGGAAAGAGTTAGATGCAGCCATGCCCCAAAATCCCACAGACAGGCCCCTGCCCTGTGCTGGCGGCAGCCCATTCCTGTGCCTGCTGTGTGGAATTGCTCTCCTGCCTGCTGGATGTCACCTGGCACTCGGGGCCCCCTCCACTCTCTGCCTCCTCTTCACAGGTCATCGGGACCCTGGAGGAGGTCCACATGCCACAGAATGGGATCAACCACCCTGGCATCACTGCCCTGGCCCAGGCTTTCGCTGTCAACCCCCTGCTGCGGGTCATCAACCTGAATGACAACACCTTCACTGAGAAGGGCGCCGTGGCCATGGCCGAGGTGAGGCGAGTGTGGCAGAGCCAGTTGGGCCCCGCCAGATAGAGGCTGGCTGCTGTCTTTCCAGGGAAGCTGGGGCTCCGTTTAGCAGGGACTCCTCTACCCCCTGCCTGCCCCCTGGGTGTGTGCCCCATGGCTCCAGCTCTTTGAACATGTCCTGAACAGGGTTGCAGGTCCCAAGGTAACCCACGCCCTCCTCGGGCAGCTCTGATTCTTCATGCCACCTTCTCCTGAGCCGCCTCTGCAGCCCCCAGCGGCTGCCGCTGGTTTGTTCTCAGGCTGCACAGGAGCAGACTGCTCCCCACATCTGTTTTCCTGGTTGATTTGTTCAGCAGCTGTTGTTTGTTTTGTTATTTATTATCACTTTTTGAGACGGAATCTTACTGTTGCCCAAGCTGGTCTTGAACTTCTGGGATCAAGTGATCCTCCCACCTCAGCCTTCTGAGTAGCTGGGATTACAGGTGCAGGCCACTGTGCCTGGCCCAGCAGCTGTTTTTTGAGTCCCCATTTAGTGCTTGGCTTTGTACCAAGTGCAGGCCACATGGGGTTGAGCCAAAGACCCCGCCTTCAGGGAGACCCTAGCTCAAGGAGGGAAGGAAGCTGCCAGTGGTAACAGTGCTGGGCTCTGAACGCAGTGGCTTCTTGGCTGCCAGGGTCCCGTGGCCCCACAGAAGGCTAGTCCGGCTGCCTGTGTGTTAGCAGAGATGTGTGCAGGTGTTGGGGAACACGCCAGAAGGAAGTTCAAATCAGACTTAGGGCAGGCTTCCTGGAAGAGATCACATTTTGGCTAAGTTGTATAGGGCAAGTGGTCTTTCTCTGGACAGAGGGTGGGGGATGGGTGTTTCAGGCAGAGGGATCAGCTTACGTGTGGAAGACCCGGATGCTCAGCAGGAACCTTGCTTGGTTGGTCTCAGGAAGAGTTCTGGCCGTAACATGGGGAGGGGTGGAGGAGGTTTGGCCAGGGGCCCAGAGGCCAACAAGTAGAAGACGGCAAAGCTGGTGACTTGCAGAGGAGGACAGTGTGTGGTGGCTGGCTTGGGATGTGACCGTGTGGGGCCCCCGGGGCTTGCTGAGGGCTGGGGTGTGGTCTGCACCCTCACTCTGGACCCTTGCTTCCCCCTCACAGACCTTGAAGACCTTGCGGCAGGTGGAGGTGATTAATTTTGGGGACTGCCTGGTGCGCTCCAAGGGTGCAGTTGCCATTGCAGATGCCATCCGCGGCGGCCTGCCCAAGCTAAAGGTGCCAGCCTGGACGCCTGACGTCCTCCCTCTGGGGTCTGTGGGTGGTGGGGCGGCTGGGGGCACAGGGGTCTGGTCTGAAGGCAGGTGGGCCTGTGTCCATATCCCAGCTCCTCCACTTCGGGCCCTGTGATGCTGTGTGAGCCTCCACACCCCTCTGAGCCATGGTTTCTTCATTTCTAAAGCGGGAGGCAGGGAGTGGTGTACATCACTGTCTTGTGATTTAAGTAAACACAGTACGTGACTCATCGTTGGCTGCAGGGCATTATTTTTGTTGTTGGTGTTATTCTTCCTGCCCACTTTGCCCCACCTGGAGGACAGAGCCTGCCATATCCTCACTTGGGGAAACTGAGGCTTAGAGTAGAACCTGGTGTCCTGGCCCGGGTTTCTGCCTGCCTCCAACCCTTCCTCTTATTTTCAGGAGCTGAACTTGTCATTCTGTGAAATCAAGAGGGATGCTGCCCTGGCTGTTGCTGAGGCCATGGCAGACAAAGCTGAGCTGGAGAAGCTGGACCTGAATGGTAGTCGGATGGGGGAGGCCTCTGCACAGGTCTGCTAGGCTGGCCCTGGCACCCCGGCTGACTGCTCTTCCCTCCCCTTGAGCAGGCAACACCCTGGGAGAAGAAGGCTGTGAACAGCTTCAGGAGGTGCTGGAGGGCTTCAACATGGCCAAGGTGCTGGCGTCCCTCAGGTAGGGAACTCGGGGTGGCCCCAGAGGTCGGGGTCAGGCCATTCCTTTCTTTCTTTCTTTTGTTCTTGAGATGGAGTCTTGCTCTGTTCCCCAGGCTAAAGTACAGTGGCGTGATCTCGGCTCACTGCAGCTTCCACCTCCTGGGTTCAAGTGATTCCCCTGCCTCAGCCTCCCAAGTAGCTGGGATTACAGGCACCCACCACCACACCTGGCCCCTTTATTTGTTTCTACTTGTATTTATTCAGAAACGTTGGGTGCACTCCTGTTACGTACTAGGTCATACACTAGGCATCAGGGCTATAAGGATGGGACAGTCAGGGCTTCTGTCTCGTGGGGTGGAGACAGAATGAGTTGTCCGTTCAACAGAGGAGCTCGTACGGGCTGAGCGGGGCCACCCTGTAGAGTGGTGGAGTTGGGGAGGCCTCTGAAGGGGTGAGGCCAGATCTCATCCTGATGTGGTGGGGCCTGGGGAGTGATGGGGGTGGGAGGTGGGGGCAGCCAGAAGGGGCTGCACTCGGGATTGTTCTTAAGACGCTGACTCTAGAAAGGAAGAGACCATGGGGCCTGGGGAGTCTACCTGGAGGTGAAGGTGGGTGGCCGGGGAGTGGCCATCTCCTGGATCCAAGTCCGGTTGGGCCATCAGCATCGGGCTCCCTGTGCCCCTCGCATCTCCAAGTCGGCCTCATTCGTGTGTCAGATACTCAGTCGTGTCTCCTCGGTGCTAGGCCCTGAGCTGAGGCTAGGAACTGGGGACTCCGAGGTGGGCTGAACCTCACAGGTCCCACTGTCCCTGGGAAATGGTCCAGCCTTCCTATGGGGCAAGGACACCCCTACTCTTCTTCCTCCCCCACACCTGTAGCTTCCTGAGGTCATGTGGATGTGGGCGCCCCTGCCCTGGCATCTCAACCTGGGCAGTGTTCCTGCCAAGCCCTGGGCTCTAGGTGTGACAAAGCTGTCTTCGTTTTCTGTCTCTCCATGAAACCTGGGGCTCCTTGAGGACAGGGACAAGATCTGATTTTTTTTTGTTTTTTTTTTTTGTTTTTTTGTGGGGGATGGAGTCTCGCTCTGTTGCCCAGGCTAGAGTGCAGTGGCACAATTTCGGCTCACTGCCAGCTCCGCCTCCAGGGTTCACGCCATTCTCCTGCCTCAGCCTCCTGAGTAGCTGGGACCACAGGCGCCCGCCACCACACCCGGCTAATTTTTTGTATTTTTAGTAGAGACGGGGTTTCACCACGTTAGCCAGGATGGTCTCGATCTCCTGACCTCATGATCCACCCACCTCGGCCTCCCAAAGTGCTGGGATTACAGGCATGAGCCACCGCGCCGGGCCGATCTTATTTTTTTGTGTCCACAGCATGGATTTCCCTGGTGATCCACCTGCCCCTGCCCTGGGAGCAGGTGCTCCCACCCCACCAGGCTCTCTCCCTCCTGGCTGAGGTGAGGTCTCTGGGCTCATGGAGCCAGGCCTTAGAGCCAACCTGGGCTGCTGGGTAGAGAGGATCTGCTTCAGCCAGCTCTTTCTGCAGTGATGACGAGGACGAGGAGGAGGAGGAGGAAGGAGAAGAGGAAGAAGAGGAAGCAGAAGAAGAGGAGGAGGAAGATGAGGAAGAGGAGGAAGAAGAGGAGGAGGAGGAGGAAGAAGAGCCTCAGCAGCGAGGGCAGGGAGAGAAGTCAGCCACGCCCTCACGGAAGATTCTGGACCCTAACACTGGGGTGAGTTTCTATCATCTGCCACAATCAGAGCCCTGGTCCTGAGAACGTGAAATCCCGAGGCACTTTCACAATGGGGTAGGGGGTGTCTCCTTAAGCACAGTAGCCACAAACATTTTTTTTTGATTGCATGATATTGAGTAAAAAAAGGAAAATGGTCCCAGTGTAATGATAGTTACCTATATTTCTTTTTTTTTTTTTTGAGATGGAGTCTCACTCTTGTCACCCAGGCTGGAGTGCAGTGGTGTGATCTCGGCTCACTGCAACCTCTGCCTCCCGGGTTCAAGTGATTCTTATGCCTCAGCCTCCCAAACAGCTGGGATTACAGATGCTTGCCACCACGCCTGGCTAATTTTTGTATCTTTAGTAGAGCCGGGGTTTCGCCATATTGGCCAGGCTGGTCTTGAACTTCTGACCTCAGGTGATCCACCCTCCTCGACCTCCCAAAGTGCTGGGATTACAGGCATTGAGCCACCGGGCCCAGCCATAGTTACCTATATTTCTATTTACCCCAATATAAATGTCTATTTACAGGTAGCAGTGCTGCTGCATTATGTATATTATAAGATATGCATAAGGGTTTCTGAAAGAATAAACAAATAAGCATAAATAGAAATTCTGATTTTTTTTTTCCCCACCCACCAGAGGATTGTCTTGGTGACCCTTAGGAACCACTCCCCCATTCCTGGGATGGTGGCTGGGCCATGACCTGGCTTGGGCACTTGGTGTCCCTTGTCTGGCCCGGGGCTGCATCAGGGCTGCCACACCTCCAGTTCATTCATTTGCATTCCCTGTCAGGTTCCTAAGTAAAGCTCCTGGAGAACTTGGCTCTGGACAAGGACTCCCCATGCTTACGCTGAATTGGGCTGCTTCTCTGGTTTATGGAATCAATTAAACAAATGGCTAGGTTCGCCTCAATTCAGTTTTTCCTCTGGGCACCTCTGGTGCTAGCAGGGCTTACCCAGGCTGGACTGTAGTTCTACGGGGACCCACTTTAGCCCCCATGTGCCTCCGTAGTCATTTCTGGGGCACTGCATGTCATGACGAGGATCCACTTGGCCGTAGCAGGTTTTTTGAGTCCCAGGGAGGTAGCTTCCCCCTCACCCCAAAGGCTCCTGGACCAAGAGCCATCCAGGGCCAGCATCTCTGGGTGATATTGATAGATGGGAAATGCAGCTGAGTGGGAGGAAGAATTCTAGACTTTGAGCCTAGATGGGCTGGAGTGAAGGGTGGATGTGCTGGGTGTGGGGATGGGCACAGCTGTGTCGGGGAGTCTGGGGTCCGGAATTCTCCAGAGCCTCTGTGCCCCTACTTCCCAGGAGCCAGCTCCCGTGCTGTCCTCCCCACCTCCTGCAGACGTCTCCACCTTCCTGGCTTTTCCCTCTCCAGAGAAGCTGCTGCGCCTAGGGCCCAAGAGCTCCGTGCTGATAGCCCAGCAGGTAATAACCACCCCTCGACCCCCACGCTGTACGTGCTGTGGCTTCTGGAGCTGTTAGAGAAAAGGGACGAACAGCTCAGAGACCTGGGGGTGCGACGCTGTCAGCTGGGGGCAGGGAGGCTTGGCCTGCCACTGTTACAACACGCGCAAATGTCCAGGGTATTTATAAGCCTCCAGGGGTTGCAAATGTTCCCTCCCCACTCAGCCTACAGAAAGTACAGCCCGCCAGTTCCCATGCTGACTGGGGTTAGGGAATTTCCTTAAGAGCCTTGCATGTGCCCACCCCCTCCTTGGCTTCTCTCTGCGTGTTCCGTCAGCCCAGCTGCTTCGAGAACAACTCTGTTGCCCAGGGCTCCTTTGGAAGTGACGTGCCTATTGCAGGATGGGTGCCCTCACTCCAGCCTCACTTGTTGGTTGGCTCATTCATTCATTCATAGATGATCTTCGGGGCATCCATTTTCTGCCAGGCACTGCATTTGGGCATGATTTTATTTAACCCTCTTGGCAACATGAAATGTAGACTCTGCTGCCCTTACTTTATTTTATTATTTATTTATTTATTTATTTTTTTGAGATGGAGTCTCACTCTGTCGCCCAGGCTGGAGTGCAGTGGCACGATCTCGGCTCACTGCAGACTCTGCCTCCTGGGTTCAAGCAATTCTCCTGCCTCAGCCTCCCGCGCCCAGCTAATTTTTGTATTTTTTAGTAGAGACGAGGTTTCACCACGTTGGCCAGGCTGGTCTCAAACTCCTGACCTCATGATCCACCCACCTCGGCCTCCCAAAGTGCTAGGGTTACAGGCATGAGCCACCGTGCCCGGCCAGCCCTTATTTTGTAGATAAGAAAGCGGAGGCTCGGAGGTTACAGAGAAATAAAATGGGCCCACTCTCAGAGTTGGCTTAACATTTCGGCCAATTGCTTTGTTAGGTTTTGCCTGTATTCTTTGTTTCTTTTAACATGATAAATCAGATGTTGTAAGCCTTTCTGTGGCCTATCACTTTGGTGTAGCACCATTCATCACTTTCTTGTGCCCATAAAACTCTTCTCAGGATTTTTATTGCAATGTGTGGATGTAGCACTTAAAAGCCAGGCACTGTTTCTGACGTTTTTTCCACTTTTCCCTGTTGTGAGGTTGAGGTAAACGTTTCTGCATGTGAGTATTGTCTACATGCTAGATTATTTCTTCAAGTTCAATTACAAGATGGGGACCACTGGATCCCTGAAATGATTTTTTTTTTTTTTTTTCTGAGACAATGTTTTGCTTTGTGACTCCGGCTGGAGTGCAGTGGTGCAATCATGGCTCAGTGCAACCTCGACCTCCTGGGCTCAAGCAGTCCTCCTGCCTCAGCCTCCCAAGTAGCTGAGACTATAGGCACACACCACCAACCTTGGCTAATTTTTTTCCTTTTTGTTGACATGGGGTCTTGCTATGTTGCCTAGGCTGGTCTCAGACTTTTCGCCTCAAGCCATCCTCCCACCTCAGCCTCCCAAAGTGCTGGGGTTACAGGCATGAGCCGCCACACCCGGCTGGGATGATTTTTCATCCTTGTTCATTCACTCATTCATTCCCTCTCTATGCTGCATATGTGCTTGCTGCAGGCCAAATCCAAGCCAGACTCTGAAGGGACAGCATGGGGTAAGGCAGGACCTGTTCTTGCCCGCCAGGGGCCTTTGTACTGCCCAGGCCTCTCCTAGCTAGCGTCAGAGCCCAGGTACCTCTCCACCACGTGCCACAGGCCAACCATTGTCTCTTTTGTCCTCAGACTGACACGTCTGACCCCGAGAAGGTGGTCTCTGCCTTCCTAAAGGTGTCATCTGTGTTCAAGGACGAAGCTACTGTGAGGATGGCAGTGCAGGATGCAGTAGGTAATGTGGGCTGGGTGAGACCTGGGTGCCCTCTGTCCCTTGATGCTCGTGGGCCCCAGGTATCCTTCGTGGTTGCCGTAACTCGTCAGCCCCAGCGCTCTCATGGGAACTGCTCTTTGGCCACCTGAGTTTTTCCTCCGTCAGGGTCCTGCCGTGGAGCCAGCTGGCTGCTCTTCTCCCTGTTTTTCACCACTGAGAAACTGAGGCCTTTCCCAAATCCACACAGCCATGTACAGTTAGAACCCATAGCCCGCTCTAGGAAGTCCAGATAGTCACATCTGCAAGCCCAATGGACGCAGGTCTATCGGGAGGAGGGATGGTGAGAGCCAAGCCCTTGTCCACACCTTGGAGCTTCTGTGCTCACGTCCACTCTACCTGGAGGTTCCTTGCACAGAGGACACCTTTCCCCATAACATTATGGGGGCTTCCTTGGAGCACCAGCCCATATCCCTCCAGCCCTATCACAACCCTCTCCCCACCCTGTCTGTTTCCTCCATTCCAGCACCTGTCACCTTCCACCCTGTTTCCATGTGCTTGACTGAGCCTCCACATCTAACGAAACCTGAGCCAGTTCCGGTTAGGCAGAGGGGAGGAAGGGCCCTGAGGCGAGGGGGACGGTTCCTGGAAAAGATAGAAAGGGGTGGAAGGACATGTGGTGCCTCTTCCCGGCGTGGCGTCGAAGCGGGGAGGGCGGCTCAGTGGGAAATGAGGCTCGGAAGGAGGTGGGGGCCAGACACAAGCCTGCTCCCTGAGGGCCCGCCTGTGGGCATTTTTGGGAACAAGTTGCCCTAGTTCTGTTTCCCAGGAAGCCTAGCACAGTCCCTGCACATCCCCTCACCCTGCCAAAATAACCTGAATCCTCCCCAGTGGTAGCCTGCCTCAGGAAATCTCCATTCCCACGGTGTGAGGTGGGCACAGTGGGTGTCATCCCCATGCCCATTTTATACCTGAGGCCAGGATGGGCAAGGGCCAGAGTGTCACAGCTGGCAGATGGACTGAGCCCATCCCCTGATGCCAACTGCCACTCCCTCTGGTTCCTGTGTCTCTGCCGTCCCTCTCGTGTTCGCCTCTTCGTCAGGGCGAGGAGGCAGGCGAGCCTGTGTCTGCGCGGTGTTGGGGGAACCCTGGGTGCCTTGGCCCAGCCCTCTGCCATAGCCAGCAGCCTGCCCCTGCTGCTTCTGCCCTACAGATGCCCTGATGCAGAAGGCTTTCAACTCCTCGTCCTTCAACTCCAACACCTTCCTCACCAGGCTGCTCGTGCACATGGGTCTGCTCAAGGTGAGGCCGGAAGGAACAGCAGGCCCGGGAGGGAGGTGGGTGGGGTCTGCACAGAAGCTGCCCCAGCCATGCCCGCCAACCTCCCTCACCTCGAGTCCTGAGCCGGCTCGCCCACGGGGCCCCGAGGCCTGGGTCTGCCCCAGCAGCCTTGGTCTTCACGATGAGATTCCGGCTAGACTCAGTTGTGGGCACTATCAGCAGAGTCTGGATGGTGGAGTCCAGGGGCCCCCCCAGGTGACTTTGAAGCTCACCCCGCTTTTCGCTGTGTTCCTCTCAGAGTGAAGACAAGGTCAAGGCCATTGCCAACCTGTACGGCCCCCTGATGGCGCTGAACCACATGGTGCAGCAGGACTATTTCCCCAAGGCCCTTGCACCCCTGCTGCTGGCGTTCGTGACCAAGTGAGTGTGGCCTTGTCCTTCTGCCGGTGCCTGCCCTCTCGGGCTTCTCTGGCCAGGTCTGAAGGCGCCCGGTTCCGGGAGGCCCAGCCCCAGCCCAGCCAGCCTGCTGGCCCCACTCAGGTGCATGAGAGGCCCTCATGCCTCCTGGGCTCTCAGCATCTGCATTGGAGTCTCACCACCCTTGGGAGGCCCACTCCCCTCTGCCCAGCTGAGGACAGTGGGGCTCAGGGACAGTGAGAGAGGAGACATGCGGCGCCCCCATTGTGCAGATGAGGAGCACTGGGTTGGTTAAGGAGTTTCCCTTGGTCACACGCTAGCAAGAGGCTGGGCCAGTGTCCAGACCCATGTCTGCTGAGCGAGGTGCTGCGGTTGGTGACATCTCCGGAGTGGCTTTTTGTCCACATTCACAGCAGCGCAGGCCAAAGGGGCCTGGTCACACCAGGCTCTGCAGCCCCGGGCCCTCTCCTGGGGACACACATTGCCACGGGAGCTGCCAAATGCCCAGCAATGTGTGAACCTTGGCCTTGTTCTGGAGGGTCCTGGGGTGTCCCGGGGCATTGATGGGGTGATGGGCACAGTCAAGTAAGAGAGGCAAGGCCCCACCAGGGAGGGGTCGGGAGGCTTGCCCTCTGAAGGCCCTGTGTGGCCCCTGGCCAACCTGTGGCCTTCATCAGGCCTCAGTCTCCCCATTTGTCCAACCGGGGGGTTAGGTGAGATTGTCTCCAAGCGCCCTGACCAGCCACACTTCCAGTCAGTCGGCGCCATCCGGGGACATGGGGCAGGCAGAGGAGCAAGGAAGTCCCTTTGCTGGGGGAGCCCAGAGCCCACCAGCTGAGGCAGGATACTTGGTGCATGTGGGGAGGCGGGGCTGGCGGAGCGTGAGCGGCCCCCGCTGGCCTCCAGCACCCAGCTGGTGCCGCGGCAGCCCTGTCCACTCCAGTGTCTGCATGGCGCCGCCTCCTTAGCCAGGCCTTACCTTCTGGCCGCATTTCCCCCACACCAGACCACCCCTTGGGCTGCAGCTGGACTGGCCTTGGTGAATGGCAGATCTCACTGTTCCCCTCCTCTGCCAGGTGCTAGGTAGAGCCTCACTGTGAATCTCATGGCTGGCCACAGCCTCACCCCGACCCCACCCCACCCCACCCCAGCACAGTGTGCTCTCCCTGAGCCCCTTTCCATAGCAGTGCTGTTGCTGCAGTGCCGAGCTTTGCCCATGCTGTCCAGAGCTTGTTTGGCCAGTGGCCCCAGCCCCCGTCTGCGCCTGAGCCCTTTGTGTCCTTCCTGCCCCCTGGTCAGAGTAGTTCCCTCTGTATCCCTGGCAGCCCCTGTGCTATCCTAAGCCTGGGCATGTGCCTCTTGCCCTTGTTGGTCAGAGCAAAATGCCTTTTCCCAGCTTGTTGCCCAACCTCCAGCACAGGCCTCAGTCTGCCCCCTGGGTCTTGTCCAAGGTGACTGATTAACTATGTAGTGACATGCACGGACCCTCTTCCCTCAGCTCCCAGCCAAATGGTCTGGGATGCCCGGCCTGGCGCAGATCCTGGCCTGTTCACTGGCTTCAGGCCAGAGGTGTTGTCAGGCCTGGTCCTGGCTGCGTCCCGCACTTGCCCAGTCCCCCAGAGTCTTGCCTCAGTTTCTTCCTTTGCAGTGAAACTAATGATATTGAGGGCAACAACAGCCAGCTCAGGCGCAGTGGCTCCCATCTGTAATCCCAGCACTTTGGGAAGCTGAGGCAACTGGATCACTTGAGCCCGGGAGTTCAAGGCCAGCCTGGGCAACATTCGTGAAACCCCATCTCTACAAAAAATACAAAGTTAGCCGGGTGTGGTGGTGTGTACCTGTGGTCCCAGCTACTTGGGAGGATGAGGTAGGAGGACCACCTGAGCCTGGGAAGTCGAGGATGCAGGGAGCCATGATTCCAGGACTGTACTCCAGCCTGGGCAACAAAGAGAGGCCCTGTCTCAAGAAAAAAACAACCAGCCTGGCGCGGTGGCTCACGCCTATAATCCCAGCACTTTGGGAGGCCGAGGTGGGAGGATCACGAGGTCAGGAGATCAAGACCATCCTGGCTAACATGGTGAAACCCTGTCTCTACTAAAAATACAAAAAATTAGCTGGGCATGGTGGTGGGCGTCTGTAGTCCCAGCTACTCGGGAGGCTGAGGCAGGAGAATGGCGTGAACTCGGGAGGCGGAGCTTGCAGTGAGCCGAGATCGCACCACTGCACTCCAGCCTGGGTGACAGAGCGAGACTCCGTCTCAAAAAAAAAAGAAAAAGAAAAAGAAAAAAAGCAACCAAAAAAACAATGGCTAGCCATTTACTTATGATCCAGATTGGACTCTAGTGGGCCAGTCCTATGTGGCCACTGGCAGCCAGTAAGGATTCCCTGGCCTATGTCTGCTGGAAGGGCCCTTGGAGAGCCTGGCTGAGGGGGCCTTCATTCTGGCCAGCTCTGGGCTGTGTGGCGTTGGGTGCCTGGCTCTCTGAGCCTCTCGCACCTCCCATCCCCACCCACGGTGTGCAGAAGGCAGAGGGCTAATGTCTCTCTTGCTGAGTCGTTGTGCAAATTAACAAAAATGAGTCTGGCACCAAAATGGCCCCCACACTTGGAAAACAGGCCAAGAGGCATCCACCGACCTGCTGACCCCTCTTTCCCCGCAGGCCCAACAGCGCCCTGGAATCCTGCTCCTTCGCCCGCCACAGTCTGCTGCAGACGCTGTACAAGGTCTAGACTCAAAGCCTCTCCCATCCCTTGGCCTGGACCAGTGAGCTGGGGAGGGACTCGGATGAACTGAGGCGCAGCCTACGCCATTGCCTTGGACAGGACTCTGGCCACAGGCAGGGCGGGTCTGTGTCCCATGTGTCCTGTCAGTCCCCTGAGTATGTGTGTGGGTGTGGCGCATGTGCAGGTCTGTGCCTCCTGTCGGGATTTGGGTTTTAACGTCTTCTGCTGGCCCAGCCCTGCTCTGTTGTGGGGAGTTGGCCCCCAGGGGAAAGGGCTGTGAGCTGCTCCGCCATTAAACTCACCTCCACCTGAGGGCGCTCTGCTGATCTCCGCCTGGGCCCTGATGGCCGTCCCCACCCACCTGCCTTCCGGCCCGGCTCCCTGGCGGAGCCAGAACCCAGGGAGTTGCCCGCGTGCTGTCCTTCCCCTCTGTGTTGTGATTGGGTTGTTTCCTGCCCTGCCTGGGGCTGCTTCTCGTCACCAAGCCCTGGTCCTGCGGCAGCTGTCACCCCTACCATCCATACCACTGTGCTGACCGCTCAGCCTGAAGAGCAGAGAATGCCATGGGTGGGACTGTGGGGGTCGGATCGTGGGGTTGTTGGCAGAGGGCAACCCTGGGCCCCACACCGTGTGGACAGGCAGACACCAGATTGTCCAGGAGCAGGAGCTGCTGGGACTGCGCTGGCCCCGGACCTAGTGGGCCTTCTCCTGGCTGCTGAGATGTCGTCTGTGACTGGCCTGGCTGGAGGGGGAGTGTTGACAACCCAAAGCTGTTCTCCAGTCTGGGGAGGGAGAGGCAGGGTCCCCAATGTCCGAGCTGCATCTGGACGCTGCTCTTAAAGGACCTCCTGGGGCAGGGGAGCGGTAGGGTCTGGACTGGGCAGATGCTGTATGACCTCCCTGAGCACCCGTGACTGCCCCATGCTTTCCCCTTTGTGCTCTGTGTGTGTCTGGGCTGTGCCCGGGGGCTTCACAAATAAAGTCGTGTGGCAGCTTCAGAGACTCAGAAACTCTCACTGAAAGCGGGATAGTCTCGGGGGCCGTTGTACGTGGAGTCCCACCTCGGCAGAGCATGCGGCCCCGCAGCAGTCTGTGGGGCAGTCAGCCCTGCAGAAGGGCCCGGCCTCGGCCTCAGGCCACTACCTGGGAAGTGGCAGTCCTGAGTGGGGGCCCATTTTCCTGCCTGGCCACACCTCACCCAGCACCCTGCCTTTGGGCTGCAGCTCGCTTGGCTTCTGCGTTGCTCCTTCACTATGGAAGCCACCTCCCTTGGGATCCTTTGCTCCACTGCCACATATGTGAGGACAGCCCAGCCAACCTTCCTTACCTCCTACCCTACACCATGTATGTGCTTTGGGAGCCCATGTCCCCCACAAACGGCCTCCAAGAAGTCCCTCCAAGGTTTCTTAGAGGGCAATATTTTCTCATTGGCAGTCGGCCACGTAGGTGACCAGGTGGCAGAGGATACTGCTGGCCCTGTCCCCTGTCTTCTGTGTGAGTTGATACGGTAGGGGGTGGGTGTGGGGCTGGCATTAAGTTCTGATGCCAGCTACAACGTGGATGAACTTTGAAAACATGTTAAATGAAATAAGCCAGACACAAAAGGACAAATATGATTCCATTTAGATGAGGCATCTAGAATAAGCAAATTCAGAGACAAGAAGGTAGAGGTTGCCAGGGCTAGGGGAAGGGTGGAATAGGGAGTGAGGCTGCAAACAGATTCTCTGGGATGATGAAGATGTTCTGGAAATGGAGAGTGGTGATGGTTGCATAACATTGTGAATGTACTTAATGCACTGAATTGTACACATAAAAATGGTTAAAATGATAGATTTCATGTATTAATATATTTTACCTCAGTTAATGTTTTAAAAATTAAGCAAAACTATAGAGCTTCACCCGGGTGTGGTGGCTCACGCCTGTAGTAATCCTAGCACTTTGGGAGGACGAGGCGGGCAGATCACTTGAGCCCAGGAATTCAAGACTGGCCTGGCCAACATGGCAAAACCCTGTCTCTACTAAAAATACAAAAATGAGCTGGGTGTGGTGATGCATGCCTGTAGTCTCAGCTACTTGGGAACCTGAGGTGGGAGGATCACCTGAGCCCAAGAAGTGGATGCTGCAGCAAGCCGTGATCGTGCCACTGCACTCCAGCATGACTGACAGCGAGACCCTGTCTCAAAAAAGAGAGAGAGAGCTTGTAGGAGATAGTGTAAGTGAGTATCTTCAAGGCCTTAGGAGTGAGGAAAAGATGAATAAATTAAGCTGTATTTAACCTCCTTTGCCATTATCGTGGGATGTTCACACAATGGAAATGATGTAGCAGTGAGAACAGGTTTCTGTTTATCAAAATACTCATTAAGGAGTACAAAGGCAACTTACAGACAGGGAGAAAATAATTGCCTAAACTCTCTCTGTATATATATATGGGTGGGGGGGATAACTTTAATTTTTTTCAAACAGGGTCTCATGTTGCCCAGCTTCTATCTCGGCTCACTGCAGCCTCTACCCCCCGGGCTCAGGTGATCCTCCCAGAGAAACATAATCACAGTGTGACACTCTTATGCCCTCACTAGAATGGCTAAAATACAAAATACAGTACCAAGTTTGGTGAGGATTTGGGGCAACTGGAGTGGCTGGCAGATGTGTAAATTGGTACAACCTTTTTTTTTTTTTTTTTTTTTTTTGAGACAGGGTCTTGCCATGTCACCCAGGCTGGGGTGCAGTGGTGTGATCACAGCTCACTGCAGCCTCGACCTCCTGGGCTCACTTAGTCTTCGTGCCTCAGCCTCCCAAGTAGCTGGGACCATGTCACAAGCCACCACGTTCAGCTTTTTTTTGTAAAGACAGGGTCTCATTGTGTTGTCCAGGCTGGTCTTGAATTATTGGGCTCAAGTGATCCTCCCGCCTCAGCTCACTTAACAGGCATGAACCACCATGCCCGGCTACAGTGCTCTTTCTAATAAACCCATGCTGGAAACAACCCAAATGTCTATCACTAGAGGAATGGGTAAGCTACTTGTGGTACGGTGTGGTACCGAGAAGGTAGGAATGGTCTGCCCAAGAAGAAATATTTTAGCATTGACATTGTTTAGACTTGTCAGCACATGATAATAAAAAGCAGAGACCAACTTTAAGTCAGTTCCATTGTGTCTCACTTCTCCACTGACAGCACACCCGCTTACTGCCTGCATTGTGGGCAGACTGCCTCCCGCCCCTGCCCCATGCCACTGTTGTCATATATTTATAGAATGGAAGGCTGGAATGCTGAATTTAAAAAAAAAATTAAAATAGATGAAGCCGGGTGCGGGCTCACACCTGTAAATCCTAGGACTTTGGGAGGTTGAGGCGGGCGGATCACTTGAGGTCAGGAGTTTGTGACCTGCCTGGCCAATATGGTGAGACCCGTCTCTACTAAAAATACAAAAATTAGCTGGGTGTGGTGGCGGGTGCCTGTAATCCCAGCTACTCGGGAAGCTGAAGCAGAATTCCTTGAACCTGGGAGGCGGAGGTTGCAGTGAGCTGAGATCACGCCACTGTACTCTAGCCTGGGCAACGAGAGCTAGACTCCGTCTCAAAAAAAAAATAAAAAGATGATTCTCACTAACATAATATTGAGTGGAAAACGCCAGACACAGCCAGGTGCAGTGGCTCATGCCTGTAATCCTAACGCTTTGGGAGGCCGAGGTGGGAGGATCACTTGTGCCCCGGAGTTCAAGACCAGCCTGGACAACATAGCAAGACCCCAACTCTACAACAAATTTTAAAACCAGCTGGAGGTGGCGGTGCATATCTGGAGGTCCCAGCTGCTTGGGAGGCTGGTATGTCAAGGCCGCAGTGAGCCATGATCACACTTCACTCACACCTGGGCAACAGTGAGACCCTGTCTCAAAAAAAGGACGAAAGAGCACACTGAAGTTCCATTGATTGGAATTTGCCAAGCAAAAAAAGCACAAAGCAGATGGCTGTGTGGCATGGCACTATTTCTTTTTTTAAAATGTTACTGCAGGGCTGGGCGTGGTGACTCATGCCTGTAATCCCAGCACTTTGGGAGATCAAGGCGGGCAGATCACTTGAGGTCAGGAGTTCGGGACCGGCCTGGCCAACATGGCGAAACCCCGTCTCTACTAAAAATGCAAAAATTAACCAGATGTGGTGGTACACATCTGTCATCCCAGCTACTTGGGAAGCTGAGGCAGGAGAATCGCATGAACCAGGGAGGTGGAGGTTGCAGTGAGCTCCAGCCTGGGCGATAAAGTGAGACTCTGTCTCAAAAAACAAAAAACTCCTGCAGTCTAGGAAAAGTACACACAGATGTTCATTGTTTAACATATATAAATATATATAAACATATACATTTATATTTTTATTATATATAAATATATACACACATAAGTGTATACACACACACATACATATATATATATATATATATATATATATATATATATATATATATATATATGTATATATTTTTTTTCTTTTTTGAGACAGTTTCACTCTGTTGCCCAGGCTAGAGTGCAGTGGCGCCATCTCGGCTCTCGCGTTCATGCCATTTGCCTGCCTCAGCCTCCCAAGTAGCTGGGACTACAGGCGCCTGCCACCACACCCGGCTAATTTTTTGTACTTTTAGTAGAGATAGGGTTTCACTGTGTTAGCCAGGATGGTCTTGATCTCGACCTCGTGATCCACCCGCCTCCGCCTCCCAAAGTGCTGGGATTACAGGCGTGAGCCACCGCGCCCGGCCTTTTTTTTTTCTCTTGAGACAGAGTCTGTGTTGCCCAGGCTGGTCTCAAACTCCTGGGCTCAAGTGATCCTCCCACCTCAGCCTCCCAAAGTGCTGGGATTACAGGCATGAGCCACTGTGCCTGACCCCTGTTTCCAATTAAAGGAACAAACAGTAGAAGATGCAATTCCATCAGAAGCAGGAATCTGAAAAATCAAGATACATGAACATTGGCCATGGTCTGGATGTATTATTTAAAAAACAAACACGAGCTTGGGAAGATGCGTATTTGGATATTCTTTGCAATATTGTTTGTAAATAGCAAAAAATTGGAGGTAGCCAATGTCCAAGATGAATGGCTAAGTCAATGTGATACATTTACACAATGGAATACTATATACCACAGAATAATGAGATTCGGAAGAGTCAATTTGGATAACTCCCAGTAATCTGAGGTTAAGTGAAAAAAATGAGTGTCTAGAATCCTGTGTGTCCAGTATTAAACTATTTATGTCAATGTGTAAGCACAAACGGAAGGAAAGGGTCACCTGTTCTGAAGCACCCACTGTGTGCCAGGTGCGGGCCTGAACCCCCACTGTGACCTCAGAGCTACTTATTAATGGGATGTGTTTTTCAGAGACTAGGAAGCAGCCTCTGGGAGGGCAGCCCACATGGCAGGAGGGAGCCCAGGACTGCTGACTCCCGGGCCAGCTGCTGGTGCCCCCTCCCTGTCGGGCTGGCCCAAGGATTCAGGCCGGGGCCTCAGTCCTCGGCTGGGGCAGGCAGGAGGCCCTGTAACTCCAGCCGCTGCTCCCGCCCGCCGCCCGCCCCTTCTTCACCTCAGCCTGGGGAAGCCTGGCTTGCCTGGTCTGCCGACAATGCCTCCCATTCAGCCCTGTCCCAGCTGCCAGGCCTGCGGGCCGTGGAGGGGGGCTCCTGCCAGGCGGGGACAGCCTGTCCCTGCGCTGCGCCTCCAGGCTGGACCAGCAGTTCCAGGCGGCATGGAGGGGTGAGTCTTTGGGCCCGATGGTGCAAGGGGGGATTCAGAGCAGCTCAGTGGCCTCAGGTAAGTCTCTGCCCCCTCTGGGCCTCTCAGAGGCTGGCGGGCAGGGGCTCTGGGGACTTCCTGGGGTTCTCCAGGAAGGGGGTCTCCCAAGGTGGGCTCTGAGACACGTGGCAATGTGGCCACTGCCAGGAACTGGTCCTCTGGGGCTTGTCTGAGAGCCCAGCAGTGGTCCCTGCATTATGAATGCTTGTCGCTTCAGCGATCTGTCCCCATGGGTCCCCTCCCTGGCCTGCCCTGAGGCACAGCCTTCACCACAGGCTCTGGAGAAGCCACCAACTCCAACGCAGGGGCTGGAGCCTGGGACCCAAAGGAGACTCCAAAACAGACGATAGTCCAGTGAGCAGCGAGGGGGAGGCTCCTGGGGGCCGGGGAACAGCCCAGCGATGGGGGAGAGGCCATGCCTGACACAGGCTGAGAACAGAGGGGCCAGCTGGGCAGGGGAGGTGATCTATCATCCTAGCGCTTTGGGAGGCCAAGGTGGGACAATCACTTGAGGCCAGGAGTTCAAGACCAGCCCGGGCAACATAGCGAGACCCTGTCTCTACCAGAAGTAATTAAAAAATTAGCCAGGCGTGGTGGTGTGTGCCTGTAGTCCCAGCTACTCAAGAGGCTGAGGTGAGAGGATCACTTTAGCCCAGGAGGTGAAGGCTGCAGTAAGCCATAGTCATTCCACTGCACTCCAGACTCCAGCCTGGGCAACAGAGCAAGGCTTGTCTCTATTTAAACAAACAAACAAAAAAAGACTCAAGGACCCGGACTGGATGCCTCCCTCCTTTCTGGGGGGTACCATTATGCTCCTGCCACCTGGGAGCTGGCATCATATCAGTCTGAGGACAGGCTGCTTCCGAGCCTACCCTGGACCAGAGCCTCACCACAGCCTGAGAACATGCTCTGAACTGGAGTCATTCTCACAGTCAGCAAGTCCTCACTGAGCCATTGGGCAGAGGCAAAGGGACTAACCAGGTCACTTTTCTGAGCCTCGGTTTCCTCCCATGTAAAACAGGACTAATCATAGGACCTCCACTGCGTGGGGGGTGGGGGGCAGGGAGGCTCAGGGTGATTGGCACTTTCCTGGGCCCAAAGGAGGAGGCTCTGAGGGGTTTTTGGGGCAGGAGCTGCACCATGGCTGGGACTAAGTGAGGGACAGCATGTGGCCTCGGCCCTTGTGCACAACAGACTCTCCCTCCCCGTCCCAGGCCCCGGAGCTCCACCCATGTCCCCTTGGTGCTGCCGCTTCTTGTACTTCTGCTGCTGGCCCCGGCTAGGCAGGCCGCCGCCCAGCGCTGCCCACAGGCCTGCATCTGTGACAACTCCAGGCGACACGTTGCCTGCCGGTACCAGAACCTCACTGAGGTGCCAGACGCCATCCCTGAGGTCAGCAGGGCAGGAGCACAGGCACAGAGTGGCAGTGGGGCAAGGTGGGGACCCAGAGGGAGGAGCCTGGGCTGGGCACCAGTTGATCTGCCACCGCCTGCCCGGGAGACCTTGGCAAATTACTTCTCTTTGAGCCTCAGTTTACACTTCTGTAAAATGGGAATAATAAAAACCAGTAACAGGGAGATGATCTATTTAAAATCCTTACTGTGTGAATGGAATAAGTAGGTGACCCATAGATCGATACTGAATTCACTGCAGACCCTGTGGTGGAGAGGCGGGCTGTGGCAGGGTGAGGTGTGGTCTCTGCTCTGCAGAGTCATCAGCTAGTGGAGGAGAGAGAGCGAGGAGGCAGGGACAGCACAGTGTGAAAAATGCCACAGTGGGTGATGCCCAGGGCACTGGAGAGGAAGGCTTCCTGGAGGAGGTGTCAGGGGTCGGATGAAGAGAAATATGGGAAAGGTGACAGGAGAAAAGAGTGTTCCGGGGAAGAAGCAGCACTTGCAAAGGCGGGGTCCCTGCCTGGCTCAGCCCCACTTTCTCCTCGCTGTCCCCAGCTGACCCAGCGGCTGGACCTGCAGGGCAATTTGCTGAAGGTGATCCCCGCAGCCGCCTTCCAGGGCGTGCCTCACCTCACACACCTGGACCTGCGCCACTGCGAGGTGGAGCTGGTGGCCGAGGGCGCCTTCCGTGGCCTGGGCCGCCTGCTCCTGCTCAACCTGGCCTCCAACCACCTGCGTGAGCTGCCCCAGGAGGCGCTGGACGGGCTGGGCTCGTTGCGGCGGCTGGAGCTGGAGGGGAACGCACTGGAGGAGCTGCGGCCGGGGACGTTCGGGGCACTGGGTGCGCTGGCCACGCTAAACCTGGCCCACAACGCCCTGGTTTACCTGCCCGCCATGGCCTTCCAGGGGCTACTGCGCGTCCGCTGGCTGCGGCTGTCGCACAACGCGCTCAGCGTGCTGGCCCCCGAGGCCCTGGCTGGCCTGCCCGCCCTGAGACGGCTCAGCCTACACCACAACGAGCTCCAGGCTCTGCCCGGGCCTGTCTTGTCCCAGGCCCGCGGCCTGGCCCGTCTGGAGCTGGGCCACAACCCGCTCACCTACGCGGGCGAGGAGGACGGGCTGGCGCTGCCCGGCCTGCGGGAGCTGCTGCTGGACGGCGGGGCCCTGCAGGCCCTGGGTCCCAGGGCCTTCGCACACTGTCCGCGCCTGCACACCCTCGACCTCCGCGGGAACCAGCTAGACACCCTGCCCCCGCTGCAGGGCCCGGGCCAGCTGCGCCGGCTGCGGCTGCAGGGGAATCCGCTGTGGTGCGGCTGCCAGGCGCGGCCCCTACTCGAGTGGCTGGCGCGGGCGCGCGTGCGCTCGGACGGCGCGTGCCAGGGGCCGCGGCGCCTGCGGGGCGAGGCTCTGGACGCCCTGCGGCCCTGGGACCTGCGCTGCCCTGGGGACGCGGCGCAGGAAGAGGAAGAGCTGGAAGAGCGGGCTGTGGCCGGGCCCCGCGCCCCTCCGCGCGGCCCTCCGCGCGGCCCCGGGGAGGAGCGGGCAGTCGCGCCTTGCCCTCGCGCCTGCGTGTGCGTCCCCGAGTCCCGGCACAGCAGCTGCGAGGGCTGCGGCCTGCAGGCGGTGCCCCGCGGCTTCCCCAGCGACACCCAGCTCCTGGACCTGAGGCGGAACCACTTCCCCTCGGTGCCCCGAGCGGCCTTCCCCGGCCTGGGCCACCTGGTGTCGCTGCACCTGCAGCACTGCGGCATCGCGGAGCTGGAAGCGGGCGCCCTGGCCGGGCTGGGCCGCCTGATCTACCTGTACCTCTCCGACAACCAGCTCGCAGGCCTCAGCGCTGCTGCCCTTGAAGGGGCTCCCCGCCTCGGCTACCTGTACCTAGAACGCAACCGTTTCCTGCAGGTGCCAGGGGCTGCCCTGCGCGCCCTGCCCAGCCTCTTCTCCCTGCACCTGCAGGACAACGCTGTGGACCGCCTGGCACCTGGGGACCTGGGGAGAACACGGGCCTTGCGCTGGGTCTACCTGAGTGGAAACCGCATCACCGAAGTGTCCCTTGGGGCGCTGGGCCCAGCTCGGGAGCTGGAGAAGCTGCACCTGGACAGGAATCAGCTGCGAGAGGTGCCCACTGGGGCCTTGGAGGGGCTGCCTGCCCTCCTGGAGCTGCAGCTCTCGGGCAACCCACTCAGGGCCTTGCGTGACGGAGCCTTCCAGCCTGTGGGCAGGTCGCTGCAGCACCTCTTCCTGAACAGCAGTGGCCTGGAGCAGGTGGGCACTGGGCATCTGGCGGGGTTGGTGCAGGAGGCGGCACAAGGCCACAGGCAGCGTGCATTCACTCAACAAGCATTTGCCAGCCCCTTGGTGCCAGGTCTCAGCCTGGGCACGGGGACCCTGAGATAAACCAGGACTGCCCCTACCGGTGTGAGTGACAGTCCGGGCAGAACCCAGGCCACACACGGTGCCTGCACAGGACGGTATTGCTGGAGCATAGAGGAGGGAGGAATTTGGGACCATGCAGTCATCTACTGTTTGTACATATTGAGAGCCCCCAAGAGGTTTTGCCATTATTGGGTGGTGGGGTGGACCATGAACTGGGCATCTGGGTGACTTGGACGGAGCAAGTGTTTTGACATCAGACCAGCCTGGGTTTTGACCCAGCGCTGCACTTCCTGGCTGGACCAGCTTGGGCTCTCCAGCTTCTCTTCTGCTGAGGGAAGATGGGGCTCCCTTCCAGACTTGGGGGTGGGACAGCTCTGCCAGGAGCTCACATTGGGGCCTGGCAACTCCTTGCAGATTTGTCCTGGGGCCTTTTCAGGCCTGGGGCCCGGGCTCCAGAGCCTGCACCTGCAGAAGAACCAGCTTCGGGCCCTGCCTGCCCTGCCCAGTCTCAGCCAGCTGGAGCTCATCGACCTCAGCAGCAATCCCTTCCACTGTGACTGCCAGCTGCTTCCGCTGCACAGGTGGGCACCCCCACCTAGACCTCCAGCCAAAGACCACCCAGCCACTCTCAGTCAAGCCCCTGTCATCTCCCCAGGCACACCATGTCCATGCCCATCCGAGCAGCTTGTGGGGAGGGGCGGGTCCTGTGAGAGCCAGGCATGTATAAGCCCTTTCCAGGGTTAGTTACCCTTCCTGGGGATGTTGAGGGTGGACTTCTCTGAGCCTTGATTTCATCATCCATAAAGTGGGCATGGTATCTGCTCTGCCTAGCGGGCTGGGACCTAATAGGTAGGCGAGACCACTTTACATAATTACATGAGAAAGTCACAAGAGGTCGGGGATGGTGGCTCGCGCCTATAATCCCAGCACTTTGGGAGGCCAATGCAGGCTGATCACCTGAGGTCAGGAGTTTGAGAGTAGCCTGGCCAGCATGGTGAAACTCTGCCTCTACTAAAAATACAAAAATTAGCTGGGCGTGGTAGTGGGTGCCTGTAATCCCAGCTACTTGGGAGGCTGAGGCAGGAGAATTGCTTGAACCTGGGAGGCAGAGGTTGCTGTGAGCTGAGATCGCGCCACTTCACTCCAGCCTGGGCGACAGAGTGAGACTCCATCTCAAAAAAAAATAAAAAGTCACAAGAAGCCTGGAGTCCTGCAGACCTGGGCTCCAGTCCTGGCTCTGGTATTTTACCAACTAACTCTGCAAGCCGCGTAACCTTTCCTGCCCATCTGTAAAAAGGGGGGATGTAGTATCTAACCTCATGATGGTTGTTGTAAGAATGAAATTAGCATAGATAAGTTGATTTGAACAGTGTCTGCTACGTTGTAAGCCCTCTAACTGTTTATTATTACTATTATTATCCCCTTTTTACAAAGAAGGGATCAGAGGCTTGAAGTGGCTTGTAGGTCACATAATTGGTGAGCCGCCAAGATTCTCAGCAGAGCCTGCTGTCACCTATAGGCTCCACCGCTCCCAAATTCCTGGTGGCCTCCTTGACCTCCTCAGGAAAGCTGGCAAATGCTTGTTGAGCGAATGAATGCATGCTGCCTGTGGCCTTGTGCTGCCTTCTGCACCAACCCTGCCCCACACCCAGTGCCCACCTGCTCCAGGCCACTGGAGCAGAATCAGCACAGCTAGCTCCCCAGCTCTCTTTTCTCTTCAGGTGGCTTACTGGGCTGAACCTGCGGGTGGGGGCCACCTGCGCCACCCCTCCCAATGCCCGTGGCCAGAGGGTGAAGGCTGCAGCTGCTGTCTTTGAAGACTGCCCGGGCTGGGCTGCCAGAAAGGCCAAGCGGACACCAGCCTCCAGGCCCAGTGCCAGGAGAACCCCCATCAAAGGAAGACAGTGTGGAGCAGATAAGGTTGGCCATGGGGCAGGAGGGGTGAGACCTTGGTGGGTGGTGGGCCAGGTTCCAAAGTCCCCAGGAAGCAGGAGCCTGACTTGGCTTGGTCCTGATTCATGTGGTTCCAGAGCTGGGCAATGACCCAGTTGCGTCAGTTCAATAATGTCCATCCGAGGCTGGGCGCGGTGGCTCACGCCTGTAATCCCAGCACTTCAGGAGGCCGAGGTGGGCGGATCACGAGGTCAAGAGGTCAAGACCATCTTGGCCAACATGGTGAAACCCCATCTCTACTAAAAAATACAAAAACTATGGCTGGGTGCGTTGGCTCACGCCTGTAATCCCAGCACTTTGGGAGGCCGAGGCGTGCAGATCACGAGGTCAGGAGATAGAGACCATCTGGCTAACACGGTGAAACCCTGTCTCTACTAAAAATACAAAAAAATTATCCGGCTGTGGTGGTGGGCGCTTGTAGTCCCAGCTACTTGGGAGGCTGAGGCAGGAGAATGGCGTGAGCCCAGGAGGTGGACCTTGCAGTGAGCGGAGATCTCACCACTGCACTCCAGCCTGGGCGACAGAGCAAGACTCAAAAACACTCTGTCTCAAAAAAAAAAAAATTAGCTGGGCGTGGTGGCGGGCGCCTGTAATCCCAGCTACTTGGGAGGCTGAGGTGGGAGAATCGCTTGAACCCGGGAGGCAGAGGTTGCAGTGAGCAGAGATCACGCCACTGCACCCCAGCCTGGCGACAGGGTGAGACTCCGTCTCAATAATAATAATAATAATAATAATAATAATAATAATGTCCATCCTCCCGTTCTTCCCTCCTCCCTGCCCCCACCTCTGGGCTAGACCCAGGGTGGGTTTGCAAGGAGTGACCATTTGCTCCTGCTGTGGGACAGTGGCCTTTCCTATAAGCCACACTGTGCTGGTCCAGATGTATCCCTAAAATCGGTCCTGCTGTTTCTATATTTGCTGGATCACTGTTGACTCAACCATGTCCCAGCCTGACCTAAGGGGTCTCCCTCATCCCAGGATCCCAGGGATGGGGAGAGTGGAAGTGCAGGTGCATCATTGGCTCTGCCTCCCACCACCTACTAGCCATAGGTTGGACCCCACTTGATAGTACATTCACCATCCTGACATATCTAGTCCCAGCTTGACCCCTCAGTTGTAGCAAACTCACAGCATATCAGAGAAGGGTGCACAAGATACAGGCACCCCCGTATGTAGGAACCACTGCCTGTAAGGCCACGGAGGTGTCCAAAAGGGAGAGGAAGTTCTTCCAGGGAAAGTGAGAATAGAGTGGGGCCTGGGAAGGTGGGGAGAGGGCTCTATCTCCCCTGGACCTGCATTTTGAACATCTGGGATTCCTGGGGCCATTAGTTGGTGTTTGTATTCATCCCCTAGGACTGCCACAACAAAATGCTAGGAGCTGGGTGGCTTAGAACAGCAGAGCTTCTGTAGGCTAGGGGTCAGCCGTTGAGGTGTTGGCAGGGGCGTGCTCTCTGGAACCGGTAGTGCTCTCTGGAACAGGTAGTGGAAGGGTCCCCCTTGCCTCTTCCAGCTTCTGGTGGCCCCAGGTGCTCCCTGATCTGTGGCAGCATAATCTCCATCTCTGTCCCAACCTTCACGTGATGTTGTGTATCATCATCTTCCCTCTATAATCTGTCTCTGCCCAAATTCCACCCCCCCTTTTTTTTTCTGAGATGGAGTTTTGCTCTTGTTGCCCAGGCTGGAGTGCAATGGCACAGTCTTGGCTCACTGCACCCTCTGCCTCCTGGGTTCAAGCGACTCTCCTGCCTCAGCCTCCCAAGTAGCTGAGATTACAGGTGCGTGCCACCACGCATGGCTAACTTTTGTATTTTTAGTAGAGAAGGGGTTTTACCATGTTGGTCAGGCTGGTCTCGAACTCCTGACCTCAGGTGATCCACCTGCCTCAGCCTCCCAAAGTGCTGGGATTACAGGTGTGAGCCACTGCGCCCAGCCAAATTTCCCCTTTTTATAAATATAACAGCCTATTAGATTAGGGCCCAACCTAAGGATGTCATTTTAACTTCATTACTTCTGTAAGGAATCTATTTCCAAGTAAGGTCATACTCTGAGGTACTGGGGTTAGGGATCCAGCCTTTTGGGATGGGCACAAGTCAGTCTATAAAGTGTTCCTAATTTCTGGCTGGGAGCCGGGAAGGAACTCCTGAAAAGACCCCAAGCTGAAGGTAAGCAAGTTCTGCCTTGGAAGCCAGACCCGGAACTATCGTTGATGAGAGCAATACTAATCTCAGTTGGCAGTCACGTGCGCGACTGGGAAATGGCAGCAGTGCTTTCTCCCTGCGTCAGCCCCGGGAGGCTCATGTAGAAGCGGAGCTGGGTTCAGGAGTGGAAGCTCTGATGAGTCCACTTCCAGGTCAGGGCTTTAGTTAAAAGGGAAAGACACCCCGGGTCCCCACCCCTACACACAGTATGATGGCTTTGGAATCAGGACGTCTCAGGCCATTTGACCTAGCCATCCCTTCTGATACTCCTTTCAGTATTGTGGGTTATTTTGATGAAAGTAGCAGTTTCCTCCCAGGAATACAAAGGAATTCAAGGCAGAGGGCTCTTATCTTGAGGCTCAGGCACTGGCATTGTTCCCGGCTGGAGATGCTCGCCTGCTGAAGGCACCAGGATGGACGTCTGCCAGTCTCCCTTGATGCCCGTGTCTAGTTTGGTGTCTGGCACCCAGAAGATGCTCGGGAAGGCTGAATGACTGACTCACGACTAGGTCATCTGGCAGACAAACCTGGGTTCAACCCCACTGCCATCCTTTACAGGTGTAAATTTTTTTTTTTTTTTTTGAGACAGAGTCTCGCTCTGTTGCTCAGGCTGGAGTGCAGTGGTGCAATCTCGGCTCATTGCCACCTCCGCCCCCCAGGTTCAAGTGATTCTCCTGCCTCAGCCTCCCGAGTAGCTGGGATTACAGGTGACTGCCACCACGCCCGGCTAATTTTTTGTATTTTTAGTAGAGACAGGGTTTCATCGTGTTAGCCAGGATGGTCTCGATCTCCTGACCTTGTGATCCGCCCGCCGTGGCCTCCCAAAGTGCTGGGATTACAGGCGTGAGCCACCGCGCCCGGCAACAGGTGTAAATTTAAGCAGCCAAACGACTAAACTGTACTGAGGCTTCTTTTTTCCCATCAGTACTGCACAGGGTTACTGTGAAGGTGAAATGAGCCATTTAGATACCTATTTAACCTGGCACCTGGGTAGGGGCTCTTGATACTATGGAGTTCCCTTGCATCCCTTTCCCTGCAGCAGAGGGGCTAGACTGGATGGCCATAAAGGACAAGGGAGGCAGGGCAGGTTCCTGAAGGGTCTGGATTTGGTCTCACCTGTACCAGGAGCCCCTGTGGGTCCTGAGGCAGAAGCAGGGATGAGGGGTTTGCAAATGCCTCCCTGCCAGCAGCCCCACTGCTCAGACTCCAAGAACTTGAGTTCCCTCCAAGGGCAAACTGAGGCACAAGGTTACTGCATGGATTGAGCAAAAACTCCCAAGAGATCAATACTTCTATCTCCAACAAATCAAGCTGACCTCTAGGCACCAGCAACACGTGGTCATGCGCACATTCCCATTTCACACACACAAGCCAACTTTATGCCAGCCTATGCCAGGTGCTACGCACAGGCGGACACAGGCTCCATCTCTGGGGAACTCACAGTCTTTGGGGAGAATGGCACAACCGTAAAGAATGACAGCATGTGGCTAAGACAGGGAACTTGAGCTGATGACAGGCGACATTTCTTTACGGCCCTGCACACTCGTGTCTTGACTCACGTGGCCTTCATGATCGATACCACGAGGTGGGGGGGTGGGGTCAGAACACAATCTGCAAGGAATAGAGATCTAACAAACGGGACTCAAGCAAGCAGGGGGTTTAATTTCTCACACACAGAGTCTGGGGAGCCCAGTGAGGTTGCAATGGCAGCTAGATGTGTCCTCCAGCTCTGTCATCCTTGTCTTGAGGGTTCTGTGTTCACGGCCCCTCCAGGCATGGTTTCTTCATTTAGGTAGGAACAAAAGGCCAAAAGAACATACAAGCCCAGCTCTCTAGAGGCTCCAGTCAGAACTGGACCCTTTAACTACAAAGGAATCTTGGATGAATTATTTTTAGCGGGGCTTCAGGAGCAGGTAGCAGAGCCAAAGTGCACACTCAGGCCATCTTCCTCCCAATGTCCTCCCCGGGGGCATTTCCTTTAGGAAATGGGAGTCAGTCCTCACAAACACAGAAAGCAGCTCAAGGCCACCACACAGGTCGCCAAAATCCACATCCTGGTCACTGCTTCTTAGCTGCCGAGACAAGCTGGGTCCCCAACATCCCTGGGGAGCTAGGAGGAGCAGAGGACCAACACATGAGGCTGAGAGGCATTCTGCTTGGTGAATTTTTGAGGCAGAGGCTGCCCCCACCACACAACTCACTGTCAGGGGACCTTATCCTGCTCAGAGAGCTGCTCTAGAACTTAATTTACATGGCTCGTTCAGGCAGACAGAGTTCACTGTCTTGTATTCCACAGTGTGACAGTGGTGGCCCCATCCCTGGCAACTGAGGGCCGTGGCGGGTCGGGGGGAGGCCATCTTAAGGAAGAGCAGGCAGCTAGCGTTCCAGCTTTGGGAACTCTGGCTGGAAAAGGTGGTTCACAGACGAGTTCTGGGGCCTCAGGCGGCCCGTCATATAGACCTTTCCACAGGGGAGGGCAGAAGCAACAGGCGGGTCCCAGGAGACCCCAGCAGGTCCTCCACCGTCCAGCCTTCACAGCACCGGGCAGAATTTACACAGAGAGGATCAGTCTCCAAGCCAAAGTCAGGTGGAGGCATGGTGGTGGTGGTAGAGAAACGCTGGGCTGGCTTCCAGCTAGAAGCCAGGCTGGAGGCAGGAAGGCTCAGTCGTCTGTTTCCTGCTTGATGTTCTCGACGGAGACAGGCAGCTCTGGACTTGAAGCCTTGTCGGGCGAGGCCACGTCTAGATGCTCTTCCTTCACACGCACAGCAATGACTGAAGAGGGAGGGGAGGCGGGTGGGTGGGCGAGTAAATAACTCTGGGAGGGGTGGGGGCGGAGGAGCTGGGAAAGGGACCTGGCTCCCTACAGATGGGGGCCTAGGATGCACCTTCACCCTCCAGCTTCCCTTCTGGGAGGGCAGTGGCAGCAGCAAAGGGCCAAGGCCCCAAGCCAGGCAGGCTATGCCAACGACACTGCCATGTGCCAATCTGTCACCACCCTGCCAAGCACTAGAGGTAGGGGTAGAGATGGAGGAGGAGGAGGGGCCGGGGCCGGGCTAGAGGGGGACTCAGCTCCATTCACAGTTGGGGGCGTGTCTGGGAAACACCCTGGGTCCAGTGGTACAGGACTGCTTGGTGCCCAGAAAATGCCAAAGAAACCTGACTCTACTCTTCTGTGCCCAGGTGGGGAAGGAGAAGGGTCGTCTCTGAGCACGGAGCAGGCTGGTCCTGCCTTGACCCAGCCCGGTGGCTCTTACTCTCGCCAGGAACAGGCTCCGACGAGATCTTCCTGGCACCCTGAGGGTCGTCCTCCAGCAGGGGCTTCTTGGACCCCTGTCTGAGGGGTCGCGTCTTAGTGGGCGGGATTCTTTTCCCTTTGAATAAAAATGGATTCAAACCCAGCATTAGGGTTGTATTTAGGTAAGGCTTTATGGGATAGGTCTCACCCAGTGGTCAGGCAGCGTGGCAGAGGGAAAAGTGCCAGTTTGGGGACAGAAAGCCTGGACTCCAACTCTGACAACACATCTTATTGGCTATGTGCCCTGAGCTCAGATTCTCTCCAATGGGAAGTAATACCACCACCTCCCTCAAACCAAGCCCCAGGCAGTCGTGGTTGTAACTGCTTTTTAAAATCTTTTTTTAAATAAAAAGATTTTTTGAAGAGGGTCTCACTCTGTCACCCAGGTTTGAGTACAGTGGGGTGATCACAGTTCACTGCAGCCTTGACCTCCCAGGCTCAGGTGATCCTCCTACCTTAGCCTCCTGAGTAGCTGGGACTACAGGCCTGTGCCACCATACCCAGCTAATTAAAAATTTTTTTTAAATTAGGGGTCTCGCTATGTTGCCCAGGCTGGTCTCAAACTCTTGGGCTCAAGAGATCCTCCCACCTCAGCCTCTCAAAGTGCTGGGATCACAGGTGTGAACCATCACACTCAGCCCCCGTTTTTGATTGTTGATTTCTTCCCACAACATGCACCATTCCCGGTCCTACCGTTTGAATGGTACAGAGCCTCTGCCTGCTGGATAAATGCCACACCCTCACTCAATTTTTTTTTTTTTTTTGTGCGATGGAGTTTCCCTCTTCCGCCCAGGCTGGAGTGAAGTGGAGCGATCTGGGCTCACTGCCACCTCCGGCCCCCAGGTTCAAGTGATTCTCCTGCCTCAGCCTCCCAAGTAGCTGGGATTACAGGCGCCTGCCACCACACCTGGCTAATTTTTGTATTTTTAGTAGAGACGGGGTTTCGCCATGTTGGTCAGGCTGGTCTTGGAACTTCTGACCTCATGATCCGCCCACCTCGGCCTCCCAAAGTGATGGGATTACAGGTGTGAGCCACCGCGCCTGGCCGCCTCACTCAATCTTAACCCTGCCCAAGGGACCTTGTTTCTGTTTCAGAACATCCTCTTCCCCACATGGTACCACACTGTGGAGCCCACCTCGCTGTCATAGGCCTGCGGCTCTGAAGGATGGCTTTGCCCGCTCCCGCTCTGCCCCTCAAGTGGAACCCAAGCTGGGCTCAGAATCTGTAGAGTGAGGCCCCACCAAGGGAAACGACACCCACGGCCTGAGAGCCAGGTGGAGTCCTGCCACTCAGCTGCCTGCCTTTGCTCCCACCCTCTCCCACCCTCAAAGAGGTCTCGAGGTAAGAATGACAGCCTTGGAGAGACAGCTTCTATTTCTTCCTGTGGCTTTTCCTTTAGAACCTAGCAGCTGCGGCTTGCCCAGGCCAGGCTGTTTTTTTCTGAACATGGGGCATCAGGGATGGGATCCCCCAACCTCAATCTCTTACCTCTTTTCCTCAGCACCCTGACCATGGCCAGAGACTGAACACTCCCTATTTATGGTCTGGGTCCCCAGAGACAGGGTGAAAGGCCCGTAGGCCAAAGGGCAAGGGGAAAGAGACAGGACAGGAACACGAAGAGAGCTACGTCAGTAGGACAGCACCTGGGAACCAGTGCCTGGGGGCTGACCCCCGCCTGCTCCCAGGGACGCAGGCCCACTGCTCCCAGGCCCACACCAGCCTGGCTGCACCGGTGCAGCACTTACTTTTCTTCCCAAACTGTTTCTTTTTCTTCTTTGTGGCCTCTTTGGCCTTCAGCGGTGTGGCCGGTTCTGTTGTTGAAAGACAAGGGTGAAAGAGATGAGAAGAGGGTCCCTGGGAGGACACAGGGCACAGGCGCATCCCGAGACCCCATCCACCCTCCCACACGAGACACCCCAAGACAGGAAGCCAAACCTGGGCAATGAGGAGAGGGCGGGGCTGGAGGAGGGGCCGGAGAACAGCTGTCCCTTCTTCCCACCCTTGTTACCAGGGCTGCTCAGAGGGACCTGGGTAGTTTACCTGGGTGCACAAGGGCACGAACATATGACAGAGTGGGCAAGATGAAGGAAGGAGCTCTGCAGGCCAGAGGGAAAGGGAGACAGAGAAGTCAGGAGCAGGGGCTGGGTGACGGGGCTCACTCTCTACTTAAAGTGGTCCATGAGACATCTCCACCTCATGCCAAAGAACGGAGATGGGCACAGGGGCGGGGGAAGAAGGAAAAAAGAAGAGGAAAGAAAGTCAGAGCCTCTTAGGGCCACGAGAGCCCACACCTGCGGCCACAGGAGGCTGGAGCTGGTAGCCGGTGAGCTCACACCAGCCGACGGGGTAGATGTCTGGGGACTCGCAGTCCACCCACTGGTCGTACTCGCTGTCCCAGCCGTCAAAGTGGATGCTGAGGAGCCGATGCACCACTCGTTTCACCGTGGCCACACAGATGAGCCGGGGCTCCATCAGGTCCACGGCCTCCAGCTTCATGCCCACCTTGAAGCCATGGTTTGGGCAATCCTGGGGCAGAAAAAGGAGGCAGTGGCCAAGCCAGTCAGCTCCCTACCCCAGCAGGCTTGCCCCGGCCCGGAGGCACTTGAAGAACTGGCAGGGAGGGGCGGGGACTGGAATGGCTGCTGGGGCAGCTTCCTCTAGACAATAACCCACTGCACCTCTCCCAGTACCGCCCTCCATGGAAGAGGGACTGGAGTGCCCAGGCCATAGCTGGGGACTTCCCCCTGAAAGTGGCTGATGTCAGCAGTAGAGATTCGAGAGAAAGAGTAGGAACTGCCACCACTGACAGCAGCAGGCAGGGCCTGTCCTGAGGCCACCGCAGGCCCCTTGCTCCACTTCAGTCTCCTCACCATGTTAAAGAGTCTCGATGGAGCGGCTTTCGACTTGGTCTTCTCCAAGTAGTTCTCCCAGTTGAAAGTCTGTGCCTCATAACCTGGAGGAGCAGAAAGCTCAGATGCAGAGGGAGAGGGGGAAGCAGGAAGTGGGCAGGAGGAAAGGACACATGGCTGAAGAAGCTCTGCAGCTTGGTCAGGACCCAGCATGGAGTCTCCCCAGCAGCCTTCTTCTCATCCCCTCAGGGTAGTACCTGCTCTAGCACCACAGTCCTGTTGTATAGGTTGTTCACTGACCAATGGGATAAGTGGGAGCTCTGTTCATCAACCATACACTGGCCATGGGGTAGGGTCAGCCCAGCAGTTAAGGGCTGGTGGTGGGCTCTGTCACCTTTCCCATACACCCTGAAATGCTACACTTCTGGGGCCTGACTTGACCAGGAATCTGGGCTTGTGGCCACACCCTGCCCCTTCTGTTTTGTTTTGAAGACAGAGTCTTGCTCTGTCGCCCAGGCTGGAGTGCAATGGCATGATCTCGGCTCACTGTAACCTCCACCTCCTGGGTTCAAGCAATTCTCCTGCCTCAGACTCCCGAGTGGCTGGGATTATAGGCACCTGTCACCATGCCTGGCTAATTTTTGTATTTTTAGTAGAGACGAGGTTTTGTCATGTTGGCCAGGCTGGTCTCAAACTCCTGACCTCAGGTCATCCACCTGCCTCGGCCTCCCAAAGTGCTAGGATTACAGGCGGGAGCCACCGCGCCTGGACACCCTGCCCCTTCTGATGGCAAGGACAGCAGGTGGTGGCCTCTCTAGTCTTACCTTTTGGCGGTGTGAGCTCAATGTCATTCTTCTGACAGAAGGTGGCCGGGAAGATGGCGTGGGAAGAGGCATGGTAGCAGAACCAGTCCAAGCCATCTGTGGAGGGCCCCCCGTCCACACAGATCATCAGGTATCCATCCAGGAGAACCTGGGGGGTGGGGGGAGCAGGCAGACAGATCATATCATGAACTGCACCCCATCCTGGGTTGGTACCGCACCCCAATAGGGACACGAGGCAAATGGATCCAAACGGATCTAGGGCATGGCCCTCCTGGAGGACACCTGAGCCTCTCTGGGGCACACAGTACTTCTGTGATGCATACGCGTGGGATTCTTTCTCTTCCCCACTAGACAGCAAACACCACGCCAGCAGGGGCCGCGTCCATCCTGTTGGACCGTGTTCTTGGGTGAGCACACGCGCCCGGCATGGAGCGGATCCGCGGCGAGGACGAGTCAGCAGCCTCCTCCAGGAGGGCCAAGGAGGGGTGGGGGTGCTGCTCAGGAGGAGGCGATGAGGTTTGGAGCAAGGTGACCCCAGCTGTGGCTCTTGCCTAGGCCAGCGCTCAAAGGAGATGGCACACAGCAAGAAGGCCCCAGTGAGGTGACAGGGAGGGGCCTACTCTGACACAGGACCAGGCTCAGGTGTTGAATAAGCACTCGTCCAGGGAGCCTTGGACCCTGACACGAAAGCAGATTCTGAGCAAGGGGCAGGCCAGGCCCCACTCACAAAAGTCAGGGACTCTGGGTGCAGCCAGTGATGAGAGGCTGGGACACAGACCCCCTGACGGTGGCGAGTGGGGTTAGAGCTCTGGGCCACATGGGTCCCCCCGCTCAGAAATCTGGAGGCTGGAGAGCCGGCCCCTGGCTCACCTTACAGACAGTTGCCACGCAGATGTTGCCCAGATTCAGGGGGTCAATGGCCTCCAGCTTCATCCCTTCCTCAAACCAACCGCCTTCTGTGTAGACTGCTCGTACCTTAAAGGAATGGGACAGCTGGGGACTCCCTGGGCAGGCCAGGAGGAAGGGTGAGGGAAGCAGGCCTCAGGAGGGAAAGGGATGGTCCCAGGGGAAGAGCCAGGTCCCTCAGGCCCGGAATGGACCCATGGCTGAGGGGAAAAGCGCCCAAGAGCTGAACCTCACCTTCTTGAAGAGGTAAGGAACGGCATCACAGTAGATCTTCCGGAAGGTGGGGTGATGGGCCATGTCACTTCGCCTCTCTTTGGAGGAGATGGATAGGGAATGAGGGAGAGAAGGGAGTTGGAGGCGGCTCCTGGGCCATCTCCACACGCCTCCCCTGGGAATGTGGGGCTGCTCTGCACGTGTTCTCAGCTGTATCTCTGTATCTCAGGACCCCCCACCCCAGAGTAGCAGACAGAAAGGTTGAGTCCAGAAAACATCAAGAGCTCTCTGTAGGGACTCTTCAGCCCTCGAAACCCAGACTGCTCCCGCATTGACAGGGGAGAGGATCGGGGCTGGTAGCATCTGGGTTCAAATCTTGATTTTACCACTCACAAGTTGAGTGGAGTGACTTTTGTCAAGTTACTCAAGCTCTCTGGAGCTCAGTATCATCACTGCAGGGGGGCCATGCCAACCTCCACCTGCTGACCTGCTGTGACGAGTAGGAAGGTGCTCCCACTCCGTCCCTGGGGAAGCACAGCATGCAGTCCCTCTGGCCTGGGGCTCTGCTAACCTGACATCTTGATGCCGTGGCCCACACGTCGTGACCAACCCACTGGGTGGATCAGGGGGCTCCACATGTGGCACCAGAAGTCGTCGTCACTGTCACCATCCTCGTAGAGGAGCCGTAGGCGACCCCCGATTACTGTGTCCACCACAGCCATGCGAGTGCGTGACACCTGGGACTTGTCCACCACTTCCAGCCGCATGCCCTGCCTAAAGGGGTACTTCATGCTCTCCACCATCTGAAACGACGTCAGAACACAGGCCTGCTATGGCTCAGGGCTCTTCCCACCCACCCTCCTGCTCTGGTGAGTGGAGGACAGGGAAGGTGTGGTGTTATCCCCCACACTCAGTCAGTCGGGAGGTGGCAGATGAGACTGCCTGCGCTGCCAGGCTCACCTTGGCCCTGACTCCCTAGGAGGACACAGAGGGAGGCAACAGCTCTCCCTAGGAGGACACAGAGGGAAGGCACACGGCTTGCAGTGGGCATGCCACTTCTTGCCACCAAAACGCCAATGAGTTGATGCAAATCACAAAACGCACTTTAGACTAAGGAAAAGTGACCCAGAGGTCACGCCTGCCCAGAATTACACAGACTCATTTGTGCCAGAGCTGGGCCTGGAAGCTGGTGTGCAGCCTGTGCTCCTCATGGGCTCTGCACTCTGATCCCCAGGCATCCTGCCCTCCCCGCCCCCTCCCAGCCCTCTGCCTGTGGCACATACAAGACTCATGTCCAGAGAACTGAGTCTTCCTGTGTCCCTTTCTGACCCTGATGGGCTGCAGCTCTGCAGTGCTTTCACAGTGCCTTGGTAGCAACTGACCTAATGAGGGATGGTGACCAAGATGCCCTCGAGCTGCTCTACAGAGAGCCATGGTGCTGGGGTACAGAGGAGGAGGTTCTTTTTGTTCACTGTGACTTCAGTGCTGTCCTGCCTGGGGCAGGGAACAGGTAGGGTGTAGGGCTTTTCCAGCCCCAGGGCACTGCTGGGTCAGGAAGAACCAGCCTAGACTAGACTAAGCAGTGCTATTTCCAAACACACCAGGAAGGAAAGCGTCTCAGAGGTCACAAAGCAGCCAACAGGCAAAGCTGACACAGGGGTCCTAAACCAGACAGACCCTCTGGCCCAGCTCAAGGGCTTGGGATACGTCCTGACACCAATTGCCTGTCCCACATCCGGTATCCCAGCAGCTCACTCAGGAGAGTGAGAGAAAACACAGGGTAAGGCCTGGCTCGGGGCCCCTCTGGGCTGCCTTCCCTGCCATGTTCTCTTCATCTACAGCCAACACAGTGCAGCCCACAATCCAACGCCATTTTTGTTAGTTTTTGTTTTTTTTTTTGAAATGGAGTCTCCTCGCTCTGTGGCCCAGACTGAAGTGCAGTGGCACGATCTCAGCTCACTGCAACTTCGGCCTCCCGGTTTCAAGCGATTCTCTCACCTCAGCCTCCTGAGTTAGCTGGGATTACAGGCGCATGCCACCACACCCAGCTAATTTTTGTATTTCTAGTAAAGACAGGGTTTCATCATGTTGGCCAGGCTAGTCTGGAACTCCTGCCCTCAGGTGATCTTCTGACCTCGGCCTCCCAAAGTGCTGGGATTACAGGAGTAAGCCACTGTGCCGTGCCTAGCTAATGTTTTTTTTTTTTTTCAAGAGACGAAGTCTCACAGTGTTGCCCAAGCTGGTTTCAGACTCCTGGCCTCAAGTGATCCTCTTGCCTTGGCCTCCCAAAGTGCTGAGACACTGAGACAGGTATGAGTCACTTTTACCATGTATATATGTGACTTTTTAATTTTTACTAAATCATTTCTTAAAATTAAATGCCACAAAGATGATTCTGTGCCACACAGGAGTCCTACACCAGACAGAATCAGACAGCCCAGAGGCGCCCCAGACTGGGCTTTACCCTGTGCTGTGCCAGGCACATCCCTGGCTCAGAACCGAGGCTATATTACAATTACTTGTGTGCATGGCTTTTGTTTCCTCTGCCAGACTAGAGATTTCTGGATGGCAGGGTCTGTATTCTTTGTATTCCCACAGTGCCTTGTAAACAAGTATGTAAGGCTGGGCATGGTGGCTCATGCCTATAATCCCAGCACTTTGGGAGGCCGAGGCAGGTGGATCACTTGAGGTCAGGAGTTCGAGACCAGCCTGGCCAATATGGTGAAACCCCATCTCTACTAAAAATACAAAAATTAGCCAAGTATGGTGGTGTGTGCGCACCTGTAATCCCAACTACTCGGGAGGCTGAGGCAGAAGAATTGCTTGAACCCAGGAAGCGGAGGTTGCAATGAGCCAAGATTATGCCACTGCACTCCAGCCTGGGCAACAGAGCGAGACTCTATCTCAAAAAGAAAAAAAAGGCTGGGCGCGGTGGCTCATGCCTGTAATCCCAGCACTTTGGGAGGCCGAGGCAGATGGATCACGAGGTCAGGAGATTGAGACCATCCTGGCTACCACGGTGAAACTCCATCTCACTAAAAATACAAAAAAATGAGCTGGGCGTGGTGGGCGCCTGTAGTCCCAGCTACTTGGGAGGCTGAGGCAGGAGAATGGCGTGAACCCAGGAGTCAGAGCTTGCAGGGAGCCGAGATCGCGCCACTGCACTCCAGCCTGGGGGACAGAGCGAGACTCCGTCTCCCAAAAAACAAAAAAGTATGTTAATAAAATCTATTGAGTGAACACTTCTGAAAAATTCTATGAGCAAAGGTAAGGTTCCGGAAGAGCAAAAGGCAGACAAAGCAGCATGACTGGAGCAGTAGGAGCAGAGTCTGGGTGGGGCAGTGGCCGACGCCAGGCTAGAAAGGCAGATGGCAACCACGTAGCAGCAGCATTTGTCTCTAGCCTTGCAAAATGTGGAGCTGCTGAAGATCATCAGGCAAGGGGTCTTAGGTAACATGCTCCAGTGAGTGGCATGCAGGATGCAGAAAAATGGAAGAGCGGAAGGAGGCACATCAGTTAAGGGCTCACTGCCGACCTTGATGTGGAAATCCACGGGAAGCGTCCTGGAGCCCACCAGCCGTTTCATGAGGTAGCCCTTCCAGTCGGTGAACTTGGCATGGATGGCTGTGGAGGCACCAGCAGAATCCTGGTTACACAGACTGACAAACCTCCACTGACAGGGGCGCTAGCGCCGACCCAGAGTGGGGACCCCTCAGCAGTGGGGACTGAAAATAGCTGCCTCTTCAGGCCAGCAATGACTTCATCTGAGAACATCAGATTCCACACGTGGATCTGCCCCCAGGCCTCTGGGATGGGGAGGGCAGGAAGCCAGGGGGCAAGTGGATTCTGTTCTAACAAGACAGAGGACTCCCATTCTACCTAACACAAGCAGAGGACTCTCCCTCTACCAGGGGCCCTACGGGAACAAGAGAGGAAATGTTCTCATCAACTCACTCCGTGGGGGCACTAGGATCTTGCTGTTGATGGCACACCAGCCAATGGGGTGGACATCCACTGTTCCCAGGTTGCACCAGAAGTCATGGCTGGCGTCATTTTCAAAGCCTTCATACCGAAGCAGCACCCGATACCCTGAAAGGAAAGGAAAGGGCACCTGTGAGGGAGGGTGAGCTGGGGAAGGTATGTTCTGTTTTTTTTTTTTTTTTCTGAGACGAAGTCTTGCTCTGTCGCCCAGGCTGGAGTGCAGTGGCGCCATCTCAGCTCACTGCAAGCTCCACCTCCAGAGTAGCTGGAACTACAGGCGCCTGCCACCACGCCCGGCTGATTTTTTTTTGTATTTTAAATAGAGACGGGGTTTCACCGTGTTAGCCAGGATGGTCTCGATCTCCCGACCTCGTGATCTGCCCTCCTCGGCCTCCCAAAGTGCTGGGATTACAGGCGTGAGCCACCGGGCCTAGCTTGGGGAAGGTATGTTCTTAAGCCTTCTCTTTTCTCTAGCCTAAGCTGGACTTCTGGCACCTATACTTCCAGGCAAGTGGATTCCTGTTGTCCACAACAGTCCTAGCCAAACAAATTCATGCTCCTAGTTCGGAAAGCATTATGGAATGGTGCTGAGAGTTAATTCTCTATAACCTGATCATCCTTGGAATGAATTTTACTTTTTAAATTTTTTCATTTTTTATAGAGACAGTATCTCACTATATTGCCCCGTCTGGTCTCGAACTCCTGAGCTCAAACAATCCTCCTGCCTCTGCCTCCAAAGTGCTGGGATTAGAGGTGTGAGCCACGAAACCTGGCCCTGGAACAAACTTTAAAAATTGGGGTTTCCAGCCAGGCACGGTGGCTCACGCCTATAATCCCAGCACTTTGGGATGCAGAGGATCACCTGAGGTCAGGAGTTTGAGACCAGCCTGGCCAAGATAGTGAAACCCCGTCTCTACTAAAAATACAAACATTAGCCGTGTGTGGTGGCCAGGTGGCCTGTAGTCCCAGCTATTCGGGAGGCTGAGGCAGGAGAATCGCTTGAACCCAGGAGGTGGAGGTTGCAGTGAGCCGAGATCGTGCCACCGTACTCCAGCCTGGGTGACAGAGCAAGACACCATCTAAAAAAAACAAAATAACAAAAACAAACAAAAAAATTTGGGGTTTCCAAGCCTGCCAAGCTCTGTGTTCCCTTCTCCGGTAAAAGAATCCTTAGAAGTGGGGCAAAAATTCCAGTGGGTGGGATTTTTGTTTTATGAAGCCAACTCCTGCCTACAACACTGTTCACCCATCTAGAGATGTCACTCTGCAGACACATCCCTGGCCCTGCCCTGGCCAAACACTCACCTGCTGTCTGGATGACAGAGGCGATCCAGTACACCCGGCTGGGGAGCACAGCATCACTGTTGAGCACCTCCACCTTCATCCCTTTCATCACATCCTCCCACTGGTCATAGAGTGGGACCTGTGTGGCGATGAGAGTGTACCGAGAGAGTGAGCTAACTGTGCTAGCAGGGGAGACAGACTGCCTCACGGCCTCAGTCAAGTCCTCGTTTGCACCTCAACTTTTCACATCACCCACTGTGTGCAGAACCAGCTACTAGAGATAAAGAGATGAGGTCTCCTGTCCTTGAAGAGCTAAGCCGGGAGTAGAGGTGGAGGTGGTGGGATGCAGGGTGATGGCTAGAGACCCAGAGTCAGACAGAACCGAGTCCTAAAATCTTTATAGGACTGGTTTCTTACTGTATCATTTTGGGCACATGATGCCTTGGTGAGCCTCGATCCCTTCGTCCCTGTGCCAGCCCGAGCAATGGCAGGGCGCTGATATTAGCACAAATATACTTTCCTTCAATCATCATACAAACCTGGGCTGTGGGCATTATGACCCCCTTGTTTACACACAGCCATCCACCTGCAAGTTTACTCTCTACCTCCCCTCCTACTGAAATGCTCCAGGGGGCCAGGCATGGTGGCTCACGCCTGTAATCCCAGCACTTTGGGAGGCCGAGACGGGCGGATCACCTGAGGCTGGGAGTTCGAGACCAGCCTGACCAACATGGAGAATCCATGTCTCTACTAAAAATACAAAATTAGCCGGGCGTGGTGGTGGCACATGCCTGTAATCCCAGCTACTCCGGAGGCTGAGGCAGGAGAATCGCTTGAACCTGGGAGGGGGAGGCTGCTGTGAGCTGAGATAGTGCCATTGCACTCCAGCTCTGGGCAACAAGAGTGAAACTCCCATATCGAAAAAATAAATAAAATAAAATAAAGTGCCCCAGGACAGCACTGGACTGTTTCAGTTGCCTTCCCAGTACCTAATCCTCACTTTCCTGCCAATGGTACTTTTGATTCTCCTTTGGGAGAATCACTTTTTTTAGAGTCTTGCTCCGTCACCCAGGCTGGAGTGCAGTGGCGCAATCTCAGCTCATTACAACCTCCGCCTCTCAGGTTCAAGGGATTCTCCTGTCTCGGCCTCCCAAGTAGCTGGGATTACAGGTGCCTGCCACCACTTCCAGCTAATTTTTGTATTTTTAGTAGAGATGGGGTTTCACCATGTTGGCCAGGCTGGTCTCGAACTCCTCACCTCAGGTGATCCACCCGCCTCGGCCTCCCAAAGTGCTGGGATTATAGGGGTAAGCCACTGCGCCTGGCCAAATTCACCTTTTTTATTCTCAGCCCTGGCTTCAGCCAGTTGAGGTATCCCATTCCATCTCCCTGGTCACTTGAGTTTAGTTCATCACAGAACCCGGACACAGTTGCGCTAGCCCAGGCACGCAGGGGCAGGCTTTTTACAAAGCAAATTGGATTATATGTGTTAGACACAAGGATGATGCAACTCCCTGGAAATGAAAATGCTGAAACTATTAGAGAATTCAGGGCAAAAAAGAGGCTCCCCCTCCAGCAGGAAGGAGGTGCACCTTCATTAGCCATTCAGAGACGAGAGGAGTGAGTTAGCTGAGTCAAGAAGCAGCTGTCATTGTTCAGGGCACTCCCCAGAGTTCAGTGGCAGTTCTGAAAGGAGGAGAGGAAGTGGCTTACTCTGGGTAAAAGACTCCCTACTTCCTCAAGACTAAAGAGGCCTCCTCCTGGATTTCCCGGAGCTTAGGGACGTGGTGTGAAGACAAAACAAGAGTGCTGTTGTGGGCTCTGCTCTCCCGGCCTGCAGGCTCCACACGTCACAGCTGCTGGATATTCGGTTCTTGCGCTCAAGCCCCGCCCCTAAGGGCCTTGCCCTTCGTTCTGGCTTTTACATGATCCGCATCGAGGAGCCTTTTACAGAAGTGGCTCCAGGAGCATCCACATCTGCCTCTCGGGGCCCACGGGGCCCAGGCCAGCTACAGAAGCACCCTGCTTTCCATGGGAAAATGCTGCAAATGGGGGAGAAAGGAGAGAAGGGTTTCAGACTGCAAAGACCCTTCGACATCAGCTAGCACCAAGTTCCATCATGTAAATAAACTGAAGGGCTTCAGACCGGGAGTGAAGCCAAGCAGGTGATAGAAGTGTTTGTAGGAGGATTTTTTTGACATAAACATGAAATGGAGCGAGTGGTAACGCCATCCGTCTCCTGCCCAGACCTCCCCACTGTCACTGTCCAGCCTGAAGCCGCCCTGGTGAAGCAGGTGGAGGAGCAGCTCCAGGCCCGGCTCCCCGGCCTCCCTCCCTCAGCTCCAGGGCACTCACGTGCTTGAAACAGCTGACGGGAGCAGCCTTGTAACTGTGATCCTTCAGGAACTTCCCCCAGTCGAAGCCCAAGACCAGAGCTGCAGAGCAGAGAGGACGAGTCAGACTAGGAGCCTGCGCAGCAGCCACTCCAGGAGCCTGGACCCCAAGGGCCCTGTGGGACCTGCAGAGGTAGGTCCCCCACCCCCAGCAGCCCCTCTCACAGCGCTGCCCACGACACCCTCCTTCACTCCCATACCTGATCCACCAGTGGCCATGAGGGACCACTGTTGAGGACTGAATTGAAAGGTGGCAAGACTCTCAGGAGTAGAGGAACATTCAAAGGGAAATTTCTCGCCCTTCTTCCCCCAAAGGGGAAAACTGAAATATCCCTGGGCTTAAATTCCTCCCTCCGCCCTGAACCTGATTGGCCACACCCAATCTAAATGTGGGGGAGGGGGTGCGCACACACCAGGGCCCCTCCAACTGAGCTCCGGCCTGCTGAGCTCAATTTCAGTTAGAAACTCAGAACAATGATAGCAGAGTTGCTTTATGCATACATTTAACTTGCTTAGCAATTGCTACACACTCAGAGAGAGGCTCCTTTCCTTATCCCACCACCCCTCTCCAAACCTGCCTTCAAACCATATCTGGGCCTTCGTTGCCCCAGGGAAACAGAAACCAAAAGGATAAAAGCAAAGAGAAACAAAAACAGCCAATTCTTGGCTTTTGAATTATCATGGGTAGGAGTCCTGATAATTTAAGGGTGTTTGAAGGCATTTTTCTGGGTAATTTCCACAATACCCAACAGGTGAGGAAGATGCAATCCGCAGTGACCCTGACTTAGGGCACTTTCTACCTGGCCGGTTTGCCCAGTCTTCATTCCTAGGAAAGGCCACCCCAAACCCAGTCTCCTCCCCAGCCACGGCAGCTTCCTAAGCAGGGCCCTCTGCTATCTTACCGTCTTGTCCTGTTGGTGTCCCATCTGCCAGCTGTCCTGTCCCTTGAGAGTGGAGGAAGGCTCCAATTTTGGCAGACCAGGCAGCCTTGTGCAGGACTTTGGCTTTTTTGGTCGGTGGTTTTCCCTGGAGAGGAGGACAGAGGCTATGTGTAGCCTGGCGGCTGGGATCATGAGTCTGGATTTGGGCCGCCAAGTTGAAGTCCTGGGCTTGGGCCAGTGACTTAACCTCTTTTGGGCTTCAGTTTCTTCATGTGTGAAACAGTGATGACAATAACAATCCTGAGCTCAGGGGGTGGTTGTGGGGAAGCGTCGGGGGTGCTAGGGGGTGCTAGGCAGTGCTGCAGAGCAGGGAGAGACCCATGTTCTATCTTTTAAGCCTTTCTGTCCTCCCAGATTCAAGTCTCAGTCATCTCCTTCCTCCAGTGTCGCTACTGATAGATCCAAAGCAAAGAATGGGCCTCACAGGGGCCCAGAAACGCTCATGAACTGGGAGGCAACCTTCTGTACATACGCGAATGTTTGGGAGAGGGTCCACATAGGCGAATGTTCGGGAGAGGGTCCACATAGGCGAATGTTCGGGAGAGGGTCCACATAGGCGAATGTTCGGGAGAGGGTCCACATAGGCGAATGTTTGGGAGAGGACCCACAGCTTTCATTAGGTACTCAAAGGGGGTCCTCCCTTTCCAAAGGGAATGGCCACTGATCTGGTCTGTATTTTGTAACTTAAGTACTGAACAGGAAGGCCAGGAATTTACTAAAGAGATCAGTGAAGCAGAAATCTGGGTTTAAGTCCCAAACAAACCTACAGGGCAAATCCCAGTTCTACAGTTTTTAGTTGTATACCTTTAAGTAAGTTACTAAAATTTCTGAGCCTTTATAAAAAGGAATTTTTTTAAAAATCAAATTTTTTAAGATCGTTAATTGGACTGAGAATGTCAAGCCCTTAGCAAGTACTCCCAAACCATAGCTATTAATATTACCAATATTATTCTTAGCTCTCGGAAGAGAGGGATCTTTCGGTGCCTTAAGTAAAATCTACAAAATGGGGAAACAATGGTAATTGTCTCACAAAGGCGACAGTGTATGAAGCAGTAAGCAGAAGGATCTGGGACACAGCAATTTCTAATAAACATCGGTGGTGCTCAAACTTCGCTGCACATTAGGATCACCTGGGAGCTCTTCCAATCTCTGTCCAGGCTACACACCATCCCAGTTAAATCAGAACCTTTCGGAGTAGGACCCAAGCATCAATATATTTTACATAATATTTTCCCCCCAGGCTGGAGTGCAGTGGCACGATCTCGGCTCACTGCAACCTCCACCTCCCAAGTTCAAGCGATTCTCCTGCCTCAGCCTCCCGAGTAACTGGGACTACAGGCGTACAACACCACGCCTGGCTAATTTTTGTATTTTTAGTAGAGACGGGGTTTCATCATGTTGGCTGGGATGGTCTCGATCTCCTGACCTCGTGATCCGCCCGCCTCGGTCTCCCAAAGTGCTGGGATTACAGGCGTGAGCCACCGTGCCCGACCAGCATCAATAATTTTTAAACTTTCCAGGTGATCCCAACATGCAGGCAAATTTGGGAAGCAGTGTTGCAGATGCTGGTCCCAGCTACTGGGAAACAAGGTAAGATGAGGCCCCTGAGATGAGGTTCCAGCCTCAATTCCGCCATTCTCCTCCTACAGAGCCACACTAGGTATGTCATTCTACCTCCTTGGACCTCAGTATACTTATCAATAAATGTGTGGGTTCAACACCACATCCAAGAATCTTTCCATCTCTAAAGATTCTATAAATATCAGTAATTTAGAAAATTGGCAAGACTTTCTAGGTAGCTGCCTGTGACATGGAGTCCGAGGAGGCATGGTCTTCCTGAAGCCACCGTGGCTGGTGAACCTTGGGCCTGTTTCCCAACTTCCTTTGAAAGGATTTATAAAAGTGTGGGGTGAAGACCAAGGGTGTCAGACTCCCCCATAGTTCTTGTTTAAAATGTACTGAATACACCAGACTCTGGGGGATGATGGTAGGTAATGGAGCGTAGCTTCAGGAACCTATAATTTAAAAAGCTCCACAAATGGATTCTACTGTCCTCTGAAGTTTGAGAACATAATAAATACCAGCTGGCCACAAGCAAGGACCTTTTCAAACTTTCCTGGCCCTGGCCTTCAGTCACTTGGTGGTTCCTGTCTCAGCACCAAAGGCACCGGGAAGGATCCAAGTGATTGCCTCTCACCTGTAACCTAGCCAAGATACTGGCTTTCTTGGAGTTGGAGGAGTAGCTCCTGGAGCAGGAGACGCTGCAGAACCTCTTGGTCTTGGAGAAGAAGGCTTCCCTTGTACCCACGATACCACACATCTCACAGACAGCTGGGAAGAGAACTTAGCACATGACTCACCCGATATGACCACCTCAAAGCAAACAAAGTGATGGGCCCTTCAAAACCTGGGGCACTGCATTAACCAGGTGAGCCCCTGCCCCCACAAAGGCTAATGGAATAAGAGGAGGAATGGGAGGTACTGGTGTGTATATCCTGAATCTACCTGAATGAAGTGCTGCTGCTTGGCCTCCCTTGGCTACAGATGTCAACAGAGGGGCTAATGGAAATCCATGAGGACGACTGGGGGAACAGGTGAGTGTTGAAAAGTTTGTCAGAGGAAAGTGAGAAGAAACTAGGCATGGTAGCTCCTGTCTGTAATCCCGGCAGTTTGGGAGGCCAAGGAGGGAGGATTGCTTGAGGGCAAGAATTTGAGACCATCCTGGGCAACATAGCAAGACCTTGTTGCCCAAAAAAAAAAAAAAAAGGCCAGGTGTGATTTGGCGGGGGGAAACTGCCTGAGCCCAGGAGGCTGAGGCTGCAGTGAGCCATGACTGCACCACTGTACCTCTAGCCTGGGCAACAAAGTAAGACACTGTCTCAAAAAAAAGCGAAAAAATTTATAGGAAGAAAAAGTGCCAAAGTCACTTAACCTCTGTGGCTCTATTTTCTCATCTATATAGTAAAGGGACTGAACTAGATCAGTGTTTTATTTATTTATTTTTGAGACGGAGCCTTGCTCTGTCACCCAGCCTGGAGTAGTACACTGGCGCAATCTTGGCTCACTGCAAGCTCTGCCTCCCGGGTTCACGCCATTCTCCTGCATCAGCCTCCCGAGTAGCTGGGACTACAGGCACTGCCACCACACCCAGCTAATTTTTTTGTGTTTTTAGTAGAGACGGGGTTTCACCATGTTAGCCAGGATGGTCTCAATCTCCTGACCTTGTGATCCGCCGTGTCGGCCTCCCAAAGTGTTGGGATTACAGGCGTGAGCCAATGCGCCCAGCTAGATCAGTGTTTTAATCGTGACTTCACTTTTTTTTTTTTTTGAGATGGAGTTTTGCTCTTGTTGCCCAGGATGGAGTGCAGTGGCGCCATCTTGGCTCATTGCAACCTTCGACTCCCGGGTTCAAGGGATTCTCCTGCCTCAGCCTCTTGAGTAGCTGGGACTACAGGCATGTGCCACCACGCCTGGCTAATTTTTTATATCTTTAGTAGAGACGGGGTTTCGCCATGTTGAGCAGGCTGGTCTTGAACTCCTGACCTTGTGATCCTCCCGCCTCGGCCTCCCAAAGTGCTGGGATTACAGGCGTGAGCCACCATGCCTGGCCCGTGACTTCACTATTAGACCCACCTGGGGAGCTTTTAAAAATGCCTGAGATGGCCGGGCGCGGTGGTGGGCGTCTATAATCCCAGCTACTCCGGAGGCTGGGGCAGGAGAATCCCTTCAACCTGGGAGGCGGAGGTTGCAGTGAGCTGAGATGGCACCACTGCACTCCAGCCTGGGCAACAAGAGTGAAACGCTGTCTCAAAAAAAAAAAAAAAAAAGCCTGAACCTAAAATTCTAATGAATTGGTCTGTGACGGGATACTGGTACCTGTAGTTTGTTAAAAGCTCCCCTAGATGATTCTAATGTGCAGAACCCCTGGTCTAAGTGGTCTCTAATGGTTCCTTCTAGTTCTAAATCCTAAGATTCTAAGAGAAGGGCTGGAAGAGGATAGAAGGGAGAAAGATAAAAGGCAAGGGATGAAAAGAAGACAATATAAATAGAAAGGAAGTAAGGCCGGGAGCGGTGGCTCACGCCTGCAATCCCAGCACTTTGGGAGGCTGAGGCGGGCGGATCACGTAGTCAGGAGATTGAGACCATCCTGGCTAACACGGTGAAACCCCGTCTCTACTAAAAAATACAAAAAATTAGCCGGGCATGGCGGAGGGCGCCTGTAGTCCCAGCTACTTGGGAGGCTGAGGCAGGAGAATGGCGTGAACCCGGGAGGCGGAGCTTGCAGTGAGCCAAGATCGTGCCACTGCGTTCCGGCCTGGGTGACACAGCGAGACTCTGTTTCAAAAAAAAAAAAAAAAAAAAAAAAAGGCCGGGTGCGGTGGCTCACGCCTGTAATCCCAGCATTTTTGGAGGCCGAGGAGGGCAGATCACAAGGTCAGGAGATCGAGACCATCCTGGCTAACATGGTGAAACCCCGTCTCTACTAAAATACAAAAAAAATTAGCCGGGTGTGGTGGCAGGCGCCTGTAGTCCCAGCTGCTGGGGAGGCTGAGGCAGGAGAATGGCTTGAACCTGGGAGGCGGAACTTGCAGTGAGCCAAGATCATGTCACTGCATTCCAGCCTGGGTGACAGAGCAAGACTCCGTCTCAAAAAAAAAAAAAAAAAGGAAATAAGATTCAACTGCAAAGAGTATTAGATTACTCTTCTAACGAGTTTGGGGCTGGGTGCGGTGGCTCATGCCTGTAATCCTAGCACTTTGGGAGGCTGAGGTGGGGGATCACTTGAGCTTGGGAGTTCAAGACCAGCCTGGGTAACAGGGCAAAACCCCTGTCTCTACAAAAAAAAAATACAAAAATTAGCCAGGCATGGTGGCGTGCACCTGTAGTCTCAGCTACTCAGGAGGCTGAGGTGGAAGGATTGCCTGAGCCCAGGAGGTCGAGGCTGCAGTGAGCCATTTTCACACCACTGCACTGCAGCCAGGGTGACAGAGTGAGACCCTGCCTCAAAATAAAACAAAAAAAGTTTGGGATCTAAAGGATGGCAGTGTCCTCACAGACTATCCAGCCTGCCTCTCTTCACAGGCAGCCCACACATGGGAGGCCCTGACACAGGGGTTCAGCAGCTGTCCAAGCATCACATTTCCAAAGTCAACTGGCTTCCAGATGATCCATAGGGATTCTCATCTGCCCGCCCCCAACCCAGTCCTCCTACCCAGGGTCACTTTATCGTGTATTACCTTCCCACTCCCACCCTGACTTCCAAACCACAAGTTATTTGTCCCTTCTCAGAAAGTAACCAAAACACTTTAGGTTTCCTATCTTCTCAACATCCACGTTGGAAATCCATGGTATACTTATACAAAAAAGCAGCACCATGCTACTCAGTGGCATCTAATCTGTGCTGAATACACATTAGTTATATGAAAGAATGAGTGAAGTCACAATTTGAAATTAGACTAGGGCCGGGCACAGTGGCTCACTCCTGTAATCCCAGCACTTTGGGAAGCTGAGGTGGGTGGATCACCTGAGTTCAGGAGTTTGAGACCAGCCTGGCCGACATGGTGAAACCCCGCCTCTACTAAAAATACAAAAGTTAGGCTGGCGCGGTGGCACACGCCTGTAATCCCAGCACTTTGGGAGGCCGAGGCGGGTGGATCACGAGGTCAGGAGATCGAGACCATCCTGGCTAACGTGGTGAAACCCTGTCTCTCCTAAAAATACAAAAAATTAGCCGGGCGTCATGGCGGGCGCCTGTAGTCCCAGCTACTCAGGAGGCTGAGGCAGGAGAATGGTGTGAACCCGGGAGGCAGAGCTTGCAGTGAGCCGAGATCGCGCCACTGCACTCCAGCCTAGGCAACAGAGCGAGACTCCGTCTCAAACAAACAAACAAACAAAAAAATACAAAAGTTAGCTGGATGTGGTGGTGGGTGCCTGTAGTCCCAGCTACTTGGAAGGCTGAGGCATGAGAATCACTTGAACTCAGGAGGTGGAAGTTGCAGTGAGCCGAGATCATGCCACTGTACTCCATCCTGAGCAACAGGGCGACACTCAAGTCTCAAAAAAAAAAAAAAAAAAAAAAAGAAATTAGACTTCAGCAAAGGAAGTTAACACAGTGGCTACTTGGGGTGCTTCTGTCTCCCTTACAGGTCCTTACACATCTGATCCCTTAGAAATCAGAGTTAATAGCCTTTTACATCTGGATGGCTCTGCCCATATAGCCTATATCCACCCCCCTCTTCCTCTATAATCTTCTATCTCCTCTCCATCCTCAGGGGACACTCTGAAGGCACCTGGCTCAGAACCACTGCCATCCAAGGAGCGAGGAGTCCCAGGGCTGAGCAAATGCAGCGGGGAGGTCGGCAGTTCCCCTGCTTCCCGATCCTCATTTTCTGCTTCACTTGACTCCTCCAGATAGGAGCTGCTCTCACTGCCCACACTGCTGTTATAACTCCGGAAACTATCATAGCCACCAAACAGCTCCAAGTCGTCATCTTCCTCTTCCTCCATTGGTTCTGAAGATGGGGTCTCCTAATGGAGGATGACACAAACCAGGTAGAAAGAATTATGATTGGCTTTAGTGCACGGGGGGAGAAGCTGCAGATCTGCTATCAGCCCCCTCACACTTTCGGGAACCTTTCAAATACCCCTTTTACAAACAC